>NC_000001.11:26849163-28200698 GCF_000001405.40 Homo sapiens
CTTTGATCTGATTCCCAGAGTTGAGAGGGAAAAGCATCTAGCAACAGAGGCGTTTAAGCTGATGAGGTGCAGAGGATGTCACCACTGGAAATGGCTCCTGACCCTACAGCTGCCTGCAGTGGTTGTTTTGTCCCCTCTCCCTGCTCTCCAGAGGCTGTGTAGTTCTGATGGGCACCCTGAGAGGGTGTTGTAAGGGAAATAATGCATGAGAGGGCCCAGGTGAGCTGAGCCACAGTGACTGTGCATAGTTCCCAGGGCAGTGAGCTCATCATGCCAGCTCAGTACTCCCTAAGCAAGAGAACAGCAGGGAACACCCCCCCGTGACGGCATGCAGTGAAGGGGGTGACTCAGTGGGCACCATTCATCCCCAAGGAGCTGCCCCGCCCACGCCGTGCAAAGGGCACTGGCCTTGGCATGAGGCCTGCAATGGGCTTGTGACCCACATTCCCACAAGGACTTTCTTTACCAGTCTGGGTGTGCCTCCACCCCCGGGGACAGTGTGCAGGTGAGCTCAGCCCTTTGACCTGGCCTGTGATGCTGGCTGGCTGTGAACCCCATTGCAGCTCAGCCCCTCCCTGGGCCGCTAGTCCTAGAGCAGGAGACGGGTTGTTGACTGTTAGCATGTGGTTGGGATGGTAGACCAGGTGACAAGTATTTTTGTGAGTCTTTGTGCCGGCACTGCTCTGGATCCTGGGGAGTCAGCATGGTGTAAGACCAGCACAGCCCCCCTCGCCCATGGAGCTTACAGTCAAGTAGGGCTGATTGGCCAATCCAGTTATTATAAATAAGCATAAAAACACACATGGGCAGAGTGTGACAAAAGAGAAGTGATGGGGCAGATAACAGGGGCCCCCTCCCCTAGTCTGGGATTGGAAGAGACTTTCTTAAGGAGGTGGCTTTGCAGCTGAGACGCGAAGGAGAAGTTCCAGTTAACCAGGTAAAGAGACGAGAGAATGTATCAGGCAGTGGGAACTGGTACACAAAGGACCAGAGGCAGGTGTGTCCAAGGCCTGGGAGCCAGCTGGTGCTGCGAGAGTGAACGGGGTAGGAAAGCCCCAGCCATGGGTGAGGCCGCCAAATGCCTGTGCTGGCTGCAGGCCAGCCCACACTAACCCATCGCCCCTTGCCCTTGTCCAGAACGATTTGACCATCACTGCCCCTGGGTGGGCAACTGTGTGGGGAGACGGAACTATCGCTTCTTCTACGCGTTTATTCTCTCCCTCTCATTCCTGACGGCCTTCATCTTCGCCTGTGTGGTCACCCACCTGACGTTGCGTGAGTTGTGGGTGAGGGCAGTGGGGAGTGGAAGGGGTCAGCCAGCAAGCTCAAGGGTCAGCAAGCTTCAGCAGTCACTGTCCCTCTGAGCTTGTCCTCTCCTGTTTCTTTCTCCCCAGGCGCTCAGGGAAGCAACTTCCTCTCCACTCTGAAGGAGACACCAGCAAGATATCCTTTGTCAGCTAGAGGACACTCCAGTGGGAACTGAGGTCCCTTCACTGGGTGGGTGCCCTGCCTCATCCTCTAATCAGAAGGGAACAGCGTACAGCTCACATGTGTCCTCCAGAATCCAACATGCCAGCTCTTCTGTTCACACCCAGGCAAGAGCTGATCCTAAATGGGGCATTGTGGGGCCGGGGGTTCCTCGTCTTCAGGGGCCTGGAAAAGAGTATGTCCCTTAAGATGCCAAGCTCCCTGGACCGTGTCGTGCCCAAGGCTCTTTGTGATTGGAACCCTCAGTTTTCTCTGCCGTCCATCACCCTGACCTTGTCTGGCTCTTGAGTGGGGTCCTGACCCTTCCGAGGGGCCCAGGAGGTGATCCTGCTAAGAAGTGGGGACTGGGCCACAGGAAGGTTCCAAAACTTCTCAGCTCTCTGGGGAAACAGCTCCATGGAAGGATAGGTGAGACAGGCCAGGTGTGGCTGGGAGGCTCCCCACCCTCCACCCATTGAAGTCCTTAACTGCCCTCACCGTGCTGGAGTTGGTGATCTGCTTCTTCTCCATCTGGTCCATTCTGGGCCTCTCAGGGTTTCACACGTACCTCGTCGCCTCCAACCTGACTACTAATGAAGACGTGAGTAAACCTGGAGCCACCCCTCATTCTAGGGCAGCGCCCTCAGGAGGAGGCAGGGCTGAGGGAGCCTGGGGCAGCCAAGCACAGTCCTGACTCACGGACTGCTGGGATAATGCCTTTTAAGCAGCCAGATGCCTCCCAGTCATCTCAGCTTGGCCCTGGTGGGTCCGATGCAGGCTTCTGACACCTCCACATGCTTCATTCTCTCAGTGCAGGCTCCCAAGGTCCCAGGTTGCTTTTCTCCACAGCCCTGCAGGAGGCAGTACTCACACCACAGCACGCATGATGTTTGGCTGGCACATGACCGCTTACAGAATTCTTTCAGTTCCCGTCATTTCTTTGGGTCCTTTTGCCAAGCCTGAGGCAGAAAGGACAGGGATGTTTTTTCCCCATTCGATGACTGAGAGACATGTCCCATGTCTGAGAGGTCACACAGCTGGGAGGGGACAGAGCCAAGGTTGGTGCCCAGTCACAGGTATGCGCTCCCTCTTCCACACTGCCCCTGTCAGCAGCAAAGCCGTGACTATTCTCAAGGTGGCACTGGCCTGTCCTGGCTGCCCCTCTCAATATGCACGCCTGGGGGAGACAGGGCACAGGCCAGTGGGCTCCATTGACCTTCCCTGCCTGCCACCCTGCAGACTGCCATCAACAAGCATGTTTGATGTGCCCAGTCCTAGGCCAGACCTGACTTCTCCTCCCCATCCTCCAAACACTAAAAAGTAAATGAGAGCATCTGTTTCAGGGCCCACCATCTGATACTTACCAGCAACCCATCCTCCAACAGAAAATACATTCCCAGACCTCATCCTCTCATTCAGGGAAACAAAACTTCACACATGACAGGGCGTTGTGTGCCTGGTGATCAGTGAGAACAGAAATGCCATCAGCCAGTATCTCCCGCAGTAGCTTCTTGGGTGCCAGTTCTGCAGCACATTACCAGAGGTTAAAGAGAAAGGAGTGTGTGGCCAAATAAGTGTAGAAAACTCTAGGTTAAAGTCAAGGTATTCTTTATTGCTAAACTCTCCAGTGCCTTCCATAGCTGACTTCACAGAGCTAGAGAATCTGGCAAGAATTAATCTAATGCCCTAGCAATGTCATCTGAGAATTAGTATTATTTTCCCTGTTTTCCAAATGAGGACTCAGGCTCAGCGAAGTGGTGATCTGTCCAGGTAACGTAGCCAGTGAGTAGCAGGGCCGGGGCTCACAGGCAGGTCAGCCCTCACCCTGTGCCCCTGCGCTACCCTCCTTCAGAAGTGGCTGGCCGGAGAAGGGAGGAGTCATCCGAAACGTTTCCTCTGGATGCTTCTCTTGGGCTCTGCTCTGTCATCTCCTCTTTGGGGCCTCCTGATCTCTGCCAGGGGTCCCCCACATTCTCATTGAATGGCCCACATGAAAGACATGTCGCCTTCTGTAACCAGAATTGGTTTCGGAATTGTCCAGTTGTCCCCAGCCTCTAGACCTGCCTCCTAGAAAAGTGAAGCAAAAGGAGGTACTTGACCTAGGCCTCCTTCCTGCTTGCAGATCAAAGGCTCGTGGTCCAGCAAGAGGGGCGGTGAGGCCTCTGTCAACCCCTACAGCCATAAAAGTATTATCACCAACTGCTGTGCTGTGCTCTGTGGCCCCCTACCTCCCAGGTAAGTGAGCGGGGTGCGGAAGAGGGGTAACAGGGCCATGCCTGGCCAGTGATCAAAGTGTTCCTGGATATCAGCCGACCTCCCCCTACACCCTAGATGCCCTCCGTCCACTACCCCCTGGAGGGCATTTGTCATGTGACGGAATTCCATGGAGAATTGTTATTTAATCACGTGCTCATTGTAGAAAAAAAAAATTAAGTACAAAACGTAAAACAGAGGAGCATTGGATATGACATGTAATTCTACTCCCCGGGGGTAGCCACCATGACTGTTTCAGCCATGTTTGAATGACACTGCCCTTCCGGTTGCCCACTGCCTGGACTGGGTGGCGACTCCATCCTCTCCTGGCAGTAGGAACCCTGGGGACTCAGCCCTGCTGGGTCACTCCCTGTTCATCCTGACACCAGGGGGCACCAGAGTTCCAGAACGGGGATTACATTGCTGTGGGTACTGCTAAGACAAGTCATTCCCACACAGTCATGTCACCTACCCCACCCAGTATCCCTGTCACCCAGCCTGCCTAGAGGGGAAGGGAACATAGGAATTTCATAGTCATCAAATACCTATTCATCCTTGCTTTCCTCCCTCACCTGCAGCCTGGCTTCTTGGCAGCCAGACAGGTGGGCCAGTTGGAATTAATAGTGAATAAATTCTGTGGCCAAAAGCCAGGTGGCCAGAGGGCAGAGAGAGGCCTGCCAGAGGTAAGAGTCTTGGGCCCCCAGATGGGCAGCAGCTCTCCTTTCCTCAGCCTTTCTCAGCCTGGGCCTTTCCTTGGCTGAGATAGACTCTGCCGTCCAACCCCTGGCCTAGAGCCTCAGTGTTGGGCAGAGCCCTCATGTGTCTCCCTTGTGTTTTGGAAGCCTAATTGACCGGAGGGGATTTGTGCAGTCCGACACCGTGTTGCCCTCACCCATCAGAAGCGATGAGCCAGCCTGCAGAGCCAAGCCTGATGCCAGCATGGTAGGAGGCCACCCCTGACCACGGCTCAGTACTTGCCACCTGCTGGCCTGTCTGACCCTCCGCACTCACCTGCCGGGACCCTCCCTATTCCATCCAAGGGAAGCAGAACTGCCAAAGACTCAAGTCTTTTCATATTTATTTCCCATCCTGCGTGGCTTTCCCTGAACTGTTCCGTGGCTGTGCCCTCTGCTCCCCAAACCCAGGTTCCCACAGCCTTGGGCCCTAGGTACCCCAGCTGATCAGTGCCAGGAGAGACCAGAGCCTCTGGAGGCTACCCAGGGGACCACACCAAGTCCTTGCCTGTGCCGGGCGAGCCCTGTGTGAGTGAGGCTGTGAACTGAGCGTGAGGCCTCCCAGGTGGGGGAACTGCTTGGGCCTTGCTGAGCCAGGGTCCTCAGGGTGAAGCAGGACTGAGGAGTGGCCAGCTCTGGATAGCTGGCTGTGGAGAGGAAGCCTCCATGGGCTGCTTTGGTCTGTGGGCTCCTTCATTCCCTTGGTGATAATTTCCCTTTATTCTGTGGGATTTTTGGTGGGGTTTTCCCCCCTTTTTTATGGAGTTGGCCAATAGGATTGAGTTGGGGCTCCAGTAGAGAAGGCAGGGTTGGTGGTGGGTGGGGGCAGCCTGTATCAGACAAAGGTAAATCAGCCAGCCAGGCACCCACAGCCTCAGCTCCTGTGCAGTTCCTGGGCAGCACAGTGGAAGTGGGAGCCTGGTCCTTCCCCTGCCCATGGAGAGCTCTTTAAGGGATCCCAGCCTGCCCCTCCACTTCTCTCCCAAGCCAGGTCCCGGCATGGGTGGGTTATGCTCATGCTGGCAATACTTGAAACGGGTTTATTAATGCTGGGTATTTTGCACAATTTTATAGACCTCTTTTCTACATAGTCTTTTTTAAATGGAAGGAGAAAATGTCAGCCACATTACTGTCTGTGTAGTGCCAGGTGAAGGGTTATCAGAAGGCTGGTTGGTTTTAATAAGTTTATTCCAAGAGACCTTCTGGCTGGAATGAGTGAGAGTGTGTGTGCATGTGTGTGTGTGTTCATGTGTGCCCTGTATGAATGTGGCTGGCTCCCATATCCCCTGGGCTGCCCCCTGCCCCATCCCCTTTGAGTGTCAGAAGCACTCTGAGCCAAGGGGACAGGGGGCACGTGCACTGGTCACGAGAAAACCCTGGGCTCCCACTGGGGCTCAGCCCAGCCTCCTATCTTTCCTTCTTCTATGGACTTCAGACAGCCAGTGTCTGGGGACTCTGCCACTCTACCCCCAGCCCTACCCACCAGCCCCCAGGTGAGGCTTCCAGCTGGGACCTGCCCAGACAGGCTGAGCCTGGGCGTGGTGGGTGGGGTGATGGCTCTGGGGAGCGGCTGCCATCCTACAAGCCACACCCCCTCCTCTGAGCTCTGAATATGGGACCCAGTGCCAGGAGCTGGAAGACAAGGTGTTTCTGCCAAACGGGGACCTCCATCCAGAGAAAAGGAAGAAGGTGCAGGGTGGGCCAAGAGGCAAGTGAAGGTTGGCCTGAGTCTGGGCCGGAAACTCAGAGGATGTTTCTCCTCTGCTGGGAGCTGTAGTTTCTTATCAAAATAGATATTGTTCCACCATCCCCCTCCTTGGCCCTTCAAGTGGGCTGAAGCCCTTGGAAAGTGACATAGGAAGTCCCCAGATCTTGCCCTTCTCACTCCAGAGGCTAGTGGTCACAGACAGCTGGGAATGGCAGCCACAGAGGGTCCCCTCTGGGAGAAACAGCTTCACCCCAGCCTCAGGGCCCTGGGCCATCACTGCAGTGGCCCTGGGAGGTGAGGAAGAAGCTGGCTAGAGGAGGGGGCTCCCACCTACCTTTTATTTAAGCCAGTATTCTTTGTTCCTGCTTGTAATAAAACTTCAGTTTATAAGAGTTGCTTTGCTTTGGTTTGGTTTTTGTTTGCTTTTCCTTTGCTGAGGCCCCAACTGGGAGCCCTCTGTTCTTTCAGACAAATTTGGTTCTTTCCTGGGGAGACTGTGAGAAGGCAGGCAGCCCAGTGATCTGGCTACATTTTCCCTCACCTGGCTGGAGCTCTGTCCGCTGGAGGAAGAGCAGAGAGGGCTGCGGCTGAGCCCCCATGGGCACGTGAAAAGAGGCCATCCTGTCCCCTCTTTGTCCCCTCCACCTTCCCCTGCCTCAGGGGCTTGGAGACCCCCAAATTCTTCTTCCCTACTGCCTTTCCACTCCGATCCCCAATGAGTGCCCAGCTAAGAAAATGTTTGAGACAGTAGATTCCAGTTTGAGAGCCGGAGCTTCCCTGGCTACCACCTCCAACCTGGGCACCAGGGCCCAGCCAGACAACTCATAACACTGGCCCACCTCTCTGGTATCTCCCTCAGGAGGACACCTGTCAGGATTTTGCCATCTCCTGCACAGCCTGAGGGGAGCTAACAGGCCTCTTTGCAGAGGGTTAGCTGGTAAGACCGTTTCTTCCCTGTCGGCCAGCACTGCCCGCTCCCCTCACACACCATCTCATCCTCATCGCATGCCTCGCCAACCCCATGGAGCCCGTCCATCTGTCTGGTGTGTGGTGCGGTGTGTGTGCTGGTGGTGGTAGGGTCTCCAGGGACTCCCCGCTAAGCAGAAGGATCGGGATATAGGGCAAGGCTAAAAGCCCAGCCCCATTGTGGACTGAGGAAGTAGCTTCTCGCAGAGCAGCTCTCCAGCTGGAAGAGGAGGTGGAGGGTGAGGCTGGGGAGAGGATGGCGAACCTGCCCTGAGGTGCTTGGGTCTGTGCTGGTGGGGTCCTGGTATGCAGGGGCCACCGGTCACTAACACTCTTATGTCCTGGCTTTCTGTCCCCGCTGAGCTTTCTCTCACCCGCCCGTTTTCTCTCCTGCTTCATTGCCTGCTGCCTAAGCCTTGGCCCTTCTCTCGGGCAGAGGCAGGTGCTGTGGCAGCACCTCTCCCCACCACCGGGGCCCCTGCAGGCCGCCTCCCTCCTCCCAGGCCTGCTAACCCTCTCTCTTCTCCTTCTTTGCTGTCCTGCCGGGGATCTCCAGTGTGTGCGGGGGCTTAAGGACCTCCTGAGGACCGCTGCTCTCTGCCTCTCCAGGAATGGCCTGGGGGGAGCCAGGCACCCGGCACCTCCACCTGCCTAACCTGTGGCCCATCTGCCACCATCTGTGCCTACAGGGTCTGCCCCCCAGCCTGCCCGGCCTGTGTGCTCTCTAGGACCCCCATAGGGGGCAGGGGCTGGCCTCTTTGCCCCATTCCCGCTCCATGCCGGCCAGAGTGTAGAAAGCCATAACGCAGCCATCAGCACAATAATGTGACTCTACGCTGATATGCTCCCTCTCTCCTCCACTGACTTCCCCTTCCCGGATTTGTGAGGTGTCAAGACTAGGAATCTGGCCTTAGAGCCTGCCCCTCCACCCCCTCAGATCAGGCATAGCCATAGTCAAGCCCAGCAGGTTTCCTCAGGAGCTGTCTGGGGTGTTGATGGTGGATGACGCTGCTGAACAAGTTTGGTGACTGTTCTAAGCACAACTGGCTTGATACTGTTCCCACGGCCTGTCCACCTCCCACCCCCAACCCTCCACCAGAGTAGGTAGGATGTAGGGAGGGTGCGTGCCTCCTTTGCTCTAGGCACTGAGGGACCAAGCTAGCCGTGCACAGCCCCATACACTTCAGGGGACTAAAGGAAAGAGCTGAGCCAAGGAAAATCAGCTGAGCCCAGGGCTGGGGGCTGCTTGTCTGCTATCCTGTACCTTTTTTTTTTTTAACCAAAATAAAGATTCCCCTCTTCTTGCCATACCATTGGCTGTCTGGTGGCGCCTTTACTTTGGGGCCCAGGGATGGGACCTGCAGTGGGCGTGTGGAACATATGGCTCCCCCTCGCTCCCAGCTTTCTTCCAGCTGGCCAGTGCTGCTCTGGAGATTTACAAGCACAACGAAGCCAGGAGGGACACAGGAAAAGTGGCTGACATCCTTTTCACTCTGCCCCTCCAGAACTCTTGGTCTCAATTCCAGACACCACCCAGCCTTAGCTGACCTCTGGATTCTGATAGGTCCCAGTGCAGGCTGAGACAGAGGGTTTAACTCCAGTTTGGGACTGCCATACCCATGAACTGAGCCCAGCCCAGGGTAACGATCTCATGGAAACTTCTCTCTCCCCAGTTGCTGCACTACATCAAGATACACACATGTGCATACACTGTACTATGGGCTAAAAAAATAGCTACCGCTACCGTTCAGCAAGGGCTTGCCGAGTCCCGGGCCCATTTTCTCATCTTAACCTGTGAGGAGGATGATGTCAGCCTTTTTACAGATGAGGGAACTGAGACTCAAGGAAGAAACAGGAGCTGCCCAAGGTCACCCAGCTGGCAAAGCAGCAAATCCCAGATCGGAACCTGATCTCTGCCCCGAGCTCTGAGCCATCTGCACTACCCAAGGAATGAATACAGCGGTGGGAGGATGAGATCTTGGAGAAACCCTAAAATTAGAGAATGTCATAGCCAGTAGAGGGCTTAGAGTTGATCTGGGCCAGCCTCCTTGTTTTACTGATGGAGAAATTGAAGCCCAGAGGCAGGAAGGGACCTGCCCAAGGCCTTATAACAGAGCTGGGATGCAGTCCCACACTCTGACCTCATTCCATTCTCTCTCCATAAATTCTGCACTGTCTCTAGACTGGACTGGTTTAGATGTGGGATACTCTAAACAGCAGTGCCTTCAAGAGAAAAAGAATCAGAACTACGAATCACTTAAAAGTAATGTAAGCTACTCTGGGCACACTGCCTATGGGGTCGCCCTGCTCCACAAGGAGCCACAAAAATAATTAAAATAATTTAATATCCCTTCCCAAAGGTAACCAGTAAAGTAAGCTCTTGGCTAGGTAACTGGACTCTTGTTCACAACTAGCCAGTGGGAAAAGGTGCTAGAGCTTCCTCTGGCCACCTGTTTAATTTGATCATTCCAAGACAGAAACATTTCTTAGGAAGTTCTTTCTAGAATCTACCTGGTGTCCCTCCCACTGCTATCAGAGCCCTGTCCTCTGTCCTCAGTGGAGGTAGAGAGCAAATGGTTGCTGCTTTCTTCATCACAACCCTTCAAAGCCTATTATTACCAGCTAAGAAGGATTGGTTGACTATGGGGCCAGAGCCCCTGAGCCTGCTGGTAGAATGGATGCTGTACAGGAGGGTGGGGAGGTAGCAGGCAGAATGAGGAAAGCCCCTTTGAGCTGCAACCCCAGCTCCTGTCCTGCTGACTCAGACAGCTGACTGTGGAGCTCCATGCCCTGCCAGGGCCTGCTGCCTCCTGCCCGTCTGAGCTCCTGAACTTGGGAAATGGAGGCCCAGAGGCAAAGGGAGGTACCTGAGACAGGAACTGAGTCAGGATCAACAGGCCAGAGCGGGCAGGAGGTATCAGGCAGCCTGGCTCCCAGATGCACCCCTGAGCTCCAGCAGGGGAGGAGTAGGAATGAAGGGGCTTCCTTGCCCTTGCTCATGGCTATGCGGAGGGCGTGAACCACCACCAGGTCCTCTGGCTTAAGTGGCGGGAAGCAAATGGTCCCTCCCTGGACTCAGGCTCCAAAGTTCCTGGGCCTGCCTTCCAGGTTCCCAGTGTCCTGGGATCTCCAGCTTTCCCCAGGACTTGGGGAAGCCCCGGCTGGATGACTAGTACAAATGAAGGCCCCTGAGGTTCCAGGACCTGCTGAGGTCACAGGAATATCCTAGATCAAGCTTGTCCAACCCACGGCCCACAGGCTGCATGTGGCCCAGAATGGCTTTGAATGCAGCCCAACACAAATTAGTAAACTTTCTTAAAACATTATGAGATTTTTTTGCAAATTTTTTTTTTTTTTTAGCTCATCAGTTATTGGTAGTGTTGGTATATTTTATGTGTGGCCCAAGACAATTCTTCCAATGTGGCCCAGGGAAGCCAAAAGATTGGACACGCCTGTCCTAGATGGAGAGGAAGGAGGCAGTGCTGAGCACATCTGGCCATTCATCCATCTGGAGAGAGAAGGCTATGGGCAAACTGCTTCCTCTCCCCTGTAGACACCCAGCTGGGAAGGTCTGGCCTTTGGCTAAGTCCTGGCTTGGGGTCCTTCCTCATTTCACAGAACCTAACTCTATGTTAGTGCTTTGTGAGTATATGTTGATCATAATAAAGTTGACGGGATTTTTTCACATGATAATAATAGTTGTCATCTGGCCGGGCATGGTGGCTTATGCCTATAATTTCAGCACTTTGGAAGGCTGAGGCAGGTGGATCACTTGAGGTCAGCTGTTCGAGACCAGCCTGGCCAACATGGTGAAACCACATCTCTACTTAAAAAAAAAAAAAATACAAAAATTAGCTGGGTGTGGTGGTGCACCCTTGTAATCCCAGCTACTCGGGAGGCTGAGGCAGGAGAATCACTTGAACCCAGGAGGTGGAGGTTGCAGTGAGCTGAGATTGTGCCACTACACTCCAGCCTGGGTGACAAGAGCGAAACTCCGTCTCAAAAAAAAGAAAATAATAATAATAATAGTTGCCATCCATTCTACTGTGCTTTCCATTAACTCGTGTAATCCTCACAAGTCCCATTTTATAGTTACAGGAACTGAGGCTCACAGAGCTTAAATCACTTGGCCAAGGCCACAAACAGCTATAAGAATTACATTTAGGCAGTCTGATTCCAAAGATACTAGTCTATTCTGTATCTCATAGACAAACAATACATATTCACTTTTTTGTTGTTGTTTTGTTTTGAGACGGAGTCTTGCTCTGTCACCCAGGCTGGAGTGCAGTGGCGCCATCTCGGCTCACTGCAAGCTCCGCCTCCCGGGTTCAAGCGATTCTCCTGCCTCAGCCTCCCGAGTAGCTGGGACTACAGGCATGTGCCACCATGCCCGGCTAATTTTTTGTATTTTTAGTAGAGACAGGGTTTTCCTGGGTTAGCCAGAATGGTCTCGATCTCCTGACCTTGTGATCCACCCACCTCAGCCTCCCAAAGTGCTGAGATGACAGGCGTGAGCCACCGCGTCCGACCTATATTCACTATTTATAAATTGGAGAGAATAAGAAAATCAAAAGGGCCAGGTGTAGTGACTCACACCTGTAATCCCAGCACTTTGGGAAGCCAAGGCAGGAGGATTGCTTGAACCCAGAAGTTCGAGACCAGCCTGGGCAACATGGTGAGACCCTGTCTCTACAAAAAAATACAAAAATTAGCTGGGCGTTGTGGTGAGCACCTTATTCTTAGGAAGCTGAGGCAGGAGGATCACCTGAGGCCAAGGAGGTTGAGACTGCAGTGAGCTGTGATCATACCACTGTACTTCAGCCTGGACATCAGAGTAAGACCCTATCTCTAAAAAGGAAATTGAGAAGAAAGAAAATCAAAGGGAAGCAAAATCACTCACTCTCACTACCTCAAGATACCCTCTAGAAGTTGGTATTTTAGTGTGGTTCCTATTGTTTTCTGTGTCAGTTCTCTGATTTGAGCAAAATCTTTGGGACGTCAAACTTAAAATCCCCTTTACTTCCTTGGAAACCCTGTAGCATTAGCCCAGACATGTCCCTACTCCTCCTTGTGGCAAAGAGAAGGATCTCGTCTTTGGTCCCCAGAGTTCTGGCCTAAGCCTCCCTCCAGGAGGGAAGATGAGTGTTCAGACACTCAGAGTAGCTGGGGGAGACACAGGCCTGTGAAATTATCCTGGCTCAACTATTAGGTCGGCAGAATCCCAGTGAAGGGAGCCCTACCTCTGAGCCCCATCTAAGCTTTGGCTATGGGTGGGGCAGATAAGCAGGAATCCATCCCTATAGGCTCAATGCCAACACCCTTAGGTGAAACTCTTGATGAAACTTGAGGCCAGGGCTCCGGCAAGCAGGGAAAGAACGTTGGCAACAGAGGTCTCCATCTCTGAGGACTCTGCCAGGGGTCAGAGATGGGGCAATGGTCAAAAGGAAGGAACAGGCCAGGCACAGTGGCTCATGCCCATAATCCCAGCACTTTGGGAGGCTGAGGCAGGAGGATCGCTTGAGCCCAGGAGTTTGAGACCTGCCTGGGCAATGTAGTGAGATCTGCTCTCTATTTAAAAAAAAAAAAAAGGAAAGAACAAGTAAACTTCTGAGAAACAGGCTGGGGGAGGCATCACGTAGCTGGAATTGCTGCCCCATAAAACAGAATGGTATGTGTCACTGCCACCTCCCTTTCTCAGTCCTCTCTCTCCCCAGGTTGCTAGCGTCCCCCCTGGGGGATCAAACTGGACTGCTTCCCAGCCTCAGACAGAGAGCAGTCTGAGTCAGGCAGGAAAGTGGGACAGCCGGGGAGCTGGACCCCACCCTCTGTGAGCCCCGCTGGTACCTGATGGCATGTGGCTTGGAGAGGGCAGGTGACCTGGCGTGGAGGGCCAGAGGGTAAATCCTCAAACAAGTGGCAACAGGCCACCAACTTGAAAGGGAAAATTGTGTAGTGATGGGAAATGTGTCCAACAAACCTACTGGGTGACTAATTACAAAGGCTGGGCTGGAGCTTCAGAGGCTGCTTGTTAAACACTTCATTAAGCGGCACTCTGAAAGCTGCCACCTGCGCATTCTGGGAGCTCAGAGGGGACCCTGAGGGGGAATGAGGCCTGGAGGATGGAACCATCTTCAGGTAGACTGAGAAGGAGCCTGGATCTCACTTCCAAACACAGTCTGGAGCTCATAGGTCAGAGGCCTCAATGGGAGAAAAGCTAAAGGAAGAGGGTGCAGAAAGGAGTTTCAGGGAATTGGTGGCTATGTGACTTTGAGCAAATCTCACCCCTCTCTGAGACTTAGTGTTCCCATCTCTATGGTCCTGTGTGTGTCACAGAGACATGGTGGGGATTAAATTCGATCGTGAATATGAAAGTGCTTGGGAAACTCCATGGCCCTACCTAAACATGAGTTATCCTCACCTGAACCAAGGGGGGAAGTTACCTGGCAGGATTAGGAACCCCATCCTCCTGAACCTTTATGGGCTCTGTCGAGGCTGAAGCAGCCAGGGGCTAAAGCCGTCCTTAGCCCCTGGAAGGGCACTGTGAAAGTGGATCTGATTTGAGAAGCCGTTTCCTGATGTGGGCAGCCATGTGATGCCAGCCCCGAACAAGAGGGGGCAGCCTGGAGCCTGGAAAGGTGCCAGTGCAGGTGGGGCCCACGCCCAGATTTCTCCTGCTGACTGTTCTGATGATTCACCCCCACATCCCAGCCTTTTTACCTTTACTGCAGAGCCGGAAAGGGTGTGGGGAAGAGAGGAGAGGGAGGCAGGTCTTGGGCCCTGGTCCCGCCCCCTGCTCCTCCCCACCCTTCTCTGGGCCTGGCCACCCAGCCAAAAGGCAGGCCAAGAGCAGGAGAGACACAGAGTCCGGCATTGGTCCCAGGCAGCAGTTAGCCCGCCGCCCGCCTGTGTGTCCCCAGAGCCATGGAGAGAGCCAGTCTGATCCAGAAGGCCAAGCTGGCAGAGCAGGCCGAACGCTATGAGGACATGGCAGCCTTCATGAAAGGCGCCGTGGAGAAGGGCGAGGAGCTCTCCTGCGAAGAGCGAAACCTGCTCTCAGTAGCCTATAAGAACGTGGTGGGCGGCCAGAGGGCTGCCTGGAGGGTGCTGTCCAGTATTGAGCAGAAAAGCAACGAGGAGGGCTCGGAGGAGAAGGGGCCCGAGGTGCGTGAGTACCGGGAGAAGGTGGAGACTGAGCTCCAGGGCGTGTGCGACACCGTGCTGGGCCTGCTGGACAGCCACCTCATCAAGGAGGCCGGGGACGCCGAGAGCCGGGTCTTCTACCTGAAGATGAAGGGTGACTACTACCGCTACCTGGCCGAGGTGGCCACCGGTGACGACAAGAAGCGCATCATTGACTCAGCCCGGTCAGCCTACCAGGAGGCCATGGACATCAGCAAGAAGGAGATGCCGCCCACCAACCCCATCCGCCTGGGCCTGGCCCTGAACTTTTCCGTCTTCCACTACGAGATCGCCAACAGCCCCGAGGAGGCCATCTCTCTGGCCAAGACCACTTTCGACGAGGCCATGGCTGATCTGCACACCCTCAGCGAGGACTCCTACAAAGACAGCACCCTCATCATGCAGCTGCTGCGAGACAACCTGACACTGTGGACGGCCGACAACGCCGGGGAAGAGGGGGGCGAGGCTCCCCAGGAGCCCCAGAGCTGAGTGTTGCCCGCCACCGCCCCGCCCTGCCCCCTCCAGTCCCCCACCCTGCCGAGAGGACTAGTATGGGGTGGGAGGCCCCACCCTTCTCCCCTAGGCGCTGTTCTTGCTCCAAAGGGCTCCGTGGAGAGGGACTGGCAGAGCTGAGGCCACCTGGGGCTGGGGATCCCACTCTTCTTGCAGCTGTTGAGCGCACCTAACCACTGGTCATGCCCCCACCCCTGCTCTCCGCACCCGCTTCCTCCCGACCCCAGGACCAGGCTACTTCTCCCCTCCTCTTGCCTCCCTCCTGCCCCTGCTGCCTCTGATCGTAGGAATTGAGGAGTGTCCCGCCTTGTGGCTGAGAACTGGACAGTGGCAGGGGCTGGAGATGGGTGTGTGTGTGTGTGTGTGTGTGTGTGTGTGTGTGCGCGCGCGCCAGTGCAAGACCGAGATTGAGGGAAAGCATGTCTGCTGGGTGTGACCATGTTTCCTCTCAATAAAGTTCCCCTGTGACACTCCTCCTGTCTCTCTTCCAGTTCTTGGCGATGGGCTGGGAGTGGGACTGGAATCTGACTTAGAGACCCTGACTTTGGACCTCTGAGTTAGGGCCCTGAACTCCCTAGGTGGCTCAGTGGCCCGCACGCAAGACTTTGAGTCCAGGTGAGGCCGGGGTCCGGCTCTCTCCATCACGGCGGCCCCAGTCAAACTGGACGGGACCGGGAGGGTCGGGTGAACCCACAGGAGGCGCCGTGGCTCCTCTGCCGGGCTGAGGGGAGGTGAGTGGGAGCCACGGCGCGGGAGGCTGACGAGCTCTGGTGGAGCGGGGCAGGAAATAGTGAAGTCTCCGGCGTGAGATCTAAGGACAGCGCCGCAGTAGTGAGCGGCACTGAGCACCCGATTTGCAGGCGGGTCACAGTTTCATCAAGGGCTCAGATCTCAGCGGAGGGGAGTACGATCTGAGGAAGGGGTATAGCGCCGCCAAAAAAGCCTAGATCTTAGGAGAGGGTCACGTCCCACAGAGTTCGGAGATGGAGACAAAAGGAAACGGGCTGAAGGGGAGGAAGGACGAGCTGGGTGGGAAGGGCCGCTGGGAGCTGTGCCTACCGAGCCCGCTGCCTGAGCTCTCTGCAGCCAGCAACACGCCGGAACCTGCAGCCGCCTTGCTCCGTCCCGCCTTCGCAGCCCTGGACTGGAGGCGGGGCCCGAGGCCAATACCGCCCAATCACAGGAGGGAGCTGCCCCAGGGTACCGCCCCGGGGGCCTGACTGGCCAATGGGAAAGTGAGCGGCGGAACGCGCGCGGCGAGTTTCCCGCCGCCCGCCAGGCCTGGCGGACACCACGACTCGCTGACTGACTGAGAGGCGCCCCCGCCGCCCGCTGAGCGCCGAGGGGCGGAGCTTTCCCGGTTTCACTCAGACAAGTTGCCGCCCGTCCGGCCCGAGAGCTGGGAACCCTCTAGAGCAGCGGGACGAGCCAGGATCGCAAAATGCAGTGCTTGCCCGTTGAGTCATCAGCTCACCCGGCTGGGCCTGGGCCGGGCCGGCCGCGGGGGTTGGCTGGAAAAAGGCCGCCAAGATGCCCCCACCACACTCCGAAATCCAAGCAGCCCTGGACCTGTCGCCGAGAGGCTTGGATTGTGTCCCTGGCTGGCTGTGCGACCTTGGAAAAGCCGTTATACCTCCCTGGGCCTCAGTTTCCCTCTTGTATCATAAGGGGCTTGGACTAAAGGCTAACACAAGAGTGAAAA
Source organism: Homo sapiens (assembly GCF_000001405.40). Classification (NCBI taxonomy): domain Eukaryota; kingdom Metazoa; phylum Chordata; class Mammalia; order Primates; family Hominidae; genus Homo; species Homo sapiens. The sequence goes on from NC_000001.11 coordinate 26,865,686, forward strand.
TGGCGGTTTTGGCCGGGCGCGGTGGCTCACGCCTGTAATCCCAGCACTCTGGGAGGCCGAGGCGGGCGTATCACGAGGTCAGGAGATCGAGGCCATCCTGGCTATCACAATGAAACCCCGTCTCTACTAAAAATACAAAAAATTAGCCGGGAGTGATGGCGGGCACCTGTAGTACCAGCTACTCGGGAGGCTGAGGTAGGAGAATGGCATGAGCCCAGGAGGCGGAGCTTGCAGTGAGCCGAGATCACGCCACTGCACTCCAGCCTGGGCGACAGAGCGAGACTCGGTCCCCCCACCCAAGAAAAAGAGAAAATTTGCGATTTTGGACTCAGACAGCCTGGGTTTGACTCCCAGCCTGCCTTGGCCAAGGCTCTTAATCTTGCTTACCTTTGTGTCCTCATTTATAAACAGGGGAACTGAAAAACAGTACCTTCCTTTTATAGTTGCTGTAAAGTAACCCATAGGACAGACTCAACAAATGTTAGCTTTTTTTTTTTTTTTAAGACAGATTCTCGCTCTGTCGCCCAGGCTGGAGTTCAGTGGCACGATCTCGGCTCACTGCAACCTCCACCTCCCGGGTTCAAGCAATTCTCCTGCCTGAGCCTCCCAAGTAGCTGCGATTACAGGTGCATGCCACCAGCCTGGCTAGTTTTCTTATATTTTTAGTAGAGACGGGGTTTCACCATATTAACCAGGCTGGTCTCAATCTCCTGACCTCAGGTGATCCGCCTGCCTCGGCCTCCCAAAGTGCTGGGATTACAGGAGTGAGCCACTGCGCCAGGACTTTTTTTTTTTTTTTTTTTTTTTTGAGACAGGGTCTGGCTCTGTCACCCAGGTGCGACAGTGGCGTGATCTCAGCTCACAGCAAACTCGAGCTTCTGGTCTCAAGCGATCCTCCCACTTCAGCCTCCTAGTAGCTGGGACTACAGGGGCCTGCCACCACACCCAGCTAATTTTTTATTTTTTTTATTTTTATTTTTATTTTTATTTTTATTTTTTTTTGAGACGGAGTTTCGCTCTGTCGCCCAGGCTGGAGTGCAGTGGCGCGATCTCGACTCACTGCAAGCTCCGCCTCCCGGGTTCACGCCATTCTCCTGCCTCAGCCTCCCGTGTAGCTGGGACTACAGGCGCGCGCCACCATGCCCGGCTAATTTTTGTATTTTTAGTAGAGACGGGGTTTCACCGTGTTAGCCAGGATGGTCTCGATCTCCTGACCTCGTGATCCGCCCGTCTCGGCCTCCCAAAGTGCTGGGATTACAGGCGTGAGCCACCGCGCCCGGCCTATTTTGTTTATTTTTATATGGAGTCTCGCTCTGTTGCCCAGGCTGGAGTGCAGTGGTGCAATCTCGGCTCACTGCAACCTCTGCCTCCTGGGTTCAAGCGATTCTCCTGCCTCAGCCTCCTTAGTAGCTGGGATTACAGGCATGCACCAGCATGTCCAGCTAATTTTTTGTATTTTTAGTAGAGACGGGGGTTTCACCATGTTGGTCAGGCTGGTCTCGAACTCCTGACCTCGTGATCCACCCACCTTGGCCTCCCAAAGTGCTGGGATTACAGGCGTGAGCCACCACACCCGGCCTATTTTTTATTTATTTTTTATTTTTTATTTTTGAGACAGGGTCTGGCTCTGTCACCCCAGGCGTGACAGTGGCTTTTGGTCTCAAGCAATCCTCCCACCTCAGCCTCCTGGTAGCTGGGACTATAGGTGCCTGCCACCGCACCCAGCTAATTTTTTATTTTATTTTTAGTAGAGACAAGGTTTCACCATGTTGGCCAGACTGGTCTCAAACTCCTGGGCTCAAGCGATCCTCCTGCCTCAGCTTCCCAAAGTGCTAGGGTTACAGGCTTGTGCCACCTCACCCAGCCTCAAATGTCAGCTATTAACGAATCCTTCCAGCTTCAATAAGTCTAGGATTTGGCCAGCATTTTTATGCCTAAAGCAGAATCATGAGGCAGGCCCAGTCCTGAGGGGCAGCCTTATTGCCAAAGCTGACCTGCACGCCTGCTGAGCCCCCTGAGAATGCTGCCCTCACATCAGGTGGTCACTCTTCCACCTGGCAAGATGGAGAGAGCTAAGCCCAGGGTCCAAGCTTGGCCACACCAATAGGACTCAAAACTGAAGGGTTTTTGTCAGAACTCCTGCTTCTACAGGGGAAGCCGGCAGGACCACTCTGATGCCTTCTGGGTCCCCTGTTTTCTCCCTTCCTTTCCTAGAGGTGTGTCAGATTTCAAGGCTCCAAACCAGGGACTCTAGGCAGGGCAAGTAACTCCACTCAGATCTAGAGGTGACCTGATTTCTCTCACCAGACAGGTCTGGTGACTCTCTCTTAATGGGCTACATCCTGGGAAAGGAACTTCTTTCTTTTCTCTCAGCCTCTGACTTTTGTCTGTTAGCTCTGGACCACTCGTGGTTGTCCCATATGGGGAGAAGTGAGCTGCCCTAAGGTAGTGTGTCGGTGTAAGGATTTTAAACCAGATGCTGTGCATTGGAATATCTCTAAATCAGATGCTTACCAGGGCTAAATGTGAGCTGGCTTAGGCACCAGCTTCTTTTATTTTCTTTTCTCTCTCTCTCTCTCTCTCTCTCTCTCTCTCTCTCTCTCTCTCTCTCTCTCTCTCTCTCCCTCCTTTCTTCTTTTCTTTTCTCTTTTTTTTTTTTTTTTTGAGACAGGGTCTCACTTTGTCACCCAGGCTGGAGTGCAGTGCCACGATCTCGGCTCACTGCAGCCTTGACCTCCCAGGTTGAAGCTGACCTCCCAGGTTCAAGCTATCCTCCCACCTCAGCCCCTCAAGTAGCTGAGACTACAGGTGTGCACCACCACACCCAGCTAATTTTTGTAGAGACAGAATTTCACTATGTTGCCCAGGTGGGTCTTGAACGCCTCAGCTCAAGCAATCCACCCACCTCAGCCTCCCAAACTGCTGGGATTACAGGCGTGAGCCACCGCGTCCAGGCTCTTTTCATTTTTTAATGTTTAGTTTTTATGGGTACATAATAGTTGTACATATTAGGCACCAGGTTCTGACCACAAGGATCCCAAACCTTTTTGTCCATGACTTTTTTTTTAATCTCTTGGTGAACACTTCTTGCCAGCTTTTCCTGGCCTAGAATTGATATTTGAACAATTTCAAGGCCAGGCACAGTGGCTCATGCCTGTAATCTCAGCACTTTGGAGGGCGAGGCAGGCAGATCCCTTGAGGCCTGAAGTTCAAGGCCATCCTGGCAAATATGGCAAAACCCCGTCTCTACTAAAAATACAAAAATTAGCCAGGTGTGGCGGCATGCGCCTGTAGTCCCAGCTACTCAGGAGGCTGAGGCGGGAGAATCGTTTGAAAGTGGGAGGCAGAGGTTGCAGTGAGCCAAGATTGCGCCACTGCCACTGCAGCCTGGGTGACAGAGCGAGACTCTCTCTCAAAAAAAAAAAAAAAAAAAAAAAAGGCCGGGGGCAGTGGCTCACGCCTGTAATCCCAGCACTTTGGGAGGCCAAGGCGGGCGGATCACGAGGTCAGGAGATCGAGACCATCCTGGCGAACACTGTGAAACCCCGTCTCTACTAAAAATACAAAAAAATTAGCCAGGCGTGGTGGTGGGCACCTGTAGTCCCAGCTACTCGGGAGGCTGAGGCAGGAGAATGGCATGAACCCTGGGGGTGCGGAGCTTGCAGTGAGTGGAGATCCCACCACTGCACTCCAGCCTGGGCGACAGAGCGAGACTCCATCTCAAAAAAAACAAACAAACAAACAAACAAACAAACAAAAAAACGGTGGGTGCGGTGGCTCACAGCTGTAACTCCAGCACTTTGGGAAGCCGAGGCGGGTGGATCACCTGAGGTCAGGAGTTCGAGACCAGCCTGACCAACGTGGTGAAACCTCATCTCTACTAAAAATACAAAAAATTAGCCGGGCGTGGTGGCGGGAGCCTATAGTCCCAGCTACTCGTGAGGCTGAGGCAGGAGAATGGCGTGAACCCAGGAGGCGGAGCTTGCAGTGAGCCATGAGTGCGGCCACTGCACTCCAGCCTTGGTGACAGAGCGAGACTCTGTCTAAAAAAAAAAAAATTACTGTAGAGACAGGTTCTCGCTATGTTGTCCAGGTTGGTCTTGAACTCCTGGCCTCAGGTGATTCTCCAGCCTCAGCCTCCTAAAGTGTTGGGATTACAGGTGTGAGCTACTGCACCTGGCCAGAACTTGATTTAAAACTACCCTTCCAAATGCCTGGTAACCAGGATTAGTTCCAAATCATGATGGAAATGGAAATACAGCCGGTCCTGGGATGAGGAAGGGCTGTCCAGAGATTGGGCTCACACAGATTCAAGGGACCTCAGCCTTATCTTTTCTATATTGCCAGATTATCCCCCAGAAAATGGAGGCCCAGCTCTTGCAAATATCTTCTCCTCCCAAGAATTTGAATGGTATGGAGAAAATCTGCAACCTAAAATTACCGAGTGAAGATATCTACTCTTACCTCTGTTATGCATAGTTACTTCCAAATGGCTCTTAGAATCCACAGGAGTAGGTGATGGAGGCCAAGATTGCCTTCTCACAACCAGCCAGGCACCCTAGCAAGGCCAAGGCCACTGTGGCTCCTTCCAGAAAAAGCAAGGTACTCTTCCCTGCCTCCATCTCTCTCTCTCTCTCTCTCTCTCTGTCACACACACACACGTCCAGATGTCCAGAGGCTTGCATCAAGGCTTGCTCTTCTGACCGACAGTGTCCCATTTCTGCTTCTTGCTAGAGAACAGAGTATGGTAGCAGCAGCAGCAGGCATGATAAGTGTGTGTCAGGCAGTTTCATACCTTAATCCTCACAGTAATACATGTTATTACCTTTGTTTTGCAAATAAAAAGACTGAAGCTCAGAGCAGCTAAATAACCTAATAACCAAGGTTATACAACTACTCATGTGCTGGTGCTGGGGAGTGGAACAGGGTCTGACTCCAAGCCCCATGATTTTCTTTTTTTTGGAGACGGAGTCTTGCTCTGTCACCCAAGCTGAAGTGCAGTGAGACAATCTTGGCTCACTGCAACCTCTGCCTCCTGGGTTCAAGCAATTCTCCTGCCTCAGCCTCCCGAGTAGCTGGGACTACAGGCACATGCCATCACGCCCGGCTAATTTTTTGTATTTTAGTAGAGATGGGGTTTCACCGTGTTGCCCAGGCTGGTCTCAAACTCCTGAGCTCAGGCAACTCGCCTACCTCGGACTCCCAAAGTGCTAGGATTACAGGCGTGAGCCACCATGCCTGGCCCAAGTCCCATGATTTTTTTTTTTTTTTCAGACGGAGTCTCGCTCTGTTGCCCAGGCTGGAGTTCAGTGGCGCCATCTCGGCTCACTGCAACCTCTGCCTCCTGGGTTTAAGTGATTCTCCTGTCTCAGCCTCCCAAGTAGCTGGGATTACAGGTGCGTGACACCACACCCAGCTAATTTTTTTTTTTTAGAGACAGGGTTTCACCATATTGATCAGGCTGGTCTCAACCTACTGACGTCAGGTGATCCGCCTGCCTCAGCCTCCCAAAGTGCTGCGATTACAGGCATGAGACCGCGCCCAGCCATTCCCATGTTTTTTAAACTACAATAGCTGTTTTCAAACTGTGTTCAGGTGGTTTCCCAGAAGCTGCCATGGGGCAGGAGCCGAGTGGTCAGTTTCCCGTTTCTGTATACTTTGGCCAAAACAGCCACACATATGTCAGTTTCGTATATTAGAGTTTCACCAGTTAAAAAGTATCTACATTTGGCCAGGTGCTGTGGCTCACACCTGTAATCCCAACACTTTGGGGGCCGAGGTATGTGGATCACCTGAAGTCAGGAGTTCGAGACCAGCCTGGCCAACATGGTGAAACTCCATCTTTACTAAAAAATTCAAAAAATGGCGGCCGGGCGCAGTGGCTCACACCTGCAATCCCAGCTACTTGGGAGGCTGAGGCAGGAGAATCACCTGAACCCAGGAGGCGGAGGTTGTAGTGAGCCGAGATTGTGCCATTGCACTCCAGTCTGAGCAACGAGAGCAAAACTCCGTGTAAAAAAAAAATAATAATACAAAAAATTAGCTGAGTGTGATGGTGGGCACCTGTAATCCCAGCTACTCGGGAGGCTGAGGCAGGAGAGTCGCTTGAACCCGAGAGGCAGAGGTTGCAGTGAGCCGAGATTGCACCATTGCACTCCAGCCTGGGCAACAAGAGCAAGACTCTGTCTCAAAACAAAACAAAACAAACAAAAAAGCCCAAACTAACTACATTATGTTATGGTGCCCTGCTCCTATCTTAGACTTTCTAAGAATCAAGAAAGCCTTCTTCTGGCTGGGTGTGGTGGCTCACGCCTGTAATCCCAGCACTTTGGGAGGCTGAGGCGGGCAGATCACTTAAGGTTAGGAGTTCGAGACTAGCATGGCCAACATGGTGAAATCCCATCTCTACTAAAAATACAAAAATTAGCTAGGCATGGTGGCATGCACCTGTAGTGCCAGCTACTTGGGAAGCTGAGGCAGGAGAATCTCTTGAACCAGAAGGCAGAGGTTGCAGTGAGCTGAGATTGCACCACTGTACTCCAGCCTGGGCAACAGAGCAAGACTCTTGTCTCCAAAAAATAAATAAAATTAAAAGAAAGCCGCCTTGCTCTCCTGTCAATCTAATTCCACCCTAGTCTCTGGCAGAAAATAATTGTCTTAAATGAGAAGACTGTGAACTGGACCAATTTCCAGGCTCATTCACCAAGTTTAGGTTCTCTTAACCTGATTCCACTCTTAGTTCCTTTAAATTCTTCACCCTCTTCACAGGGTCCACCTCATCCCTGCTGTGTGGGGAGTGGAAAAGGCAGGTTTCTACAAGGAAGGTCCCCCTCCTCTCAGAATCCCCCTAGTCCCACCTACCCACTGAGTCAGGAGCCAGGAATGTCTGTGGGGGCAGCAGACAGGTATGTCACCCTGGGGGTGTCAGAGGCTGATTCATCTCTCATCTCCACCCAATCTTCTCCTTACAGCTCTCTGGGAAATTTAACCCTTTGTCTAGAAATAAAAGAGTAAGGGCCCGGCGTGGTGGCTCACGCCTGTAATCCCAGCACTTTGGGAGGCCGAGGTGGGCAGATCACGAGGTCAGGAGATCGAGACCATCCTGGTCAACATGGTGAAACCCTGTCTCTACTAAAAATACAAAAAAAAATTAGCTGGGTGTGGTGGCGGGCGCCTGTAGTCTCAGCTACTCGGGAGGCTGAGGCAGGAGAACGGCATGAACCTGGGAGACGGAGCTTGCAGTGAGCCGAGATCTCGCCACTGCACTACTCCAGCCTGGGCGACAGAGCAAGACTCTGTCTTGGAAAAAAAAAAAGAAATAAAAGAGTAAAATCCAGGACTCTGGGCTGGGCACAGTGGCTCACGCCTGTAATCCCAGCACTTTGGGAGGCCGAGGCAGGTGGATCATGAGGTCAGGAGTTCAAGAACAACCTGGCCAAGATGGTGAAACCTGGTCTCTACTAAAAATACAAAAATTTGCCAGGTGTGGTGGCAGGTGCCTGTAATCCCAGCTACTAGGGAGGCTGAGGCAGGAGAATTGCTTGAATCTGGGAGGCAGAGGTTGCAGTGAGCTGAGATAGATAGCATCACAGCACTCCAGCCTGGGTGACACAGCACAACTTGGCCTAAAAAAAAAAAAAAAAAATCCAGGACTCGAAAAGCATCATGTCTTCAAATCGGTGGGGCTAGATACAGCATTGAATACATATTATGGTATTAAAGAAATATTTGTTGAAAGAAGGAAGGCAGGGAGACATTCTCTCCCTTTTCTCCTCTAGAGTAAAGCTAATCTGAGATTTCCTTGTCTGACTGTAGAGAGGAATGACTTTTAGCTCAAAAAAAATTATGTGAAACTTTCATCTCAAAAAAGATTATGTGACCAGGTGAGGTGGCTCATGCCTGTAATCCCAGCACTTTGGGAGGCCAAGGCAGGCAGATTGCTGGAGCCCAGGAATTGGAGACTAGCCTGGGCAACATAGTGAGACCCCGTCTCTACTAAAAAGAAATTATGTGACCTCTGAGATTACTGAGATTATATGATTTATGAGTTGAGGGAAATCTTTTTTTTTTTTTTTTTTTTTTTTTTTTTTTTTTGAGACGGAGTCTCACTCTGTCACCCAGGCCGGACTGTGGACTGCAGTGGCGCAATCTCGGCTCACTGCAAGCTCCGCTTCCCGGGTTCACGCCATTCTCCTGCCTCAGCCTCCCGAGTAGCTGGGACTACAGGCGCCCGCCACCGCGCCCGGCTAATTTTTTGTATTTTTTAGTAGAGACGGGGTTTCACCTTGTTAGCCAGGATGGTCTCGATCTCCTGACCTCATGATCCACCCGCCTCGGCCTCCCAAAGTGCTGGGATTACAGGCGTGAGCCACCGCGCCCGGCCAAGGGAAATCTTAACCCATGTCCCAGTCTCCGTTCTTTGCTGTTTCTGTGACTCCACAATGTGGAGGCTCCAGGATTAAATATAGGAAGAACTTGGAGGTGACAATTCAGTGCAAAGGGAGGCACTAGGGGACATTCCTGGAAGCTACATTGACATGGCAAGCACACTGCATTAGACTTCACATTTGGCCGGGTGCTCATGCCTGTAATCCCAGCACTCTAGGAGGCTGAGGCAGGAGGATAGCTTGAGCTCAGGAGTTCGAGACCAGCCTGGGCAAGATGACGAAACCCCATCTCTACAAAAAATACAAAAATTAGTCAGGCATGGTGGCATGGGCCTACAGTCCCAGCTACACAGTAGGCTGAGGTGGGAGATGGCTTGAGCCTGGAAGGTGGAGGTTGCAGTGAGCTTGGGCAACAGTGCAAGATTCTGTCTCAAAAAAAAAATTCACGTTTATTTGGCATGGCTGTGAATGGGCCTCTCATGTCCCTCCTCCACAACTGCTTCAGAGTTTTAGAATGAGGAGAAAAAAACAACCTTCGCTGTGCATTCTCATCCAGAGCAATTTACCAATACTGTCATTTTTTACTTGTTTTCACTGTCTTTTTTCCACCTCAATTGGCCCCTAAATCCCCACCCCATCTTGTCACAGCCCCTGTCTTGGCCCATCTAGACACCTGGGCTTCTGGGGCTGCCTGGAGTTAGCTCCCTGGCTGGAAAAGGTCACACTGGGCTTGAAATGAGGGACACAGGTTTCCACATCTTTAGCAGGCCTGATGCCATGGAGGTATGTGCTGCAACTCCTTCTAAACGGGACAAGAAAAGAGAGTGAATGGCCCAGATCAGGCTGGGTAAGTAAAGACTCAAAAGCCAGAGACAAGAGAAGAGAGAGAGGAGGGGACTAGTGTTTTGCTAGAGAATTTCCCTCCAGGATTCCGGGATAATTGGGCCTCTTCACTGCTTTCAAAATTGGCGAGGGCCTTAATAGTGCTTGGGTGGGTCTGAAGCCACTCCCCTCCCCCCTCAGGATTCTTGAGAAAGGGACAGAGAATTCCTCAAATCGGCCTTCCCTTTCTCTTTCCCACAGATCCTAATGGGACCATACTTCCTATATTCTCAGCCACCAGCGGGTGAGCATTTTGCTAATCCAGGCAGACTGGATGTGCTTCAGCTCTGTGGGCTTTAGGGCCTCACCCTCATGCCTAAGCCTCTTTGTCAGGCTGGAAACCTTTCCAATTACCTGTGGTCCCTGCTAAGTTCTTCCAATTCTACACTGTCTTCTAATTGTTGAGGTTCCCAGTTCAGAGCCAAGAAATGCATATAACCTAATGTCAGTGGTTAGTAGGGATGACCAGGAAGGTCCCTTCTAAGACACTCAGAGAGGGCTTCCTCCCTCCCGAAGTTGTAGAGAATTGTCAAGGGAGGTCTGGAGATGAGAAGAGCAATTTCAGACACTATCAGTGAGATGTAAAGTGGCACATTTTTTGGAAAGCATTTTGGCAACATGAATCCAGAACCTGGAATATGTCAGTTATTTCATTTCCAGGACTACCTCCCAAGTTAAAAATCAGAGACTCAGACAATGATTTGGGTACGAGGATATTAATCACACTATTTACAAAAGTAAAAGTTGGTGATGACTTGTAGGCTAGTAGTAGGCTAACCACGGGAGTATGGATAGGTAAACAATGTTATAGCCAAACCATGGACTATTACCAAAGTGACATTAAAAAGGTTATTTACTTGATTGTTTGAGACAGGGTCTCACTCTGTTGCCCAAGCTAGAGTGCAGTGACACAATCATAGTTCACTGCAGCCTCCACCTCCTGGCTCAAGTGATCCTCCCACTTCAGCCTCCCAGAGTCCTAGAATTACAGGAATTGTATCTATTTTTTATTACATGGAATGGTGTTAACTGAAAAAGGCAGGATACAACACAATTATAAAATATCCCACTTATATAAATGCAATATCCACCCCAGGTATAAAAATAAGGCTGAAAGAATACATAAAATATCTCCAGGTATTTACAGAGATGAGAAAAAAAGAGAATACACAAAATATACATTTGAATATAGAATTTATTTTTCTCTTAAACAGATGACCCCATAGAAAGTTTCCGTTATGGGATTCTGGGTGACTCATTTTCGTTTTTTTTTTTTTTGAGATGTACTTTCCATCTTGTTACCCAGGCTGGAGTGCAATGGCGCGATCTCCGCTCACTGAAACTTCCGCCTCCCAGGTTCAAGCGATTCTCCTGCCTCAGTCTCCTAAGTAGCTGGAATTACAGGCGCATGCCACCATGCCCTGCTCATTTTTTTGTATTTTTAGCAGAGACAGGTTTTCACCATGTTGGTCAGGCTTGTCTTACACTCCTGACCTCAGGTGATCAGCCCGCCTTGGCCTCCCAAAGTGCTGGGATTACAGGCGTGAGCCACCGTGCTCGGCCTTCTCTTTCATTTTCTAAGTTTTTTACTTTCCTATATTTATTAGGAAATTTAAAAATAATCTTAAGGATGACTGCCACATGCCAGCCATAATGGAGGATGGTCTTTCTTCTACCCTAGACATTTCACACTGAACAGGCCTCACTTGGATCTCGGACATCTTCCTTTCTGCACTGTGCAGATCCCCTCAGTATATGCAGAGAACAGAAAATCATTTTGCTGCCAGTGGAAGGTAGACAGAAGCTACGTTTATTGGGGAAGAAAATACCCTTGCTGTCAAACCATGGCCTGAAAATAAAGGCCTTGGATTACTCCCACCCATCTCCACTCCATGGGTGCAGAGAATGCTGAGGGTGCTTGCATACGAGACCATAAAGTTGTAAAGGATGCCTTCCAGCCCCCATTTGGTTTGTTATGGTGAGAGCTGGGGCCTCTGTGAGTGGCAAGCATCAAAACCCACGACCACAGCCGTTGGTACTGCTTTCAAAAGCATAGCACCCACCCTAATGCCCTGATAAAGGATTTGTCCAGTAGCCTGGGCGTCAGGATTCCTGGGCTCTAGGCCCCACAGGTGATTCACAGCTAGCCCCAGGCTGTGCCTCCTGGCCTCAGTTTTCCTGGCTTGCTCTATTGGTACTTCCTACCTACTCTGTGGGGTGTTAATAGGGGTGAGGTGCTTTGAACTTCTCAGATGAAAGAGGCTGGGAAGCAGCACCCAGTTATTATCCCCTTTACAGCCAGGCGTGGGAGCTGAGGTTGCTTTCATACTGTTCCAGCCACAGTAGCCTCCTCATAGCCCCTCATTCATCTGCCTTTGGCTCTGGCTGCCACAACCAGAAAGCAAAGCAGTCAGTCCTATTTCAATGCTGTTTCAGAACAGATGTCCCTAAATTAATTTGCCAACTGCCCAAACCACTGGTGAACTATCTATGATTCAGTAATACTTTACAGGTGCCTAATTTCTTTCTCCTGATTGGCTGCAAAACCTGTGGGACAAGGGCTGTGACTTCTCACCAATAAATATACCAAAGGAGGGATACTCGCAATTTAGTCAGCAAAATGGGTTATGAGAAAGCCAGGCTGACCAAAGTTCAAACTTCTCATCTTTCTGCTTCCTCACTGTAACACGGGCAATGGCTTATTAATTCTCCCCATCCTGTCTATCTCTAATGAGGATTGTGTGTGTGGAAGCACTCTAAAATACCAAGCACTTCATATGTGTTAATAAGTCCAAATGTGGCCGGGTGCAGTGGCTCACGCCTGTAATCCCAGCACTTTGGGAGGCCAAGGCGGGTAAATCATGAGGTCAGTAGTTCAAGACCAGCCTGAACAACATGGTGAAACCCCGTCTTTACTAAAAATACAAAAATTAGCCGGGCATGTGGTAGGCGCCTGTAATCCCAGCTACTCGGGAGGCTGAGGCAGAGAATTGCTTGAACCTGGGAGGCGGAGGTTGCAGTGAGCCGAGATTGTGCCACTGGACTCCAGCCTGGGCGACAGAGAGAGACTTTGTCTCCAAAAAAAGAAAGTCCAAATACATGCAAATAAAACTTGGCATAACAGTCTTGCCCAAGCCATCAGTCCTGCCCCTTCTGCCACCAGGTTACAACTGCAAAAAATTAGGTTGGGGTGCCACCTACTGGTTGAAAAATATATGAACTGCATCCAGCCAGTTGCAAGAGCAAAGAAAAAACTTCCAAGCCCTCTTGATTTTTGCCACACTCTCATAGGAACTGCCATATTATATAATTAATATTTTTCTTTACACAACTTACTATTTTTTTTTGAGACAGAGTCTTGCTCTGTCGCCCAGGTTGGAATGTAGGCACAATCTTGGCTCACTGCAACCTCCGCCTCCTGGGTTCAAGCAATTCTTCTGCCTCAGCCTCCCCAATAGCTGGGATTATAGGCGTGCAACACCATGCCCAGCTAATTTTTATGTTTTTAGTAGAGAGGGGTTTCACCATGTTGGCCAGGCTGGTCTCGAACTCCTGACCTCAGGTGATCCGCCCGCCTCAGCCTCCCAAAGTGCTGGGCTTACAGGCATGAGTGAACACGCCCAGCCTTGTATTTCATTTTTGAAGTACACCTTTTTTTTGAGACAAAGTCTCGCTCTGTCACCAGGCTGGAGTGCAGTGGTGCAATCTCAGCTCACTGTAACCTCTGACTCCTGGGTTCAAATGATTCTCCTGCCTCAGCCTCCCAAGTAGCTGGAACTACAGGTACGCGCCACCTATGCCCAGCTAATTAAAAAAATTTTTTGGTAGAGATGGGGTTTCACCATGTTGGCCAGGATGGTCTCGATCTCTTGACCTTGGGATCCGCCTGCCTCGGCCTCCCAAAGTGCTGGGATTACAGGCGTGAGCCACCGCACCCAGCCTTGAAGTAAACTTTTAACCACTACTGTAAATGGAAAACTAGTTAACACTTGTCAACAATAGAATAAAACCATAAAACAAATACAGTGAATATAAAACATTAACAAAGTTCTAGTTAGGAAGTGTTGCCTGTGAAAGCTGAAGCTTGAGGCTCTGTTAAAACTGAAAATTGTGGGACATGGTGGCTCACACCTGTAGTCCCAGTTACTCAGGCGTCTGAGGCGGGAAGATCACATGAGCCCAGGAGTTTGAGTCCAGCCTGGGCCATATAGCAAGACCCCATCTTTTAAAAAACAAACCTCAGAACCAAAAACTGAAGATTAATAAAAACACATGACTGGAGACTGAATGTAAATCCTATGTGACTGAATGTGAATTATATGCTTTGGGGAAATACTGATTATTCCAAGGCTAGGTGACACTCCCTCATTCTTCCCCAAACCCCTGGGCCCGGAAGACTGAAGAAAAGTTTGGAAGTCACAAAAAGTAGAAAATAAACTCTTGTATTGTAGCACATTTCATCACAGCCTGACTAGGACCAGTGCTCGACTTTCTGGTGGCAGGGCCCAGAGCTCACGGACACCACTGACAGTATGGGGGGTGTTCTGCTTGGCACCATGTCTGGCTTTTTGGCCAGAAGTCCTTTGCAGAGCTGAATATCCCCTTGCCAGCCCGCCAGCTCTGGCTGGGAGGACTTGCTCTTGGGTCTGCAGCCTGCATCAGGAGCCTCCACTTTCCCCAGTGCTGGATTATGCATCCTGCTCTCCAGGGTCCACCTTGTTGCTACAGCTGCATGGCTTCCTGCTCCACTGACTGGTTCGAGGGTGCCAGGTACTTCTCCTGGATGCCCAGTGTGCTGAGGAAGGGTGCGTCAAGGCTGATAGCATAGGCAGAGGATGGGGAGCTGGTCTGGGCAGGATCTGACTTCCGCTGATGCCTACACTCCAACCATGTCCATCCCTCTCTTCCTCATAATTATAGGGACCAATCAGGTATGAGAAGCCTCCAAAAACACCCAGACTCAAATGCTCCTCTATCTGCCTCTTCCACACACTGCTGCGGATCAAAGGACTGGACAGTACTAACCTTGCAATTTTGCGTTATGGCACATGCTCTGGAGCCAGACTAAGGGAGTTCAAAACCTGATGATGTCTGGGTCTGGGGTCTGACGAGGACATGGAGGTTAGCCATGGCTAGGTTGGCTATGTTAGGACACCATGGCTGTTGTACTACCAGATGGCTCCAAAGTAAGAAACAGATTCTACACCCACCAAAACCAAGGTTTGAACTGTTCTTCCAAAACATCCCGGGAGAGGGACCTTGGGCCTGTCGCCTCAATTATAAAAGGGGTTGAAATGAGGATTAAATGACCCTGCAAGTAAAGCACTTAGCCCACCAAATGATGTTCGAGTTACAGACCTTTCTTTTTCTTTTTTTTGAGACAGAGTCTCACTCTGTCACCAAGCTGGAGTGCAGTGGCGCGATCTCGGCTCACCGCAACCTCCAACTCCCTGGTTCAAGCAATTCTCCTGCCTCAGCCTCCAGAGTAGCTGGGACTACAGGTACATGCCAGCACACCCAGCTAATTTTTCTATTTTTAGTAGAGACAGGGTTTCACCATGTTGACAGAAATGGTCTCGATCTCCTGACCTCGTGATCCGCCCGCCTTGGCCTCCCAAAGTGCTGGGATTACAGGCGTAAGCCACCACGCCTGGCCAAAAATAAATTTTTATACTTTAAAAAAAAAAAAGAGAGAGAGATGGGGTCTCACTATGTTACCCAGTCTGGTCTCAAACTCCTGGCCTTGAGCAATCCTCCCACCTTTAACTCCCAAAGTGTTGGAATTACAGGCATGAAGCCATTACACTTGGCCCATGCCATCTTATTTGCAACCCTTGAAACCTGTCTCAACTTTGAACCCCTATGCCTTTGCATGTTCTCTTAACTTGAATTCCCTTTTCTTCTTCATTAGACTGGCTAACCCTCACCTTGAAATGACACAACTCACGTGTCATGCCTCCATAAAGCTTTCCTTACCCACCTACCCTTCAGCAAAGCTGACCACTCCCTTATTTGTATCAGTCCCTACTCTCTTACAGAGAGCTGCTGAATCTTAAGGGGGTTAGGGTCAGGGCAGAATCTAAAATCAGCACAAATGTATATGGTTAAAAATACTCTTTAAAATTCCTCAAATTATTTGTTAAATGCAGCATACATGGTTTTGTGAATAGAATCCTTTATATATACGAATACATAAAGTAACGTACAGATGCTCCTTGACTTATGATGGGGTTACATCCTGATAAACCCATCCTAAATCAAAAATATCTTAAGTCGAAAATGCATTTAATACACATAACCTACCACACATCATAGCTTAGTTTCGCCTACCTTAAATATTCTTAGAACACTTACGTTAGCTGCATTTGGGCAAAATTATCTAACACAAAGCCTATTTTACAATAAAGTATTGAATATCTCATGTAATTTATTGAATACTGTACTGAAAGTGAAAGAATGATTGATAGGTACCCAAAGTATGATTTCTACTGAATGCATATAGCTTTCACACCATCATAAAGTTGAGCCATCATAAGTTGGGAACCATCTGTACGGTGTACAAAATACTACATTATTTAAATTGCTTCTCCCAGCCTAGGCTGTATGGTGAAACCCCATCTCTACAAAAATTAGCTGGCCACAGTGGCACACGCCCATAGTCCTAGCTATTCAGGAGGCTGAAGTGGGAGGATCACTTGAGCCCAGGGAGGTCAAGGCTGCAGTGAGCTGAGATCACGCCACTGCACTCCAGCCTGGGCAACAGAGTGAGACTCTGCCTCACAAAATAAACAAACATAAACTGCCCTTCCCAGCTGGGGACGATGGCTCATGCCTGTGATCCCAGCACTTTGGGAGGCTGAGGTGGGAGGGTAACGAGCCCAGGAGTTCAAGGTCGCAGTGAGCTATGATTGCATCACTGCACTCCAGCCTGGGCAAAGGAGCAAGACCCTGCCTCTAAGAAATAAATATAAAAGTTGCAGGCCGGGCATGGTGGCTCACGCCTATAATCCCAGCACTTTGGGAGGCCAAGGCAGGTGGATCACCTGAGTTCAGGAGTTCGAAACCAGCCTGGCCAACATGGTAAAACGCTGTCTCTACTAAAAATACAAAAAATTAGCTGAGCGTGGTGGCGGGCGCCTATTATCCCACTTACTCGGGAGGCTGAGGCAGGAGAATTGCTTGAACGTGGGAGATGGAGGTTGCAGTGAGCTGAGATTGCACCATTGCACTCCAACTGGGGCAACAAGATTGACGGTCCGTCTCAAAAAAAAAAAAAAAAAAGGGCCAGGTGTGGTGGAGCATGCCTGTAATCCCAGCTACTTAGGAGGCTGAGGGAGGAGAATCACTTGAACCCTGGAGTTGGAGATTGCATTCCAGCCTGGGCAACAACAGCAAAAGAAAGTCCATCTTAAATTTAAAAAAAAAATTGCTCCTCCCCTCTTTTGCTGAGCACATGCAGTCCAATTGGCCTACATTAACTGCAGGTGTGACGCAGCTCCTTAGTACCTTCATCAGGGACTGCACACTCTACTGCCATCATTTATAAGTCATTCCTCCAACCCCGACCCCATGAGCTTTGTTTCCCACATATGGCTCGAGAAACATCAGTAAGTGTTGGCTGGAATTATTTTCCTCTATACCCTAAGACTCCTGAGTCCCCCTTGTCTCCAGCATGCTGCATAGATGCTGAATCTGTGAGAGCATCAGCCTAGAGGGCCTGGACTTTTCTGTCCTGCTTCACGCATGGCCTCTGTGACCTGATGGACACCTACCCATGACCTTGGCTCCAGCCTCATTAGTCACTAACCAAGCTCCAAAAGTCTGGCTGCCTCTTGGACAGCTCTGGATGTCCCATGGACCCCTGAACACAGCACATCTGCCAGCTCTTGTCCCTTTCATCCATGTGACAAACCTGCTCCCTCCTCCTTTTCCTGCCTCAGTGATTAGTACAACCACCCACCGTCTAAGCCAGAGATCTGGGAAGCTAAGTTCTACTCCAGCTCCATCTATCCCATTCAGTCACTGACTCTTACAGTCTATCTCCTTAGTATTTTTCCATTCTACACCTTTCTTTCTATTCTCACTACAAATCTTTCAACCCTTCTCACCTAGCAAGACTGTAAAACTCTTTTGCCCCCAATCACGTCCCTTAAATGCATTTTCCACAATTGCAGGGGCTTTTCTAAAATGTACATCTGATTGTGTCACACCCTGTTCAACAGTACTGCTTGAATACTTGCTCCCACTGCCCACCCATGAACTGAAGTCCACATTCCTTAGTAGGGCACTCAGGCCCCTCCCTCGGCAGCCCTGCCTGTACCCCTGCAACGCCCTTTCCTCTTCACATGCAACACACCAGGAACTGGACTCCTGCATCTCTCCCGAATGACTAATGCCCTCTCATTTCTGGGCCTCTGTATTTGTTACTCCTATTGATCAATATCCTCTCTTGTCCTCAGTACAACCAACTCTGAAGCCAAGGGACCACCTTTGCACATGAGAGACAGTCATCAGGAAGCCCAACTGATCAATATGAAATCAGTCATCCACGGCCGGGCGCAGTGGCTCATGCCTGTAATCCCAGCACTTTGGGAGGCTGAGGCAGGTGGATCACCTGAGGTCAAGAGTTCCAGACCAGCCTGGCCAACATGGTGAAACCCCGTCTCTACTAAAAATATAAAAACTAACTGGGCACAGTGGCGCACACTAATACCAGCTACTTGGGAGGCTGAGGCAGGAGAATTGCTTGAATATGGGAGGCAGAGGTTACACAGAGCCAAGATTGCGCCATTGTGCGATCCAGCCTGGGCAACAAGAGCGAAACTCCCTTTCAAAAAAAAAAAAGAAAAAAGAAATTGGGTGGATCACAAGGTCAGGAGATCAAGACCATCCTGGCCAACACAGTGAAACCCCGTCTCTACTAAAAATACAAAAAATTAGCTGGGCGTGGTGGTGGGTGGCTGTAGTCCCAGCTACTCAGGAGGCTGGGGCAGGAGAGTGGCGTGAACCCGGGAGGCAGAGCTTGCAGTGAGCTGAGATCGTGCCACTGCACTCCAGCCTGGGCGACAGAGCAAGACTCCATCTCAAAAAAAAAAAAAAAAAAAGAAATTGGTCATCCACAAGGTTGATGACTGCACCTCCTGTGGCCATTCTTGAGTCCCATGTCTCACCCTCTCTGCTATGGCCAGGAAGCTGGCAAGGATACGAAGAGAAATGGAAGTCGGCTCCCATTGCGGCAGACATCATGGCTTCCAAGCTTCGCTGCTCTTGGGCTCTGAAACAGTATCCATTGGCTTTATCCACAGCCTGCAGGACTCGCTGGATGCTCTCCTTGTCCTGAGCAGGGAGGAGAGAAACAGTTCTGTGAGTGAAACAGAAGTATGTAAAACTGCTTGCAATCTCTAAATACACCTTCCTCCATCTTGCCTCTGTACCTGTAGCTTTCTTGGCCTGGAGTAGTTCTACATGTCCCCAAAGGCTGGATAAATCTCATGTTTCCTGACCACCAACTCACTCAGATTAGAACAGATAAGCTCCCCTATGCATATCCACAGTCCCCTGGGTTTACACCTATTGTACATGGTATCCCTGCCATGTAATAAACGCCTATTAACTCACCTGCCTCCCCTACTCAACTAAACACCCCTTAGGGCCAGGTCATCTGTCGCAGTATTCCCAGTGCCTGGCACAGTACTTCTCTTAAGTAGACATCCAATGAATATGCATGTTTTAAATCTATAACTGGGCCAGGCACGGTGGTTCACACCTGTAAAGCCCAGCACTTTGGGAGGCCAAGGCAGGTAGATCACTTAAGGTCAGGAGTTCAAGAGCAGCCTGGCCAACATGGTGAAACCCTGTCTCTACTGAAAATACAAAAATTAGTTGGGCATGGTGATGGATGCCTGTAATCCCAGTTACTTGGGAAGCTGAGGCAGGAGAATCGGTTGAACCCAGGAGGCAGAGGTTGCAGTGAGCCAAGATAACGCACTGCACTCCAGCCTGGGTGACAGAGTGAGACTCCGTCACAAAAAACAAAACAAAACAAAAAAAAACTATAACTGTTTCCTCATCCACATACAGTGATAAGAACAGTCCATATATCACATGGTGGGAAGGACAAAGCAAAATTATGTATGTGTAGTCCTTAGCACAGTGCCCAGCACAGAAAGCCATAAATAAGAGGTAATTGTTGTGATTGATATTATAGAGTTCATCTCCTCATATCAGAAGAGTGTGGCATTAGAAGGGAGGAGACAAGTTAGCTCAAGTCCACCCACTGCAGAAAGGAATCTAACATGCACCTGCGTCTCCCAGGTTATCTCTGCAGGGTAAAGGTGAGAGGCACAGGGGTTGGGTACCACTTTGCAAAGTCAACAGACAGTTGCCCAGTTGAAAGGGCTTAAGAGACTTGTCCCTGGTCCTGGTGAACTTTCTTGCTGATGACTTTCTGAACTCACCCATTTTCACAGAGGACAGAACATGTGAAGAGAGGATCCAGCAACACAAAATAGACAGGGCAAAAGTTTGGTCCACTCTCTTTACTGGAATTCTGCCCCTACAGCAGCCCCTGGTCCTGAAACTAAGGTTACTCTCAGTGATACTCAACCCAGGGCAAAGACCACTCTTTTTTTTTTTTTTTTTTTGAGATGGAGTCTCACTCTGTCGCCCAGGCTGGAGAGCAATGGCGTGGTCTCGGCTCACTGCAAGCTCTGCCTCACGGGTTCACGCCATTCTCCTGCCTCAGCCTCCTGAGTAGCTGGGACTACAGGCACCTGCTACCACGCCCAGCTAATTTTTTGTATTTTTAGTAGAGACGGGGTTTCACTGGGTTAGCCAGGATGGTCTCGATCTCCTGACCTCATGATCTGCCCACCTCGGCCTCCCAAAGTGCTAGGATTAGAGGCTTGAGCAACCGCGCCCAGCCGGCAAAGACCATTCTTTAAGCCCTCAAAGCTTCCTGTGCTTTTGGCTTGGTGAATCCCATGCACTGTCAAGAGTCCCGTCTTAGCCCCTAGTACCTGGATGTTGAGAGGGATAAAGGAGACAAGGCTATAGTCTTCGATGAGCTGCACTAGCTTCTCATTGAGCTGGCGGTAGTGGCGGAAGAAAGGGTCAGAAGCCAGGTGGTCAAGCAGGTAGGAGAGGTCCAGAACCTCTGTGTAGTAGTCCAGGTTGAAGGCTAAAGAGAGAAACCAGTGTTCAGGAGCAACCAGTATCAGGCTAAAGACCTGAGGACGAGGTTCCTTTTTCCTTTTTTCCTTTGTGCACTCATGCACTCAAATATTTCTTGACACAGTAAAATGAAGTTACTAAGAAAAAAAGCATTTGGTTTTACCTGCTGGCTCTGCTATTTACTAGCTATATAGGCAGGTATCTACTTCATAGGACTGTTATGAAGATTAAATGCTATAAACCCCAGTGTCTGGTACAGAGAAGTGCTTGATCAATAACTGCAAACAGGCTGGGCACGGTGGCTCATGCCTGTAATCCCAGCACTTTGGGAAGCCGAGGTGGGTGATTACCTGAGGTCAGGAGTTCAAGACCAGCCAACATGGTGAAACTCCATTTCTCCTAAAAATACAAAATTAGGCCAGGTGCGGTGGCTCAAGCCTGTAATCCCAGCACTTTGGGAGATGGACGGATCACAAGGTCAGGAGATCGAGACCATCCTGGCTAACACGATGAAACCCTGTTTCTACTAAAAATACAAAAAATTAGCTGGGCGTGGTGGCGGGTGCCTGTAGTCCCAGCTACTCAGGAGGCTGAGGCAGGAGAATGGCGTGAACCCAGGAGGGGGAGCTTGCAGTGAGCCGAGATCGCGCCACTGCACTCCAGCCTGGGCGACACAGCAAGACTCCGTCTCAAAAAAAAAGAAAAAAAAATACAAAATTAGCCGGACGTGGTGGCACATGCCTGTAATCCCAGCTACACGGGAGGCTGAGGCAGGAGAATCGCTTGAATCCAGGAGGCGGAGGATGCAGTGAGCCGAGATTACACCATTGCACTCCAGCTTGGGCAACAAGAGCGAAACTCTGTCTCAAAAAAAAAAAAAAAAAAAAAAGTTGCAAATAATGATAACAAGTATGTACCAAGAACTGTGCATGGTCGTCCTCACCTCACAGAGCTCATAGTCAGGTCATACCCTCAGGACCTGGCACATACACTGCAAAGACTCTGTAAATGGTTAAACTGAATAAATGCTACATTCTAGCAGGGTAGCCTCCTGGGTAAATCACTTTCCTTTTCTGAGCCAGTTATTTCTTAATGTAAAATAAGGACTAGATGATGCTGAGGTCCCTGATTCAGTTTTATAAATCATTTCTCACTAAAAGAAGTAAGTTGGACTTCCCCCTAGTGGCCTGTTTCTGCCCAGAAAACTTAAGTATCTGGGCTCCCTGGCAGCTCTATCCTAAAGTAAGCTGAGGACTCTACATCACTCCATGTCCAGACTAGAAGCTAACTGGCCTCCCTGGACAAGGTCCCGACACCTCCCTTTCCCAACAACCTCCCTATTGCTCATGTGCTGGTCATTTTATCTGTCTTCTCTAGGTTCCTTTGTTGCTAGAGATGCTATTTAGGGAACAATGTCCCCAGTTCAGGAGAGTACTAATTTTTTTTTTTTTTTGAGACAGAGTCTTGCTCTGTCGCCCAGGCTGGAGTGCACTGGCATGATCTCGGCTCACTGCAAACTCCCTCTCCTGGGTTCACGCCATTCTCCTGCCTCAGCCTCCTGAGTAGCTGGGACTACAGGTGCCCGCCACCATGCCCAGCTAATTTTTTGTATTTTTAGTAGAGACGGAGTTTCACAGTGTTAGCCAGGATGTTCTCAAGCTCCTGACCTCGTGATCCACCTGCCTCGGCCTCCCAAAGTGCTGGGATTACAGGCGTGAGCCACTGCGCCTGGCCTAATTTTTTTTTTTTGAGACGGAGTTTCACTCTTATTGCCCAGGCTGGAGTGCAATGGCGAGATCTCGGCTCACTACAACCTCCGCCTTCCAGGTTCAAGCGATTCTCCTGCCTCAGCCTCCCGAGTAGCTGGGATTACAGGCATGCACCACCATGCCTGGCTACTTTTTTGTATTTTTAGTAGAGATGTGGTTTCTCCATGTTGGTCAAGCTGGTCTCGAACTCCTGACCTCAGGTGATCTGCCCACCTCGGCCTCCCAAAGTGCTGGGATTACAGGCGTGAGCCACCACGCCCAGCCGAGAGTACTAATTTATCAAGAAAAAAAAGCTGGCCACTGGGACTCTAGCCAACTCCCCTGCCTCATACCAGCCTGCTTCTACCTCAATCTTCCCTATTTTGTCCCTGGCCTCCCACCCCTTCTCTGTCTCTGTGCCAGGTGAGAATATAGCCTCCTTCTGTGAGGACAGAAGGAGGCTGTCTAGGAGCCAGGAAGCAGACTCTCACCAGACACCAGATCGGCTTGTGTCTTGATCTTGGACTTACCAGCCTCCAGAACTGTGAGAAATAAATATTTATTGGCTAAGCCATCTGGTCTATGGTATTTTTGTGATGGCAGCACAAACTGACTAAGACAAGGCCTTTATTCCTACTAGTGCCTCTGCATAGAACAGTCCTCCCTTGGCTGGCTCCTTCTCACCATTCATGTCTCAGCTCAGATGCCACTGCTTCAGAGCAGAAGTGAGAAACTGAGGTCCAGAGAGATGAACTGACTTACCCAGACCACACGATGATTCAGTGGCAGATCCAGAATTTAAACTCATGCCTGTTTTACTCCAAAGCTCACTCACTTCACTCCCAAATATTCACTGTCGTATCACTTTAATTCCTTTGTAACACCTAACACCATCTGTAGCTCTCTTGTCTCCAAAATCTACAACGGTAACTAGCACAGAGTGGCACAAAATAAATGGGCAGGAGTTAGAACCTGCCTGTGGCTACTATCACCAGACCACGCAAGGCACCAGAGGCAGCTACCTTCAGCTGAGATGTCTGCTTCATTCTAGCCCAGCTGCTGCCCTGCTCTTCGCCTGGAACAGAAGCTCTTACCCAGCTTCCCATAATGCTCAATGAGGTCCATCTTGGAAAGGAGGTTGATGTGGGGCAGTTCCACGTGCAGCATGGTGGCCAGGGAGGTACACAGTACTGAAATGAACTTGGCAGGGTCTGTGCAGTAGTGAGAATCCACGAGGTGGACGGCAGTCAGCTGGGAGGGAATAGACAGGGTGAGAGTGGCCTGGAGAAACAGGGATCAGCATTCCCTCATGAGAATGAGGGCTTGAGGACAGAGGGGAAGCTTTCCCCATTAGTCTCCTGCCTCTGTTTCTTTCTAATAACCACCCTGGTTTCCTTCTCCCAGGAAATAGGAGTCATTTTTTTTTTCTTACAAGAGGTCTTGCACTGAGCCTCCCAGTGGGCAAGGGGTTTAAATCCCATGGCATCTGACTCCACTCTTTCATTTACTTTTGCCCACCAATTTACAACAATCTCCATGCCACTTTCGACATTAACCCCTTCCATACTTCCAAAATCGCCAAGTTGGCTACTAACACATTTTACACGTGAGGAAACTGAGGTTCAGAGTGATGAACTGACTTATCAACACCACACAGCCAGTCAGTAGCAGAGCCAGATTCTGAACTCATGCCTGTTTTACTCCAAAGCGACCCAGCCCCTACCTCCCTGTGTGACATGGGGGCGTGGCGTCTGTCCTCCCTGTCTCAGTTACTCCATCCGCAAAATGGGCCTCCCCGCCCTGAGACGCACCCTGAGGTCCCACTGCGCCATTTGGGAGAAGATGCTGCGCAAGGCGCCGTGATGCGTGCAGAGCTCCACCTGGCCTGGGCAGTCGAAGAGGAAGTAGTGGCCGCGGAGGGGGTCGAGCTTGGCACGCAGCCAGTCCAGGTTGGCTTCCAGGTACTCCATGCAGTAGAGCAGGCCGCCGTTGGGCCCCAGGCGCAGCGCGTCCATCACGTCGCCCAGCCCCACCAGCTCGCCCACGTCCACGGCACACTCGTACGGCAGCCCCTCGTTGGCCGGGTCCAGGTTCACCACCGCCACGCGCCGGCCCAGCGCGCGCAGGAACTCACTCATGCCCAGGCAGTACGTGGTCTTCCCTGAGCCCGGCGGGCCGATCACCGCCTGCCCGAAGGCCGTGGTCGGAGCGGCCCCTGCCATTGGCGGCCCGCGGCCCGGAGCAGGTCAACTCACAGGGAAAACGGGGCAGGTAGCCGCGCCGGAGACGAGACTGAGGGCGAGGGTCCCAGTACGTATACCTCGTTGGCGGCCAGCGTCACTCGCCTCAGGCGGAACAGCTGAGACCGTGTCGCGCAAAAGGAGATAACAGGCCGATACTAACTAGACTAACTCGACTTCCGGACAGCGTCGGAAACGGCGAGCCAACGAGAGGAAGTCCCGCCCTCACGGCGGGGACGAAGCTAGACGCCGAGGGGCGGGCGGCGCAGCCGCATTTCTCTCGCGGGTAGTGGGTCGAATGTGGGGTCTTTGCGGGAAAATCGCTCTCGGAATTTCTCTAACCTTCAGACTCGAATTAGAAAAGTAAGGGAGCTCCAGTAGTAAACGTCTTTATTCTTCCGTGACGTCGCACACCCAAGCCACCTCCCGCGGACTCTCCGCTGGCAGTCCCACCCAGTGAGGGTAGAGGCGGTGGAGGGCCCACCCAAGGCCGGCTCTTCCAAGCACCACAAATCCTCTCCTCGCCCAGGTCCCTTTCCCCCTTTCTGGCCTTCGTGGGGACACCTTCAGAGTCCCCAAGGAAGGCTGTGCTGATAGCCTCACTCAACCCAGCTTTTCAAAGTTCTGCAGGAGGCAAAGGGCAAGCCCAGAGATTAGGGTTAGAGACCAAAGACAAGCGGTCGTTACCCCTAATATCCAAGGGGAGGGGACGGGAGGGGGCTTTTTGTAAAAATGCCCCTGAGGTATAGAACCGGCAGGCAGGCAGGCTCGGAACAAAACACCCTGAACCAGCCACGAAGACTGCTGCTCCCAGACTCCTTTCTGCTTCAGTGGTAGATGAGGCCAGGGCAGAGGGTTTTCATCATGTAGCTATGAAAGGAAGCCCCCAACCCGGTCAGTCAGGCAATGAGGGGCTGTCTGAAGCACAACTGGAACCCCTCACAAAGGCCATGTCTGTCCGAAACTTCATGCTGGTGGGTGGCTGGCGGCGGAGCAGTGACTCCGTCTGGTCTTGGGGTAGAGGCTCATCATAGATGGTGGAGATGAGCCCCAAGCCATTTCTACGGGGCCTCTTCAGTTGCCCAAATGGCTGTAGCTTCTCTCCATGGTACCTGGATAAAAACGGGCTCTCAGTGAGAAGGCTGCTCTCAAACTCCAGTTAAAGGGGTTGGGAGAGGACGGGGAAGTAGTTACTACATATCTGGTTTGTCCAAAGACAGAGGCTTTAAATCTGGGTCTTTGTTCTCCAGCCCTCTTATCTATCCATTGACAGTGCCAGCAAGAAGGGGCCTCATATAAAATTTTCATTCTGTCACTACAGACTTCCTAATAGTAACCATCAAGTCCAAACTCCTCCAACAAAGGGTATGAATGATCTTGTTAAGCCTTAGGGCTTACTCTTTAAAAAAAAAAAAAAAGTCAGATTTACTTTATTTATTTATTTATTTCTGAGATGGGGTCTCACTATGTCACCCAGGCTGGATTGTAATGGCGTGATCTCGGCTCACTGCAACCTCCACCTCCTGGGTTCAAGCGATTCTCCTGCCTCAGCCTCCAGAGTAGCTGGGACTACAGGCGCATGCCACCATGCCCAGCTAATTTTTTTTTTTTGTGACAGAGTCTTGCTCTGTCACCCAGGCTAGAGTGCAGTGGCGCCATCTTGGCTCACTGCAACCTCTGCCTCCTGGGTTCAAGCGATTTTCCTGCCTCAGCCTCCTGAGTAGCTGGGATTACAGGCACCCACTACCGTGCCCAGCTAATTTTTTGTATTTTTAGTAGACACAGGGTTTCACCATCTTGATCAGGCTGGTCTGAAACTCCTGACCTCGTGATCCACCCGCCTCAGCCTCCCAAAGTGCTAGGATTACAGGCATGAGCCACTGCGCCCGGCTAATTTTTGTATTTTTAGTAGAGACGGGGATTTCACCATGTTGGCCAGGCTGGTCTCTAACTCCTGACCTCAAATGATCTGCCCACCTGGGCCTCCCAAAGTGTTGGGATTACAGGCGTGAGCTACCACGCCCGGACTTTTTATTTTTCTAACAGAGACAGTCTCATATGTTGCCCGGCTGGTTTCAAACTGGGCTCAAGGAATCCTACCACTTCAGCCTCCCAAAGCGCTAGGATTACAGGCTTGAGCCACCGTGCCTGGCCCAGATCCACTTTTTCCTCTTAACTGTTTTGAATTTCATCCCGCACGAGTACCCAGCAGCCATGCCAAAACCAGTGGGAAGAGGGAAACCAGGGCATAGCTGAAAGGCTTGGGCCCCCAGGGAAGTCCCTCAGTCACACTTACCCCAATCCACGCTTGCATCTGGGGTGTTGGCCATCACTATCCAGGGCCTCAGGCACCCCTGAGCACCTGCAGCCCAGGCCCTGGCCCTCAGCCCAGCCCTGCCGCTCCATCACCTTCCGCCCAATGCCCTGCAGAGTGAAGGGACAAGACTCAAGAAATGGGGCTCCTGCTGGGAGCAGGGAGAATGGGGATGGGAGAAGGAATTAAAGTAGAGAAGGAAAAGAGAGGGGTCCATGGGGTGGGCACAGTGCTAACTCACCTTGGTGTGGCGCTCAAAGGTGCCCACCTGGCGTTCGATCACAGAGCCATCTTCCTGTCCATCTCGGAGTCTCTGTTCCAGACGCATTTGGACAGAGTCTCGGGCATCCTTGTCTCCACCATCTGAGGAAACAGAGCTCAGTTTATGGAAGCGTCCCTCTCAAAGAAGGGGGAAGAATCAGGTTTCTAGGACCCCCTCGTAAGATTGACTTATTCATTTTAATAGTGTTCTGTATCTCTCTCATTAGACTGGGAGCTCCCCAAAAGTAGGAACCATGGCTCTCCCCAATCATACAGATGAGAAGATTGTGGTGCAGAAAAGTAACAGAGCCAACAAATGACAGAGAGAGGATTAGAACCCAGGTCTTCCCTCCCCTACTTGGCTATTTCCCCCACCCGGGTCATTTCCTCTTCTAAAATCTAAACCCTTACTAGAGCCTGAGCTTCTGACCAGCCCACCCTACCAGGGCCTGACCATCAGACCTAGAGCCCCTAAGGGCTATCTATCCCTCCTCCTCCTCCAAGAAAGGATGAAGGCTCTGTCCAAAACTAGCACTTAATGTACACAACCAAAGATGTTTTAAGAGGAACCCTCTCAGTGGGCTACCCCAAGGGAACGGGAACGGTACCCTGTCTCAGCCTTTGCTAGCTCTGGTAAAGTGTCACTGCAAGGCCAGGGCACCTGTTTCACCTCCAGTATTGCCACTCCTTGCCCAGTACCTCTGTCATAGTACACACTCATGTCCACATCCCAGTCATCGGCTGTCTGTTCATCAAAATCTGTAGGGACAGAAAAGCATCCAACAGAGTACATTAAGGACTCTCAGTTCTATTAAGAGTTAAACCTAGAGTTTTTTTGGCTTTTTTTTTTTTTTTTTTTTTGAGACAGAATCTCATTCTGGAGTGCAGTGGCATGACCTTGGCTCACTCCAACCTCTGCCTCCCGGGTTCAAGTGATTCTCCTGCCTCAGCCTCCCAAGTAGCTGGGACTACAGGTGCATGCCACCATACCCAGCTAATTTTTGTATTTTTCATAGAGACGAGGTTTCACCATGTTGGCCAGGACGGTCTCGATCTCTTGACCTCGTGATCTGCCCACCTCAGCCTCCCAAAGTGCTGGGATTACAGGCGTGAGCCACTGCACCCAGCGGGGCATTTGTTTGTTTTAGAGAAGGTCTCACTCTGTCCCCCAGGCTGGAGTAAAGTGGTGGAATCATAGCTCACTGCAACCTTGAACTCCTGGGCTCAAGTGATCCTCCTGCCTCAGTCTCTTAAGTAGTTCGGACTACAGGCATGAGCCATTGCACCCAGCTTGTTTGTATTTTAAGATCCTTCCTCTGGGAGGGTTATTCAGAATTTGTTGGGGGCGGGGCGGGGGGCATTTTCTCTCCATCTCACTGATCCCCACTCTTAAAAAGGATGATTGGTCTCTCGTATACAATAGAGGTCAGCCTGTTCCCTAGCCTTTTGTTTGGGCTCACCACTACAGAATCTACCGTGTGGAACAGGGAACCCCAAAAGAATGCAGCAGGGGTCACCCCTGCCTTTGCCTGGGTACCAGCATTACCTCCTTCTTCCTCCTGCCAGAACTGGGCATCAGTATAAAACACCAGGCCAGAGCCACCCTTCTCCCACTTGAGCTCAATCTCCTCCTCAAAGAGCTGCTCAGTGGTCCGCTCCTGCCCGGTCACGTCCTCATGCAGCGCTTCATGCCGTTCCCATTCCTCACCCCGGTCATCGTCCTAAAAGGCAGGGAGAGGTGATTTGCCTGAGCTTCCTGACCTCATGCCCCGAGGGAGGGAAGCTCAGGGCACAGGAGGCATGTGTGGCTAGCCTCAGCGCCATTCCTTCAGATTTCTCCAAGAAGCAGCACATATTTGGCCCCTGACCAACACGTCTCCAGCCCGATAATTCTCAACAGTTTGCTCCTGTCCCCACAAGCCTGACTCACCTCTGCGCGTTTGGCCATGTTGTTCCCTGCCTGAAATACCCACTTTCCTCTCCCACACCCTTCTCTTCTCCACTTGATTAAATCCTCCTCATCCCTCAAGTCATACAGCCTACATGAAGCCCCCCACATTTAGGCCCACAGCTCTCATACCAGTCTCTGAACTCCCAATGCTAATCAGTACACACTGGTTAGGCCTTTTTATGTCATATCACAAAGAAAGAATGGACAATAATGCTTATTGTCTCTGGTGTGTCAGGCCCTTCCCATAGCTTAGCTCCTTTAACCACTGCAACAACCCTATGAGATAAGTACCATTATTCCCATTCTACAGATGACAAAACCTAGGTTCAGGGGAGTAAAAAGTTCTTTGTCCAAAAGAGTACACTGAGGGAGCAGCAGAGCCAGCAATGCAAACCCGGGTGGCCACATCCAGGTGCAGCATCTCCAGATGCTGGTTCTTTCTCTTCAGGGAGATTTTAGGCTCTTTGAGGGCAGGAAATGGGTCTTAGAATGCCTTTGGAATCCTACACTAGCCCTTGGCTTGACGGGACTTGTGGAATGATACAATGACTCCTAGCTTGAAACCCTGTAGGCCTTCAAGTGCTGAAGAAAAGTCAGGATGGGGCCAGACGCAGTGGCTCACGCCTGTAATCCCAGCACTTTGGGAGGCCAAGGTGGGAGGATCCCTTGAGCTCAGAGGTTCAAGACCAGTCTAGGCAACAAGTCAAAACCCTATCTCTACAAAAAATACAAAAATTAGCCAAGTGTGGTGATGTGTGAGTGTAGTCCTAGCTACTAGGGAAGCTGAGGTGAGGATGGCTTGAGCCCAGGGAGTTGGAGGTTGCAGTGAGCTGAGATTGCACTACTGCATTCCAGCCAGGACAATAGAACCAGAGCCTGCTTAAAAAAAAAAAAAAAAAAAAAGGAAAGGAAGGAAGGAAGGGGAGAGAAGAGGAGAGGGGAAGTCAGGATGGTACCACACTAGGGATGTGGTCCAGATGTCTTAGCAATCTTGGCTGGGAGCTTTTTTTTTTTTGAGACAGAGTCTCACTCTATCGCCCAGGCTGGAGTGCAGTGGTGCGATCTCAGCTCACTGCAACCTCCACCTCCTGGCTTCAAGTGATTCTCCTGCCTCAGCCTCCCAGTAGCTAGGACTACAGGCACCACGCCTGGCTAATTTTTGTATTTTTAGTAAAGGTGGGGTTTCACCATGTTGGCCAGGCTGGTCTCGAACTCCTGACCTCAAATGATCCACCCATCTTGGCCTCCCAAAGTGCTGGGATTACAGGTGTGAGCCACTGCACCCAGCTGGCTGGAAGCTTTGAAACATGGGTGAATTACTTTTTACCCGGAGTACACATTTTTAAAAAAGTTTTCCCAACAAATCACACCTTACTTGATTTTATGGATGTGCAACCAAGTTTGGAGAAAGGAACCAAAGAAATGTCTATGTCACTAATGAAGTGAGAGTGGAGGCTACTGTTCAATCTGCTGACTCTAGGTCAGAAAATAGAGATGACTGTTCAGCCACATTATGACAGCACGCACAGGTTAGAGAAGAAGCAAGAACTGGGTTCATATCCCAGCTCTACCTCTATTTCCTGAGATGATCTTAGACAAGTCACTGCACATGTTTTGGTCAGCACATTTTCATCTATGAAAATGAACTCTCCTTATCTGGTCTTTCATGTGGAATTTTTTTTTTTTTTCTCAGCTCACTGCAACCTCCGCCTCCTGGGTTCAAGAGCTTCTGTGCCCGGCTGGAAATAATTTTTAAAAAAGAAAAAATGGGCCTGGCGCAGTGGGTCATGCCTGTAATCCCAGCACTTTGGCAGGCCGAGGCAGGTGGGTCACGAGGTCAGGAAATTGAGACTATCCTGGTTAACACGGTGAAACCCTGTCTCTACTAAAAATAAAAAAAAAAAAAAAAATTAGCCGGGCGTGGTGGCACATGCCTGAAGTCCCAGCTTACTCGGGAGGCTGAGGCAGGAGAATCACTTAAACCCAGGAGGTGGAGGTTGCAGTGAGCCGAGATCGCACCACTTCACTCCAGCCTGGGTGACACAGTGAGACTCTGTCTCAAAAAAAAAAAGAAAAAAATGAATAAAGAGGAACCATCCTGGCCAGGCGCAGTGGCTCACGCCTATAATCCCAGCACTTTGGGAGACTGAGGCAGGCGGGTCACGAGGTCAGGAGATTGAGACCATCCTGGCTAACACAGTGAAACCCCGTCTCTACTAAAAATACAAAAAATTAGCCGGGTATGGTGGTGGCCGCCTGTAGTCCCAGCTACTTGGGAGGCTGAGGCAGGAGAATGGCGTGAACCCAGGAGGCAGAGCTTGCAGTGAGCCGAGATCGTGCCACTGCACTCCAGCCTGGACAACAGAGCAAGACTCCGTCTCAAAAAAAAAAAAAAAGGAACCATCCTTATATATCCCTTCCAAGGGAATGAAAAATAAGACCCACTTACGAATCTTCTGGTAAAAGCTCTGGACCATCTCCCTACAGAAATACAGAAACACACATGCAAATATAGTTTTACATTCCTTCTTGGACTCCTTGGAACCCTCCTGAGGACCCCAGGTTAAGAACCCTTGTAATAGACAATTGAAGAGTGGTATTATTAATGCCTTCGGCCTCTTTCAGCTGCCAGCAAGGACAGGGTAGCACACTGTACTCACCTCATCTGAGTGAGACTCTTCTTCCTCTTCCTTCCCCACTTCTTCCTCAGGCTCTCCACAGGGGCTGGCTGGTATATCTGCCAGGTAGGTTCCTTGGGGTATTTCTTCACCCTCTGCTGTATACACAAGCTCTTCCTGCTCCACAGTCTCTGAGTCCTCATACTCAAAAGGCACATTGCCGTAGCGCCGGGAGGAACCTGTCTTGGGGAACTGGAGCTGCAGCTGGGTGATGATCCGAGGGGGTAGGCGGCAGGCCCGGATCAACTCCAAAAAGACCCGCAGGGGAGTCCCCACATTCCCTCTGGGCATCAGCACTGGTGGGTTCAGCTCCGGCAGTTGCTTCAGGTCAGCCAGGGTGAAGGCTTCATTCTCTGCCTTCCAACTCTGCAGTTCCTTCCGGGTCTTGAAGGGAAAGGAGCCCAGACCTTGGAAAGGAGGGAGAATAGATCTTGAAACCCAGAAGCCTCCAGCAACACTTGAGCCAGAAATTGGCCAATGTTTAAATCTGTTAGCCTTTCCCTAGTAAACATCTAGTAAATCCCTAGTAAAAATCTAGGCCGACACAGTGGCTCACGCTTGTGATCCCAGCACTTTGGGAGGCTGAGGCAGGAGGATTGCTTGAGCTCAGGAGTTCAAGACCAGCCTGGGCAAAATGGTGAGACCCTTATCTCTACAAAATATAAAAAAATTAGCTGGGAGTGGTGGTGCACCCTGTGATCCCAGCTCCTTGGGAGGCTGAAGCAGGAGGATTGCTTGAGCCTGGGAGGTGAGGCTGTAGTGAGCCAAGATTGCACCACTGCACTTCATCTCGGGCGACAGAGTACCCTGTCTCAAAAATAAATAAATAAATAATAAAATAAATCCATTAGCCTCATGCTGTTCCTCCCTCTCAAACTTCTCCAGGTCTTTTCATCTCTCCCCAAGCGGAACTACAGAACTACCTAGTAG
The DNA here is from genome assembly GCF_000001405.40 of Homo sapiens. Lineage (NCBI taxonomy): Eukaryota > Metazoa > Chordata > Mammalia > Primates > Hominidae > Homo > Homo sapiens. Next base: position 26,898,249 of record NC_000001.11, read on the forward strand.
TTTCATGTCACTTCTCATCACCTTGGCTGGGCATACAAGTTTCTTCCAGCTCTGGCTCCTGATGAACTTTTTTTTTCTTTTTTTTGAGACAGATTCTCACTCTGTCACCCAGACTGGCGTATGCAGTGGTGCAATCTCAGCTCACCGCAACCTCCGCCTCCCGGGTTCAAGTGATTCTCATACTTCAGCTTCCCAAGTAGCTGGGATTACAGGCATGTGCCACCATGCCTGGCTGATTTTTGTATTTCTAGTACAGACAGGGTTACGCCATGTTGTCCAGGCTGGTCCTGGCCTCAAGTGATATCTACCCACCTGATGACCTTTTGATTCTCGGCTGTCACCAACTCCCACCTCCTGCATGTCTTCATACGATGTGTTCCAGCCACACCAAACAATTTTTCTCCTAATTTCTTTTTTTTCTTCTTTTTTTTTTTTTGAGATGGGGTCTCGTTCTGTCACCCAGGCTGGAGTACAGTGGCGCGATCTTGACTCATTGCAACCTCCACCTCCTGGGCTCAAGTGATCCCCCCACCTCAACCTCACAAGTAGCTGGGACTACAGGCATGCGCCACCACAACCGGCTAATTTGTATTTTTGGTAGAGACAGGGTTTCACCATGTTGCCCAGGCTGGTATGGAACTCCTGAGCTCAAGAGATCCACCCACCTGTGCCTCCCAAAGTGCTGGGATTACAGGCACGAGCCATTGCAACCCAGCCCACAATGAACAATTTAACATGCCCTGAAAGTTTTTCACGGGCTTTCAAAGCTGTGTCTTTGCAAACGCCATTTACCCTGAAACCCAGAAACACCATTCTCTCCTATTAACTCCTATTTATTTTTCAAGACCCAGATGGAAAGCCACATTTCATGATCCATCTAGGAAGTTAGTTTCTCCCTTCTCTGTCATCTCACAGCACTTGGTGATAAACAGTATAGGCTCTGGAACAGATGCCTAGGTTTGTTGTAGCTCTGACACTAACTAACTCTGTAACCTCAGGCAAGTCACATAACTTCGGCTTCCCTCAGTTTCTTCACCTATGAAATGGGAGAAACAACAGCTCCTATCTCATAGGACTGTTGAGAGGGGTAAGAAAACAAAAGGCTTAGAACAGCGCCTACTAAATACAGAGTGCTCAGTGAATGCTAACAATTAGAATGACATCTCTGTGGCAATAACCTTTTTCCAAATGTCTTCCTTTGTGGATTCTGAGCACACACTATGTCCAACTGTTCTCTGCATACCCAGCTAGTCACACTAGGTCTAGCAATGTAAGCATTTGTTGAATGTGTGAACTGGAGGGCTCTGCACTGTCCTGTTTCCCCATCAAACTGATTTCCCATGAAAGTGGGAGCTGTCCAGAGAAAAGATTGTCTCTTCATTTGTATCTTACTGAAAGGACTGGGTAGGAAGCACAGAGAGAGCAGGAGAGAAAGACAGTAAAAGGGTTAGAGACTGGATTTCCTTTTTTCTTTCTGTGTTAGTGCAAAATCAACCCCTTGGATAGAGAAAGGGTCTCAAAAGGGACCTAACAAAATGAAGGCTCTTCCGAATAAGCCTCTCCGGTTTATTTTTCTCCATGTATTGGACTAACTCCCTGCAAGTTGAGCCTGAAGCTCTGTCTAGAATATGAACTAAACTCATAGAGTCCTAACCAGAGGCCTGACTTATCCTCACCACTCCTCTGAAAAGGTGCCTCTGTTCCAGGCCCGTAGGCCCAGTCTATTAACTTTCTCACTCTTACCTGATGCCTCCGTAGGTAGCCGAAGTCTGCGGATGAGACAGCGACCCGGTAGCCAAGTCCCGTGAGAATCCAGCCACCGGCGGCCCGAGTACATGCGAATAAGCCTCTGAGCTTGAGCCAACCCCCTTACCGAGATGACGCAGCAGCAGGTGCGGGTCTGGATTGGAGTAGAGTCTCGAGTGGAGAGAGGCCGGACATCGGTGGCCGAAGTCTGAGAGAGAAGCTGGCCCTCAGCGGCTGGGTCGGTAGGAATTAGGGCAGAGTTAGGAGCGGCCTGCGGAGGGGCCCGCTCAGGCCGATGCCGGTAGTGGAAACAGAGGAAGCCACCGCCGCGCTCTTCTCGGAACTGGCTAAAATAGCTCCGTAAATGGGCCGAGCGCAACACGGAGGGGATACCGCTCACTACCAGGTAAACTGTCGCCTCCTCCTCCGCCTCGCCGGGCACCGCCATCTTGGATTGTCACATGATCAGCTAGAACCAAGTCTCGCGAGAACACCGCGAGCAACGTTCCAGCCCCTGCGTTGCGAGATTGTGAAAATTCTAACTAGTCCTTTGGGATTGGGGTTGTGGAACCTGGAGCTGGAAGATCCGAAGTCTTCTGTGTTCCTTTCCCACAGAGGGAAGCCGGCGATGATGGAAAAACTCACCTGGAAAATGGGGTCATAGAGTTCTTTCATAAAGCTCTCATGAGGACCAAATAAGAAGCCTGCGGGAGGGGTCATTTTTGAGGTATTTAGTTGTGGATATTGCACACCTAATCTCAACCTTCCTCAGTTCTGAACCTTTAGTCGTTCTTCCATTTATTTTTCCAAAATGTGTTGATGAACTCCCACAAATCGGTAAGAAAAAGATAACCCGGTAGAAAAATGGGCCGAAGATACTTCGCAAAAGAGGAAACACGCAGGTCCAATTTACAATGAAAGTGCTATGAGTTACTAGAGGCTTACGTTAAAGAAAAGATGCACAACTCAATAATAAAAGAAATGCAGCGAGACCCACTTTGCATCCACTATGTTGGCAAACTTTAAAACCTTAGAGTCGATGACAACATGGTGGAACTGAAGCTCTCATACACTGTTGGTGGAAATGTAAGTTGATACAACCACTTTGGGAAACAATTGGCGTTATCTAGTAAAAGCAAAGCTACACATCATTTGACTCAGCACTTGTAGGTAATATTTTATTTATTTTTGAGTTGGGGTCTCGCTCTGTCGCCCAGGCTGGAGTGCTGGGACCACAGATGCAACCCACTATGCCTGGCTAATTTTTTAAACTATTTGTAGAGATGGGGTCTCACTGCATTGCCCAGGCTGGTATTGAACTCCAGGGCTCAAGTGATCCACTGGCCTCAGCCTCCCAAAGTGTTAGGATTACAGGTGTGAGCCACGGTCCCCGCCTTTTTGTCTTTTTTTTTTTTTTTTTTTTTTTTTGAGATGGAGCCTCGCTCTGTCATCCAGGCTGGAGTGCAATGGTGCGATCTCGGCTCACTGCAACCTCCGCCTCCCGGGTTCAAGCAATTCTCCTGTCTCAGCCTCCCGAGTAGCTGGGACTACAGGTGCGTGCCACCACGCCCGGCTAATTTTTGTATTTTTAGTAGAGACGGGGTTTCACCATATTGGTCAGGCTGGTCTCGAACTCCTGACCTCAGGTGATCCACCCGCCTTGGCCTCCCAAAGTGCTGAGATTACAGATGTAAGCCACCGCACCCGGCCCTCTTTGTACGTTTTTTAATTGGGTTATTTGATTACTATTGATTCATTGATTCATAATTCAGACAAAGTCTACACATTATACTGGGTGATAGGAGGAACCTGTAGATTGAGAGACCTCAAACAAAAGCAAAAAATAAAGGGCCAAGCTCAGTGGTTCACGCCTGTAATCCCAGCACTTTGGCAAGCTGGTGTAGGAGGATCCCTTGAGCTTAGAAGTTTGAGACCAGCCTGGCCAAGTTGGCAAGACCCTTGTCTAAACAATAAAAAAAATGACTGCACATGTTTATCAGAAGACTTATTGATAATGTTGACTTTTACCCAAGCCCTGTGATCCTGGAAAACTAAGGCTTAAGAAATGCCTTCCCACTGTTTTGTGTTCTGGAACACAGCATATTGCAAAAAAACATCCTTCCCCAAGTGAGTTAGGTAAGACTGGTGTATGCCCCTCTGGTTCACCAATGACAAAGCCAGACACAGACTCCATATTCCAAATCTCCTCATGAAAGCTTTGAGGAACTTCTTGTCCCCACTGATCAGTTGGAACAAACTTTGGTTAAAACTTCTCTCCTTCCCCCAGCTTCCCGAACTTTGGCTTACCCTCAGCTTGAGCCAGCGCACATCTCCTCCTTAACAGCCTCTCCTGAGAATAGGCTGGCTTCAAGGTAAAGCATTATCTGATCTACTGTCCCATCATGCCACTCCTGATCATCCCACTTCCTCCCACCCAGTTCTGCCCTGTTTACTCCTCTGTATGAGAGAAGAACCCTTTTTGCCTAACCCTTGAGTCACTTGCAGATATTATGGTCAGAGGGTCCTCCCTGCTGCAATATTCTTCCTCCTTCTATTGCAATAGTTCCTTTCTTCCCTTGCAATAATCCTTTCAAATAAAATCTCTCCTGGCAGGGTGTGGTAACTCACACCTGTAATCTTAGCACGTCGGGAGGTTGAGGTCGGAGGATCACTTGAGCCCAAGAGAGCAAGGCTGCAGTGAGCCATGATTGTGCCATGCATTCGGTGGGCAGCAGAATGAGAATCTGTCTCAAAAAAAAAAAAAATTATAATGGCTGGGCGCAGTGGCTAATGCCTGTAATCCCAGCACTTTGGGAGGCTGAGGTGGGCGGATCACTTGAGGTCCAGAGTTCGAGACCAGCCTGGCCAACATGGTGAAACCCCGTCTCTACTAAAAATACAAAAATTAGCCACTCATGGTGGTATGCGCCTGTAATCTCAGCTCCTCAGGGAAGCTGAGGCACGAGAATCGCTTGAACCCAGGAGGCGGAGGTTGCAGTGAGCTGAGATCACACCACTGCACACTCCATCCTGGGCAACAGAGCGAGACTCTGTCTCAAAAAAAAAAAAATTATAATAAAATCTCTCCTTACCAAGCCTGGATTTGTTTTTTATTTCACAGTATATATAAATATTCATAGCTACAGTCTTTTTAAGTGCAAAAAGCTGGCTTTTTGTACTAATAATCTCAGTTAAAGCCAGTCAGAAAACACAGAATTGTTTTATTTATGCAAAGTTCCAAAAATGCAAACTAAAAAATATTCTTAGGGCTACATAAATAAATAAGCTTTAAAATCAGGAAGAAAAGCAAATAAATGATTAACATAAAATCCAGGGTAGTTGTTACCTTTGGAGGGAAATGATAGATTTAGAAAGGGACTTCAAAGTTAATGGTAATAATGACCTATGAAACAATAGAGTTCATTCTGTTATTCTTTATACTTTACACATATTTATTAATATTATTTTGTTTTACTCAATGTTTAAAATGTAAAAATATTAAAAGTGAAAATAACTCATTTCAGAAAGCAATAGTTACCTTGTGATAGCAAATATACAGCTATATGATGAATTTTAAAAATTGGAAAACATGGCCAGGCATGGTGGCTCATGCTTCTAATCCCATCGCTTTGAGAGGCCGAGGCAGAAGGATTGCTTGAGGCCAGGAGTTGGAGACCAGCCTGGGCAACATAGTGAGACCCTGTCTCTACAAAAAATAATAAAAATAAAAAATAAGCCGGGCGCGGTGGCTCACACCTGTAATTCCAGCACTTTGGGAGGCCGAGGTGGGCGGATCACAAGGTCAGGAGATTGAGACCATCCTGGCTAACACGGTGAAACCCCATCTCTACTAAAAATACAAAAAAATTAGCTGGGCGTGGTGGCGGGCACCTGTAGTCCCAGCTACTCGGGAGGCTGAGGCAGGAGAATGGTGTGAACCCGGGAGGCGGAGCTTGCAGTGAGCCGAGATCGCGCCACTGCACTCCAGCCTGGGTGACAGAGCAAGACTCCGTCTCAAAATAAATAAATAAATAAATAAATTAAATAAATAAATAATAAATAAATAAATAAAAATACAAAAATAAAAATAAAAAAGTCTAATGAGTGAGAAATTGTAGATAGGACCATTATATCTAGGTTTAAACCCACATCATATCTGGATTTTATTTATTTTTTATTTTATTACATACTTTTTTTTTTTTTTTGTCACCCAGGCTGGAGTGCATGCAGTGATGCAATCTTGGCTCACTGCAACCTCTGCCTGCCGGGTTCAGGCCATTCTCCTGCCTCAGCCTCCTATCCTAAGTAACTGGGACTACAGGCAAGCACCACACCCAGCTAATTTTTGTATTTTTAGTAGAGACGGGGTTTCATCATGTTGACCAGGCTGATCTTGAACTCCTGGCCTCAAGTGATCCACCCAACTCATTATTACACACATATTTTTTAGCGATAGTGTCTCAGTCTGTCGCCTAGGCTAGAGTCCATTGGCGCAATCATAGCTCACTGCAGCCTTGAACTGCTGGCCTCAAGCCATCCCCCTGCCTCAGCCTCCCCAGTAGCTGGGATAACAGACTTGAAACACTGCACCTGGCTCACCCCTGACTTTTAAAGACACAAGTATAGTGTTTAAGAGCATGGGCCCTGAAGACAGATCATCTAAGCTCAAATCCTGATTCTGTCACTTATTAACTGTGTAACCTCGAGCACTTTACTTAATCTCTCTGTACCTCTACAGGAGAGTGAGAGATCACCTCCAACCCCCCTTAGCTCTTATGGGAATTCTTCTGCTGGATATAGAAACTAAGTTCACACATGGTAAATTAACAGGAGAAAATCATACATTATTATTATATAATTTTTTTTTTTTTTTCTGAGACAGAGTCTTGCTCTGTCGCCCAGGCAGATCTTGGCTCACTACAACCTCCGCCTCCTGGGTTCAAGTGATTCTCCTGCATCAGCCTCCTGAGTAGCTGGGATTACAGGCATGCGCCACCACGCCCGGCTAATTTTTGTATTTTTAGTAGAGATGGGGTTTCACCATGTTGGCCAGGCTGATCTCGAACTCCTGACCCTTAGATGATCCGCCCACCTCGGCCTCCCAAAGTGCTGGGATTACAGGCGTGAGCGACTGAGCCTGGCCTATTATTATTATTATTATTATTTTTTTTTTTTTTTTTTTTTGAGACAGAGCCTCACTCTGTTGCCTAGGCTGGAGTGCAATGGCACCATCTCGGCTCACTGCAACCTCCGCCTCCTGGGTTCAGGCGATTCTCCTGCCTCAGCTTCCCAAGTAGCTGGGATTACAGGAACCTGCCAACACGCCTGGCTAATTTTTGTATTTTTAGTAGAGACGGGGTTTCACCATGCTGGCCAGGCTGGTCTCGAACTCCAGACCTCAGGTGATCCTCCTGCCTCAGCCTCCCAAAGTGTTGGGATTACAGGCGTGAGCCCAGCCACAAGATGCTTTTATACTTTTTAGACAACAATAAATTTGAGAAGTCACAGGACAAGGGACATCTGGCTAGGGGCAGTAAATTTCTAGGTGAGTGATGAGGAGATATTTGAGGTGGAAGTGTAAAACTAGTGGAAGATAAGGGTTACTTTGAAAAGTATATTTATTCAGGTCCGTTGCAGCCCCGAGTTCCCAGTCTCTGGTAATCAGGGGTAATTTTTTGCCCTGGTATAGGGAGGGTATCCCTCACAGAGGAATCTTGATGGCTTGCTGCATGCAGGAAGAGGCAGGTCAGCTCACCCTTTCTGAAACTACAATTTCTCCAAGATTTTCAACCCAAAATGATCAAGATACCAGTTTGGCACATTGGCACATCCTTCACTCCTTGAGTTTCTTTGTCTATAAAATGGATGGAGGCCGGGCATAGTGGCTCATGCCTATAATCTCAGCACCTTGGGAGGTGGAGGTGGGTGGATCACCTGAGGTCAGGACTTTGAGACCAACCTGGCTAACATGGTGAAACCCCGCCTTTACTAAAAAATACATAAAAGGCCGAGCGCAGTGGCTCACGCCTGTAATCCCAGCACTTTGGGAGGGCGAGGCGGGCGGATCACCTGAGGTTGGGAGCTTGAGACCAGCCTGACCAAATGTAGAAACCCCGTCTCTACTAAAAATACACAATTAGCAGGGCGTGGTGGCGCATGCCTGTAATCCCAGCTACTTGGGAGGTTGGGCAGGAGAATCATTTGAATCTGGGAGGTGGAGGTTGCGGTGAGCTGAGATCGCGCCACTGAACTCCACCCTGGGCAAGAGAGTGAGACTCTGTCTCAAAAAAAAACGAAAAAATACAAAAAGCATTAGCTGGGTGTGGTGGCGCATGCCTGTAATCCCAGCTACTCGGGAAACTGAGGCACAAGAACCGCTTGAACCCAGGAGGTTGCAGTGAGCCGAGATCGCACCACAGCACTCCACCCTGGGCAACAGAATGAGACTGTGTCTCAAAAAGAAAGATAAAGCGGTTGGAGATAATGATAGTACTTCCAGCACAGAGTTGTGAGAGTGAAATACCATAATCCAGGAAATGTGTTTAGAGCACAGCTCTCAATAAATGTTACGTGGGCCGGGCGTGGTGGCTCACACCCGTAATCCCAGCACTTTGGGAGGCCAAGGCAGGCGGATCATGAGGTCAGGAGATCAAGACCATCCTGGCTAACATGGTGAAACCCTGTCTCTACTAAAAATACAAAAAATTGGCCGGGCGTGGTGGCGGGCGCCTGTAGTCCCAGCTACTCGGGAGGCTGAGGCAGGAGAATGGTGTGAACCCGGGAAGTGGAGCTTGCAGTGAGCTGAGATTGCACCACTGCACTCCAGCCTGGGCGAATGAGCAAGACTCCGTCTCAAAAAAAATAATAATAATAAAAATAAATAAATAAATAAATGTTAATGTGGTTATAGTTTAGTAGCTACCCAGAGTGAGCACCCACAGCCTGGGGTTTCTTCTGGCCATACCCTGCCAGGAAGAGGAGGTCTCCTTTGTTAACTCTGACTCCCCTGAGATCTTAGCATTGTCGCCTCCACCAGTTTCATTGGGATTTCCTTTCTTTGCTGTCTTGTTCTGTGAGGTGGTCCCTGTCATCTCTCCAGGCCCATTTCCTCCTACCCTGGGCCCCACACATCACTTGCAGTTAACTAAGCACCTCTTGCTCTCTGACATCTCTGTGCCTTTGCATATATCTGTTTGGAATGCCCATCCCTTGGGTTGCCTAGCAAAACCCTGTTCATTCTCTTTAGCTCAAACCAGTCACCACTTGGGTAAAGCATTTTTCCCACCTTCAGGCAGATTTAATCTCTCCTGTTGCCTGTTGTATGTACCCCTATCACAGCTCAGATCACTCTGCATTACAATTACTTACATGTCTTCCTCTGCCACAGACAAGATGTTTCATGAGAGTAAGAAATGTATCTTATTTATTCTGTGCCCCCTACCCCAGCATCTAGTACAGGGGTTGGTACAAATGGAGGTTGAGAGACATTGAGTGATAGAATGAATTAATGGATGGATAGTGGGTGTTGGCTTTTTGCCAGCATCACGGGTTCTAGGATATTTGAATGCCCCAAGGACAGGGTGGAGTTAATGCGGGACACAGCATGCGTCAGCTGTCTGACTACTTAATAGGCAGTCAACGATTTGGCTAATGAAGATAGAGATAATGATGGCAATAAAATGGTACTCTAGGCTGACCCAGAGCCACAGCCACTCTCCTGCTTTCCAGTGAGTCATCCCTGGCTGGGCCTGAGGACAGGAATCATGGCTCAGAGGTAGATGGTCAGTCAACAGTGGCTGAGCTGGTTCCAGACCGCTTGATCCTGGCCATGACTCACTCCAGCTTGTGCTGCTGACAAGAACCCTCCAGAACTTCACAGGTTTGAGTACAAGTCTCAGCACAGGCCAGGTGCGGTGGCTCATGCCTGTAATCCCAGCACTTTGGAAGGCCAAGGCAGGTGGATCACCTGAGGTCAGGAGTTTGAGACTAGCCTGGCCAACATCGTGAAACTCTGTCTCTACTAAAAATACAAAAATTAGCCAGGCGTGGTGGTGGGTGCCTGTAATCCCAGCTACTTGGGAGGCTGAAGCAACGGAATTGCTTGAACCCGGGAGGCGGAGGTTGCAGTGAGCCGAGATCGCGCCACTGCACTCCAGCCTGGGCAGCAAGAGTGAAACTCCATCTAAAAAAAAAAAAGAGTCTTAGCACAGACAGTGATCAGCCCAGACCTTAAGTTACATACGCCATCTGAGCCTGTTTCCTCCTCTTCCCTCACTGGCAATGAGACACAGATCCCAACCCAGGATGCTGATCATGGAGACATACTTCCCCACTTTTGGAAAGCCTACAGTCTCATGGAGAAAGCACGATTCCCCTTACCACATTGTACCGTAATTATCTCTTTAGTTTTGCCATATTTGTCTTTATGTTCTTTGCTCAAGGCAAGGAAATAGGGCACGGGGAATGACTCAAGAAACGCAGACAAGAAACAGAAGTGTAGCTCCCCAACCATGTGGATTGGTAGGGAAGAAATTTGAAAAGGATCAAGGTAGAGATTTTTCTTGTTGTTTTTTTATTTGTTTTGAGACAGGGTCTTGCTCTGTCACCCAGGCTGGAGTGCAGTGATGCTCCCATGCTCACTGCAGCCTCCAACTCCCAGCTCAAGTGATCCTCCCACTTCAGCCTCTCGAGTGGCTGGGACTACAGACATAAGCCACCATACCTAGCTTACTTTATTTTATTTTACTTTTATTTATTTATTTTTTGAGATGGAGTCTCACTTTGTCGCCCAGGCTGGAGTGCAGTGGTGCAATCTCGATTCACTGCAACCTCTGCCACCTGGGTTCAAGTGATTTTCGTGCCTCGGCCTCCCGAGTAGCTGGGAGCCACCGCACCTGGCTAATTTTTGTTTTAGTAGAGACGGTGTTTCACCATCTTGGCCAGGCTGGTCTTGAACTCCGACCTCGTGATCCGCCTGGCCTTATTTTTTAATTTTTTTGAGACAGAGTCTCACTCTGTCGCCCAAGCTGGAGTGCAGTGGTGCGATCTCGGCTCACTGCAACCTCCACCTCCCAGGTTCAACCGATTCTCCTGTCTCAGCCTCCCAAGTAGCTGCGATTACAGGTGAGTGCTGCCATGCCTGGCTAATTTTTGTATTTTTAGTAGAGACAGGGTTTCACCATGTTGGCCAGGCTCGTCTTGAACTCCTAACCTCAGGTGATCCGCCTGGCTTGGCCTCCAAAAGTGCTGGGATTACAGGTGTGAGCCACTGAGCCCGGCCCCTAGCTAATTTTATAATTTTTTGTAGAGGCAGGAGTCTCATTACATTGCCCAGGCTGATCTTGAACTCCTGGGCTCAAGCGATCCTATCACCTCAGCCTCCCAAAGTGCTGGGATGACAGGCATGAGCCATCAGTGGTGCCTGGCAAGGTAGAGTTAATAAGGGAAGCTGTTTGGATGATGGAAAAAATTAAATAAGTTGAGGGAAAAAGCCTAGGGTGGGGCATAGAGAGGAATGCTTCCTAAAGGTTGTTCAGGGCCGGAGAAGGAGAAGGGTAAGAGGTGGGAAGACCCAGCTTGAGGATTCAGAGAGATGTGGCAATTAACTAATAGAGGCAGAAACTGGTAGGGCATAAAAGATATAGAATGACCCTAAATCCCTGAATCTTCTGGATTTGGGTCCTATGTGGGAAACAGGGCTTCTGCTCTTGAAAGAGTGGTCTCATGTGTCTACAAGGTTACACGGGGTGGTATGTGCCAGAGGGATGGGGAGGGCAGGTCAGAGAGAGTCCTGGGGGCCTGAGGTCTGAGTTTGGGGCATCTGGTGGGAGGTGGGGGGATACAGGGCTTGTTCTGGGCCCTGAAGGATGCCTTTATTGGGGATTTGATTAGGTCCTGGTGGGGACAGTTGTTGAGCTGAGAGGAGGAGGGACATTGAAGTCACCAGGGGGAAAGAGGATGAATGGTTAGCTGGGGTCCCAAATGCCAGGCAGAGCAGTTTGGCCTGGGCTCACAGACTCCAAGAGGATCCTGAAGATGCACAGACACAGGTCTGCCTACTTAGGGGGCCACTTTTCCCTTTACTATGACGCAGGGAAGATGAACACACTCTGGCATGGGGGTGTCTCCCCACTGTGTGCCCCACCCTCAGGTGCAAGGGTGCGTGCTTCTGCTGTGTGACTGTGTGGGGGTCTGCAGTACATTGCTGAGTGACTGTATCTGGGCAGTGCTTTTCTGGGCTATAAGTGGGTGGTTGGAGAGTCTGTTTTATGCGTCTGTGTAGGTGTGCCTGAGTTGTACATCTTAGTATGTGTGTGTTGGGGGGTGTCCAAGTTGTGTTGTTTGTATTTGTGTGAGATCTCAGCTGTGTTTTTGTCTCTATCTGGTGTCTGACTTGTGAGTGAGAGGCTGGGTAAGGGACAGGGTTCCCCTTGCTCCTGGCACTGGGTCACCATAATGGGTACGAGGCCAATTAGCTATAGTCCTAACCTGGGGGGCTTAGAGAAAGGCCTGAATGATGACGCCTAGACTGTTATCCCCAAGTGAATGGCCTCTTATTGAGCAATCATTAACTTGGCCCCTGTGACAAGAATCCAAACTGTTATGGTGAAGAGGGTGGGGACTGGTCAGGGCAGGACTTACTGCGGGTGAAAGGGGGAGGCCGGAAAATCCTATAGGCATGTGTGTTGTTATCACTCCTTCCTGCCCACCCTTCAGGTCACTCACCCTGACCCATGGCAACTGGGTCAAAATATTTAACAAACAGTGAGGCACAGATATTGACCAGTCAGAATAGACACAAGTCATATTCTGAATGGAGCAGTCAGGGAGGTCATGGCTATGCCAAGAGTTGCCTCTTTAGTTGCTAGACAGTGGGAATGTCTGGGAGGAGAATCCCAGGAGAGGGGCTGGGGCAGAGGGGCAGGGAAGGAAACTGGGGAGGCCTCAGGGTGGTGGCTGTGAGCCAAGTGTCATGGAAGGGTTTCAGACTTAAACAACTGATGTAGTCAAATCCTGGTGGTCCAGCTAAACCTTGGTCTGCCTTGGCCTTCAAGCAGTTGCCAGGCCAGCCCTGGGTACCCTTGTCCCTTCCCTTTGGGAAAATAATGGACCACTCTCTTTTGTCATCTGCAGGAATGGGGGAAGTGAATGATCTCAAACTACAGAAATGGCAGTGAACTTGTCTGTTTCAATTCGGGAGTGGGCTGCTTCCTGATTGGCTGTGATTGGGCTTTCACTGTGGTAAGAGGGCGCCTGAAGTGGGTAGGAGCCAGGGGAGCGGTTAGTGAAGGGTTTGGGAATGGGAGAGCAACCTCCTTCCCCTGAGGATAAAGACAATGAGGTGATGGGATTGTGAACTGATACTGTTCCCTGGAAAATTAGCTCCAGCAACCCTGTGGATTTTTTCCCTTGGGCTACCTCTGATAGCAGCAGGGTGGGCCCTGGAGGTGAGACAGTCCCTTCCATATGCACAAATGACAGTATCAGGCTCCAAGTGTTTCATACCTTTTATTACAAAAATCAATAACTTAATTCAGTTCTGTATAAAGTCGATAGGACTTCTGGTCCAATAAGCAGCCTAAGCTTTCATTCTCATCCCAAGAAGGGACAGGAGTCTTGGCCCAGAGGCTGTGGGGACCACCAAAAGCCTCCCAGGCAGCTGGAACACTGTGTCCAAACCAAGGAAGTCCAATGTGGGGTGTGGCTGAGTGAAGAGCTGTTCCTAAGGAGCCAAGTGCTGTCTATACAGGCTTGCCCCCTCCAGGAGCATTGGGTCACCTCTGGGGATGGCCAGGCTGAATCAGCACTGCCAGCCTCTGCCCACCTGATCTCTGCCTGGGCTGGAACAGGTCACCTGAGCAAAAGCATGTCCCCAAGAAGGCCAGCGATGTCAACATCTCCAATGATAGGGCGAAAGAAGAGGTCCCCAAGCAGGCTGGTCGGAATGGACTTGAGGGTGGAGGCCGTGAGGAGGACACGGGTCAGGCGGCCTTGGGCTGCTGGGCACCAGGGTTCCAGGACTTCACACAGCACCCAGTGAGCCTCCTGCTGCAGGTGCCCAATGTGGGAGGCGGCTTGGAGGCCTGGCACATCTGTGGGCAGAGAGGGAGAAGAGGGCTGGTGAGCACCCTACTCCCAGCCACCAAAGGACAAGACTGGCCCAAGATCTGGGCCATCAGAGACACCCCTCTGCCTCCTTTGCTCGGCCTTTGAGGTCCCACTACTACCTCCTCCTTTAGAGGAGGTAATTTATTTATCAATTTTCAATGTATTCATCCATCCATTTATGAAGAGGCAGTGTGGAGTAATGGTTAAGAATTAGGCTTCCTGGGTATGAATCCCAGCACTGTCACTTATTAGCTGGGTGACCTTGGGCAAGTCACTTAATCTCTGGGCTTCAGTTTCTTTATCTGTAAAACGGGAATAATAATATTAATAGGACCTGTCTCCTAGGCTTTTATGAGATTTAAATGAACTAGTATATGTAAAACCCTTAGAATAGGGCCTAACATATGGTAAGTGTGATATGAGTATTTGCTACTATTATTACAATTAATTACTACGATTTATGCGTGCCACAAGGGACTCCTGGGGAACTCTCATCTCAGATGCTCTCCAGATTACAAACAGCACTGTCTCCATCTGCCGCTCTCCTGGCCGAATTCCATAAAGACTCCTTTCCTGTCCTCCCTACGCCCCTTTCAGTCATCTCTTCTATGTGATCTTTCTGAACCCACAGAGGAGTTTTAGCTCTAGAGCTTCACCATGCAGCCTTCCTTTGAGGATGTGACTGAGACACAGCTGTGTCTGCCCACCCCACCTCCCCACAGCCTTCTGTAAAGGTCAGAGCAAATTTCTCAGGCAGAGTGGCAAGGGCCAGTCTCTGGAGTGAATAGACCTGAGTTGCCATCCTGGTCTGTCCCTACCTGGCTGTGTTACCTTTAGCTAGTCACTTAGCTTCTCTGTGCCTCTTCTGTGAGATGGCTATTTGATGAAAATGAGGACTGGCCAAGCACGGTGGCTCACGCCTGTAATCCCAGCACTTTGGGAGGCCAAGGTGGGTGGATCACCTGAGGGGTTAGGAGTTCAAGACCAGCTTGATCAACATGGTGAAAGCCCATCTCTACTAAAAAGTACAAAAATTAGCCGGGAGTGGTGGCGGCCATCTGTAATCCCAGCTACTCGGGAGGCTGAGGCAGAGAAAATTGCTTGAACCCAGGAGGCAGAGGTTGCAGTGAGCCAAGATCGCACCACTGCACTCCAGACTGGGTGACAGAGTGAGACTCTGTCTCAGAAAAATAAAAAGAAAATGAGGACCCAATGAGATAACAGATATCAAACCCTTAGAAGCTACCTTCCCTGGCTGGCCCCTGCTTCAGCCTTGCCCCCCACCCAGGAGTGTCTGGGAGCTCACCGGGGTTGAAGAGGATGGTCCCTTTCAGGCAGGCATATTCCTTGGGGCTAAGCTCCAGGCTCCAGAAGGACTCCAGACAGCATTGAAGCCACTGCACCGCAGCCAGGGAGGGCTGGGGTCTGTCTGGCAGTTGGCCACTGCCTCCACTGCTGCTGGGCTCCTCCAGCAGAATCTTCTTGAGTATGCTGGGCACCGGGGCCTCAGCCACCTCAAAGGTCACAGCATCTTGGGCCAACCCAAGCAGGAAGAGGGGGCCCCAGCAACCCTGCAGCAGCCGCCGCTGGTCCTGGGGAGGCAGCTGCCAGAAGGATGGCAGGTTCCTGAGGAAGGCCACTGTCTTGGCCAGAACATCCAAGGCCTCCCGGCAGGTGCGATGAGGTGCACATAGCTGGACGGGCCGGTGCTGCCTACATAGGCAGCGGCTACGGGGTCGGGGGACAGCCTTGAGGCTGGAGCTCAGAAGTGCGTAGAGAATGGCGGGGCGGCTTGCAGCTCCCTGGCATGGGCAGGCCCCTGGTTGGCTGGTGCTCATGGTTAGGGATCTGCTCTCACTTCCAGCTCTCTGGCTCTGTGTTCTGCGCTGTGGGTGCTATTTATATTCCCAGTGAGTGGAACGGGGGGAATGGCCCAACAACCTTGACTCCAGAAGTCATGTTCATTGAAAAAAACACACAGACATTGCCCCTGGCAGGAATGGTGGGGAAGTGGTGGGGGAGGGGGCATTGGGAACCCCACGTGGCACTGATATCACCTCAGTCAATGAAGTGGCCGGTGCAGGGCACAGGGCCACCTGCCGCTCACTCAGCTGCCCCTTATCAGATGACTCAAGTGGATAAACAAGGTCATTAACTCAGGCTGTACCAGGGCACCAAGGCCCCAGGTGCACAATCAGCAGGTGTCCCCATTGGTGCCCGCTCTTGTGTGCACAAAAGACTAGGGCTTTTGCTAAGCCAGGAAGCCAGCCCCAGAGCTGGGTGGGCCTTGAATGCAAGGCCCAACCTGGAAGTGCCTTATCACTAGCTTGTTTGCCTAACCTTGGGGCCCTGCTTCTGTTGTCAGCCAGAAGCAGGCTACAGGGAAGGGAGCCAGGACCCTGGGGGCTGGGAGGACTTTGCCCACTGTCCAATCTAGGAGGCCTCCTCCTCTGATTCCAGTTCTGGGCCCCCTGCAGGAATAAGGTCCTTCAGAATCCTTATCCCCAGCCTGATTCCTACCACTCCTGAAAGGCCAGGTCTGCTGAGAAGAACTCACAGAATTATAATAAAAGATAGTTGCCAGCCGGGCACGGTGGCTCATGCCTGTAATCCCAGCACTTTGGGAGGCTGAGGAAGGGGGATCATTTGAGGTCAGGAGTTCAAGACCAGCCTGGCCAACATGGCAAAATCCCGTCTCTACTAAAAATACAAAAATTAGCCGGGCATGGTGGCATGTGCCTGTAGTCCCAGCTACTCTAGAGGCTAAGGCAAAAGAATCACTCGAAACTGGGAGGCAGAGGTTACAGTGAGCTGAGATCATGCCACTGCTCTCCAGCCTGGGCAACAGAGCAAGATCCTGTCTCAAAAAAATATATATGTATATGTATATGTATATGTATATGTATATGTATATTTATATGTATATGTGTATATATATATACACATACATACATACATATATATATATATATATGTATATATATGGTTGCCATTCTCTAAGCACTTATTATGTGTCAGGCACTTCCCACTCTAATATTGGCAGCCTCTTCCTAAGGCTAGATTCTTACTTTATGAGACTAAAAAAGCTAAAGTGACTTGCCCAAGGTCATCCCACCAGGAAGACAAAGCCCAGATCTTGCCTGACTCCAAAGTCCTTGTTTGTTTCCCTGGACCCACTGGCCCAATTGCACAGCCAGAGCCTGAGATTCTCAGAGCTTGTGGCTAGCTGCCCCCACCTTGCTGCTGCCTGCTTTGCAGACGTTGCCCACTTGTGATCTGGGCAGAAGTGTTGCTCTGCTGCCACGTGGCTCCTCTGTCCCGGGCATCTTTCTCAGATGGTGGAGCACAGGGGATGAGAGAAGGTGGAGAGGCCCTTGGTTGTGTCATGTTCCTGGACCTTGGCCAGTCCAGTGTGGCAAGCCTTCTGCTGCATGCTGTTGGGCAGCCTGGTGCCCTGGATGGGGAGAGAGAGGCTCTGGCATCACTAGCCCTGGCATCTGCTCCAGAATCCATCACTTTTTGGTTATGTGACTTGGGTTGATCCTTGAACCTCGATAAGCCTCCCTGGGACAATAATGCCTGGCTGTAGGGCTGCCATGGGGACAAAATGAGGTCCTGGTTGTTAAATTCCAAGTGGTTTCTGGCATACGGTAGGAGGATTTTTCTGCCCCTTTCCTCTGTGGAGCTGAGCACCAGTGGACAAACAGGCACACCTCTTTCATTTGATTATTAGTCTTAATCCTTAAATTTATAAAGTTCCTTTCATGTTTTTAAATCTCACTGAATTCTCACAGTGTCCCCTTGAAGCAGACTCTGGAGTCAGACTGGCTGGGTTCAAATCCTGCTTCACTTAGCTGAGTGACCTTGGGCAAATCACTTTCTCTTTCTGTGCCTCAGTTTCCTCATTTTTAAAACAGTGACAAGAATTTCTGGAGGTGGATATTGGTTTTATGGGGCCTGAAGGTTACGATTTGGAGGACCCTCTTTAAGAATAGAATACACACTCGGTTACGGTGGCTCACGCCTGTAATCACAGCACTTTGGGAAGTTGAGGTGGGAGGATCACTTGAGGCTTCAGGAGTTCAAGATCAGCCTGGTCAACACAGTGAGACCTCATCTCTACCAAAAAAAAAAAATTAGCCAGTGTGGTGGGGCATATCTGTAGTCCCAACTACTTGAGAGGCTGAGGCAAGAGGATGGTTTGAGCCCAGGACTTCAAGGCTACAGTGAGTTATGACTGTGTTACTGCCCTCCTGCCTTGCTCTAGACAGAGCAAGACTCTGTCTAAAAAAAAACGAAAAAACCCCACACACAAAACCTCCCCTTAGACCCTGAATATTTATATTTATTTGATCAATGTGGTCAATGGGAACCCTTTCAAGCTGGTGTCTGTGTCATTTTGGCCTGCTTCCATAATTCCTGGAACACTTGCTTTCTGGTATAGCAAGATATCAACTTTTCCAGCCCCTGGAATCAACCAATACTCCAAAGAGCTCTGATTTAATCTTTTAGTGGAAAATAATATTTAGAAAGCATGAAGTAGGCACTAGAATCATACTAAAAAACCAAGAACTGGCCGGGCACGGTGGCTCACACCTGTAATCTGGACTTTGGGGGCTGCAGTGGGTGAGCTGCTTGAGCCCAGGAGCTCAAGACCAGCTTGGAAACATGGTGAAACCCCATCTCTACAAAAAAATACAAAAATTAGCTAGGTAGGTAGTGCACACCTATAGTTCCAGCTACTCGAAAGACTAAGGTGGGAGGATTGCTTGAATCCAGGAGGGCAAGGCTGCAGTGAGCTGTGATCATGCCACTGCACTCTAGCCTGGGCAACAGAGTGAGACCCTGACTAAAAATAGATAAATAAATAAAAATCAGGCGTGGTGGCTCACGCCTGTAATCCCCAGCACTTTGGGAGACCAAGACAGGCAGATCACCTGAGGTCAGGAGTTCGAGACCAGCCTGGCCAACATGGTGAAATCTTGTTTCTTCTAAAAATACAAAAATGAGTCAGACATGGTGGCATGCCCCTGTAGTCCCAGCTACTAGAGAGGCTGAAGCGGGAGGATAGCTTGAACCTGGGAGGCAGAGGTTGCAGGGAGCCAAGATAGTGCCACTGCACTCCAGACTGGGCAACGGAGTGAGACCTTGTCTCAAAATAATAATAATAATAATAGGGCTGGATGTGGGGGTTCACACCTGTAATCCCAGCACTTTGGGAGGCCGAGGCGGATGGATCACCTGAGGTCAGGAGTTCGAGACCAGCCTGGCCAACATGGCAAAACTCCATCTCTACTAAACATACAAAAATCAGCTGGGTATGGTGGTGCACGCCTGTAGTCCCAGCTTTTCGGGAGGCTGAGGTAGGAGAATCGCTTGAACCCAGGAGGCAGAGGTTTCAGTGAGCTGAGATCATGCCACTGCAGCCTAGACTGGGTGAGACACAGTGAGACTCTTTCTAAAAATACTAATAATAAATAAAAATAAATAAATAAAAGAAACCACCTGGGCATGGTGGCTCACGCCTGTAATCTCAGCACTTTGGGAAGCTGAGGTGGCCGGATCACTTGAGGCCAGGAATTTGAGACCGGCCTGGCCAACATGGTAAAACTGTCTCTACTAAAAATACAAAAATTAGCCAGACATGGTGGTGCATACCTGTAATCCCAGCTACTTGGGAGGCTGAGGCAGGAGAATCGCTTGAACCTGGGAAGCGGAAGTTGCAGTGAGCCAAGATCCCACCACTGCACTCCAGCCTAGGCGACAAGAGTGAGACTGCGTCTCAAAAAAAAAAAAAAGAAGAAGAAACCAGAACTGTTCATTGTTATGAGGGTCACTACTCCCAGTCCTTCCTAGAGCTAATGAATGTGTACACACACACACACACACACACACACATTTACAATTATATTTATTTCTATAATTATACATACTAAACAACATGAATTCAGACTATCATCTCCAATTCCAAGCTCATATCATGGGGTTCATTCTAGTTTTTGCCCCTTGTGTATTTATACTTCCTGTCTTTCACACCGAGGAATCTGGTGTCCATTATTCTTGATTTATCTTTTTTTTTTTTTTTTGAGACAGGGTCATGCTGTATCCCCCAGCTGCTGGAGCGCAGTGGAGTGATCTTGACTCACTGCAACCTCTGCCTCAGGGTTCAAGTGATTCTTTTTTTTTTTTTTTTTTTTGAGACGGAGTCTCACTGTCACCCAGGCCCAGAGGCCCAATCTCGGCTCACTGCAACCTCCGCCTCCCAGGTTCAAACAATTCTCCTGCCTCAGCCTCCTGAGTAGCTGGGACTACAGGCGCCTGCCACCAAGCCCAGCTGATTTTTCGTATTTTTTAGTAGAGATGGGGTTTTACCATTTTGGCCAGGCTGGTCTCGAACTCCTGACCTCATGATCTGCCCGCCTTGGCCTCCCAAAGTGCTGAGATTACAGGCATGAGCCACCGCACCCAGCTTTTTTTTTTTTTTTTTTTGAGATGGAGTTTTGCTCTTCTTGCCCAGGCTGGCGTGCAATGGCACAATCTCGGCTCGCTACAACTTCCACCTCCCAGATTCAAGAGATTCTCCTGCCTCGGCCTCCCAAGTAGCTGGGATTACAGGTTCCCACCACTATGCCTGGCTAAGTTTTTGTATTTTTAGTAGAGATGGGGTTTCACCATGTTAGGCAGGCTGGTCTCGAACTCCCGACCTCAGGTGATCCACCTGCCTCAGCCTCCCAAAGTGATAAGATTACAGGCGTGAGCCACTGCACCCAGCCTAAGTGATTCTTCTACCTCAGCCTCCCGTGTAGCTGGGATTACAGGCGCACACCACCACACCCAACTAATCTTTGTATTTTTAGTAGAGATGGTGTTTCACCATGTTGGCCGGGCTGCTCTTGAACTCTGGGCCTCAAGTGATCCACTTGCCTCGGCCTCCTAAAGTGCTGGGATTACAGGCATGAAATACCACATCCAGCTACTTTTTTTTTTTTTCCTTTGTTTGAGACAGGGTCTGGCTTTGTCACCCACGCTGAAGTGCAGTGGCGTGATCACAGCTCACTGCAGCCTTGACCTCCCAGGCTCAAGTGATTCTCCCATCTCAGCCTTCTGAGTAGCTGGGATTACAGGCTCCCACTGCCATGCCCCGCTAATTTTTTTTTTTATACTTTGAGTTCTAGGGTACATGTGCACAACGTGCAGGTTTGTTACATATGTATACATGTGCCATGTTGGTGTGCTGCACCCATCAACTCGTTATTTAACTCCGCTAATTTTTAAATTGTTTTGTAGAGACAGGGTTTTGCTGTGTTGCTATGTTTTGCAAGTGTTGGGATTACAGGCATGAGCCTCCGCAGTCGGCCTGGATCTGCTTCTTGTTCCACACATAAACTTGTTTCTTTCACTGCTCACATACTTCCAGTTGTCCTGGGAATCATTTATATTGGGATAAGACTTCTGATCCTGTACAGCAAGGGTCATGAGGTACAGCAAATGGTAGGAATATTCCTGGAAGCCCTTTCCACACACCAGGACAGCTCACAATGACTTAACTATACACAAAAGTGACTGCCAGCCACCCAGCTATATCCCACCAAATCAATCCAAACTGAGTGTATTTCCAACTCAACTTCACCTTAGCTGGATCACCAAATCCTCATGGCATCTCTGATATCACCTGATTCAAGGGAAAGTGAGATAGAGTGGGAAGAAATAGTAGTCTTAACCAATTGCAATTTTAGAATTTTGCTTTTGCATGTTAAAAGAAAAAAAAATATGTATTTGACGCTATGAAGACATTGCTGGGGTTGCTCCCAGTGCCTAGGATGGGCCCGTGCAAGTGCAAGGCCCTGCCCTCAAGAGCCCTCAGTCTGAGGGAGAAGACACAGATCAACTCCAGGAATCTCTAATCTAAAGGGAGAAGTCTCTAGTCTGAAGTGGGGAACACGCAATTCCAACCAAAAGAGAAACCTAAAGGAAAAAAGGAAAGAAGAAGGCGTCAACTGTGTCAAATGCACCTGAGAAGTTGAGTAAGATAATAGTGGTTCATTGGCTTTGGCAATATGTAGCACTGTAACCATATCAGAGCCTTTAAAAAATAGACTAGAACAGGCCGGGCGCAGTGGCTCATGCCTGTAATCCTAGCGCGTTGCGAGGCCGAGGCAGGTGGATCACTTGAGGTCAGGAGTTTGAAACGAGCCTGGCCAACATGGTGAAAACCCCTCTACTAAAAATACAAAAAAAAATTAGTTAGGCGTAGTGGTGCCTGTAATCCCAGCTACTTGGGAGGCTGAGAATCACTTAAACCTGGGAGGCAGAGGTTGCAGTGAGCTGAGATCGTGTCACTGCACTCCAGCCTGGGCAACAGAGTGAGACTTGGTCTAAAAAAAAAAAGAAGAATAGATAGACTAGAATATACTGTAGAGAGATGGGAGGTGAGGGAGTAGAAAAACAAGCAAACAAGTTTGCTGCAAATGAGAGCTGAAAATTGGAGAGGTAGCAGCAGAAGAAAGTGGGGCCATGGAATAATAATATAAAAACAGGGCTGGGCATGGTGGCTCACACCTGTAATCCCAGCACTTTGAGAGGCTGAGGCAGGAGGAGTGCTTGAGACCAGGGTTTGAGACTTAGCCTGGGCAACACAGACTCCATCTCTACCAAAAAACAAAAAACAAAAAACAAAAAAAAAAAAACAGCAGGGCGTGGTGATGTGAGCCTGTAGTCCCAGCTACTCTGGAGGCTGAAGTGGGGAAGATGGCTTGAGTCCAGGAGTTCAAGGCTGCCGTAAGCCAAGATGGTGCCACTGCACTCCAGCTTGGGTGACAATGCAAGAACCCCATCTCTAAAAACAAACAAAAAGATATTAAAGCGTGTTTGTAAATTGAAGGGAAGAAGAAAGATATTTGTGATGCATAAGCTAAAAAAAGGGATAATTAACAGGGATAGAGTTCCTGAAAAGACTAAGATGATGAGATTCATTGCACAAGTGGAGGGATTAGCTTGGATGGCTGGGTCCTGTCCCCGCATTAACAGAAGTGAAGGTCAATTTCAGCACCTGTCATAATTTCCTGGGCCCAGTGCAAAATGAAAATGTGGGTCTCCTTATTCCAAAATTATTAAGAATTTCAAGACTATAACAGAAGGCCATGAAATCAAGCGTGGAGCCTTTCTAAGCCTGGGTGCTGTGCGACTGCAATTTGTACTCCCATGAAGCTGGCCCTAGTCAAGTACGCAGTGAGGTCGATGAGGAGGAGGCTGTCCTGTGGTAAGTCCCTTCTAGGATTGGAAGAGATGAGTAAGGCTACTTTCAGCTTCACTGCTCTACAAGCTGGGGGGGTCGCTAGCAAGGGAGAGGGGCAAAACTTGTCCCTTTTTAACTTCCAACCCTGCCAGATTTGAGTCCAGGGCTTTCTAGAAGTCTCCACGGCATCGGGTGACCATAGCAACTCATGCCAAACTCTCGGGCCCACGGCTCCGCCTACCGCTTCGTGGACGCGCTTGTTGATTGGCTCCGAATGTCGACCAATGGTCGGCGAAGCGGGTTGCTTGCCGCACGGTCAATGGCCGCAAACCGGGAGGAAGGCGGGAAGAGAGGAGGTGGAGGCGGGCCTGGGCAGCCGCGCGCGTGCGTGTTTCCGGCTCCGCTGCGGAAGGCGGACGACTAGAGTCGTTGGGCCCGGCGCGACCCGCAGGAGCGTAGAGAGCGCGGGACTAGAGTGCAGAGCTCCGGGACGTGGATCGGAGCCGGCGCGATGGGCGGAGAGCAGGAGGAGGAGCGGTTCGACGGCATGTTGCTGGCCATGGCTCAGCAGCACGAGGGCGGCGTGCAGGAGGTAACGGCCCGCGCGGCGTCGGCCCACCCGGCGGCCTTGGCCACGCTCCTTCCGCCCTTCTCTGCCTTCGAGGGCTGAGACCCACCCCAGCGGCTCGCGGGCTTCTGGGATGCCCCTACATTCTCACTGCGCCCAGCTTCCGGCCTGGCCACCCGCCAGCAGGTCTCACCCGGTTCGCATCAGTCCCGGGCCCCCGGCGCCCCTCAGTAGTAGCAAATTATCGCATCCCTGAGCTTAGGATCCCCCTTTAGTTTCACATATGCCCCCACCCCCGTTTCCACTTTGATGGCGGCTTCCAAGGAGCATCCCTTAGTAAGAACCGTCGCAAATATCGTGATTTGGATCCACCAAGGCTTGGGGCGAGCCGTCGAATGTGTGTGGTAGGGGAGCGGGCTGATGTTAGCACGTGGTCTTGTTAGGCCTTGAATGGGGGAATAGGAGGCCTGTGTTCACGATTAGTTTCCACCACCTACCAACTTGGAACCTTTACATCTCTCCAAGCCTGAGTTTCCTTATCTGTGAGACAGCTGCGAATACCGGTTTCCAGAGAGTAGTTAAGAACCGTAAGTTCTCAGTAATAAGGCTTTTTCATTCAACAAGTATTTGTCGTGTGATTGATGTGTGTCCCACACTCGACAATAAGGGCCAACTGTTACAGATTCTGGAGTTGGTTTTTTTGGAACAAACACAAAGTTAACGGTAGAAAAGTCTGTCAGGATCAGAACTCTCATTCTCAGAGCCAGAGAAGTGGCAAGGATTTGCCTAGATCATGCAACATGGTTCTCACCTAGACAGGTCAGTGTGCTTCCCAGAGTCCATGGCTGATTGTGTCTTACTGGAGGTAGGTTTCCATTGAACTTTCTATTCCTATGTAACCTAGGTGTCTGGTGACCAAGGACTTCTAAGCCCTTTGTGGTGGGGAGAGTGTTTCTCATTTGCAAGTGTGAAAAGCCTTCCTGTCTCCATTCCTCTAAACTGTTCGCACAAAACTGGATTTGGGAGCGAGTTCATTTTTGAGCAAATTGAAAAACTGTCTAGAAGCAAGAACGGAAACCATTGAGATATGTTCTAGCATCAGATTTAATCAGATTTAGACCCACTCTTGGGCAAATAAAGGGTTTGTGTGTGCTGACCTTGAGTCACCACTAGATTGTTTCATTCAGCAAGAATTTTACTGATTATGTACCTTTAGCCATATCTGGTGCCCAGCATTGCAGGTGGCAGACAGACTAAGCCATGGTTCATGGTTCCTATTTGTAAGGTGTTTACCCTCTGCCAGTGGGTCTCTTGCTCTGTGCCATACATTGCTAAAGGCCTCACCTCCTTGACCTCATGATCCTCACCAGGTCCCTAGAAATAGGTACTGCATCTTATTCCTGTTGTACAGAGTTAAGAAACTTCTGCAAAGTCAAAAGGTAATATATGTCCATCTGATACTCAAACCGTTGGCTACACTTGTACTCCAGCCAGAATTAATCCATCTTATCCTCCTTTGAAGTGGCTTCATTTGCTCTCCTCCTTCTTGCTTTGACCCGGTAACTTAGCCAGTGTCTTTTTTTTTGTTTAGACAAGAGTCTCTCACCCAGGCTGGAGTGCGGTGGCACGATCTTGGCTCACTGCAACCTCTGCTTCCCGGGTTCAAGTGATTCTCTGCCTCAGCCTCCCAAGTAGCTGGGATTACAGGTGCCCACCACCTGTAATCTAGCTAATTTTTGTGTTTTTAGTAGAGACGGGGTTTCACCATGTTGGCCAGGCTGGTCTTGAACTCCTGACCTCAAGTGACCCGCCCACCTGAGCCTCCTGAAGTACTGGGATTATAGGTGTGAGCCAGTGTCTTGATGGGCTTTTTACTTTCTGGAGAGGAAAGCTGGGCCCAGGCTTTTCATGCCCTGGATGCAGAGGAGTGTTCCATACGCTTAGGCTGCTTCTAGCATCACAAGGAAAGTGAAAGGCGCACACACACACAGGATATGAGAAATCTGCTTCATGGTGGAAGTGACTAAGAGAACCTGCTGGGGAGATAATCTCCTCAGTTGGGAAGCTCAGAGGAAAAATAGTCAAGTCCCAAGTTCCCTCCTAGACAAAACAAGTTGACTTGTGTGCAGTTGAAGGGCTCCCAAATGCAGCTCTACTACTTTAATCTTCTCCCCCTCTTTCAGCTTGTGAACACCTTCTTCAGCTTCCTTCGACGCAAAACAGACTTTTTCATTGGAGGAGAAGAAGGGATGGCAGAGAAGGTAAGTGTTGGAAACCACTGTCCTTTGGGCGGCTCTGTCTCTTCAGAAGAAAAGCTCACCTGGCCTTTCTTTGGCATAATAGTAACTTTCAGCAGAAGCGAAATGCCAAAGGTGAGGAATTGGGGAAGGGAAGGAAGCTGTCATTTCTTCAAGCTCCACTCCTTGCTCAGCCCTCTATCTACCTTATTTCCCATGACTTTTGCAGTTCTACAAGAGGGGCAGGTGTTAACTATCCCCATTGAGGAAATTGGCTCAAGAGAATTTTGCACCTTATCCAAAGTCTTGAGCTGAGCTGTGGGAGAACCAGGGTTGAAACCAGTCTGTTGTAAACCTGTCCTCTGCCCCGACACAGTGCCTCTCAGTTCCTTTTCCAATGAGGAGGTTTTATTTATTTATTTATTTTCTGAGACAGAGTCTTGCTTTGTCACCCAAGCTGAAGCGCAGTGGCGCAATGTCGGCTCACTGCAACTTTCGCCTCCTGGGTTCAAGCAATTCTCCTGCCTCAGCCTCCTGAGTAAGTGGGATTACAGGCGCCCGCCACCACACCTGGCTAATTTTTGTATTTTGATAGAGACGAGGTTTCATCATATTGGCCAGGCTGGTCTCGAACTCCTGACCTCATGATCCACCCGCCTCGGCCTCCCAAAGTGCTGGGATTACAGGTATAAGCCACTGTGCCTGGCCAGGAGGTTTTATTTTTACTTTTATTTATTTTATTTTATTTTATTTTTTGAAATGGAGTCTCATTCTGTTGCGCAGGCTGGAGTGCAGTGGCATAATCTAGGCTCACTGCAACCTCCGCCTCCTGGGTTTAAGTGATTCTTGTGCCTCAGCCTCCCAAGTAGCTGGGATTACAGGCAGGCGCCACCATGCCTGGCTAATTTTTGTATTTTTAGTAGAGATGAGGTTTCACCATGTTGGCCAGGCTGGTCTCGAACCCCTGACCTCAAGTGATCCACCCACCTCGGCCTCCTAAAGCGCTGGGAGTACAGGTGTGAGCCACTGCACCCGGCCTGAGGAGGTTTTAACTAATAACCTAGGAGATGAGACTGGGCAAATATTAGAAACTGATGCTTAGAAATAAATTTAGAAGGCCGGGCGCGGTGGCTCACGCCTGTAATCCCAGCACTTTGGGAGGCCGAGGCTGGCGGATCACGAGGTCAGGAGATCGAGACCATGCTGGCTAACACGGTGAAACCCCGTCTCTACTAAAAACACAAAAAATTAGCCAGGCGAGGTGGCGGGCGCCTGTAGTCCCGGCTACTCTGGAGGCTGAGGCAGGAGAATGGCGTGAACCCCGGGGGGCGGAGCTTGCAGTGAGCCGAGATCGCGCCATTGCACTCCAGCCTGGGCAACAGTGAGACTCCGTCTCAAAAAAAAAAAAAAAAAAAAAAGAAATAAATTTAGAAATACTCAGAGGCATGTCTTCCCAGATGCTGTGACTCAGAGTTTAAGGATTTCTGTTTTGTAGTATTGATTCTGAGACCTTGAACTTCTTTCTGATTCCTTAAAGTTGTAATTATACTTTTGAAAATTGTTATATCATGAGGAATTTTTTTTTTTTTTTTTTTTTGAGACAGAGTTTCACTCTGTTGCCCAGGCTGCAGTGCAATGGCACGATCTCAGCTCACCACAACCTCCGCCTTGCGAGTTCAAGCAATTCTCCTGCCTCAGCCTCCTGAGTAGCTGGGATTACAGGCATGCACCACCACGCCTGGATAATATTTGTATTTTTAGTAGAGATGGGGTTTCACCATGTTGGCCAGGCTGGTCTTGAACTCCCAACCTCAGGTGATCTGCCTGCCTTGGCCTCCCGAAGTGCTGGGATTACAGGTGTGAGCCACCATGCCCAGCCTTTTTTTTTTTTGAGACGGAGTCCCGCTCTTTTTATCCAGGCTGGAGTGCAATGGTGCGATCTTGGCTCACTGCAATGTCTGCCTCTTGGGTTCAAGCAATTATTGTGCTCAGCCTCCTGAGTAGCTGAGATTACAGGCGTGAGCCACCACGCCCGGCGCCATTATCTTTATAATAGACATAAACAAGAGACATAATAAGAAGGAGACGTAGACGTTCTTTGCAAACCGTTTTCTGTGGCTTCAGGATTCTAACAAGTTGGTAAACTCTTTAATGTGTCCTGAATGTCTGAGGCCACTCTGTCATAGACACATTACCTAAGAGTAGGAGTCCCAGGTTCTTGGTCTAGCTTTGTCACCTAGTCGAGTTCCCAGCAATGCTCTGGTTCTTTCCATCTTTACATCTGTAAAATGGGAGAAAGTAGACCCCTTCTAGCTCAGATATTTTTTCTGTATTGTCACTAACACCTCTGGCCTTTCTGTGGGTCAGACTACCTGTAAAACCTCATGCCGCAAACTTACAAAAAAATACAAAAGCACTTTTAGTTTTTATAGCTTTTGGGACTAGTCATTTATTTTTTCTTTCTTTTTTTTTTTGACACGGAGTTTCATGCTTGTTGCCCAGTCTGGAGTGCAATGGCACGATCTCAGCCCACTGCAACTTCTGCCTCCCAGGTTGTAAGTGATTCTCCTGCCTCAGCCTCCTAAGTAGGTGGGATTACAGGCATGCACCACCATGCCTGGCTAATTTTGTATTTTTAGTAGAGACAGGTTTCACCATGTTGGTTAGGCTGTTCTCAAACTCCTGACCTCAGGTGATCCCCCAGCCTCAGCCTCCCAAAGTGCTGGGATTACAGGCGTGAGCCACTGCACCCGGCCTACTTTTTTCAATGAATGTTTATTGAACACTTAACACTTTGGATTATGTTAGGTGCTATATCAAACCTTTTGGGATTGCAGAGGTGAATACAGATTTGTTCTTTGTTTTCATGGATCTCACAGTGTAGCCAAAATAAAAAAAACAAGCAGTGAAAAAGTAGTGGGTGTTGGGGCAGAATCCCTGGGAACATAAAACTAACCTAGGTTGGGGGCTCAGAGAAGACTTTGTGAGGAAGTGACGCTTCAGATATGAAGGATGAATAGCTGTAAGAAGGGAGAGAGATGAACCGTGTGTGTGTGTGTCAGGGTCTTGCTCTGTTGTCCCAGCTGGAGCACAGTGGCTGTAAGAAGGGAGAGAGATGAACCGTGTGTGTGTGTGTGTGTGTGTGTGTGTGTGTGTGTGTGTCAGGGTCTTGCTCTGTTGTCCCAGCTGGAGCACAGTGGCGTGATCCAGCCGCCTTAGCCTCCCAAAGTGCTGGGACTACCTAATTTTTCTTTTTCTTTTTTTTTTTTTTTTGAGACGGAGTCTTGCTCTATGACCTAGGCAGGAGAGCAGTGGAGCGATCTCAGCTCACTGCAATCCCCGCCTCCCAGGTTCAAGCGATTCTTCTGCCTCAGCCTCCTGAGTAGCTGGGATTACAGGCGCCCGCCCCTATGCCTGGCTAATTTTCGTATTTTTAGTAGAGCCGGGGTTTCACCATGTTGGTCAGGTTGGTCTCGAACTCCTGAGCTCGTGATCTGCCCGCTTCGGCCCCTCAAAGTGCTGGGATTACAGTCATGAGCCACTGCGCCCAGCCCCTAATTTTTCTTAACTGTAAGAGGGAGCAGTCCTTACCTTACAAGGATGTTACGAGGATTTAAAAAAAGGCAAAGACCACAATCCACTTCAGAATCCCTTGGGGCCACATGTGTTTTGGTATTTAAAATTATTTGGATTTCAGAAAGGCAATACAGTGCATATAATGTGCATTACATACAATAATCTAATCGCAGGCCAGGAGCTGCATCCTGCAACAAAACACATTAATATTTCTGCAGAAATATATATATCAATATACATACCAAGTAGAAGAAATGAAGACTGTAAATACCTCATGCCACGAACTTACAAAAAAATACAAAAGCACTTTTAGTTTTTATAGCTTTTGGGGCTAGGAATTGTAGACTTGAATACAGCCATAGTGATCTAATCAATATGGTATTGATAGAAGAAGAGAAAAATGGACCAGTGAAGCAGAATAGAGAATCCTGAAATAAAGTCTGGCATTTATGAGGATTTAATGTGTCTATTGTGGTAATTCAGTTCAGTAGGCAAAGCATGATTTAATAAGTCATGCTGCTACATGAATTTTTTTTGGTTAAAAAAACAAAATTTGCCATCTGTCATACTCTATAAAAATACCAATAATAAAAATCCTGTAAGGAAAACTAGGAAACTATAGTCTTATGTGGGGGAGACTTTTCAGCATTAGAAAACTGGAAGCTATAAAAGAAGAGATAGCTGTTTGCCTTTTCAGATGCTGAAACTTTGTAAATGGTAAAAGACATTTAAGTCAATTGAAGAACACCAGATTATGAGAAAATATGCAGTGCAGAGGAAAAATAACATTTAATTGTGAATTTCATATTTAGGAACTCATAAATAAAAATTAGCCAGGCCTTGTGGCACATGCCTTTAGTCCCAACCACTCAGGAGGCTGAGGTAGGAGGATTGCTTGAGCCTGGGAGGTTGAGGCTTCAGTGAGCCGTGATTGTGTCACTACGCTGCAGTCTTGGTGACAGAGCAGGACTTTGTTTCCAAAACAAAACCCACAATGAGATACTATTTCACATCTGTTAGGATGGCATCCGTTAAAAGATAAAACAAAATAACAAGTGTTGACAAAGATAGGGAGAAACTGGAACCCTTGTACACTGTGGTGGGAATGTCAAATGGTGCATCTGCTATGGAAAACGTTATGGCGGTTTCTCAGAAAGTTAAAGAATACAACTATCGTATGTTCTAGCAGTCATGCTTGTGGGTATATACCCAAAATAATCAGGAGGAGGATTTACTTGCACACCCATGTTCACAGCAGCCTTATTCATAACAGCCAAAAGGTGGAAGGAACCAAAGGCTCCATCAGCAGGTGAATGGATAAACAATGTGGTATAGACATACTCTGGGATGTTATTCTGCCTTAAAAGGGAAAGAAATCCTGTCCATTGCTACATGGATGTACCTTGGAGGACATCATGTTATATGAAATAAGCTGGTCACAAAAGGACAAATACAGTTGATCCTTTGTATCCGTGGGCTCTGCATCCATGAGCTTAACCAACCACTGATGGAAAATATTTGGAAAAAAAATTTTTTTTAAATGACAGTACAATAATAAAAAAATATGAATTAAGCCCGACGTGGTGACGCACACCTGTAATCCCAGCTACTTGGGTGGCTGAGATGGGAGGATGGCTTGAGCCCAGGAATTTGAGATCAGCCTGGGCAACATAGCAAGACCCCTTCTGAAAAAACAAAAAAAAAAAACAAATTAAAAAAATATAATCTAATTACTTACATCCGTAGCAGTTACATTGTATTAGGTATTAGGTAATCTAGGGATGATTGAGAGTATGCAGGAGGATGCATGTAGGTTATATGCAAATAAAATGCCATTTTATATAAGGGACTTGAGCATCCTCGGAAATTAGTGTTGGGGAGTGGTCCTGGAACAAATCTTCGTGGGTACGGTGGGACTACCCTATTGCATTCCACTTACATATAATTGAAGGCATATTTTTTGATGAGTAAATATTATGTGACTATCTAAAAGAAAAGTTACTGTTTAAAAACATAACTGTAGGGCCGGGCACAGTGGCTCATACCTGTAATCCCAGCACTTTGGGAAGCTGAGGTGGGTGGATCACCTGAGGTCAGGAGTTAGAGGCCAGCCTGGCCAATATGGTGAAACCCTGTCCCTACTAAAAATACAAAAATTAGCTGGGCATGGTGGTAGGCGCCTGTAATCCCAGCTACTCGGGAGGCTGAGGCAGGAGAATCACTTGAACCCAGGAGGCGGAGGTTTCAGTGAGTCGAGATCGCACCACTGCACTCTACCCTGGGCAACAAGAGTGAAACTCCGTCTCAAAAACAAAAACAACAACAACAGCCACAACAAATGTAACTGTAATGGTATACCTTCTCCAGAAAAGCATACCAATTCTTTAAATATTACCAGAGATCCACATCCAGTCAGGGTTCTGATTTCCCTCAATGCTCTCTTACTATTGTGTTTTGTTTTGTTTTGAGACAGGGTCTCGCTCTGCTGCCCAGCCTGGATGGTGTCCAGTAGTGCGATCATGATTCACTGCAGCCATGACCACTAGGCTCAGGCGGTCCTCTCACCTCAGCCTCCTGAGTAACTGGGAGTATAGGCGTGCCCCACCACACCCAGCTAATTTTTGTATTTTTTGTAGAGTGGGGGTTTCACCATCTTGCCCAAGCAGGTCTTGAATTTCTGATTCTGATCTCAAGCGACCTACCCGCCTTTGCGGCCGCCATTGTACCCAGCTCTTTTGTTTTTTAAAAAAATATGGGCTGAGATGGGGGGATCACTTGAGGCCAGGTGTTCAAGACCAGTCTGGTCCAACATAGAGCATATCTGTACAAAAAATAGAAAATCATAGCCAAGAGTGGTGGCACAAGCCTGTAGTCCCAGCTACTCTGCAGACCAAGGTGGGAGGATCTCTGGAGCCCAGGAGTTTGAGGCTGCAGTGACCCATGATAAACGGCACTGTAATCCATCCTGGGCAACAGAGCTAAACCCTGTCTCAAAAAAAAAAAAAAAAAAATAGTGGGCTGGGCACGGTGGCTCACACCTGTAATCCCAGCACTTTGGAAGGCCGAGGTGGGCAGATCACCTGAGGTCAGGAGTTTGAGACCAGCCTGGCCAAATGGTGAAACCTCGTCTCTACTAAAAATACAAAAATTAGCTGGGCATGGTGGCAGGGGCCTGTAATCCCAGCTACTCGAGAAGCTGAGGTGGGAGAATTGCTTGAACCTGGGAGACAGAGTTTGCAGTGAGCCGAGATCATGCCATTACACTCCAGCCTGGGCCACAGAGCGAGACTCTGTCTCAGAAAAAAAGTGTGGTAAAAAGCACATCATAAAATTTACCTTCTTAACCTTTGTTTTGTTTTTTGTTTGTTTGTTTGTTTGAGACGGAGTCTCGCTCTGTTGCCCAGCCTGGAGTGCAGTGGCGCCATCTTGGCTCACTGCAACCTCTGCCTCCCAGGTTCCAGCAGTTCTCCCACCTCAGCCTCCCGAGTAGCTGGGATTACAGGCGTGTGCCACCACGCCTGGCTAATTTTTGTATTTTTAGTAGAGATGGGGTTTTACCATGTTGGCCAGGCTGATCTCGAACTCCTGACCTCAGGTGATCTGCCTGCCTCAGCCTCCCAAAGTGCTGGGATTACAGGCATGAACCACTGCGCCTGGCCTTTTTTTTTTTTTTTTTTTTTTTGAGGTAGAGTCTCGCTTTTTCGCCCAGGTTGGAGTGCAGTGGCACCATTTCGGCTCACTGCAACCTGTGCCTCCTGGGTTCAAGAGATTTCTCGTACCGGTTGGGCACGGTGGCTCACACCTATAATCCCAGCACTTTGGGAGGCCGAGGTGGGCGGATCATGAGGTCAGGAGATCGAGACTATCCTGGCCAACGCGGTGAAACCCTGTCTCTACTAAAAATACAAAAATTAGCCGGGCATGGTGGCACTCTCCTATAATCCCAGCTACTCGGGAGGCTGAGGGAGGAGAATCGCTTGAACCCAGGAGTCAGAGGTTGCAGTGAGCCAAGATCGCCACTG
The DNA here is from genome assembly GCF_000001405.40 of Homo sapiens. NCBI lineage: Eukaryota > Metazoa > Chordata > Mammalia > Primates > Hominidae > Homo > Homo sapiens. The sequence goes on from NC_000001.11 coordinate 26,931,741, forward strand.
CACTCCAGCCTGGCGACAGAACGAGACTCCATCTCAAAAAAAAAAAGAGATTTCTCCTGCCTCAGCCTCCCAAGTAGCTGGGACTACAGGTGCCCACCACCACGCCTGGCTAATTTTTGTATTTTTAGTAGAGACAGGGTTTCAGTAACATTGGCCAGGCTGGTCTCAAACTCTTGACCTTGTGATCCGCCCATCTTGGCCTCCTAAAATGTTGGGATTATAGGTGTGAGCCACCACGCTTGGCCCCTTTTTTTTTTTTTAATTTTTATTTAATTTATTTATTTATATTTCTGAGACAGAGTCTCACTCTGTCACCCACTGGAGTGCAGTGGCATGATCACTACTTACCTTGACCTCCCCAAGGCTCAGGTGATCCTCCCACTTTAACCCCTTAAGTAGCTTGGACTCCAGTGCCATCATGCCCAGCTAATTTTTCTTTTTCTTTTTTTTTTTTGAGACAGAGTATCGCTCTGTTGCCCAGGCTAGAGTATAGTGGTGTGACCTTGGCTCACTGCAACCTCTGCCTTCCGGGTTCAAGCGATTCTCCTGCCTCAGCCTCCTGAGTAGCTGGGATTACAGGTGCGCACAACCATGCCGGGCTAATTATTGTATTTTTACAATGTAGAGATGAAGTTTCACCATGTCAGTCAAACCTGTCTTGAACTCCTGACCGCATGATCCTCCTGCCTCGACTTCCCAAAGTGCTGGGATTACAGGTGTGAGCCACTGCGCCCGGCCCCCAGCTAATTTTTCTGTTTTTTTTGTAGAGATGAGGTTTTACCATGTTTCCCAGGCTGGTCTCTAACTCCAGGGCTCAAGTGATCTGCCTGACTCGGCCTCCCAAAGTTCTAGGATAACAGATGTGAGCCACTGTGCTGGCCCATGTTAACCATTTTTAAGTGTACAGTTCAGTAGTGTTAAGTGAACTTACACTAAGAAACATATTTGTAAGACCTCTTTGCATCTTAGGGAACTGAAACCCTGTACCCATTAAGCAACTTCGCTTTGTTCCCTCCCCTACCTCCTGGTAACTGCTGTTCTGTTTTCTGTGTAGGTTGACTACTGTAGATACTTCATATAAATGGAATCATACAATATGTATGTCTTTGTGACTGGCTTATTTCGTTTAATGTAATGTCCACAGATTTATCCACATTGTAGCATGTGACAGGATTTCCATCCCCTTTAAGGCTGAATAATATTCCATTATATGTATATATCACAATTTTTTTTTTTCTTTTTGAGACAAGTCTTGCTCTGTTTCTTGCCCACGCTGGAGTGCAGTGGCACGATCTTGGCTCACTGCAACCTCAGCCTCCCGAGTACCTGGGACTACAGGCACACGCCACCACGCCCGGCTAATTTTTGTATTTTTATTAGAGTCGGGGTTTTACCATATTGGTCAGGCTGGTCTTGAACTCCTGACTTCGTGATCTGCCTGGCTCGGCCTCCCAAAGAGCTGGGATTACAGGCTTGACCACCGCGCCCGGCCACAATTTTTTTTTTTAAATCTATTCTTCTGCTGATGGACTTTTGGGTTGCTTTCACCCCTTGGTTATTGTGCATAGTACTTTTGTGAACATAGGTGCACAAATCTTTTGAGATTCTATTTTCAATTCTTGCAGGTGTTACTCGGCAGTGTAATCTATTGGATCATATGGTAGTTTTTGTTTTTGTTTTTGTTTTTGTTTTAAGACAGTATTACTCTTGTTGCCCAGGCTGGAGTGCAATGATGCAATCTCGGCTCACTGCAACCTCTGCCTCCTGGGTTCAAGCGATTCTCCTGCCTCAGCTTCCTGAGTAGCTGGGATTACAGGCACCTGCCACCACACCTGGCTAATTTTTGTATTTCTATTAGAGACGGGGTTTCACCATGTTGGCCAGGTTGGTCTCAAACTCCTGACCTCAGGTGATCCACCCGCCTCGGCCTCCCAAAGTGCTGGGATTACAGGTTTGAGCCACTGCATCCAGCCAGTTTTTAGTTTTTTTAGGAAATGCCATGATCTTTTCCATAGCAGATGCACCATTTGACACTACCACTAATAGTACATGAGGATTCTGTATTAGTCTGTTCTCATGCTGCTATGAAGGAATACCCCAGACTGGGTAATTCATAAAGAAAAGAGGATTACGGCTGGGCACGGTGGCTCACGCCTGTAATCCCACCACTTTGGGTGGCCAAGGTGGGCAGATCACGAGGTCAGGAGATCAAGAACATCCTGGCCAACATGGTGAAACCCCAGCTCTCCTAAAAATACAAAAATTAGCTGGGTGTGGTGGCGTGTGCCTGTATTCCCAGCCACTTAGGAGGCTGAGGCAAGAGAATCGCTTAAACGTGGGAGGCAGAGGTTGCAGTGAGTCGAGATTGTGCTATGGCACTCCAGCCTGTCGAGAGAGCGAGACTCCGTCTCAAAGAAGAAAAAAAAGAGGTTTAATTGACTCAGAGTTCTGCATGACCGGGGAGGCCTCAGGAAACTTAAAATCATGGAAGAAGGCATTTCTTCACAGATTGGCAGGAGAGAGAATGAGTGCCAGCAGAAGAAATGCCAGACGCTAATAAAACCATCAGATCTTGTGAGAACTCACTCGTATCATGAGAACAGCATGGGGGAAACCATCCTGGTGATTCAGTTACCTCCACCTGGTACTGCCTTTGACATGTGGGAATTACAATTCAAGGTGAGATTTGGGTGGGGAAACAGAGCCAAACGGTATCATTCTGCCCCTGGTACCCCCGCCAAATCTCATGTCTTCACATTTCAAAACACAATCATGCCCTTCCAACAGCCCCACAAAGTCTTAATTCATTTCTGCATTAACCCATAAGTCCCAGTCCAAAGCTCATCTGTGACAAGGTATTACTTCGTTCTCATGCTGCTGTGAAGAAATACCCAAGACTGGGTAATTTATAAAGGACAGAGGTTTTTTTTTTTTTTTGAGATGGAGTCTCGCTCTGTCGCCCGGGCTGGAGTGCAGTGGTGCAATCTGGGCTCACTGCAAGCTCCGCCTCCTGGGTTCACGCCATTCTCCTGCCTCAGCCTCCAGTAGCTGGGACTACAGGCACCCCCCACCATGCCCGGCTAATTTTTTGTGTTTTTAGTAAAGACGGGGTTTCACCGTGTTAGCCAGGATGGTCTCGATCTCCTGGCCTCGTGATCCACTTGCCTTGGCCTCCCAAAGTGCTGGGATTACAGGCGTGAACCACCGCGCCCGGCCAGGACAGGTTTTTTTGTTTTTGTTTTTTGTTTTTTTTTCTTTTGAGACAGAGTCTCGCTCTGTCACCCAGGCTGGAGTGCAGTGGGGCGATCTCAGCTCACTGCAACCTCTGCCTCCTGGGTTCAAGCGATTCTCCTGCCTCAGCCTCCCAAGTAGCTGGGATTACAGGTGCCTGCCACCACGCCTGGCTAATTTTTGTATTTTTAGTAGAGACAGGGTTTCACTGTGTTGGCCAACCTGGTCTCGAACTCCTGACGTCAGGTGTTCCGTGCCCCCTTGGCCTCCCAAAGTGTTGGGATTACAGGCGTGAGCCACCGTGCCCAGCCGTAAACCTCTTTTCTTTATAAATTACCCAGTCTAGGGTATTCCTTCATAGCAGCATGAGAACAGACTAATACAGAACCCTCATGTACTATGGCCAGGAAAGAGGTTTAATTGACTCATAGTTCTGCATGGCTGAGGAAGCCTTAGGAAACTTACAGTCAGGGTGGAAGGTGAAGGGGAAGCAGGTACCACCTTTACAAGGTGGCAGGAAGGAGAAGTGCCAGGCAAAGGCGGAAAAGCCCCTTGTAAAATCATCAGATCTCATGATAACTCACTATCAAGAAAGCAGCATGGGGGTAGCCACCCCCATGATTCAAATTACCCCCCACCAGGTCCTTCCCATGACATGTGGGGATTATGGGAACTACAATTCAAGATGAGATTTGGGTGGGGACACAGAACTAGATGATATCATATATCATCTAGTCAAGACATTTGTCTTTTTTATTGGGTATTTGATTACGATTGTTTGATTCCTAATTCAAGTAAGGTTCACACTTTACACTGGGTGATAGAAACCTGTAAATTAAGAGACCTCAAACAAAGACAAAAACAAAAAATTAAGGGTCAGGCACAGTGGCTCAGGCCTGTAATCACAGCACTTTGGGAGGCTGAGGTGGTAGGATCACTTGAGCCCAGGAGTTGAAGACCAGCCTGGGTAATATAATGAGACTCCATCTCTACAAAAAAAAAATGTTTTGTTTTTTTTTGACTTGGAGTCTCTGGTGCTGAGGCGTGAGTGCAGTGGCATGATCTTGGCTCACTGCAGCCTCCGCCTCCTGAGTTCAAGCAGTTCTTCTGCCTCAGCCTCCCAAGTAGCTGGGATTACAGGCACCCACCACCACGCCCGGCTAATATATATATATATATATATATATATATATATTTTTTTTTTTTTTTTTTTTTTTTTTTTTTTTTTTTTTTTTGAGATGGAGTTTTGCTGTTGTTGCCCAGGCTGGAGTACGGTGTCCTGATCTCGGCTCACCACAACATCTGTCTCCTGGGTTCAAGCAATTCTCCTGCCTCAGCTTCCCAAGTAGCTGGGATTACAGGCATGCGCCACCACGCCCAGCTAATTTTTGTATTTTTAGTAGAGACAGGGTTTCTCCAAGTTGGTCAGGCTGGTCTTGAACTCCCGACCTCAGGTGATCCGCCTGCCTCGGCCTCCCAGAGTGCCTGGTTTACAGGTGTGAGCCACCGAGCCCAGCCTAATTTTTGTATTTTTAGTAGAGGCAGGGTTTCACCTTGTTGGCCAGGCTGGTCTCGAACTCCAGTGGTCTAAATCCTGACCTCAGGTGATCCACCCACCTTGGCCTCCCGAAGCGCTGGGATTACAGGCGTGAGTCACCCTACCTGGCCTACAAAAAAAAATTTTAAGATTTAAAAAATAAAACACAAGAGACCTCTTTTTTCCTTGCAATTTGTTTTTTGAATAAAGGGTCGTTTGTCCTGGCAAAGTTTCCCACAATCTGGATTTTGCGTATTGCATCCTAAGAATGGTTTTTACTCACAGCCGTTCTGACACCAAATGTGTGGGGTTTTTCCACCACTCGACGACCAGTTCTCCAGTTCTCTGGACACCAACTGGGTATCCTACAATTCAATTGAATTCTGACCGTAACTACCCAGAATTACTGCAGACTCCACAGGTTAAGGACTCAGTCCCATAAGACAGTGCCCACTTGACACACCAGTTATAAGTTCCAAATTGCCTCGTGTACTTCTGACCAACCAGCTGTAAACTGGGGTTTGCCATGACCACCTTTTCAGGTTTAATAATTTGCTAGAATGATTCAAAACTCAGGAAAGTGCTTTATTTACTGTTACTTGTTTATTATAAAAGACATAACTTCAGGAACAGCCAAATAGCTGTGTAGGGCTAGGTATGGGGGTGGGGCCTGGAGCCTCCGTACCCTCTCTGGGTGTGCCACCCTCCCGACACCTTGATGTGTTCACCACCCTAGAAACTCCAAACCCCATTGTTTAGGGGGGTTTTTGTTTTGAGACAGGTTCTCACTCTCACGCAGGTTGTAGTGCAGCGGCGCAATCTCGGCTCACTGTAACCTTCAGTTCACAGCAACCTCCGGCTCCCAGGCTCAAGCAGTCCTTCCATCTTAGCCTCCCGAGTAGCTGGGACTGCAGGCATATGCCACCGTGTCTGGCTAATATTTTCGTATTTTTGGTATAGACGGGGTCTCACCACGTTGCCCAGGCTGGTCTTAACCTCCTGAGCTCAAGCGATCTGCCCGCCTCGGCCTTTCCAAAGTGCTGGGATTACCGGTATGAGCCACTGTACCTGGTAAACTTAAATTATTTGCACAGATGTAGTTCCTCAGTGCACTAGCATTTTATTTATTTATTTTTATTTCTATTTATTTGTTTGTTTTTTTGAGACAGAGTCTTGCTCTGTCACCCAGGCTGGGGTGCAGTGATGTGATCATGGCTCACTGGAGTCTTGACCTCCCAGGCTCAAGCAATCCCCCTGCCTCAGTCTCTCGAGTAGCTGGAACTACAGGTACCACTACACTCAGCTAATTTTTGTATTTTTTATAGAGACAGGGTCTTCCTATGTTGCCCAGGCTGGTTTCAAACTCCTGGGCTCAAGTGATCTGTCTGCCTCTGCTTCCCAAAGTGCTGGGATTACAGATGGGAGCCCCCGTGCCCGACCTGGATTAGCATTTGAATAACAGCTATTTCATAAAATTCTTCTGCCTTCTGAAAAGTATTTGAGAAGGCTGGCATGGTGGCACATGCCTGTACTGTCCTGGGCCTCTTCTGGGGGAGAGTGACAGGCTTGGATTTAGAGCAGGCCCAGCCCTCCCCACCCTGGTTGGCTGTGGTTCCCAAAGATGTGTCCAGTGACCGAAGCTTGAGTCGGTGACAGCCTCTGGGTAAGCTTCCACAACCCTGGGGTTATCTGTCTGAGGCTGGGCCTAGGTCAGGCTGATGGGAGGATGGGTCAGAGGCTGCTGTGATTGGCCTTGACTCTGCCTGGTGGTTTAGCTCTGCCCTTGCTTAACCTCCAGGAGCTAGGAAGGAAGTACAAATGGGATGTGACATGATTCAGTGGAGCTGGGAGAGGGGAGGGCCCTGCTCCCACCTCCCTTTGGCCACTGGTTGGCAAATGCCTTTAGTTCAAGGTCTCTCTGATTAGGGACTTAGGACCAAGGCCTTGTGGTGGAACAGCCTCTGCTGGTGTAATTATGACCTATTGTTTCTACTGACAGCAGAATGGCCTCCCCTACCAGTTTAATTTGTGGTTTAGGGGGTACGTTTGGTGTTCTTTAACCTTGTAGAGTGTGGAGCTACTGTGGTGTGGCATGGGACAGGGGGTTTGGGCATAGCAGGAGAATTTGGCGTCAAATGGGTGAGAATCCACAGGGCATTTAGCAGAACCCCAGGTCTGGGGGCCCGTGGGTGACTTCTGTGACCTTGAGCCCCTGCAGAGCTTTCCCTGCAGTTCTGCCTTAGAGATGCTTGAAAGAGGGTTTATTGACCACTGATCACATGGCAAGTGCCCTGCAAGGCCTCTAGGGGTATGTGCGTATGTGTGCACATGCACACTGTGTATGGGTTGGCATTGAGTTGAGTGTCCTAAGGGTATGTTCCTGGCCAGAGGTGAAACTTTGACACTTGACTGGTCATGGAGGATGAATTGGTTTGCCAGGTGACCTGAGAATGGGGATGAGACATTCTAGGCAAAGAACAACACATGCCAAGATTGCTTTTATTTATTTTGAGACAGGGTCTCCCTCTGTTACCCAGGCTGGTGGCGCGATCTCTGCTCACTGCAACCTCTGCCTCCCGGGTTCAAGTGATTCCCCCACCTCAGCCTCCCAGGTAGCTGGGACTACTGGCGTGTGCCACCACACCGGGCTCATTTTTGGATTTTTAGTAGAGACAGGGTTTTACCATGTTGGCCAGGGTGGTCAAGAACTCCTGACCTCAGGTGATCTGCCCGCCTCAGCCTCAAGTGATCCACCTGCCTCATCTTCCCAAAGTGCTGGGATTACGGGCATGAGCCACCACACCTGGCCAAGACTGTTTTTAGAGATAATAACTTAGACCAGGCATAATGGCTTACACTTGTAATCCCAGCACTTTGGGAAGATGAGGCAGGTGGATCACTTGACCCAGGAGTTTGAGACCAGCCTGGGCAACATGGCAAAACCTTGTCTCTATAAAAAAATACAAAAATTAGCCAGGCATGGTGGCATGTACTTATAGTCCCAGCCACTGGGGAGGCTGAAGTGGGAGGATCACCTTAGCCCAGGGAGGTCGAATGCATTCCAGCCTGGGTGAGTGAGACCATGCCTCAAAAATAATAATAATAATAACAAGATAGAGGCACAGAGACATGACCTCAGGGTCACGCAGGTAAGAGTAGACCAGGAACTCAAATCTAGGTGTGATTTTGAAGTATGCATGGAAATTGGCCAGGAGGGCTTGTTAAAAATACAGATTGCCTGGCCATACCCCAGAATTTCTGATCCAGTAGATCTGGAGTGGGGCTTAAGATTTAGCGTTTCTAACAGGTTCCAGGTGATGCTGATGCTGCAGGTCAGGGGAACCCTGTGATGTGGACCTCACTAGGCTCTTGATTTGTGCTGTCATACTCAATCCTCATGACGGATAAGGAAACAGGCTTAGAAAGAGTCAAAGTTGTTCACTTGTCTAAGGCCAGGAGCCAAATAATGACAGGTGGCAATAGTATGGGTGGAGGGTTGTCCTTGGGTAGCAGGGAGGCTGGCTAGCACATCCTGGAGTGGAAACCTCCTGGGAAGGTGTAGTGGAGAAAAAGGATTTGAAGTTGATAGCTTGCTTGCTGGAGAGAGGGTGAACAGGCTCTTCCTTCAAGAAAGCTCCCTGGCTTTGACCTGGCGCGGTAGCTCATACCTATAATCCCAGCACTTTGACCGGGCACGGTGGCTCACACCTATAATCCCAGCACTTTGGGAGGCTGAGGCAGGCGGATCACTGGAGGTCAGGAGTTCGAGACCAGCCTGACCAACATGGAGAAACCCCATCTCTACTAAAAATACAAAATTAGCCAGGCGTGGTGGCACATGCCTATAATCCCAGCTACTCGGGAGGCTAAGGAAGGAGAATCACTTGAACCCGGGAGGCGGAGCTTGCAGTGAGCCAAGATCACGCCACTGCACTCCAGCCTGGGCAACAAGAGTGAAACTCCATCTCAAAAAAAAAAATTAAAAAAAAAAGCTCCCTGGCTTTCTGCTAACGTGTCCTTTTTGGGTGTGGTGTCAAGTCTTGCATAGCTGGACTGTGGTCTTGGAGACAGGATGCACTAAGAGTAAGAGTGATTAGTCAGAGGAGTGGGCCTGAGAACTCAGGAAAGGCTTGTGAGGGACTGAGGCTTGAGTTTTTACTTTAAACAGCGCCACTTTTTTTGTTTTGGTTTTTTTGAGACAGAGTCTCGCTTTGTCACCCATGCTGGAGTGCAGTGGCCTGATCTCAGCTCACTGCAACCTCCACCTCCCTAGTTCAAGCAATTCCCCTGCCTCAGCCTCCTGAGTAGCTGGGATTACAGGCGCACGCCACCGCGCCTGGCTAATTTTTTTGTATTGTTAGTAGAGACGGGGTTTCACCATGTTGGCCAGATTAGTCTCCAATTCCTTTATTTATTATTATTATTTTTTTTTGAGATGGAGTCTTGCTCTGTCACCAGGCTGGAGTGCAGTGGCACGATCTCTGCTCACTGCAACCTCTGCCTCCCAGGTTCAAGCGATTCTCCCACCTCAGCTTCTCGAGTAGCTGGGATTACAGGCCCCCGCCACCATGCCCAGCTTTTTTTTTTTTTTTTTTTTTTTTTGTATTTTTGGTAGAGACAGGGTTTCACCATGTTGGCCAGGATGGTCTTGACCTTGTGATCCACCCTCCTCAGCCTCCCAAAGTGCTGGGATTACAGGTGTGAGCCAGCGCGCCCGGCCAAGCATCACTTTTTAAAACAGCCAGTTTATTGAGACAGGTGCTTTGCAGGTATTGTCATTACAACCCTATGAGATAGATGTATTTTCCTCATTTTGCACATGAGGAAACCGAGTTTCTGGGTGCAGTGCTTTGCCCTTGCACCCAGCAGGTAGAGAGTGGGGCTGGACTCCAGGCTGTGGGACACTGTCCCCTGCTCTGATGCCTCATGGCCTTTCTTCCCTCTCCAGCTTATCACACAGACTTTCAGCCACCACAATCAGCTGGCACAGAAGACCCGGCGGGAGAAGAGAGCCCGGCAGGAGGCCGAGCGGCGGGAGAAGGCGGAGCGGGCGGCCAGACTGGCCAAGGAAGCCAAGTCAGAGACCTCAGGGCCCCAGATCAAGGAGCTAACTGATGAAGAGGCAGAGAGGCTGCAGCTAGAGATTGACCAGGTGAAGGGTGGGCTTCCCTTCTCCACCCCTCAGATCCCCCCTGGCACTGAGCAGTGGGGTCCTGTTGCCAACTGCTGTGCTCTTTGCCCCAGAAAAAGGATGCAGAGAATCATGAGGCCCAGCTCAAGAACGGCAGCCTTGACTCCCCAGGGAAGCAGGTGAGATGGACTGCAGGGACTTGGGATGAGCCAGGAGCTTGGAACTTACAGGAAATCTCCTGCCTACTGCTTTCTCTGGAATACCCTTCCTTATCCTATCCCCTCCCCTCCTGGCTTTGGGAATCTTCCCCATACTTTAAGATCACACTCAGAGACATTGAACCAAAGGATCCAGGTTAAAAAAATAAAAACCTGCCAGGCGCAGTGGCTCACACCTGTAATCCCAGCACTTTGGGAGGCCGAGGTGGGTAAATCACGAGGTCTGGAGTTCAAGACCAACTTGGCCAAGATGGTGAAACCCCATCTCTACTAAAAATACAAAAATTAGCCAGGCATGGTGGTGGGCGCCCGTAATCCCAGCTACTCGGGAGGCTGAGGCAGAGAATTGCTTGAACCCGGGAGGCGGAGGTTGCCATGAGCCGAGATCACGCCACTGCACTCCAGCCTGGGCGACAGAGCAAGACTCCGTCCCAAAAAAATAAAATAAAAACCGACTGACCTTAACCTGTTTATGGCAAGAAAACCCAATAGCCAGAGAGGGCAGTGCCTATTACAGGTCCCATCTGAGGTTGGCTGGGTTCTGTGGGCCCAGCCATATCCTTTGTCACATGGTATAATATTAATAGTCTGAGCTCCTCTCAGACTGAGATCAGAACCAAGTTTTACCTGGTTCCCAGTGGACCAAGGCTTGGGGGTCTGCCCCTCTGTGGAGTGGGCAGGGACCAGGTCTGTTTTCTTTTGTGGCTGTATGCCCAGTGCTAGCCCTGGGCTTGGCCCAGTGAGGGTTCAATCTGTGTCTTGTCTGTCAAGTAAGTAGCTGAGTGTCCCTGATTGTAAGCAGGATACTGAGGAAGATGAGGAGGAAGATGAGAAGGACAAAGGAAAACTGAAGCCCAACCTAGGCAACGGGGCAGACCTGCCCAATTACCGCTGGACCCAGACCCTGTCGGAGCTGGACGTGAGTGTCAGGGACCAGAGGTAAAGCTTAGGGGGCCAGCCTGGGGTACCAGCAGCACTTAGTGGCCTCTTCTGACTGCCTCTGCCCTATGCAGCTGGCGGTCCCTTTCTGTGTGAACTTCCGGCTGAAAGGGAAGGACATGGTGGTGGACATCCAGCGGCGGCACCTCCGGGTGGGGCTCAAGGGGCAGCCAGCGATCATTGATGGGGAGCTCTACAATGAAGTGAAGGTGGAGGAGAGCTCGTGGCTCATTGAGGACGGCAAGGTGGTGACTGTGCATCTGGAGAAGGTATGTGAGGCCCAGCCCTTCTAGCCTGGGGTGTTGATGGAAGTAGAAGGGAGGATGTGTGCTTAGTTTACTCAGGAGCCATGCTGGGGGCATTGTGGGATTATCTTAATCCCCATGACAACACTCTTTAAAGTAGATCTGTCTCTATTTTATTTTCTTAAAGACAAGGTCTCACTCTGTTGCCCAGGCTGAAGTGCAGTAACACCTTCTTAGCTCACTGCAGCCTTGAACCCTTGGGCCCAAGCAATTCTCTCGCCTCGTCCTCCTGAGTAGCTAAGACTACAGGTGTACACCACCACGCTCGGCTAATTTTTGTTATTAAATTTTTTTGTAGAGACCGGGGGGTCTCACTATATTTCCCAGGCTGGTCTTGAACTCCTGGCCTCAAGTGATCTTCACACCTTGGCCTCCCAAAGTGCTGAGATTACAGGCTTGAGTCAGGAAAAGAGCTCGTTGATTTACCCAAGCTCCTACCTCTGGGAAGGGGTGGAGTCAGAATTGAAAGTCTTAGTTTCTAAAGCCACTTCTTTTTCACTAGGTTTGTACATGCATTCAATTCATCAAATACTTGAACACCTGCTCTGTGCCTGGTACTGTTCTTGTTCTAAGTGCTGGAAAGAGAACAGTGAACAAAACATAGGAAAATATGTGCCCTCAGGAAGCCTTCATTCTCAACCTCACTGCCTTTACAGAGAGGTAGGACACAGAGATCAGTAAATAAAGGTGGTCTGAAAAGGGCCAAGGGTCTGAGGAGAACTTCCCAGGGCACATAAGACCCTGTAACAGCCTGTCCGACTGGCACTGGCTGCCTTCACTCACTCACCCCTCCATGCCTCTGCACTTGCTTTGTCGCCCAGGCTGGAGTGCAGTGGCGCGATCTCGGCTCACTGCGAGCTCCGCCTCCTGGGTTCATGCCATTCTCCTGCTTCAGCCTCCAGTGTAGCTGGGACTACAGGCGCCCGCCACCATGCCTGTATTTTTTTTTTTGTCTGTTTTGTTTTCTATTTTTTAGTAGAGACAGGGTTTCACCGTGTTAGCCAGGATGGTCTCGATCTCCTGACCTTGTGATCCGCCCACCTCGGCCTCCCAAAGTGCTGGGATTACAGGTGTGAGCCACCATGCCCAGCCCTTTCCCTGCCTTTTAAATTTATTTTTTATTTTTTGAGACAGGGTCTTGTTCTCACCCAGGCTGGAATGCAGTGGCGCAATCACGGCTTACTGCAGCCTTGACCTCCCGGGCTCAAACGACCCTCCCACCTCAGCTTCCTGAGTAACTGCGAGCGCCACCCTACCTGGCTAATTTTTAAATGTTTTTTGTAAAGACAGGGTCTCATGTTGCCCAGGCTGGTCTGAAACTCCTGGGCTCAAGGGATCTTCCTGCCTTGGCTTCCCAAAGTGTTGGGATTACAGGTAGGAGCCACTGCACCTGGCACTTCCCTGCTTAAAAACTTTTTCTGGCTGGGCGTGGTAGCTCATGCCTGTAATCCTAGCGCTTTGGGAGGCTGAGGTGGGCAGATCACGAGGTCAGGAGTTTGAGACCAGCCTGGCCAAGATGGCAAACCCCATCTCTAATAAAAATACAAAAAATTAGCTGGGCATGGTGGTGGGCGCCTGTAATCCCAGCTACTTGGGAGTCTGAGGCAGGAGAATCGCTTGAACCCAGGAGGTGGAGGTTGCAGTGAGCTGACTGCACCACTGCACATGGTGGCTCACACCTGTAATCCCAACACTTTGGGAGACTGAGGCAGGCAGATCATCTGAGGTCAGGAGTTTGAGACCAGCCTGGCCCAATATGGTGAAGCCCCGTCTCTACTAAAAATACAAAAATTAGCCAGGTGTGGTGGTGCATGCCTATAATCCCAGTTACTCGGGAGGCTGAGGCCGGAGAATTGCTTGAACCCGGGAGGCAGAGGTTGCAGTGAGCCGAGATGGTGCCACAGCACTCCAGCCTGGACAAGAAGAACAAGACTCCATCTCAAAAAATATATATATTTATTTTCTTCCCATTTTAAATCTGGAATACTGCTTTGTGTCTTAAGACTCAGCCCGAGTGTCACTTTCAAACTTTTCTCCCTCCACCCTGGATGAATATCTCCCTTTCTGCTTTCTTCTTTCCCTTATCACACTGATTTGTAACTCTTTGCCTCTGTGTCTCCCCTAGCTGCAGGAAGGGCACAGTCTTGTACCTCTGGATCCAGTGTAGGCCTGCAAGGGTCTCAGGTGCAGGATGTGGATGGGAGAGAGTTTGGTTGTGAAAGGGTTAAGGGGTGATTCCTGGTGCACAGAGCAGGCCACCTCCCACCCTCTGGTTGTTCTCTTCACAGATCAATAAGATGGAGTGGTGGAGCCGCTTGGTGTCCAGTGACCCTGAGATCAACACCAAGAAGATTAACCCTGAGAATTCCAAGGTGAGCCCTGGCTGGTTGGGGGAGCTTCAGCAGGAAGGTGAGGGGCCTCGTTGTTTCCAGAGCTTCACCGATTCCTGTCACTGCCTGCCCTCAGCTGTCAGACCTGGACAGTGAGACTCGCAGCATGGTGGAAAAGATGATGTATGACCAGCGACAGAAGTCCATGGGGCTGCCAACTTCAGACGAACAGAAGAAACAGGAGATTCTGAAGAAGTGAGCAATTCAGAGACGGGGTTGGGGGACCGTGGGTGCCTGGGGGCTTAGACTTCGGTGACAGCAGTGAGTGGATCACTGCGCTGCCTCAGGAGCTGCCCTGCCCCCTTTCCAGCCATGTTTATGGCTTTATGGCTTTGGCTTGCCTACTCTTGTCATTTGCTGAGGTCATCTTGAGGGCAAGGCCGGCTCATGGTGCATGATAGGAGGGAAGGGGTAACAGGCGGTCATTGCCACCTACAGGAAAACAATGCCAGTGTTGGTGCCTCAGCTTCCAGCCTCGGGACTCAAATGCGTCTCAGATACCCTGGGCCCTGCTCCTGCCCAGCCTGGCTTGGTGTTGCTGAGGTCTAAAGAGATTAGACTTGACACGGGGGTGCTGGGAGAAGGGACAGCTTTAGAAGAGAAGGATGAGCTGTTTCATCTTGCTTCCGTTTCTCCAGGTTCATGGATCAACATCCGGAGATGGATTTTTCCAAGGCTAAATTCAACTAGCCCCTGTTTTTTCCTCCCTGAACTCTTGGGGCTGAGCTGCAACCACCCAACTTTCTTTCCCACTCTTCTCTGGGACTTGTGGGCCTCAGGGCTTGGGGCAGGCATGGGACTGGCCCAGGCACACAGGTCCCGGGGCATCAGGAGAAAGGCTGGGTCTTGGGACCTTGTCCTCCCCAGTTGGCCTACTGTTACACATTAAAACGATTTGCCCAGCTCCTTCTGTGTCCTCTCTTGCCTCTGGCCTTTCTCTGGGGCACAGGCCTCTTACGGCTGCTGCTGGGAACTGGGAGTTTGGCTTCTAGCCCAGATTCTGCCATGTGACCTAGGGCACATCCTTGCCCCTCTCTGGGCCTCAGTTTCTCATTACTTAAAGATTAAAACAAGGCTTGGCCGGGTGTGATGGTTCATGTCTGTAATCCCAGCACTTTGGGAGGCTGAGGGGAGCAGATCACCTGATGTCAGGAGTTTGAGACCAGCTTGGCCAACATGGAGAAACCCAGTCTCTACTAAAAATACAAAAATTAGCCGGGTGTGGTGGTGCACACCTGTAATCCCAGCTACTCGGGAGGCTGAGGCAGGAGAATCGCTTGAACCCGGGTGGCGGAGGTTGCAGTGAGCCGAGATTGCACTACTTCACTCCAGCATGGGTGACAGAGACTCCATCTCAAAAAAATAAATAAATAAAACAAGGCTTTTAGTCTATGTATGTTTCTGAGCAAAGGTTGAGTTTTTCTGGCTACAGAGACCAGAACACATGTCAGATTCTCAAAGGGGCGCATGACCCAAAAAAGTTTTAAGACCGCTGGACTTGTTGATCTGATTTTTACTTCCCACTGCAGCGGGTCTGCCCTCTAGCCGTGAATCAAGTATTCTTGAAACTAGAGACTATTGTGTCCCAGGGCAGAAGAGCAGCAAGGGCCAAGGTGACACTGCCTGGCTCAGGGGAGGGGTACCAGGAGGACAGCTCAGGCCTCAGATCTGGTGTGTGTGGTACAGGGACCTTACCAGGAGGACAGAGTAAAGTCCAGTGAGGCTCCATTGTTTGTATCTCAGACCTGGACCTCTGCAGATTCTAGGCCTTCTCAAAGCCAGCTCCCAGGGCTGAAGAGGTGCTCCCCTTTGCTCAGATCCAGCCCACAGAGCTGACCCCTGCCCCACTTTGGCTAGAGAGTGGAGGTCAGAATGCTTGGGCCACAGAGGTTATAGCAAGAATGTCTAGGTTGACTTGCTGTGAGTGCTTAGTTCTTTGGCTCCTAAATTTCTGGAACACAGATGTTTTTTTTAGAATTTGAGAATAGCTGGGCACAGTAGCTCACGCCTGTAATCCCAGCACTTTGGGAGGCCAAGGCAGGCAGATCACTTGACGTCAGGAGTTCGAAACCAGCCTGGCCAACATGGAGAAACTCCATTTCTGCCAAAAATATAAAAAGTTAGCTGGGTGTTGGCCGGGTGCGGTGGCCCAGGCCTGTAATCCCAGCACTTTGGGAGGCCAAGGTGGGTGGACCACAAGGTCAGGAGATCGAGACCATCCTGGCTAACATGGTGAAACCCTGTCTCTACTAAAAATACAAAAAATTAGCCGGGTGTGGTGGCGGGCGCCTGTAGTCCCAGCTACTTGGGAGGCTGAGGCAGGAGAATGGTGTGAACCCAGGAGGTGGAGCTTGCAGTGAGCAGATATCGCGCCACTGCACTCCAGCCTGAGCAACAGAGTGAGACTCCGTCTCCAAAAAGAAAAGAAAAAGCTGGGTGTGGTGGCACGTGCCTGTAATCACAGCTACTTGGGAGGCTGAGGCAGGCGAATCACTTGAACCTGGGAGGCTGAGGTTGTGGCGAGCCAAGATCGTGCCACTGCACTCCAGCCTGGGCAATAGAGCGAGACTCTGTCTCGGGGAAAAAAAAAATTCAGAATAGCTTGTTAAAGATTTCAGAGAGGCTATGCAGTACATAGCTTTGTCTGTTTTCCAAACTTGCTAAACCTTTTTTTTTTTCCTGGGAATGCAAATAATGGTTTAAAAGGCTAGGTTTGGAAAATGGTGCTCTAGGGCTGAGGCTTGGTTCGTGGTGTCACTCTACCGCTCTGTACTCCTGTTCTGCCCCGTGGTCATTTTAATCTTTTGGAGGCCTTGACCCGGATGCGACAGCAGAGCCTGGAGTTAGAACTGAACCCTATGTTCATAGCCCTGAGAGATCATCCTGTTTCCCTTAGGAAACTGGACAAACAAGTACAATTTGTCTAGTAGTTACTTTCCAAAGGGTGCCTTTCGGAACAATAAAAAGGGCGGTGGGGGCAGCAGGTCAGATGGGAGCTGGAGTGGGGGGATCCTCAACACTTTCTAGCTTGTTTGTTAATTAAGAATGGGCTGGTGGGCCTGCCCCGGCCTCTCTGCTGAAAGAGGACCAGTAGATAAGCCTGTGTGTGAGGAGCAGCCAAGTAGGATCCTTCTGAACTCATCTGGGCTCTGCTACCTAATGAAGGGATTCTGCATCTGCCCCAGCAAGGCCAGAGCCACAGTTACTAACTGCGTGTCCCACTAAGTTCCTTGACCTCACTGTGAGCCCCACGTTTCCTCTCTGTGAAAGAATAATGTCCTTTCTCCAACGTTATTGGAGAGGCCAAGAAGATACTGGTGAAAACCACAGTGCTGGCCAGGCGCGGTGGCTCACGCCTCTAATCCCGGCACTTTGGGAGGCCGAGGCGGGCGGATCACCTGAGGTCAGGAGTTCGAGACCAGCCTGACCAACATGGAGAAACCCTGTCTCTACTAAAAAATACAAAATTATTTGTGCGTGGTGGCGCATGCCTGTAATCCCAACTGCTCGGGAGGCTAAGTTAGAAGAATCGCTTGAACCCGAGAGGCGGAGGTTGCAGTGAGCCAAGATTGTGCCATTGCACTCCAGCAGCTTGGGCAACAAGAGCAAAAACTCCATCTCAAAAAAAAAAAAAAAAAAAAAAAAACCACAGTGCTCTGTTACTACCACAGAGAGAGTGGAAGGGGAGCAGCAGGTCCAAGGCTGGGTAGGGCCAACAAATGATCAAGGCTTTGGGGAAACTGTGGGCTGGGCAGAAGCAGGCCAGCCTGCAGGCAGTGGACTGGGAGAGCAGAGGCAGTTCGGACAGGCCTCCCTAGAAGAACCTCTCAAACAATGTCAGAAACCATTTATCCAACCTTTCTCAGGCACAGACTCTGTGCTTGGTTCTTTATCTCCTGGAACTCACAGTGAACCTGAAATGGGGGCAGCATTACTCCCATTTTATCCTTCCTACTTTAACTGCAGGGCACTAAGCCAGGCTGGACACATATCCTGTCTCCTGCTCTGGGCAGCAGTTAAGTGAGGCAGATGGGAGAGAAAGGACAGCCAAGAAAGCAGGCAGATACCAATTACCTTTGTACTTACAAACTGTGGTCATGTTAAGATACAGAACATCAGCCAAGAACCAGAACCAACTCCTTAACATAACATAGAGTGGGCCCTGCCCACCCCCCAATACAATACATTTAAGATAAGCTTCTTTTAACTGTTGAATTACCCCAGGGAGGGAGAAGTTTGCATGATTGGTTAGGGTGGCAATAGGGGGATGGAGTCAGGGTTCACTCCCAGAAGGTAATGCCTAACTCCTTACTTTCCATGATCAGGCCACCTGAAGACCATGAGCAGGAAGGAAGGGGCCCTGGCAGGGATCAGACCAGCTGGGGATGCAAGGAGATGTAGATCCCATGGCCCAGTGAAATGCACATGGTCCAGGAACCCAGTCAGCCAAGGCAGGAGGAGCCAGAGTGGGCACTGCTTCAGGTCTAAGCCTCTCCCACAGGGGTTCCTGGTCCCCCTCTTCATTCTGTAGGCCATGCTTCTCCCAGAAAGGGTGTGGCAGCTGGGCCTGGCAGGGGTTAGCAGTACACCTGGAGCAAGGGTGCCCCCGACGAGTCTGTGTCGGTGCCCTGGAAGGATGAGTCATGGCTTGCTGGGTACCCTGGTAGGAAGGAGAGGAGAGGAGGAAACAGGCTCAGGGGAAGGAGCTCATCCAGATCCCATGACCAGGGAGAAGCCTGCTGAGAAGGAGCAGAGTGGGACTTGAGCCTGGGTCAGTCTGATCCTGGCTGGATGACCCACTCAGTTTATTGACCTCTCTGAGCCCTAGCCTCCCTTTCTGTAAAAGGATAATGATTCCACTCCCAGGGGGTTGTTGTCAAGGGCAAGAAGACCGCAACAGAACCACACGGGTGTCTTTCCAGCACCATGCTGGATGGCTCCCCACCCACTACTTTCCTAGTCATCTGGGCTTGAAGGTTGGGGTCTGATCACTTTCAGCTTGCCTGTTCTGGGCACCTGCACCCACTTTAAGCCAGCTTGCTAGATGGAGACAGGTCTGTGGCTGCTTAGGTCCCCGTCCCTTTTTGATGTCATCCTCATCACCCCAAAAGAAAGCTGGGAGAGCAGCAGGTGAGGGGCCCCTAGGGTAGTCCCCCACCCTCCACACCCCTCATTAGGTCAAGACCACACCTGGAGCTCCATAAGGCCTCAGCTTCCGGGCGATGGCATCTGCAGTCGTCTCCTGGGAGATCTGCACTGTCAGCTCTAGGGAGGGAACGTGAGGCAAGCAGTGGTCATTAGCACGTTCTTTCAACCCTATTTCCTACTTCTGTTCCCAGCCCGATGAGGGAGGAGCCACTCACTCCTGGGCAGGGCTAGAAAAATAATGCTTAAAGACAGAGACATAGACAACGTGTGCATGCGCAGAGTGATGGATGAGTGGGAGTTTTGGTTAGCCCAGAACAGGTCAGAGGCCCAAATTCATGTGGGTCCCTAGGTCCTGTTCACCAGACCAGGCCTAGAAGCTACTCTGGCAGGAGACAGCAGAGGAGAGGAGCCTTTTGGGTAAACTTGTTGAATGCAGAGGGAACCTTGACCTTTCTGGGGACAGCAGCGATGGCCAGAGAGCTCTCCCAGGGTCTGCATGCTTCTCTCAGCCTTGCTCGGACCTCACCAGGAAGGGCCAGAGTGGGAGCTGGGGAGAGGGGATGCAAGAGTTGACAGAAAGGAGGAGGAAAGGCAGGGACTGGCTGAGGGGTAGACCCACAGTGACTAAAGACCCCATTCCAACCCTCCCCTGGCCAGAGCCTCCCCTACTCTGCCCCTCAGCCCCATGGGGCCCCCACCTACCATCCTGGCTGAGACCTGAGCCCACCATGGTCTCATGGCCACTGTCAGGGGCAGCAGCGGTTGGGGCAGCAGCCCGAGTTGAACGACCCTCCGAGGTCTGTGGGCGAGCACGGCTCTTTCGGGTACTAATGCGAATGATGCCGCGTACCAGGCGGCCCTCAGCATCCTGCTCATCCAGGTGGTAGTCCTGCGTGATGCTGCTGATAAGGTCCGAGATCTTACTGGTCTTCTCCAGGAACACAGTGTCTGATGTGCACTTGGCCAGCTCATCGATCTGGTGTACGCTGAACAGCTCTGTCAGCTTCTTGAAGATGAGCACATCAATTTCTCGGCTCGACATGGAGCCACTGCCCATCTCCGGCAGGTCCAGGTCCGACTCATGGAAAGAATAGTACTCCTCGGAGCCACGAGGACTACTGGCAAAGGTGCTGGGCAGGCTGTGTCGCATGGGTGGGGGATCGGCCAGTGGCTCCTTGCAGCAGGAGTCCGCATCAGGGGCTGGGGAGGTGGCCCTCGGGTAGGGATACACAGGGATGCCTTTGAGCTTAACATCGGGGTAGCTGAAGCTGCTGCCCATGGTTGACTTGAGCCGCTGGCCATCCCGCCGGCTGGGGGGTGCACGATCAGGGCTGGGGGGCACTCCATTGTGCTCCTTGGCCCAGTTGGCTTCAGCAGTCCCCTCAGTGGAGTCCTCAGTAGACAGGCAGGGGCTGCATCCCCGCACACAGGCTCCACAGCGCTGGAGGCAATCCCGGCAGCGGCGGAAGCAGAAGGCAGCCCGGCACCACTCCCACACCCAGGGTCGCCAGAGCAGGCAGCAGGTGGGGGACTCAAGGGCCGGCTCAGCAGAGCCAGAGATGAAGGTAATGCTCTCTGGCCCATGGTGGCCAGGGTCCTTGGGGTCTGGTCTACGGGTGCGGCGGCTTGGTGGGGGCTGAGGTGGTTTATCATATGTCTCCAGACATAGCTCTGTTGGCCGCTCCCACGGTCCCAAGCGTGGAGGCCCAGATGCTGGGCGGGGGTGTCCAGGGCGGGGCATGGCTCATTGCATGGTTTGTAGCAGCCAGGCACCTGCGTGGGGAGAGGCCAGGAAGGAGTCAGGATCAGAGGTGAGGGACAAACTCCTGGGCTGACTTGAGCAGCTTCACATTTCTAGTTTCTGAGAGGCCTGGGATGTGGATGGACCCAAGTATGCCCAAAAACCCTTGCCTGGGATGTGGATGGACCCAAGTATGCCCAAAAACCCTTATCTCTTGTGGCCCTCCCTCCACAAAGAGAAAGTCTCTGTGGTCTAACCCAGATTTCAAAATTCCCTGTGACTTAGACCTATTGGGATGGCTATGAAAGGTTGAACATTGGCCGGGCGTGGTGGCTCACGCCTGTAATCCCAGCACTTTGGGAGGCCGAGGCAGGCAGATCACCTGAGGTCAGGAGTTCGAGACCAACCTGACTAACATGGTGAAACTCCGTCTCTACTAAAAATACAAAAAAAATTAGCCAGGTATAGTGGTGGGTGCCTGTAATCCCAGCTACTTGGGAGGCTGAGGCAGGAGAATCGCTTGAACCCGGGTGGCAGAGGTTGCAGTGAGCCAAGATCACGCCATTGCACTCCAGCCTGGGCAACAGGGCGAGACTGTGTCTCAAAAAAAAAAAAGAAAGAAAAAGAAAAAAAGAAAGGTTGAACATCTTATCTGAAATGCTTGGGTCCAGAAATGTTTTGGATTCTGAATTGTGGATTGTATACATTATACTTACCTGTTAAGCATTCCTCATCCAAAAATCTGAAATGCTCCAATGAGCATTCCTTTAAGTATCATGCTGGTGCTCAACTTTCAGATTTTGGAGTGTTTTGGATTTTTGGATTAGGGATACTCAATCTCTCAATCTGTATTTAAAAATAATCTCCCTTCTCCCAGAAAATAATGAGTGTTGGCAATAATGTGGAAAAACTGGAACCCTTGTGCATTTCTGGTGGGAATGTAAAATGGTGCAGCTGCTATGGAAAACAGTACGGTGGTTCCTCCAAAAATTAAACATCGAATTACCACACGACCCAGCAATTCCACTTCTGGGTACATACCCAATCTAATTGAGAGCAGGGACTCAGATGTTTAGACAATGTTCACAGCAGCATTATTCACAATAGCCAAAAGGTGGAAACAATCCCAGTGTCTACCAATGGATGAATGACTAAACAAAATGTGGTATATACATACAATGGAATATTACTCAGCCTTAAAAAGGAAAGGAAATTCTTATACATGCTGCAACATGGATGAACCTTGAAGAACTTATGCTAAGTGAAATAAGCCAGACACAAAAGGACAAATAGCCCGGGTGCGGTGGCTCATGCCTGTGATCCCAGCAATTTGGGAGGCTGGGATGGGTGGATCACTTGAGCGCAGGAGTTCAAGACCAGCCTGGCCAACATGGTGAAAGCCCATCCCTACTGAAAATACAAAAATTAGCTGGGCGTGGTGGTGCACACCTGTAGTCCTAGTTACCTGGGGGACTGAGGTGGGAGGACCACTTGAGCCTTGGAGGTGGAGGTTGCAGTGAGCTGAGATCGTGCCATTGCACTCCAGCCTGGGCAACAAAGCCAGACCCTGTCTCAAAAAAAAAAAAAAAAAGACAAATATTGTAAGATTCCACTTATATGACATCTCTAGAATAGTCAAATTCATAGAGACACAAAGTAGAATGGTAGTTGCCTGGTGCTGGGGGCAGAGGGGACTGGGGAGTTAGTGTTGAATGGGTAGGGAGTTTCAGCTGGGGTAGATGAAAAAGGTCTGGAGATGGATGGTGGCAATAGTTGTACAACAATGTGAATGTATTTAATGCCACAGGAATGATGCTTAAATATGGGAATGATGCTTAAATATGTTTTTTTTTTTTTTTTTGAAACGGAGTCTCACTCCGTTACTGAGGCTGGAGTACAGTGGTACCATCTCGGCTCACTACAACCTCTGCCTCCTGGGTTCAAGTGATTCTCTTGCCTCAGCCTCCCAAGTAGCTGGGATTACAGGCACGTGCCACCACGCCCAGCTAAGTTTTGTATTTTTAGTAGAGACAGGATTTCACCATGTTGGCTAGGCTGGTCTCAAACTGCTGACCTCAGGTGATCTCCCCACCTCAGCCTCCCAAAGTACTGAAATTACAGGAATGAGCCACTGCGCCTGGCCAAATGTGGTTTCTTTAAAAAAAGGTTAGGCCAGGCGCAGTGGCTAATGCCTGTAATCCCAGCACTTTGGGCGGCTGAGGTGGGCGGATGATTTGAGGTCAGGAGTTCTAGACCAGTATGGCCAACATGGTGAAATCCTGTCTTTACTAAAAATACAAAAATTAGCTAGGTATGGTGATGGGCACGTGTAATCTCAGCTACTGAGGAGGCTGAGGCAGGAGAATCGCTTGAACTCAGGAGGCAGAAGTTGAAGTGAGCCGAGATGGCGCCATTGCACTCCAGCCTGGGTGACAGAGTGGCAAGACTCTGTCTCAAAAAAAAAAAAAAAGTTAATAAGTTACCTTTTTTTTTTTTGAGATGGAGTCTCGCTCTGTCACCCAGGCTGGAGTGCAATGGCGCATTCTCGGCTCACTGCAACCTCTGCCTCCCAGGTTCAAGTGATTCTCTTGCCTCAGCCTCGGAGTAGCTGGGATTACAGACGTCCGCTACCACGCCCAGCTAATTTTTGCATTTTTAGTAGAGATGGGGTTTCGCCATGTTGGCCAGGCTGGTCTCGAACTCCTGACCTCAGGTGATCTGCCCACCTCAACCTCCCAAAGTGCTGGGATTACAGGCATGAGCCACTGCACCCAGCCTACTATGGTAACTTTTATAGCTATTTTACAGAAAGATCTCCTGGATCTCACTTTCTGTGAAGTGGTTTCCCCCAGTTTCTTCCTGCTGTTGGTAAGTTTTTCTTGTTGAGAGCCTCTGTGGCTGCTCAACAAATGCCTTTCCATAAGACTTGCTATGGAACCTGATCATTAATACCTTTTTCCCTCTCCTGGTCCTTCAAATCAGATATGGGAATTTACAAGGTCTGTCAATATTTCAGTCTTACTCACATTTGCCCTGCTAGCAACATTTAACACCAACCACTGTTGGTGTCCTTTGATTAGATAAAAAAGCTGAGCCACAAAATATGTCTTCTTTCCCATTCTGACCTGGTTGCTAGGAAGCTCAGAGCTAGGACTTCCTTTACTTCATAAACACTGAGGCTGGCCCTGTGCTGGGTACCGTAGAACCAAAGATGAATGAATTACAGATCCTGTTCTTGATGATTCACATATGGTTTTGCAGGGAAAACAGATGCTTAAAAGTTTGTAAGATGAGGGCCGGGCACAGTGGCTCATGCCGGTAATCCCAGCACTTTGGGAGGCTGAGGCGGGTGGATCACGAGGTCAGGATTTCGAGACCAGCCTGACCAACATGGTGAAACCCTGTCTCTACTAAAAATACAAAAATTAGCTGGGCGTGGTGGAGCGTGCCTGTAATCCCAGCTATGCAGGAGGCTGAGGCAGGAGAATCGCTTGAACTTGGGAGGCGGAGGTTGCAGTGAGCCCAGATCGCACCACTGCACTCCAGCCTATGCAACAGAGTGAGACTCCATCTCAAACAAACAAACAAAGTTTGTAAGATGGAGCATGTAGGATATATGAAGCATCATGGGAGTAAATAACTCTGCCTGACAGAGTCAAGGAAGATTATGCAGTAGTGTATTTGGGAAGGTCCTTGATCTCATGTAGGGGTTTGCCAGGCAGTAACTATCCTTAGCTTGGATTTTCTGAGACACTGATCCCTTATCCTTTTATTCCTGAATTAATGGCACTGGGGTCTTAAACCGGGGGTGTGTGAGGAATGTGGAACTGGGCATCGGGATATCTGTGTTTTAGTTCCAGTTCTGGCCCTAATCTAACCCCAGATTTGGCACTTGGGAAAATTAATGCCACCTCCCTAAAGAGGGCCATCATTATCTCTCACCCAAATACTGTCACAGCCGCCATTCTGGCCACTTCCATTCCCTCTTACTTGCTGTAGCAAGTAAAAACTTTAAAATGTTTAGAGGAACACGGCAGACACCACTTTAATCAAATGATCAAAGATAATATCACCATAATGGGATGAATTGACATCAAGTTCCTCCTGATACTATGTACTAAGGAGGATACAACTCACGAAGTATTCCTGTCAAAAATGCATAACCTGAATGTAATAATGAGGAAATAATAGACAAGCCCAAGTTGAGAAACATGACAACTAAATGCAGTGTGATCCTAGAAAGGATCCTGGATTGGGAGGAAAAAATTGGAAATTGGATAATGTGAATAACTGGTGAAATATGTTATTTGATAGTATTATATCAATGTTACATTTTCTGAATTTGATTACTGTGGTTATATAAGATAATGTTCTATTCTTAGGAAACATACATTGAAGCACTTGGGGATAAAGGGGCAGGATTATCTGCAACCTAATCTCAAATGGTTCAAACACAAAAGAACAAAAGTTATGTGTGTGTAGAGAAAGGGAAAGAGGGAATGTTGCCCATGGTAAATGGGGATGTGAAGGATACAGTTCTTTTATTTATTTTATTTTATTTTTAGAGATAAGGTCTCCCTCTGTTACCCAGATTGGAGTGCAGTGGTGCAACCCTAGCTCAATGAAGCCTCAAACAACAGGGCTCAAGTGATCCTCCTGCCTCAGCCACTTGAGTAGCTAGGACTATAGGTGCATACCACCCTGCCCCACTAGTTTTTTGTTTTGTTTTGTTTTTTGGTAGAAATGGGATCTTGCTATGTTGCTCAGGTGGTCTTGAATTCCTGGCCTCAAGTGATCTCCTGCCCTGGCCTCCCAAAGTGCTGGGATTACAGGCATGAGCCTCTGTGCCTGGCCTAGGATACAGTTCTTTAACCATTCCTACAACTCTTTAACCTACTCTCCTGGCCTTACTCAGCACTCCTTCTCCAGGGACCTTCTGGAACCACTAGTCAGATGGGAGGCCCTCTCCCCATGGCCTTCTGCTGGGCTGTCAGCTGGGTCAGCCTTGTACTGATTGTTTGAGGATAAGTCTATGTCCCCAAGGACCATGACCCTGAAGTGCAGGGACTGTGTGTAATTCTTTTCTGCCTCAGGGTCTGGAACAGGGTTTGGTACACTAGGTGCCTCAGGGGACTGACAGATTTCAGGTTGCCTCAGGGTAGAACCAGCGCCACTGGGTACAAAGAAAAAAAGACTTAGGCTCTACGTTGACCAGAGTATGGATGGGGGATAGGAGGTGAGGGAGAGAGTGAAATCCCATCTGCAACGGTATCCCAAATAAAATTCTAACAGGTGATTTTAAATTCCCTTGCAATCTGAGCTAAGTGGTTAAAAATCTTTGCTTTAGTTTGAGAAATGTGGGGTATGGATTCACACATTCACGCAATTAACAGATATTTACTGAGGGCCCACTGTGTGCCACATGCTGGATTTATTATTATTATTATTATTATTTGAGACAGTCTTACTCTGTCACCAACGCTGGAGTGCATGGCACGATCTTGGCTCACTGCAACCTCTGCCTCCCAGGTGGAGGCAATTCTCATGCCTCAGCCTCCTGAGTAGCTGGAATTACAGGTGCATGCCACCACACCCAGCTAATTTTTTTGTATTTTTAATAGAGATGGGGTTTCACCATGTTGGCCAGGCTGGTCTCGAACTCCTGACCTCAAGTATCCACCTGCCTCAGCCTCCCAAAGTGCTGACATTACAGGCATAAGCCACCGCGCCCAGCCAGCTGTTCTAAATTCTTTTTTTTTTTTTTTTTTTTGAGATGGAGTCTCACTCTGTTGCCCAGTCTGGAGTGGAGTGCAGTGGCGTGGTCTTGGCTCACTGCAACCTCTGCCTCCCGGGTGCAAGCGATTCTCCTGCCTCAGCCTCCTGAGTGGCTGGGACTACAGGCGCGTGCCACGCCTGGCTAATTTTTTGTATTTTTAGTAGAGATGGGGTTTCACCATGTTAGTCAGGATGGTCTGATCTCCTGACCTCGTGATCCACCCACCTCGGCCTCTCAAAGTACTGGGATTACAGGCGTGAGCCACCGCGCCCGGCCTAGCTGTTCTAAATTCTATGGATAAAGTGATAAAACAGACAAAATCCCTCAACCTCAGGAGTTTACAATCCAGTGAGAGTTGATTATTGATGGCTTACACTGTTCTAAGTACTTCAGACATAATAACCAATTAATTTTCACAACCCTCTTTGTAATATTATTACCTGTATTATTATACTAAAGCACAGACAGGTTAAATAAGTTGTCCAAAGCCATACATCTATCTGTACACAATTGGCCTGGCCCCAGACTCTTATCCACTACCCCATCCCATCTATTACTTGGGAGAAAAGAGGCAGTCAAAGCTGCCAGCTCCATGGACCAGCGTGTGCCCAGAGAGAGCCCATGTTGGGAGCCCTGTCTTCCAGGCTCAAGCCTTCAGGAGAGTGGACAGATCTACAGTTAACCATGCTGAGCTCGGAAGTACGTGGGGCTCCTGAGGATGGACTGGCTATTGTCTTCTCCCCAACCTCCAAAGCTTTAGGACTCTCTATTATTGATTAAATTAATACAACGAGGTGCCCAGCGTTGTGCTAAATGCTGAGAAAACAGCAGTGAATGGGCCAGAGGACTTTCACCTTATTTGACTCTCACAATTGCTCTGAAAATAAGTAGTATATCTCCATTTCACAGATCAGGAATCTGAAGCTCAGAAAGGTGAAGTGACTGGCCCAGAGACACCTAGCAAGAGAGGGCTGGAGTAAGATTTGCACTGTGGCCCGCCAGGCTCTGAAGCCTGCGTACTTTGTGTGTGCCACACATCTCCAGCGGTGGTGGGATGAGAAGAGAAGACCTGGGATAAGGACAATGCCTGCCTCAGTTCCCCACTTCCCTCCAGCCATTGAACCCTCCTGAAGTCAAACTCAGGCAGTTTCTTCCAGGCTGTATCTCCCCGACCCTGCTGCCACCGCCCCGCCACCACCCCGCCCAATCCTAGGAACCTGGTCACTTGGTTTAGTGAGGGGAGACTCCCTGTCCCTATTGTGGCTTGAGGCAAGATTCTTAACCTCACTTTCCTCATCTTTAAATAAGGAGAGACTAGTATCTTCATGCCCCGCCAATCCCGTGAGATTTAAATGAAATATTGAGTGCAGGGGGCTTCCCGCAGTGGCCTTGCCCATGGGAGGGGCTAGGTCACTAGGCGATCTAAGGCACCGCAAGGATGTTCCCGGGGGTCAGAGGGTCCCGGCCCGCCCTCCCTGGATTTCTCGTTGATGCTTTCCTCTTCCCCCTTAGTCCCGCGAACACACACACACACTCAAGGGTCTATGTACCGTCCCCTCCTCCGAGGGTCCCCAGGACAGGCCCGGCCGCACCAGCCTCTGCCCCCAGCCCAGTGCCAAGCCTCGGACACCCGGCCGGGGAGGACCACCCCAGTCCTGCTCGAGAAACAGCCGTCGGCTCAGTGCACCCTCGGCCTCCTGCCCCAAAGGTGCAGCCCGAGAGTCCCATATCCGCGGGCAGCTAGTCCTGGGGACAAGGAAGAACCAGATCCTGGCACTGTCCCCCGGGCTACCACAGCCCCTACACCAACTCTGCCCTCGGGGCGAGCACTACCCTCTCCAGCTGCAAGGGCCCTACCCCGCGGGCGGACCCAGCCTCCCTCCCGTCCCGACGCTGTTCCTCGGGGTGAGCACCAGCGTTTGTCCCATCCCGACGCTGCCCCCCGGTGAGTGCGGCCCCCGCACCCAGCCAGTGCAGCCCTAAGGGCGAACGCGGCCCCTCACCCCATTCTGCGCGCCCAGCCCGGGCGCCCGCTCAGGCCGCTCCCCAGCCCGGCCCGCGCACCCCGGAAGTAGGAGGGTGGCCCCCGAGGAACCGGGCCCGGGACCCTCTCCTGTCCGGGCTCAGCTTCGGGGGGCTCCCGACACCGGCGCCGCCCTGGCTTGCGCCCCCCTGGGCCCGCGCCGGGCTTACCTGTCCCGCCAGGTGAGCCGCCTCCGGCTCAGCCCCTCCCCCGCCCCCTCGCCGCTCACCTGGGGCGCAGGTGAGCGTCTCGCGGGAGCGCTGCACGGGCCGCCGCTAGGGACACACTTCCTGCCTCCGCGAAGCGCTACCGCGCACCTGGACCGAGGCCCCGCCCCGGGGCTCTGCAGAGCTGCGCGTCCCCGCTCGAGTGCTCGGCCCGTTCAGCCTAGTCCGGGTAGGTGAGGTGTGGCGGGGAGGGGTCGAGAGGCGCTGGGGCTCAGTCTCCTCTTCTGTTCAACAGGCTGGTGGTCCTGTCAGTCTCTGAGCACCTGTGGAACTTCTGCCCGGCCGTAAAGCTCCAACTCAAAGGGAAGCTCTCTTCTGGGAAGCTTTCCCTGATCCTGTCTGTTTTTCTGTTGGTTAGAACAGTCCCTGTACTCAGCACACTGTCGTTTTGTTGTCTTCTGTCTCCTCCTTTAGCCTCCTACCTTGCAGGGTTTGGTCTTGTTCCCCTGTGTTCCTGGTGCTCAGCACAGGTCCTGGCACATACTAGGTGTTCAACAAATATTTTCCACTGAATGAGGCCCTGGGCCCCAATTTCTCCCTTTGCCCTGAGGCAGAACTGGGAGCCTGGGCCGCTGATCAGTTTACCTTTTCTTTTGTTCAGAGAAATCTGCAGGTAAAGACAGGAACCTCAGCTCTGAGGCCCCGAGTAGGGTAGAGGAGGGGGACCGGATATGCAGCTCTGAAAGATACATCCAGGATCAGAAGTGGTGGCCAAAATGGGCCATGGTCACTACATCCAAAAAAGGTCTCTGCAAGAGGCAACACCATTGAATGTCAATAAGGCAAGGCTCAGACTATTCTGGGTTACTGTTCCCCTTAATATTAATAACAACTCAATAACTTAACAATAGCATTAATAAACAAGTGACTTGGCCGGGCGCAGTGGCTCATGCCTGTAATCCCAGCACTTTGGGAGGCCGAGGCGGGAGGATCGCGAGGTGGGAGTTTGAGACCAGCCTGGCCAACATAGTGAAACCCAGTCTCTACTAAAAATACAAAAAATTAGCCTAGCATGGTAGCAAGTGCCTGTAATCCCAGCTACTCGGGAGGCTGAGGCAGGAGAATGGCTTGAACCCAGCAGGCAGAGGTTGCAGTGAGCCGAGATCGCGCCATTGCACTCCAGCCTGGGCGACAGAGCGAGACTCTGTCTCAAATAAACAAAACAAACAAACAAACAAGTGACTTTTAGGGAGCATCTCCAGGAGCCATGCATGCCGAAGCCGTTAATCTGTGAAGTGGGTCAGGTATTATCATATCCATTTTACAGTAAGAGGAAACTGAAGCTTAGAGAGGGGACATTGTTTGCTCAGGCAGTTGGCACAAACTGACTTTTGGCAAGGCACTTTCCTTCTCTAAACCTAATCTCTGGAGATAGTAGTACCTCTCTTTAACTGGGAGGATTAAAAGAGATCATGGATGCAACAGGAAGATATCACTGGGATGCATTAGGCATAGGTGTTCAATTTCCACCAGAGACCCTCCATCCCAGCGCCTCCCACCACATCTTGTCCACATTCCCTCCTGAGGAAAGTGCACATTGTATTCTTATTTGGAGCTCAGAGAATGAGTCACATCCTCACTTCACAGTCACATCTTGTGCAGTTGAACATCTGTGTACTCTAAAACCTAGCAAGTCCATTCCTATGGTACAGCCACAGTAAGCTCTTGTGCAATGCACCAGGAGAGAATGTATACAAGAATGTTACTAGAAACATTGTTTGTGGTAGCCCCAAACCGAAAACACGGAAATGCTACTGACAGGAGATAGAGAAATGTGGGATATTCATGCAAAGGAATTAATTATAGAGCAGTAGAAAATGAATGAAAAATAGCAACATGGTTGGATCATGGTAATATAATATTGGATTGAAAAAAGGCAAATCTCAGAAGACTACATATGGAATGACATCCTTTATATATGATTCAAAAATAACTAGAACTACTGCATCTAAGCATAATATTTGGTTGAACCATATGAATTTGCTGTTATTTGACCTGTTTTGATCTAAAAGTAATGGCAGATTCATGTGCTTCAGCCTAATTTTTACGTGAAAAAAAACTAAGAAAAGAGCAAGGCGTTGGGTGCAATAGCCTGGGCCTGTAATCCCAGCTACTTGGGAGGCTGAGGCAAGAGAATCTCTTGAGCCAAGGAGTTCAAGACCAGCCTGGGCAACATAGCAAGACCCTATCTCAAAAAAGAAAAGAAAGAAAAGAGCAAGGGAATGAGAAACACAAAGTTCAGAATAATGAATACCTGGGGGGCTAGGCATGGTGGCTCATGCCTATAATCCCAGCACTTTGGGAAGCCAAGGATTTGGGAGGTTTGGTTGAGCCCAGGACTTCAAGACCAGCCTGGGCAACATAGAAGGACCTGTCTCTATGGAAGGAAAAAAAAAAAAAAAAAAAGGCTGGTCATGCATCTGTGGTCCCAGCTACTTGGGAGGCTGTGGCAGGAGGATTGCTTGAGCCCAGGAGGTCAAGGCTGCAGTGAACCATATTAACACCACTGCCCTGCCCTCCAGCCTGGAACACACCACACACACACACACACACACACACACACACACACACACACACACAAAATTACCTGGGGGAGGATGCAGGGATCCTCCTATTAAATCTACCTGTGGGAGAGAAACCCATAGGTAGATTTAATTTTTAGCAATGTTCTGGTTTTTGTGAATAGTGGATTCAGGGGCTTTCATTTTATAATGAATGAATGAAAAAATAGAAGTTTATGCTCTAATGCTAAATAATTAGAGTTAGTGTCACTTGCAAAGTTCTCAAGATACGCAAACACATGAGAGCCTAGGGTCTTATTTATTTTATTTTATTTTATTTTATTTTATTTTTTTGAGATGGAGTCTCGCTTTGTCACCAGGCTGGAGTGCAGTGGCACGATCTCGGCTCGCTGCAACCTCTGCCTCCCGGGTTCAAGCAGTTCTGCCTCAGCCTCCCAAGTAGCTGGGACTGCAGGTGTGCACCACCATGCCCAGCTAATTTTTTTATTTTTAGTAGAGACAGGGTTTCACCATGTTGGCCAGGATGGTCTCAATCTCTTGACCTCAATGATCCGCCTGCGTCGACCTCCCAAAGTGCTGGGATTACAGGCGTGAGCCACTGCGCCTGGCCTAGGTTCTTATTTAGTTTTTGTTGTTGTTGTTGTTGTTGCTGTTGTTTGAGACAGGGTCTCACTTTGTCACCCAGTCTGAAGTGCAGAGATGTGATCTTGGCTCACAGTAGCCTCCGCCTCCTGGGTTCAAGGAATCCTCCCACCTCAGCCTCCCGAGTAGCTGGGAGTATTAAGTATTATTTAGTTTTCTCCCCATTTATTTATTCATTCTTTTTTTAAAAAGAAAAAATTAAGGTATAATTTACCTATAGTAAAATTCACCCTTTTTAGTGTACAGTTTTGTGAGTTTTGAAAAATGCATACAATGGCACAACTGCCACAGCAATCAAGATATAGATCAGTTCCATCACCTCCCAGAAATTCCCCTGAACCCCTCTGTGGTCAGTTCCTCCCCTTGACTCCAGCCCTTAACAACCACTGATCTTTCTTCTGTTTCCATAGTTTTGCTTTTTCCAGAACTTTAGCTGTAGAAGTGCAGAATTGCTCTACAAAATTCTAATTCTGTGGTACCTAAAATGCTGTAGATTAATAAGAATATGATGACTGAAGCAGCTCAGAGCTACTTTCCTTGCCTAGAAAGAATAAAGGAAGAAAGGAAGGAAGGAAGGAAGGAAGGAAATAAATAAATAAATATGATCTCTGAACCTCTGGCTACGCTTTCTGGTGAGTGTTTTGTGAAGAGTTTTGCAATAGGCACAAGGTAGCTGTTATTCTAATTATAGCCACACTGAAACCTCCCCTTTCTCTGCTCGTCTCCCTCCCTCACTCAAAGATACTGGGCCCTGTTCCGAAGGGTCCTTCCCATTGCCACGGTGCGTATTCAAAAAGTCTGTCAAAAATCAATGACACTTGGGCCAGGCACAGTGGCTCATGCCTGTAATCCTAGCACTTTGGGAGGCCGAGGCAGGTGGATCACTTGAGATCAGAAGTTCGAAACCAGCCTGGCCAACATGGTGAAACCCCGTCTCTACTGAAAATACAAAATTAGCCAGGCGTGGTAGTGGGCGCCTGTAATCCTAGCACTTTGGGAGGCCGAGGCTGGCAGATCACCTAAGATCGGGAGTCTGAGACCAGCCTGGCCAACATGGTGAAACCCTGTCTCTACTAAAAATACAAAAATTAGACAGGCATGGTGGCAGAAGCCTGTAATTGCAGCTACTCAGGAGGCTGAGGCAGGAGAATCGCTTGAACCTGGGAGGCGGAGGTTGCAATGAGCCAAGAACACTCCATTGCACTCCAGCCTAGGTGACAAGAGCAAAACTCTGTCTCAAAAAAAAAACCCAAAAAAAATCAATGACACTCTAGATACATACACAAAATAATCAGAACAGGGCTTCAAACAGATACTTGTATGCCAGTGTTCATTGCAGCATTATTCACAATAGCCAAAAGGTAGAAACAACCCAACAGATGAATGGATGAACAAAATGTGATATATACGTACAAGGGAATATTATTCAGTCATAAAAACAATGAAGTTCTGACACATGCAACAATAGGTATGAACCTTGAAGACATTATGCTAAGTGAAATAAGCCAGACACAAAGGACAAATATTGTATGATTCTCACTTACATGAAATATCTAGAATAGTCAAATTAATAGAGACAGAAAGGTTAGCCGTTATCAGGGGCTGGAGGGAGAGGGGAATGGGTAGTTACTGCTTAATGGGTACAGAGTCTCTGTTTGGAGTGATAAAAAAAAGTTTTGGAAATAGATAGTTGTGATGGTTGCACAACACTGTGAATGTAATTAATGCCACTGAATTTATATTTTAAAATAGTTTAAATGGCAGATTTTATGTAGAAGTATTTTCCCACAATTAAAAACCAAACAATAATAAAAATACTAATAATTTTATTAATCAATTTAAGTAAATAAATTTTTATTAGTCAATTTAAGTAAATAAATAAAATTTTTTAAATAAATAAATAAATAAATAAATAAATAACAAAACAAGCCAGGCGCGGTGGCTCACCCTGTAATCTCAACACTTTGGGAGGCCGAGGTGGGCGGATCACCTGAGGCCAGGAGTTCGAGACCAGCCTGACTGACATGGTGAAACCCCGTCCCTGGTAAAAATACAAAAAAATTAGCCAGGCGTGGTGGCTCATGCCTGTAATCCCAGCTAATCGGGAGGCTGAGGCAGGAGAGTAGCTTGAACCCAGGTGGCGGAGGTTGCAGTGAGATTGCGCCATTGCACTCCAGCCTGGACGCCAGAGCGAAAATCTGTCTCAAAATAAATAAGTAAATAAAAATAAATAAACAAAAAATAACAAAACCAACCCCCTCCCTACAAAACAAACAAACAAACAAACAAACAAACAAAAAACAAACAAAAAATTGACACTCTTTGAAGCAAAACAGAGTACCTTATAGGTCCATCATTCAGCCGACAAAGGAGAGAGAGGTCTACTGGGGTGAGTTTTCCGGGTCACAACCTGCCTCTCCTGTGCGCTTTCCTTTACACTTTACAAAACAAACACATTTTTTACTTGATCCATATTACAGCCCTATGAGGTTGGCAATGTCATATTCATTTTTACAAGTGGGGAAACTGAGGCCATCAAGGTTAGACCATTTGCTCAAGGCCACACTTCTAATGAGTAGTAAAGCTGGGTGGGAACCCCATCTTTCTGACTCCCCATACAATGTTCCTCACTGTGCCCTCCTCCAAGCCCTTACAGCTGTGTCTGGGTTTCTTTCTTTTTTTTGAGACAGAGTCTTGCTCTGTCTCCCAGGCTAGAGTGGAGTGGCGTGATCTTGGCTCACTGCAACCTCCGCCTCCCAGGTTCAAGTGATTCTCCTGCCTCAGCCTCCCTAGTAGCTAGGACTACAGGCGTGTGCTGCCACACCTGGCTAATTTTTTGTATTTTTAGTAGAGACGGAGTTGCATCGAGTTAGCCAGGATGGTCTCAATCTCCCGACCTCGTGATCCACCCGCCTCAGCCTCCCAAAGTGCTGGGATTACAAGCATGAGCTACCGCACCCAGCGTGTCTGGGTTTCTTTCTAAGCAGAGTGGACAACTGCCTCTGTCATCAGCCTCTTGAGCTCAGTTTTTCCTTTTGGCCTTGACCTGGGGCCATTGTCCCAATCCCCTGCTTTCCCCATGGTTGCTCCACTCTGTTCAATTTTTACTTTTCTGATCACCCTCCTCAGCCACCATTTAGGCTCCCAGGCTGGTGGTGACAGCTTGGTGGGAGGAGGGAAGTATCAAGGATGACGCTGGGCTTCTGGCTGTGTTACTGGATGAATGGAGATGACTGGGGAGGACCAGTTTGGGGTGTAAGAATGCAAACGTAGTGTTAGACCTATTGAATTTGATGGTCTGTAAGATAGCCCAGACATATCACCATTGTATCCATGGATGCCATTTTGGAGTGCTGTTTAGGAGCTGCAACACGTACAGCGCTGGGGCTGTGGAGGAGCCGTGGGTCAGGGGAATGTAGGCAGTGGTGTGTGGAGCCGGCTTCAGTGGACCTGCTTCCCTTCCTTCCCTGGGTATCTGCTGCTTGCCTCTGGTGTGCTTCTCCCATAAGGGCACTAGGGGACAGCACACAACAGTGGAAATTGCCAGAACTTCAGGGTCACAGGTTCTGACTTGGAATACTAGATGCTCAGCTGTGGTGTGAACTTAGCCTCTTTGGACCTCAGCATTTCCTTTTTTTTTTTT
Organism: Homo sapiens; assembly: GCF_000001405.40. Classification (NCBI taxonomy): domain Eukaryota; kingdom Metazoa; phylum Chordata; class Mammalia; order Primates; family Hominidae; genus Homo; species Homo sapiens. Next base: position 26,967,214 of record NC_000001.11, read on the forward strand.
TTTCTTTTTTGAAACGGAGTCTCGCTCTGTTGCCCAGGCTGGAGTGCAATGGTGCGATCTTGGCTCACTGCAACCTCTGCCTCCTGGCTTCAAGCGATTCTCCTGCCTCAGCCTCTGGAGTAGCTGGGATTACAGGCACAGGCCACCACGTGCAGCTAATTTTTGTATTTTTAGTAGAGATGGGGTTTCACCATGTGACCGGGCTGGTCTCGAATTCCTGACCTCAGGTGATCCACCCACCTCGGCCTCCTAAAGTGCTGGGATTATAGGCGTGAGCCACCACGCCTGGCCTGGACCTCAGCATTTCTCATCCAAAAATGGTTTTAACATGAGGTAAGATAACACAGTGGTTTAGAGTGTGAGTTCTGGAGCCATAGGATCTGAACTCGTGCCCCAGCTCATACACGTACTTGCTGTGTGTTCCTTTGGCCAAGTTATTGAACTCCTCTGTGCCTCAGACACCTCATCTGTAAAGTGTGGGTGATAGCTTCATGTGGTGATTACAACCGAGACCAGCACATGGTAAGTGCTAAACAGATGTTAGCTATTTTATATTAACCCCCTTCCTCACCTCCACACCCCACCCTCTGGCTCCCTGCCCCGCCATTCTGGGGCTGGGACTCTCAAAGGCAAGACCACTGCCTCTGAGAATAAGCTGAGCAAATTACTGGTATTGACCACGACTGCCTACAACATGTTAGGTTTATTATGTGCCTTATTCCATTTAATCCCCATAATAAGGCCAGCAGGGTGGCTCACACCTGCAATCCCAGCACTTTGAGTGGCCAAGACAGGAGGATCGTTTGAGCTCAGGAGTTCAGACCAGGCTGGGAAACAGCAAGACCTTGTCTCTGCCAAAAAAAAGGAAAGAAAAGAAATTAGCCAGTATGGTGATGCACGCCCGTGGTCCCAGCTACTCAGGAGGCTGAGGCAGGAGGATCACTTGAGCCTAGGAGGTCAAGGTTGCAGTGAGCAGTGATCATGCCATTGCACTCCAGCCTGGGTGACAGAGCAAGACCCTGTCCCCCAAGCGAAAAAAAAAATCCTCACAATAACTCAGTAAACAGATCTCAAACTCCTGTTTTACAGCTAAGAAAACAGAGGCTCAGAGATTTAAACCACTTGCCCAGGGTCACATAGCTAGTAAGTGGCAGAGCCTAGAGCTGAGCCCAAGTTCATTCTGGTTCAGAGCCTGAGCTCTTTGCAGTGGCTCCTCTGGGCCCCCCAGAAACTGGGTCCTTAGAGGCCGGCTGCGTTGGCTCACACCTGTAATCCTAGCACTTTGGGAGGCCGAGGTGGGCGGATCACCTGAGGTCATGAGTTCGAGACCAGCCTAACCAACATGGAGAAACTCCATCTCTACTACAAATACAAAATTAGCTGGGCATGGTGGCTCATGCCTGTAATCCCAGCTACTTGGGAGGCTGAGGCAGGAGAATCGCTTGAACCCGGGAGGTGGAGGTTGCAGTGAGCCGAGATCACACCATTGCACTCCAGCCTGGGCAACAAGAGCGAGACTCCATCTCAAAAAACAAAACAAAACAAACAAAAAAAACTGTTACGCTTGTGGGGTGGGGGTGGCGGTGAAGGGGGTGAGGGGCAAGCGAACAGGGCTCTGTACTGTGTGAGAGCTGTGGAGAGAGGTGCAGGGGAAGCCCCCTGGAACTCCAGGCTGCACTGTTAGACGGGAGCCCCCAGGGATTCCTGGGGTTCTCTGTCTTGTGCCAGTGCTGCACCCCATTGGCTGGGCCTAGAGGGAGCTGCAGGCTGAGGAACCCTATCTTGTGCCAGGTTGAGGCAGGATCTGCTGGTTGGTTCCAAGTCCCTAGTAAAAGTATTTTCCAGAGTCCTTGTGCCAAAAGAAGCTTCACCCAACCCCCTCAATTTGCCAATGAGAAAATGAGGTGCGAGAGGGGAACGAGCTTAGTTGAGGTCACATAGTGAGTAAGGGGTGGGCCTTGGTGAATATGGACCTCTGCTTCCTCACTTGCCTCTGTGTGGTGTCAGGTTAAACCTGGGTTCAGATCCTGCCTTTACTGCTTGGTGCTTTGTGAGCCTGGACAAGTGACTCAGACTCTCTGGGCTTTAGTTTCTACATCAGTGAAATGCATTTATTCATTCAGCCCTTCTCTTGGCTGCACCCTCATCCCCCACCATACTACTCCCTCACTGTTACACACACACACACACACACACACACACACACACACACACACACACACACACAGAGGAAAGGCTACACATGGCCAAGCTGAGGCTCCTGGTCACTCAGAGAGAGCACTGCAGCTCTGGCCACTGAACACCACCCCCTACGTTCTGCCCACCCCAGCCAATGTCACTTCCAAGAGCCAATGCCTCTTGGAAGCCTTCCTAGAGAGCCCCCAGCTAGAAGGCTGTCCCCTATGCTAAGTCAAGGCCATCTGGGTCCCTAAGTGATCTTGACCTCCCCTGCTGCTTTTCCTGCCTTCAGACTGAAGCTCCCAGTGGGCAAGGTCTGTTCTGATTCATCCCTGAGTCCCCAGCACCCAGCCAGGGCAGAGCCCAAAGGCTCTGGCTGGGAGTGTTTATGGAGGGGGTAAGTGAAGGAGGCCCCTCCAATTCTTCCCCTTTCTCAGGAGCCCATGACCACCAGCTTTGCCTCCCAAACCATCGATGTGGGAGAAAGTGCCCTGGAGAGAGGGTCAAACAGACCTGGGATGGAATCCTGGTCCAGCCTTTTCCTAACTGTGTGAACTTGGGAAATGACCTCACTTTTCCGAGCCTCAGTTTCCTCTTCTATAGATAGCATTCCTGAGGAGGAGACATTTAAGCTGAGAATGGAAAGACCTAGATGGAAAGACCGAGAGGAAGAGTGTTCCAGGCAGGGTGAACAGCTGGTGCAAAGGCCCTGAGGTTGGGATAAGCTCAGCATGTTAGAGGAACAGGAAGGAAGCCAGTGTTGTCCGAGTGCAGTGAGCAAGGGGGAGAGGGACTTCTTTTAATCTTTTTTTTTGAGACGGAGTCTCATGCTGTCACCCAGGCTGGAGTGCAGTGGTGCGATCTCGGCTCACTGCAACCTCCACCTCCTGGGTTCAAGTGATTCTCTTGCCTCAGCCTCCTGAGTAGCTGGAATTACAGGTGTGCACCGCCATGCCTGGGTAATTTTTGTATTTGTAGTAGAGTAGGAGTTCATCATGTTGGTCAGGCTAGTCCCGAACTCTTGACCTCGTGATCTGCCCGCCTTGGCCTCCCAAAGTGCTGGGATTACAGGTGTGAGCCACCATGCCTGCCCGGGACTTCTTTTAATCTAAGGGATATGGGAACTGACTGGAGGGTGTTGAGCCAGGGAGTGGCCCTGGTTGCTGTATGGTGATTGCAGGAAGGCAATGCTTACGCGGGGAGTCCAGGTGAGAGATGATGGCACCTGGGGACATGGTGAGAAGTGGTCAGATCCATGAAATATTCCAGAGGCGGATCCCACAGGACTGGATGCAGAGGGTGAGGGAAGAGGGGACTTAGGGTATCCCTTATTTCAGTTGCTTATTGCTGAGAAACAAACTATCCCCAAAACTTAGTGGCATAAAACAACAATGATATATTATTTCTAAAAATTCTGTGGCTTGGTTGGGGCTCAGCAGGGCAGTTCTGGTTCCGCCTGGCTGATGCATGTGGCTGGGAGCTTAGCTGAGACTGGATCACCCAAAACGGCTTGTCTTCCTCCACGGCCTCTCATCATTCAGAAGTCTAGCCGACCGTGTTTTAGCGTGGCAGCTGGCCTCCAAGAGGACAAGCCCCAGTGTGCAAATGCTTATCAAGCCTCTGCTTGCTTCATGCTTCTTGGTGTCCCGTTGCCAAAACAAGTCCTACAGCCAAGCCCAGAGTCAACATGGGAGGGGACCATACAAGACCATGGTTCATTGGAGGCCACCAGTGTAACAGTTTAGCACCACCCCTACATTTGTGGTAGAAGGAAATGAATGAAATTCAAGGGTAGAGGGGAGTGGGTGGGGTTTGCCAGAGGTCATGGGGTGATGGTGCAGGGTCCTGCCCAGGACCTCCCAAATTAGACACAGGAGGACACTGGGCTTGGGAGAGTCAGCAGCAGTGGAGACACAAAGTCCCTGGCAGGTACGGTGAGGCAGGGTGGGGTGGGAGTGGGGGTGGGGAGGGGGCAGTAATCGAGGTAGGGAACCCAAGAGGTCTCCCTGAGCCCCTACTCCGTGCCTAGCCCTGGGCCAAGCACTGAGAGAACAGGACTCAGTGAGTGACCTTGGGGAGCCCACAGTGTGTCAGGACACAGACTATGCCCAGAGATGCCAACACAACGTGAGAGGCGACAGTTTAATGCTGCAGTGGAAGGTTATCCAGGGCTCGTTGGGTCCCAGGGGAGGGATTCCAGGAGTGCTTCTCAATTTGAGGAGGCGCTAGAAAATAGTTGTTGGTCAGACAAGGTGGTGCAGGGTGAGATACCAGCCACCTTCCATCCCTGGCAGCAATAGGTAAAAGCAGACACACAAGAGAAGACCATCTGAAGATAGGATTCTTCCCATTTTATGGATAAGCAAACTGAGGCTCTGAGTGAAGAAGTAACTCAACCCAGACCTGTCTCCCCACATCCTGGGCTTCTTTCCATCCTGTCCAATTCTTGCCTAAATCATAGCGAAGGTGAGGGAAGGGAGGGCTCTCTGCAGAGCTGGTGTGGGATGGGGAGGAGCTGCTGTGGGAGTGCCCCTCCCTCTGTCCTAGGCTTGTGCTACCTCCCTTAAGGACGTCTTTTCTTACTGTGGGCAGAACCCTGTGAGGAGACATCAAGGGAGCTGGTGCCATGGACTGGGGATGGGCAGACCCAGACTTGTCCCCAAGGAGCCCCCAATCTGAGGCGGGAACCCCAGCCTTGCCTTCAGGCCCCCCTCTGTGGAATCCAGGCCTCAGAGGCTCCCCGTCTGAGGGGGCAGGGAAACACTGGTCTGATCTCAGGAACCCCAAGTCTACAGGGATGAAGGGGAACTGTGTGAAGGTCAGAAGCCATAGGTCAGGGCCAGGGAGAGCATGGAGTATCTCAGGTTGGGTCTGAGCAGGGTTCCCTACCAAGTGGGGAAGGAGAGTCATTGCCAGGTTTAGCCCTTGGGGCTCAGGTTGGGGAATAGGAAGGAGGCTGGGAGCTCAGAGCCTGGTCTAGCTCAGCCTTGGTCTGAGTGACCTTGAGTTTCACCTACTCTTCTAGGCTGGTCCTGCGGGTCTCCAGGACTCTGCCAAGCAGAGCTGCAGCACGGGAGCTCAATGACACATAAGCCATCCCAGAGGAATATGAATGGTAGAAAAAAGGAAAATATACACGAGCCAGCTGAACTCTGGCCTTCTGCAGAAGGGAAAGGCAGCCCCACATTCGACCACATCCTGAGCCCTGCTGTTCCTTCCCCCCAGCATGTCTGGGGGCAGGGGTGGGGGTGGCTGCTATGTCCTCAGAAATGGGAGGAGGAGGATGGAAGGGATGGAGGCGGAAGGGGAGGTCCTGGTATCTGATGCGCTCACAGCAAAAAGCCTCTTTTCCTTGGAACTAGAGCCTGCTGTAGGGGGCTGGAAGCCAGCCTGAGAGCCTGGGGTCTCAGGAGGGGAGGAGACTGGGGGCAGGGCAGGCAGAATCTGGGAAAGAGAGGGGATGGAGACAGAGACCTAGAGAGTCAGAAGAGAAAGAAGGGAGAAAAAAGGCAGAAGCAGGTGTAGTGGGGATGAGTACTGGTGCACACATTTAGGTAGGCAAGAAACGGGCTATTTTTAAAAACACACTTAGAGCCCTCATTCTACCTGGCTGTTGCGAAATCCAGTCTCCATCATTGTTGGGCTGTCTTAACCTGTGACAGCCCCCAGAGTTTGGCCAAGGCCCAGAAATGTTACAGAACCAGATATGAACAAGACCCTTCAGCCGGGTCCGATGGCTCATGCCTGTAATCCCAGCACTTTGGGAGGCAGAAAGGGCAGATCACTTGAGGTTAGGAGTTCAAGACCAGCCTGGCCAATATGGTGAAACCCCATCTCTAGTAAAAATACAAAAAGTAGCCGGGTGTGGTGGCGGGTGCCTGTAATCCCTCAGCTCGGGAGGCTGAGGCAGGAGAATGGCTTGAACCCAGGAGGTGGAGGTTGCAGTGAGCTGAGATTGCACCATTACACTCCAGCCTGAGCGTTGCAGCGAGACTCTGTCTCAAACAACAACAACAAAAAAAAAAAAACCACAAAGATTAGCCGGGTGTGGTGGCATGCGCCTGTAGTCCCAGCTTCTCAGGAGGCTGAGACAGGAGAATTGCTTGAACCCAGGAGGTGGATGGAGGTTGCAGTGAGCCAAGATCTTACACCACTGAACTCCAGCCTGGGTGACAGAGTGAGACTCTGTCTCAAAAACAAAAAACAAAAAACAAAAACAAAGCCCTTCAGTCTGGTTACCAGGCTGCTCTGGTCACCTGACCCGCATTACCCCATCAGGTCAGGGACTGTGCCATTTGATGCCAGCTGTGCATGGAACATGCAATCTTTGCTGATCTGGGAGCCATGTGGGATCCCACCTTCTGAATGGCACTCATCCCCTTGAACTCAGACCCTGGATCCCTTCCCTGGAACTGGGGAACCTGAACTGCCATCCCTGCCTAAGAGGCTGGGGAAGGAGCTTCCCACTCTGGTCCCTGGGTCTGGAGACCTGTCCCTCAGCATCCTACAACCAAGCAGCTGGGACCAGCCTAGCAATCCCTCTTGGGCCTGGAAGCTTCAGGCCCAGCCAGAGAGCCTGCTAAGGTCGGGGTGGGAGGATCCCAGGATCCCCACCCCTGGGTGGTGGGGGGACAGCAGCCAGCCAGAGCTGGAGCTTCAACGTGCATGAGCAGGAGGGACCTGATCCAGAACTCAACGGCTGAGAAACTATTCAGTGCATGTTTATGATGTGTCTGCAGTGGGTCCTGGGCTACAAGACACCATGTGACCTGACCCTTACACATTTGTTTTTAAACTTTGTAATGTGAAATATCTCATACATTGAGAAGAATATATGTATGTGTGTGTATGTATACATGTGTGTATATGTGTATACATATATACATATAAAATATACATGTTTGTACATATATCTAGATAAAAGTATATGTATCATTTAAATATTAAAAATGTAATGAACAGGCTGGGTGCGGTGGCTCATGCCCGTGATCCCAGCACTTTGGGAGGCCGAGGCAGGCGGATCACGAGGTCAGGAGATCGAGACCATCCTGGCTAAAACGGTGAAACCCCATCTCTACTAAAAATACAAAAAATTAGCCGGGGGTGGTGGCGGGTGCCTGTAGTCCCAGCTACTCGGGAGGCTGAGGCAGGAGAATGGCGTGAACCTGGGAGATGGAGCTTGCAGTGAGCCGAGATTGCGCCACTGCACTCCAGCCTGGGTGATAGAGCAAGACTCAGTATCCAAAAAAAAAAAAAAAAAAAAATGTAATGAACATCCAGGCAGCCAGCACTAATTTAATGAGATTTTCCAGTACTTTTTTTTTTTTTTTTTTTGAGACGGAGTCTCACTCTGTCGTCCGGGCTGGAGTGCAATGGCATGATCTTGGCTCGCTGCAACCTCCGCCTCCCGGGTTCAAGTGATTCTCCTGCCTCAGCCTCCCGAGAAGCAGGGACTACAGGCATGTACCACGCCTAGCTAATTTTTTGTATTTTTAGTAGAGATGGGGTTTCACCCTGTTAGGCAGGATGGTCTTGATCTCCTGACCTGGTGATCTGCCCGCCTCGGCCTCCCAAAGTGCTGGGATTACAGGCATGAGCCACCGAGCCGGTCACTTTTTTTTTTTTTTTTTTGGAGACAGGGTCTCATTCTGTCACCCAGGCGGGAGTGCAGTGGCACCATCTTGGCTCACCGCAACCTCCACCTCCAGGGTTCAAGCACTTCTCATGCCTCAGCCTCCTGAGTAGCTGGGACTACAGGTGTGTGCCACCACGCCCAGTTAATTTTTTGTATTTTTAGTAAAGACGGAGTTTCACCATGTCGGCCAGGCTGGTCTAGAACTCCTGACCTCAGGTGATCTGCCCACCTCAGCCTCCCAAAGTGCTGGGATTACAGGCATGAACCCCCACGCCTGGCCCTATTATCTTTTAAATCTCAGCAACAACTATAGTTAAGTCCCTTTCTTCAAGCCTAACATTGTTTATTTGTGCCACCTCCCTTTCTTTGTCTTGATCAATTTTGCCAGGAGTTGCTCAGTATCGTTACTCTATCAGTTAGGAATTGGATTCAGCTGGAATCTAATCCGAGGCCAGCAGCTCACTGTTCTGTCATCCCGAGGGCCAGGCCCCTGCTTGTTCCTAAGGTTCTTGATGGCATTCACCAAATCTGAGTTTCTGACAGCAAGATGGAGAAAAGTAGAGAGAAAAGGGCAAAGGTTGTGGCTACTTGTTCTCACTGGCCGCTTAATATCAGCCCAAGGCTCAGCCCTTGGTCCTCTCCTCTCATCTCACGGTCATCTCATCCAGTTCAGTGCCAGCTATGTGATCATTCCAAATTCATATCTACAGCCCCATCCCCTGCCTTGAGCTCCAGAAACAATTTCAACTGCCCACTTGAAATCTCTGCTTGAATATCTAAAAGGCATTTCAAACTCAACATGTCTAAAATTGCACTCCCTAGAAAAGAAATCCAACACAATGCTGGAGCCCCAAATGGCCCCTTTCTTCTGAATGCTTTCTGATTGCAATGGTGATTGCAACTTGGCTTCCCCTCCCCAAATAGAATACAACTCCTGGTACTGCATCATTCAATGGAACTCAACCTGTATTTTATTTTATTTTTTTTTAGATGGAGTTTTGCTCTTGTTGCCCAGCTGGAGTGCAATGGCACGATCTCTTGGCTCATCGCAACCTCCACCTCCCGGGTTCAAGCGATTCTCCTACCTCAGCCTCCCAAGTAGCTGGGATTACAGACATGTGCCACCACACCCGGCTAATTTTGTATTTTTAGTAGAGACGGGGTTTCTCCATGTTGGTCAGGCTGGTCTCGAACTCCCGACCTCAGGTGATCCGCCTGCCTTGGCCTCCCAAAGTGCTGGGATTATAGGCGTGAGCCACTGTGCCCAGCCAGGTGCATTAAAAAAAAAAAGAAAGAAAGAAAGAAAGAAAGAAAATAGAAGCCGGGCACGGTAACTCACACCTGTAATGCCAGCACTTTGGGAGGCCGAGGTGGGCTGATCACCTGAGGTCAGGAGTTCCAGATCAGCCTGGCCAACATGGTGAAACCCCGTCTCTACTAAAAATACAAAAATTAGCCGGGCATGGTGGCATGCGCCTGTAGTCCCAGCTACTTGGGAGGCTGAGGCAGGAGAATCTCTGGAACCCGGGAGGCGGAGGTTGCAGTGAGCCAAGATGGCGCCACTGCACTCCAGCCTGGACAACAGAGTGAGACTCCATTTCAAAAAGAAAATAGAATGGCATAGAATAGATTGGCAAGGAAATATCAGTGTGCCCCACACATAATTGGGGTGAGTATGGCTTGTGAAACTTTTGTCTATATATTGGGTCCTGTTGTAAAATGCCAAATCATGAGCTGAAGTAAAAAAAATTTTTGACTGATCTAGGCCTCAGGGTTCAACAGGTGGCCTCGGGGTTCAACAGGTGCCCTTGGGACAAATGCCAGCTATAAGGCTCATTTACTGAAGAGGAGTGGCCCTTTCTTATTATTTCTGTTAATTTTTTTCCCTTACTGCATAGTCAGTCCATTGTGGAGGCCAAAGCAACTCCACCTTGGATGCTAATCTGTCATGTTGACTTCTGATTAACCCTAGTTCCAGGAAGGCCTCTAAGATTTCCAGTTCTTTGTGTAAGCACAGGTACTTACCATAAATCCTGCCCTTAAGTCAACCTTAAAACAACCTTGATGTTTTCATACTTCAGTTGTCCTATACATCTCTTCAGAATCATGTCTACTCTTTCCCTGTGGTAGATAAGCCCTGGGTCAGGGGTAATGACACAGGGATCCACCATCACTGTCCCCCGAGAAACAGGCATAGCTTCTGTTTGTAAGTCCCTATTACATGTTTCTTTCTGAAAAACTGGATCTGTCAGCCTTTTTTTCTTTCTTTCTTTCTTTTCTTTCTTTCTTTCTTTCTTTCTTTCTCTCTTTCTTTCTTTCCTTTTCTTTCTTTCTTTTTTTTTTTTTTTTGAGATGGATTTTTGCTCCTGTTGCCCAGGCTGGAGTGCAATGGCGCAATCTTGGCTCACTGCAACCTCCACCTCCCAGGTTCAAGCCATTCTCCTGCCTCAGTCTCCCTAGTAGCTGGGATTACAGGTGCCCACCACCACGCCCGGCTAATTTTTTGTATTTTTAGTAGAGATGGGGTTTCACTATGTTGGCCAAGCTGGTCTCAAACTCCTGACCTCAGGTGTTCCACCCACCTCAGCCTCCCAAAGTGCTGTGCCACCATGCCCGGCTTAGCCTTTTTCTTCAGCCTCTTAGCTTCTTCAGACTTTGAGGATAGGTTTGCATAGGCCTGCCCAGGACAGGACTTCAGGACATCATCAATGCCTTATAAAAGATAATTTTGGAACATATCTATATTTTTTTAAGTGCTATATATGAGGAAGGGTTTCTCTGCACCCTTCTTCTTCCATTTTGTTGGAAATGGAACTCTCTTCCTGTGGCTCTATCCCTTCTCATTCCGTCAGCACAGAGTGTTGTGTTCCTGCTTTAGGTGCTGACTGCATTCCACAAATGAGCCAAATTCTCTTCTGCAAAGTCTTTGCACTTTCTGTTCCTTCCCTCTGGGTTGCTCCTTCATGGCACTCCCTGGACTGGCTCCCTTGCATCCTTCAGAATTTATTGGCTCACTTAACTAAAAAGTCCAAGGGTAGAACTACCTTCAGATACTCCTGGCATCAGGTGCTCAGGTGATTTTACCACTCATCTGGTTTCTCTGTTTCTGTGCTCTCCTGCCAGGCAGGCGCGTCCTCAGGCAGGCACTTTTCTTGTGATGGCAAGATGGCTGCCTGCATCTCCATGTTTATAATCTATTTGGTCAAAAATTCTCAAGTGGCCGGGTGTGGTGGCTCACGCCTGTAATCCCAGCACTTTGGGAGGCTGAGGTGGGTGGATCATGAGGTCAGGAGCTCAAGACCAGCCTGGCCAAGATGGTGAAACCCCGTCTGTACTAAAAATATAAAAGTTATCCGGGCATGGTGGCGGGCGCCTGTCATCCTAGCTATTCAGGAGGATGAGGCAGGGAGTTGCTTGAACTCCATCTCAAAAAAAAAAAAAAATTCTCAAATAAAGAGTTTCTCTTTCTCAACAGTTTCAGCAAACATCCCAGTATTGAGTTTCATTGGCCAGGCCAGGGTCACAAGCCCATTCCTAAAGATGGGCCCATTCCTAAAGACAAAAAACATGCACTGAGGCCGGGTGCGGTGGCTCATGCCTGTAATCCCAGCACTTTGGGAGGCCGAGGCAGGCAGATCACCTGAGGTCAGGAGTTCGAGACCAGCCTGACCAACATGGAGAAACCCTGTCTCTACTAAAAATACAAAATTAGTCGGGCGCGGTGGTACATGCCTGTAATCCCAGCTACTCGGGAGGCTGAGGCAGGAGAATCACTTGAACCTAGGAGGTGGAGGTTGAGGTGAGCCGAGATTGTGCACTCCAGCCTGGGCAACAAGAGCAAAACTCTGTCTCAAAAAAAAAACCAAAAAAAAAACCCAACAAACATGCACTGAGCAGGTAGGAGAGATGGTTCCCCACAAAATATAAAGTCACTGTTACCAAAAGTAGGACAAATGGATGCTTGGAGGGCAAAAGCCACAGCTGCCTACTCCATCATCCTCGACTTCCCTTTCTACTGTAGGTTTCCTTGGTTATTCCCTACACTTCACTGTTCACTTCCTTCATAGCGCATATGACCTTATTTGTGTAGACTCTATGGCCTTCCTCTCTTGCCCTGGCTTGAGAGTGCTCAGAGGGAAGGGTTCTTGCCTGTCTTGATCACTGCTACATCCCCAGCACTTGGAGCAGTGTCTGCACACAGTAAGTGCTTAATAAAGGCTTGTGGCAGGAATGAACTTGCTGGAGAGCCAGGCTCTCATGCTTTCTTTTTCCTTTCAACTTCTTTTATTATTATGATTATTTTTTTTTTGGAGAAGGGGGTCTTGCTCTGTCACCCTGCTAAAAGGCAGTGGCACCATCATAGCCCACTACAGTCCCAACCTCCCAGGCTCAAGCAATCCTCCTCCCTCAGCCTCCCTAATAGCTGGGGCTACAGGAGCGTGCCACCACACCCAGCTAATTAAAAAAAAAAAAATTTCTTTTGGCCAGGCACGGTGATTCATGCCTGTAACCCCAGCACTTTGGGAGGCCGAGGCAGTGGATCACCTGAGGTCAAGAGTTCGAGACCAGCCTGGCTAACATGGTGAAACCCTGTTTCTACTAAAAATACAAAAAATTAGCCTGGCGTGGTGGCACGCGCCTGTAATCCCAGCTACTTGGGAGGCTGAGGCAGGATAATCACTTGAACTGGGGAGGCAAAGGTTGCAGTGAGCTGAGATCACGCCATTCTCCATCTCAAAAAAAAAAAAAAATTGTAGAGGCCGGGCACAGTGGCTCACACCTGTAATCCCAGCACTTTGGGAGGCCAAGGCAGGCAGATTACTTGAGATCCAGAGTTCTAGACCAGCCTGGCCAACATGGTGAAACCCCGTCTCTACAAAAATACAAAAATTAGCCGGGCATGGCAGCATGCACCTATAATCCCAGGTGCTCAGGAGGCTGAGGCGGAATCACTTGAACCCAGGAGGCAGAGATTGCAGGGAGCCAAGATTTCGCCACTGCATCCCAGCCTGGGCAGCAAAGTGAGACGTCGTCTCAAAAAAAAAAAAAAAATTCTCCTTTCGGCTCAGAGGAGGCCAAGGTGCAACTTTCTTTGGTCGTCCCAAATCCGGGTTCATCCGACACCAGCCGCCTCCCCAGTGCCATGGAAGTTTGACCCCAACGAGATCAAAGTCATATACCTGAGGTGCACCAGGAGTGAAGTTGGTGCCACTTCTGCGCTGGCCCCCAAGATCGGCCCCCTGGGTCTGTCTCCCAAAAAGGTTGGTGATGACATTGCCAAGGCAACGGGTGACTGGAAGGGCCTGAGGATTACAGTGAAACTGACCAGTCAGAACAGACAGGCCCAGATTGAGGTGGTGCCTTCTGCCTCTGACCTGATCATCAAAGCCCTCAAGGAACCACCAAGAGACAGAAAAAAACAGAAAAATATTAAACATAGTGGGAATATCACGTTTGATGAAATCTTCAACATTGCTTGACAGATGCAGCACCAATCTTTTTTTTTTTTTTTTTTGAGACGGAGTCTCACTCTGTCGCCCAGGCTGGATTGCAGTAGCACGATCTCCCGTTCACTGCAAGCTCTGCCTCCTGGGTTCACGCCATTCTCCTGCCTCAGCCTCCCGAGTAGCTGGGACTACAGGCACCTGCCACCACGCCCGGCTAATTTTTTATATTTTTAGTAGAGATGGGGTTTCACCGTGTTAGCCAGGATGGTCTCGATCTCCTGAACTCGTGATCCACCCGCCTCGGCCTCCCAAAGTGCTGGGATTACAGGCGTGAGCCACCGCCCCTGGCCCGCAGCACCAATCCTTAGCTAGAGAGTTCCCTGGAACCATTAAAGAGATCTCGGGGACTGCCCAGTCTGTGGGCTGCAATGTTGATGGCCACCACCCTCATGACATCATAGATGACATCAACAGTGGTGCTGTGGAATGCCCAGCTAGTTAAGAAGCACAAAGGAAAATATTTTAATAAAGGATCATTTGACAACTGGTGAAAAAAAATTATTTTTGTAGAGATAGGGTCTCACTTTGTTGCCCAGGCTAGTCTGGAATTCTGGGCTCGAGCAATCCTCCTGCCTTGGCCTCCCAAAGTATGGGGATTACAGGTGTGAGCCACTGCTCCTGGGCCCAAAAATTCTTGACCTTGATTTCTCAGCCCGATCTGCTGTTTCTTGGTTTTCCCCATTTCAGACAAGGGTACCCTAATCCACCCTGCTGCTTCATCCACAAAGCCAGAGGGCATTCTCTCATCCCCACACTAATCCATGTATAAGTCCTTTCGTTCACCTCCAAATAAAACTCAAACCCATCCCCCATCCCAGCCCTTGCCAGCACGCCTGGCACCATTCCCTCTCAGCTGGGATTATGGCAGTAATCTGCTAACTGGTCTCCTTCATTCCCTTCTTGCTCCCTTTTAGTCCATTCATTTTACACAGCAAACAGCATGATCTTTTAAAAACAAATCAGATCATGTTGATCCCCAACTTAAACCATTTAAAGGCTTCCCCTGCAATTAGAGTAAAATCTGAAATCCTCACCCTGGCCTTCAGGCCCAAGCTGTGTCTCTACCTTAGTCCTCCTCACCTTCCTGCTGGCTCACCAGGCACTGCACACACTGATTTTTCTGCCTCAGGGCCTTTGCACTTCCTATTTCTTCTGCTGTGAAATCTCACTCCCCAATTCCACATGCCTGGTTCCTGCTCATCTTTCAGGTCTCAGCTTAAATGTCACTAAAGGAGAACACTTAATACCTCCCTGACTCCCTTTTCTATCATGTCACTAGCTTATTCCTTGATCATGATTTCTAGGGAAGAACTCTGGAGGCACACTACCGGGGTGTTGAATCCTATTTCCACTGCTCCTTGACTATGTGACCTTAGCTATTCGCCTCTCTGTCCTTCAGTTTCCTCATCTGCAAAATATAGTACCCTGTAGGATCAGTACCTGGCATAGAGGAAGCATTAAGTAAATATTTTAATTAAAAAACAAATTTTGGGCCAGGCGCGGTGGCTCACACCTGTAATCCCAGCACTTTGGGAGGCCGAGGCGGGCGGATCACAAGGTCAGGAGATCGAGACCACGGTGAAACCCTGTCTCTACAAAAAATACAAAAAATTAGCTGGGCGTGGTGGCGGGCGCCTGTAGTCCCAGCTACTCGGGAGGCTGAGGCAGGAGAATGACGCGAACCCGGGAGGTGGAGCTTGCAGTGAGCTGAGATTGCGCCACTGCACTCCAGCCTGGGCGACAGAGCGAGACTCCGTCTCAAAAAATAAATAAATAAATAAATAAATAAATAAATAAATAAATAAATAAAAATAAAAAATAAAAAATAAATTTTAGGCCAGGCATCATGGCTCATGCCTGTAAAAAAATTTTTTTTAGAGACAGGGTCTCTGTCATCCAGGCTGGAGTGGAGTGGTGCAATCATAGCTCACTGCAGCCTCAAAATCCTGGGCTCAAGCGATCCTCCCATCTCAGCCACCTGAGTAGCTGGGGCTACAGGAACACACCACCATGCCTGGCTAATGTTTTTATTTTTATTTTTGTAGACATGGGGTCTTGCTTTGTTGCAACTTGAACTCTTGGCTTCAAGCGATCCTCCTGCCTCAGCTTCCCAAAGTGCTAAGATTATAGGTGTGAGCCAACCATGCCTGGCCTTAAATATTTTTAAAATATTTATTTATTTATTTAGAGATAGGGTCTCACTCTGTCACCCAGGTTGGAGTACAGTGGTGCAATCATAGTTCACTGCAGCCTCAAACTCCTGGGCTCAAGCAATCCTGCCTCAGACTCCCGAGTAGTTAGGACTATAGGTGTGAGTCACTGTGCCCAGCCATAAATATTAGAAGGTATTTTATTATTCCCTCATGGTACATTTCTTGGGATTTAACTATTTTGATTTATGATATGTAAGCTTTGTGGAAACAGGGATTGCATTGCACCTCTTGTATTTACTGCTGTGCCTCTAGCACCTTGCACAGTGGCTGGTGCATAGTAGGTGCTTAATGACATTGAATGAATGCATGAAAACAAATGTGACCTCAGCCCTTATGGAACTGACATTGCCCCTACTTGCCCTTCAAGGTATGGCTATTTTAGAGGTGTGAAAACTGAGTCCCTAAAGGTGGGGCAATTTGGCTGGGTGCGGTGGCTCACGCCTGTAATTACTTTGGGAGGCCAAAGCGGGTGGATCACTTGAGGTCTGGAGTTCGAGACCAGCGTGGCCAACAGGGTGAAACCCCGTCTCTACTTAAAAAAAAAAAAAATACAAAAATTAGCCAGGCGTGGTGGCAGGCACCTGTAATCCTAGCTACTCGGGAGGCTGAGGCAGAGAATCGATTGAACCGGGGAGTTGGAGGTTGCAGTGAGCCGAGATCGCACCACTGCACTCCAGCCTGGGCGACAGAGTGAGACTTTGTCTCAAATAAAAAAGAAAAAAAAAAAAAAAAGGAGGGGTGATTTGAGTAATGCTTCAAGGGAGAGAAGGTATAATTTCTACTTATCAGAAACGTGATAAGTTTCTCTTCCTCGGGGCTGTCTACAGAAGTGGGAGCCATCTTCTCAGCAGCATGGTCACCCTCACACCCCTCAGGAAGCCAAGATCATCAAAAAGAGGACCAAGAAGTTCATGTGGCATCGTGAACAGTCTGATGGATGGAGCAGACTGTTAAGTGAAAATTAAGTGTAACTGACAGAAACCTAGTGTTATTGGCAGTAGGGTACAGAGAAGATTCAAGGGCCAAATCTTGATGCCCAGCATTGGGCATAGGCAGAACAAGAAAACCAGGCACATGCTGCCCTGTGGGTTCTGGAAGTTCCTGGTCCACAATGTCAAGGAGCTGGAAGTGCTGCTGATGTGCAGCAAATCTTACTGTGCTGAGACTGCTCGCAATGTTTCCTCCAAGAACCACAAAACCTGAGTGGAAAGAGCAGCATAACTAGCCCCCAGAGTCTCCAACCCCAATTCCAGGCTGCACAGCAAAGAAAATGAATAGACGGCTCACGTGCATGCATGCCTGATTCATGTTTAAATAAAACCACGAAAACTGCAAAAAAAAAAGTAACACCAAAAATGTGATGAAGCATCAAAAGCATGTGGAACCTGCTACCGCCACTGTGAACACAAGTCATAGCCTTTTATTCTAGGAATAATAACTAGGGCAAAGCTTTCTTCACAAGAGAAATCAAACACAGAGAAATCTGGGCTCCCTGTATAGAGCAGCAGCATAGATGGATTGTAGTGCTGTTGACTGAGATGACATTGACACGGCAGTTGTGCCTTCCTGAGGAAGACATCCAGTCCCCTATCCAAGTAATTGGCACCCACACCAACATTTTGTTCATGTCTTATTTAGGAATCCAGAGGCCTCATTTCAAAAAAAATTTTTTCGAAACAGGGTCTTACTGTGTTGCCCAGGCTGGAGAGCAGTGGCACAATCTCGGCTCACTGCAGCCTCGACCTCCTGAGCTCAAGCGATCCTCCCACCTCAGCCTCCTGAGTAGCTGGGGCTACAGCCATGTGCAACCATGCCCAGCTAATTCTTAAATGTTTTTGTAGAGACGGGGTCTCCCTATGTTACCCACGCTGACCTCAAATTCCTGGGCTTAAGTGATTTTCCTGCTGCAGCCTCCCAAAGTGCTGAGATTACAAGCACGAGCCACCGCGCCCGGCTTCCAGAGGCCTCATTTTACAAATGCAGGAACAGAGTCAGAGAGGTGAAGGAGAGTGCTCAGGTCCACACAGTGAATTAAGCCCAAGTCTTCTGGCTTCTAGGAAAGATTTCTTTATTCTTTTCTTTTCTTTTTGAGATGGAGTCTTGCTCTGTCACCCAGGCTGGAGTGCAGTGGCACAGTCTTGATCTCAGCTCACGACAACCTCTGCCTTCCGGGTTCAAGCGTTTCTCCTGCCTCAGCCTCCCGAGTAGCTGGGACTCTAGGCGTGTGCCACCATGCCCAGCTAATTTTTGTATTTTTAGTAGAGATAGGGTTTTACCGTGTTGGTCAGGCTGGTCTCGAACTCCTGACCTTGTGATCTGCCTGCCTTGGCTTCCCAAAGTGCTGGTATTACAGGTGTGAGCCACCACGCCCAGTGGAAAGATTTCCCTAAGCCCTAATTGATATAAAAGCTTTTTGTTTGTTTGTTTGTTTGTTTGAGACAGAGTCTCACTCTGTCACCCAGGCTGGAGTGCAGTGGTGCGATCTCGGCTCACTACAACCTCCACCTCCCGGGTTCAAGTGATTCTCCTGCCTCAGCCTCTCGAGTAGCTGGGATTACAGTGTGCACCCTTGCACCCAGCTTTTTTGTTTTTAATTAGAAAAAGTATTTGTTTCTGCTCCTTTCATACATCTTATTGTTCAGGAAAGTCTTACATACAATTCTGAAATAATCTACCATCACACACTCTAGTTAAAGTGAAGCACCATAGATAAAGCTGATCAGCTGTCCAGAGTTCTCAGTTTATGTAATCTTGCTTCTTGATTTTATGTTAATTTCTGAAAATCAGAAATGTCATCTCTAAAAAATGGTAAGGGGGTTGTAAAAAATAATCACTTTACTTGATATTATAGTTGAGATATAGAGTATATTTTCTTTAAGAAATGAAAAACTAAGAAGAAAATGCCACTCAACATCGTTGGTACAGCAATAGGTCAGCAGGAAAAAAAAATACTGTGATAAACTTGTCTCTTTAATACCAAGAAGAAATTCTAATCCAAGCTTCAATATGCTTCCTGTTTTTTCACTAGAAGTTTCTTTTACTGCTGCTCTTCATTCTTTTCCACATTTCATATTAGAGGATTGGTACAGCCTTTAAAACTTCATTGACAAGAAAAAATCCAGTATCCACTGATTTCTTCTCAAAGGCACTCTAACCCATCAGATAGCTCGGCAGTTTCATTCTCATGAATACTCTAGCCATGAAAATACTCAATAGAACACAGACAAATCCAATGAATAGAAGAAGAAATCTATTGAGTTTTGGGATATTTGGTGCATTCAATTGGTCCAGGATTATGAAACCTAAACCTCCCATTGTAAACAGGAAGCTGGATGCAAGTCCTTCCATAATATATTGTCCATTTACTCTATAGGCAAAGAAAGCTACTGGCCTCTGATGCCCATGTTCATCAGTCATAGAGCCAACACTTGGAGGTTCAACAATAACATCATAAATGATTCCTCCGGTAATGAGGAAGACACCACCACCAGAGCATACAGTCATGGCCGACAGCATGTGCAGCCAGGGCGGCTTCTTCAGCTTCAGGTTAGGACATTCAAGCACTAAGAACAGGACATGGTACAAAATCTCCATGTTGGTTGCATAAAGGCAAAAGCTCTTTATTTTATTTTATTTATTTATTTATTTATTTATTTATTTATTATTATTTTGGAGACGGAGTTTCACTCTGTCATCCAGGCTGGAGTGCAGTGGTGCAATCTCAGCTCACCGCAATCTCCGCCTCCCAGGTTCAAGAGATTCTCCTGCCTCAGCTTCCCAAGTAGCTGGGACTACAGGCATGCACCACCATGCCCGGCTAATTTTTGTATTTTTAGTAGAGATGGGGTTTCACCACATTGACCAGGCTGATCTTGAACTCCTGATCTCAGGTGATCCACCTGCCTCGCCCTCCCAAAGTGCTGGGATTACAGGTGTGAGCCACCGTGCCTGACCCATATAAAAGCTCTTGATATAACAATGGAGAGAAAGGAGCAAGGAGGAGAAGAAGAATGAGGAAGCATTGAATCAGGTGTTCACTGGCAGGCAGGAACACTGACAGGTGTGTAGGGCAACCAGAGACCTTGTGGGGAGGGCAGGGGAGTCTGTTAAGGAAAGGGAAGGTGGAGGCTGGGGCCTGACTGGGTTATTTTCGGAGCTGCTATCTTTGTCTGCATCTGCTAAATTATTAAACTGAGATCACTTCCTAGAGGGTGCCAGGCCAGGTTGCCAGGGAGAGGCTGAAAGGGAGAGGTTGGATCTCTTAGCAGAGGACTCAAATATTCTAGGCTGGGATGGACATATACTCCTCAGGCCTTGACCCCTTCCCCACCCCACTCTCAGCTAATGGAGGGGATTGGGGATCCTGCTTGGGGCCACAGCCACAGTCACTGTCCCCTCCACAAGGCTGTCTCTTCTGGCTGCTGTCCTGGAGGCAATAGATACATACTGGACCAGACTCTGGAACCTGGTCCCATCTCAGCTGCCTCTTCTCTTTCAGGGTCTCAAACTCAGGCCACAGGTTTTGAGTCAGATAGATACGACCAGATATGACCATAGATATGTGAGATCTTGGGCATATCCTTGCATGAGTCAATGTCCTTGTCTATGCCATAGATATTAGCCGTTCCACTTCTCAGATGAAAACCCTGACGTTCAGAGAACAAAGGTGCCTCTCTCAGGGTTGCATAGCTAGAAAAGGACTGAACTTCGATTCAAACATAAGTCTTTCTGATTTCAGGCTCCTTTCCTCTATTCTTTCTTTTTTAAATTTTTTTGAGATGGAGTTTCGCTCTTGTTGCCCAGGCTGGAGTGCAATGATGTGATTTCGGCTCACTGCAACCTCTCCCTCCTGGGTTCAAGAAATTCTGCCTCAGCCTCCCAAGTAGTTGAGATTACAGGCGTGCGCCACCACACCTGGCTAATTTTGTATTTTTAGTACAGATGGTGTTTCACCATGTTGGTCAGGCTGGTTTTGACCTCCTGACCTCAAGTGATCCACCTGCTTCGGCCTCCCAAAGTGCTGGGATTACAGGCGTGAGCCACCACGCCCAGGCTTTTTCTTTTCTTCTTCTTCTTGTTTTCTTTCTTTTTTTTTTTTTAAAGATACAGGGTCGGCTGGGTGAATACTAAGAATACAAAAATTAGCCAGGTGTCGTGGCGGGCGCCTGTAATCCCAGCTGCTCAGGAGGCTGAGGCAGGAGAATTGCTTGAACCTGGGAGGCGGAGGTTGCAGTGAGTTGAGATCGCACCATTGCACTCCAGCCTGGGTGACACAGTGAGACTCCATCTCAAAAAAAAAAAAAAAAAAAAGAGAGAGAGAGGGTCTTTCTGTGTCTCCCAGGCCAGAGTACAGTGGTGCAGACGCTGCTCACTGCAGCCTCAAACTCCTGGGCTCAAGGGGTCCTCCTGCCTCAGCCTCCCATGTAGCTACAGGCGTGCACCACCAAATCTGGCTAATTTTTTAAATTTTTCATAGAGACAGAGAGTCTTGCTATGTTGCCCAGGCTGGTCTCAAACTCCTGGACTGAAGCAATCCTCCCATCTTGGCCTCCCAAAGTACAGGATTATAGGCACGAACCACTGTGCTTGGCCTATTATTTTTATTTTTTGAGATGAGGTCTTGCTCTGTCACCCAGGCTGGAGTGCAGTGGCAAGAGACAGCTCACTGCAGCCTCGACTTCCTGGGCTCAAGCGATCCTCCCACCTCAACCTCCTGAATAGCTGGGACTACAGGCATGCACCACCATGCCCAGGTAATTTATTTTTATTTTTCATAGAGATGAGGTCTCACCATATTGCCCAGGCTGGTCTTGAACTCCTAGTTGCTCAAGTGATCCTCCTGCCTCAGTCTCCCAAAGTGCTGGGATTACAGGCATAAGCCACCTTGCCTGACAGCCTATTCTTTTTCAGTATTTTAGTATTTTATCTGTCTTCCAGATTTTCTACAAAAGGAATGTACTCTATAACTTTTATAAAGATCAGAAAAACACAATAATCATTACAGTTATGGATGGATTTCTTCATTCCAGGTGTTGTGTTTGCTGGGCTGGATGTGCACTAATAGGTGGTAGACTGTGGCTCCTATCCACTCCGAGAGTGTGGTGCTCAGGCCAGTTAAGAAAGCTGACAAGAAGCTGGGCACAGTGGCTGACGCCTGTAATCCCAGCACTTTGGGAGGCAGAGGCGGGCGGATCGCTGGAGGTTGGGAGTTCGAGACCAGCCTGATCAACCTGGAGAAACCCTGTCTGTACTAAAAATACAAAATTAGCCAGGCGTGGTGGCTCATGCCTGTAATCCCAGCTATGCGGGAGGCTGAGGCAGGAGAATCGCTTGAATCTGGGAGGCGGACGTTGTAATGAGCTGAGATTGCACCACTGCCCTCCAGCCTGGGCAACAAGAGCAAGACTCCGTCTCAGAAAAAATAAATAAATAAATAAATAAATAAATAAAATAAAAAAGAATAAATGAATGAATGGAGAAGGGAACTCTCCATTCTCAGCAAGCTCTACCCTTGTGTTTTCTTTTCTTTCTTTCTTTCTTTTTTTTGAGACGGAGTCTCTCTCTGTTGCCCAGACTGGAGTGCAGTGGCGCAATCTCAGCTCATTGCAACCTCTCCCTCCTGGGTGCAAGCAATTCTCTGTCTCAGCCTCCCCAGTAGCTGGGATTACAGGTACCCGCCACCATGCCCGGGTAACTTTTTTGTATTTTTAGTAGAGATGTTTCACCATCTTGGCCAGGCTGATCTTGAACTCCTGACCTCGTGATCCACCCGCCTCTGCCTCCCAAAGTGCTGGGAATACAGAAGTGAGCCACCGCACCCGGCCTACCCTTGTGTTATTTTTATTTTTCTTCCTTCCTTCCTTCCTTCTTTCCTACCTTCTCTCTCTCTCTCTCTCTTTCCTTCCTTCCTTCCTTCCTTCCTTCCTTCCTTCCTTCCTTCTTTCTTTCTTTCTTCTTTTAATGGAGTCTTGCTCTGTTGCCCAAACTGGAGTGCAGTGGTGTGATCTTGGTTCACTGCAATCTCCGCCTCCTGGGTTCAAGTGATTCTGCTTCAGCCTCCCGAGTAGCTGGAATTATGGGCATGCACCACTACACCCGGTTAATTTTTCTTTTCTTTTCTTTTCTTTTCTCTTCTCTTCTCCTCTTCTCTCCTCTCTCTCTCTCTCTCTCTCTCTCTCTCTGTCTCCCCCCACCCCCGTCTCTCTCTCTCTCTCTCTTTCTTTTTTTTTTTGATATGGTGTCTTGCTCCTGTTGCCGAGGCTGGAGTGCAGTAGCGCAATCTCAGCTCACTGCAACCTCTGCCTCCCAGGTTCAAGCAATTCTCCTGCCTCAGCCTCCTGAGTAGCTGGGATTACAGATGTGCACCACCACGCCTGGCTAATTTTTGTATTTGTATTTGTATTTATTTATTTATTTATTGAGATGGAGTCTCGCTCTGTCGCCAGGCTGGAGTGCAGTGCCATGATCTCAGCTCACTACAACCTCCGCCTCCCGGGTTCAAGCGATTCTCCTGCCTCAGCCTCCTGAGAAGTCAGGACTACAGGCTTGCCCCACCACGCCCAGCTAATTTTTTGTATTTTTAGTAGAGGTGGGGTTTCATCATGTTGGCCAGGATGGTCTTGATCTCTTGGCCTCATCATCCACCCACCTCGGCCTCCCAAAGTGCTAGGATTACAGGTGTGAGCCACCGTCCCTGGCCATATTTTTGTATTTTTAGTAGAGATGGGGTTTCACCACATTGGCCAGGCTGGTCTTGAACTCCTGATCTCAGGTGATCCATCTGCCTCAGCCTCCCAAAGTGCTGGGATTACAGGCGTGAGCCACTGTGCACGGCCTAAATTTTTCAATTCAGACAAATGTTTATTGAGTGCTTTATGGGGCCAGGCACTCTGCTTGACTTCAGGGGATTCTAGTGATAAGCAAAACCAGTCAAGGGGGAGAGACTATTAATAATTAAACAATAAACAAATACATACATATGACTCATAGGAAATACCACAGAGGATAGCAACAGGGAGCATTGTCAGAGAACAGGGAGGTAAGGAGTGACCACGGAGTGGGTCATATCTGTGTTTGAATTCTTGCTTGGCCATTTACCTGCTGTGTGAACTTGGGCAAGCCTCTTCACTTCTCTGGACTTTGGTTTCTCATCAGGAAGAGACGGCTATCAATCTCCCTTTCTTAGGGATGATATCACGAGACAGAGAACATTCATTCCTTCAATAAATATATACTGTGCATCTTCTCCCACTCAGATAAATTACTTGCCCAAGGTCACCCAGATGGGCAGTGTGTGTTGGTTTTCAACCCGGGTCTGACTGGTTCTCTGGATCTGGCCAGTGGTTGGGGGTGGAGATAAGTCCTAGTCTTCTTCCCCTGAATCAGTCCTTGAGGAGTTGGGAGCAGTGATCTGCCTCATGAAGGCAAAACACCTGTCCATCTCCCCACCACCATGGCAATGAGGGGCTTCTGCCCTGAGAAAGACCTATGATTGCATGACACAAAAGAGACTGTTCAAAGGGACACCATCATTCAGCAGGGCAAGCCTCCTTGCTGGGGGCAACCTGGTAGCTCCTGAGCCTCCCTCATCTTCACTGAGCCCCTCCAACTCTCTGAGTTCCCATGCCCCTCACTGAACCTCCCTTCCCCCATGGCGAGCCTCCGCCAGCACCTTTGCACACACTCAGCCCCTTCCCCCTACTGAGCCCCAGCACAGTCACTGAACAGCTCTTCTTCCCCTCTGACTGAGTCATCCTCCCAAGCCCTCCCCTTCCCCTCACTGAGTCTCCACCACCCCTGGTCACTGGGCACCCTGCTTCTGACCTCCTCCCTCCCCCAACCCCTCCACCCTTCCTCTTCACTGAGCCTGGCGCCTCTCACCCACCCGCCTTCCTCTCCCAGCCGCTTCTGAGCTGCCTCTTTGGAGCCCAACTGTCTCGCCCACGAGTCCCCATCACTCAGTCTCACTCACTCTAAGACACCTGAAAGCAGTTAGAGAACATGTGTTCATGGGGGGAGGATGAGGCTCTATCATCATCCTGCACATCATGCAAGCACGCCATCTGCCTCCTCTTCAGGCTTCAGCAGTCACACTGGCCATACCTTCCGCAGGTCCTCCTGAGCCCAGGGTCTGCTGCAGTCCTTCCCAATCGGGTTCAGAGCTGGTTTCTGGACCCCTGGCCCTTGCCCCCACCCACCACAGAGACCTCCCATCTCTGATGCCACCTTCAAGTAGATGGAAACTGAGGCAGGCCCATGGTGTCTGAGCCAGTGTTTGGTATGGCAGGGTCATTTCTGTTGGGGGAAAAGTGGGCAGGGTTCCATTCTATCATTTTGTCAGGGCCAGATGAGAAGTGTCAGATAAAGTCCCACATAAAGAACGTCCCTCCACCAAGAGGACTAGACCCAGGTATCTGAGCCCCCAGAGGGCATGAATGGCTGAGCTCGTGCATTTCTGTCCAGATTCAAAAATCTGGATTCAGCCACCAGTCGTCAATAAGACATTGGGCAAAGCACTACTGCCCTTCAGGGTCTCAGTTTCCCCTTCTTTATTTTTTATTTTTATTTATTTTTTGAGACTGAGTCTTGCTCTGTCGCCCAGGCTGGAGTACAGTGGCACAATCTCTGCTCACTGCAACCTCTGCCTCCCGAATTCAAGCGATTCTCCTCCCTCAGCCTGCTGAGTAGCTGGAACTACAGAGGTGCGCCACCACACCTGGCTAATTTTTTTGTATTTTCAGTAGAGACAGGGGTTTCACCATGTTGGCCAGGCTGGTCTAGAACTCCTGACCTTAGGTGATCCACCCACCTCGGGCTCGCAAAGTGGTGGCGGAGCCACCGCGCCCCGCCAGTCAGTTCCCCGCCCCCGCACACCCCCCTTCCCCCTTCCCGCCCCCGGCTTTTTTTTTTTTTTTTTTTTGAGACGGAGTCTTGCTCTGTCGCCCAGGCTGGAGTTCAATGGCGCGATCTTGGCTCACTGTAGCCTCCGCCTCCCAGGTTCAAGCGATTCTCCTGCCTCAGCCTACCGAGTAGTTGGGATTACAGGCGCCTACCACGACGACCGGCTAATTTTTTTCTATTTTTAGTAAAGATGGGGTTTCGCCATGTTGCTCAGGCTGGTCTTGAACTCCTGGCCTCAGGTGATCCGACCGCCTTGACCTCCCAAAGTGCTGGGATTACAGGCGTGAGCCACCGCGCCCGGCCAGTTTCCCCCTCTTTAAAATGTGTAGGAACACCGGCTGGGAGGAGTAAACACGAGCCGGGGCAGGGAAAGAACTTTGCACACCGTGGGGTCCGGGGCTCCTCTGTGATGCCACCAAGGTTTGCAGGCTCAGCGGCAGCGCTGAGGTATTTGTTCTGCGAATAAAGCGCTCTACCTATCGTGGAATCAGTCCAGCTAGATCCCCGTCCCACCAGGACGGCAGTCGCCCCTCTGCGTTAACCCTTCCACTGCCCTAGTGAGGTGGGAAAGGGGGTCCTTGAGAGCCCTATGGCCCAGGAGAGACCGGGCAGAACTGATTCGGCCAAGGGCAGCATGAGGTGTGGGAGGAGCACGGCACAAGGAGTCAAGCCTCCTGCGTTCTAGCCCAGGCTCTCTTCGCACAGAGGCCTTAGGCAAGACCCTCCCCCGGATGGAGACCGGATTCCGTGAATTTCTAAACACCAGCTACCAGAGCTTATGACTCTGAGGGGCCAAACCAGGGAAGATGAGGCTCCCTTTGCACCCAAAATTTGGGGAGAGGCGAAAGGGGACCGGATGCCCTAGCGGAGCAGAATCCGGCGAAGGGCAGGACCTGAAGGGTTTGGGGAATGCCCTGAATGTGCAGAGCGCGGGGGGGGGGGGGGGGGGCGGGGCGGATTCAGGGCGTGCCTGTCTCTGATTGGCTGTGCCGCCCGTCGCTCCGCCCCGTGTTCTATAAGATGCGCGGACGGCGGGCGCGCCTCTGGGGTGGGGGCTGTGGCCGTGTCTAGCTGTTCGGGTGTGCTGTGGTCATCCTCCCTGCGCACCTACAGCCGCAGACCGCCGGTGGGGGGCGGGGGATGCCGGGCTGCCGCATCAGCGCCTGCGGCCCGGGGGCCCAGGAGGGGACGGCAGAGCAGAGGTCGCCGCCGCCGCCCTGGGATCCCATGCCGTCCTCTCAGCCCCCGCCCCCAACTCCGACCTTGACTCCTACCCCGACCCCGGGTCAGTCCCCGCCGCTGCCGGACGCAGCTGGGGCTTCAGCAGGCGCGGCCGAGGACCAGGAGCTGCAGCGCTGGCGCCAGGGCGCTAGCGGGATCGCGGGGCTCGCCGGCCCCGGAGGGGGCTCTGGCGCGGCTGCGGGGGCGGGGGGCCGCGCGCTGGAGCTGGCCGAAGCACGGCGGCGGCTGCTGGAGGTGGAGGGCCGCCGGCGCCTGGTGTCGGAGCTGGAGAGCCGCGTGCTGCAGCTGCACCGCGTTTTCTTGGCGGCCGAGCTGCGCCTGGCGCACCGCGCGGAGAGCCTGAGCCGCCTGAGCGGCGGCGTGGCGCAGGCCGAGCTCTACCTGGCGGCTCACGGGTCGCGCCTCAAGAAGGGCCCGCGCCGCGGCCGCCGCGGCCGACCCCCCGCGCTGCTGGCCTCGGCGCTGGGCCTGGGCGGCTGCGTGCCCTGGGGTGCCGGGCGACTGCGGCGCGGCCACGGCCCCGAGCCCGACTCGCCCTTCCGCCGCAGCCCGCCCCGCGGCCCCGCCTCCCCGCAGCGCTGACCTCCACGCCCGGACCCCTGGCCACCCCGACAAGC
This sequence comes from Homo sapiens, assembly GCF_000001405.40. Classification (NCBI taxonomy): domain Eukaryota; kingdom Metazoa; phylum Chordata; class Mammalia; order Primates; family Hominidae; genus Homo; species Homo sapiens. The sequence goes on from NC_000001.11 coordinate 26,994,506, forward strand.
TTCGCCGAGGTGCCGACCGACCGACTGATCGCGGACGCCGGCTGGAAGGACTACGGATCCGCAGGAAGAGGCAGTTGGGGGCCAGGGGCCCAGTAGAGGAGGCTGAGGTGCGGTCTTAGCGGCTGGTGCGTTCGAGGGTCGGTCATGGCGTGTGGGGGGCTGGTCCAGGGCCCGGGAACTCCCTTCCCTGGAGCTTCTGGCGTCTGCTGGGTCCCTAGTAAAGCTGCCACTTTCTGTTGCCGCCTCTCCCGACCATCTGGAGAGTGAGAGGTGGTAGCATCAAGTCTCCATTATAAGAGTTGGACTCTTGAGGGGGCTCAGATCCCAGGAACGGGTTGGCGGCAAACTTTTACCACTTGGAACCTGCCGCACGGATGCAGCACCCCCCATCCTCACCCCCACTTGCGTGGCCTTTCCCGGGCCCCTCGGAGCTGTGAGCAGTCTTGCCCTTGAGGATGCTGCTTCCTGGCGCCGCCCAGCTCCGTGCCTTCGGGAGGACAGAATAATGAGGCCCCAGGATGGGGTGGAGGCTGGCACAGGGCTGTACCACTGAATTCCCCCTCTAGGCCTGTTTCACCTTTGGGGAGACGGAATCCCAGAGAGGTTTAGGATTTGTTCTCTTCATACTTAGGCCCTTCTTCTTCTAGGAGACAGCTTTTCTTATGCCGTCATGCAGGTTCGCAAAAATTACAGCCTGACTCACATAACCAGGACAGGATGTCTGGCACCTGCTCACCCAGGGATCCTTACATAGCAGAACCTAGAGGCTTAACTCCCAACCTGTTACTAAGATGGCTCGGCCAGGTTGGAACCAGGTGATACCCTTTAACAGGCCCCAAGGGGGCAGGTGTGGTATCAGCTTCCAGAAAGGGGGGCCTTAAAGAGCCAGATCTGAGGTGAGATCTGCTTCTCTTCCTGTCCAGATGCCCTTCAGTCTCCCATTCCTCTGTCCCCACTGTGAATGACCTGGCTACCACATTGCTGCTCACCAGCTGAGTTAATTTCACTCTCACTTATCAGTCTGCGAAGTGGATCTCTTAACCTCCCAGAGGGGCTGTGGTGACGTTAACCCAGGGCAGAGGTCCTTCTTCTTCCTCACTAAATCATGGAAAGATAATTTTTTTGTTGTTGTTGTTTGTTTTGAGACAGTGTTTCGCTCTTGTTGCCCAGGCTGAAGTGCAATGGTGCGATCTTGGCTCACTGCAACCTCCACCTCCCGGATTCAAGCGATTCTCCTGCCTCAGCCTCCCAAGTAGCTGGGATTACAGGCATGTGCCACTATGCCCATCTCATTTTGTATTTTTGGTAGAGACCGGGTTTCTCCATGTTGGTCAGGCTGTTCTTGAACTCCCGACCTCCGGTGATCTGTCCGCTTCGGCCTCCCAAAGTGTTGGGATTACAGGTGTGAGCCACTGCACCTGGCTGATAATGTATTATTTTAACTCACACCTGGAAACAGGCACTGCTTTTGCTGATAGAGCCATGAGCTAATTTAAAGTCCTACTTTTGCAGGGTGGAGAGGGGATTTCTCAAGGTCACATGCCAGTGAGGGAAGAATCAAGGTCCCTGGCCTGTGTGTGCACCTCCCACAGTACCCTGGGCAGGGGCTAGGGAGAGTTGTCCTCTGGATCCTGTCTGCTCTGTGACTTAGAACAACTCTGCCCCCTCTCTGGGCCTCTTTCCTCAGTCCCTCCTTGAGTCAGGGCTTGGGAATGGGGTGAAGTGGGGAGGATGCTTCCTTCCACAGGAATCTGGGAGGGTCAGGTGCACTGCTCTGATAGGCTGAGGCTTGGGGCCCTTATGGGATCCTCCCTCATCAGCCCTTCTCCCTGGATACCAAACTTTTTGGCTGGTTTCTCGGCTAACAGCAAGGCTTTCCTGAACCCTTTCTTAGCTGGGGAAGGGAGGTTCAGGAGGGAGTCTCAGAGCCTCTGACAAAGTTAGGGAACCCCAGGGAAGTAATGAAGGGGGCAATGCCATCCTCTGGTCTTTCCAAACAGGGAACACCTTCCAAAGCCACTTGGGTCATTTGGGGTCTAGAGGCTTAGAGAGGACAGGACATCTTGGAAAGAGCTGAGCTCAGGCCTTGGTGCTGGGCTGCAGCCAGGACCATTTGTTTTCTGGGTTGCATGGGAGGGGGCACTTGGTCCGGAGAAGCTTTTAGCTAATGGTGTAAAGTGCTCGGTGCCATCACAGTTTTGGCTTTCTCCAGGATTTATTTGTAATCAGCTTGTCCCGATTTGGGGGTGGGGTGGGTGAGTAGAGAATTAGAGACGACACTGGCTAGTGTGTGTGTGTGTGTGAAGTAGAGGGTAGTAAATGGAGATTGGTCCTGGTGTCACAGGCAGCTCTGCCCCCTCCCTCCACTTCCAGATGTCCCACTGCTCCTCATCAAGCTTCCTGGCCAGGGCACACACATGTAGACTTGAACCCCAGCTCCTAGTTAGTGCTATGTCCATTACCACATAGCCAACTAACAAAAGGCACCTCCCACACCTGCCTGACCCTCCAGGGCCCCCTCTAGAAGCTCACCCGTCTGGCTTTATTCAGGCTGGGTGCGGTGGCTCATGCCTGTAATCCCAGCACTTTGGGAGGCCCACGAGGGCCAATCACTTGATGTCAGGAGTTCAAGACCAGGCTGGCCAACATAGTGAAACCCCTTCTCTACTAAAAATAACAAAAATTAGCTGGGCGTGGTGGCAGGTGCCTGTAATCCCAGCTACTCGGGAGGCTGAGAAAGAATTGCTTGAACTCGGGAGGTGGAGGTTGCACCGCACTCCAGCCTGGGCAACAGAGCAAGACTGTGTCTCAAGAAAAAAAAAAAAAAAAAAAAAAGCTCACCCGTCTGCCTCCATTTTCTTCTTAATTAGCAAATATTGATAGGGGCTCAGAAAGCAGAGCCAAATCAGAGGAGGGTCTCTACTTTTAAGGGCTTATGTCTCCTGGCTCTTTTCCAGGCAGGCTTTTCTGGCTGTCACCATCCCAGGGGATCCCTTGGGGGCTGAGCAGTTTGTTGGAGGCCAGCTCTAGCCTCGGACAGAAGGCTGACCCACCCCTTTTCCCCACATGACTTTCAGAACACTTTCTTGGTGGCCCCCAGCTCTGGGGACAGGACTGAGTACAGGGATCTTGGGGGACCTGTGCATTGAGGACACTGACGGCCACCAATGAATTTATATCTCAGCAAAGGGAAATGAGGGGGGAACAGGAGCCTTTCTTCAGGCTGGTGCTTGGGGCTGGGAGACCAGTTCAAGGTTCTAATCTGGGACCTGCCCCTCAACTGGATAACCATGTGAGCGTTGCCACCAGAGGGCAGTGTGGGGCTGCTTTCTCGAGACGAAGGGGTGTGGCCTGGAGGAGGTTCAGTCCTTTATTGTTCCTGCCCCCAATCATCCCTTTGCCCGGTAGTCCCCGGGGCTTCCTAGACCTTGAGCTGCAGGGGCCTGGGAGAACGAGCAGGGTAGTCGCGGTCAGCGCAGCCCTAGAGTGGGAGTGTAGTTCTGGGGATAGCTTCCTGGGTGGAGTGGGACTAGAGGCCAGAGCTGTGCCCATCACCGGCTCCCTAGGGGCGGGAACCCTCTTTGAAAGGGGAGCAAGGCCGGGTGCGGTGGCTCACACCTGTACTCCCAACACTTTGGGAGTTTGAGGCGGGCGGATCACGAGGTCAGGAGATCGAGACCATCGTGACTAACATGGTGAAACCCCGCCTCTACTGAAAAAAAAAGGGGGGAGCAAAGGAAGCTCCTTTGGTTGGGCTGAGCCTGGAACCCCAGGGAGAAGACCCATTAGGAAAGACTTCCAGAAAAGACAGGTAGCCCTTGTTGGGGTCACTATCAGGATAAAAGACCAGAGTTATTTTGTATTCACAGATTTGTTACACTAATTGATCAGAACCCAGGGTCCCACTGCCAGTGGTGGCCAGTGTTGCCTCTTAGAGATTAGGCTGGAGCCACAGAACCTGGCCAAGGTGGTCCAAGCCTGCAGCCGCTCCCCTGTTGGTGGGTTCTTCAAGAACAACTCGGGTGCTTAGGCTTCTCAGAGCTGAAGGAGAGGCCTGCTGTCATGAGAGCGGTGCAGGAGGAGGTATTTGGGAAAGCCTGGAGATCCCCAACCTACTTCTTCCCCCATTGGTCCTTGACTGCACCCTGGCCAGGGGCGATGGGGGAAGGGAACTCTTGGTTCTGGAATAATATCTTAACCACCTCCTCTATGCCAGGCCCCTGAGCACTTTACACCCATTAATCTGTTCCGGTTCTCCCAACCACTCTGCAAAGTAAGGGTTATTATTCCCATTTCCACAGGTGAAGAAACAGAGAGGGAGGGCGGGTGACTTGCCCAAAGACATAGGAGCTATAAGTGAGGGATCTCTTAAACATTAGGATATATGGTGATTCATTTATCAGGCTAAAGAGAGGTCCGTTTAGGGGGATATCTGGGCTCCCACATTCAAGGCTGTGTATAGTGACCCTTGGTCCTTGGGTATTGGAAGGGACATGAGATGCTGGAGGGGTGGCAGAAGGTGCCCCTCCCAGAGTTTGGGCACACCCCAACCTGGCTGGGCCCTGGGGGTGAGTCAGGCTGAGTCAGCAACCTGGCTTCTGAGGAGGGTGGGCCAAGGATGCTCAGGGCTCAAGCCTCCCAAGGGCTTGCCTTGGAGGGCTGCCTCCTCTCCCTGTAGATCTGGGCTGGCTAACAGGGTGAAATCCCATCTCTACTAAACATACAAAAATTAGCCGGGCGTGGTGGCATACCCCTGTAATCCCAGCTACTCCGAAGGCTGAGACAGGAGAATCGCTTGAACCTGGGAGGCGGAGGTTGCGGTGAGCCGAAATCGCGCCAGTGTACTCCAGCCTGGGCAACAAGAGCAAAACTTCGTCTCAAAAAGAAAAAGAAAACTTGAGTATTAAATGAAAAGTCATACTAAGTACTTGGCACATAGTAGAGATCCGTAAATGATGGAACCAATTTGCCCAGCCCTGGAGAGGCCGCCAGGACAGAACCCCCAGGCAGCGTGGGCCTCTGCTTCTCTAGAGCATCACCATATCAGGAATCCCTGGAATGGGCCCTGGGGAACTCCATAAGGGGAGAAGTGGAGGAGGGGCAGGCTTTTCATCCCAGGAACATTCCATTCTAACTGCTCAGGCTAGGGGATCCCAGCCAAGGACAAAGGCCCAAGGGAACCTCTGCTTCCCCAGGAGTCCCATTCCATACTATTGCCTCCTGCATCTTCTCTCCACAATGCCCCCGCCCCCTTCAGGCAGATTTCAAGTTGAAGGGCTTGGGTGGGGCTGGGTGGCTGTGGGAAAGAGGCCATTAAAGCTCTTGGAATTATTCTTTCCAGCTCCTTCCAACTCCTCAGAACCTCCACTCTATGGATCTGGACCTCTGGATTCGGCTTTCTCCCTGGGCACTGCCTTCAGGAAGACGTTGAGAATTGACCTTACACAATCCCAGCGCCCTCCTCACAGGAGCCTTTCACTTTACAGTGGCAAGGGGCTGGTTCTGGAGAACTGGCTGATGCTCTGAATTTCTTCATATACCCCACATTTGACTTTGGCTTACACTGTACAATTGGAGATGTTGCTACAGGTCCCTGAGATGCAATCAGATTAAGCGTAGCAAGCATTGCCAATGGGAAAGTCAAAATAATTTATTTTTTTTCCCTTTCCCCCTACCCCATCCCCAGCCAAGAATTTCTTTTCAAGATATCGTCATCATTCTTAAACAACATTCTTAACCCCCAGCTGGGGTCCCCATTTTAATAGATGTCATTGCTTCAAGTCTAACGGCGCCGGGAGGCCTGTTTGAGGGAAAACATTAGTTTGAAAAATCCCCGTTCCCTTCATCCACTGCCCTTGTTCTCCACGTGGGAGTGTGCTTGTGGCCCCTCAGAAAGATAGTCTGCTGGCTCCTAGGGGTTGGGGTGGGGGACACACCTTTTTCTCAGGAAGAGGTGATGGCAATGTAAAACATCTAAGCAAAGTTTTAAATGAAAAAAAGGAAACACATTTAAACATCCTGATAATGGAGGGAAGGGGGGCACATTTACACATAGCCCAGAACTTGTAGAATTCTGCATAGTGAATGTATATTGAATTAGTCTCCTGCCTTATACATTCAGGAGGAATAAATTTCCATAATGTAAGGCAAATGCATGGGGTTCTGAGGTTCACTTTGCAAGTGCCCTTGCTGCCTTTCCTCTGTGTCTATTATGGCTCTTTAAGTTGACGGTTCCTGGAGCAGCTTGTATTTAGTTTCGTTTGGCAGTCTGGCCCTGTTGACTTTGATTTGCAGACCAATTCTCCCTTGACCTGACTCACAGCCGCCTGCTCTTACCCCCCTCCTCAGGAAGTCTTCCTCATTAAAGGATGTGATGACGGAGCTCAGGGATGAGAATGCACATGTGAGACTGTGTGACACCAAGGAGGGTTGTGCGAACTGGTGACAACATGGCAGCACCATGGCCTGTGGGGGTTGTGTGACTAGTGTGACTGTGCTGGCGACCATATGGACCTGTTTTGTCAGTCGGTGTCTAAGCAGGAGATGGCACACTCAAACTGGGAAGTGTTTTAAACATAGGCTATTCTGGCCTGGCATGGTGGATCACACCTGTAATCCCAGCACTTTGGGAGGCTGAGGCAGGAGGGTTGCTTGAGCTCAGGAGTTCGAGACCAGCCTGGGAGATCCCTGCTCTATAAAAATGAAAAAATTAGCCAGGTGGGGTGGCACATGCCTGTGGTACCAGCTACTTAGGAGGCTGAGGTGGGAGGATTGCTTGAGCCCAGGAGGTCAAGGCTGCACTGAGCTGTGATCCTACCACTGTGCGCTCCAGCCTGGGCAACAGAACAAGACCCTATCTCAAGAAATAAAACAGACTATTTCCAAAGGCGTGGGCTGGGCTTAAGAAACTAACAAGGGGCTGGGTTTGGTGGCTCACATTTGTAATCCCAGTACTTTGGGAGGCCGAGGCAGGCAGATCACCTGAGGTCAGGAGTTTGAGACCAGTGTGGCCAACATGGCGAAACCCCATCCTATTAAAAATACAAAAATTAGCCAGGCGTTGTTGTGTGCACCTGTAGTCCAAGCTCCTTGGGAGGCTGAGGCATGAGAGTGGCTTGAACCTGGGAGGCGGAGGTTGCAGTGAGCTGAGATCGCGTCACTGCATGCCAGCCTGGGTGAGTGCTCTCCCCCCTCCACCCAAAAAAAAAAATGTAATGGGATGGTTCAGCAATCTGGGGCCAGCAACAGTGAGAAGCCTTTGCAACTCCTGAGTCTGAGGGTGAGGAGAGGTCACTGTGTGGAGTGGGGCCCCTGACAAGAACCGTGACCTTTGGTTGAGAGATGTGGCCAACCATGGCAACCTGGTAGAGAGGGAACAAAGAGAATAAATATCTACTCCTCCCTTAAGTCTCCTTAAGACGCTGGGATGTCTCATTGGCAACCCAACAGGAAGCCGGGGAACAAGGGAGCCATTGATGCAGTCCACAGATGCCAGCCCCCAGGGAACAGAGCAGAAGTGTGGCGAGTGAAAGCGGAAGGGCAGCATATCATGTAACTGTCTGAGGCTATGCCTTGTTCCTCAAAGTCCACAGCAACGCTCCTTCCCCATCCGGAGCTCCCACAACCCTCGGGTCTGAAGGGGTGGGTGGACTGTTGCTTGGAGAGCACAGTAAGGTTGGAAGGTAGAGGACAGGGCTTTTCCCTCTCAGCCTTTGCATTGCTGGCTCTGAGTCCCAGTTCCTGATTCCTGCCTGTCCTGGTGTCTTAGGTAGCTGCAGGAACTGTCCACAGGAGGAACCATGTCAGCCACTGAGTCGGTGTTTTTCTCACACTCAGAAACGCTGCACCACTCCCAAACAAAACCACAGGCGTGCTGCTGCCATCATGAGCCCTGGACAGTCATCACAAGCCATAATTACTGTCACATGTATATCAAGAAAACATACATCTTGGCCAGGTGTGGTGGCTCACGCCTGTAATCCCAGCACTTTGGGAGGCCGAGGTGGGCAGATCACGAGGTCAAGAGTTCGAGACCAGCCTGACCAACATGGTGAAACCCCGTCTCTACTAAAAATACAAAAATTAGCTGGGCATGGTGGTGGGTGCCTGTAATCCCAGCTACTCAGGAGGCTGAGGCAGGAGAATCGCTTGAACACGGGAGGCAGAGGTTACAGTGAGCTGAGATCGCACCGCTGCACTCCAGCCTGGGCGACAGAGCGAGACTCCGTCTCAGAAAAAGAAAAAAAAAATGTACATCTTGCCACACTGCTACACTGTGCCATAGTCACATATAAAATGACAAATGTCACAGTAATGTCAAATTATGCCTTGTCACATACGTACAGGAGACAACTGTCACAATCATGTGAAATCACAGTGCAGGAGCAGGATGGAACAGAGGTTAACAGCAATGGCTCTGGATCCAGACAAACCTCTTTGACCTCTCTGGTCTCAGTTTCTGTCTGCCAAATGGAAATGCTTTCTTTCCCCTTGTGGAGTTGTTGCAAGGATGATTTGGGAGATCATGATTGGGAAGACCTCAGCATAGTGCCTGCTGGAGTGAAGCCCACCAGGAATGGTGGCTGCTACTGTGAATAACTGTCTCACACGCCCCCACTGCCTCAGGCCCATGCGTGTGTGCAGTACCAGCACCTGGACGAGGCCTGCCAGACACCCTCAGGTACATGTGCCACAGTGCATGCACATTCACAGGCAAGCTCTCTGCCTGGAATGCTCTTTCTCTAAACATCTTCATGCCCACCTCCCACCACCTTTATGTCTTTGTTCAATCAAATATCACCTTTCAATGAGTTGCACCTGACTTTTTTTTTTTTTTTTTTTTGAGATGGAGTCTCGCTCTGTTGTCCAGGCTGGAGTGCAGTGGTATGATCTCAGCTCACTGCAACCTCTGCCTCCCAGGTTCAAGCGATTCTCCTGCCTCAGCCTCCCGACCAGCTGGAATTACAGGCACACGCCACCATACCCAGCTAATTTTTGTATTTTTAGTAGAGATGGGGTTTCACCATGTTGGCCAGGTTGATTTTGAACTACTGACCTCAAGTGATCTGCCCACCTCAGCCTCCCAAAGTGCTGGGATTACAGGCATGAGCCACTGCGCCAGGCTCCTGACTTATTTTTCAATTTTCAAAACCCAGCATTTCCAGTCCCTTACCCTGCTATATTTTTACATATCACTGATCATCTAAGACCATACGGTTCGGTTTATTTTCTATCTACTCCGTTAGAATGTAGTCTTCACAAGGACAGGGATTTTGTCTTTTGTTTGCTGATGTATTCCCAGCACCCAGAACGGTGTCTGGCACATGGTGGCTGAATGCAGTGTATACACACATGTACCAAATGGGTTTCTCGCTTTTTCAGCCCTTAACTAAACAAGCACATCCAGGTGAACTCCACCCCCCAGCCCAAAAAGGTAAGTCTGTTGTGTTTACACTGTGAGCCTCTCATGCCAAGGCTGAAATAGCCAACTCAGGAGGTGAGACAAACTTAGTCCTTCCCATGACCATAGTTGGGTGGTCACAGCTGGGATGGGGGTGGGAGCTGGTTTTAGTCACCAAGCAAAGAAAGCCTTTCTGTTCACTTTCCAGCCATTTTGAGCCCAGCAGCACAAGGGACTCAGAGCAGGTGAGGTGGCTGGACTCACCCTGGTGACCTGGGGCCTCCTCTGCAGCATTGTTTTTTCCACCCTGGCCAGAACCATCAAAGTCACCACTTCAGAGGCCCCTAATGAGGCTGAATATGTTAAGGGCTTTGCAATCCCTGGATCAAAGAGTCTGGGCAAACAGCAGGCAGCGTCCAGGCCCATGACTGACTGGCTGATACTCTGAGGGCGCAGCATGCTAGGAACTTGCGGCTGACACTCCTAGACAGCCTGGCATGGCCCCATGTGGGTTTGGGAAGGGGAGACCCTCCCCATCCAGGGGATCTGATTAGAGCGAGCCAGAGCACACCCATCAGTGCTCGGGGCAAGGGAAGGAGCTGGAGGACTGAGGGAGCCTCTCCCAAATAGAGGCCCTACCTGGGCTCAGGCTTAGGGGGAACCCTACAAGTTCCCCAGTCTCAGCCACCTTTACTGGAGGGGCCTCCAGTCCAGATTCACCCAGCCTGTTCTCTAGCTGCTCCCTTGGAAGAGACGGGGTAGACAGAGCTGGGAACAAGTACCCCTGAGCACCAGAGTCTGAGTCTAGGCCCAGAGCTATTTGGATTCCAGGTAGAAAACATAAAAATATTTACTCCTTAACAAGAGCCCTAGACCTGCTAAGGCAACGTGCAGGTCACACATGTAGACAGCAGCTCTTAATATACAGCTGGTCAGGCTGCGGCTGGGGTTGGGAGAAGGAGGGGCAGTCCCCCAGCCATAGCCCAGGCTTCAAACCCCGCCCCCGCAAATGCTCCCTTCCACAGTACAAGCCAGACTCCAACTGGGGGAGGCAGCTGCAACCCCCACTGCTACGGAAGGTCCTTCTTTCCCCAGAGGAAGCATGGCACTAAGGTTCAGTGTAGACCGTCTTTATTGGCAGGTGTTAAGAGTGCAAAATATCAACAAACCCAGGGGAATACGCAAGGGGGTGGGAGTATGGCTCCCCTACCCCATGTGAGAGCCCTGTAACCAAGCCAGTGGGGTGGGAACGTTGACTTGACTGTGGCAAATTCAGGCTCAGCACCTTCCAAAGAACAAGCTCCCAGGCAGGAGGGCTCCTTGCAACACAAGGGGGAAAGGAGTGGCACCCTGGAAGGGGCCTGGGCTGCGACCCACCCTGGGCTGCTTGGCTCCTGTATACTGCCCACCTCAACCCCTCAAGAGGAAGGCTTCACAGCTGGGGGTATGTAGTTCAGAGAACCGGGCTAAACCCAGCCCTCCCCAAACCCAGGTATCTGCCTCGGGCCTCAGTTTCCCTCCTCCCAGTGATTACCCAAGTTGGCCCATCAGGCCCTGTAGTGGCCCAGCCTGATCCAAAGTGACAAGTCCCTGTAACATACCATGTATCAGTCAGTGTGTGGGCTGCAGGCCCTCCAAAGCTGCTGGGATCACCACAGGCTGGCCTTAGTCAAAAAGACCCTCTTAGACCATGGGAATCAATCCAAGGTGCTGGGCATTAAGGCTACCACCCCAAACTTGCTTTGTCTCCTGAAGGAAATTGACTTCCAAGACAAATGGCGCCTGCACCCCACCGGCATGCTGGTCCAAAAGTGTGATGCAATAACCAAAGGGTCCTCCTGCTGAGAGCCCCAGGCTGGCATTAAGCCCACAGGGGCCTCGTGCTCGGGAAAGTCTGGTCTGTTCAATCAAAGGCCCAACCCTGCAGTGCTGGGCCTCCTGGCACATTCTGCGCCTCTGGTCATGTCCTCCACACACTCTTGGAGGCCCCACCCCACCCCGTGAGGCCCAGTCCCTTCCCTTCTGGCCAGGGTCTGAGTCAGTTACAAGGCAGCCAGGTGGGATAGGCGTGAGCCAGGAGAGGTTGCACGGGGGTCACGTAGTAATTGACAGTGGCTGGCACAACCCCGTCAGTGCCTGGAGGGCGCCAGGCCAGGGCGGCAGTGGCAGCTGGGCCCTGCTCAGCCAGTGCCTGCAGCGCCAGTGCGGCAATGAGGTCCAGCGTCTGGCGGCGCTCGTGGTTCATGAGGCACACGGTGCTCTCGTTGACCACCCGGTGCAGTGTCACCAGGCAGGCGTAACGGCGGGCTGCATCTGCCCCACCGAAGTGGGCCTCCAGGTAGCGCTCTAGGGTGCGCCGCTGCTCCACCAGGTCTGGAAAGTCGATGAAGAAGCGGGAGCACATGTAGCGCTGCAGGGCGCGCACATCGGTGCTGGGCCGGGGCCGGAAGCCCCGCACCAGGAGGTGGCAGTACTTGAGGAGGCCACCACCTCGGATCTCCTCGGGACTGCGCGTGGCGATGACACGGTGCCGCAGGTGCTCCAGGGCCTCGGTGAAGTCCCCGTACAGGCTTTCGCCTGTGACCGTTGGGTGGAAGGCCTCAGACATGGGAGTGGACGAGCACTGGCCAAAGAGCAACAGGGAGTCCAGGATGATCTGGAAGGAGTCTATGCTGAATTCAAACTGGCGTCTCACCGAGTCCACAAACTTGAGCTCCACGTTCTTGCCGCTCTTGTTGGACAGTGAGATGAGGCTCCAGCGGTCCGAGTCTGTGCACACTTTCACCAGCTTCTGCACGTATGCCTCCTTGAGTGTCAGTGGCGTGATCTTGGCCCGGCTCACACCGGCCGGCAGGAAGTCTAGTAGGCAGGCCAGCACCACTGCCTTGGTCAGCTGGAAGGATGCCTCACTGCGCAGGTCCACCCGGAACACCAGGTCCAGATCCTTGTAGCCCAGGCCACTCTCAGGGTGCAGCACGTGGCTGGCAGCTGAACCATGCAGCCGCACACTGTGCACATGTAGTCCCTGCTCCTCCAGGGTGCTGCGGACCACCTGCAGGGGAGAGCAGGAAGGAGAGGTGTCAGGAGCGGGCCTCAGGGGTCCACCAAGGACTTCCGTTTACTTATCACGGTAACTTCAACCACTATTGGCCCCTAACCAGCTGTTATGCCTTTGGAAAATCATTTAACTTTTTTTTTTATTGGGTGGGGGTGGGGGGGTTGGGGGGGAGTCATTTAACTCTTTAAACCTAATCTGAGAATGGCCCATCTGGAGGAATGACTCAGGAAGAATAGCAATGATAATAGCACACATCTGCATAGAATTTACTAAACAGCAGGTCACTTAATCCTCACAATAACCCTGTGAGGTGGATACTATTATTCACACTTTACAGATGCAAAAATGGAAGTACAGAGGGGCCAAGTAACTAGCTCAAAGGCAAACAGCTGGTGAATGCAGAGCTGGGAATAAAACTCCGAGTCCAAGTCTTTTTTTTTTTTTTTGAGATGGAGTCTCACTTTGCCACTCAGGTTGGAGTGCAGTGGCGTGATCTCGACTCACTGCAACCTCCGTCCCCCGAGTTCAAGTGATTCTCCTGCCTCAGCCTCCCGAGTAGTTGGGATTACAGGGGCCTGCCACTGTGCCCGGCTAATTTTTGTATTTTTAGTAGAGACAGGGTTTCACCATCTTGGCCAGGCTGGTCTTTAACTCCTGACCTCGTGATCCACACACCTCCCAAAGTGCTGGGATTATAGGCGTGAGCCACCGCGCTCGGTGGTTTAAGTCTTAACCGTGCTATTCTACCTCTCAAACTGCTAGTAAAACAGTTCTGTATCAGGCACTGTGCTAACTGCTCAAACGTGTTGGGAATATGGTTAGCAGTTCACATTCATGACCACATTAACCCTCCCCATAATCCTACATTTGAGTATTATTTTGACTGATAGATGGAGGACCTCAGGTGCAGAGAGGTAAAGTCAAGGTCACAGAGCGGTCAGGCTGAGACCAGAACCCAGGTTAGTTGGGATTCTCAAGTTCACCTATGTCCTTTTGACTACAATGCACTCATCCTAACTCATCCTTACAAGGACCCAGTGAGGCAAAAATTATATACTTTTTTTGCTCTCGGATGAGGAAACTGAGGCTTACAGTGGTGAAACAGCTAAGGCTCAGTGAAAACTCTCAGCCTTCAGACAGTCCCCAGGCCTGATGGCACAGGACAGATAAACCTATAAGTGGTCCCTCCGCTGAGGTACCAGGTAGGGAGAAGAGTGAAGCTGGGGGTTGGGGACATTCAGTTTTCTCAGTAACCCAAAGTTGTCCTGAAAGTGACCAGGCAGCATTCCTGTCCTGAGTGATTCTGCAACCCTGCCTTGCTGCCAAGTCAGCACCCAGCTCCAGACCAGGCTGTTCTCCTTGCCTCCCAGGGAATTACTACAAAGAATGCACCTAAGTGCTGAGAAGGCAAGCTGTGGTGGGGCAATCAGAGGCGGGCGGCGCCCTCCAGGAAGACTTCCGGGAGGAGCAACTTTACCAGGGGAAGATATTGTCATGGCAATGGGAGGGTAAGCAACTGGCCACAAGGAACACGGAGAATGGGGCGTAAGCAGCTGGCCATCAGGAACACAGAGGGTGGCAGAAGGAGGCTAGGCATCTAATGAGTGCCGAGCACTGGACCTTGTTGCCAGAATCTATGGGGACAGGTGTCTTTTTTTTTTTGAGTCTGAGTCTGTCATCCAGGCTGGAGTGCAGTGGTGCAGTCTCAGCTCACTGCAACCTCCGCCTCCCAGGTTCAAGTGATTCTTCTGCCTCAGCCTCCCGAATAGTTGGGATTACAGGCGCCCATCACCACACTCAGCTAATTTTTGTATTTTTAGTAGAGAGAGGGTTTCACCATGTTGGCCAAGCTGGTCTTGAACTCCTGACCTCAGGTGATCCACCTGCCGCAGCTTCCCGAAGTACTGGGATTACAGGCATGAGGTACTATGCCAGGCCAAGTCTTTTTTTTTTTAATATGGAATTTTTTTCTGCCTTTCCAAACCCTTCTCTACCTTCCTTTCCTCCATCCTTCTTTTTTTTTTTTTTTTTTTTTTTTTTTTTTTGAGAGAGTCCTGATTTTGTAGCTGAGGGTGGAATGCAGTGAATGCAGTGGCACGATCTCAGCTCACTGCAACCTCAGCCTCCCAAGTAGGTGGGACTACAGGTGCGTGCGTGCCACCACACCCAGCAATTTTTTATTGTTTACAGTGATGGAATCCTGCCAGATTGCCCAGGCTGGTCTCGAACTCCCGGACTCAAGCTATTCCCCTGCCTCAGCCTCCCAAAGTGCTGGGATTACAGGCGTGAGACACTGTGCCTGGCCCAGGACAGGTCTCCTGGGAAACTGAAGCTCACAGGAGTGATGTCACTTGCACAAGATCACGTGGAGATGCCTTCAAACCCAGGGATGGCCAACAGCAAAGCCTATCCTGTTTCTACCACATTACAGTCCCAGGGTTCAGAAGGAGCAGACTAGTGTTCTAATCCACCTTCCCTTTCTAAATTTCAAAGCAAAGGCAACCCTCAAGCTACTGAAGCCCAGAGCCAGAATAGTTGGGGAACAGGAAGGTGAGGGTTGGGAGATGCCTTGGCCAGACAAGGCCAGTTGCTGCAGTCCAGCCTGTGGGACTTCTAACCCACACCCTGTCAGCTGGCAGCTGTGCCTGCATGGGCCAAAGACCTTGGTCCAAGGACCCTACCAAACCTGCAGAGAAGACCAGCCCCTTCCTCAGATCCCATTAGGGCTGACTGAGCCTTACTCAGTGCCAGCTCCTGCTCCCAGGCTGGTGCCCACCCCAGGGCTTGGCATCTGGCCTAGTGAGTAGGTAGCAGTACTCTTGTTAAATCCCCTGCGTCAGGGCCATGGGGCCAGCTGTGTCAGCCAGCCAGTCGCTGTTGTCTCCTTCCCAGGTGTGACTACAGCCAGTTTGGCAGACGGTCACCAGATACCACCACACCCAAGTACTGCAGGGCAGCTTGGTGCCTCCTGAATCAGACTTTCCAGCCATGGAGGGGGCAGTGGCTGCACCCTCCTTTCTCCCATGCCAAGGCCCTCCCCACAACCACTCTGCTCCAGGCTGCTGCTGAGACCTGCAGGGAGACTGACAGACGCCGTCAGCCAGCAGGCTTACAAAACTCACATGCTCTGCCGCCTGATGCAGGCCCTCTGGCTGCAGCTGGAGAAATCAGATTGTCTAGTTCAATCCTCTGGGCCCAGAGAAGGCAAAGGACTTGTCCAAGGTTACACAACCAATAAAAGGCCTCCCTGCCTGTAGCTCTGGGAAGGCTCCTTACAGTAGGGTGAGTCCCTTTAGTACAGGTACAAGCAAGAACAGAATCTCTAGCCACTCAGATTGCCACTACAGGCAAAGCCTTGCAGGGGGGTAGAGGGAGAAAGGTTCCAATTTTTGAGCCATAGGACAACTCAGCAGCAGTGAAAAGCCCCAAGGCAACAACCGACACCACCCTCCCCCTCTCCCCGCCCCCATCCCTGCACACATCCCAACAGCTTTAGAAGCTGCCAGCTGTGGATTTCTTCCAAGAAACTTTCTTCGCTGTGGAGGCAGCTGTACAGACCAGGTGAAGGCACCTGTCCCCTTTGGAGTCTGGAACCAGAGAGGGTGTTGGAGAGCAGCAGCCTAATCTATCCATCCCAGTTGAACAGATGGGGACACTGAGCCCAGCAAAGAGAATTGACAACAAACAGTCCAGGGCCTGAATCCAGAAGTCCAACTTCCCAGCCCAGCTCTGAAGTCTCTGCTGCCCTTCCTCACCATCGCCGACAGCTCCCTGTTCTGTGCTATCTCTGACCCAGGTCTAGAAGGACATGGCACCACCATTGCATTGTAAAGTTAGCTTCTATTGACCTGGAGTCTCCCCCATCTGGCTAGGAGCACCTGAAGGGATGGAGGCTGAGTCCTAGTCACATCTGTGCCCTTGGTTTCCTAAACAGGGCTTGGCACAGAGCAGACACCAAGAGGCAATCTGAGCCATACTGACAGGGCAAGGACTTCTCCTCCTTCCAGGGTATCCCTTGTTCTTGCAGAGGGGGGCTGCCACACTGGGCTCCACCTTCCCCTCCCTGCCATGCCTGGGGCCACAATCCTGGAGGTGCAGCAGCTGGGGCCCCAGGAATGACTTGACTGTCCCGGGGATTAAAGCCTCGACTGGTTTCCTAATCACCCAGGTGACAGCGAGCAGCCGAGGAATGCCTCGGCGAACTCCACTGGGCCGCGTGTGAGTCAGCCAAGGAGAATCTGCCCCCGCCCCCTCCAGTTCCTAGTTCCTTGGGAGGGTGGGGGAGGTAATCCCCCAGCAGGCAACCCTCCCCCTCTGTGGGAAGCCAAGGTAGTAGGAGGCAGGGGAAAGGCCTACTTCATCCAAAGGAAGCCATCAGTTGGCAGGAACGCACAGGAGTCCTCGCTGGGTTTCTTGGTTTCTTTTATCAAAGGACCCTCCCTAACACCTAGAAGTTGACCTTGGGAGCCGGGGAAGGGGTGGGAAAACATTGAACCTACTGTAATCTGCTCCTGGGAAGACCCAAAATTCCCTAGGTTTGATTTTCACCTCATTAAGTAATCTTGGGTGGCAAACTGCCCCAGCTATAAAATGGGTACAATAATGACCACACTGTGGTATTTCAGAACATGACAGCGTCTGGGCTGTACAGATGAAAAAGCAGTCTTGGGGTCGTTGAGGTTCAGATAAAGGGAAGAGTTGGAGGAGGGAGGGGCTGTCAGAATTCTCTTCTCCCTTTCCTCAGGAGAGAGAGGACGTGGGGCCTGAGGCCTGGGTTGGCCTTCATTTCCAATCTTGGGAAGGAGAAGAAACACCTAAATTGGTCACTTAATGTTGCCCTTGGGGGTGGGGTATCAGGTCTGACCTTCGGCTTAATAAATATTGGGCCACAACCCCAGCTGAGAGAGAGGGAGTCCCTGACAAGTTTTCTTGGCTTTTCCACGGGGTGGAGGGGGAAGGGGGGGTTTCTCCAGCAAAAGGCTGTAGGAGCACAATGGCAGAGGCTGCTCCTAGAACCTCGAGAGAGGAAAGGAGGGTGAGGTCCAGGGATGCCCAGATAGGGAAGGAAAAGCTATTTTGGACTCAAGCATGCACACTTACCCACCCAGGGCCACCTGGCGTCTTTTGTCCTTGCAGGCAGAGACAAATTCTTCCCCCAATGCCCTTGACATCCTCCTCCCCTCTCCCAGCCAGGCCCTGGGTGAGTGATCCGTGGGGAATCAGGGTTCTCCAAGAGTCGAGATGGAAAAGCCAGGTGGGGAAGGATTAGTAGATGCAGGGGGAGGTCTGGTCTACCATTCATAATGCTGTGCAATTGTTACAGCCATGTCCCCGTTCCTCAGTTTCCCTAGCTGTCTAGAAAGTCAAACAGACTACAAATGCCTTCCAGCCACGAGAGCCTCAGAAGGGATTCCCCCACATCCCCCGCCTGGCGTCCTCTCACCTGCACGATCTGCCGGGGCTGCACGCTCAGCGTGGGGAAGTTGCCGCGCCCGTGAATGGGAATCGGCTCGCTCAGAAGAGCGTCCAGTCGCTTCACCTGTGGCCAGCTCAGCCCACTCAGGTGCCGTCCGGGGAAGGCCGATAAGGCCTCCGGGTCGGGGCCGCCGCCTGCCGGGGCTGCCGTGGCCACCGCCGTGGCCGCAGCCGTCCCCACCTGAGCAGCCGCCCGGTCCCTGCGCTCAGCTCCGCTCTCCGACGGCATCATCCGCCCGGCCCCCGGGCCCCGACGGCAGAAACCGTGGGGGTGGTTAAGGGGAGGAGGACAGGGAGAGCGGCTGGGCAGGGGCCAAGGCGGGGGGCACGAAGGCAGGGACGGGGCGGCAACGACGGCGAGACAAAGCCAGGGAACACCTCAGACGGCGACGACTAACCGACCCTAGCGCCTGCAGCCCGCGGCCCAGCGGACTCTTATAGGCCGCGGGCGACGTGCCCATTGGTCCGGGCCGCTGCCAACAGCGAGAGCCGCCCCGCCTCTGAACGCTCCGGACACTGGTCTGTAGAGCTTTGCACGTGAGTCACTGTTCTCTAGGGAGATTCCGATTGGCTAGAGGGCACGCCCCTGCCCCGCCCTCCTTCTCAGGCTGAATTCCCTCCTTTGGTCCTTAAAGAACTTCTGTTCACTGTGATTGGCCCGGGCCTGGACTTAAAGGGACAGCGCCCACCCCGCCCCGCCAGGGTCAGGAGGGAGGGAAGTGACCTGCGGAGTTTGTAGCAGAGTCAGACCACTGAGAAATTCCAGGTTTCTGTTTTTTTTTTTTAGCGCTGGAAGAAATTGAGAAGTCACCTAGCCTTGTCCTGCTATTTTCAGAAGCCCAAAGAGATTGAGCCACGTGATCAACTCTGCACAGCACTGCTCATGCTCTGGCAGTTTTCCAGAGCCTAGGAAAGGTATAATAAACAACTCTGGGCCCGGCGCGGTGGCTCACGCCTGTAATCCCAGCACTTTGGGAGGCCGAGGTGGGCGGATGACAAGGTCAGGAGATCGAGACCATCCTGGCTAACACGGTGAAACCCCGTCTTTACTAAAAATACAAAAAATTAGCCGGGTGTGTGGCGGGCGCCTGTAGTCCCAGCTACTCGGGAGGCTGAGGCAGGAGAATGGCGTGAACCCGGGAGGCGGAGCTTGCAGTGAGCCGAGATTGCGCCACTGCACCCCAGCCTGGGCGACAGAGCGAGACTCCGCCTCAAAAAAAAAAAAATTAATAATAATAATAAACTCTGCATACCAAGGTAAAGGCCTTTTTTTTTTTTTTTTTTTTTTTTTTTCTCGAGACAGAGTCTCGCTTTGTCACCCAGGCTGGAGTGTAGTGGCGCGATCTTGGCTTACCGCAAGCTCCGCCTCCCGGGTTCAAGCAATTCTCCTGCCTCAGCCTCCCGATTAGCTGGGATTACAGGCATGCGCCACCAAGCCCGGCTAATTTTTTTGTGTTTTTAGTAGACACGGGGGTTTCACCATATTGGCCAGGCTGGTCTTGAACTCCTGACCTTGTGATCCACCCACCTCGACCCCCAAAGTGCTGGGATTACAGGCGTGAGCCACTGTGCCCGGCCCTAAAGTAAAGGCTTTCTAAGACACTGTTGATTGGCCTCGCAAACCACAGCATGATGAGCGTTGATGTACAGCATAGCCAATTTAGGGAAGGAGAGATCTGCTCAGAGAGGCTTTGTGATTACCCGACTGTCACACAGCAAACTAGTAAGGCCCTGGTCCTCAACCAGGGCTATAGAATCTGTGGTGCATGTTTTTTCCACTGTACCTATGCAGACCCAGCTCCTTTCTGGAGCTAGAGAACGAATAATGTGTTTACATGTTTTTCTGCAGGTCTAGACAAAACATAATTTAAAAAAAATATGTTTACATGTTTTGCTCTCACACTTTACAGGACCTAGGGGATGAGGCTTATGATTGTCGTTACTTTTATTTTTTATTTTTATCTATTTATTTATTTTTTGAGAGAGGGTCTCACTCTGTTGCCTGGACTGGAGTTGACTGTCATGATCATGGCTCACCACAGCCTCAACCACCCTGGCTCAAGCAATCCTCCCAATCCCAGCCTCCTGAGTAGCTAGGACTACAGGCACACGCCACAGCACCCAGCTAATTTTTCTGTTTTTTTTTTTTTTTTTGTAGAGATAAGGGTCTGGCCATGTTGCCCAGGCTGGTCTTGAACTCCTGGGCTCAAGTGATCTGCCCACTTCAGCCTCCTGAAGTGCAGGGATTACAGGTGTCAACTACTGTGCCTGGCCTGTTATTACTTTTATTTTTCCCCAACCTCACCTGTTGCTTTTAATTTTTTTTTCTGATTTTAAACATGTGCTGTAGCAAAAATTCAGAAATTGAGTCTATCTGATTCATTGCTGCAATTTTTTTTCTTAAATATTGTTCTCCTGACCAGGCACGGTGGCTCACGCCTGTAATCCCAGCACTTTGGGAGGCTGAGGCAGGCAGATCACCTGAGGTCAAGAGTTTGAGACCAGCCTGGCTAACATGGTGAAACCCCATTTCTACTAAAAATACAAAAAATTAGCTGGGCGTGGTGGTAGGCACCTGTAGCACCTGTATTCCCAACTACTCGGGAGGCTGAGGCAGGAGAATCGCTTGAACCTGGGAGGCGGAGATTGCAGTGAGCCGAGATCTGTGCCATTGCACTCCAGCCTAGGCAACAATAGTTATACTCTCTCTCTCTCAAAAAAAAGTTCTCCTAACAATATATTAAATTAAATTTCATTCTCGTAATATTCTCCCATTCGCCTGTCAGGCAGGTTGGGAAGGAGTAATACACCAAATTTACAGGAGAAATCATGACCTAGAAACAGTAAACTACATCCCAATGCCATCAGGTTGACTCTGACAGACCTGGAACTAAAACCCAGGAGCCTGACTCTCACAACAGAGCAGCCACTTCCTCTTTCTGGAGGCGAGCCCAGGCAAGAGGCTGCCCATCTCGCTTCACTCCATCTTGTCTAGGATCAGGGGCTTCCTCTGGCCCTCAGGGAGGGGACACACTACTTGTGCTACTGCTTGACCACGTGACCTTGGGGAAGTCCCTTTCATCATCCTCAAGGCAAGTGCCTGCTTTGTTTTACCTTTTCTTGAAAGCTAAGAAATGGAGGGGACCAGTGGTTCATGCCTGTAAGACCAGGGAGACCTCATCTCTACATAAAAACATAGGGAGACCTCATCTCTATATAAAAATTTTAAAAAGGCCAGGTGCGGTTGTTCACTCCTGTAATCTCACCACTTTGGGAGGCTGAAGCAGGCGGATCATAAGGTCAGGAGTTCAAGACCAGCCTGACCAATATGGTGAAACCCTGTCTCTACTAAAAATACAAAAAATTAGCCGGGTGTGGTGGCACGTGCCTGTAGTCCCAGCTACTTGGGAGGCTGAGGCAGGAGAATTGCTTGAACCCAGGAGGCGGAAGTTCCAGTAAGCTGAGATCGTGCCACTGCACTCCAGCCTGGGCGACAGAGCAAGACTCCATCTCAAAATAAATAAATAAATAAAAATAAATTAAAAAAAAAAAGATAGCAGCCGGAAGTGGTAGCTCATGCCTGTAATCCCCGCACTTTGGGAGGCTGAGGTGGGAAAGTCATCTGAGACCAGGAGTTTGAGACCAGCCTTCATAGCGAGACCTCATCTCTACAAAAATTAAAAGAAAGTAGCCTGGCATGGTGGCACGTGCCTGTGGTCCCAGCTAGTTGGGAGGCTGAAGTGGGAGAATCGCTTGAGGTGGGGAGGTCAAGCCTGCAGTGAGCCATGTTTACACCACTGCACTCCAGCCTGGGTGACAAAAAGAGACCCTGTCTCAGAAAAGAAAAGAAATAGATAGAAATCGCCTTTGGCTGAGTCCAGAGTCTCCAAACCCTTGAACTACCAAGTCTCTCTGAGGCTACTGATGAAAGAGCTTGAGGCTCAGCCACAGCACTGTCTCTTACCCCCACCTCCATACCCCAGCAGAGGAAGGAGGTGTGGGGAAAGGAAACTAACATTTACTGAACACCTACTATGCACTAGATTATTTTACATACATAAGCTCTAATTCCTAAAGATACACCGCAAGATGTGGGATCATTATCCCCAATTTACAGATGAAGACACTGAGGTTTAGAGAGGTTAAGTGATATGCCCAAGGTTATACAGTCACTAATTGGCAGTTTGGAACTCAAATCCAGGTCTCCTGACCCCAGAGCCCTATTGTTCAACTGCTCCTCTAAGAAGACTCAGCACAGATCAGTCATGCTTGGCACAGTCCTGGCACCACCCACAAGATCTATACATTCATTCATTCATCAGCCAACATACATACTGAGCACCTATCTGTGTACCAGGTGCTGGGCTGGGCCCTGAGAAATAATAGGCAAGGTCCCTGCCCTTCTAGAACTTTTTTCTTTTTTTGAGACAGAGCCTCACTGTGTTGCCAGGCTGGAGCACAGTGGCACAATCTCAGCTCACTGCAACCTCCACCTCCCAGGTTCAAATGATTCTCCTGCCTCAGCCTCCCAAGTACCTGGGATTACAGGCCCACACCTGGCTAATTTTTGTATTTTTAGTAAAGGGTTTCACCATGTTGTCCAGGCTGGTTTCGAACTCCCGATCTCAAGAGATCTGCCCACCTTGGCCTCCCAAAGTGCTGGGATTACAGGCATGAGATACCATGCCCGGCCCTTCTAGAACTTTCGTTCTTTCTCCCTTTCTTTGTTTTAGAGATTGGATTTCACCATGTTGCCCCAGCTAGTCTAACTCCTGACCTCAAGTGATCCACCTGCCACAGCCTCCCAAAGTGCTAGGATTACAGGTGTGAGCCACCGCTCTCAGCCCTAGAACTTTCTAATGTCGAAAGACAGCAGTCAAGTAAACAAATAAAGAAGACATTTCTGATAGTGCTAAAAAGAAAATAAAACAGGGTCATGGGAGAGAGAACAACCGTGCATATGTGAGTGTGAGATAGAGATACAGCAAGAGCGAGAACTAGAGATATCATGAGATGATGTGGTTATGGAAGTCCTCCAATAATGAGGTGACATTTCCACTGGATCTGTTGGATCCAAGTCTGCCCCATCTCCCTGTGCCTGGACAGCCAGGGCAACAGGGAAGTTACCAGGACACATATTCCTAGAACCCTGAAGGCCAAAACTAGGAGGGCCTTTGTCAATCTTTTTTTTTTTTGAGACAGAGTCTTGCTCTGTCACCCAGGCTGGAGTGTAGCGGCACAGTCTTGGTTCACTGCAAGCTCTACCTCCTGGTTTCAAGGAATTCTCCTGCCTCAGCCTCCTGAGTAGCTGGGATTACAAGTGCCCGCCACCATGCCTGGCTAATTTTTTTTTTTTGTATTTTTAGTAGAGTGGGGGTTTCACCATGTTGGCCAGGCTGGTCTTGAACTGCTGAGCTCAGGCAATCCGCCCGCCTCGGCCTCCCAAAGTGCTGGGATTACAGGCATGAGCCACCGCGCCCAGCCCGTTAATCTTCTCACTTTATAGATGTGGAAACGGGTACAGAAAGCAGGAGGGATTTACCCCAGGGGGAGTAGCTATGCTGGAAACCAGGCAGGGGGCAGGGCCTTGCGGTGACTGGCTGGTGCTATGCCCATCCTAAACACTTGAATCAAGTTTTCTTTTTTTTTTTTTTTTTTTGAGACCGAGTCTCACTCTGTTGCCCAGGCTGGAGTGCAGTGGTGCGACCTCAGCTCACTACAACTCAGTCTCCCGGGTTCAAGCGATTCTCCTGCCTCAGCCTTCTGAGTAGCTGGGACTACAGGCGCATGCCACCATGCCCAGATGATTTTTGTATATTTTTTAGTAGAAATGGGGTTTCACCATATTGGCCAGGCTTGTCTCGAACTCCTGACCTCGTGATCCACCCGCCTTGGCCTCCCAAAGTGCTGGGATTACAGGCTTGAGCCACTGCGCCTGGCAGAATCAAGTTTTCTAAGGAAGGAAACTCTGAGATCTTTTTCCTCTCTCTTCCCTCCCTCTTTACTTCCATCTGAGCTAGAAAGAACAATTAGCAAATTCATGCTTTGTGAATCACCTTTCTGTTGACACTTTCATTCCCAAAGCTGATTGTTTCAATGTTTGCCCAATGTGAACAAGACCTGAACAACACTGTGATGGGGCTGGAGATGATGGGGGATGTAGGAAGCTGAGAGAGAAGGGGTATATCCAGTAAGATTTTTCATTTTCACCAAGACCAGCTTTTAATTGTTCCAGTGAATGGAGGGGAACGTTGACTGGGGTACATTCTGAAGAGTCCAGTTGGCTTTCAGATATTATATATGAGCCTTCCCTCCTCCTCCTACATAATTTTTCCATCTTAATTATTATTCCACCTGATTTTATTATTTTATTCCTATTTATTTATTTATTTTTCCGAGATGGAGTCTCACTCTGTCATCAGGCCGGAGTGCAGTGGTGTGATCTTGGCTCACTGCAACCTCCGCCTCCTGGGTTCAAGCAATTCTGCCACCTCAGCCTCCTGAGTAGCTGGGATTACAGGTGCCCGCCACCACACCCAGCTAATTTTTGTATTTTGAGACAGGGTTTTGCAACGTTGGCCAGGCTGGTCTCAAACTCCTGACCTCAGGTGATCTGTCCACTTCAGTCTCCCAAAGTGCTGGATTACAGGCATGAGCCACCGGGCCTAGCCTATTCTTATTTTTTTAGAGACATGGTCTTGCTTCTCCTGTCACCCAGACTGGAATGCAGTGGTGTGATCATAGCTCAAGTGCAGCCTCAAACATCTGGGCTCAAGTGATCCTTCCACCTCAGCGTCCTGAGTAGCTAAGACTATACCCAGCTAATTTTTAAAAATTTTTTGCAGAGATGGGGTCTTACTATGTTACTCGGGGTGGTGTCTCCTCGCCTCAAGTGATCCCCCTGTCTCTGCCTCTCAAAGCACTTCAATAATAGGCATGAGACCCCGCACCTGAACTCCAACTGATCCTTTTTTTTTTTTTTTTTTTTTTTTTGAGATGGAGTCTCACTCTGTTGCCCAGGCTGGAGTGCAGTGGCATGATCTCGGCTCACTGCAACCTCTGCCTCCTGGATTCAAGCGATTCTCCTGCCTCAGCCTCCCAAGCAGCTGGGACTACAGGTGTGCACCACCAACCTGGCTAATTTTTGTATTTTTAGTAGACACAAGGTTTCATCATGTTGGCCAGGCTGGTCTCGAACTCCTGACCTCAAGTGATCTGCCCGCCTCCGCCTCCCAAAGTGCTGGTATTACAGGTGTGAGCCACCGTGCCTGGCCAACTGATTATTTTTGAGATGGGGTCTTGCTCTGTTGCCCAGGCTAAAATGCAGTAGCTTGATCATGGCTCACTGCAGCCTTGACCTTCCAGGCTCAAGTGATCCTCCCACCTTGGTCTTCACAGTAGCTGGGACCACAGGCATGCACTCCCATGCTGGGCTAATTTTTTTATTTGTAGAGATTGAGTCTCACCACGTTGCTCAGGCTGCTCTCGAACTCCTGGGCTCAAACAGTTCTCCTGCCTAGGCCTCCCAAGGTGCTGGGATTACAGGCTTGATCCACCATGCCAGGCCTCAATGGATTTTAAAAGGAAACTTACTCTGTATGATAATTGAGTCTTAGTGATATAATCACTTTCCCCATCTGGACCTGTTTCCTATTCTGTAAAATGGGAGTGAAATAGGAGCCAGGCTCTTCCATTCATATCTTCTATGATTTGGGAAGGGAGAAAGGGTCCTGAGGAGAGTCTTGTTTCATACATTGGCCCCTCCTCAGCTTTGGGACCCCAGACAGAAGTATTCTGGGAAGTGCTGTGTAGCTATATTATCAGCCCAGGTTACTGAGTGCCCTCTGTGCCTGGAACTGCACTAGGTGTTTCCAGTCTCTCATTTAATTTTCTTTTTCTTTTTTTTTTTTTTGAGTCGGAGTCTCACACTGTCACCTGGGCTGGAATGCAATGGCACAGTCTCAGCTCACTACAACCTCCGCCTCCCGGGTTCAAGTGATTCTCCTGCCTTAGCCTCCCAAGTAGCTGGGATTATAGGAGCGTGCCACCATGCCCAGCTAATTTTTTGTATTTTTAGTAGAGACAGAGTTTCACTGTGTTGGCAAGGCTGGTCTCGATCTCCTGACCTCGTGATCACCCAACTCAGCCTCCCAAAGTGCTGGGATTACAGGTGTAAGCCACTGAACCTGGCCTTCTGTTTTTTTTTTTTTGAGACAGAGTCTTGCTCTGTCTCCCAGGCTGCAGTGCAATGGCACAACCTTGGCTCACTGCAACTTCCGCCTCCCAGGTTCAAGCGATTCTCCCACCTCAGCCTCCCGAGTAGCTGGGATTACAGGCATGCACTACCATGCCCAGCCAATTTTTGTATTTTTTGGTAGAGACAGGGTTTCACCATGTTGTCCAGGCTGGTCTCGAACTGCTGACCTCAAGTGATCCTCCCGCGTCAGCCTCCCAAAAAGCTGGGATTACAGGCGTGAGTCACCGCACCTGGCCTTATTTAATTTTCAGAACATGATCTTATGAAAAGGAGCAAACTCTTACTTTGCAGAAGTGGAAACTGAAGCTCAGAGAGGCTAAGTAATTTGTTCAGGGCTCCACAGTTGGAAAGAGGGAGTTTATAGCAGCTCTGACTGAATCCCAGGCCTATTCCCTACCCAGGGCTCTGCCTCTGAAGATGACACAGTGAGTTCAGCTACACACACTGAAGGGGGGATCACCCATCCCCTCCTTCTCTGGTTTTTGTCCTCCACCCTACCTCAGGTCCTACCAAGGTAATGGACCTTGTCATTAACAATAATTGTATCCCTACCCCAGGTAATTTGAATACCAAGTATCCTATCCCCCTAACAGCACCTCCTATCTTTCCAGCTCACTCCTTGTACAGCTGGGAGTCCAGCAGTTCTTTGACCTTCCAGAACCTCCAGTCCACTGATACTAACTGTTTTTGGTCACTGTTCCTTGCTTCCCTCATGTCTTGACCTTCCTCTTTTACCAGCTAGACTCCATGGAACATTGTTATAATTACATCCTAGCAACCCCTCATAATTACTTCCCTCAACCCCCTGGCCCGCTCTCATTAAACTGCATCCACCTGGCAAGGCCACACCCTGGTTAATTCCACACAGGTGACTGAGGCTAGTGAAAGACACAGCCCTGCCGACTGGTCTCCTTCGAACATCATGCCCATTATCCTCCAGGGGCCCTTAGCACTCGCTGGCCGGCAATCCCACCATGTGACCCAGGCTTTTCACCCTCCCGCAGTCCTTTAGGACAAGGATATAACTTCTCCTCTTTCCTCTGTCCCTGACAGCTCCTCCCCCATCGTCTTCTCATCTGGTGTCCCTGCTTCCTACTTCACTAAGAAAAACAGAGGCAATCAGAGTAAGAGGAATAGTATGGGGTGGTCAGAGGAGAATAAAAATTCCAGACAGCAGTTTCACATGACTAGAGGCGAGGGGCTGATAAGACTCTGAAAAACAGGATGTGGACCAAGCTGGCTGAGACTGACTGGACCCAACATGGTGCTGGATTTGACATAGGTTTTTCCTCGGACCTCATTATGATAGATGCAGAAGGAAGATAAGGGGGAGGGTCCCCGGAGAATTTCCCACCACCCTGTCCACTGGGAAGATGGGGTGGAGACTCAGGAAGTTCACACCATTTGCGAGGGGCAGGAGCATGGCCTCTCCTGTTCCTGGGTGGGGACCTGGGATTCAATCTGTGAGGTGGGGGCCTGTAAGCAGGAACCCCTCTTGCTATGCTGAGTTTTTTTTTTTCCTTTTTGCCCAGTAAATTCTGTCCCCCCTCATCCTTCAGTCTCTGCGTGCCTAACTCTTCCTGGTCCTGTGAGAAGAACCCGTTTTTTCCTACAACAATTACATGCCCATTAAGATACCAAAAATCACACACCCACCAGCACCACAACAGTTCTGAGAACACCCATATTTGGTGTAAAAATGAGTGGCACCACAGTTCCGAGAAACCTCCACCTTTCTCCAGGAGTTTTCATGATATTCCACCACGTGGTGAAAGAAACCCATAAAATGGCTGGGCGTAGTGGCTCGTGCCTGTAATCTTAGCACTTTGGGAGGCCGAGGCGGGTGGATCACCTGAGGTCAGGAGTTCGAGACCAGCTTGGCCAACATGGCAAAACCCCGTCTCTACTAAAAATACAAAAATTAGCTGGGCGTGGTGGTGCATGCCTGTAATCCCAGCTACTCGGGAGGCTGAAGAAGGAGAATTGCTTGAACCCGGGAGGTGGAGGTTGCAGTGAGCCAGTATTGCACCACTGCACCCCAGCCTGTGCGGTGGGAGTGAGACTCCATCTCAAAAAAAAACAAAAACAAAAACAAAAACCATAAAGGTAGCAGCCCCAGACCCTCTTGTGTGACTCTCTCTTGAGTCTGCCCATACTCCCGTTCAGTGTGTACTTTTTGCTTTGCAATAAATCTCGGTACTTTCACTACTTTCTGACTCATTCATGAATTCCTTCTCGCGATGGCATCAAGAACCTGGACACTGGCTGGGGTCGAGTTTCCGCCGGCTTTGGGGGACCTTCCCCAGCCCACCAGTATCAAGAAGACAATTTCCTTGGACTGAATACCTCTATCCATTCACCTGAGGCTATGCCTTATTTTCAGCCTCCCCTCCTGCCCCTGGGAATGAACCCTGCTTGCTCCTTTCCAAGGCTACACCTTCATTTGTACACCACATCCCACCCTTCTCACCTGCCCAAGGCCTTCACACCAGCAAGTGTCCCTCTCTCCCTGACTAGATCATTCCAATCACCATTAAAATATGATCTCTTGGGCCAGGAGTAGTGGCTCAAACCTGTATTCCTAGCACTTTGGGAGGCCTAGGCAGGAAGAATTGCTTGAGGCCAGGAGTTCAAGACCAGCCTAGGCAACATAGCAAGACCCCCGTCTCTAAAATAAAATAATGAAAAACAATTAGCCGAGTGTGATGGCTAACACTTGTAGTCCTAGCTACTCGGGAGGCTGAGGCAGAAGGATTACTTGAACGTGAGAGTTCAAGGCTGCCATGAGCTATGATTGCACCACTGTACTCTAGCCTGGGCGAGGGTGAGACCCTGTCTCTAATAATAATAATAATAATAATAATAATAACTTCAGGCTGGGCGCGGTGGCTCACGCCTATAATCCCAGCACTTTGGGAGGCGCAGGTGGGCGGATCACCTGAGGTCAGGAGTTTGAGACCAGCCTGGCCAACATGGTGAAACCCCATCTCTACTAAAAATACAAAACTTAGCCCAGCGTGGTGGGCGCGTCTGTAATCCCAGCTACTCAGGAGGCTGAGACAAGAGAATCACTTGAACCTGGGAGGCAGAGGTTGCAGTGAGCCGAGATCGTGCCATTGCACTCCAGCCTGGGCGACAAGAGCAAGACTCTGTCTCAAAAATAATAATAATAATAATTTATTGCATCTGAAAAAAAAAGAAAACCCACAACAAAACCAAGAGCGTCTCTTGACCCCAAACCTCCCTCCTTTTCTACCCTACTTCTCTCTCTCTTTTTTTTTTCTTTTTTTTAAGCCAGAGTCTCTCTCTGTTACCAGGCTGAAGTGCAGCGGCTCCATCTTGGCTCACTGCAAACTCCACCTTCCCCATTCAAGTGATTCTCCTGCCTCAGCCTCCCAAGTAGCTAGGATTACAGGCGCCCGCCACTACACCTGGCTAATTTTTCTATTTTTAGTAGAGACAGGGTTTCACATGTTAGCCAGGCTGGTCTTGAACTCCTGACCTCAGGTGATCTGCCTACCTCAGCCTCCCAAAATGTTGGGATTACAGGCGTGAACCAACGTGCCCGGCCCCCATTTCTCCATATAGCAAAACTCTTTGACAGCATCTACACTTGCTGCTTTCAGGGCTCTCCTGTTCGCTCTTGCATACACTTCAGCCAGGCTTCTGTTGCCAGCACTCTACCCAAACTGCTTTTGTCAAAGTCACCAGTGACCTTCACATTGCCAAATCTAATTAATTATTTTTTTATTTTTATTTGAATTTATTTATTTATTTATTGAGATGGAGTTTCACTCTTGTTGCTCAGGCTAGAGTGCAGTGGTGTGATCTTGGCTCACTGCAACCTTCACCCCCCGGGCTCAAGTGATTCTTCCGCCTCAGCCTCCCAAGTAACTGGGATTACAGGCGTATGCCACCATGACTGCCTAATTTTGTATTTTTAGTAGAGACAGTGTTTCACCATGTTGGCCAGGCTGGTCTTGAACTCCTGACCTCAGGTGATCCACTTACCTTGGCCTCCCAAAGTGCTGGGATTACAGACGTGAGCCACCGTGCCCGGCCAATTATTTTTATAAAAGAACAACTTCACTGAGACATAAATCACATAACATATAATTCATCCTTTTTTTTTTTTTTTTTTTTTGAGACGGAGTCTTGCTCTTTTGCCCAGGCTGGAGTACAGTGGCGCGATCTCGGCTCATTGCAAGCTCTGCCTCCCGGCTTCACGCCATTCTCCTGCCTCAGCCTCCCGAGTTGCTGGGACTATAGGCGCCCGCCACCACGCCCAGCTAATTTTTTGTGTTTTTAGTAGAGATGGGGTTTCACTGTGTTAGCCGGGATGGTCTTGATCTCCTGACCTTGTGATCCCCCCATCTTGGCCTCCCAAAGTGCTGGGATTACAGGCGTGAGTCACCGCGCCTGGCATAATTCATCCATTTTTTTAAAAAAACTATTTATTTATTTATTTTGAGATGGAGTCTGGCTCTGTCACCCAGGCTGGAGTGCAATAGTGCGATCTTGGCTCACTCCAACCTCTGCCTCCTGGGCTCAAGCGATTCTCCTGCCTCAGCCTCCCAAGTAGATGGGATTACAGGCGTGCACCATGACACCCGGCTAATTTTTGTATTTTTAGTAGAGATGGGGTTTTGCCATGTTGGCCAGCTGGTCTCGAACTCCTGACCTCAAGGGATCCACCTGTCTCAGTCTCCCAAAGTGCTGGGATTACAGGCATGAGCCACCGCGCCTGGCCTATATGTTTTCATTTCTCTTCAGTATATACTCAGGAGTAGAAATGTTGGTCATAAGGTAATTTTTTTGTTTAGCCCTTTGAGGAACTGCCAGACTGTTTTCCAAAGCAGCTGCACCATTTTTCATTCTCACTAGCAGTGTTTGAGGACTCCAGTTTCTCCACATCCTCACCAACACTTGTTGATTACTGTCCTTTTTGACTATAGCCATCCTGATGGGTGTGAAATGGTGTCTCATTGTGGTTTTGACTGTATTTTCCTGATGGCTAAGGAGGTGAGCATCTTTTCATGTGCTTATCGGTCATCTGTATCTTTGGAGAAATGTCAATTCAGTTCCTTTGCCCATTTTTAAATTGTGCTATTTATTATCATTGAGTTGTAAGGGTTCTTTATTCTAGATACAGTCCCTTATATGATTTGCAAAATTTTCTCCCATTTTAATTATTAATTATTAATCCTCATATTTTATTTAATCTCTAAATTGCCCAAGACACAGCTAATCATTCCTTCTTTGTAATACTTTCTTTCTTTTTTTTTTTTGAGATGGATTCCCACTTTGTCACTCAGGGTGGAGTGCAGCGGTGCGATCTCTGCTCACTGCAACCTCTGCTTCCCAGGTTCAAGTGATTCTCTTGCCTTAGCTTCCCGAGTAGCTGGGATTACAGGTGCCCACCACCACGCCCAGCTAATTGTTGTATTTTTAGTAGAGACAGGGTTTCACCATCTTGACCAGGCTGGTCTTGAACTCCTGACCTCAGGTGATCCGCCCACCTCGGCCTTCCAAAATTCTGGGATTACAGTCGTGAGCCAATGTGCCTGGCCCCTTGTAATACTTTCTACCTTTGGCTTTTTTTTTTTTTTTTTTGAGACAGAGTCTTGCTCTGTCACCTGGGCTGGAGTGCAGTGGCGTGATCTCTGCTCACTGCAACCTCCGTCTCAGATTCAAGTGATTCTGGTGCCTCAGCCTCTGGCATAGCTGGGACTACACACGCAGGCCACCACGCCCAGCTAATTTTTGTATTTTTTGGTAGAGATGTGGGTTTCTCCATGTTGGCCAGGCTGGTCTCAAACTCTTGGCCTCAAGTGATCCACCCGCCCCAGCCTCCCAAAGTGCTGGGATTACAGGTGTCAGCCACCATGTGCGGACCTTCCCTTGCCTTCAAAGACACCACAGTGTCCTAGTTTTCCTTCTGTTTCACTGACTGCTGTGGTTTCCTCCGAATCCACTCAGCCTCTAAAGAATAAAATGCCCAGGACTTATTCCCTGGTCTTCTCTTTTCTGTCTACACTCATTCCCTTGGTGATCTCACCAGTCTCAAGCTTGAAATACCATCTCTGTGCTGGCAAATCCCAGATTTATTTATTATTTATTTATTTATTTATTTATTTATTTATTTTTTGAGACGACATCTCACTCACTCTGTCACCCGGGCTGGAGTACAGTGGTGTGATCTCGGTTCACTGCAACCTCTCTCTCCCAAAATCCCAAATTTATATATTCCAGTCCAGAGCTCTGTCTGGGACTCCAGGCTCATTTATTTAATTTTAGTCAACATCTCTACTTTCATGTTTGTAGTCATCTCAAATTTTGCACGTTCAATGTTGACTTCTCGAACTGAAGTCCTAGCAAATGGCAAATTCCAGTTCTTGGCCCCAAACTCTGAAGCCACTTTCCACTCCTTTTTCTCTCACGCTGCACTTTCTCATTCGTCAGCAAGCCCTGTGGCTCTGCCTTCAGAACCCAAACAGGCCCTGACCACATCTTGGCCCCACCTCCAGCTTACTGCCATCTCTGCGGTCTAAGCCACGCCCCACTCTCCAGGATTTTTGGAGCCTTTCTGCCGTCGTGCTTGTCGCCTACAGTGTTTTCATCCCAGCAAGCCAGTGTGATCCTTTCTAAACACAAGTCAGATCATGTCATTTTAATGCCTCCTTCTCATTTGGAATACAAGCCGAAATCTCCTCCCACACCCCTTCCCTTATCGGGGGCAGCCACACTGGCCTCCCTGATGTTCCTCAACCATGCCAGGCACGCTCCCACCTCAGGGCCTTGCGACTGCTCTTCCATCTGCCTGGCACGGTCTCCTTTGATCCCCACATGGCTGCTCTCTCAATTCCTCCAGGTCGTCTTCTCCATGTCTCCTGTTCTCAGGGAGGCCTTCTCTGACTATCCAATTAGAATGGCGCCCTCGCTCCCCACACCTGCTAGCCTCTTCTCTATTTCCAAAGCACCTAACACCATCTACCATGCTGCGTATTTACCTATTTATTGCCCCATTTCCCGCCCCTGGAACCAAAGCTCCAGGAGAGCAGGGATTTTGTTTTCTATGTAATCCAGCACCTGGAAACCTGTGTGTGCTCAGTAAATATTCACGGGATGAGTGAAGGTGAGACAGGACTAACATGGGTCGCAGAAGAATGGAAAATTCCAGGCAGCAGTTTCACATGACTAGCAAAAGGAAGCTGTTGAAATAACTGCAGAAGCTAGGGGCTCATAAGACCCTGAACAATCAGGGCATGGAGCAAGCTGGCTGAGACCAACTGGACACAGCATGGTGCTGGATTTGACCCAGGTTTCTCCTAGGACCTCATTATACGCTTATTAACATACTAAAAATCACACACCCACCAGCACCACTATAGTTCCCATATTTGGTGTAAAAATGGGTGGCACCACAGTTCCAAGAAATCTCCACCTTTTTCCAGTAACTTTCATAAATATTCCACCCCTTGGTTAAAGAAACCTATAAAAATAGAAACCACAGCTGGGCACAGTGGCTCACGCCTGTAATCCCAACACTTTAGGAGGCCAAGGTGGGCAGATCACATGAGATCAGGAGTTTGAGACCAGCCTGGCCAATATGGTGAAACCCCGTTTCTACTAAAAATAAAAAATTAGCCGGGCGTGGTGGCACGTGCCTGTAATCCCAGCTACTCGGGAGGCTGAGGCAGGAGAATCACTTGAACCCGGGAGGCGGAGGTTGTAGTGAGCCGAGATCATACCGTTGCACTCCAGCCTGGGCAACAAGAGCGAAACTCTGCCTCAAAAAAAAAAAAAAAATAGAAACCACAAAGCCCCTTGTGTGACTTTCTTGAGTACACCCACACTCCCCTCTTGAGTGTGTGTACTTTTAAAACATTTTTAAAAATATTTTTGAGACAGGGTCTCACTCTGTAGCCCAGGCTGGGAGTGCAGTGGCACAATCACAGCTCACTGCAGCGTCAACCTCCAGGGCTCAAGCCAGCCTCCCCTGTCAGCCTCCTGAGTAGCTGGGACTACAGGCACTCGCCACCACACCCAGCTAAGTTTTGTATTTTTTGTAGAGATGTTGCCCAGGCTGGTCTTGAACTCCTAGGCTCAAGCGATCCGGGATTACAGACATAAGCCATCGTGCCCAGTCAAAGCTCCAGTTCTTCTTCTTTTTTTTTTTTCTTTTTTTTTTGAAACAGAGTTTCTCTCTTGTTGCCCAGGCTGGAGTGCAATGGCGTGATCTCGGCATACCGCAACTTCCACCTCCAGGGTTCAAGCGATTCTCCTGCCTCAGCCTCCCAAGTAGCTGGGATTACAGGCATATGCCACCACGCCTGGCTGATTTTGTATTTTTAGTAGAGATGGGGTTTCTCCATGTTGGTCAGGCTGGTCTTGAACTCCTGACCTCAGGTGATCCACCCACCTTGGCCTCCCAAAGTGCTGGGATTACCGGCGTGAGCCACCATGCCCGGCCAAAGCTCCAGTTCTTATCCCATCTTGGCCTCTTATTGGCTGGGTGACCTGGGTGCGAACCCTTCCCCTTCACTGAGCCTTGGTGTTCTCCTCTATTCATTAGGTCATCACCATCTACCTCTCAGGGCTAGCATAAAAGACCCAGTGTGTGAGCAGTGTCTGGTATGTAGTCAAGGCTGGCTTGCCCTCCTCAGAAACTGCCAATTTGCTAATTTGGTACAAGCTTCAGACAGGTGTGGATTTCGGTGGTGCGGGGATACAGGGGAGTGGAGAAGGAAGGTGGAAGAGAGAGGGACACCAGAGAAAGCAGACGAGGCCCTGAGAGAGAATCTGCAGGGCCAGAGGCTGGAGTCTGAAGACCAAGATAGGCACAGAAGCCTGAGCTGTCCCTGGCACGATGTGAGCAGGGCAGATGTTCCAATCTCCCTTCCCTCAGGTGTGGAGCGGCTCATGAAGCCCCTCCCTGTCTAGAAGCTGGTTCGGCCCATCTGATCCGACCCTGCAGGGAGGCAGGCAGAGGTGAGTGGTGAGAAAGCCCATTTCACAGGTGAAGAAACTGAGGCTCAGGAAGGTGGCGATTTGCGTCTCTATCTCATCTCGCCTGCCAGGGTAGAAGCTCCTCAGATTCAAGCGCCATTTAGTTCCTGCTTCTGTTTCCTCAGAGCCATGCTGTTGATTGAAAACAGGAGTGAGTGTTCCTCAGTGGGTTCCCAGCCCCAGCAGGCCTCACGCCCCCTTTTGTAACAAGTATCTTGCAATGCCCCTTTCCTATAATGGAATACAATTCATAGATTATGTGGTCTATTTATACACTACTAATTTTTTTTTTTTTTTGAGATGGAGTTTCACTCTTATTCACTCTTATTGTCCAGGCTGGTGTGCAATGGCGTGATCTTGGCTCACTGCAACCCCTTCCTCCCGGGTTCAAGTGATTCTCCTGCCTCAGCCTCCCAAGTAGCTAGGATTACAGGCATGTGACACCACGCCTGGCTAATTTTTTTCTTTTGTTTTGTTTTGTTTTTTTTTAAGATGGAGTCTCACTCTGTCGCCCAGGCTGGAGTGCAGTGGCGTGATCTCGGCTCACTGCAAGCTCCGCCTCCTGGGTTCACGCCATTCTCCTGCCTCAGCCTCTCGAGTAGCTAGGACTACAGACGCCCACCACCATGCCCGGCTAATTTTTTTTGTATTTTTAGTAGAGGAGACGGGTTTCACTATGTTAGCCAGGATGGTCTTGATCTCCTGATCTTGTGATCCGTCCGCCTCGGCCTCCCAAAGTGCTGGGATTACAGGCGTGAGCCACCGCGCCTGGCCGACGCCTGGCTAATTTTTGTATTTTTAGTAGAGACGGGGTTTCACCATGTTGGCTACGCTGGTCTTAAACTCCTGACCTCAGGTGCGCCTCGGCCTCCCAAAGTGCTAGGATTACAGGCGTGAGCCACTGCGCCCAGCCTATTTATTTATTTATTTTGAGACAGAGCCTCGCTCTGTTGCCCAGTCTAGAGTGTAGTGGCTCAATCAAGGGTTACTGCAACCTCTGCCTCCTGGGCTGAATCTATTCTCCCACCTCAGCCTCACCAGTAGCTGAGACTACAGGTGCACGCCACCACACCTGGCTAATTTTTTTTTTTTTTTTTTTTTTTTTGTAGAGACTGGGTCTCACAGTGTTGCCCAGGCTGGTCTTGAATTCCTGGGCTCAAGTGATCCGCCCTCCTCGGCCTCCCAAAGTGCTGGGATTACAAGCATGAGCCACCGTGCCTGGCCTTGGCCTTGTCTGTCTTTTTTTTTTTTTTTTTTTTTTTTTTTGAGACGGAGTCTTGCTCTGTCACCAGGCTGGAGTGCAGTGGCGCGATCTCGGCTCACTGCAACCTCTGCCTCCTGGGTTCAAGCGATCCTCCCTGCCTCAGCCTCCCGAGTAGCTAGGACTACAGGCGCACGCCACCAAGCCCAGCTATTTTTTTTTTTTTTTTTTTTTTTTTGGTATTTTTAGTAGAGACGGGGTTTCACCACGTTGGCCAGGGTGGTCTCCATCTCTTGGCCTCGTGATCAGCCGGCCTCGGCCTCCCGAAGTGCTGGGATTACAGTCGTGAGCCACCGCGTCTTTTTAAACCTGTAAATACTCAGGCCTACTCTTGTAGAAAAAAGGCTTCTCAAATTTGAAAGTGCCCGGGAGCCACCTGGGGCACATTCCTTGGAATGTGCAGGTTCTGAGTCAGCAAGTCTGGGGCTAGACCTGAGAGCCTGCATTTCTAACCTGCTCCCAGGTGGTGCCCAGTTGTTGCTCCTCAAGCTGGGAAAAGATGACCTTGGCTGCAGATCTGAGGGGCTGCGAAGCCCAGGGCGTCCAGTTCCCGAGGTGCCCTTCCGCCCAGAGCCGCCCTCTCCCCAGACCCCAGTGAGGGTCAGCCCTCTCCCAGGCCTGCCCTGATCGCTGCCCAGGGAAGCGCCCGCCCTGCCGCAGCCGCCCAGTCTGATTCCTGGCATCCACGTGGCAGGGCGCCCGCTGCAGCGACAGCAGTTCCCACGGGAGGAGTCGCACCGGGAATGGGCCGCGGGGGAGGGAGAGAGTGGGAGGGAGTGAGGCCCCGGGAATTGTCCTCTGAAGGGGCGGCGCATGGGCGTCCCCCGCCCTGCTAGCCCCATCTCCTTCCCTGTCCCTGCTTGGGTGAGTAAATCCCTAGTGCTTTGATTCGCTTGCCCCTCCTTCCGTCTCTCCCCACTTCCTCCTCGCTCGCTCGTTCCCTCTGCCTTCAATCTGAGCTGGGCCCTTGCAGTGAGGAGCCCACGGTTACCTGGCTGTTCCCTGCCCGCCACCTCCCTCCAGGTGGGAGGCTTATGGAGGGCTATTGCTGATCTGGGCAGGGCAGGGGCCGTGGTTCCTGGGGAGGACGGAGGAGGTCTCCCACCGTGAGAACGAGGCCAGGCTAATCTGCTCGCCCGGCGCCGCTGGAAGGCAAAACATGAGCCCCTAACAACAACAACAACTGTCCTTCCCTCCCAGGAGGACTGCACTCTGCAGTTTACAGGACACTTCTCTTGCCACTGTCATGTTTTATCCTCATAAACTCGGTGTTCTTGCCATTTGACAGATGGCAAAACTGAGGCCCAGAGAGGCCAAGTCACTAGG
This sequence comes from Homo sapiens, assembly GCF_000001405.40. Lineage (NCBI taxonomy): Eukaryota > Metazoa > Chordata > Mammalia > Primates > Hominidae > Homo > Homo sapiens. Next base: position 27,032,292 of record NC_000001.11, read on the forward strand.
ACAAGGTGCTAGAGCTCAGAGGACATTCCAGGACCTGAACCTGATATGCCATACATGTTTTAGGAGAAGCTTTCTGGGTCTTCTGGGCCTGGATTATCCAGGAATACCATTCCAACCCTTGAACGTGGGGCTCTAAATTTCCATCAGGATCCTTTTTTTTTTTTTGAGACAGTCTCCCTTTGTTGCCCAGGCTGGAGTTCAGTGGCGCGATCTCGGCTCACGGCAACCTCCGCCTCCCAGGTTCTAAGAGATTCTCCTGACTCAGCCTCTGGAGTAGCTGGGATAACAGGTGTGCACCACCTCGCCCGGCTGCTTTTGTATTTTTTTTTTTTTTTTTTTTTGAGAGAAGTCTCGCTGTTATCCCGCAGGTTTGAGTGCAATGGCTCTATCTCAGCTAACTGCAACCTCCGCCTCCTGGGTTCTAACGATTCTCCTGCCTCTGCCTCCCAAGTAGCTGGGATTAAGTCGCCTGCCACCACGCCCGGCTAATTTTTGTATATTTTAGTAGAGACGGGGTTTCACCATGTTGGCCAGGCTGGTCTTGAACTCCTGACCTCAGGTGATCCGCCCGCCTCGGCCTCCCAAAGTGCTGGGATTACAGGTGTGAGCCACTGCGCCTGGCCTGCTTTTGTGTTTTTAATAGAGACAGGGTTTCGCCATGTTAGCCAGGCTGGTCTCAAACAACTGACCTCAAGTGATCCACCCGCCTCGGCCTCCCAAAGTGCTGGGATTACAGGCATGAGCCACCCCGCCTGGCCACCATCAGGATCCTTAACTTCGAATACCAGAGCTGGAAGTCTAAACCATTATACAGAGGGGGAAGCTCAGGCCCACCGAGGGGAAGGGTCTTGCCCAAGCTCAGAAGCCAGATAAGGTTCTGACCCCCACTCCTTAGGGTCTCAGATGAAGTTTCTGAGCCTTTCACAGCTCCCTGTCTTTCCTGCTTGAGCAACTGGGGCCTGTGTTTGGGTACCGTGGGAGGGAGGGGTTAGGGCAAGAATACTCCAAATCAAAGCACCCGCCCAGCAGGGAAGGGGAGAAGTTTTAGTGCCTCTGAAAATACACTTTGCCTTTATGCTTTATTTCCTAAGACAGATATGTGTCACTAACGCAAGGAGATGATAGTGGGTTTTAACTTGCTTTTGTTTTTCACTATTTTGCTTCCCAGGCAGGAGGCCCAAGCCCTGACAACAGAGGTGAGAGAGGCTGTGCCAGCCCTTCTCTGGGCATGTCTGGGCTCAAGGGCCAGGCTCTGTCTCCAGTCTAGGGCCAAGCTGGGGCCTGTGGCAGGATCAGATAGAGGTGAGTGCGTTTTCTGTGAGTGACCCCATCGAGGCCTAGCCCAGAACAGGTGGGGCTCTTTCTGGGCCTGGGTGGAGATCTTTGTCACTGGGCACAGGCTCAGTTTATGACCAAGGTCAGGGCCCATCCTGGGATCAGGGAACAGGGAGAAGCAGCTCTTAGCTTCTCCCAGGACAGAACCAGCCCAGGATTCTTGTTCTAGTAGGGTGAGTTAGGCAGGCGTCTTGGAGCCCACAGGTCTTAGGCTCTTGGGCTAGAGCAGAGGCTCTGAGTGAAGGTGATGTCCCCGAGCTGAGGCCCAGGGTCTCTGACTCACCACTGGGTGGGTTTTCAGGGCAGATGAACTCCCCATCTCGACCCACATTCCCCACCTTACAGCTCAGCCACCAGGACTCTGTGAACATGACTGGCCATCTCCTTCCACTGTTCCTACTTAAGGTCCTGGTGCTTACACAAGAAAGTGGTACCACAACCAGCTCTTTCTAGTGGCAGCTGGACTTGTGGGGGCGGGGAGGGCACAGCTTCTCTAACTGTCCTCAGGGCTCTGTCCAGAGGTATGGATTCTGGTAAACTGGCTAGCTGGAAAGAATAACCAAAAGCCCTCCACCATGGTCAATTTCAGGCTACCCACATGACGCCACTACACGTGAAGTTGTGAAGAGATGTGCAGAATTGGCTCCAGCACCCCCCGTACCTGTTCCAGGACAGTCCCGTTGCCTTCCACGGGGCCCAGAAAGGGGCTGGGGTCCTGCTGGCTTGCCAAGTTAGGGTACCCTTGAGGACTTCCTGTCCTGCCCTTGTGCCTGTTGGTGTGACTGTGATTATGATTGTGGCTATAGTTGACATTGTGATTGTGATGGTTGAAGCTTCAGTTACTGGTGTGTTTTCAGTGACGGGGAGAAGAGGCCAGTGAAGTAAATGCCTCTGTCACTCAAGGGACACGGCCAGGTGCCCAGGGGTATGAGGGCCAATTAGGGCCCAGGGTCCTCAGGGCTGTGTTGTGGCTCTATGCAGGAAACTGGAAACCTGATGTGACCTAATGAACACATCTCCTGCCACTCTCCCCTTCCTCCACTGTGCAGTGATGACCTGGCCTCATGCTGCATTGAGGAGACAGGAGCCCAGCTGTGGGACGCGCTCACCTTTCCATGGTGTAATCTGTATTCCTACCTGCACCGTGCCCTTCTTCTTCTCCTTCCTGACTCACATCTGAGGTTGGGTCCCTCCTCTTATCAAAGGACAGTCTTTTTTTTTTTTTTTTTTTTTTTGAGACGGAGTCTTGCTCTCTAGCTCAGACCGGAGTGCAGTGACGCGATCTCAGCTCACTGCAACTTCTGCCTCCCAAGTTCGAGCAATTCTCCTGCCTCAGCCTTCTGAGTAGCTGGGATTACAGGTGTGCACCACCACGCCCAGCTAATCTTTTTGTATTTTTAGTAAAGATGGGGTTTCACCATGTTGGCCAGGCTAGTCTCGAACTCCTGACCTCAAGTGATCCTCCCGCCTCTGCCTCCCAAAGTGCTGGGATTACAGGCGTGAGCTACCACGCCAGGCCTAAAGGACAGTCCTTAGTGACTTCCCATTGGCTGGAATAAAATGCTGATTCTTTACGGGATGACTTTAGCCTCATCTCCCCCTTCCACCCCCGGCTCCTTGTGTTTCAGCTTCGATTGGCCCCTTTTCTGTTCTACAAGCACAACAAGCTTGTTCCTACCTCAGGGACTTGGAGCCCACAGTTGCCTCCCAGTCTCTGCGTGTCTGGTTACTCATCGTCCCAGTCTTGGCCCAAAGAGCCCTTCCCTGACCTTTCCCTCTAAAGGGGGCTCCCCAGTTACTCTCCATGTTTTCACCTTTGTTGTGGTCAGCCCAGCACTGATGGGTCACCTTGTTTACTGCAGTGTGACTTGTTTCAGGGTCTTCCCCACTAGAGTGTAAGCTCCATGAGGGCAGCGTGCTCATTGTCTGTGGTACCTGGAATCTGGCTGGTACCAGATAAATGCACATGGAATATATAGTACATGTCTGTGTTTATTTCCCCTTTGTTGTCCCTGGGCCATTGCTAACATCTTGTTTGCAGGTCCAAGCCTGGTTTCTTCTCTCCACCGGGCTCTAAAGGGAATGGGCCAAGCTTCCCCCCAACATTTGGGCCAGAGTATGAAAGAGGGGCTAGTGCTCTGCAGGTGCCCCTGTGGTGGGGGGCAGCAGAGGTTGCTGGGTGAGCTCAAGGGGCTTTGAGCCTCCTGGGGTTGAGAGGTCCGGGCGCCTCCAACTTTGATTTGCTTTTGGTACAGAGGGCAGCATTTCCTCCAGCTTCTATGTGTATCCCGGCCCCCGGGCTTCCTCTCTGAGCAGGACTTTCATTGTTTTCTGTCTGCCTTGTGCCCATTTCCTCCTTCCTCCCTCACTCCTGAGGACGAACTCCTCCTCTTATCAAAGGACAGCCCTTCCTGTCTTCCCATTACATTCAAAGCCCCTTTCTCTTTGGGGAGGAGCCCCCACTACATGAGTCTTGATGGACATCTGGGCCCTATTGCCCACTATAGAAGCTGGAGGGGACCACAGACCCCTCTTCCTACTCCCTGGCAGAGAGGACATGGGCACATAACCTGGGGCGGCCAAGGGGCGTAGCCCAGGGCTTGGAGTGAGTGATGCCAAGACAGGAGGGTAAGAATTCACTTAGAAAGGAGGCTTTTGCCAGCCCAGCCAATATGGTGAAACCCTGTCTCTACTGAAAATACAAAAAAAAAAAAAAAAAATTAGCCGGGCGTGGTGGCGCATGCCTGTAATCCCAGCTACTTGGGAGGCTGAGGCAGGAGAATTGCTTGAACCCGGGAGGCTGAGGTTGCAGTGAGCTGAGATCGCGCCACTGCACTCCAGCCTGGGTGACAGAGGGAGACTCTGTCTCAAAAAAAAAAAAAAAAGGAAAGAAAAGTGGTCTTTGGTAGCAGTTGCCAATGTGGTGTCTGATGGTGACAGTGATATCCAGATGTCTTGCAGCAGGCTTGGCCTGTCCAATGCTGTCACTTCCTTCGTTCCTGCTTTTATCTGAGCTTGGGAGGTAGTTTGAGAAGTCGCTGGTGCAGTTATGGAGGGGTGGGGAAAGCAAGATCCCTTTGGAGAGGAGCTAACAGGGTTTCCTGCCCCAGAGCTCTGCCACCACTCAGATGCCCAGAACCTGCCCCCCAAATTCCACTCTCTGAGAGTTCAGGGTTGAGCCCCCTCCCTCCTCCACCATATCTCCTGAGGCCCCTCCCACCAGGTATCCCAGCTGAAGAGGTTCTTCCCTGGGAACTGCTGCCTCAGCCCAGATTCAAGTCAGACAACAGGAAGGACTTCCTGACTGGGGGGGATGGGAGGCCCTGGACAAGGTCAGTGGGGGCATTTCTATCCCAAGACAAGGGACTGACTTCTGGAGGCCCTTTTCCAAATGACAGACAAAAAGAGCAGAGTCTTCTTCAGCCTGGCCAGGGCGGGCAGGGAAGGTTTTTAGAACAGGGTGAAGCACTTAGGGCCAAAGAGCACCAAGATTAAGAGCTCAGACTCCCTTGTTACATCCCAGCTCTGTCACTAACTAGTTGTGTCATCTTGGGTAAGCTACTTAACTCTGCTTCAGTTTTTTTAATCTGTAAAATGGGAGCAATAGTAGTACCTATCTCAGGAGGTTTAAATCAGTGAGTTGAAATTTGTAAAGTGTCAGAGCAATGCCTGGCACAAAGTGACTATTATATAAATTATTTATTTATTTATTTATTTATTTATTTTTTTGAGATGGAGTCTCTCTCTGTCTCCCAGGCTGGAGTGCAATGGTGTGATCTTGGCTCACTACAACCTCTGCGTCCCAGGTTCAAGCAATTCTCCTGCCTCAGCCTCCCGAGTAGCTGGGATTACAGGCGTGCATCACCATGCCTGGCTAATTTTGTATTTTTAGTAGAGACGGGGTTTCTCCATGTTGGTCAGGGTGGTCTCCAACTCCCAACTGCAGGTGATCTGCCTGCCTCGGCCTCCCAGAGCGCTGGGATTACAGGCGTGAGCCACGGTGCCCAGCCATAAATGTTTAATAAAATAAAGATATTAGCAGCTTCCATGTGGGAGCCACCTGGGCGCTGGGCACTGTGCCAGATTCTTTATTTGCATTACCTCGAATCCCCACATTACTCGATCAGATAATTCTTCTTGCTCCTATCCTGCAGATGAGGAAACTGAGGCCCAGAGAGGGGAAGTCAGTTGTGTAAGTTGACCTAGACAGATTCTTCGAGTTCCCTACATTATCACACTCTTGCTTTTCTCCACCACAAAGGCAAAACATTGATGAGGCAGGGGGACGGACAAAATGGGCCTTCCAGAGGTGCTCTCAGACCCTCCCAGCCACACTACAGCCGCAGAGCCCTCCGCTCACAAACCATCCTGGCCTCATCAGAACCTGGGGAGGGTTCCTAGTTGTGCAGGGTAAGTAGTATGCTCAGAGCTGCAAACATCTCATTAAGCAATTACCACAGGGAGCACCAAGGCAAGGAAGTGATCTCACTGCCATCTCGACACCACCCTGCCGCCAGGGTGGGAGTAATGGGGGTAATCATGGCAGCGGTGGCAGTGACATTGATGGTGATGCTGAGTGACGAAAAGGTGATGGCTCTATTAGATCTCGATGTTGGCGGAGGAAGTGAGGGGGCTGGTAATGACTTGAGGGTAGTTCAAGTGATTGCTAATGGTGGTGGCAGATCATAGTCTTGGTGGAGAGGTGACAGTGGTAGTGGTGATTTGTGGGGCAGACGCTGTGGCTTGGCTCTCTCAAGTCCATTTTACCCTCCTAGCTGGGGCAGCTGGACAGCAAAGCACTGCCTGTCCCTTCCCTGCTGTGCCTGCGTGGGGGACAGGCTCCACCAAGAGACTCACTGCAGCAGGGTTTGGAAGGCAGAAGTGAGGCTCAATCCTCTCTGTGCTTCAGTTTCCTCATTTACAAAATAGGAATAGGCCAGGCGCGGTGGCTCTCGCCTGTAATCCCAGCACTTTGGGAGGCCGAGGCGGGTGGATCACCTGAGGTCAGGAGTTCGAAACTAGTCTGAGCAACATGGTGAAACCCCATCTCTACTAAAAATACAAAACTTAGCTGGGCGTTGTGGTGGGCACCTGTAATCCCAGCTACTTGGGAGGCTGAGGCAGGAGAATTGCTTGAACCCAGGAGGCGGAGATTGCTGTGAGCTGATACCACACCACTGTACTCCAGCCTGGGTGACAAGAGTGAAACTGTGTCTCAAAAAAATAAAAATAAAAATAAATAAATAAATAAAAATAAAATAGAAATAATAATAGAACAGTGCCTGGCACATAATAGGCACTATGTAAGTGTTGGTTGTTGTTGCTAAATTGTCATTTTATTAATTTTAAGTTATTTTGTGCCCCCTTTTGGCTGTTTCTGCCAGCCTGCAAGGTTGCAGGAACACGAGGTTTTTCTGCACTGGTGATCTGGTGTCAGGCTCCAGCCTCGAGCTTGCTCAGAGGTAGTCGCAGGGATGAAAGCAGGGGTAGCAGCTTCTTAAATCCAGCTTTCTGATCCCTGCATTGAAGCTTCAGTGGTAAGTTGTTGAATTCATAGCTCTGGCGTTGACTTTCTCAGTGGGTCGAGTATGGAAAGGTCTGGAATCATTCCTGGAGGCCTGGCTCATTGAGCCTCTCTGATGGTTGTGCAAGGACCTACTGCTCTGTATTAAATACTTTGCTGCTAAAAACACCAAGAGGGGTTTCTGTTTCCTGCATTGACCCTGCCCTCACCAGACCCTGCCGCATTCTCTGCATCCCCTCTTCTGGGTCCTCATCTCTGCTGCTCCTTCCTTGGCGTCATCATTGCCACCTCCATGCGTTCTGGAACTCTACCTTCCAGGCTCCCCCTCCCTGAGTCCTCTCCTCTCGGTCTCTTCCTCTTCCTCCTTCACGGTGGGGCTTCTCGGGGGGCTGGCCACCGCAGCCTCACATGTCCCAAACTCATTGCATGGTCTTCTCTCCCCAGTTTGGCCTGTTTTAGCCTGGGGCCCAAACCACAAAGAAAGCTGGGAGCCTCCTTAGAACTTGAGCCTCTTTCCTCCCTCCACTCTGTCTGGGCCTTCTAACATTCAGTGAGCGCCTACTGTGTACTGGGCCGAGCAGCACCCAGAGTTGAGGCTGACCCAGTGTGGGCTCCTGGATGTATGTAAACACCTGTGAAGTTCCGCAAATGGGAGGGATGGGGGAGAGCTCTGTAATAAGTCTAGATTTTTAACAGTCAACAGGGAGGTTCAAAGATGCGGCCGCCTTGCCTCAGTTTGGGTCGCCTCTAAAGGGCCCTTTCAGCCCCAGAATTCCCTGTGGAATAGGCTGAGGCCTTGGCTGTAGCTTCTGCTTCTCACTCCCTTTTGGGGTGGTCCCTGAGAGCAGCCCCCCGTAAGCTGCTGAGTGAGGATCTCCTCTGAGTCTGTTTCAGGGTCCCAGAGCCCAGAGCCCAGAGCCCAGAGTGACTGCTCCTGAGACAACCAACCAGCCATAGTGGAGGCTCTGGCTTGGCTTCAGCCCCCCGAGGGTCAGACTTTACTGCCTCCTCCTTCTTTCTCCATTTCGGGAGCCACCGCCTGAGGCCAAGGTTGTGGCCTGTCTAAATCTCCACAGCTTCTTAAGTGGTTTCCCCCCCCCCGGCTCTCTTGCCTCTTCTGACCCCTTCTCCACAGGGCAGCCAGAAGGATCCAAGCAGATCCAGCCAATCTCCAGCTTAAGCCCTTCAAGGCTACCCATTGCTTTGACGATAAATTGAGCTCCTGACCCCGGGGGTTACCTCCCAGCTCTGCACACCTCCTCTCAGCTGCTGCAGCTGCCTCAAGGCTGCCTCCCTGTTCCCCATGCCTCCCTCTGTAGCAGGGCTCTTTTCCATTTCCCTCAGCTCCTTTCCAGCCTTCAAATTTCAGTCAAATGTCCCATCCTCAGGGACAAGGGCATGTCTGCTCCCCAGGGGCAGCCTGTTACTGGTTAATGGGAGGCTCAAAGGCCTGGCCACCTTGCCTCAGTTTGGGTCCACTCTGAAGGGCCTTCCCAGTTTCTCAGGGAAACCACTTCTTTTTTTTTTTTTTTTTTCGAGGTGGAGTCTCCCTCTGTCGCCCAGGCTGGAGTGCAGTGGCGCGATCTCGGCTCACTGCAACCTCTGCCTCCCGGGTTCACGCCATTCTCCTGTCTTAGCCTCCTGAGTAGCTGGGACTATAGGCACCTGCCACCACGCCTGGCTAATTTTTTGTATTTTTAGTAGAGATGGGGTTTCACCATGTTAGCCAGGATATTCTCGATCTCCTGACCTTGTGATCTGCCCACTTCGGCCTCCCAAAGTGCTGGGATTACAGGTGTGAGCCACTGCGCCCGGCAATCCAATTTCTAACTACATATTTATTCGTGTGATTAACTACTGGATGTCTGTAAGTCGTCCAGGTGCAAGGACAGTACCTACCTCGTTCACCAGGATATACTGGAAGCCCGGCACCATGCCTGGCTTACATAAGAGGCACTCTGTAAAAGCTGAATGAGTGAATGGAGGGATGAATGAATGAAAGCACTCTGTAAACTCTAAAGCAGGAGTGATGGGAAAGGATGGACGATAGTAATTGTAAAATAACTACTGTCTAGCAGGCAGAGGCAGCAACACAGCAGGAGTCTCCCCAGCCTGTGGCTGGGCAGGCTGTACCCTGAGTGGCCTCTTCCCCACCGCACCTCACCCTACACTCCAGGGTCACAAGCTTGGTAAGTCTGAAAATAACAGCAGCTATTTCACCCATACTGCCTCATTGAACCTGCACGAGAGGATCTTGGGGTGATGCTATCATTATTCCCACTGTAAAGATTTGGAAACTGGGGCTCAGGGAGCTTCAGTAATTTACCCAAGATAAATGAATGGTGGGGCTGGGATTCAAACATAGGTCTATCGAAGGTCATAGCCCACCCAAGCGTTCATGTTGACACTCTCCTGCCCCTCTGGTCACCTTTAAACCTTTCAATCTCTTCATCCCCATCTTTTTTTTTTTTTTTTTTTTTGAGATGGAGTCTTGCTCTGTCACACAGGCTGGAGTGCAGTGGTGTGACCTCAGTTCACTGCAACCTCCGCCTCTTGGGTTCAAACAATTCTTTTGCCTCAGCCTCCAGAGTAGATGGGACTACAGTTGCCCACCACCACACCTGGCTAATTTGTGTATTTTTAGTAGAGATGGGGTTTCACCATGTTGGCCAGGCTGGTCTCGAACTCTTGATCTCAAGTGATCGCCCGCCTCAGCCTCCTAAAGTGCTGGGATTACAGGCATGAGCCACCATGCCAGGCCACCCGTCCCCATCTTGTCTTCTCTGGAGTCCCTGTGCTCTCCCCAGCAGCTTTGAGCAGGCACCTCTCAGAGCCTCATTTTACCTGTCTGTAAAATGGACACACACATCTCTGACTGTTTTGTAATGAAGGTCCACGAGGATGGGAATGTTTTTTGTAAAACATGTAAACATGTTCTGTGTAAAAGGGCTGAGTGAGGTGGAGCCCAGGTAGTGAAGACGCTGCAGTGACCTGCCCAAGGTCACCCTGTGGTGGCAGGGGAACAGGTCTCTGCCCTCTGGCTGGGCACCATGGGCAAGTGAGTGTGAGGGTGGGTGGCTGTGTGAGTGTGACTGTGCGTGTAGACTACCCCAGGACCAACCTCTTGAAGGTCAAGAAAAGCCCCTGTTGCAGGCCGGGCATGGGTGGCTCACGCCTGTAATCCCAACACTTTGGGAGGCCGAGGCGGGTGGATCATCTGAGGTCAGGAGTTTGAGACCAGCCTGGCCAACAGGGTGAAATCCCGTCTCTACTAAAAACACAAATATTGGCCCGGCGTGGTGGTGGGCACCTGTAATCCCAGCTACTCAGAAGCAGAGGCAGGAGAATTTCTTGAACCTTGGGAGGCAGAGGTTGCAGTGAGCCAAGTTTGCGCCGTTGCACCCGAGCCTGGGTGACAAGAGAGAAACTCCGATTCAAAAAAAAAAAAAAAAAAAAGGAAAAGCCCCTGCTGCTTCCAATTTTAAGGCTTCCAGTGTTATTAAATTAAAAAATAAAAAGGCTGCGGAAAACATCATGCATTTTAAAGGTTTATGTTTAACAAACGAACTTTTTAAAAACACACACACAATGCAATGCCATGTAATTGTGCTATTATTCACAAGATAATTAGAGGATTTATAGAAAATATGAATTCATAGTGCACAGTGGGAGGTGTGGCTGGGTAATGAGATGCAAGCGCACAGTGGCCTGGCGAGCAGCTCCTGCGTTCCTCCCATTGTGTCCCTTTGTTACTACATGTTACATCCTCATTTGGGCATACCAGTGGGCAAGAGACCTTCCTCCACCTGGCCTCTGCCTCGTGTTATCTCCCCACACTCGGCACCCTCTCTGGCTTTTTTTTTTTTGAGACAGTGTCTTTTTTTGAGACACAGGGCAGGGACAAGTCTTTGGTTAATCTTCCATTAATTAATCTATGTATCAGTTACTCACAGATGTTTATTGAGCTCCTATTTTGTATTCTGGAATCCATGTTTTGCTCTGGGGACATGGCAGTGAAGAAAACAGACAAGGTCCCTGCTCTCGGGAAGCCCACAGTCTTGGGTGGGAGACAGACACTTAAGTAAATCAGGCCATATAAACAGTGATAGGGGCTGTGAAGGGCATTAACAGGAACTGAGATGGAATTACAGGAGACTGGCCGGATGCAGTGGCTCACGCTTGTGAGCTGGGATTACAGGGGTCTGCCACCATGCCTGGCTAATTTTTTGTATTTTTACGTTATTTATTTATTTATTTATTTTTGAGACAGAGTCTTGCTTTGTTGCCCAGGCTAGAGTACAGTAGCGCTATCTCAGCTCACTGCAACCTCTGCCTCTCAGGTTCAGTTCAAGTGATTCTCCTGTCTCAGCTTCCCGAGCAGCTGGGATTGCAGGCGCCCGCCACCACGCTCGGCTAATTTTTGTATTTTTAGTAGAGACAGGGTTTCATTGTGTTGGCCAGGCTGGTCTCGAACTCCGACCTCAAGTGATCCACCCACCTTGGTCTCCCAAAGTGCTGGGATTACAGGTGTGAGCCACTGTGCCCAGTCCCAAACCATATTTGAATTAGAGCTGAAGGGCTCCAGGCCCAAATGACTGTTGAGGGGCAGGACCAGCTGCGTCACTGTCACTCTCCTTTCCAGAGAAAAGCTATTCTGGTCCAATTCCTAGCTGCGTGCCTTTGGGAAAACTCTTTCATCTCTCTGTGCCTCAGTTTCTTCATCTGTAAAATTTTTTTTTTTTTTGAGACAGCATCTTGCTCTTGTTGCCAAGGCTGGAGTGCAATGGCGCAATCTTAGCTCACTGCCATCTCCGCCTCCCAAGTTCAAGTGATTCTCCTGCCTCAGCCTCCTGAGTAGCTGGATTACAGGTACCCGCCACCATGACCGGCTAATTTTTTGTATTTTCAGTAGAGACGGGGTTTCACCATGTTGACCAGGCTGGTCTTGAATTGCTGACTACAGGTGATCCTCCTGCCTCAGCCTCCCAAAGTTCTGGGATTACAGGCGTGAGCCACCACATCTGGATTTTTTTTTTGAGACGTAGTCTCGCTCTGTCGCCCATGCTGGAGAGCACTGGCATAATCTTGGCCCACCGCAACCTCCGCCGCCTGGTTCAAGCGATTCTCCTGCCTCAGCCTCCAGAGTAGCCGGGATTACAGGCATCCACCACCACGTTCGGCTAATTTTTGTATTTTTAGTAGAGACGGGATTTCACCATGTTGGCCAGGCTGGTCTCGAACTACTGACCTCAGGTGATCCGCCTGCCTGGGTCTCCCAAAGTGCTGGGATTACAGGTGTGAGCCACTGCGCCCAGCTGTAAAATGATAATAAGCATACCTTAAATATAACTTCCTTTTAAGGCTATTCAAGAAATAAATGTGCTAAGGGCCTGTAAAGGGCTGAGCACAGAGGCTGGCATAGTCAGTGCTCAATAAATGGAAAGGAGAAGATGGAGATGAGGAGGATGGAGGTCCAGAAAGTTGGAGAAGTGTTGGCCTGGTTTCCTCTATCCTGGGACGTCAGGGCTCCCCTCAGCCTTGGCAGTTCCAGGAATGGCCACGAGATGGCGCCTGAATCCCAGTTATGAGGGACTCAGCGGCGCTTCTTAGCAGAGGAAGCTGTTTGCGGGGAAAAAGGGCCAGAGAAGCAGGTAGGCTCCTCAAGCTTGGATGGAGTGGGGCTTGGCACTAGATTTGCTTAAAGTCCAGCCACTTCAGCCTCTCCCTTCGGTTTGTCTCCTAGGGGTTCCCTGTACGTACCCCTTTCCCTCCAGCACTGGAGCCCGAGTCTCCCGCTGAGCAGGCACCTCTCCCTCCACGCCCAGGCTTCTTAAACCAACCCCTCCTCCCCTTGTCATTCATGAACCAGGTAGGAGGACTTAACGGAACACTTCCTGTGGGCCTTGCAGGGTGGGGAGCCAGAGGAAATGACCTGGTTCCTGTTCTTAGCATCCTGGGGGTGGGATAGGAGGTAGGAATAGAAACCAAAAGAGATAAATGGAAAACAGGCAGGATTGGCTTAAGACTTCTCCATCTGTAGGCCGAACCCGTTATCCTCATTTTGCAGATGCAGAAACTGAGGCTCAGAAGCGTTCGGCCACGTGCATGCATTGCCTTTCCCATTGGTGCTCCATCGCCAGTAATGGATAAGTAATAAGTAATAAGGTGAGTTATATCTAAATATATCCATAGACTCATTCAACAGCATCTACAAGAGCGCCGCAGTTCCAGCAAGGATCAGACTTGGCCCCTGCCCTTGGGAGCTGGCAGTCTGGAGGGTGAGGCTGGGTCTGGGGACCCAGAGGATGCAGTTGTTGGTCTCACCTGAACCGGTTGTGGGAGGGAAGGGAGGAAATGTGTGAGAGACTTTGTAGATTTCTTATGCGCAAAGGACCTGCTCCAGGATAACTTTCAAAGAGGCAATATCATGACTCCCATACAAATTAAAATGAACATGTGTCAAAGATTTTCTTTGACTTATTAATTGACATGGAATCAGCAAGATGTTAAAATAAGTTCAACTGAGAATTTGACTTACGGGTATTTATATTCTCTACTGGACAAAATTCCTTTGCACGGTTATGAGCAGGAATCATTTGCTTTGTGATCTGTTTTCCTCAGATTGCCTCTATCCCTACAGAGCTATAAAGCCAATCAAAGACAATCAAAAGCACACAAGCACACACCCCTAAAGAATCAGATCATCACTAGAGGGTCACAGCCAACACCCGGCACTCCTCTGAAAGGAACACACCCAGAAATCTCTTGCCTTTTCCCAGGCTTTGATATATTTTCTTGGCCGACTCCTGGAAGGATCAGGATGAATCAGGTAGCAGCCATTGCTGAGCAGGCAGGCCATCTTAGAGCTTGGTCCTCCTCTTTGCAAAATCTTCCCCATTCAGGCGGTAACTTCTAGCTGCAGCCAGGGTCAGTAACCGCCAGCAGGTGGCGCTGAGGCAAAAATCTCAGCCGCACGTGGGGAATTCTTTGACCCTTGCGGCCCCGCAGGAGTCAGGTTTCCTGACTTCAGGATTTCACGGGACCCTTTCTCCCCACCCCCTCCCCACCTTCTTCTTCTCCTCCTTCTCCTTATCCTTCTTCTCCTCCTCCTTCCTTCTTTTTTTTTTTGGTTGTTGTTGTTTAGTTTTTTGAGACGTGGTCTCGCTATGTTGCCCAAGCTGGTCTTGAACCCCTGGGCTCAAGTGATTCACCCGCCTCGGCCTCCCAAAGTGCAGGGATCACAGGCGTGAGTCACCGCGCCGGGCCATTCCCCCTCTTTTGGGTCAAGTTTTCTCATGATCACAGGGCTGCTTCCAAGTGAGCTCATCTCCAGCCATAAATTCAGCCATTCACTGATTCAATCAATCTTTGATTTGACAAAGTGTCCAGGCCCCAAGTCGTATTCCTGAGGCTCTCCAGGAATTCTTTGTGTCCAAGAAGCAGCCCTTGTCTCTGCTTGTCCGGCTTTGCTGCTCCCAGAAGGAGCAAGGCCTCACTCACCTTTGAGGATGAATTCTGCCATCTCAGGGCCCCATCCCATGCTGCCCCCCCCCCCACCCCTGCCCTGCCTTTGGGTGTATCCACACCCCCCTGGAAACCTGGAAAAGGCACCTCAGCAGAGGATGAATAAAAAGCTTTACTTCTTTCTCTCCTTTCAAGCTCTCATTCCTCCCCCCCCTTTTTTTTCTTGAGACAAAATCTTATTCCGTCACCCAGGCTGGAGTGCAGGGGTGCGATCTCGGCTCACTGCAACCTCTGCCTCCTGGATGCAAGTGATTCTCATGCCTCAGCCTCCCGAGTAGCTGGAATTACAGGTGCACACCACCACGCCCAGCTAATTTTTGTATTTTTAGTAGAGACGGAGTTTCACCATGCTGGCCAGGCTGGTCTCGAACTCCTGACCTCAGGTGATACGCCTGCCTCAGCCTCCCAATGTGCTGGGATTACAGGTGTGAGCCACCGCTTCCGGCTTCATTCCCATTTTACAGGTGAGAAAGTGGCTACTGCTCCTCTGGGTCTGTCCTGGTCGTCGGGGAAGGCTGTATCTCTTTGCTATACTCGGCTTTACTCAGGCCAGAGGATGGCTGAAGAGCTGTCCCCAGGCCTCACTGTTTCCCTGGCCTTCCCATAAACTCACATTCATGGAGGACTGCAGCATAAGAAGCACCTCCTATGCGCTTCCCAAGGGCCTGGAAAGTTCTCCAGAATGTAGTGGGAATAACTACAAGCACAGTCCCATCCCAACTCAGCAGGCAAGGAGTGCTGGGGTGACCACAGCTCCCTCCTCAGCTGAGACCCTGCCCTGGGGTAGGGGCAGCAGGCCAAGGGGAAGGAGGTGGGCAGGCAGGGTGTGCAGGCCATCATGGTAGTGAGGTCTGCACCGGGGCCAGGGCACACATCTGTCCCACTGGGTGCTGGCTGGGCAGTGTTTCCCTGGCTCCTTGGCTCTTCCCTGTATGCTGGGTGCACAATTGTGGGGCATCAGGGAGAAAACCTTCCTCTTCTAGGTTAGGGTCTCTGCCCTCTGCCCCGTGACTGTGACAGCAGCAGGAAAGAAGTCACCACAGTGCTCCTGCGTCTCAGGGATTCCCTAAAAGGAGAATCAGAGAAAAGAGTAGGAGTCCTTGGGAAGCAGATCCTGAGCAGAAAGGTCCCTGGTCTCTGGCCACCTGAGGCCTATAGGCAGTGAGATCTGCTGGGAATGAAGTGGATGGTGGGGTAAATTTGAAGGCAGGTAGGGGAGAAGCAGCACCAGACCCCCAGGGCCCGGACAGGCCAGCGGGCTTCCTGCAGTTTGCACGACCTTGCATCTCCCTTCCTTTCCTGGGAAGCATGTGGTCTGATAGCTTCCAGGATGACAGCTTGTGCTGGGGCCTGGACTTCTCTGCTCTGACAGATTCAGACATCTGTCTTAGTTTGTTTTCTGTTGCTTACAACAGAATACTGAAACTGGGTAATTTCTAAAGGAAATGAATGTATTTTTAAAGTTCTGGAGGCTGGGAAGTCCAAGGTCGAGGGGCCACATCTGGTGGGAGTCTTCTTGCTGGTGGGAGCTCTCTGCAGACTCCTGTGGGAGGGCATGACGTCGCATGGTGAGGGGGCTGAGTGGTGTCCCTCAGTGTCCCTTCCTCTTCTTATAAAGTCCTCAGTCCCACTCCTATAATCACCAATTAACTCATTAATCCATTAACCCACGAGATTAATCCATTCATGAGGGCAGAGCCTTCATGATCCAATCACCTCTTAGAGGTCCTACCTCTCAATATGGCCACACTGGGGATTACATTTCGGCATAGGCTGGGTGCACTGGCTCATGCCTGCAATCCCAGCACTTTGAGAGGCCAAGGTGGGCTGATTGCTTGAGCCCAGGAGTTCCAGACCAGTCTGGGCAACATGGTGAAACCCCATCTTGACAAAATATAAAAAAATTAGCCAGGCATGGTGGTATGCACGTGTAGTCCTAGCTACTCCAGGGGCTGAGGTGGGAAGATTGCCTGAGCCCAGGGAGGTTGACGCTGCAGTGAGCCATGACTGTGCCACTGCACTCCAGCCTATGCAACAGAGCGAGGTCCTGTCTCAAATATATAAAAGAGCTGGGCGCGGTGGCTCACACCTGTAATCCCAGCACTCTGGGAGGCTGAGGCGGGCGGATCATGAGGTCAGGAGATCGAGACCATCCTGGCTAACACGGTGAAACCCCTTCTCTACTAAATATACAAAAAAATTAGCCGGGCGTGGTGGCAGGTGCCTGTAGTCCCAGCTCCTCGGGAGGCTGAGGTAGGAGAATGGTGTGAACCCAGGAGGTGGAGCTTGCAGTGAGCCGAGATCACACCACTGCACTCCAGCCTGGGCGACAGAGCGAGACTCCATCTCAAAAAAAAAAAAAAAAAAAAAAAAAAATATATATATATACACACACACACACACACACACACACACATATGTATATACACACATATATGTATATATACACACACATATATGTATATATATACACACACACATATATAAAAGAAAAAAGTATTTCAACATGAGTTTTGGTGGAGACAAATAGTCCAACCACAACAATATCCCAAAGTTATTCCATCAGGATGGGTCCCTGGGGGTTTTGTAAAGGCAGTATTTCATTTCCTCAGATGTACTGTGAGAAACTGCTGGAATTTCTGGTTTGGGGAAGGCTGAGGCCCTCAGAGGTCTAGATGAGATTTTTTGGTTTCTTCCTTTGCTGGGAAAAACGGATCAGGATGGCCTCGTTTAGACTGTCAGACACTCTGGGATCCTTGGACTTCCCTCAGGAGAAGAAAAGTTGGACCTTCTACCACCAATAGGAAGGGCACTCAGAAATCCTGGTGATATGGCTCTGATGATTGGAGGAACACCAGGGTCCTTGGTTCTCATGCTGGTTTAGATAAAACGACACAGACACATGTAGAGTTGTTTTAAGGAGTGGAGAGTTTAATAGGCAAGAAGGGAGAAGGCAGAAAGAAGAAGCTCCCCCATACAGAGACAGAGAGAGGAGGACTCCAAAGCTGAGAGAGGGAACCCCAAGTGGGGTGCAAACCAGCCAGGTATATATACAGAGGCTGGAGGAGGCGGTGTCTGATTTGCATGGGGCTCAGGGGATTGGTTTGACCAGGCCTGTCATTCACTTAGCCCGCAAAAAAGCTGGCCCTCCCACCCTAGCCTTTTAATATGCAAATGCAGGGTGCCAGGATGTTTTACACACGTGGGGATATGTGGGGGCAGCCATGTTGCCAGGAACATGTGGGGCAAGAGCAAGAAGGCTGCAGGAATTGCCATGTTGGGTGGACCCAGTTTCTAATGACCTGCATTTGCATATTAAAGGCTTTTCTGGAGATGCTTTAAAAAACAAAAACTTTCCAAGGACTCCTTTTCCTCTCTATCTGCCTAAAATAATTTCTTAATAACTCCTACAACACTAGTATTCTGAATATCAGAGGAACTGTGGATTTAATTTGGCTGTTATGCTGATGAAGCAGGGTGCACCTGAGAGGGCCAGGAATGTTAGCAGCCGTGTCCTATGGCGTGGGCTCCCTCCCTCCGTTTCCAAAGGGGCAGATACAGGAGAAGGTGGAGGGCTCTGCACAGCTGCCTTTGGTGCCTGAAGTCCCACTGAGGCAAATCTGGGCCACACAGCCTCACTCCATTACCGCCTTTATGAGTGATTTCTGGAGATATTCCAAGCCCAGCACATTCTTATCCTCAGGTATTTTAGAGATCTATTCGTAGGGCACAAATCATCCCCAAACTTAGCAGCTTAAAACAATATACATTTGGCCAGGCATGATGGCTCACGCCTGTAATCCCACCACTTTGGGAGGCCAAGGCGGGCGGATCACCTGAGGTCAGGAGTTTGAGATCAGCCTGACCAACATGGAGAAACCCCATCTCTACTAAAAATACAAAAAATTAGCCGGGTGTGGTGGTGCATGCCTGTAATTCCAGCTATTCGGGAGGGTGAGGCAGGAGAATCATTTGAACCTGGGAGGCAGAGGTTGCAGTGAGCCGAGATTGTGCCCCTGCACGCCAGCCTGGGCAACAAGAGTGAAACTCCGTCTCAACAACAACAACAACAACAACAACAACAACAACAAAAACCCCAAAACCAATATACATTTGTATACATTTATCCTCTCACTGAGCTTCTGAGGGTCAGGAATCCAGGAGCAGCTTAGCTGGGTGGCCCTGATTCAGGGTCTCTCTTAAAGTTGTGGTCAAGATGTCAGCTGGGACTGGGCGTGGTGGCTCACGCCTGTAATCCCAGCACTTTGGGAGGCCAAGGCGGGCAGATCATATGAGGTCAGGAGTTTGAGACCAGCCTGGACAACATGGTGAAACACCTTCTCAACTAAAAATACAAAAATTAGCCAGGCATGGTGGCACGCACCTGTAATTCCAGCTACTCAGGAGGCTGAGGCAGGAGAATTATTTGAACCCAGGAGGCAGAGGTTGCAGTGAGCCAAGATCGCGCCATTACACTCCAGCCTGGGTGACAGCAAGAGTCCATCTCAAAAAAAAAAAAAGATGTCAGCTGGGATGACCGACTCCTGAAGGCCTGACTGGGGCTGGAGGATCTGCTCCCAAGGCAGCTCACATAGTTGGCAAGTTGGTGCTGATTGATGACAGGCGGCCTTGGTTCCTCACGCATGGGCTTCTCCACAGGGCTGCTTGTACATCCTCACAACATGGTGGCTGCCCTCCCCAAGAGGAAGCGTTCCAACATGGCAGGGTTGAAGCCACCAATCTCTTTTATGGCCTAGCCTTGAAAATCACACGCTATCACTCCTGCTGTACTCCCTTGGTCACCCAGGCCAACCCTATTTAATGTGAGAGAAGACCACACAAGGTTGTAACTAGCAGGAGGTAGGGGTTGCTGGGGCCATCTTGGAGGCTGGCTACCTCACCAGCCTTTGGGTTAATCTTCAGGTAAATCTTCAAACTTTATACTCAGTGGTTCCCATGCCTCCGAGAACTACCTAAGAGAACCCATTTATGCCTGAGGTTGCAATTTTTTGAATTTTTGCAATGAGACCTTGGCGGTGCCCTTGAGCAGTAGGATATAAATAACTCCCACATGCTTAGTGTTCCAATAATGGAACACTAGGCATAAATGGGTTTAAGCATCTTCTATCCATGAGGGGCTCTGTGTTTGAAGAAGGATGAGGAAGATGCCCCGTGCAGGCCCCACCAACTTCCCAGTGGCTCACTTCCTGCTTTGCCCCTCACTCACTGGCACTTTCTGTGTTTCAGCAGCCTGTTCTGGCCATAGCAAAAAGGGGTCCTCCAGCGACTGCCACAGCTGTTCCAACAACAGCCTCAGCCTTTGGCATTTCATGGTTTCCTCAGGAAACTGACTAGATGAGCCCATTTCTTAGGGACAGCCCAGTTTAAGACCACAGGGACAACCTTGAACCCACTAACTCTATCCTCATCTCACTCTACCAGCCAGCTACAGTGAAGGTTCTTTTGGAGGCCAGTGACAGAAGCCAACTCAGCCAAAAGTGGAATCCAAGGCCGGGCGCGGTGGCTCACGCCTGTAATCCTAGCACTTTGGGAGGCCGAGGTGGGCGTATTACCTGAGCTCAAGAGTTCAAGGCCAGCCTGAGCAACACGGCGAAAACCCGTCTCTACTAAAATACAAAAAATTAGCCGGGCGTGGCGGCATGCGCCTGTAGTCCCAGCTGCCTCGCCTGTAGTCCCAGCTACTTGGGAGGCTGAGGCAGAAGTGCTTGAACCCGGGAGGCGGAGCTTGCAGTGAGCCAACATTGCGCTACTGCTCTCCAGCCTGGGCGACAGAGCGAGACTCCACCTCCAAAAAAAAAAAAAGTGGAATCCAGTGGGAGGGTGCCAGAGTGCGTCACAGTACAAAGGGAAATTGAAGAGCCAAGGCCCAGGAAGGGCAGGGACCAGGGCAGTCCTGTGGATGCTAACAGCGGGGGTTCATGGGCTCTCACTGTGGAGC
Organism: Homo sapiens; assembly: GCF_000001405.40. Classification (NCBI taxonomy): domain Eukaryota; kingdom Metazoa; phylum Chordata; class Mammalia; order Primates; family Hominidae; genus Homo; species Homo sapiens. Next base: position 27,052,634 of record NC_000001.11, read on the forward strand.
ACAGCTAGACTTGGTACCAGAGACTTGTCTCTGCTCCAATTTCCTGGCAGACAGAATCTAATTGGCTCAGCCGTGTCAGGTGCCCATCCCTGGTCCAATCAGCAATGGCGGGGTAGGGGTGGACTCCCAGCCATGATGGCGTAGGGGTGGGGCAGGTCCTAGGGCAGTTAACACAGCTGAGGGCCAAGAAACTCACTAGGAGGATAGCTACTCAAGGAAGAGGTTTGTTCTGTGTAGAAAAAAGGATCTGAGATATTAGGGTGGTCCAAGAGCCCATGACACCCCCCCTCCCTTTTCTAGGATCTTCCTGAGATTCTGAGAACCACTCACTAATTTAAGAACCTTAGCTCTCGGCCGGCCGTGCTGGCTCACGCCTGTAATCCCAGCACTTTGGGAGGCCGAGGTGGGCGGATCACCTGAGGTCAGGAGTTCGAGATCAGCCTGGCCAACATGGTGAAACTCCGTCTCCACTAAAAATACAAAATTAGCCGGGCGTGGTGGCGCATGCCTGTAGTCCCAGCTACTCGGGAGGCTGAGGCAGGAGAATCGCTTGAACCCGGGAAGCAGAGGTTGCGGTGAGCCGAGACCACGCCATTGCACTCCAGCCTGGGCAACAAGAGCGAAACTCTGTCTCAAAAAACAAAAAGAAAAAAAAAAGAAAAAGAACCTTTCCTCTCACCTATTCTTCCCCTGTGAATATCCTTCCCAGATTCTGGCACCCACTTATGGGCTTCAAAGTCACTTAAAATGTCGTTCAAAGACCACTTGTTTTAGAATCACCTGGGAAGTATGTTAAAAATACAGGTTCCAGGCCCGGTGCCATGACTCACGCCTGCAATCCCAGCACTTTGGGAGGCCAAGGCAGGTGGATCAATTGAGCTCAGAAGTTCGAGACCAGCCTGGGCAACATGGCAAAACCCTATCACTACAAAAAATACGAAAAATTAGCCAGGCGTGATGGCAAGCGCCTGTGATCCCAGCTACTTGCAGGGCTGAGGCGAGAGGATCACCTGAGCCCAGGAGGTCGAGGCTGCAGTGAGCCATGTTTGCACCACTGCACTCCAGCCTGGATGACAGACTGAGACCCTGTCTCCCAAAAAAAAAAAAAAAAAAAAAAAAATTAGCCAGGCATGCCTGTAATCCCAGCTATTTGGGAGGCTGAGGCAAGAGAATCGCTTGAACCCAGGAAGCAGAGGTTGCAGTGAGCCGAGATCACGCCACTGCATTCCAGCCTGGGCAACAGAGCTAGACTCCGTCTCAAAACAAAGAAAAAAACAAGTTCTAGACATCGGGCCTAGGAATCTATATTTAAACCTGCTCTATAAGCGATCCAGATGCACAGCAAAGGTTGAGAAGTGTTTCAGATGTAGCTTCATCCCAGCTCCCAAAGTGCCGCAAATTGCACAAAGTGCTGGTGCTCACTGGAAGGCCACATCCTCGACCCCAATCCTCTCCACCATGCCCTGACCATCTCCTTGATCTTGTCCCAGCACTGTCTAGCGAGACCTCAAGTCCCTCTCCTAGCAGGAGCCTGGGCCCCTGGGATAGGCAATTTTTGCTCTAACCCTACTCCTGATACCATCTTTTTTTTTCCTCTCCTTTCTTTTTCTTTCTGTTCTGATTCTCACCAACGTTCATTTTTAATTTTATCATTTAAAAATCTTTTATAGTTATGTAAACAACTTCAAACTTTTTTCCAGAGCTAGGTGATGAATAACCAAATAGGGGAAGGAATTTCAATTGCCCCTAATCCTATATTAGTCCCTGTGCAGATGGGCCTAATGAGTACTGCACCAGGATTTCTAATTATCCTTAATGAGCTCCTAAAATTCATGGGGCATGATAGAATGAGGTTGATTGTTAATCAAATGGCCCAATGAATCAAGCCTCCTGGTATCTACGCCCTTGGATAGGCCCCTCCCATGGTGACTCTGGGATTGGCCACGTGACTTGCTTTGGCTAGTGGGACATCAGTGACTATGACACAGAGGCCAGATAAGTGCTTGTGATTTGGGGCTTACTCTGTTAGCACTGTCCTGGAACCACCATGTGAGGAAACCTAGGCTACATGGTCATCCTTGAGGATGAAAGATCTCATGAAGAGTGAGGCTTAACCATCCCCACCATCCCAGCTGAACCTAGCCCACAGCCATTCTTCCAGCTGAACGTAGCTGCACAAGTAAGCCCTGGAAAAATCAGCAGAAGAATGCAGCCAACCCACATTTTCATGAGAAATAAAAAAACATTACTGTTTTAAGCCTAAGTCTTGGGTGGTTTGTTATGCAGCAACAGCGAACTGATACAATGGGTCGCAGAAACACTCACAGGACAGTATTTCTGTGCTGCTATTTCCACTTGATATTCTGGAGCTTCATGTAGATCTGTTGCAGTGAAGCAATAAAACAATACAGTGGCTTAAACAAGATTGTTTGTTTTCTTGTATGTAAGAGGTCGGAGTTAGGTCTTCATGTTTTCATGTCTGGTGGGTCAACTGTGCCCACCTTCAAAATGGCCCTTCTGGCTGGGCATGGTGGCTCACATCTGTAATCCCAGTACCTTGGGAGACAGAAGTGGGCATATCACTTGAGCTCAGGAATTTGAGGCCAGTCTGGGCAACATAGTGAGACCCCGTCTCTACTAAAAATACAAAAAATAAGCTGGGCGGCTGGGCGCAGTGGCTCACGCCTGTAATCCCAGCACTTTGGGAGGCCGAGGCGGGTAGATCACGAGGGCAGAAGTTCAAGACTAGCCTGGCCACGATGGTGAAACCCCGATTCTACTAAAAATACAAGAATTAGCTGGGTGTGGTGGTGGGGGCCTGTAATACCAGCTATTCTGGAGGCTGAGGCAGAGAATTGCTTGAACCTGGGAGGTGGAGGTTGCAGTGAGCCGAAATCGCACCACTGCACTCCAGCCTGGGCGACAGAGTGAGACTCCGTCTCAAAAAAAATAAAATAAAATAAAATAAGCTGGGTATGGTGGCCCACACCTCTAGTCCCAGCTACTCCGGAGGCTGAGGTAGGAGGATTGCTTGAGTCCAGGAGGTGGAGGTTGCAGTGAGCTGTGATCACACCATTGCACCCCAGCCTGGGTGACAGAGTGAGACCCTGTTTCAAAAAAAAAAAAAACAGAGACAGAAGAGTGAGGTGGGAAAATACCCAATCCTTTGGCACGTATCACTTCGATTCATATTTCTTTGCTAAAGCTTGGGCCCATGGCTTCACCTAGTTGCAAGGGAAACTGGGAAATGTACTTTCTTTCTTCTTCTTCTTCTTTTTTTTGAGATGAAGAGTCTCGCTCGCTCCGTCGCCCAGACTGGAGTGCAATGGCGTGATCTCGGCTCACTGCAACCTCCGCCTCCTGTGTTTAAGCAATTCTCCTGCCTCACCCTCCCAAGTAGCTGGGATTACAGGCACTGGCCACCACACCCGGCCAATTTTTTGTATTTTTAGTAGAGACGGGGTTTCATCATGTTCGCCAGGCTAGTCTTGAACTCCTGACCTCAAGTGATCCACCCGCCTCCGCCTCCCAAAGTGCTGGGATTACAGGTGTGAGCCACCAGGCCCGGCCTGGGAAATGTGCTTTCTAGCCACGCAGCATGTGCCCAGCTAAAATATGGCCATTCTATTTATTAAAGAGAGAAGGAGAAACTACGCATTTGAGGATGACTAGCAGTCAATGCTGTGTAATCTGCCTCCAGGGTTCTCAGCAGTGTTCTCAGTAAATATGAGTATCCCATGGATTAGGTGGTTTAATTTCTTATCATAAAACAATCATAAGTATCAAGTTTTTATCTATGAATTGGTTAGGGAGATTTAGGCTGCAAGTAACAGAATACTAAGCTAAAAGTTGTCTAAAGAGTTGGGAGTTTCCTAGCTTAGCCAACATAAGAGGAGACCTCTATCTTTACAAATAATTTTTTTTTTTTTTTTTTTTTTGGAGACAGAGGCTTGCTCTGTTGCCCAGGCTGGAGCGCAGTGGTGCGATCTCGGCTCACTGCAACCTCCACCTCCCGGGTTCAAGTGATTCTTCTGCCTCAGCCTCCCAAGTAGCTGGGACTACAGGCACATACCACCACGCCTGGCTAATTTTTGTATTTTTAGTAGAGATGGGGTTTCCTCATGTTGGCCAGGCTGGTCTTGAACTCCTGAACTCGTGATCTGCCCGCCTCAGCCTCCCAAAGTGCTGGGATTACAGGCGTGAGCCACTGTGCCCGGCCTTCTCCGAATAATTTTTTTAAATGAGCCAGGTGCGGTGGTATGTGCCTGTGGTCCCAGCTACTCAGGAGGCTGAGGCAGGAGGATCGTCTGAGCCTGGGAGGTCAAGGCTGCAGTGAGCCATGATCACACCACTACAGTCCAGCCTCCAGCCTCTGCAATGGAGTGAGAGTGTCTCAAAAAAAAAAAAAAAAAAAAAAAAACACAACAAAAAAACCCCACAGGACTTTTATCTTAAGATATCTTGGGGTAGACCATTTTTGAGTCAAGGCCCTCATGGTTGAAAGATGACTACCGTGGCTCCAAGCATCATATCCACAGAGAGCAACTAAATAACAGCTGTTATATATTGAGTACTTATCATGTGCTAGAACTGTCTGGGCATTTTAGGTGTATTCACTCATTTGATTTTCACAGCACCCTGAGAAGAAAGTCCAATTATTTTCATTTTGCAGAGGAGGAACACGAGGTACAGAAAGGTCAAGTAATCTGCTTAAGACAACACAGCCAATCGGAGGCAGAGCCATGCTTTTAGCCCAGATGGTTTGACCCTGGAGCCTGCACTTTTGTGTGGCTGCATTTGCCACGGGCAGCATCTCAGGAAGGGAGGCTTGGACAGGGGTCCTCCTAAAACATCTCTTTTTGTAAGAGGAGGAAAATTCCTCCCAGAAGCCCCCAGCAGCCTCCCCCTCTTATCTCATTGGCCAGAACAGGGTCCCATGGTTCTCCCCAACCCAATTACCAGCAGAGGGGAGTGGATCAAATGTAAATATCCCAGTCACCATCCACCTGGGGGTAATTAGTACATTGTCCTCCCACCAGAACAAAACAAGCTTCTTTTAGCAAGGAAGCGGGGGGGCAAATATCTGCCCCTAGGCAGAACCCATGGTTGGTAGCTGGGGTCCGCCAGCCCACTGGGATTGAAATAAGGTTGGCTCAGACCCCATCCCTTACTTTCCACAAGGCTTCTGCAATTTCTCAGGCTTACAATTGTGTGCCTCTGATTTCCGGCTTCTGCTGAATTCTAGCAGCTGTTCCCTTTATTTCTGCCCTGGAATTGACTCAAATGTAGGATGCAGCCCGTTTCTTCTCCCAAGAAACCGTGGATACCAGACTGCTCTGTAAGCAGAATTTCACTAAGATTTGTGGGTCCCTGGAAGAGTTATAGAGTGGCTCAGCACACGACTGAAAGTGGCACTGGGACGTCTCTGCTCTTACAAGCTGGTTTCTCAGGCATCCTCCAGCCCCGCCCGCACAGGGCTGCTGCTCCCATCTGCTGGCGCCCATGCCCATCTACCCGCCTCCCTTCTTCAGCCCCTGCGTGACAGACACCTCGATGCCCCAGGGGCTTCCAATTCTCACACAGGAGACCCTGCATTTCAGCTCTCCCTAGCCCCTCCTGCTCTTCCCAAACCAGGCTGCCAAGCCAAACCCAGTAAGGGCCTTTTAAGAACAAAAGGGCCTTTTAGTTAATGCAGCAGGATCTACTTTCCTTAGAAGGAAGCTTTGGTTATAAATAACAACCTTTCCCCTCTGGATTCCTCCAGGTGCATTGGAAATTCAAATTTCAGAATAAGCTGACTGCCAAGAGGGCCCTCCCCCTGTCGGGAGTCCCTTAGTCCATGGGAAATTCACAGAGAAGGAAACAGTCACTTTTCCTGCACCTGAGAAGGTAAAAATCAAACTGCCTTAGAAAGATTCTGTCCTCCTAAAAACTGGTGCCTCTGTACACCTCAAGGAGTCAGCAGGCTCTCCCTCCGAGGCTTAAAAGCCTCAGGGATTTCTTTTTTTCTTTTTTTCTTTTTTTTTTTTTGAGACGGAGTCTCGCTCTGTCACCCAGGCTGGAGTGCAGTGGCGCGGTCTTGGCTCACTGCAACCTCTGCCTGCCGGGTTCAAGTGATTCTCCTGCCTCAGCCACCTGTGAGCCACCGTGCCAGCCAGCCTCAGTGATTTCTTAGGAGCCTGTTGTATGCAATCTTGAGGGCTGAAGAAGTGAGAGGGACCCACCCCATCCTACCTCTACAGAATGCTTGGCACCCCCACCAATGTTCCTAGACTCCATCTCAGGACCAAGGTAGTGTAGACCCAAAGCCCGGCCCTATCCTGGCTCCCAAGCATCCCACAGCCTCTGGGGTAGAGGTGGTTAGAGGCACCAGCTCTAGACCTTGGCTGCCTTCTGTCTGCCCTCAGGGTCTGCTCAGATCAGGACACCCCCTCCCCCAGGCTGGGGCTCAGCCTCAGCATCCTTGGCAGGGCTCCCCACAGGGGCATTTCCACAACTTTCCAGCCCTGGCCTCCTGTTCAAGGGTTCGGCCTCAGGCAGGACTAGAGCTGAGTTGCAGAGGAGGAGGAGGAGCGGGGAGAGAGCCGAGTAGTTCAGGTTGCCGCAGGGGAGACAGGAGGGAGGAGAAGAGAAGGAGGGGAGGGAGCGAAGGTCCTCAGAACCCAAGTGCGGGGCAGCCTCAGGAAGGTGACTTCTGTTATTCTCCCTGTGTGCTGTGTCTTTAGGAAAATCCCCCTCACACGACAGCCCAACAGCCTTATACCCGCAGTTGCTCTGGGAGCAGGGGAAAATGTCCTGCAGTTCTTGCCCCTCATTTGGGTCAACTCCAGGACAGAAGTAAAGGCGACAGCTGCAAGGAATCAGCAGAAGCAGGACAGCAGCCATGAGCACATGAGCCCCCAGAGCTGGCAGAAACCTTGGAGGCTTTGTGTAGCTACAGTGATGGCCACGTCTGGGCTGGCACTCACCTTATGCCAGTCTCTAGGGAGGAGCCCGCATTTGCAGGCTGGGTTACATCTTTTCCCCTCTTCCACGCTGGGATTCTTTTTTTTTTTTTTTTTTTTTTTTGAGACAGAGTCTCGCTCTGTCGCCCAGGCTGGAGTGCAGTGGTGCGATCTCGGCTCACTGCAAACTCCGCCTCCCAGGTTCAAGCAATTCTCCTGCCTCAGCCTCCGGAGTAGCTGGGATTACAGGCACCCACCCCCATGCCCGGCTAATTTTTGTATTTTTAGTAGAGACAGGGTTTCGCCATGTTGGCCAAGCTAGTCTCAAACTCCTGACCTCAGGTGATCCGCCTGCCTTGGCCTCCCAAAGTGCGGGGATTACAAGCATGAGCCACCGTGCCCGGCCTGGAAATTGTTTTTTTTTTTAAACCCTCAGGTGATTCTGACTCTCCTGGAACCTGAGAACCACCAGTCTACGGGAACAGAGCCCTGCTTTGGGTCAGGTGTGTATAACTATGGTATTCCCTTTCTTCTCTGCCTCTATTGTTGATGTTGTTTTTTTGTTTTTTGTTTTTTTTTGAAACGGAGTCTCGCTGTTGCCCAGGCTGGAGTGCAGTGGCGCAATCTCGGCTCACTACAATCTCCGCCTCTGGGGTTCACGCCATTCTCCTGCCTCAGCCTCCCGAGTAGCTGGTAAGGGAGGAGACCACCCCTCACATTGTCTTATGCCCAATTTCTGCCTCCAAAGAAAGAAGTAAAAACTAAAAGGCAGAAATGAAATCCACAGGCAGACAGCCCGGCGCTGCACCCTGGGCCTGGTAGTTAAAGATCGACCCCTGACCTAATCAGTTATGTTGTCTATAGATTACAGACATTGTATAGAAATGCACTGTGAAAATCCCTATCTGTTTTGTTCCGATCTAGTTACCAGTGCATGCAGACCCCAGTCACGTACCCCTTGCTTGCTCAATCAATCCCGACCCCCTCACACGCACCCTCCTTAGAGTTGTGAGCCCTTAAAAGGGATAGGAATTGCTCACTCGGGGAGCTCGGCTCTCGAGACAGGAGTCTTGCCGATGCCCCCAGCCGATTAAACCCCTTCCTTCAACTCGGTGTCTGAGGAGTTTTGTCTGCAGCTCGTCCTGCTACACTGGGACTACAGGCGCTCGCCACCACGCCCGGCTAATTTTTTATATTTTTTAGTAGAGGCAGGGTTTCACCGTGTTAGCCAGGATGGTCTCGATTGCCTGACCTCATGATCCGCCTGCCTTGGCCTCCCAAAGTGTTGGGATTACAGGCGTGAGCCACCGCGCCCGGCCCCACTCTCTACCTCTGTTTGTTTAGGGGCAGGCATAGAATCCCATTCTAGTCAATGAGACAGAAAGGGGTTCTGGAAAGTTCCCCCACCCCCTTATAAAACAAGGAGGACGTCTTCAAGGAGGACGTCTGAGGAGAAGCTTTGCCGTGGCCTTTTGCCTTTGGATGCTGCCAGAGGGGTTAGAAGGCGGAGCTCCACAGTCAGGCAGCTGGGGTGTGTATCCTAGCGGGGAGAGCAAGAGACAGTGGGACAAAAATAATAACAGTAATAGCAGCAATGCTTCTTGAGGACTTTCCGCATGGCAGGCCCTATTCTAAGCACCTCATGTAGCATATTTTACCCTCAAACAGTCCTGAGGTAGGTTCTGTTATTGCGATTTTATAAATGAGGAAACTGAAGCACAGACAAGTTTAAATAACTCGTTCAAAGTCATACAGCTCATACATGGAGGCCAGCATGCAGGCCAGGTGTGTGGGGTATGGGCATTGCGGGCTACTTTAGGGACCCTGACCTTTTCCTCAGCATAGTGGGAAGCTGGTGAAAGGTTTTAAGCAGGGGTGGCCCCTCTGATTTACCTTTTTTTTTTTTTTTTTTTTTTTGAGACAGTGTCTCACTCTGTTGCCCAGGCTGGAGCGCACTGGTGAGATCTTGGCTCACTGCAGCCTCAAACTCCTGGGCTCAAGTGATCCTCCCACCTCAGCCTCCTGAGAAGCTGGGACTACAGGCAAATGCTACAGTGGCTGGCTACTTTTTGTAAAGACGGAGTTTCACCATGTTACCCAGGCTGGTTTTGAACTCCTGAGCTCAAGCAATCCGTCCACCTCTGCCTCCCAAAGTGCTGGGATTACACGCATGAGCCACCACATCTGGCCTGATTTACTTTTAAAAGTCACTGAAATGCTTTGCTCCTAAATTCTCTGCTGGGGACAAGCCAGCCACACTTGCACGGCCTGTTCTTCAGCCTCTTTTCCTCCCTGAGACATCAGTCCCTTAGCAAACCCAGCGTCTTGGGTGACTGGGACCAGGGTGACTCAATGGCAGATGCTGATGGGTGAGACAGCCACAAAGATGATCTTTGGAGAGTGAGTTATAGGTGATTTGTTTTATTTAATTTTTAATTTTTTTATTTTTTTTTGAGACAGAGTCTCACTCTGTCGCCCAGGCTGGAGTGCAGTGGCGTGATCTCAGCTCACTGCAACCTCCTCCTCCCGGTTCAAGCTACTCTCCTGACTCAGCCTCCAGAGTAGCTGAGATTCCAGGCATGTGCCACCACACCCAGCTAATCTTTGTATTTTTAGTATAGACAGGGTTTCACCATATTGGCCAGGCTGGTCTCCAACTCCTGACCTCAAGTGATCCACCAACCTTGGCCTCCCAAAGTGTTGGGATTACAGGAGTGAGCCACCACCTCTGGCCAGGTGATTCGTTTTAAATCTGAATTTTTACATTTTTTTATAATAAGTGACCATATATCACTTGCTATTTAAAAAAAAATTTTTTTTGAGATGGAGTTTCACCCTTGTTGCCCAGGCTGGAGTGCAATGGCATGATCTTGGGCCACTGCAATCTCCGCCTCCCGGGTTCGAGCGATTCTCCTGCCTCAGCCTCCAAGTAGCTGGGACTACAGGCATGTGCCACCACGCCCAGATAATTTTTGTATTTTTAGTAGAGGCAGGGTTTCACCATGTTGGCCAGGCTGGTCTCAAACTCCTGACCTCCGGTGATTCTCCTGCCTTGGCCTCCCAAAGTGCTGGGATTACAGGCATGAGCCACCGTGCCCAGCCAAAAGTCATTATTTATAAAAAGAAAGATGAGGGGCCAGCACCCCACCCTCCCCAGGGTTGTTGACTCCTGCTGGTACTGGCTGTGGCTGAAGTCATCATCATGGAGGCTAACCCTTGGAGGGTAGATAGTGCAGTGGCAGCATCCTAAGGGCTTTATGTGACCTGTATGAACTCATTTAATCCCCACTGGCTTGGCCAAGGCCACAGAGCTGAAGAGTGGCAGGCTAGCGTCCGGACTCTCAGCTATGTACCAGGCTGCTTTTCTGGAAATGTTTTCCAGTTCCCCCGTGGGTGAAAGGCCTGTCCTTCCCACACCTTCCACAGTGGAAGTGGCCTCCATTCTCTGCTGTGCAGAATTGCTGGTGGAGAAGTGGGTGTTGGGGAGCTGGGGGCAGGAAATAGAAGATATTGGACAGAAATGTCCTGCAGTTGTTTGAAGCCTAAACAAAAACCCTTTCTTGGCCAGGTGCGGTGGCTCATGCCTATAATCCTGGCACTTTGGGAGGCTGAGGTGGGCCGATCACTTGAGGTCAGGAGTTCAAAACCAGCCTGGCTAACATGGTGAAACTCCATCTATTCTAAAAATACAAAAATTAGCCGAGTGTGGTGGTGGGTGCCTGTAATCCCAGCTACTCGGGAGGCTGAGGCAGGAGAATCACTTGAACCCGGGAGGCAGAGGTTGCAGTGAGCTGAGATCGCGCCTCTGCACTCCAGCCTGGGTGACAGAGCGAGACTCCTCTCAAAAAAAAACAAACTCGTCCCTCTCCCTCTCCCTCTCCCTCTCCCTCTCCCTCCACGGTCTCCCTCTGATGCCGAGCCGAGGCTGGACGGTACTGCTGCCATCTCGGCTCGCTGCAGCCTCCCTGCCTGATTCTCCTGCCTCAGCCTGCCCAGTGCCACGCCTGACTGGTTTTCGTTTTTTTTTGGTGGAGACGGGGTTTCGCCGGGCTGGTCTCCGCTCCTGACCGCGAGTGATCCGCCGGCCTCGGCCTCCCGAGGTGCCGGGATTGCAGATGGAGTCTCGTTCACTCGGTGCTCAATGGTGCCCAGGCTGGAGTGCAGTGGCGTGATCTCGGCTCGCTACAACCACCTCCCAGCCGCCTGCCTTGGCCTCCCGAAGAGCCGAGATTGCAGCCTCTGCCCGGCCGCCACCCCGTCTGGGAAGTGAGGAGCGTCTCTGCTTGGCCGCCCATCGTCTGGGATATGAGGAGCCCCTCTGCCTGGCTGCCCAGTCTGGAGGGTGAGGAGTGTCTCTGCCCGGCCGCCATCCCATCTAGGAAGCGAGGAGCGCCTCTTCCCCGCCGCCATCCCATCTAGGAAGTGAGGAGCGTCTCTGCCCGGCCGCCCATCGTCTGAGATGTGGGGAGCGCCTCTGCCCCGCCGCCCTGTCTGGGATGTGAGGAGCGCCTCTGCTGGGCCGCAACCCTGTCTGGGAGGTGAGGAGCGTCTCTGCCCGGCCGCTCCGTCTGAGAAGTGAGGAAACCCTCTGCCTGGCAACCGCCCCGTCTGAGAAGTGAGGAGCCCCTCCGTCCGGCAACCACCCTGTCTGGGAAGTGAGGAGCGTCTCCGCCCGGCAGCCACCCCGTCCGGGAGGGAGGTGGGGGGGGTCAGCCCCCCGCCCGGCCAGCCGCCCCGTCCGGGAGGTGAGGGGCTCCTCTGCCCGGCCGCCCCTACTGGGAAGTGAGGAGCCCCTCTGCCCGGCCAGTCGCCCCGTCCAGGAGGGAGGTGAGGGGGTCAGCCCCCCGCCCGGCCAGCCGCCCCGTCCGGAAGGGGGGGGGGGTCAGCCCCCCGCCCGGCCAGCCGCCCCGTCCGGGAGGGAGGTGGGGGGATCAGCCCCCCGCCTGGCCAGCCGCCCTGTCCGGGAGGTGAGGGGCGCCTCTGCCCGGCCGCCCCTACTGGGAAGTGAGGAGCCCCTCTGCCCGGCCAGCCGCCCCGTCCGGGAGGGAGGCGGGGGGGGGTCGGCCAGCCGCCCCGTCCGGGAGGGAGGTGGGGGGGTCAGCCCCCCTTCCGGCCGGCCGCCCCGTCCGGGAGGTGAGGGGCGCCTCTGCCCGGCCGCCCCTACTGGGAAGTGAGGACCCCTCTGCCCGGCCAGCCGCCCCGTCCGGGAGGGAGGTGGGGGGGACAGCCCCCCGCCCGGCCGGCCGCCCTATCCAGGAGGTGAGGGGCGCCTCTGCCCGGCCGCCCCTACTGGGAAGTGAGGAGCCCCTCTGCCTGGCCAGCCGCCCCGTCCGGGAGGGAGGTGGGGGGGACAGCCCCCCGCCCGGCCAGCCGCCCCATCCGGGAGGTGAGGGGCGCTTCTGCCCGGCCGCCCCTACTGGGAAGTGAGGAGCCCCTCTGCCCGGCCACAACCCCGTCTGGGAGGTGTGCCCAGCGGCTCATTGGGGATGGGCCATGATGACAATGGCGGTTTTGTGGAATAGAAAGGCGGGAAGGGTGGGGAAAAGATTGAGAAATCGGATGGTTGCCGGGTCTGTGTGGATAGAAGTAGACATGGGAGACTTTTCATTTTGTTCTGTACTAAGAAAAATTCTTCTGCCTTGGGATCCTGTTGATCTGTGACCTTATCCCCAACCCTGTGCTCTCTGAAACATGTGCTGTGTCCACTCAGGGTTAAATGGATTAAGGGCGGTGCAAGATGTGCTTTGTTAAACAGATGCTTGAAGGCAGCATGCTCGTTAAGAGTCATCACCACTCCCTAATCTTAAGTACCCAGGGACACAAACACTGCGGAAGGCCGCAGGGTCCTCTGCCTAGGAAAACCAGAGACCTTTGTTCACTTGTTTATCTGCTGACCTTCCCTCCACTATTGTCCTATGACCCTGCCAAATCCCCCTCTGCGAGAAACACCCAAGAATGATCAATAAAAAAAAAAAAAATAAATAAAAAATAAAGGCACTGAAAAAAAAAAAAAAAACAAACAAACTCATTCTTGTGGTGTCAGCCCACAGAGCCGTCACCTTAGATAGGCTCTGCCCTTCTTGGGACCCTAGGCTCCTGGATCTGTTGCAGTATGAGTGGGGTGGGAGGGGTGGTCATTTGAGGGATGTAGACACCTGATAATTATGGTTAAGAATTTGTAGGCCGGGTGCAGTGGCTCACGCCTATAATCCCAGCACTCTGGGGGGCTGAGGCGGACGGATCACAAGGTCAGGAGTTCAAGACCAGCCTGACCAACATGGTGAAACCCCATCTCTACTAAAAATACAAAAATTAGCTGGGCATGGTGGCATGAGCCTATAATCTCAGCTACTCAGGAGGATGAGGCAGGAGAATCGCTTGAACCCAGGATGAGGAGGTTGCAGTGAGCCGAGATGGCGCCAATGCACTCCAACCTGGGCAAAAAAAAAAAAAAAAAAAAAAAAAAATTTGCATATTCAAATTCCTGCTCTGACACTTACCAGCTATGAGACCTTTGGCAAGTACCTAAGCTTTGTGAGTCTCCATTTATTTTTGTTTAGAGATGGGGTCTCGCTCTGTTGCCCAGGCTAGATTGCAGTTGCATGATCATAACTCACTGTAACTTAGAACTCCTGGACTCAAGTAATCCTCCCGCCTCAGCCTCCCAAGTAGCTGGGACTATAGGTTCATGCCACCATGCCTATGCCTGGCTAATTAAAAAAATTTTTTTTTTTGTAGAGACAGAATCTCACTATGTTGCCCAGGCTGGTCTCAAACTCCAGGCCTCAAGAGATCCTCCTGCCTCAGCTTCTCAAAGTGCTGGGATTACAGGCATGAGCCACAACATTCAGCCCGAGTCTTAGTTTCTTTGTGGGTACAATGAAGATCTTGGCAGTTGTCAGGGTCAAATGGCAGAATATATGTAAAGTCCTTAGCATGGTGCCTGGCACATGGTAAGCACTTATTAAATAATGGTTGTCATTATTAATTCAACAAGCATTTACTGAACATCCTCGTGGTACCCGGCACTGTGTCAGAAGCAGACCCACTGGCAGTGCCAGAGCCCAGCAATTGCACCTCGAGGCTCCAAACACACACAGACTTAAGAATTCAGCAGAACAAGAAGCCAGAGTTAGAAGTTCCCTGAGAACAAAAATCTCTGGAGTGTACAGAGGATGGAGGGAGGGCTTCGCATGACCCAGGGCATGGGATGGGGCTTGAGGAAAACTTGCCTCAGTCCCGTGAGCACCCCTGCCGACACCCAGTTTATAGACATGGCAGAGTGTGCCCCCTCCTCCTGGCTGGCAGAGGCCTGACTCTGTGAAGGTGTTGGGGCAACATCCCCAGGTGGAGGGGGTGAATTTTGTTTGGTCCTAATTAAATATGGCTTCCATTCCTTTTTTATTTTCGTTTGTTTGTTTTGAGACAGTCTCACTCTGTTGCCCAGGCTGCAGTGCAGTGGTATGATCTTGACTCACTGAAACCTCCGTCTCCTGGGTTCAAACAATTCTCCCACCTCAGCCTCCCGAGTAGCTGGGATTACAGGTGCCCACTACCACACCCGGCTAATTTTTGTATTTTTAGTAGGGATGGGGTTTCACCATGTTGACCAGGCTGGTCTCGAACTCTTGACCTCAAGTGATCTGCCAGCCTCAGCCTCCCAAAGAGCTGAGATTACAGGTGTGAGCCACCGCGCCCCACCACATTCCCTTTCATTAGCAAAGAACTTGCTCAGAGTCATGCAGGTAGTAAGCAGGCAAAGCTCATGTTTCAATCTGTGTAGTTTGGGTTCAGGGGTGGGTTGTGTGTGTCCCTGTTCCAGAAGATAAGAAATAGTAGGACCAGGCTGGGCACGGTGGCTCATGCCTGTAATCCCAGCACTTTGGGAGGCCGAGGTGGGCAGACCACGAGGTCAAGAGTTCAAGACCAGCCTGACCAACAGGGCGAAACCCTGTCTCTACTAAAAATACAAAAAACTAGCTGGTTGTGGTGGCGCATGCCTGTAACCCCAACTACTCAGGAGGCTAAGGCAGGAGAATTGCTTGAACCAGGGAGGCAGAGGTTGCAGTGAGCTGAGATCGCGCCACTGTACTCCAGCCTGGGTGATACAGCGAGACTCCATCTCAAAAAAAAAAAAAAAAAAAATAGTAGGTCCAACCTCACAGAACTGTGGGAGGAATTAGGCTTAGAACTGTAACTGGCACTCAGGAAGTACACAACTGAGGTTAGCCGATTTTATGTTTAGCTTGCACCATCTTCTCCCTCTCTCTGTTTCTCTGTTTTTCTCTGTTTCAGCTTCCTTTTTTTTTTTTTTTTTTGAGACGGAGTCTTGCTCTGTCACCCAGGCTGGAGTGCAGTGGCGCCATCTCGGCTCACTGCAAGCTCCGCCTCCCGGGTTCACGCCATTCGGCTGCCTCAGCCACCCGAGTAGCTGGGACTACAGGTGCCCATCACCATGCCCGGCTAATTTTTTTGTATTTTTAGTAGAGATGGGGTTTCACCGTGTTAGCCAGGATGGTCTCGATCTCCTGACCTCGTGATCCGTCTGCCTCGGTTTCCCAAAGTGCTGGCATTACAGGCGTGAGCTACCGCACCTGGCCTTTCTTTTTTTTTGAGACAGAGTTTCGCTCTTGTTGCCCAGGCTGGAGTACAATGGCACGATCTCGGCTCACTGCAACCTCCGCCTCCCGGGTTCAAGCGATTCTCCTGCCTCAGCCTCCCAAGTGGCTGGGATTACAGGCGTTAGCCACCACGCCTGGCTAATTTTTGTATTTTTAGTAGAGACGGGGTTTCACCCTGTTGGTCAAGCTGGTCTCGAACTCCTGACCTCAGGTGATCCACCTGCCTCGGCCTCCCGAAGTGCTGGGATTACAGGTGTGAGCCACTGTGCCCAGCCTGTTTCAGCTTCTTTAGACACTCTTTGTGTGCCTTAAGTCACTATTTACAAAAAATTAAATACATCTCTACATTTTCCCACCTCCCTTGCAGTAGCTCTAGCCAAAATAACTAAGTTCTGGCACGTAGAAGTGGCATATGCAACTTTCAAGAACTGCCCTTAAACGGAGGCAATGTGTCTTTCTCCTCCCCTTTCTTCTTTCCTGCTGCATGAAATGTAGGCATGATGGCTCGAGCTGGAGCAGCTATTTTGGGCCATGAGACAAAAGACAAATGCAGAGAATTTGGGAGCAACAAGACAGAAAAAGTCTAGGTCCCTAATGATTGTGGCATCACTGTGCCAGCCTGGACTGTATTCCTAGAGAGAATAAAATTTAAATGAGAGCAACAAAATTCTATCACATTTAGGCTTCTGTTATTCAGGTATCCATCATTCGTAGCTGAAATGAATCCAGATTAATGCTGGAGTAGAACTTGGATTTAGACCCAGGCTTGCCTGACCCTGAGAAACTCCACCAGTGTTTCTTAAAGTGTTGATGGGTGACTACCTGAATCAGAATCACGGTGAGAAGCGTGTTTAAAACACAGATTATAGGCCAGGTGCAGTGGCTCACATCTATCATCCTAGCACTTTGGGAGGCTGAGGAGGGAGGCTCACTTGAGCCTGGCAGTTTGAGACCAGGCTGGGCAACATAGCAAGATCCCATCTCTACAAAAGAATTTTTTTTTTTTTTTAAGACAGAGTCTGGCTGTCGCCCAGGCTGGAGTGCAGTGGCGCCATCTCAGCTCACTGCAATCTCCACCTCCCAGGTTCAAGTGATTCTCCTGCCTCAGCCTCCCAAGTAGCTATGATTACAGATGCACGCCACCACATGCTTGGCTACTTTTTTTCGTTGTTGTTCATTTGTTTTTTTTGAGACGGAGTCTTGCTCTGTCGTCCAGGCTGGAGTGCAGTGGCGTGATCTCGGCTCACTACAACCTTCACCTCCTGGGTTCAAGCAGTTCTCTGCCTCAGCCTCCCAAGTAGCTGGGATTATAGACACCCGCCACCACGCCCAGCTAATTTTTGTATTTTTAGTAGTGATGAGGTTTCACCATCTTGGCCAGGCTGGTCTTGATCTCCTGACCTCGTGATCCACCCACCTCGGTCTCCCAAAGTGCTGGGATTACAGGCATGAACCACTGCGCCCAGCCTTTTTTTGTATTTTTAGTAGAGACGGGGTTTCACCATGTTGGCCAGGCTGGTCTCGAACTCCTGACCTCAAGTGATCTGTCTGCTTTGGCCTCCCAGAGTGCTGGGATTACAGGAGTAAGCCACTATGTCCAGCCCCTACACAAATTTTTTAATTAGCTAGGCATGGTGGCGCACACCTCTCTACAGTCCCAGCTACTCGGGAGGCTGAGGCAGGAGGATCACTTGAGCCCAGGAGTTTGGGGTTGAAGTGAGTGCCACTGCATTCCAGCCTGGGTGACAGAAGTAGACCCTGTCTCTAAAAAAAATAAATAAAATAAAATGTCTATTCTGGTATACCACTCAGCTCTGCTGAATTAGACTCTCTAGAGCTGGGACCTGGGCAGTTCTCCTTTAACCACGTTCTCCATGCAGAGGACTTCAAGGCACACTCAAGTTGGAGACCACAGGGCTTCATTCTGTGTCCTCATGTAACTCTTAAGAAAATCAGGAGTCCATTCCGAACCCTTGGGTGAACTGAAGGCAGGTGGAGATCAGGGGACTTGGGGGAGGCAGTGAGGGTGGAGGGCAGGGGTCAAGCACCCAGGGCCTCAGGTCATCTGTGTCCATCCCCTGAGGCAGGCTCTGGGCAGCCCTCCCTGAGGAGGTAGCCCTGTCCCCAGGGCCCTGGATGGTGAGGATGACCCAGCCTTCGTAACCCTGCCCTCACACACAGCGCTCACTCCAAAGCTTGCTGGAATCATCTGAGGCTACCAGTGTCTACAGCACATCGAGCTACCCTTATGGAGCCTGGGACCAGCCCCAGGAAGCCAATCTCAGCTCAGGAGCCAGGATTTTAGTGCAAAGCTGCGCCCCCTTCTGTAAACCATGGTTCTCCTGAGAAACAGCTCATGCCTTTGGTAAGCTCCTGGGCCCTGGGGAGATGGAACACCTGACTTGCGGCACCTGGGGACCATGTGACCAGAGCTGAGCACTGTCTGACCTTGCCACAAAGTCAGGTGTGCCCAACGGTTTCTGTCATCAAGGGGAGAAAGTACACGTGGGTGAGGGCTGAGCGCAGGCATGTCCTGAAGCCCAGCTGAGCCTCTCAGCAGGCAGCTCCTTCCCCAGAGTCCCTTCTCCAGCTTCCCAAAGCCCCTGCGTCCGCCCATACCTTGGGCACAGGTCCCTAAGACCAACTGAACACTCGAGCATGAGCCAGGCAGACAGCCTGGGTGGATGCCAGCAGAAAGATTGGTGAAGACTGGATCTCCTGGGCAGAAGCGGTGACAGGCACATGGCGTCCAGTGTGAGGCTGGAGGCATCAGGGAGCACAGGGATGCAAGCCCCTCTACGTTCTCCCTTGTCATGGCTGGGTGTGAGAATGACCTTAGGCAATGGGGTGGGGCATGAATATTTTGAGCTTGTGCCAGCTGTGTGGTGGAGCGTGGGCCTGTACGGAGGCACTGCACTCCCATCTCCCTCGGCTCCCAACTCCCTCCGTGGGAAGCTGAGTTCAGGCACTGCCCCTCCTGTATGGACAGGGAGCCACTGGTCCCAGCTTGCTGGTTGCCAGGCAACCCAGGATGAGCCTTCGAGGTCATTCCTCAGACAACTCTGAGCTCTCTCCACAGCCTGGGAACAGATGGTTCCGCAGCAGCCAGCCCCAGCCTGAAATGAGTTGCGGAGGCACTGCTGCCTGTCTCCACCAGCAAGAGGGAGGAGAGGCCCTTCCCGTGCCTGCAGCAGTCCAGGGTAGATGCAAGCAGAAAGACTGGTGAAGACTGGAGCTCCTGGGCAGAAGCACTGACAGGCACGTGGGGTCCTGTATGAAGAGCTGCACTTTGTGTGAAAGGAAAGGTGGCCCAAGGTCTGGCTCTACTTCAGCCGGGGCAGTGGCTGGTGGTCTTGCCGGGTGGGCCAGTCTTGGGAGGGGGTGATGGGGAAGTTGGTGAAACAGAGGCACTGGGTCAGCAACTATGTGGTGGGACTCTCAGAAACGGCCCAGATTACAAGAGAATGCTTGACCCGAGTGACTGTTTACCAAAGCCCTCCCCCTCAAAAGAGGCTTTTAACAGTCAGGTGACACCTGTGGGTGTCACCATCTTCCCTTTCTCTATTATTAGGACCTGGACAAAATTCAAGAAGATGTCCCAACCACATGTAGCCTTACCTTTGATACTTCCAATTGCAATGAGACTTAAATTTTAGAATAAGAGATACACGCTGGGCGCGGTGGCTCACGTCTGTAATCCCAGCACTTTGGTAGGCCAAGGCCGGTGGATCACCTGAGGTCAGGAGTTTGAGACCAGCCTGGCTAACATGGCAAAACCCCGTGTCTAGTAAAAATACAAAAATTAGCCGAGCGTGGTAGTGCACGCCTGTAATCCCAGCTACTCAGGAGGTGGATGCAGGAGAATCGCTTGAACTCGGGAGGCGGAGGTTGCAGTGAGCCGAGATTGCACCACTGCACTCCAGCCTGGGTGACAGAGCAAGACTTTCTCAAAAAAATAAAAAAATAAAATAATAATAATAAAAAGAGGATACAGACCATTTACAGGGTTTTTCCTGGTCCATTATCCTGCTCTAATAATGCCAATCAACATGTGATCATTATTCCCTGGGGACAGAACTAGTCACCACTAGTTTGTGACTCTACCTCATTTGAGGTGGCATCCAGGGTGACATCCCAGACTTCCTTACCTTACTTGAAGCACGATGAGCCTTAATTTTCGAATAGAAATGTTGACCAGCAAGCCAGCTTTTTTTTTTTTTTTTCCAGGACAAGGATAAATTCCCTTAAGAATTTTGCAAACATCACATGTTTTCTTTCCCCTTGTTGCAATATATGTAATTTATCTCCTGGTGTAACTTGCTTAATAGTTACCGTTTGTTAATTCCATCTGCTTCCCAAGAGGAGAACATACTGTTACGTGGTGAAGTCCTGGGTTCTGTGAGTCTCCCATAAGCCACAGCTGGTCAAGAAACGAATCAATGGGGCCACGAACAAAGTGGCCATGGAAGCAGGTATGGGTGAAGGCATGAGGGCAGGCACGGGGGCAGGCAAGGGGGCAGGCAAGGGGGCAGGCACGGAGGCAGGTATGGAGGCAGGTATGGAGGCAGGCATGGAGGCAGGCATGGGGGCAGGCATGGGGGCAGGTACGGGGGCAGGTACGGGGGCAGGCACGGAGGCAGGCACGGAGGCAGGTATGGGGGCAGGCATGGGGGCAGGCATGGGGGCAGGCATGGAGGCAGGTATGGGGGCAGGCACGGAGGCAGGTATGGGGGCAGGCACGGAGGCAGGCATGGAGGCAGGCATGGGGGGCAGGCATGGAGGCAGGTATGGAGGCAGGTATGGGGGCAGGCATGGGGGCAGGTAAGGAGGCAGGCATGGAGGCAGGTAAGGAGGCAGGCATGGGGGCAGGTATGGGGGCAGGCATGGAGGTTTTGCCCAGCTTCTCCAGTACGACCTTCCCTCACCAAAGCCAACCTGGTTGCCATCACCTCTGAGTGGCCACACCTGAGCCCTTGTGGCTCAGCCAGCCAGCTGGTGACTGCCTGGTTACACAAACATTTTCCTTCATGGAAGACAGCAATTTGTCCTCCTTCGATGGATCCTTGTTGTCGAGCTGGACTTGCGTTTCCATCCTCCCTCTGCACTTCCAATCAGGGTCTCACTGAAGGGCACCTGTTGGGTGTCCTACAGGACATTGCCTCCTGCCGAGAAGCTCATGCTTCTGTGAAGGCTGCAGAGGTGTGAAACAGTGGGCCAGGCCAGACACAGTGGCTCTCGCCTATAATCCCAGCACTTTGGGAGGCTGAGGCAGGTGGATCACCTGAGGTCCGAGGTTCAAGATCAGCCTGGCCAACATGGTGAAACCCCATCTCTACTAAAAATATAAAAATTAGCTGGGCATGGTGGCAGGTGCCTGTAGTCCCAGCTACTCAGGAGGCTGAGGCAGAAGAATCACTTGAACCTGGGAGGTGGAGGCTGCAGTGAGCCGAGATCATGCCACTGCACTCCAGCCTGGGCAACAGAGTGAGACTCCATCTCAAAAACATAAAGAACAAAAAAACCAACAACAACAACAACAACAATGAACAGTGGGCCGGTCCCTGTGGGGCTCATTGGACTTTCCTTATACCCATGACCCTGGGTTAGGTGGTCTCTGCATGGTGAACTGCCCTGGCAGCCAAGTCACACCACCTTGGAAGCCTGCAGATCTGCAGAAGGGGGCATATGCTCTGTGCCAGTAACAACATGTGATACGGCCGGGTGTGGTGACTCCGTGACTGAAATCCCAGCACTTTGTGAGGCCAAGGTGGGAGGATTGCTTGAGCACAGGAGTTTAAGACCAGCCTGGGCAATGTAGTGAGACCCCGTCTCTAAAAAAAAAAAAATTAGCCAGGTGTAGTGGCACACACCTGTAGTCTCAGGTACTTGGGCAGCTGAGGTGGGTGGATCACCCGAGCCTATAAGGTCAAGGCTGCAGTTAGCCATGATCACACCACTGCACTCCAACCTGGGCGACAGAGCAAGACCTTGTCTCAAAAAAACACATGATGCTGTTTCTCCTGGAGTCAGTGTCCATGGGTCTGGGAGCCAGTGCAGGGAGTGGCACATCCTTGGTCCTCAGGGGAGGACTGGATCCATCAGGAGGTTAAAAAATGATTCCTCTGAAGTGGAAGCTGAGACTGTCACCACCACTGAGAAAACAGATGATAAAATATGAGTCATTATGGTGTGACCCTGAGTCTCAAAGGGAAATGGAAGCTGCTGTTGAGCAGAGATAGGGAGGATCTGAAGAGCCCAGGGTGGGGTGGGATCATCTGAGATGCGTCCTGGTTCCCCCATGCCCAGTGGTGAAGTCAGTGGAGAAACCTCACCCTTGATGGGCAAACACACAAGGGTTCAGGTTCTTCCTGAATAAAAGTCTGTGTCCTGAATGAATCCTCTAGCTGCAGTGCCTGTGCTGGCTAAATGCAAAAGGAACTTAGGTAGAGCTGGAGAGAAATACTGCCCTCGGGACCAACAGGATGGGAAGCCCCTTGGTGGGGCCTGTGGAGGGACTTGGGGGCTGGCCTGGAGCAGTCAGAGGGAGCCTGGCCAGACTCGTCCAACCCCTCCTGGAGTCACCCATGACCCCAAGTCCTTCCAGCCTTTCTTTCCTCCTTCTCCAGCCCCAGGGGCCTGGCTCTCTCTTTCTGTAGGAAAGGACAGGGCCATTGGCCCTAGATAATAGTTTGGTCTGGTTCCTTCTTTCCAGAGAACCCTACTACCTTGAGGAGGACGCCCCACTGCCCCTTTCAGAAGTGGCACCGAGTGGTGTCAGAGCCTGGGTCTATAGCCTACTGCCTGGATTCCTGTTCCAGCTTCCAGCACAATCACTTACTAGGATTGTGTGTGTGCACATGGCTGTGCATGTGTGTGCCCAAGTGCAAGTTACTTAGCCTTTCTATGGCCTTAGTTTCCTCCCCTATAAAGAAAGAAAAACACCATCTAATTATTATTATTTGAGTCAGAGTCTCGTTCTGTGACCCAGGCTGTGCGGTGGCGTGATCTCAGCTCACTGCAACCTCTGCCTCCCAGTTCAGGTGATTCTCCTGCCTTAGCATCCGAGTAGCTGGGATTACAGGCACACGCCACCATGCCCAGCTAATTTTTATATTTTTAGTAGAGATGGGGTTTCACCATGTTGGCCAGGCTGGTTTTGAACTCCTGACCTCAGGTGGTCCGCCCACCTCGGCCTCCCAAAGTGCTGGGATTACAGGCATGAGCCACCGCGCCCTGCCAAATTCTTGAGTTGTTGTCAAAATTAATTGTAGAACTAAAGCCATACAGCTTCTAGAAGAAAACCGGAGAAAATCTTAGCAACCTGGGGGTAGGCAACGCTTTCTTTCTTTTGTTCTTTTTTTTTTTTTTTTTTTTTTGAGATGGAGTCTTGCTCTGTTGCCCAGGCTGGAGTACAATAGTGGGATCTCAGCTCACTGCAACCTCCACCTCCGGGTTCAAGCTGTTCTCCTGCCTCAGCCTCCTGAGTAGCTGAGATTACAGGCGCCCACCACCACACCCAGCTGATTTTTGTATTTTAGAAGAGACGGGGTTTCACCTTGTTGGCCAGGCTGGTCTTGAACTCCTGATCTCAGGTGATCTGCCCACCTCGGCCTCCCAAAATGCTGGGATTACAGACATGAGCCACCGAGCCCGGCCAGCAACTGTTTCTTAGACTGGACACAGAAAGCAATAACCATTAAAAAATGATAAATTTGACTTCATCATAATTTCAAACTTCTATCATCAAAAGTCATCACTAGGCCGGCCACGGTGGCTCACGCCTGTAATCCCAGCACGTTGGGAGGCCGAGGCAGGTGGATTGCTTGAGGTCAGAAGTTCGAGACCACCCTGGCCAACATGGTGAAACCCTGTCTCTACCAAAAATACAAAAATTAGCTGGGCGTGGTGGCGCACATCTTGTAATCCTAGCTATTTGGGAGGCTGAGGCAGGGGAATTGCTTGAACCCAGGAGGCGGAGGTTGCAGTGAGCTGAGATCGTGCCACTGCACTCCAGCCTGGGTGACAGAGTGAGACTCTGGCTCAAAAAAAAAAAAAAAAAAAAGTCATCACTGAGAAAATGATTAGACAAGCCACTTTGCTTGACAAAAGATTTGTTTCCAGAATATAAAGAACTTCTTTTTTTTTTCTTTTTTTTTTACAATCTTGCTCTGTCACCCAGGCTGGAGTACAGTGGCATGATCTCAGCTCACTGCAGTCTCTGCCTCCCGGGTTTAAGCGATTCTCATGGCTCAGCCTCCCAATTAGCTGGGATTGCAGGTGTGGTCTGCAATGCCTGGCTAATATTTGTATTTTTATTAGGTTGGTGCAAAAGCAATTGTGGTTTTTGTCATTTGTAAGTAATGTAACAGTAGAGACAGGGTTTTGCCATGTTGGCCAGGCTGGTCTCAAACTCCTGGCCTCAAGTAATCTGCCTACCTCGGCCTCCCAAAGTGTTGGCATTACAGGCATGAGCCACCGTGACTGGCCAGAATATAAATAATTTCTAAAACTCAACAATAAAAAGCCAAACACCCAATTTTAAAATGGGTGAAAGATTTGAACAGACGCTTCACAAAGAAAGATATGTGCATAACCAATAAATATAAGACAAAATGTTCGATATCATTAGCTATCAAGGAAATGCAAATTAAAACCCCAATGAGATGCTATGGAATAAAATGACCCATCGGAATGGCTAAAAATGAAGACTGTCAACACCAAGTGTGTCCAAGACAAGGATCCACTGAAACTCATATATTGTTGGCAAGAGGAAAAGTTTTCCTTCCTTCTTTCCTGCCTTCCTCCTTCCTTCCCTCCTTTCCTTTTTTCCCCTCCTCTTTTCTCCCCTCCCTTCCCATCCCCTTCTTCCCTTCTCCTCCCCTTCTTTTTCTCTTCCCCTTCCCCTTCCTTCTTTCTTTCTTTCTCTTTTAGAAATGGGGTTTTGCTATGTTGCTAAGGCTGTACTTGTACTTCTGAGCTCAAGTGATTCTCCTGCCTCAGCCTCCCAATGGCAGTTTCTTATAAAACTAAATATTCGTGTACCGCATGACCAGTAATTCCACTTGCAGGTATTTACCTGCAATGAAATGAAATGAAAATATATATCCACAAAAAAATTCGTACAAAGTTCATAGCAGCTTTGTTACAGTCCAAAATTGGAAACAGCCCAAGTGTTCATCAAAATAATAATTTTGTTGTACTCAAACAATAGAATACCACTCATCAACAAAACAGAAGGGACTGCTATACAGACAGCAGTGTGGATGAGCCTCAAAAACACTGGGATGAGTGAAAGAAGGCAGGGCCAGGTGCTGTGGATCACGCCTGTAATCCCAGCTACTTGGGAGACTGAGGCAGGGAGAATCGCTTGAACCTGGGAGGCGGAGGTTGCAGTGAGCCAAGATCGTGCCACTACACTCCAGCCTGGGTGACAGAGCAAGACTCCGTCTCAAAAAAAAAAAAAAGAGAAAAAAAGAAAAAGGCAGACACGAAAGAGTACTTACTGCATGAAGTTCTAGAAGAGGCAAAACCTATCTCTGGAAAATAACTAAAAAAAATGTGTTGATGAATCAATAGAGGGATAGCTCTATGATAAAGCAAATAGAGCAAAATACTAACAACTATAGAATCTAGGTGGTGAGTATATGTGCATTTATTGTACAGTTATCTCCATTTTTCTTCATGTTTGAAAATTTTCATAATGTTGGAAAGATTAGGTATAGAACGTAGTAGGAGTGTAAATTAGTACAACATTCCTGGAAAAGAAATCAGCAGCATTTGTCAAGAGCTTTGCCTCATTAATTTCCCCGTTCTAAGGGAATAATTGGAAATGAGGACAAAGATTTATGTAAGATCAGAATTGTTACTTTAACACTTGGCAGAACTGAGCAGGCATGGGTGGAGTTTTCTTTACGGGAAGATATTTGACTACTGATTCAATTCCTTTACTCACAAGGTGGGCAGACTCCATGACCCCCAGTGATCGCTGCCTCTTGTTATCAACGCTTTATATAATCCCCCACCCTTGAGTGTGGGTGGGATGAGTGATTTGTTTCTTTTTCTTTCTTTCTTCCTTTTTTTTTTTTTTTTTGAGACGGAGTTTTACTCTTGTTGCCCAGGCTGGAGTGCAATGGCATGATCTCGGCTCACCGCAACCTCTGCCTCCCAGGTTCAAGCGATTCTCCTGCCTCAGCCTCCCGAGTAGCTGGGATTACAGGCATGCACCACCACGCCCGGCTAATTTTGTACTTTTATTAGAGACGGGATTTCTCCATGTTGGTCAGGCTGGTCTTGAACTCCTGACCTCAGATGATCCGCCTGCCTCGGCCTCCCAAAGTGCTGGGATTACAGGCATGAGCCACCGCGCCCAGCCCTTTCTTTCTTTTTTTTTTTTTGAGACAGTTTCCCCCTTATTGCCCAGGCTGGAGTGCAGTGGCTTGATCTCAGCTCACTGCAACCTCTGCCTCCTGGGTTCAAGTGATTCTCTTGCCTCAGCCTTCCAAGTAGCTGGGATTACAGGCACCCACCACCACGCCCAGCTAATTTTTTGTATTTTTAGTGGAGACAGGGTTTCGCCTTGTTGGGCAGGCTAGTCTCGAACTCCTGACCTCAGGTGATCTGCCCGCCTCAGCCTCCCAAAGTGCTGGGATTACAGGCATGAGCCACCTCGCCCAGCGGGATAAGTGATTTGTTTCTAACCAATAGAATATGGCAAAGGTAATGCAATGTCACTTCCATGATTAGATTACATAAGATAGTAACTTTTGTCTTGCTAGCAGCCTCTCCCTATTGCCTTTTTTTTTTGACAGTGCCTCTGTCGTTCAGGCTGGAGTGCAGTGGTGCGATCATGGTTCACTGCAGCCTCGACCTCCCGGGCTCAGGTGATCCTCCCACCTTAGCCTCCCAAGTTAGCTGGGACTACAGGCACAAGCCACCATGCCCAGCTAATTAAAAAAAAAATGTTGTGGCCAGGCCCAGCGGCTCACGCCTGTAATCCCAGCACTTTGGGAGGCCGAGATGGGCAGATCATGAGGTCGGGAGATCGAGACCATCCTGGCTAACGTGGTGAAACCCCGTCTCTACTAAAAATACAAAAAAATTAGCTGGGCGTGGTGGCAGGCGCCTGTAGTCCCAGCTACTCAGGAGGCTGAGGCAGGAGAATGGCGTGAACCCAGGAGGCGGAGCTTGCAGTGAGCCAAGATCATGCCACTGCACTCCAGCCTGGGCGACAGAGCGAGACTCCATCTAAAAAAAAAAAAATGTTGTAGAGATGGGGTCCCACTATGTTGCCCAGGTTTCTGTTGCCTCTTTGCACACTTTGATGAAGCAAGTGGCTGTATTGGAGAGGTCCATCCAGCAAGAAACAGAGGGTGTCCTCTGGCCAATAGCCAGCTAGGAACTGAGGCCCATGGTGCAACAACCCTTTAATAACTGGATGCTGCCAACAACTGTGTGAATTTGGACATGGGTCTTTCCCCAGTTGAGTCTTCAGATGACACCCCAGCCCTGGCCAACAACTGCAACCCTGTGAGAGACTTTGACCCAGCTAAGCCATGCCAGGACTCCTAACCCACAGAAACCATCAGGTAGTAAATGTGTAAATGTGTGCCTTTTTTTTGTTTTTGTTTTTTTGAGATGGAGTCTCACTCTGTCACCCAGGCTGGAGTGTAGTGGTGTGATCTTGGCTCACTGCAACCTCCTCCTCCTAGGTTCAAGCGATTCTCCTGCCTCAGCCTCCCAAGTAGCTGGGACTACAGGCGCCCACCACCACACCTGGCTAATTTTTTGTACTTTTAGTAGAGATGGGGTTTCACCATGTTAGCCAGGATGGTCTCGATCTCCTGACCTTGTGATCCACCCACCTTGGCCTCCCAAAGTGCTGGGATTACAGGTGTGAGCCACTGTGCCTGGCTGCAAATGTGTGTTTTTAAGCAGCTGAGTTTGTGGTAATTTGTTACACAGCAATAGCTAACTAGTGCAACTAGTTATAGAACTATTCAGGTATTTTATTTCTGTTTGATTCAGTTTTGGAGAGTAATAGTTTTCCAGAAATTTGTTCATTTTGCCTATTTTTTTTTTTTTTTTGAGATGGAGTTTTGCTCTGTTGCCCAGGCTGGAGTGCAGTGGTACAATCTTGGCTCACTGCAACCTCCACCTCCCTGGTTCAAGTGATTCTCCTGCCTCAGCCTCCCCAATAGGTGGAATTACAGGTGCCCACCACCATGCCTGGCTAATTTTTGTATTTTTAGTAGAGACAGTGTTTCACCATGTTGGCCAGGCTGGTCTCAAGCTCCTGACCTCAAGTGATCCACCCGCCTCAGCCTCCCAAAGTGCTGAGATTACAGGCGTGAGCCACTGCATCTGGCCCATTTTGCCTAAATCTTTAAATATATTAGCATAAAGCTATTCATAATAACTTCTTTCTGTTTAAAAGCTTAACTATAAAATATAGCTCACAAACAGAAAGGTACATAAATTAGAAGTGCATAATGTGTAATTATAAAATAAACATCTGTGTATTCACCACCCGACTCAAGAAACGGAAATAATTCCAGCACCACAGGAATCCCCACGTGCCCCTTCTCAATCACATCCCTCCTTTCCTCTTAAGGGTAATCATCCTTGTATTTTTATGATAATCTCTGTCTGCCAGTATAGTTTTATGGTTCTTTCTAGTTTATCCATCCCTATACAATATAATTTAGATTTTTCTCTTCTTGAACTTTATGTAAATGGAATCATTCCCTGTAGATCTCTTGTGTTTGCTTCTTTTGTTCACCATTGGATTTACACCATCAATATATGTTATTGTGAAGTTCTAGTTTGTTTGTTTTCATTGCTGTTTAATATTCCATAGTATGATTATAAAAATTATCCACTTTACTGTATATATATATATATATATATTTTTTTTTTTTTTTTTTTTTTTTTTTTTGTGGAGATGGAGTCTCACTCTGTTGCCCAGGCTGGATGTGATCTTGGCTCATTGCAGCCTCAACCTCCAGGGCTCAAGTGATCCTCTTGACTTAGCCTCCCGAGTAGCCGGGACTACAGGCATGTGCCACTATGCCTGGCTAATTTTTGTATTTTTTGTAGAAACAGAGGTCTTGCCATATTGCCCAGGCTGGTCTCGAACTCCTAGGCTCAAGTGATCTGCTCACCTTGGCCTCCCAAAGTGCAGGGACCACTTTACTATTGACAGGCATTTGAATTATTTCACTTTGAGTGTACATAAACAATTCTACTCTGAACATTTGTGGACATGTTTTCTGGTACATAGTGCATACACTTCTTAGGGGATTTTTCCTGTCCTGTTTCTGAGTCTTAGGGCCTGAGTATTTATACTACTTTACTGGAAAATGCCAAACTCTCCCGGGAGGTCGTTATACTGATATACGCCAGCAGCATATGAGAGGCCGTGCTGCACCACGTCCTCGCCACTATTTGACATTGCCAGGCTTTTGAATTTTCCTAACTGGCACATGTATCATGGTATTTCATTACAGTTTTTGCATTTCCCTGCTTATTTATGGAGTGAAGCACTTTTCCATATATTTATTAGCCATTTGAATTTTCTTTTTCTGTCACATGCCTATTATATGTATTTATTTTTCTTCTCTTTTTTTTTTAAATTGAGACAGAATCTTGCTCTGTCGCCCAGGTTGGAGTGCAGTGGCATGATCTCAGCTCACTGCAGCCTTGACCTCCCAGACTCAAGCCATCCTCCCACCTCAGCCTCCTGAATAGCTTGAACTATAGGCTTATGCCATCACACCTGGCTAATCTTTGTGTATTTTGTAGAGATGGGGGTCTCACCATTTTGCCCAGGCTGGTTTTGAACTCCCGGGTTCAAGTGATCTGTAGGCCTCAGCCTCCCAAACTGTTGGGAATTACAGGTGTGCCAATTTGTCTATTTTTCTATCAGTGGATTTGTCTTTTTCTCTTTTTTTTGAGATGGAGTCTTGCTCTGTCGCCAGGCTGGAGTGCAGTGCTGTGATCTCGGCTCACTGCAACCTCCGACTCCCTGGTTCAAGTGATTCTCCTGCCTCAGCCTCCTGAGTAGCTGGGATTACAGCCTATGCGCCACCACGCCCAGCTAGTTTTCATATTTTTAGTAGAGATGAAGTTTCACCATGTTGGCCAGGCTGGTCTCGATCTCCTGACCTCGTGATCTGCCTGCCTCAGCCTCCCAAAGTGCTGGGATTTATAGGCCTGAGCCACCGCGCCCAGTTGGATTTGTCTTTTTCTTATTGATTTGTAGGAGTACTTTATATATTCTGGATAGAACTTCTTTATTAGTTTTATGAGTTCAAGTATTATTCCATGTTATGCCTCATTTTTTCATTCTCTTTATGGGGTCTCTGAATTTTAACATACTTAAAAATATCTGCCTTTTATGGTCTCTCATGGTACCTTATTCCCTTGTTTGCGTGGTTAACAGTTCACTTTTCTTTTTTTTGAGACGGAGTCTTGCTCTGTCTCCCAGGCTGGAGTACAGTGGCTTGATCCTGGCTCACTGCAGCCTCTGCCCCCCAGGTTCAAGCGATTCTCCTGCCTCAGCTTCCTGAGTAGCTGGGACTCCAGGCTCCCGCCACCACGCCCAGCTAGTTTTTGTATTTTTAGTAGAGACGGGGTTTCACCATCTTGGCCAGGCTGCTCTTGAACTCCTGACCCTGTGATCCACTCGCCTCAGCCTCCCAGAGTGCTAGGATTACAGGCGTGAGCCACTGCACCCAGCCGACCCTGTCTCTCTCTTTTTTTTTTTTTTTTTGAGACGGAGTTTTGCTCTTTTTGCCCAGGCTGCAGTGCAATGGCGCGATCTTGGCTCACCGCAACCTCCGCCTCCCAGGATCAAGCGATTCTCCTGCCTCAGCCTCCCGAGTAGCTGCGATTACAGGCATGTGCCACCATGCCCGGCTAATTTTGTATTTTTAGTAGAGACGGAGTTTCTCCATGTTGGTCAGGCTGGTCTTGAACTCCTGACTTCAGGTGATCCACCAGCCTTGGCCTCCCAAAGTGCTGGGATTACAGGCGTGAGCCACCAGGCCCAGCCCCGACCCTGTCTCTTAAAAGCCCAGTTTGCATTTTTAAAACACATAATTTATTGAAATCTTGAGGCTGAGGATGATGGTGCATTCCTTCAGAGAACATTTGCATTTGCTTCTATCAGGTACTAGGGGCATTACAAGCCCGAGGTCATTTTCAACTGAATTCACAGTTTGAAGATGTGTAGAGCATGGGAGGTGATGTGAGTTTCTTGTGCGATTCTGCATAAGGGGTAGTGTCAGGATGCAACTTCTCAGATATCTGATTGTCTTCTTCCTGCTCTTTGTGGCACCAGGGCATATTTCCTTGCAGGCCCCTGGGGGTGGGGGATTGGTTTCTTCTGGTTCACCCTTACTCTGAGAGTATGACACTTTGGGGTCTCATATCAGATTCTCCTTCTTGGTTAAGTTCTGGACTTTGTGAGACCACCCAACCTGAAGCCCCTGTATACCTGGCTAGCAAATGATCTCAGGAAAAAACAGGCTTACCTCTCATTTCACTTACGTTTGACTGGTGATTTCATTATTAGCTGGTCATTGATTTTCAGGAAGATGTTTTTAGGAAGATGTTTACCAGAAACTGTACTCCCTAAAGCTTATGTACTGAGATGTCAATTGGCAAACTAGTTATAATAGGTAAAATGTTATAATAGGCAAATGTGTTCAAAACAGGGGAATTATTAAATAAATTTACAAGATAACATATTGCAATTATCATGCTCATTTGCTAAAATACCCTTTATGGCAAAGACTGCTTGGTGTCCACCAAAATCTATTCTCTCTTTCTTTTGTATAAACAGTAGAGTTACTTAGCTGCCCACCTAGAGACTACAGTTCCCAGCCTCCCTGCAGCTGGGTGGGGCTATGTCATAAGTTATTGGCAATGGATGTGAGCAGAATTGATGTGTGTCACCTCCAACTACAGGCTTTAGAATTTAGGTGCCTTCTCCTTCATGCTCATTTCCTTCCCGTGGTTTAAACACGGACCATGGTTTGACCATGAAAATTAGGAGGACACCTTAGGGGATGTCAGAGGAGCAATGAGATGGAAGGAACCTGGCATTGAATGACAGCAGGGCACACAGTGGCCCCAACAACCTGGACCACTTATCTCAGGATCGTTACATGAGAAAAAAACACTTATGTGAAGCTGCTGTATTTGGGGACAGCTTTGTGACAGCACCTTAGCCTCATCCCCAACTAACAGAGACCCATTTAATAATGCTCCCGTCCAGGGATATGTCCAGTACATTAATCCTAGTTCTCAACTTCCTCCAGTCTTAACCTCTCTTTGGGTCTCTTCTAGGGTCTATGGTTTATCATTATCACTATCTCTTTGCCAATACCTGGAACTCCATAACCCCTCTTTGACTTCATCTTATTTGCCTGGCAAAACCCATCTGTCTTGGTGCCTGCACTCAAGTATCTGAAGATCACTGACAAATTCGTACAGCTGAGCTGAGCAGTGCCACTGTTCTCAAACATCAAAGGGACTCGACACGGAAAACTCTACTGTTTTTCTAACACGAACAGTTTCTTTCTTCTCCTCTTTCTCAAGGTAACTATTTCACTTCTTTTCCTCTTTCTTCAAATTTCCTATTTCCCTTTCTAGATTCATTCTCATTTGATTTGGTAACCTTGCCTGACTATTTATTGAGAGAATTAATGCCTTCAGTCACACAGACACCTTTTCATCTTTCCTCCACAAAATCTGCAAACCCATCTGCTTCTTCCTACTTTGGAGATGTTGTCCCTACTTCTCTCAAGGGTGTCTTTTTTTTCTCTCTCTTCTTTCTTCTTTTCTTCTTCTCCTCCTTCTTCTTCCCCTTCTTCTCTTTCTTCTCCTTCTTTTCCTCCTTCTCCTTCTTTTTAAGACAGGGTCTCGCTCTGTCACCAAGACTGGAGTGCAGTGGTGCAATCATGCCTCAATCTCCTGGGCGAAGCGACCCTCCCACCTCAGCCTCCTGACTAGCTGGGGCCACAGGCATGGGCCACCACCCATGCCTGGCTATGTTTTTTTGTCTTTTGTTTTTTGTAGAGACACAGTGTCTCTATGTTGCCCAGGCTTGTCTTGAACTCCTGGACTCAAGAGCTCCTCCTGCTTCAGCCTCCCAAAGTGCTGGGATTACAGATGTGAGCCACTGTGCCTGGCCTCAGAATGTCTTGATTCTGAATCTCTACCTCTTTTACTTTATCAAAGTGTTTCCTTCTCTACTGGGTCATTTCCCACCACTTTAAAAACATTTCTAATATCCACTCTCCACCCCCAACACACACACAAACAAAACAAAAGTAAACTAATGGCTGTATTAGTTTTCTATTGCTGTGTAATACATTACCACAAACTTAGTGGCTTAAAAGAACACACATTTGCCAGGCGTGGTGGCTCATGCCTGTAATCTCAGTACTTTGGGAGGCTGAGGTGGGTAGATCACCTGAGGTCAGGAGTTTGAGACCACCCTGGTCAACATGGCGAAACCGTCTCTACTAAAAATACAAAAATTAGCCAGGTGTGGTGGCGCGCACCTGTAATCCCAGCTACTTGGGAGGCTGAGGCAGGAGAATCTCTTGAACCCAGGAGGTGGAAGTTGCAGTAAGCCGAGATTGTGCCATTGCACTCCAGCCTGGGTGACAGAACGAGACTCCGTCAAAAACAAACAAACAAACAAACAAACAAACAAAAAACACATTTATTGTGTCACAGTTTCTGTGGGTCAGAAGCCCAGCATGTTTTGAGTCCTCTGCTTAGCATCTTACCAGGCTGAAATCAAGGAACTAGCCCAGACTGTGACCCCAGCTGGGGCTCAGGGTCATCTTCCAAGCTTATTGGTTGTTGCAGAATTCAGTTTCCTGCAATTGGAGGACTGAGGTTTCTACTTTCTTGCTGGCTGCCAACAGGGGCCATTCGTAGCTCCTAGAGGCCACCAGTTGCTCACTGACATGTGACCCCCTTCACAAGAGGACAGTTTGCTCCTTCAAGGCCAGCAGTAAAGCGCTCTGTAAAAGGCTCACCTGATTAGGTCAGGCCCACCAAGATGAGTTTCTTCTGATTAATTCAAAGTCAACTGATTAGGGGCCTTAATTATATTTGCAATATTCACCTTTGCTAT
Source organism: Homo sapiens (assembly GCF_000001405.40). NCBI lineage: Eukaryota > Metazoa > Chordata > Mammalia > Primates > Hominidae > Homo > Homo sapiens. The sequence continues at coordinate 27,086,353 of NC_000001.11, forward strand.
ATAATGTAACCTAATCACAGCAATATCCCACCATACAGGTTCTGCCTGTATACCGTCAAGGGGAGGGGATTATACATGTCTTGTACAACAAAAGGCAGGAATCTTGGAGGCCATCTTACAATTCTGCCAACCACAACACACACCATACCACACACACATCACACACCACATACACCTCACACACCACCCCCACACACCACAAAGATCACACACACCACACCACACACACACCACATACCACACAGCCCACACACTGCACCACACATACACACCACACACATACCACATACCCCACATACCACACACACAGACACCACACACACCACATCCATACACCACACCACACACACTACACACCACACATCCCACATACCACACACACCACACACTACACACATACACACACCCCACACACCCCATACACACCCTGCACACCACACACATCACACACAGAGACACCGCCTATCCCACACACACCACACACCCCACATATCACACCACACACACCACATCCACACACACCACACACACACACAGCATACACAACACCCATAGACACCACACACCACACACACACCTCACGTACCAAACACCACACACACAACCACACACCACACACCAAACACACACCCCACACATACCTCACACCACAGACACACACCACCCCCCGCCACACAACACACACACACACACACACACACACACACACACACACACACACACAGCAGGTGCTCTGGACCTATCTGTCAAATTGCATGGGGCAGCTGAGCCTCAGTTTTCTTTGAGAGTCTCACTCTTGTCACCCAGACTGGAGTGCAGTGGCACGACCTTGGCTCACCGCAACCTCCGCCTCCTGGGTTCAAGCAATTCTCCTGCCTCAGCCTCTTGAGTAGGTGGGATTACAGGCATGCGCCCCAGCTAATTTTTGTATTTTTAGTAAAGACAGGTTTCACCATGTTGGCCAAGCTGGTCTCAAACTCCTGACCTCAAGTGATCTGCCTGCCTCGGCCTCCCAAAGTGCTGGGATTACAGGTGTGAGTCACTGCACCCAGCCCAGTTTTCTTATCTGTAAAATGGGTGTTGGGTCATATGTTCCTCCTGCCAGTCCAGGTGCCCTCTTCACCTTTCTCCATTCTGCGCTGGGCCTAGAGGCTGACCTCTCCCCAGGCTCCAGCTCTCACCAGATTCCAGGACCTTCCCTGCTCCCCGGCTGGTAAGAGCTTCCTGCTGCTGCAGACCCTTCAGGCTTCACCAGCCTTTCTTGGTTCCTTTAACTCTGCCCAGCACTTTGTAAGAGTCCCTTCATCAAACCCACAATACCCCTTTGAATGTGCCATCTGTTTCCACCCAGGGCCCTGATTGCTGCAATAATTGGTACCAGAATAGCTCTGGGAGACAGATCCTTGGAAGGGATTCTGGGGTTGGGTTGCTCATGCTTCTTGATTAGTGCGTGAATAGCCTCCTTGACATGGGGTAATGGACAATGGTCATCTATGGCACACAGTGGCATCACAGTTAGTTACTTTATGACCAGTGGTGGCTTGATGTTGGGAGATCAAGTGGCTATGGCATTTAGTCAATATGACGACAATAATGACTAAGAAATAGTGACAAAGACTGTGGCGTGGGCTTCTGACTGTACATTTGACTGCCCTAGAAACACACACAAAGGAACAGACTGAAAGCCTTGAATTCCCGACTCAGTGCAAGGCTGGAGATTCCGAAAGGCCCTAGGGTGGCTCTGAAAGTATCTTTGGTCTCTGCCAGCCACAGGGCAGATGGGGCTGAGAACCAAGCTCAGGCTCTGACTGTGAGGATCACAGAGTCGCGGAGCCAATTAAGTGCACAACCTCGCTCAGTCTCTTCTGCTAAGGGAAGGGCACTGGTTAAGAAGGAACAGATCCCAAGATGGGGACATTTGGATAGAACTTTGAACACCAGCACCTCCTGAATCTTCCCTGTTGGTAAAGGCAGCACCCCTTGTCTTCAGTCTGAGAAAACTGGTCTTTCCCAGCACAGAAATCTTTCAGTGACTTCACTTGAAGTGGTTGCCTCACCAGGGAAGATGCACCCCAGGATACACCCCCATCACCTCTCGTTTCCTCCAGGCCTATAATGAGAATTATATCCCCATAGAGCCCAGTCAAGAAAAGGACAAGGTGTATCCCAGGAGGAGAGAGTTTATACATTAAAGGAGTTGCAGAACTTTGACAATTTGTATTGGCAGGAGTCTGGGTTGCATCCAAGGGTGGTAGATTAAGGAAGACAAAATATGAGATTAGGCCGGGCATGGTGGCTCATGCCTGTAATCCCGGCACTTTGGGAGGCTGAGGCAGATGGATCGCTTGAGCCCAGGAGTTCGAGACCAGACTGGGCAACATAGCAAGACCTTGTCTCTTAAAAAAAAAAAAAAAAGATTAGATCAGGCCAAATGAGTGACACAGGTGTGCACCCAGCACTGGGGGTTGTGTTGGCTTGAGTACCTGGAGTGGGATTACCAGTCTGAGCTGGTGAATTGCAACCTGGATCCAGTCGTGGCCTACAGAGAAGCTGAGATGCTGGCACTTCCCTGGCAAGCTGTGGAGGGAGGCAGAGGGAGAAGGGCACCCCTTCACCACAGTTCCCAAAAGCTCTACGTTAGTTCTCCTCTATAGGCTGGAGATAATGTAGGACATGCCAAATGCAATCTGGCTTCTTGCTTTCCTGACTCAATGGACTTCATATCAAGGAAGTTTCTAGGAGACCCAGTGGTCTGGGGCACGTCAGGGTAGCTCCTCTAAAAGAAGAGACAAGTTGCTGAGCCTTAGACTGCGCACTACAAAGAAAGAGGCAAAATCTTTGATGGGACTCTGGATTTTTGAGGCAACCTATACCACATTCAGACCCAGCCGTGGGGGAGGCCCGAGGGTGCCAATTAACCTTGGAGACCAGGTTCTTTACGATAAAGCCCAGGGAAGGAGCGACCCTCATGGATCAGCACCATGGCTAATCATGGTGTCCCAAGGGGTGATAGGGACTACATCTCAAATAAAAGCACCCCCCCCCCGAAAAAAGTTAGGTGCAATGCCGGTTGCAGCTGTGGTCCCAAACATGAGATTGTTAATGGAACAAATCAGCACGGCCCCCGGCCTGGTGGCATTTGATCCCCAAATGCTTTCTTTTCTATTTCACCAAGTAAAGATAGTTGGAAATAGTGTGCCTTGGTGTAGCAGGGACAGCCGTACACCTTCACTCTGTTGCCTCGGGGCTTTGCCAGCTCTCACAATGTCAATCATAATCTAGTCCAAAGGGTCACTGATCATCTTGACATAGTTCAGAACATTAGGCTGGCCCACTGCATTGATGACATTACGGTAATTGGCCCCAGTAAGCAGGCCATTGCAAGCACTCTAGTTTCTTAGTAAAATACTTTATGCCAACTGAAGGGGGTACACTCCACAAAAATTCAGTGACATGCCATGTCAGTGAAGTTTCTAGAAGATCCAGTGGTGGGGGCCATGGCATGTCAGGATATTTCCTATAAAAGGAGAGACAAGTTGCTGCACCTTATACTGCCCACTACAAATAAGGAGGCAAAATCTTTTATGGGACTCTGGATTTTTGAGCCAACATATATCACATTCAGCTGTGCTGCTCTACCCATTTACTGCAAAACCCATAAGACTGTAAGTTTTGAGTGAGGCGTGGAGCAAGGTAAAGCTCTGAAGCAGGTCCAGGCTGCAGAGCAAGCTCCATCACATGAGCTTATGACTTGGAAGTGACTGTAGCAGATGATGCTGTATGGAAAAGCTCCAACAGGAGAATCACAGTACAGTTACTGACCATTAGGTTTGGGATTAAGTCATGCTGTCTTCTACCAATAACTAGTCACCGTTTAAAAAAACAGTTCCCAGCCGGGCGCGGTGGCTCACGCCTGTAATCCCAGCACTTTGGGAGGCTGAGGCGGGTGGATCATGAGGTCAGGAGATCGAGACCATCTTGGTTAACACGATGAAACCCTGTCTCTACTAAAAATACAAAAAATTAGCCGGGCGTGGTGGCGGACGCCTGTAGTCCCAGCTACTTGGGAGGCTGAGGCAGGAGACTGGCATGAACTCGGGAGGCGGAGCTTGCAGTGAGCCAAGATAGCGCCACTGCACTCCAGCCTGGGTGACAGAGCGAGACTCTGTCTCAAAACAAAACAAAAAACAGTTCCCGGCCAGGTGCAGTGGCTCACACCTGAAATCCCAGCACTTTGGGAGGTCGAGGTGGGTAGATCACCTGAGATCAGGAGTTCAAGACCAACCTGGCCAACGTGGTGAAACCCCGTCTCTACTAAAAATACAAAAATTAGCCAGATATGATGGTGGGTGCCTGTAGTCCCAGCTACTCAGGAGGTTGAGGCAGGAGAATCGCTTGAACCCAGGTGGCAGAGGTTGCAGTGAGCCAAGATCACGCCATTGCACTCCAGCCTGGGTGACAGAGCGAGACTGTCTCAAAAAAATAAAAAAAACAGCTCCTGGTTCACAACCAGACACGGTGAAGGTGGAATGCCTGACTGTGGGACACCAAGTGACCCACGCCACCAGAAGTAGATGTGATCTGATCCACCTGATTGTAAGATTGGACATGCATGGTAGTGTTCTATTCTTTTTCTTTTCTCTCCCTCTGTCAACCAGTTGCCAGCACTAGGAATGGCATTCTATTACTGAATAGTATATATAAGATCAGGTCTGAGCAAGTCCAGAAGGCACAAAGAAAGTGCATGAGCGGGTGGTTCAAATTCCCGGGATACCTACCCTTATTGCTTCACTGTTTCTTTCTCTACCCACACTTGGTGAAGTTGCTATGACCAGTTAACACAGCGGAAAAAGCACAGACATGATTTCTAAATGAGTCTGCATGGTACCTCAGCACAACTACAAAGAGACAGCTACTGCATTATAGCCACACTCAGGGTGTCCCTGCAGGACAGCGATGAAGGTTCTGTCCCAGCAAGCAGAACCTCTGGCTGTGTGGATTATCCACTTGCACGGAAGGAAAGATGACCTGAGAGGCAGATCCACACTGGCTCATGAGCAGTGGCTAACAAGTCAGGGGCTGGCTGGGGGCTTACAAATCACAAGACTGAGAGATTGGTGATGAGCAGGTGTAAGGGAGAGAAATACGGATGGGCTGCTTGAAATGGGCAGAGGTGGTGAAGCTAATTTTAACACACGCAAGTACCCTGAAAGGGCATCTATTGTGGAGAAGCCCTCAGTAATCAGGTGGACAAGATGACCCATCCTGTAGATGGCAACTTCTATTCCCAGCTACCCTGGTTCTTGTTTAATGGGCCTATATACATGCTGTGGTGGCAGGGATGACTGGCTATGTGTAGTGTGGTAGGCAGAGTAACAGCATTCCAAAAATGTCCATGTTCTAATCCTCAGAACTAAATATGTTGCATGGTACACGGCAAAAGGTGATTTTTTTTTTTTTGAAACATAGTCTTGCTCTCTCACTCAGGCTGGAGTGCAGTGGTGTGATCTCAGCTCACTGCAACCTCCGCTTCCCGAGTTCAAGTGATTCTTCTGCCTCAGCCTCCCGAGTAGCTTGGTACTAGAGATACCCACCATCATGCCTGATTAGTTTTTGTATTTTTAGTAGAGATGTGGGTTTCGCCATGTTGACCAGGCTGGTTTTGAACTCCTGACCTCAAGAGATCCACCCGCCTCAGCCTCCCAAAGTGCTGGGATTACAGGTGTGAGCCACTGTGCCCAGCTGCAAAGGGTGAATTAAGGCAGAAGATGGAATAAGGTTGCCAATCAGCTGACCTTAAAAATCAGGAGATTATGGCTGGGTGCAGTGGCTCACATCTGTAGTCCCAGCACTTTGGGAGGCCGAGGCAGGAGGATCGCTTGAACTCAGAGGTCAACATGGGAACTCAGCCTGGACAACATGGGAAGATCTCATCTCTACTACTTAAAAAAAAAAAAATTAGCTGGGTGTGGTGGTGTGCACCTGTAGTCCCAGCTACTTGGGAGGCTGAACCAGGAGGATCGCTTGAGCCTGGGAGATGGAAGCTGCAGTGAGCTATGATTGTGCCACTGCACTCCAGCTCGGGCAACAGAGAGAGACCATCTTAAAAAAGGTGGGGGTGGAGATTACCCTGAATTATCTGGGTTGGCCTAACGTAATCACAATGTGGAAGAAGTCTTTTTTTTTTTTGAGACAGAGTTTTGCTCTTGTTGCCCAGGTTGGAGTGCAATGGCACGATCTCAGCTCACTGCAACCTCTGCCTCCCGGGTTCAAGTGATTCTCCTGCCTCAGCCTCCTGAGTAGCTGAGATTACAGGCATGCACCATCACGCCCAGATAATTTTGTATTTTTAGTAGATACGGGGTTTCTCCATGTTGGTCAGGCTGGTCTCAAACTCCCAACCTCAGGTGATCTGCCCTCCTCGGCCTCCCAAAGTGCTGGGATTACAAGCGTGAGCCACGGCGCCTGGCCGGAAGAAGTCTTTAAATCTGGAAGAGTCAGGCAGAGTGATGTGATGTGAGAAACACCCAACCAGATGTTGCTGGCTTTCAAGATGGTAGGGGGCATCTAGAAACTGGCAAGGGCAGACAAGAGTCTCTTTAGAGCCTCCAGAAAGGAGGGCAGACTTGCTGACACCTTGATTTTAGTCCAGGGAAATGCATTTCAGACTTCTTTTAGAGCTGTCAGAAAATAGTGTTTCAAGCTACAAAGCTTGTGATAATTTGTTACAGCAGCCACAGAAAACTAATACACATAGACTCAACACATTTCCCTCACCAGATCTGACACGGCAATGGCATCGTTGAGTGCCAAGCTGTCCAACAGCAAAGACCAAGCTGAGTTTCCTACATGGCACCATTCGCTGGGGGTCCCCAAGACCCTTGCAGGAGTTCTGTGAGGTCAAATCTATTTTCATATTAATACTAAGACATTATTTGCCCTCTTCACTGTCATTGAGTGTAGAGTGGAATTTCCCATGGGCTACATAGCAAGCATACAACAGATCAAATGCTGAAGATTTGAGAATGTTGCTGTCTTCTATTAAGCCAGCTCTGGAGACCTGCCAAAATGTCAAATGCTATTCTAACAAATTTTGTTTTGAAAAAGTTATTTTTCATTAAAAATCTTATGTTAACATGGAATGGGTTTATTAGTTTTAAATTGATTAATAAAGTTTTAATTTCTAATTCAGTAAAACTGATAGATATAACTCACATTAAAAAAAAACCCACTGGGATCCTCAAAGATCCTAAGTTTCTAAGAGTGTAAAAGACTCCTGAGACCAAAAATGGTGAGACTCACTTAAGGGGGCAAGCTAGTCACCCACTGGCAGATTGACTACACCGACCCCCTGTCATGAAGAGAGCAGTCTTTCCCTTTCCTTCCCCTCCCCTCCCCTCCCTTCCCTTCCTTTCCTTTCCTTTCCTTTCTTTCCTTTTTTTTTTTTTTCCCGGAGTCTCACTCTGTCGCCCAGGCTGGAGTGCAGTGGCATGATCTCAGCTCACTGCCACCTCCCGCTCCCTGATTCCAGCAATTCTCCTGCCTCAGCCTCCTGAGTAGCTGGGATTATAGGTGTCTGCCACCACGCCTGGCTAATTTTTGTATTTTTGGTAGAAACAGGGTTTCACCATGTTGGCCAGGCTGGTCTCGAACTCCTGACTTCAAGTGATCTGCCCACCTCGACCTCCCAAAGTGCTGGGATTACAGGCATGAGACACTGTGCCCGGCCCAGAACACACTGGTCTTAAAACAGGCCCTGCAACCAGAAGAAGCTGACTGGGCAGAATAGAGTTACGGCGCCAGGTGGGAGACAACCCCCGCAGCTGAGCTGTTGATGGGTAGGAAGCAGCACACGCTTGAAATCAATGGCTAATATACGGTCCTACCTCTTTGACAGCCAAAATACACAGGCCCAGGGACCAAGGGATGGATATGGGAGTAGCTTTTCTCACCACTATTCCCAATTACCCACTGGAAGAGTTTTGGCTTCCTGTGCCCTAAATTTTGTGTTCAGTGGGTGAGCTTTATGCTCAAAAGAGGAACACTCCCTCCAGGGAATGTGGATATGACTCCTTTAGAACTGGAAGTAGAGGCTGAGCGCGGTGGCTCACGCCTGTAATCCCAGCATTTCGGGAGGCCGAGGTGGGTGGGTCACTTGAGCTCAGGAGTTTAAGACCAGCCTGGCCAACATGGTGAAACTCCGTCCCTACTAACAATACAAAAGTTAGTCGGGCATGGTGGTGCAGGCCTGTAATCCCAGCTACTCGGGAGGCTGGGGCACGACAATCACTTGAACCCAGGAGGCAGAGGTTGCAGTGAGCCAAGATCGTGCCACTGCACTCCAGCCTGGGTGACACAGCGAGATTCTTGTCTCAAAAAAAAAAAAAGAAAAGAAAAGAATTGGAAGTAGAGTGTTCTCCCCTGGTCATTTTGAGGTCTGTATGTTGCTTAACTAAAAGGCGGAGAAGAGGGTCAACTGTTCTGTACCTGACAGGGTGATCAGCTAGGATTGCCAGAAGGAAAATAAGTTCCTGCTACACAATGTGGGGAGGGCAGAAGACAATGACAGAAAAGAGGGGATTCACCAGGTGCCTCAGTCCCCCCAGTCCCCCTTCCAGTATTGACAGTGAAGGGGAAATGTGACAATCCAACAAACATAAGACCAGAAGAGGCTGCATTGCACAGGAGTAAAGGTTTAGGACACCCCACCTATAAAAACCCCAGTCAGCCACAGTGCTGGCACATGGTTAGAGGAAAGTGGGGGTGGAGGAAGGATGCTGTGATTGCTAACTTGGGCCTGGTGACCAGCTGCCAAAGTGGGGGCTGTAGCAATTTTCTGTTATTTGCATGCCCCGTTGTCTTATTTAAAGAGGCCGGTTGCATGGTGGCTCACGCCTGTAATCCCAGCACTTTGGGAGGCCGAGGCGGGCAGATCACGAGGTCAGGAGATCGAGATCATCCTAACACAGCTAACACGGTGAAACCCCGTCTCTACTAAAAACACAAAAAGTTAGCCAGGTATGGTGGCGGGCACCTGTAGTCCCAGCTACTTGGGAGGCTGAGGCAGGAGAATGGCATGAACCCGGGAGGTGGAGCTTGCAGTGAGCCGAGATTGCGCCACTGCCCTCCAGCCTGGGCAACAGAGCGAGACTCCGTCTCAAAAAAAAAAAAAGCCCTGTTGCTCCAGGTGAGTATGACAAGACCAGGGTGAATCTGACAAGGTTGATGGTGTTGATGAGATTGTTCCTTCCATTAAAAAAAAAAGAAGATGAAATTCACATAACATAAAACTAACCATTTTAAAGCAAACACTTCAGTGGTATCTAGTACATTCACAATGTTGTACAATCATCACCACAACCTATTTCCCAAACTTTTTCATCATCCCAAACAGAAATTCTGCAACCATTAAGCAATAGGGACATGAGTTTTTCACCCAAAGGACAAGAGTGGGTGCTGAGGGGTAAAAGGAATAGCCCTGCTTGGATCTCCTGTTTCCCTTCCACATCCACACTCCCCATTCGATGAAGGGCTGACCTACTCTGGCTGCCTTCTCTTCAGGCTTTCAGTTGGGACTCGCCAGTGGGAGGCACCATCAGGATGAAAGCTGTCCACCCCCAACCTCCCCGGCTCCCTCTCTGGCAGGGGGTGTTCTAAGCATGGCCACAGTTCTAGCTGGGCAGTCCCCTCCCATGATGAGAGCTCCCTCCTCTTGCCCTTTCAGGTCTATGGGTTGTAATGGCTTCCTGTAGTGTGAGCCCTGCTGGGTCCCATCCCTGGTAGGTTCCCACAACCCCGCCCACATCTCTAATTAATCCCTTAGTGGAAGGCTCTTGGTACCCCTTTAAATACACAGTCGGCCTCTGTACCCTCGGGTTCTGCAGCCTCAGATTCAACCTAGCACAAATTGAAAACATAAAAATGAGTAAACAAAAAATAACAATACAATAAAAATACAACTTTAAAACCCGTATAACAACTTTTTTTTTTTTTTTAGACAGGGTCTTGCTTTGTTGCCCAGGCTGGAGTGCAGTGGCGTGAACATGGCTCACTGCAGCCTCGACCTCCTGGGCTCAAGCAATCCTCCCACCTCAGCCTCCCAAGTAGCTGGGACCAGTGCACCACCATGCCTGGCCAATTTTTGTCTTTTTTGTAGAGGTGGGGTTTCACCATGTTGCACAGGCTGGTCTTGAATTCCTAGGCTCAAGTGATCCGCCCATCTCCGCCTCCCAAAGTGCCGAGATTATAGGAGTGAGCCACCGTACCCAGCTGACAACTACTTACACAGAATTTACATTGTATTAGGTATTATAGGTAGTCTATGGATGATTTAAAGTATATGGGAACATGAGTGTTGGTTATACGCAAATGCATCCATCTCTTGGTGTCCATGGGGGATTGGTTCCAGGACCCTCCCAGGTACCAAAATCCAAGGAAGCTCAAGTCCCTTATATAAAATAATGTAGTATTTGGCTATAACCTACATACATTCTCCTATATACTTTTTTTTGTCATCCAGGCTGGAGTGTAGTGGCGCGATCTCGGCTCACTGGAAAGTCCACCTCCCAGATTCAAGTGATTCTCCTGCCTCAGCCTCCCTAGTAGCTGGGACTACAAGCATGCACCACCACACCCAGCTATTTTTTTTATTTTTAGTAGAGACGGGGTTTCACCATGTTGGTCAGGCTGGTCTCAAACTCCTGTCCCCAAATGATCCGCCCGCCTCGGCCTCCCAAAGTGCTGGTATTACAGGCATGAACCATTGTGCCCAGCCATTCTCCCATATACGTTAAATCATCTCTAGATTACAATGTAAATACTATGTAAATAGTTGTTACACTTTATTATTTGAATTTTTTCCCCAAATATTCTCAATTTGCAGTTGGTTGAATCCATGGATGCAGAATCCATGAAGGGCCAACAGCACTACACCATTTTACATCAGGAACTTGAGCATGAAAGGATTTTGGTTTCCATGTGGGTCCTGGAACCAATCCCCGGAAAATATGGAGGGATGGCTGTAACATCCATTTCCTGCTAGGGAACCGATGGATACAGGAATAATCCTTTGATAATAACCCTGTAATCCTCTTGGCACTAACCGCTTCAGATTTTGTGAGTTAAACCAGCTCCACACTCAGGTCCCAGACTGGGCAAAGGAGATGCTTTCCTGGACAGCCCAGGTTCGAAGGGTGCCAGGGGTGCGCGCCAAGGCCCCACTGCCCTCTGGTGGTTGGATCCAGGAAATGCACCTCAGGGCTCCAACCTCTGCTGAACCGAGCCCATTAGGGATTGAGCAATCCTTACCCCAAATGCTTGAAAGCAGAAGTGTTTCAGATTTTGGAATATTTGCACATACATAATGAGATATCTTGGGGATAGAATCCAAGTCTAAACACGAAATTCATTTATGTTTCATATACAGTTTCTACCCATAGCCTGAAATTAATGTTACATATTTTATTTTTTTTGAGACAGAGTCTTGCTCTGTCACCCAGGCTGGAGTGCAGTGGTTCCATCTCAGCTCACTGCAACCTTCACCTCCTGGGTTCAAGTGATTCTCCTGCCTCAACCTCCCGAGTAGCTGGGATTACATGCATACATCACCATGCCCAGCTAATTTTTGTATTTTTAGTAGAGATGGGGTTTTGCCATGTTGGCCAGGCTGGTCTTGAACTCCTGACCTCAGGTGATCCGCCCAGCTTGGCCTCCCAAAGTGCTGGGATTACAGGCATGAGCCACCGCGCCCGGCCCAATTTTATATATTTTAAATATTGCACATGCAGCAAAGTTTTGACTGTCTCATGAGGTCAGGTGTGCATTCTCCATTCATGGCGTTGTGTTGGGTTTTCTGATTAGGGAGGCTCAGTTTGTACACACCTGAGCTTATCTCATGCAGGGGTCACTGTCCCCACTTTACAGGTGAGAACTTGAGGGCTTCAGTGACTTCCCACTGCCCTTTTGGTCTTCCCACGGTTAAGAGCAAAATCTTAACCATGGAGCACGCGGCCCCATCCTTGCCTCCCCTGTCACTCTGACCCAGCCACCCGGCCTTTTCTCAGGTCCCAGTGTTCGTGGGCACAGCTCCCAGTTACAATGTTTGGGAACTTTCTGGGTCCTTTTCCACCCGGAAGCCTTGGCTCCTTCTTCAGTCCCCTCCTGGGATCTCACTCACTCGGGACTCAGGAGGGTCCTCCTCGCCGTCCCTCCCTCCCCTCTGCCTCTTTTTCACCTCTTGCACAAACACTGGGCACTGGTTAGTGCCGCTCTCCCCCGCGGGGCAGGGCACGTCCTGCTTAGCTCATTGTGGTATCTCAGTGCCTGGCATGTGGGAACAACCACCCCAGCAGCTGACAGCCATGAAGTGTTTCTGTGCCAGCCTTTGAACTAAGTACTTCACGCCCTCAGGCCACCCTCCCTCCTAAAGACCCTCGTCCCCAGAAAGCAGCCCTTGACTCTATTAAAAACTCACATTGATTTATTAGAATATGAAAAAGATTCAGTTTCTTCTGTACAGGCAGCAGAGTGGCAGCAGCTGCGGTGGCTTGGTACGTGGTTGTCGATGTCACCCTTGCATGGTGACTCCTGCCCAAACAGCACTTGCATGGAGAGGAGGATGGACAGATGGGCCGAGGACCCATGGCCCAGTCCCCTGCAAAAAGGGACACTCTGACTATTGCACAATCCTGGGGGAGTGCCCCAGGGACAAGGGGAAGGAGTGTGTGTGGGCAAAGGTCTCTGGGGGCCCAGGATTCTGCCCAATCCACCAGCCCCAGGGGACAGGGGATCCTCAGGGGAGGCCTTCTCCCCCCCACCGCCTCCACAATGGGCTCCACAGCAGGCAGGGTGTGGTACACACAAGGGAAAGGTTCCAGGGGCCAAACCCAGGGTGGGGGAAGTAAGAGCAGGCCAGCAGGACTGGAGGTCAGGCCCAAGAGCTAGGCAGGTGCCAAGAGGCCAGCATCTGTGAGGCTGGAGAGACTCTTGATTAGGAGTGGGAGTTACTTCTGATGTCACAGTCTTCGAGCAACAGTTAAGAGCCCAGCAGGCAGAGAGACGTGGGGGAGGGGTTGGACAGACAGGCACAGATGAGGAAGGGTAATTCTGGAGTGTGAGGAGGGAGTTAGAGGCAGAGCACTGTTCAGCCAGGGGTTTTCAAAATGTTTTAAAAACAGGAGCGCCCTCTGTGCAAACAATCATATATAGGAGTGTGAACAAACAAAACTTAAAAAGGCAGCACATTCTGGAGCCACGGCCAGTCCTTCCCCTAGCAGCTTCCCCTGAGGGGCCCAGTGGTCCCCGTGGGAGCACAGTTCGAAAAGCTCTGAGTCACGTCACTGTCACCGTAGAAACCACCCCTGCTCCAGGCAGAGACACTCAGAGATGCCCTCAGCCCGCAGCTCTGAGTAAGGACAGGTTGGGTGGTGGCCAGGGTGACAGAGCTGGCAGGAGGAGTGTGAGACCTTGGTGGGTCAGCAGTCCCTCCCCCAGCCATGTGCCTGGTACCCCTGGTTTGTCCCCTGATAAAGCAGGGCCTACTCAAGGGAGGCCTCAGCTCCCTCCCTTCCTGGGTGGGACCACAGCTGAGCCAGAGACTCTTTGGTTAGAAACTAAGATTGGTCTGAATGAGGAGGAGGATGAGGCAGAGGGAGGAGCCTCCGAGGCCCTAGTCCAGGTCCGGGAGAAGCCTGGATCTAGGGAGGGGCAGGGCCGGCCTCACCAGCCCCAGCAGTTCTGCCAAATGGATTGGGGAGGCAGCTCTGGTGGGGAGGATGCTTCCCGGGAGGCGGCAGGGGAGGAGCTGTGCTGGGGTGGGGGCTGTGGGCCCAGCTGCCATGCGGTAGGGGGAGGGGCAGGGCCAATCCGGGTCAGGAAGGGCAAGGGGAGCCCCCAGCAGCCCCTGCTCTGGTGGAAGAGTCTGTGAGGGGACAGGCGCTGCCTGCTGGCCCTGGTGTTACTGCCCCTTGGGGAAGAACGGTTCTCCCTCCCCAGGCTCAGGGTGTGGGCCTGGGTCACTGAGGCAGCGCTGTATCCTCTGGGAGCTGGGGCTGTCACTGGGCGCGGGGGTGAAGACATCGTCGGTTCCTGGGGACGAAGTCTCCTTGCTCCGCATCATGATGCCCCCATCGTCGTCCTCGTCCTCCTCAGCCACCTTTGCAGGATCCCGGCTCAACCCTAAGACTTTGCCCTTCAGCTCTTCATTCACCAGGTCCACAGACTCGGGTGACTGCGGGGAAGCCGGGTCGATGGTGATGACAGGCAGGTCCTCCTTCGGCTCATAGGCCAGTGGGTCTGGGGACCAAGAGCAAGGCACAAGCTGGGTTCCGCTCTGGAGCCCGGCCCAGCACGTGCCACTCGGCCGCGTCAGTGCCTCCTTCAGGCCTTCTCATGAGCACAGCCGTCCCGGTCCCAACAGGCCTCAGAAGCAGGCCTCTGCGACCTTCCACCCCACAGCTTCTCTTCCTCAGACTGTGGCCCTCTCCTTTGACAGGGGCTCCCAGAGGTGTCCCTCCACAGGCCAAGGCCTGGGGCTCCTCCCTGAGTCAGTCTGCCCTGGGGCCCTGCCCTCACGTTCCCCACACGTGTTGGGGGTCTCGATGGGGCAGATACCCTGCCTTCCTGCCAGGCACCGTGGCTCTCCCAGCTCCCCACACAGTCCTCGCCCGGAACGTCTCTCTCCCTAGGGATGGCCCCTGACGTAGAAGCAGCTCATGGCTTGGGAGGGGATCCTGAGGTCAGCGAGGGCCAGGCCTGTCCTCCCAGTGGCTGAGGACTGTTCCTGTGGAGCCCCATCCTCAGGAGGTGGCAGCTCAGAGTGCCCAGTCCTGAGGCCCCTCGCCAGGCCCTTACCTGAGCCGATGCGGGCCCGAGACATGGTGGGTGAGTCCAGCTTGTGGGCTGGCACCGTCAGGTAGTTGTTGATCTGACAGAGAGGACAGACGGGGTGAGCACAGGCAGCTGGGCAGAGGGAGCCCCTCAGGACAGAACCCGGCCAGTGCACACCCCACCTTTCGTATATGCAGGGCGCTTGCTCCCCCTCCCTTGTGCCTGTGTGGGCACCCGTACTGGCCCCTCAGGAGCTCCTAAGGGCTCATCCCAGGCTCCTGTCACAGCCTCCCTGAATACACCTACACTGCTCAGCCTTAAATCCACCCATTCCTCTGTCCCCTGCCACTGCCCTAACCCAGGCCATGCCCCACAACCCCACGCCAATCCCTTGCTTAGAACTCATGGCTCTCCATGCCCTTACACTGCTAAAAGCCCCTCGAAAGCCAAACCCTGTTCCTAGAATGGGTACATTTCCTTAGAGGCTGTGGCGGAGCTTGGGCGAGTGGGGTGGGATACAGATTCCCAGAGGAAGGCAGAGGCTACCTTCTGCTCCAGCTGCCGGGCCTTCTGCCTCCGGAGCAGCATCTGGTTCCAGGCTTCCTCGTAGGGGTCTGCCACCAGCGTGTGTCTGTTGTAGGACCGCAGCTGTGGGAGGGACAGCGTCAGGGCAGTGCGGGCCCCGGAAGGCTCTGCTCATGGAGGGGTGGGGGCAGTGCTGGAGGCCGGGCCAGTCCTGGGGTGGGTGCCGAGGGGCACGGGCAGGGCAGGGCTGCCGTAGAGAGGGGCTGAAGGGCTCCTGTACCCTGGGGGTCGGGCTGGGGAGCAGGCCCTCACCCGCTGCCTGGTCTTCTGCAAGTTGTTCCTCAGGATTTTGCGGATCTCCTCCTCCTTGTCCTTGGACAGTGCTGGCAGGATGCGCTCGGAAGGCAGGGACTTGGGGTGGATGTTCCTGGGGCAATAGGGCATCGGTTAGGTCCCCAAGATTCTTGGGATCCTGGTGCCTCCCAGGTTTGGCCAGAAGGAAGTCACCCTAGGGATGACCCAGGTGGGCGCCAAAGCCTCAGGTCCTTGGTGCGAGCCCACAGCTCTCTTGTCCGCCCCAACAGGACAACAGAAGACCCCGCCCCCCAGGTGGCCACCTCCAACCGGGCTTGAGGGGCCGGTGTGTGGGAGCAGAAGCTGCCTGGTTGCCCCAGCACTCACTGCATGGAGACGGTGGAGACGGCAGAGGGGATCTTGCCCATGCCCCCGCTCTCCACCAGCTCGATGGCCTGCTTCATCTCCATCTTGTGGTAGAAGGCAATGAGCTGGGGCTCCTTGGAGCGCTCGCCAGCTATCAGACACTTCTTCACATATTTCTTATTAAACCGGTTGAGCCTGGTGGGAGGAGGAGGGAGACGGATGGCGCCAGCTTCCAGGAGTGGGGAGATGCCCAGGCCCAGGAGACCCTTGCCTGCCCCTCCCTGCCTGCCCACCAGGCCTGCCACCTACTTGTCCTTCCAGTGGTGGTGACCGTAGTGGCCACAGATGTCTTCGATGCCTGTCAGAAGGTGGTCCAGGAACTGAAAGGGGCCCAGGGCCAAGTCAAGCCTCGCTGTGGGGCGCCTTCCCTACCAAGACCTCTGACTAGCCCCACTCCCTCCCGTAGCTGCAGCCCTGCTGGGTCCAGCCCTGTGGTTCCATGAGCAGCCAGGAGGTGGCGCCCACACTCCACTCATCGAACCCAGCGGCCCTGACTCTGGGTATCTCGAAGCCTTGCCTGTGTCCGGCTGAGCCCCCTTCTCTAATCCCACCTGGGACCTATGCCTGGGATAGGTTTCAAATGGAGGCAGAGATGGCATGATGCCCCCTCCTCAGGCTCCCAGCTGCTCACACCACACCTTCCTATGGCTAGACCCTGGCGGCCTCCTGGGGCAGAGGGAGCCCCTGGGCACTGGCACAGGGAGAAGGGGCTGATGGGGGGCAGAGACTTGAGGCCCAGCTGCTCCCTATCTCCCTGTTCCTCCTTCTGCAACCAAGGGCCCAGCCCGCACTCCAGTACCTGTGTGTGGATCTCTTCGTTGATGGAGCGCTTCGTCTCTTGCTTTTTCTTCACAGCCAACAGGTCTACCAGGGGCCGAATGGTCATGCCCTGGGGGGCAGGCAGGTGTCAGGCACTCCAGTTCTGCTACCCAGGCAGGGAGGCCACAGAGCCTCCCTCCCTCACCCCAGGCCCCCAAGGCTAGGATGCCCTCTCTGCTCTGCTCTCTCCCAGGACCCAAGGGTGTGAGAACTCTCCCACCTCCCAGCACTTATCTAAAGACAGGTCCTTAAGGCCTGCTTCTTCCTGGAGACACGGTCAGAGGTTTCACTGCCAAATGACCCCCACACTGGTCATCTGGCCTGGGCCAGGCAGCAGACAGCCTGGGTTCAGATGTGGACTGCACCACAGACTTGCTCTGCAACCCCATGGAAGTCAGGCCCCACACACAGGGAAAACTACCTCTGCACTGCCTCCCCACCAGGACTGTGAGGAGGACCGAGTAATAACAGCAGCAGCAGATGGAACTGCACACCTGCCATGTGACCAACACACGTGCTTGGAAGTGTTCTAGCATCAATCAGCTCTCCAATATCCGCAACACTAAGAGGGAGGTCCTTCCATTGTCTCTATTTAACAGATGCAGAAACTGAGGCTCAGAGAGGATAAGCAGCTTTCTAAGATCCCAGAGAAGCAGTAAAGCCATGATTTAAACCCAGGCAGGCTGGCTCTGGAGGGAGGCCCCCTCCCCAATGTTGCCTTCAATGAAAATGGGCTTGGAAAATCATTAGCACATACAACTGCAAAATCAAGGTAAAAAAAATTTTTTGAAGATGGAAGCAGGGCAAGAGGACAAAAGTGGCAGCCTCCTCCTCTTTTTTTTTTTTTTTTTTTTTTTGAGATGGAGTCTTGCTCTGTCACCCAGGCTGGAGTGCAGTGGTGCGATTTCAGCTCACTGCAACCTCCACCTCCCGGGTTCAAGTGATTCTCCTGCCTCAGCCTCCCAAGTAGCTGGGATTACAGGCGGCTGCCACCACGCCCAGCTAATTTTTGTATTTTTAGTAGAAACAGGGTTTCACCATGTTGGCCAGGCTGGTCTGGAACTCCTGACCTCAGGCGATCCGCCTGCCTCGGCCTCCCAAAGTGCTGGGATTACAGGCATGAGCCACCGCGCCCAGCCTCTCTCCTTTTTCTTAACTCGAGAGAGAGTCTCACTCTGTCACACAGGCTGGAGGAGTCACACAGGCTCAATCACAGCTCACAGCTGCCTCAATCTCCTGGGCTCAAGCTATCCTCCCACCTCAGCTTCTCAAGTACCTGGGACTTACAGGTGTGTACCACCATACCCACTAATTTTTTTTTTATTTTTTGTAGAGACAAGGTTGCCATGTTGCCTAGGCTGCTCTTGAACTACTGGGCTCAAGGGATCCTCCTGCCTCGGCCTCCCAAAGTCCTGGGATCATAGGCGTGAGCCACTGCACCAGGGTCCCCTCTCCCTTTAAAGGACAGAAAATAAGCCCAGCCCCAGGTTTCCCCTATTTTTTTTTCTCAAGAGAATGCAAAGATGTATCCCATCTAGGGCTTTTTGAGTATCAGTGCCCAGAAAAGACAGAAAGGATGGTAAAGAAATGGAGGCTCAGACAGAGTGTTTCTTATTTGCCCAAGGTCAGGCAAAGTCAGGTAAGGCAGAGCAATTTGCACCATCACAGGCTGGGCTTCCTTGGGGACCTTAGGCAGGAGAGTGGCTGTCAGCTAAGCCTGAGCCGTTTAAATGTACAGAAATCACTGAGCAGCAGGCTGGAAGGATTCTTGGGAATCATCTCGCCTGGTTCCCTCACTTTACAGATGGGAACTGAGACCCAGAGAAGAGTGGGGGTCTTTCTTAGGGTCAGAGGGACACCAACACAGAGCTAGGGCTGACTCCAGGCCTCCTGCTGCCTGGCTCATAGCCCTTTCCAGTTCCCCATGCTGTGATATTATTCCCATTTTACAGATGCAGAAACTGAGACCCTAAGATATGAAATCTCTTGCCTAAAGCCCTACAATGAGTTAGTAGCAAAGAGAGATCTTGGGCCTGTTGACTGTACCCACTTCTCTCTCTTTTTCTTTTTTTTTGAGATGGAATTTCACTCTTGTTACCCAGGCTGGAGTGCAATGGCGCAATCTCAGCTCACTGCAACCTCCACCTCCTGGGTTCAAGTGATTCTCCTGCCTCAGCCTCCCAAGTAGCTGGAATTACAGGTATGCATCACCATGCCCACTAATTTTGTATTTTTAGTAGAGACGGGGTTTCACCATGTTAGTCAGGCTGGTCTCAAACTCCTGACCTCAGGTGATCCACCCCCTCAGCCTCCCAAAGTGCTGGGATTACAGGCGTTGAGTCACCGTGCCCGGCCAGTACCCACTTCTCTTAATGCTCTATGAGTTCCAAATTAAGTTGGGCAGCATTCTGGTTCCTTTACATTCTGATCAGTCACTCTGCAATGACTCATCACAATTCTCACTTTACGATTGAAGAAACTGAGGCCCAGAAAGGGGGAGTGGCTCGCCCAAGGTCACACAGCAAGTTAGTGGTGGAGCTGGGACTAGAATCGCATTTCAAATCACACGCTTTCCTCTCTTTCCACGGGAACAGCCTGTGAGGGTCCCCAAGGCAAGGGCCTGCCCTGCCCTGGCCCAGCACCTGCACAAAGACGGTGAAGAAGATGACAGTGATGATGGCAGTGAGGAACAGGTCACACATGGGGAAGTGCTTCTTGTCCAGGAGGTAGCCCAGAGAGAAGGCGATGGCCCCTCGCAGGCCCCCATAGGCGATGATGAACTGGTCCTTGGGGGTCAGCTTCACGATACGGAACTTGTTGATGAACCAGGTCAGGCCCAGCACCCCTGCAGGGGAAGGCAGGGGGTGATGAGGGTCAGGTCGGGCTGTCCCCAGTCCCTCCTGGATTCTGCATCAGTGATTTCTCTGTGCATCCAGGAAGTCTCCATTACGAAGCCCACCCCGCTCACTCAATTCCTGGGTCCCTCAGCCCAGAGTGCTCTGAACTCCTCAATCCAAGAGCTGGGTGGATCCTTAAAGGACTTCCCCAACCTGGATGTGCTTTAGAGACATCATGGAGGCCTCCAGTGGCTGGAGGGCTGGGGGCAGGAAGAGGGAGAAAAGATCAAACAAGATGGGTCACAGGTCAATACTTGTTAAATGTGATGGGTGTGTGGGGGGTCATGATCCTATTCTCTCTACTTTTCTAAGTACTTGAAATTTTCCATAATAAAGCATAAAAAATGCAGAGGGCTGGGCCCAACCTCCACCCACAGAACCAGAATCCCTGGAGGATGAGGCTCAGGAATAAAGGGGATTTCAAAAGTGCACCAAATAAATGTGAGGTCCTGCCAGGCTTGGGGACATGGACCTAACCCTCAGAGAGGAAGTGAGAGATCCAGGGAGGAGGCGACTGAGGCACTGGGGTGAGGCATGTGGGGCACATGTGAGTGGAACCCATGCACCTGGGGCCTGGTCCCCACGTGTGCCCCGGCCTGCTGCATAGGTTTGGAGGACTGCACGTGGCTCTGCATGCGATTCGGCACATGCTCACGTCACCTGTCTTGAGACAGTGCAGAGAGCACTCAGCTCAGAGTCACAGACCTGGGTTCTGTGGGCCTCAGGCCCCTCATCAGGACAGCCACAGCCACAGGCTCAGAGTCTCAGGGCCCCCTCACTTTGACACAGCCTGACTCTGTCCCCAGAGACCACAGCCTTGCTGTGACACAGGCTTCTCCCTGCTGAAGGGCCCATCATGGAAATGGGAAGTCCCTCCTGTCTAGCTGTGCTGGGAGCAGGCAGGAGCCAACCAGGAAACCTCCACCACAAACTGCATCACACATATACCCCCAGCCCCTCCACACACACACACACACACCCAGGCCCTCTACACACACACACCCACACCCTCACAGCCCCTCCACACACACCCACACCCTCACAGCCCCTCCACACACACACACACACACCCAGCCCCTCTACACACACCCAACCCCTACACACACACCCAGCCCTTCCACATATACACCCAGCCCCTCCACACAACTATACACACACTGCACCACAGCCCAATCCCTCCACACAACACACACATATATACAAAGCCCTCCACACAACATACTACACACACACACCCCCAACCCCTCCACACACTACACACACACCATACACACATCCAGCCCCCCTACAATGCACTACACACACCACACACGCAATACGCATACACACACACACCACAGCCCAGCCCCTCCACACAATACTTATACACTGCACCACATGCACACACCACATAGCCTGGCCCTTCCACATAGTGCACTGCACACACCACACACACAGCACCACAGCCCACCACCCCCCACACACACCCCACACCACAACCCCCACCCCGCCCCAGCCCTGGCCCTCACCCAGCACGCGGGCGATGAGGCAGAAGAGCAGGGTGCTGATGACGAAGGTCCAGTTCCAGTGGTGGGAGCCGGCCACCGTGGAGACGCCGAGGAAGATGAAGATGAGGGTCTCGCTGACGCTGCTCCACATCTTCAGGAAGTATTTGATGGTGGTGTGGGACTTGTGGGAGATGTTGGCCTCCACATAGGGGCGCATCACCACTCCTGAGGCTATGAGCCTGGAGCAGGAAAGAGCGGGGTCAGGGCTCCGTGTCGAGCTGCACCTGCTCGAGCCCCTCCACTGCCAGGGGCAATGGGGCCACGACCAAGGTGCCCATGTCCCAAGCTCCTCTATGGGCCAGGGGCCCGCTGTGTGCTTTACACCCTCTTGCCACTCATCCTCACATCAACCCTATAGACACGGTGTATTCCTCCATTTTTTTTTTTTTTTTTTTTTTTGAGACGAGTCTCACTCTGTCACCCAGGCTGGAGAGCAGTGGCGCGATCTTGGCTCACTGCAACCTCCGCCTCCCGGGTTCAAGCAATTCTCTGCCTCAGCCTCCCGAGTGGCTGGGAATACAGGTGCCCGCCACCACGCCTGGCTAATTTTTTTGTATTTTTAGTAGAGACGGGGTTTCACCATCTTGGCCAGGCTGGTCTTGAACTCCTGACCTTGTAATCCACCCGCCTTGGCCTCCCAAAGTGCTGGGATTACAGGCGACGAGCGCATGCCCGGCCCTATTCCTCCATTTTTAAAATGAGTGATCTTGGCTGGGCACGGTGGCTCACGCCTGTAATCCCAGCACTTTGGGAGGCCGACAAAGGCGGATCACTTGAGGCCAGGTATTCGAGACCAGCTTGGCCAATGTAGTGAAATGCAGTCTCTTCTAAAAATACAAAAATTAGCCAGGTGTGGTGGTGGGCACCTGTAATCCCACCTAATTGAGAGGTTGAAGTGGGAGAATCTCGAACTCAGAGGCTGCAATGAGCTGAGATCGTGCCACTGCATTCCAGCCTGGGTGACAAGAGTGGGACCCCGTCTCAAATAAAAAAATGAGAGATCTGACTCTAAGAGAAATAGTCACCTCTCCCCTGTCACGCTGCCTGCAGGCAGCAAAGCCAAGACACACAAACCACAGTGTCCAACTCCAAAGCCTGCACCTTTGCCCCAAGGCCACACTGCCTCTTGACCCAATAGGAGTCAATGACACAGACCCATGGTCTCCTGGGTTCATTCCCCTCAAGCGTGGCATCTGCCATTACACAGGGGTCTCCACAGGGAGCTTTGTTCCAAGCAGCTGCTTGGAGCTCGGAGTCCTCCCAGCCCAGTGCTCACACCCGGGCTCTGCTCCTGGGAGCCAGGGGCTCTGAACCCCAGTTCTGCCTTGCTCGGCACTGGAACACCTTCACCCCTCACTGCCTCCCCACATCCCATTCTCCCCATTTCCAGACCCGGTGGAGACCTCAGGACCGCCAGGACTCAGGCCTGGTGAGCCTCCTACTGGGGCTGCTGAGGGGACTCCCTTTGAGACAATGAAGTAGCAGGGCTGTGGCTTTCCTCAACCTGAAGCTTAGTGGCTTCCAAGGCTCTGCTCTCCTATACCCTGGGCTTGCCTTCATGCAGGTCATTCTTGCTTCATCTGCTCATAGCCTGAAATGCCCTCTCCCGATTCCTGGACCCCAGGGGGCGCTGCAGAAGTGCTCCTCTTCTAGGAAGCCACTGATGCCCTTGGCCATTTAAATGGCTACCAAGCAGGTCTGGAGCCTGGAGTTCATGTCTCATCCCTGGAGCTCAAGGCTGGGCCCTGGGAGCTCCGTGAACCTACGAGCCTGGGGAATCCAAGCTGGCAGCCCCCGCCCCCACCCCGCCAAGCCCACTGCCTGCTGCACGCAGACTCACGCCATGATGCCTGACAGGTGGAAGAGCTCGGCTGACAAGTAGGCCATGTAGCTGTAGAGGAAGACGAAGAGCGGCTCGATGACCCGGATGTGGGAGGTAAATCGGGAGGTGAAGGCTGCGATGACCCCGTAGACCACGCCCACAAGCACCCCGCCCAGGGCCACCACGAAGAAGCTCAGGAAGCCGAGGAAGATGTCCACGATGCCCACGTGTTCGTAGTTGGCAAACTCCTCAAAGAGGTGATACAGGACCTGGGGAGGGTGTGCAGGCTGGTGGGTGGGAGGAGAGGGCCCTGGCCCCACGGTTCCCTGGGGTCCACCCAGGGCAATCCTGTCCCCTCCGTTAACCATGGCCACAAGAAGAGGCCACACGGTAGCAGAGAAACCCTAGTGCCAAGCAGGTGCTCAAAACCTCAGCCTGGGGCTGAGGGGCTTGCTCTGGGCCAGCCACGTGCCCCACTGGTGAAGGGTGGGCCCTGGGAAGCTCTGTGAAGACCCTGAAGCCAAACTGCCTGGACTGGAATCCTGGCTCTGCCACTCCTGAGTTGTGTACAGGAAGCAAATTCATCTCCCTGTGTTTCAGTTTTCCTGTCTATAAAATGAGGATAATAATACCAAATCTTAGGACTGCTGTGAGGACTAAATCAGCGAATCAAGTGCTCGGAGCCTTACCTGATGCAGTGTTAGCCACATCTGGTGCTATCAAGTCTGCCTCTCACTGCCTGACCTTGGGCACGTCATGCCCATCACTGGGTTTCAGTCCCTCCTTCAGCACAAAAAAGGGACGTTCACACAATGAACTAGAATGTCATTTCTTAACCTCTGGAGCTTTCTGAAAATACACATGTTCAGGCCATACTGGACTTGGACTCTCTGGGATAGGGCCAAGAAATCTCTATGTAACAAGCACCCCAGGGGTTGCAATGAACAGCCAAGTTCAGATGCTATGGAATTAGAGGCTAAGGCATCCCTGTCTCCTGGACTGGGAAATAGATGGTCATTGCAACACTACCATCAGATGTTTAAGTGGCACTTCATACACTGTAAAGCCCTTTGATAGTCTTTATCTGAGTCGACACTCAACAACCATGCGAGGCAGGTGGGTCAAGGATGCTCCTTTGCTAAACCGAGGCTCACAGTGGTAAAACAACACGCCAGGGGGCCCCCAGCCCAGGAGCAGAAGAACTGGGCCCAGAACTTATTCCCTGACAGCCATGGCTGAGGCCTCCCCAGCAGGCTCAGCTTTGAGGATCTGCCCCTCCTATTGCTAGGTCCCTGAGCTGCCTGGCCTACTCAAGTCTGTCCTAGACAGCTCTGCCAGGAAGGAGCAGGGAGTTTCCAGGCCTGGGGGAAGGGAGGGAAGGACGTGAGGATCCATGACAGGGAACCCTCCAAAGCCCCCAGGACCTGGAGCAGGAGGAATGGACCGTGAGGAGTGACCTGTCTAGGGCACAGACCTGAGACCAGGCAGCTCAGGGTCAGCCTCTGGCTTTACTCTCTGGGAAATGGGGCACTCACACCTATGCCAAGAGCTCCAGAAAGACCTGACTTGGGCCAGGCAGCAAGGGGAGATGCAGAGCACTGGCCAGGCCTGGTGCGGCCTGGCCCCAGCTGTCTGGGGGATAGGACAGGGCTCCAGCGGCAGACAGCCTCTTAGCAGGTGCGTACTCAGCCGTGGGCTAAACTCATTCCTGGCCTGAGGGGATTCATGGGTCCTCATGGTCTACCACATGGGCCCATGGAGTCGGCACAGAGGGGAAAGTCCTCCTTTCTGGCCTGGTGCTATTACCCCTGGAACTATAGAGAAACAGAGTAACACAGTGGTAAGCACTTGGGCTTTGGACTCAGACTACGGATTTGAACCTCAGCTATATCATATATCAGGCTTATGTAACCTCTCCGTTCCTCAGTTTCCTCATCGCAAAAAAACTGGAATATAACTGTGTCAACCTCATGGAGTTACTGTATAGATTAAATGAGGCAACATAGGCCAGACACAGTGGCTCACGCCTGTAATCTCAGCACTTTGGGAGGCCAAAGAGGGAGCATCGCTTGTGCCCGGGAGCTTGAGACCAGCCCAGGCAACATAATGAGACCCCATATCTACAAAATAAATAAATAAATAAATAAATAAATTAGCTGGGTGTGATGGCCAGCACCTGCAGTCCCAGCTACTTGGGAGGCTAAGAGGGGATGATCATTTGAGGAGTTTGAGGGTGCAGTGAGCTATGATTGTGCTACTGCACTCCTGAGTGACACTGTCTGTGTGACAGGAGACTCTGTCTCTAAATAAATAAATAAAAATGAGGCAATACACATTCAGACAGGAAGCACCCAATGAACACCAGCAATCACTACCACCGCTGCCACTGCCTTTGGGAGACATGACCATGGGTCCACAAATGGCTGGGTCTGTTACCTGCTTGATGCAACCATGCCCCAAGCTCCACAGCAGTGCTCACCTGAACCCCAACACCCAGATCCCACTGGAGAGGGCTTTATCTTTGGCACTCACTGGCTTCACAGACATTAGTGAGTATGACTCACTAATGTAAGTAATCCTGTAAGAAGCCTGGGAGGATGACAGGCTGAGTACTGCAATCCCTGTGTCACAGATGGGGAAACTCAGGCTCATGTGGTAACCCTGGGCAAGAGCTAGTGCTAGAGGAAGCCAGGATGGAGGCCTGCCTGCTCAGGTCAGGCTATTCTACCCAGCCCCATGAGGAGGCGTGGGAGGAACAGGAAGCTGAGGCTGCCAGCAGCTGAACACCACAGTCTGTCTCTACTCTGAGGTGCTGCTTCCTGAAGGCTGGGGCTGCAGAGGAGGGAGTCATGGCCTGGGAATGCACATGTGCCCTTGAGCTTTCCTGTGTGTGCAGCTGCTCTGAGCGGGACAGCTCAGGAGGGGGTGGGAGTGTTCTCACAACACAACGTGAGCATGCACATGCACACATCTGTTTCCCAAGGAAACCAGCTGGGAGGAAGGGCATGTGCAGGTGTATATGGTGCTACCACGTGCAGACCCTGGAGGAAAGCACTAATCCTCTGCCACTTTGCAGCTATCAAAGGTGAGGCTGGCTGGGCGCAGTGGCTCATGCCTGTAATCCCAGCACTTTGGGAGGCTGAGGTGGGCGGATCACCTGAGGTCAGGAGTTCGAGATTAGCCTGGCCAACATGGCGAAACCCAGTCTCTACTAAAAACACAAAAATTAGCTGGGCATGGTGACACACGCCTGTAATCCCAGCTACTTGGGAGGCTGAGGCAGGAGAATTGCTTGAACCTGGGAGGCGGAGGTTGCAGTGAGCTGAGCTTGCGTCACTGCACTCCTGTCTGGGAGACAGAGCAAGACTCCATCTCAAAAAAAAAAAAAAAAAAAAAAGGTGAGGGCCACAGAGGTATAGCATTTGCTTAAGGTCACACAGCAAGCAAGTGGCCAACTTCTTTTACTTATCACCTTCTAGATGTTTTGGAGACAAGGCCCCTTTCCATAATCTCCGCCCAAAAACTGTGCACAAACCGAATTCTAACTTAAGATATAGCCAACATGAGAGCTGAAAGGCCCCTCACAGATGATATGGTCTGTGAAGAGGGAACTGAGGCACAGAGAGTGTAAGTAATTTGCCCAAGCTCACATCAAAATGCAAGAGAAGGGCCAGGCTTGTTGGCTTAGGTCTGTAATCTCAGCACTTTGGGAGGCCGAGGCAGGAGGATGGTTTGAGGCCAAGAGTTCAAGACCAGCCTGGGCAACATGGTCAAACCCCATCTCCACAAAAAATTTAAAAAATTAGCCGGGTGTGGTGGTGCATGCCTGTAGTCCTAGCCACTCGGAAGGCTGAGGCAGGAGGATCTCAGGCCCAGGTATTTGAGGCTGCAGTGAGTTATGACCGTACCAGTTCACCAGCCTAGAAGACAGGGCAAGACCCTGTCTCTTAAAAAACAAAAAGCAAGTCAAGTCAAGGAGGGAGCATATAACCTAGCAAAACCAAGAGCTTAGGCCCTGGAGTCAGTCAGACCTGGTTCAATCACAAACTGGTTCATACTCCAACAGGTTATTTAACTTCTTTGGGCCTGTGTCTCCCCTGGAAAATGAGAATAATAAGCACCTCTTAAGGCAGCCATGAGGACTTAAATGAGATAATCCATGCCGAAGGGCTCAGCATGGTGCCTGGCATACGGGAAGCGGGAATGTGCCTCAGCTGTTTTTATTACTGTTATTAGCGGGTGGATGAGGGATTCACTGGTGGGCCTGGATTTGGGTTTGTACCGTTTGGACATGGGCATGGCCCCTGGCCTCCTCACCACAGTGACGGCGTCATTGAGCAAGGACTCCCCAAAAACAAGGATGTGCAGCAGCTCATTGATGTGAATTTCCTCAAAGACAGCCAGAACCGCCACGGGGTCCACGGCCGAGATGATGCTGCCGAAGAGCAGGTTGTCCAGGAGGCCGATGTTGTTGATCTGCTCACCGCCCACCAGGCACACGGCGTACATGAGGCCGCCCAGGAAGAAGGCGTTCCACAGCGTGCCCACCACGGCAAAGATCAGGATGGTGCCCAGGTTTTCTGTGAACTGCCGCAGTGGCAGGAAGTAGCCCGCATCCAGGATGATGGGCGGCAGCAGGAAGAGGAAGAAGACGTCGGACTGCAGGAAGGGGGGTGTCTCGCCTACACCCTTGATCAGGCCCCCCACCAGCAGCCCCACCACGATCAGCAGGCAGCTCTCCGGGACGATGCTTGAGATAGTGGGGATCACATGGAAACCTGCGGAGGGCGAGAGAACGGGAGGCCATGGGCTTTCGGAGGAGCCAGGAGAATAGAAGGTTGGGGATGGGCCGGGGATGAGGAGCGCAGTTGGTGAGAGGTGCACAGGCTGGGTCTCAGAGGGCTGCTCTGTTAACTCTCTGAGCCTCCGCTTCCTCGCCTGTAAAATGGAAGGGACAATGCTAGCTTCACAGGTTTGCCATCATAAACCAAGTGACAGTGTTTTTAAAGCACTTTTTTCAAAGGATATATACATGCTATCTCTGTCACTGTCATAAAATGTTAGAAAGCAGCAGTTCTATATGCTTCCAGAAGGCAGAAATTATAAATTGATTACTGACGTGCCAAGTACCTACGGGCATCACCTACGCCTGAACCCAAGGCATTATTCCAGGCACAAGTTCAGGGAGGCAGATCTGAGCTCAACCTGAGGAATAACAATCTAACAATTCTGTCTGAGGGAAGATGGTAGTTCCCTATCACGGAGCTGTTTAAGCAGAAGGCAGACAACCAGCTGGTGGGGAGTGGCATAGGAGACAGAAGAAAGCACAGAAGAATCTAAGAATACCAGCGTGGGAAGGAACTTGGGGATAATAAGGCCTGGGGTCTGCAAACCTGCAAAACAGTAGGCTTTCCTACTGAGTCCAGGCAGCTGCTCAAGACACGGCTCAAGGATGTCAGTGGCAACCAGCTTTGGCAGGTGAGATAAAATCTATTTGCTATCCCGCTTCTAGCTCAATGCCACCCACTTTAAAGATGGGGCAACTAAGGCTCAGAAAAGGGAAGGGACTTGCCCAAAGTCACACAGCAAGTGGGGAGCAGAACTAGAATAGAACACAGGTCTGATGCCCCAGTTCCCATCAAACTGCACAGTTCTGTAATTCAAGCTCTCCTATCCTTCCCTCCCATCAAGGCCTCCTCACACACCCCTCTGCCTGGGACCCACCAGCCATCTCCCCAGGCCGTGTCCTGGCCAGCAACAGGCCGCTCTGCTGTAGTCCACCTTAAGGCTTCAAACCCAGAGCTGAGGAGTAGCAAAAATCCCCGTTGAGAGGGCCTCTCTCAATATCAGGTATGGCCAGAGAACCCTGAGCTCCTGTGAGTGGTTTACTTGTTTGTTTTGTTTTGGGGTGGGAAAGTAGGTGGAAAAAAATCTGAGCATCTAGTTGTATGTTGGGTACTATGCTCCCAGGGTTGGCATAGCCAAGAGGGTTTGTCCCTTTGCTCAAGAGGAAAGCTCTCTCTGGCCTGGCATGGTGGCTCATGCCTGTATCCCAGCATTTTAGGAGGCTGAGGTGGGAGGAACACTTGAGGCCAATAATTTGACACCAGCTTGTACAACATAGGAGACCTCATCTCCACTTAAAAAAAATAGCTGGGCATGGTATGCACCTGTAGTCTCAGCTAGTTAGGAGGGCCGAGGCAGGAAGATCACTTGAGCCCAGCCTCAAAAAAAAAAAAGAAAGAAGAAAGCAAAGCTCTCTCTCCTCCCCTTCCCTATCTTGCAAGCTCTGTGCAGGCAGATCCCATAACTGCTTATCATTATACACCCAGGGCTAGGACACAAGAAGTGCTCAACAAATATCAGCTGACTTGAAAATACACAGGGCTGGGACATCACCCAAGATTTCCGATAACCTGCATGCCTGGCCAGGCCTCTGCTCTCATTACTTACTCTTGAGATCCTTGGGACAGAGGAGGAACTTCCCTCTCCATGCCCAAAGCCCTTCCTACTCTCAGGTAGGAATCTGGGCAGTGCTAGTACGGTGACAAGTCAAAGTTCACACTGCTGGCTGGGCACGGTAGCTCACGCCTGTAATCCCAGCACTTTGGGAGGCCGAGGTGGGTGGATCACCTGAGGTCAGGAATTCAAGACCAGCCTGACCAATATGGTGAAACCCTGTCTCTACTAAAAATATAAAAATTGGCCAGGCGTGGTGGTGGGTGCTTGTATTCCCAGCTACTTGGGAGGCTGAGACAGGAGAATTGCTTGAACACAGGAGGTAGAAGTTGCAGTGAGCCGAGATCACGCCACTGAGCTCCAGCCAAGATCACTCCACTGCACTCCAGCCTGGGCAACAGAGCAAGACTCCATCTTGAAAAAAAAAAGTTCACACACTGAACACTATCCAGGCCCAGAATCCTGGCACAGTGCCAAGCACCCTGAAGACACTCAAAACACATTGGGAAAAAAAGATGTCTCCATCCTAGGCCAAGAGGACCTCGAAGGCACCATGTGCATTCTCCTGATTTCAAAATAGACATGACCAAAAGTCACTTTTTGTTCATCTACTTCCCACATCAATAAAAGGGAAAATAATTCCAAAATCACCCCTTTTGCTGAAAAGTCCCCCAGTCTTTGTACTGTCCACCAGTCAACATCCAGTGTGTAGCTGGCTGGTCCACTGGGAAGGGCTAGTCATGTTGGACCCAAGTCTCTCTTGCTGTAGAGGATAAAGCCCACATTTTCAGCACTGCCTCTGTCATCTGCTCTTGCCTCATGTCCCATTCTCCCCACTGTCAACTCTTAGGTTTCAGCCTTGCCAAATTCCTTGCAATTGCCCCATATGAGCCACATCCTCTTTTGCCTGCCAATCTTCACCTAGTCTAGTTCCTCTCTCTAGAAATCATTCCTCTACCTCTACCCCCACCATATGTGGCTGACACCATATCCTCTGCCTGCCTCCTCCTTCAGGAAGCATTCCCTGACCACCACCTGTCTGCTCAGGTTAGGGCAGGAATCTTCTGGTGCTTCCCTCTCTCATAACCTT
Source organism: Homo sapiens (assembly GCF_000001405.40). Classification (NCBI taxonomy): domain Eukaryota; kingdom Metazoa; phylum Chordata; class Mammalia; order Primates; family Hominidae; genus Homo; species Homo sapiens. The sequence continues at coordinate 27,117,058 of NC_000001.11, forward strand.
CAATCCACAGTCATCTCCCAGGTTCCTCTCTCTCTTCCTGGCACCCACCGAGATCAGTCAGACAACCCAGGCAGAAGCAGCTGAGACAAGACAATGGCATCAGACCCCAAAGACCTGCAGTGTGCTGGAGGGGAGACAGGCACAGCGCAGCGGAGATAAGCAGGATGAAGATTTAGGGGAGCAGAGCTCCTACAGGCAGGGGCCAGAAAGCACCTTCCCAAGGCCGGAAGTCCAGCTCCAGCCAGCTGCATGCTGACCCCCCTCCACAGCCTCCCTGCCCCTGTCCTGGCGTTAGCACCAAGAGCTGCCTTAAGAGAAGGCAGAGTCTAAAGAGATAGTCCAGGGTAGGCAGATGATGGCTTCCACCTCCACCTAAGGGGTCGGGCTCTAAAAATGCCTCCTACCCTCACTCTGTGCCATCAACCCAATCCACAGAGCTTTCCTGGCCCCATAAATCGCCAGACAGTGCCTGGGAGACCCAGAGAAGAGTTGGCCACAGCTCCTGCCTGGGGAGGGGGCAGGCATGTGAAACAAGCCAAGAACAGCAACATGAAGACGGCTCCTCAGGTCTGAGGGCGTCCCATGAGCCAGAACTGTGCTGGGAGCCTGGCACGCACCATCTCATTCAGTCCTCACCACAGCCCTTGGGATAGGTATTGCCTCCATTTTGCAGAAGACAAAGCTGAGGCTCAGCAAGGTTATGCCACTCCCCTAGTGTCTAAGGGAGGACCTCTATTCTAGCTTAGGTGTCTCAAACCGGTAGCAGAGAGCGCTAATTAATTCTTTAGTCAAAGCTCGGTATTTTCTCTGAGCCAGGCCATATGGGACACTGGGAACATTGAGGTGACTCAGACTCTGAACCTCCGTGAGCAGCTGATGGGGAGGGCCATGCTATTCCAGCCCTTGGAGCTTCTATGACCAGGTGAACAGAGAGCTGGCATTCCTATTGAACACAAGAAAAACGAGCTCTGAGAGGAGGCTGCATGCACTCAGCCAGGCCAACCAGGACTGGGTCCCGGGCCTCCTGACTACAGCACAGCGACCTCCTTCTCCTTCAGCCAGCTCCAGAGTACCTGGGGCTGGAGCCATGTTCCTGGAGCTGGTTTCCCTGGCTTTCCTGTTTTGTCTCTGGCGCTCAGTGAGCTGAAGGAGCTCTAGGCCCTGATGGGCTCTCTGGGCCTGAGGGGAGGGCCGGGCCGGGCCAGGCTGAGGAGAAAGGTCTGAGATCCACTTTTGGCTCCCTGCCTGTGGGTAGGTGGCACATTATTGGAAAGCACTTCTAGGGCTGGGGGAGGAAGGGATTCTGTCATCAAGAGGAGGCTCCTTCAGGAGCAACGGCTCAGGGAAGTGGGAAGCAGCCCCTGGACCTGCGCTGGCTTGTCCCTCTCCTAACGCCCTGACTCCACCAACTGCGCTCACTCTGCATCCCTGCAGAGTCCCCACAAAGAGCAGGATGCTTGCTGACACCCGGTGTGGTGAAAGGGGCACAGAAGGATGGCTGCGGCCCCTGGTACCCTGACAAAAGCCCTGCATGGAGGCAAGATCCCAGGATGCCAAGAGATGAGGCAAAACTTTCAGGGCCCAAACATGCAGCAGCAGTGATGTCACCAGGGTGAAATCAGGGATGGGAAGAGGCAGTTAGAGTAAGAACCAGAGTCGTAAGAGCTGGAATGGATCTTGGAGAGCATCTAAATTCTCCATTATATAGTCAGGGAAATGGAGACAGAGACAGCCAGTGACCTGTCAATGATCACATGTCCAGTTCTACCCCAGCAGTCTGTGACACTCCAAGCCACACAGCCTTCTTCGAGGACGTCCAGTCCTCCCAGAACAAGGAGGCACGAAAGTGTGGAATTCAACATCTCCAAGCACAGCCACAGGCCAAACCCTCTGACACAGTTCAGAGTTGGCGCTCCTTTTAGAAGAGGCTGGGGGATGGGAGAAGTGTTTTTCATTCTATCTAGTGTAGGTGGTAGCTGGAACGAACACACACACACACACACACACACACACACACACACACACACACTCTTGCTGAGCAGACACCTCACCAAACTTCCAATTGATGGAGGCTCCCAGCCCCCTGCGGCTGCTCTGCACCACAAGAATGTTTTATTTATATCTCCTCGGACGGTCCCCATCTGTTGAGACTGGCTCAGTGGAGCAGGCAAGGCTGTCCGACATCACCCTGGGTTGCCAGGGTGACCAGACATGCCTGATCCCCCTTCCCGCAACCCTCCTCTGGCCTGGGAAGTCAGAGGGGAGTGCTGGGAAGAGGGGTCTCTTTGGCCCATAGTGCCAGGTCACCAGGGACCCAGGGGCACACTGAGGGCTCTGTCGCCCTACTTCCAGGCCTGAGGACTGCTCTGGGGCTGCAACTCGGCCAGGTCCCAAGGGATTCCTAGTTGCACAATGATTCCATTTCTTTAACTCCCTCTTCAACTGCCCCAGCAACCAGTCTCAACTGCAGCAATGAAAGGTAATACTTCCCAATGAAAGCCCAGCACTCTACAGTTTACAGCGGCACACTCTTAACCCATTTGCTCTCCACCATAGTTCTGGGAAGTCACAATTACCATCCCCTTATTTTACAGATGAGGAAACTGAAGCACACAAAGGTTAAGCAACTTGATCAAAGTCACATGGCTGGTAACTGGGATTCAAACCCAGGTAGTCTGGCTCCAGAGTCTGTGTTCTTGGCCACTCACTGTATTATCCCTGGCTTTATTCTTACTTTGTTTCTAAGGGGCGTGTGAGCCTAGGACTAAAGAGGCCCAAAGCAGTTCCCAAAGGGCCAGCGGTAGGTTTTTCTTTCCATGAGCTCTTCTCCAGGAAGTCTCCCACTGCTTCTACTCTAGTGGCCTAGTAAAGACTTCATGAAATCCTTCCTATCTTCAAAGGCTGCCCTCTCCAGGAAGCTCTCCTAAGTTAACTCAGCCAGGAGGGGAAGGTTGCAGTGAGCCAAGATTGCACCACTGCACTCCAGCCTGGTGACAGAGCAAGACTCCACCTCAAAAAAAAAAAGTATTATTCATTGAGTTTCTGCTGTGGGGATGGGAGGTTTTTTTTGTTTTGTTTTGTTTTGTTTTGTTTTGGGGGGGCGGAGTCTCACTCTTGTTGTACAGTGGCGCGATTTCGGCTCACTACAGCGTCTGCCTCCCGGGTTCAAGTGATTCTCCTGCCTTAACCTCTCCAGGGGCTGGGATTACAGGCACCCACCATGGCGCCTGGCTAATTTTTGTATTTTTAATAGAGGAGGGGTTTCGCCATGTTGGCCAGGCTGGTCTCAAACTCCTGACCTCAGGTGATCCACCCACCTTAGCCTCCCAAAGTGCTGAGATTACAGGCGTGAGCCACCGCACCTGGCCAAATAATACTTTTTTTAAAATGTAGCAGCCAGCTGGGGGTGGCAGCTCACGTCTGTAATCCCATCACTTTGGGAGGCCGAGGCGGGTGGATCACCTGAGGTCAGGAGTTCTAGACCACAGTGACCAACATGGCGAAACCTCGTCTCTACGAAAAATACAAAAATTAGCCAGGTGTGGTGGCAGGCGCCTCTAATCACAGCTACTCAGGAGGCTGAGGCAGGAGAATCACTTGAACCTGTTAGGCAGAGGTTGCAGTGAGCCGAGATCACACCATGGCACTCCAGCCTGGGCAATAGAGCAAAATTCCATTTCAAAAAAAAAAGATAAACTCTCCAGCACCCAGGAGACAAACACTGGACACTTGGAGAATCTGATGCAAGGCTCTGTGCAGGGGGCTTATACACACCCCCTCTCATTTCATCTCACATCCTGACCCCCAATTTGACAGATGAAGAAATCCAGGTTCAGAGAGGTAACTTGTCCAAGGCTACCTAGCTGGGAAGTGGCAGGGTCATTATTAGAACCCAGTTCTCTGAACTGCTAGTTCTTTGGGCCATGCTGCTTCAAAGAAAACAGCTTGTCAGGATCACCAGGAAGAGAATTCAAGTCTGCAATAAATATGCCTCCCCCACAAAAACAGCCATAAATAAATCTGTTCCAAGTACCTGGGCAAGCATCCTTCCCCATACCCGGGCAATCAGTCTCTCTCTGTGTTTTTCCCCATCATTCTTCCAAACAGCACTTCTATTTCTTGCTTGTTTCAATCCACATTTCAGGGGGTCCTACTATGTTGGAGAGAAAGGGTCTCACCCTCTGGGAACATCAGGTCTGGATGGGAAAGCAGGTAAAAAGCTGTCAGAAAACACAAGCAGCATACACTGGACTATCTGAGTCATGGAAAAGAGAAGACCGTGCAAGGAGGCCAAAACCCCAGGTCCAGACCCCACTCTGCCCTTTAGTAACCATGAGCTTTGCGTAAATCACTATACCATGGAATAACCTCCATTTTCTTGTCTGTAAACAAGTGAGAACAGGGACTAGACACAGGAGCACCTTGTGCACTGAAACGACTGAGAAAAGAGAGGTCAGGCAGGCTGGGGGGCCTGGGCGGCCCCTGGAGTAATAAGCAGCGATTGAGCCAGCAGCAACTGCCTTAGAGACCTGGCAAGAGAGGCTGTTCCGGAGGCAGGCATGTTGTGATAGAGGATCACAGCCTCAGCAACCCTGGCACTGGGTTACAAATCCCTCACAATGCATAGCCTCTCCCTCTCTCCTTCCTTTCTCCTCTCACCTGTCCCATCTACATCAACTCCTTGACTCCAGTGACCAGAAGTCCCCAAATCCCACCTCTAAGCAAACAGCAGGAAACTCTTCCTCACCTGGAACTTCTACCCACCTTTCAAAACTCAGTGGAGGGCCGGGCGCAGTGGCTCACACCTATAATCCCAGCACTTTGGGAGGCCGAGGTGGGTGGATCACCTGAGGTCAGGAGTTCGAGATTAGCCTGGCCAACATGGTGAAAATCCATCTCTACTAAAAATACAAAAAATTAGCTGAGTGTGCGCCTATAGTCCTAGCTACTCAGGAGAGTGAGGCATAAGAATTGCTTGAACCTGCAGGCGCAGGTTGCAGTGAGCCAAGATCGCGCCACTGCACTCCAGCCTGGGCGACAGAGTGAGACTCCATCTCAAAAATACAAAAACGAACAAACAAAAAACCCCAGTGCAGGTGTCACCTCCTCTGGGAAGCCTTCCTGGAGCCACACCCCCGCCCTCCCCAGGCTGAGTCAGGTGCCCCTCCAAACTGAGGAGCTGTGTTCGGTGCCTCAGCCAGCCTGGCATCCCAGCACACAGCTCTGGACCCCCAAAAAGTGATGCTCAGAAAACACGGGTTAAGGGAATGATGAACACTTCCTGAAGGATGTAGGACTAGAGTTTGGTCTCAAAGGTGGGTGACTAAAGGGGGAAGAGTGTGAACAAATGAAAAGAGAGGGGACCTCAAAAGCCTTTTGAGGATCCTGAAGCCTGCAGCCAGCCTGGAAATGAGAGTGAACAGTGCAGGAGATGCTGGCACACAGGCCTGACCCGGGCAGATCAAGGAAGGAACTGAGTCAAGGAGCCTGAGCCAACAGAGCAGGCCTCAGAGGGTCCCCTGACCTTCAGCCTGGCCCTGAATGCCCCATCCTAGCCTGCAGCCTGGTTCTACCACCACCAGCCTTCTCCCTGGGTCTCAAGGACCCATTTCTGTAACCCCTATACCACTCCAAGCTGGGGCAGCACCTCTTGGTAACCAGCCTGACCTTCCCAATCATCCAAGCTCTGCATAAACATTTGTTGAATAAATTTCACTCCAGCAGATTGCCCCTCCCCCTGCAGGAAAGGCACTGGATCAAGAGTCCCCATGCAGTGAAGCAGAGGATGACTCACAGGGGAGAGGGAGGGACAGGGACTGGGACCGGCAGTAAAGAGCCCGTGTTGTGTTGACAAGAGGCAGAGCTCCAACAGGCCCAACAGTGCCTGGCAAGGGAGAGGTGCCAGGCAGTGGGGTGCTTACCTGGGGAGGGGGTTACCTGGGGAAGCGGTGGGGGGCAGCTCAGGGGGTCGGCTTTACTTGGGGCAGGGGTAGGACCTCAAGCTCCAAAGACTCTCATGGCTGGATTGGGTGTCTGGTAGGTGACCATATGATACACACTGGTTTCTTTTGATTTTCTCAAAATGGAAATATATTATATTGCTTTGGTGATTTTAAATAAAACTTATGGTCATTAAAATTTTTTTCTAACAGTCATATAAGTGTTTAAGTATAAGGAAAATCATCTCACAGTGATTCTCCCCCTTCCCTTTTACCAACTATACCAGTCTCCCCCACAACCGAATTTCTGTTAAGTTTGGTATATATTCTTGAAGACTTTTCTGTATCTATAGGTTATTTAAAATTATGTGTGAATGGTAAATCACACATGCTGTGCTTCAACTGCTTCTATGGGGCAGAGACTGCACTAAGTACTGAGGCATCTCATTTAATTCTCTCAACAACCCTAATGCAGTAGGTATAATTATTATCCACTTTTTATTTTTATTGGGCTTTTTTTTTTTTAGACAGAGTCTCGCTCTGTCACCCAGGCTGGAGTGTTGGAGTGCAATGGCACAATCTTGGCTCACTGCAACCTCCGCCTCCTGGGTTCAAGTGATTCTCCTGCCTCAGCCTCCCGAGTAGCTGGGATTACAGGTGCCCACCACCACACCTGGCTAATTTTTGTGTTTTTAGTAGAGATGGGGTTTCACTATGCTGGCCAGGCTGGTCTTGGACTCCTGACCTCAGCTGATCCACCTGCCTTGGCGTCCCAAAGTGCTGGGATTACAGGCGTGAGCCACCGCGCCCAGCCCTTTTATTGGGCTTTAAAAAAAAATTTTTTTTTTGAGACGGAGTCCCGCACAGTCACCCAGGCTGGAGGGCAGTGGCACGATCTTGGCTCACTGCAACCTCCGCCTCCCGGGTTCAAGCGATTCTCCTGCCTCAGCGTCCTGAGTAGCTGGGATTACAGGTGTGTGCCACGCCCGGCTAATTTTGTATTTCAAGCCACCATCTCCCTCCTTTCCTTTCCCAGTGTCCCGGATGTGTGGCTCCCCAGCTCAGGTGCTCCGTTCCCCACTCCATCTCTATCCCTGGCCTGTCCTTGCCTCTTGCCAGACTGCTGTCAGGACTTACAGATGGTATCAGGTGCTCCAGGTACCAGTTTGCCCCACACCTGGGGTGGGGCAGAGGTGGGGGAAGAAACAGAGGCTCAGTAAGAGAGCTTCCATTTCTAGAAACTTTAGAGCCATGGGAGAGCTAGATTTTTCTTTCCTCTTTGCTGGGGGTACAGTAGAGCTTGCAAAATGCAAATCTGAGAGAAAAAAAAAATTGAGTATACCAAATATCTGTTGTTCTTAGTATTGCTTCCAGTTGAAAGTCAGTTAGCTTAGAAGCTTACCAATGTGTTAAATTCATTATATATAACTTCAACTTGCTTGAAATCTCATCCTACTTGGCTACAGAGGTGGAATATAAAGAGGTACCAGTAGGAAAGCAACACAAAAAGAAATTCTACAATTTCCAGGACAATTGCCCTGCAGAAAGCAAGTCACAGTGTCCTATTTTCAGCACTACAAGGAATGCGGGGGACCGCAAAGGAAGAACAAAACACAGGCGGCACTGGCTGGGTGGGGAAGACAGACCAGCAGCCTCTGGGAGGCAACTGGGGCCCCTTCTATCCCTAGTAGCTTTATCAGCTTTATGGGGTCTATTGTGTGCCCTCACAGCATCTGAGGGCAGTGATGAAGAAGGGGTGTTAGCCATCCTCCACTTGGACATTTTAGTGACCTCTCAGAAGGGCCAGAAAAGGATCAGTGAGAGAAAATGACTCTCAGGGGACAGAGCCTGGAGTAGGGCAGAAAAGATGGGGGGCCTTCCCAGAGGTGGGGGCATGAGCATCCTTAGGCTGGTGTGTTACGGTGTGCATGGGGTGGACTGCAGAATGGCAAATGCACAGGAGCTGGGTGCTCCTGACAGGAAATTCTTATTTTCTCGTCCCCAAACCTGCTCCTCAGGCCCCAAATTTTGGAGTTGTCCTAACTCCTTTCTTCCTCTCACTCCTGACATCCAATCCATCACCAAACCCTGCTGGTTCTGCCTTCTAGACATGAACAGACCCTGACACTTCTCACCGCCTCCACTGCTAACACCCATCCAAGCCAGCACAATCACTTGCCTGGACCACTGCAGCAGCATCCAATCAGTCTCTCTTCTCTTTTCCTTCCTTCCTTTTCTTTCTTTTTTTTTTTTTTTTTTTTTTTTTTGAGAAACAGTCTTGCTCTGTCATCTAGGCTGGAGTGCAGTGGCGCAATCTTGGCTCACTTCAACCTCCGCCTCCTGGGTTCAAGTGATTCTTGTGCCTCAGCCACCTGAGTAGCTGGCATTACAGGCACATGCTACCACACCTGGCCAATTTTTGTATTTTCAATAGAGACAGGATTTCACCATGTTGGTGAGGCTGGTGTCGAACCCCTGGCCTCAAGTGATCTGCCCACCGTGGCCTCCCAAAGTGTTGAGATTACAGGCCTGAGCCACTGCGCCCAGCCCACATATCCACTCTTGCCCCCCAGGCTCTTCCTACACCAGCCAAGAGTGAAGCTTTTTTTTTCTTTTTGAGACGGAGTCCCACTCTGTCTCCAGGCCGGAGTGCAGTGGCGCAATCTTGGCTCATTGCAACCTCTGCCTCCTGGGTTCAAGCGATTCTCCTGCCTCGGCCTCCTGCGTAGCTGGGACTATAGGCGTATGCCACCACGTCCAGCTAATTTTTGTATTTTTAGTAGATGAGGTTTCACCATGTTGGCCAGGGTGGTCTCGATCTCTTGACCTCGTGATCCGCCCACCTCAGCCTCCCAAAGTGCTGAGATTACAGTCATGAGCCACTGTGCCCAGCCAAGAGTGAAGCTTTTTAAGAGGTAAGACATACTACTGAAAGGCAGGGACTACATCCCCCTCCGCGTCTTTCCACCACACCTGAATCTCCACTCACTGTCCCCTAGCTCTACTGGCCTCCTTGCTTTTCCTTGAGCACAAACATGCCCCCACCTCAGGGCCTTTGCATTTGCTGTTCCCTGTGCCTGAGACACTATTCCCCATGTAGGTGAATGACAGATTCCCTCCCTTCCTTCAGGTCCCTGCTCAGATGCCACCTCCCCAGAGAGGTCCTCCCAACCCTCTCTATCCGCTTACCCTTGCCACTTCCTGACGTCTAGATGTGCTTTCTGACCGTTCCCCACCCAGAACATAAGCCTCGTGAGGGCAGCCTCTGTCCCAATCACTGTTGTATCCCTGGCACCTTAGGCTGTACCTGGCACACAGGAGGTTCACAATCAATGTTTGCTGGATGGATGACTTTCTCTTACCTCAGTGACCTCACAAGGTTGTGAGGATTACATGAGACCACAAACACAAAAGCACTGGGCGAACCACAAGATGTTGTCGGGGGGGTCACCATCAGCTTGTCCCTTGGAGAGCCACTCTTCCAAGGTGCTGCTCAGCAGTTTTTCCTAAATACCCCAGGGAGCAGAACCCAGTCACGCTCAGTTCTGTGGCCTGCAGAGCCTGGGACCACACAGCCCTCTATTAAGAGTCTGATGACACGGCACAGCTGGTTGGTCTGTCTCCCCCTCCAGACCACAAGCAAGTTTCTACCTGCAAGCAAGGCTAGGGACCCTGTCCTATTCATCTTTGACTCTCTAGGCCTCAGCACGGAGCCTGACACATAGTAAGGATAAAGACTTGTTGAGCTAGCAGAACTGTTTGAGGGCAGAAGTCATGTCTGGTTTAACTTTTTTTCCTTCCCTTTTGTGTATATATTTTTGGGTTTAACTTAATCTCCAGTGTTTGGCACTAAGCACATGGACACTAAGCTCCAGCTGAATTGGCCTTTTCCTTGAAGGAAGGGTGAGAGTTAGGCACCAAGAAGGCCTGGCAGGCAAATCAGCAGCATCTGGAAAGACAGGACAGGGAAACGAGTGTGGTACAGGTAGAAGATTTATTTTTTGCGGGGGGAGGGGGCAGGGAAAACAGAGTCTGGCTGTGTTGCCCAGGCTGGAGTGCAGTGGTACGAACATGGCTCACTGCAGCCTTGACTTCCTGGGCTCAAGTGATTCTCTCACCTCAGCCCCCCATGTAACTGGGACTACAGGCGCGTGCCACCATGCCTAGCTAGTTTTTGTATTTTTTGTAGAGATAGGGGTTTTGCCATGTTGCCCAGGCTGGTCTCAAACTCCTGAGCTCAAGAGATCTGCCTGCTTTGCCTCCCAAAGTGCTGAGATTACAGGCGTGAGCCACTGAGCCCAGCCCAGGTAGAGGCTTTCTATTGGAGCAAATGGCAGTGGACTGGAGTGGAAATCATTACTTAGATGCTGTAAAGCAGACTTTTCTCTCGCCCTCACAACATGCCCTGGCAGTGGGCAACAGATGAGAGAACAGACATTGAGAGAGGTCCAGACACAGGCCCAAGATCACATGGGTAGCAGCGGAGGCAGGTCCCAAACCCAGAACTACTGACTCCCAATCCAGCGCTCAGCCAAGGCCAGTTATGAAAGGCCACAAATACCCTGCAGGGAGAGAATTCCCAATCACCCTGCTGAGCCAGGCAGAGCCACTGGAGGGCTCTGGCCTGGGGAACAACATGAAATTCTGCCACTTCAGGGAGGTGGTCAAGGGAGACAGCGCTGGCCACCCAGGCTCAGCACCTGGCATAGGGCAAAGTTGTCCAAATGCACAGCCATTTAGTCTCAGCTCCAGGGACAGCTGGCACTGCCTCCTGCACAATACCAGCAGGATGGGTGAGCACCCCCTCCATCCTACCTCCAAATGCCTCAAAAGACCAGAAAACTACAATTCTGAGAAAAGAAAGGCCTGAGTCAAGCCCAGGCTGGGGATCAGGGGAACTGGGCTTCAGTCTAGACTCAGCCACTAACATTCTGTGGGCTTTGAACAAGCCGTTGCTTCTCTTTGGTCTCAGTCTCTCCATCCTTGGGGGCTTGTTGAGAGCCTCTCTACCTCTGACATCTGACTGATGAACTCTGCAGCTGGACAAAGTCGGGCTCTGTGATACTCACCATCTCTGTCCATGCCAGCAACTGTGGCATCTGGGTACAGAATAGCATTCGTGCCATAGCAAGCTTGCACGAGGCAGCAGCGGGCAGCGTAAAGAGCTCTGGTCCATCAATGAGGGAGGTAGTTTCTGTCCCAATTCTAAATCTTAACTTCTCTGTGACCTAATAAGGCAAATCACGGTACTGCCCTGAACCTCAGTTTCTTCCTTTCTAACATTGGGATAAAGAATGTCTATGGCACAGCGTTGCTGTAAGAGGAGAGAACAGAGACAGAAACACTCAGAAAAAAGCAAAAACAAAAATATATGCCCAGGCCAGGGGAGGTGGCTCACACCTGAATCCCAGCAGCGGGGGAGGCCGAGGCGAGAGGATCACTTGAGCCCAGGAGTTTGAGAGCAGCCTGGGTAACGTGGCAAAACCCATCTCTACAAAAAATTTAAAAATTAGTTGGGCATGGCTGGTGCATACCTGTAGTCCCAGCTACTAGGGAGGCTGAGGTGGGAGGATCACCTGAGCCCGGGAGGTTGAGGTTTCAGTGAGCCGAGATCATGCCAACTGCACTCTATCCTGGGCAACAGGGTGAGACCCTGTCTTTAAAAAAAAAAAAAAAAAAGGCCAGGCGTGGTGGCTCATGCCTATAATCCCAGCACTTTGAGACGCCAAGGCGGGCGGATCACCTGAGGTCAGGAGTTTGAGACCAGCCTGGCCAACATGGTGAAACCCCATCTCTATTAAAAATACAAAATTAGCCGGGCGTAGTGGTGCATGCCTGTAATCCCAGCTACTTGGGAGGCTGAGGCAGGAGAATCACTTGAACCCAGGAGGTGGAGGTTGCAGTGAGCCGAGATCCTCACGCCATTGCACTCCAGCCTGGGCAAAAAGAGGGAAACTCCATAAACAAACAAACAAACAAACAAACAAATGCATGCACGCACGCACGCATGCCAGACACTCCCGTGCAGATCTAGATTCCCAGAAACCAGCAGCGGCAGGGTCCCAGAGGCAAGCTGGCAGCACTAGGGAGGCAAGAGCTTCTCCTAAACAGGCACCTGAGGGGGAAGCTGTCCAACTGCACAGCATTAAGGCTCCATGGGCAGCAGGCACTGCCTCCTGCACAATACCAGCAAGATGGGTGAGCTTTCCTGATACTGGATCCTCTATCTCAAGGGGGTCCCCTAAGGGTCTCCCATACACTTCTGATAACGATCCAGCTGGCTGGGCTCTGTGTGGTGGGAGAGACAGGGCATGCTTGGAGGGCCTCTCCCTGCCTCCTCTCCCACCACACTGGGGATAGTTTGTCACTTCAGGCCTCTAGGAGCCACGAGATGTAGAGTGGATAGGAGAACTGAGCATGCTCAGAGGAGGCTGCCCTTTAGAGGACACTGCAGAGAAAAGATGAGGACACGGCCAGCTGCAGGGCTTGGTCCTGGTGCCAGGAAGGCCCAGGGCTCTAGAAACAGCAATGGGAGGTCAGCTCTCTCCTGTGGGAGAAGAGGGGCAGCAAGAAGTCAGAGATTAGAAGAGGGAGGGCCCTCTGAGACCATCCAGTGCAACCCCTCTATTTTACAGATGCAAAGGATGAAGCCCAGAGAGGGGACGGAACTTGGTTGACGTTACACAGCAAAGTGGTAGCAGAGCTGGCACACACACCCAGGATGGTCCACTCCAAAACTGGTCCTTGCTTGGAACATGGTGCCAACCCCCCCATTCCACTCCCACTTCTTTTTTTTAAACTACCTTCTATTGAGTGCCTCACTTTGATGCTCTGTATACTTCAATCACGATTCTCCTAGCAGCCCTCTGACACAGGGATCACCCTCCTCATTCTACAGCTGAGGAAACCGGGGCAGAGAGAAATGGTCTGACTCCAGAGCCATGGCCCCAACCATGCTGCCTGCAGCTCTGAGCCCCAGTTTTCTGGACCAAATGGTGGGTGTGGGGAGCAGGAGCCCTGGTTTATTGCCAGGTCTGTCACTCCTTTGCTGTGTGACCTTGGGCAGGTCACTCACCCATTCTAAACTGTTGGTCTTTCATTTTGTTTGTTTGTTTGTTTTTTGAGACAGAGTCTCATTCTGTCGCTCAGGCTGGAGTGCAGTGGCACAATCTTGGCTCACTGCAACCTCCGCCTCCTGGGTTCACGCGATTGTCCCGCCTCAGCCTCCTGAGTAGCTGGGATTACAGGCGCCCGCCACCACACTCGGTTAATTTTTTGTGTATTTTTAGTAGAGACAGGGTTTCACTATGTCGGCCAGACTGGTCTCGAACGCTTGACCTCGTGATCCGCCTGCCTCGGCCTCCCAAAGTGCTGGGATTACAGGCGTGAGCCACCGCACCCGGCCTAAACTGCTGGTCTTTCTAAGATCCCTAGCAGTACCAGTGTGCCCTGGTTCTGTGTGTGCCTTGCAAGGAGAGAAGCAGGAGCTATTTGGCACCCTAGTAATGGGAAATGGAGCTCCACTGACAGCAGCTCCCCAGACTGGGTCTAGCCTGCAGGCCTCTGCTCAAAACCCATGTGCAATGCCTCAGGAGACACAGTGCAGCCCTCCAGCACATGCCACTGTGGGAAGGGAGAATTACTACGAAGCCCTGTGCCTTCTCATTTAGCCTCAGCAATGCCATGAGGTAGACACTACTGTTTCAATTTTCCAGTAGAGAAATTGAGGCTCAGAGCTTAATGAACTAGCTCAAATGACACACAGCCAGGAAACAACCAAACTGGTATTTGATCCCAGAAGCCAAGCTCTGCCCTCAAGCCGGGCCTGGTTAACTGCTTCCTGCTGGCACTCTGGTCCTCAGGGCACAGGTTCTAGAGCCCACTGGTGATAAGCTGAGCACAAAGGGCCAAGGGCTCCAGGCAGGCTGAGAGGTTGCCTGCCTGCCTACTTGTCTGCCAACCAGTTCACCCCATAGAAGTGCCCCATGCCCAGGAAGGAGATAAGGAAGCCTTTGTCAGTGCCCACTTCCGCCTGGCCTGTGCTGGCTGCTGAGACTGGGCAGGGCCCATCGTGTGATCCCACACATGGCACTGGCACAAGGTGTACATGCCTCCCTCCAGCAGGGCAGGGGAGATGCCTGGGGCAGCCAGAACTGGGGAAGCAGCCACCACTGGGCAGGACAAGGAGGGTCAAGAATTCAGGCAAGAGCCGTGGTTCTTTTTTCTTTTTTGCCACCCACCCCCAGACCATGGTTCTAACGAGCCCTGTCACGCAGCGTCCAGTTGAAATGGGGATGTTAATAATAATGATAGTGGCTGGGTGTGGTGGCTCACGCCTGTACTCTCAGCACTTTGGGAGGCTTAGGGGGAGTGGATCACTTGAGGTCAAGAGTTCAAGACCAGCCTGGCCAACATGGTGAAACCCCGTCTCTACTAAAAATACAAAAAAAAAAAAAAAAAAAAAAAAAAGAGGCAGGGCACGGTGGCTGATGCCTGTAATCCGAGTACTTTGGGAGGCCAAGGTGGGTGGATCACAAGGTCAAGAGATCAAGACCATCCTGGTCAACATGGTGAAGCCCTGTCTCTTCTCAAAACACAAAAATTAGCTGGGCGTGGTGGCGCGCGCCTGTAGTCCCAGCTACTCAGAAGGCTGGGGCAGGAGAATTGCTTGAACCCAGGAGGTGGAGTTGCAGTGATCTGAGATCGCACCACTGCACTCCAGCCTGGCAACAGAATGAGACTCTGTCTCAAAAAAAAAAAAAAAAAATTATCCAGGCATGGTGGCACACCCCTATAATCCCATAATCTCAGCTACATGGGAGGCTGAGGCAGGAGAACTGCTTGAACCCAGGAGGCAGAGGTTGCAGTGAGCATAGACGGCACCACTGCATTCTAGCCTGGGCAATAGAGGGAGAATCCGTCTCAAAAAGAAGAAGAAGAAGAAAAAAAAAATATATATATATATATATATATATATATATAAAATTATGGCTACACTTATTGAAGGCTTCTTAATCCTCACAACTATTCAAAGAGGTAGGTGCTATCACACCAATATCACAGATGAGGAAACTGAGGCTCAGAGAGGCTAGGTTACAGGGCCAAGCAGGACTCAAGCCCAGAAACTGACTCTAGAGCAGACAGGTACTCATGCTCAACTACTTCCTCATACGAGCCACAGAGAAAATGATCTGGATGAGTATTTTCTCAATTCTCCAAAAGGAGGACATAACCACAGTTCTCCCAGAATGTTCAAAGGAGCAGGCTGGGGGCCTCAGTATAATGGTGACTGTTGTCATCAATGGAGAGGAAAGAACACTGTCCCTGAGCACCAGTCCCCATACTACCCTCTTTCAGGAAGTGACACTCTGGGTCTCGGGTTTGCTCGGCCATATAATGAGGGGAATGGACTATGTGACCTCAAATGGCTCTTTTGCCCTGACTCCCTAGGATTCAAGGTCACCCGGTTCCACTGCTTTCTTGTGTGTGTGATCCTGGGTAAGTTAGTTACTCTCTCTGGACATCAGGGTCTTTATTTTTAAAATGAAGATGCCTCTCCCCTCCTCACAGGGTCAGGTGAGGACCACTCAAAATGATGAAGGCAGAGAGCCTAGCATAGGACCAGACAAAGCAAGTACTGAAACATGAGGTGGGGGTGCCTCCTACAATTAGAGCAGGACTTTTTCTCATCACTGTTCACTGCCACTGGAATGAGTGTCACTCCATGACCTCATCCTGAAAGCAGATACCAGGGCTGGCAGTCCCTCCCCAACTCCCACCCTAGGCCAACAGGGCACTTTCGGACAGCCCCGCCTGGCTCCCTGATTATCATTGCCACAGTGCTTGCTTAATGAGCTGTGGCTCCAGGGAAGGGCGGACGCTGGAGCACCAGGAGCCATTTCCACTGCCTGGTACCTGGTACTGCACTGTGACGTGGTAGCTAAACACCCGGGAGAGTGGGACCCACCTGGCCCCGTACCATGGAAATCTTATCATGCCAAATGCTTCCTGGGAGGGAGCAGGGTGGGTGAGGCAAAGGCCTAGCCCAAGCCCGTCAGGGTTTTGTTTCCTGATTCTTTTTTTTTTTTTGAGACGGAGTCTCACTCTCTTGCCCAGGCTGGAGTGCAGTGGTGTGATCTCAGCTCACTGCAACCTCCGTCTCCTGGGTTCAAGCGATTCTTGTGCCCCAGCCTCCCCAGCAGCTGGGATTACAGGCATGCACCACCACGCCCGGCTAATTTCTGTATTTTTTAGTAGAGATGTGGTTTCATCATGTTGGCCAGGCTGGTCTCAAACTCCTGACCTCAAGCGACCCACCTGTGCTTGGCCTCCCAAAGTGCTGTGATTACAGGCATGAGCCATCACACCTGGCCCATTTCCTGATTCTTGACGTCAACCTAGGTTGTAATCTCATAAGTATGGGGGCCCCCTCTTTATTTTCCTGAAGCTGAGGAGACCCAAACACTGAGCTAGAAGAAGTGTAAGAGACTACTCAAAGCCAGGACTTCATCTGACTAAGAGGTGAGGGAGTGGGGTCCTGGCTTGACTTCTTGGGGATGGGAGTGAGCCTGGTGGGAGCAGGGAACTGAGGCCCAGGTTTAGAGGTAGTTAGGACGGGAAGGGTGCTATGTGCCCTATTGGGTCAGCATCTCCCGCCCCATCCAAATGGCCACTCCACTGCCTTCTTAGACCAGAGGATGTTGGGCATACTTCACTGCCTGGAAGTCCCTCAGCTAGGGAAGGGGAGAGAAGAACTGGAGCCCTGGTAATTTTTTTTTTTTTTTTTGGGACAGAATCTCAGTCTGTTGCCTAGGCTGGAGTGCAGTGGCGCGATCTCGGCTCACTGCAACCTCTGCTGCCCCAGTTCAAGCAATTCTCCTGCCGCAGCCTCCCGAGTAGCTGGAATTACAGGTGCCTGCCACCACACCCTGCTAATTTTTGTATTTTTAGTAGAGACGGAGTTTCACCATCTTGGCCAGGCTGGTCTTGAACTCCTGACCTCGTGACCTACCCACCTCAGCCTCCCAAAGTGCTAGGATTACAGGCATGAGCTACCGCGCCCGGCCTGAGCCCTGGACATTTTCTAAAGTGCCTTTCCACTGTAGCAGGAAGCCCTACAGTTAAGAAGTGAGTCGGTCAGAGCTGAGCTCTGGCCCAGAGAGAGTGAGAACCCTCCAGGGGAGTTCCCACTGCCCAGGAAGAGGAACAGTGCAGACTCCTGGGGTTCAGAAACCCTTGGTTCAGTTTTGGCTCTATTACTTGCTGGCTCTGTGACCTTCCCTGGGCTACAGTTTCCTCACAGATAAGATGATGGGGCTGGGTTAACTTCTCCAAGCTTTCCTCTAGCTCTGACAGCCCACGATTTTACATAATAACCAGCACACATCACTTTTCATTTTGCTTTGCTCTTTCATGTACATTATTTCATTTAAACCTCATGGTATCTCTCCGAGGGTCCTCCTACATTAAAGATGAGAAAACCAAAGCTCAGGGCATTTAAGCCTGAGAACATACCCAGACAGGGAGCAACAGAGCCAAGATTTACACCCTGGGTTCTGGCCAGATCCTGGGTTCCACCTAGAAGGAAATCTGCCCGGCCAGGGTGAACGGCCGCAAGTGACTGGTTTCAGGGTCCATCCCAGACTCTCCCCTCTTGAAGCTGTTCTCTTGATGCCGATAAGGAAACTCTTTCAAAAGATCCGATTTAATTTAAAAAGTTAAGCTGCAAAAGAGTACAGACAGCACGATTTTGTTTGTTTCAAGAGCAAATTGCTCTGTCACCCAGGCTGGAGTGCAGTGGTACAATCTCGGCTCACTGCAACCTCTGCCTCCCGGGTTCAAATGATTCTCCCACCTTGGCCTCCCAAGTAGCTGGGACTTCAGGCATGTGCCACCATGCCCAGTTAATTTTTGTATTTTTAGTAGAGATGGGGTTTCACCATGTTGGCCAGGCTGGTCTCCAACTCCTGACCTCAGGTGATCTGCCTGCCTCGGCTCCCAAAGTGCTGGGATTACAGGCATGAGCCACCATGCCAGACCAGCATGGTTGTTTTTATGCCAAATTTTTTTTTTTTAAAGGCAGGGTCTTGCTCTGTCAGGCTGGAGTGCAGTGGCACAATCATGGCTCACTGCAGCCTCGACCTCTTGAGCTCAAGCAATCCTCCCACTTCAGCCTCCCAAGTAGCTGGGACCACAGGCCTGTGCCACCATGCCCTACTAATTTTTTATTTTATTTTTGTAGAGACAGGGTCTCCCTAGGTTGCCCAGGCTGGTCTGAAACTCCCAGGTTCAAATGATGCTCCCACCTTGGTCTCCCAAAGTGCTGGGATTACAGGGGTGAGCCACTGTGCACAGATTAACATTTTTTATGAAAAAGTGGTTCACACCACTGTAGAGAAAAGCCCAGGATGAACTATTCAGAGTGCTCGGCCCGAGAAGCAAGGGAGTAAAAGGGGTATAACTTGCATTTTTCTTCTTTATATACTTAAGCAGTGTTTGATTTTTTTTTTTATTTCTTCCTTTTTTCTGGAAAAAAAAAAAAAAAAAAAAATCTGGAGGGAAAATGTTCTGAGCACCTGCTCTCTGAGTCAAAATTCAGTACTAAACACTTTACTGTCACAGATTATTTCATTTAATTCTCACAAAACCCTACGGAGTACAAGAATGCTCAGAGCAGCTTTATTCACAATTGTCAAAAAAAGGGAACCAATCCAAAAGCCCATCAACAGGAGAGTGAGCCAACTGTGGTGTATTCATACGAGGCAACACCGAACAGCAATAAAATGAACAAACCTCTGGTACATGTGACAGTGAAGAGGAATCTCACAGATAGGCTGAGCAAAAGCAGCCAGACACACAAGAGTACCTATGATTCCATTCAGATGAAGTTCAAGAACAGGTAAGATCAACTGATGATGATCCAAGTCAGAACTGTGGTTACCCCAGAATTATCTGCAGAAAAATGACACAGGTCAGATAATCAGCCTACAGGCATATAGCAGGCAGGTAGTAGAGCTGGGATTCAGACAGGTCTGTTGGACTCTGCAGTCTCTATTGGCCCCTGACTGCCCAGAAGGATGCCTTGAATCTCCACCTGCAGAGCCTTCTGGGCCCCTCTAGAGGCAGTCTCGCTCCTGGCTTCAGATGTGGGGACCCCCTTATCCTCAGCGCTAAGCACACATCCCTGTGGTTCAGTCACTAAGGGAAGCCTGGCTCTCCAGAAGCCTCAGCTCATGGAGAACTGCTGCTTAACTAGCAAGGGGACAGCAGCCAGGTCCACGACTCAAG
This sequence comes from Homo sapiens, assembly GCF_000001405.40. Taxonomy (NCBI): domain Eukaryota; kingdom Metazoa; phylum Chordata; class Mammalia; order Primates; family Hominidae; genus Homo; species Homo sapiens. The sequence continues at coordinate 27,136,284 of NC_000001.11, forward strand.
CTCTGGGTCTGCTGGGAGCAGGGGGCAGGAGGAGGACTGCTCTGTGCCAAGGGAGGATGCCCAGTGCACACTCACCACTCCTAACTAGCCCTGGCCCACAATAAGGGAATTTCCAAGCAGAGCTGGGCCTGGGCTTGGCCCCGCCCACTGGGCCACACTGCCTCACACTTTCCCCAGCTCTTGTTGACCCAGAAAAGTCAGACCCTGCCAGTCACCCTAACCCCTCTCCTCAACCGAGGATAAGACCAGGAGTTTTGAGGGACTCAGCTCCCCCAGAAGCACCTGCATCTTCCTGCTCTAAATTCCCAGCCCTGCCCAGGCTTCCCTCCCTCCCCTCTGAAGGGAGCCACCACCTGCTGCTTGGCACGGATACCCCTCTCCGGCTACATCCTCTCCACTCTCCCCTCAACTCCTACACAATCCCCGTCCCAAACAATTTCCTGCAGTTTCCCATCTGATCAGTTTCTTAGGAAGGATAATTATCCATGGAAGGAGGAGGCGGAAAATTCCCAGAGCCAAGAACACTGGGGGAAAAGCTTCATCTAGTCCCTTCTCCATCAGCCAGGAGAGCCCTCATCCTAAACACAGGCCAGTCATGGTCATGGCTCCTCCAGAACCTCTGCAGTTCCCCCATCTTCAGGAAAGAGCCCACACTTCTCTGCATTGAATCCAAGGCCCTCTTGATCTGTTCTAACTTAGGTTTGGGCCTCGTTGCCATTCCATTGTAAGTGGTAGTGCCAGATGGAGCCCCATCTGCCCCCAGGGCCCACCTGCAACGTGCTGTGTCCCTGCGGCACTTCAGCCTGCCTTGTGTTTTAGTTGTTTACATGTCTGTCTCCCACACACAAGTGTCAGTGCCAGCGCTTCCAGGGTGGGAACCACCAACCACGCAACTGTGTCTGCTGCATGGTAGGTGCTCAGAGGCAGGCTGAAAAGAAAGTGGGACAGGCAGGAGGCCGCCTCACCTCTGCGGAGGGAACGATGTGGGAAGAAGGACCACTTATAGCATCACAGGAGAGCCTGGACTAGAGGTCGGGGAGCTGAGCTCAATGCAGCTCTGTGGCCCTTAAGCAAGTCACTTCCGCCCTGGCCTCTGCTTCCTCTGTGAGCTGAGGGGGATGGGCCGGGCTCTGTCATCATGTCAGACATTTAGAAGCCCTTACTGCTAGGTGCTCGCCTCAGCATTCTCATTTAACCTCCACACCTTTGCACATGGGGACCACAAAGTTGCAAGTGGGGGAGGGGGGTTTCAGTCCTGGTCTTTTGATTCCCTAACCCCTTATCTTCTCCTCCTGGACTTCTGCAGTCTCTAGGATCCCTCCCAGTGCTAAAGTCTGGTTCTGATTCTAGGTCTGCCCTTTCCTGACCTGACAACTCCCCAGGCCACGACCATAGGGTTCAGCAGGGAACACGCATGTCCAACCCTGGTGTTCAGCAATGCCACGCCTCCCACATGACAGGTCTGGTGACTGTTTGCCTGCAGGCGCTGAGGCTCAGCAAGGGAGGGGTGGCCAGCAGGAGTCCAGCAGAGCCTGGTGCCCACTCAGCCCCTCCCTCCCCAATGTGCCCCTGACTCCACGCCCACTCTGCTCCAGCGTCCTGCTCGCCCCTCCCTGCTAGCAGCTCTCCTAGGCTGGAGCTTCCATCCCACTGCTGGCTTGGCCAGTGGTGCCTGTCGGGAAGCTTTACTCTGTTGCCCTCATAGACCCAGCTTGAGCTGCTGGCAGGCAGGACACTGAGTGGGGCCAGCCCAGGGCCTGAGCCGACTCTATCGCACTCCCAGGCTGTCCGCACATCCCTCCCCAGGTCAGACCATGTCATGCTACTCAAGAGCCTTTGATGGTGCCACACAGCACCATGAATCCTAGCCCCAGGCCCACGGGCCTGGCATGATCTGGCCCCTGCCCTCTTCTCCATTCTCACACCATGCTTCCCCTCTTCCCCCGCACTTCAGGTTCCTCAAGCACACCCCCCTCAGGGGCCCTGGTCTTTGGAAGATGAGCTCTTCTTGTCCTTTGGGTCTCAGCTCAGACACCAGCTCCTTAGAGAACCCTTGCTGGCCATCCAGCAGCCCCACCTCTCCCTCATGTCTGCCTTCTTCAGGACACTTACCACTACCTGACACTGCTTTGTCCACATCCAATGCTCCATGCTGGCATGGGAGCCCCCTGACATCAGGAGCCTCTTCTGTCTTGTTCCTGGCTGTGTCCTCAGATCCAGAATAGTGTCTGACATGGGGGTAGAGGCAGCTGGTGGGGCGTGTGCTGCCCGTTAGACTGGACAGTCAGGGAGGCCTCTCTGAAGAGATGACGTTTGATCTAGGGCCTGAAGGAGAGCACCGGCGCGAGGCAGTCTATGGGCAGTGCTCCAGGCTGGGGATCGAGCAAATGCCACAGCTGTATGGAGGAACAGGCCTGGCAAGGCAGATGTGCGTTAGGGACACAGGAAGGCCGGTGCGACTGGAACAGGGAAAGGGTAGTGGGGCATGAAGTGGAGAAAGGGGTGGGCCACACTTTCCTTGCATTTTCTCCCAAGTTCATCAGGAAGCATTTGAAAGGTTTTCAGCAGGGGAAACACCATGCTCTGGTTTACAGGTCTCAAAGCTCCCTGCGGCTGCTCTGGGGAGAGCTGCCTGCAGGCAGACAGCAGTGGAGCCGCAAGACCATTCAGGAGGCCCGGGAATCACCCGGGTTGGAGAAGATGGAGTGAAGAGGCAAGCCTTTGACAGGTGTGGTTGTGTTTGCCACCAGTCTGAGGAGCCCTGGCCAAGTCTACACCCCTCTGGAGTTCCAGATGCTTCATCCAGCCCCGCCCACCTACTGTCTTATTTCTCACTGACTCCTCACCCAGACTTTTCCTGCAGCTGGCTGGGCTCCCCAACAGGTGCCTGCCCATACCTAGTACTCAGAGCCTGCAAAGAGCCTTAACCGGTGTCACGGCCATTGCCTGATTGGTCACCTTCCCTCCCTCTTAGAAGGGTCTGGTGAAGGTGTCTGCACAAAGATCTCTGCTCCATGTTCATTCCAGCCACATTTCTCCCCTTCCTAAAGGTCTCCTGTTCTTTGAGGCAACAGCACAGCAATCCTCGAGCACTTAATTATTCCCTGTTTCACTTTCCTAAAGTAGCTGTAAGCTAAATAAAGCTAGATACCATGACTCGCACCCTTCGGGGCCGTCACATAGTGCAGAAGGCAATGATGCACTATGCGAAGCCCTGAGCACAAAGCCAGGCACTGGCAGGGTCTCAGTAAGTGGTAGGTAGCTCTGTCCTCACTGCCTATACCAGGGCGACAGCCATCACAGGTGCTCAGTGCCCCACAGGTGCAGTTAGCTTCTCTGCCCAGCAAAACAGGTGAGTGAGGCGTGTTTGGGGGTGAGGTGGAAGGGTTGGAAACATCCCAATGAGTTTTAGAAGCAAAGGTCAATGGTTCTGCATGATCTGTGGCTCTGTGTCATTCACATCTCTGTGCCCTTCTCCAGTTCTCCCCTCTATGTGAGCTAAGCACACTCATTGTTTTTTTTTTTTTTTGAAACAGAGTTTCGCTGTCGCCCAGGCTAGAGTGCAGTGAGGCGATCTCGGCTCACAGCAACCTCCACCTCCTGGGTTCAAGCCATTCTCCTGTCTCAACCTCCCAAGTAGCTGGGATTAGAGACTTGCACCATCACACCTGGCTAATTTTTGTATTTTTAGTAGAGATGAGCTTTCACCATGTTGACCAGGCTGGTCTGGAACTCCTGACCTCAAGTGATCCGCCCATCTCAGCCTCCCAAAGTGCCGGGATTACAGGTGTGAGCCACCGCACCTGGCCAAAACACTCATTCTTAACCTTCAGGACCCAGCTCAAAGCTCTGGGAAGCCTTTCCTGACCCACCCACCTCCACTCCTCCCTCCCGCACACCCACAGCTCTGCAGGCTCCTGCTGCAGCACTTCACAGCACATCACAAGTGCCTGTTTACATGCCAGCCTCTCCCTTGAGGCTGGGATTATATTTATCCATCTTTCCATCTTCAGTACAGTATTTATCAGCACGAATCCATTTGCTGAACATGTGTCTCCCCACCTCCCAACTAAAGAACGAGCTCAGACAATTCAGCTAATGGTCTCATTTGCACCCCTAACCTCAGTACTCAGCTCACCCCAATGCCCTCCAGTCCATATACCTAAAACCATCCTCCAGTGCTTGACCCCACCCTCACCTCTTCCTTTAAGGCTCCAGGAATAGTAGCAACTCCCATTAGTGAGCACTTACAATGTGCTCAGGGCTTTACAGACATCACCCCCCTTTAGACTGGGGAAACTGAGGCTCAGACAGGGTGATGTAGCTTAAAAAGGGCACACCTTTTCCCCTTAATACTGGCATCACTCACCTAGCACTTATCATAGCTGGGACTATTTTTAAAACCATCATCTGTTCTGCAAAATTGAGTGCTTTTATAGCTACACATCAAGTTGTCATACAAAATCACCCTTTGCTCATTAAATGTTTCAGACGATCAGTCTTGCTACTCCAGCTAGGTGGGGTAACATAACATAAATGTTATGTAGGAGAAATGGCACAGGACTTGGAAGGGGAAGTCCTGGAGTCCAGCTTCAGCTCTGCCACAGTCAGGCTATATGACACCAGGCGGGTCACCTCCACAGCCCAGGCACGGCAGCTCACGCCTGTAATCCCAGCAATTTGGGAGGACAAGCTGGGGGGATCACTTGAGGTCAGGGGTTCAAAACCAGCCTGGCCAACATGACAAAACCCCATCTCTACTAAAAATACAAAAATTAGCCAGGCGTGGTGGCACAAGCCTGTAATCCCAGCTACTCGGGAGGCAGGAGAATCGCTTGAAGCAGGGAGGCAGAGGTTGCAGTGAGCCAAGATTGTGCCACTGTACTCCAGTTTGGGTGACAGAGAGAATCTCCATCTCAAAATAAAAAATTAAAAAAAATTTTTTTAAAACAGGATAAGTGACTTGCCCAAGGTCACGGTGCTACAAAGTAGTAGAGCTGAGATTTGAACCCAGGTCTGTCAAGCTGCAAAGCTTGTTTTTCTAACCACCATGCCTGTGGGCATGTTTCCAAAGGGAACTGCTCTGGGACATTCTTCTGCAATCCAGAGGTTCTGCCCCAAGTAGAAGCTTCTGGCTGTGCCCAGTGAGATTTCATTCAAGTATCTCATCTAAATCCTACATATACTTCAAGGCCTAGCTCAGTGGTCACTTGCACAGCCTACTGGGATCTTCCCAGGTACGAAATTCTCTCTCCCACCTCTAAACTCCCGTAGAATTCCATCTGCACTTCAAATCACACCCCCTTTCTACTGTCTGACTGTTTTGCATCTGTACCGCATTTCTCAAACAAGTCGTTGAGCTTGGTAAAAGAAGCAGTTCTCATGCATCTCTGCACCTTCCACCAGCCAGGCAGGCAGTGCTCAGTCAGGGAAGCGGGTGGGGTAGGGTGCCTGCTCCCCTCCCCCATCTTGCTGTAACCTGAGTCTTAGGCTTTGCCCAGTTAGGTGAGTTGGCCCCGCCTCATGCTGGCATAACGCCTACCTGGTACAGCATCCAGATTCCTGTGGGTCCTGGCCACCGGGGAGATAAGATCTTATTCCCTGGCTTGATGGCAAAGATGCTATAAAAAGCACAGCACCCAAGTTCAACATTGGCTTGTGATGGACTACACGACCTGAGGGATTCAATGGGTGAAGGCAGAAGCCTCTGGGCTGTCTCAGAGGTCCCAAGACCTGTACTTGGCTCCCCTGTAAGGACCAGTGTAAGGACCAATGGTTTCTCTGCCAAGGACAGCTCCCTAATAGATACCCCAGGAGGAAGCTGCCCTTCTTTAGGCTTAAAGGGCCCACTGGAAGAACTGAGGTTTGCCAATGCTACCAATATCCAAGCCAAAAACCACAGCCCCTCCTCTCGGTCCACTGTCCAGGTCTTACTGCCTAGGGACTCCTGAGTTAGTTAACAGAGCAGGGAAGAAGACTGACTCTGCCATTAATTCACGAGTGGCCTGGGGCCAATCCTCTCTGGGCCTCAACTGGAAAAACAGAGAACTTGATCAAAACATCTCCATTTCCCTTTGGGCCTGGGGGTTACAAGCTATGATAAGGATTTTTCCATCTCTAACATTCTAGAATTAGAATATTCTATACTTTCATTCCTAGAAGCAGAGTGAGAACAGAGAACAGGGACCTTCAGTCCAGGAAACAGCAGAGGCCAGTCAGGGCTTCCTAGCTGCATCCTCAAAGCCTGTCCACCTTCAGAGGCTTTCTCTTGCGTCTGCTGCCTCAAAGGTGGTTGCTTCCCCACTAGCAGAGCCTCAGAGGTGTGCCTGGGCCCTAGCCGCTTTAGGGAAATGGGCAGGTGGCCTGAGTCACCTACTGTGTGTGAGCTGGGCTCACCATGGCAACCCAGCAGACCCAGAGGGCATAAAGAAGCCAGTACCTTCCCTGCTGCACAGTGTAGGCGGAGCATGTTGCATCTGCTTTGATTTCCAACTTAGAAAAGTTTTTCTCTACTTTAAGGACTCATTTCCCCTTCCCTTCTCTCAGGACACAGCTTACTCACTCTGGGGTCCTTCTCCTTGCCTGGAAGGTATTCTGCAGTCCCACAGGCAAACCCCACTCATCCCAGAATTAAGTACCACCTCCTCCAAGGATTCATCCCAGACCAGTTAGTCCTCTACCCTTCTTCAAGTTCCCACCACACAAAAGGCAGAAGCTCTTAACCTTCAGAATCTGTGGCTTACACACTGACAATCAACTGTGTAAAAAAAAAAAAAAAAAAAAAAAATCTGAGTCTATCATGGGCCTTCTCCCTTGATAAAATCACATATATACAACTGTCTGCAGACTATTTTGGGAGCTCCACAAACTTTATCATGGACTCAGAAACAATCTTAGAAACCTAGATCCTAGAACAACAGATCATCCAGTCCATCCTCTCACCTACACCAGAATCCCTTAGCAACCCCTCCTGAATGATGTTCCTCTTCTACCCCTGGCCCACCTCTCAAGGCCGCCTCCTTCAAGAAGCTTCCCTCATCTCTCCTCTCCTCTGATTCCCCCAAGCATCCAGCCTGAACCACACAATTTCCCACCTGTGCTTTCTCCCTTGTATGTTGTCTCACTTCCCCAGCAAGAAAGCTGACTCCCTGTGGGCTCATTTCTTCAACCTTGTAACCCTCAGCTGGACTTAGAGATGACCGTGATCTGTACTTGTACAAAGCCCTGTGCTTTGAAGCCAGGGCTCAATGACAGCACTGGCCCACTCCCAAAGGATAGAGCTGTGGAATTCCCCATCTGAGGGCCTCACAGTCTGCTTAGGCCTCAACGGAACAGAGGCTTCCCTGGAATGACCGCCTTTCCCACAGGACAGCCCCAGAGAGCCCTTCAAGATGAAATCGACAGATAGGGAAACTAAGGCCCAGGAAGGCAAACATAGCTTAGCAAAGGTCAATATGCAGGAAAGAGGCGAGCTAGGACTAAGACCCAGGTCCCCAGTTACCAGCCTAGAGCTCGTTTCCTTTATGCAATGGCTTTATGAAAACTAAATTTGCCTTGCATGCACACACACTCACATACTCAATATATACATGGAGAATTTCTAAAAAAGATGGACAAGACAGTTAACAGTGGTAACCTCTGGAATGTATGACAGTGGGGGTGGTCAGAGAAGTAATGAGGGGGACTTTTCCCTTTCACCTCAATACCCTCTGTACTGTTGGGTTTTATTTTTGTTGTTTTGTTTTTACCATTGACATGTTTTATTTATTCATATTATAAAAATAAATCTGCCATAGAAAGGAGATTCTGGCCCAGCCCACCCATTCCCAACACACATTAAAGCAAAGAGAAGCCATAAGTAAATCTGTCCAGGTACAACTATAAATTAACAAGATTGCCTTCTTGTATGGTTTAAAGCCACTGGTCTCATTAATTCACAGTCACAGTGCAGTTTACGGCTTGAGGAATCTTCCCAGGAAAAGCTTAATTCAATTAGGGCTCTCGGCAGCTCCCCAAGGAAGCTCTGGTATCTTACTTTTACTTACACAAATTGAGGGCAGACCAAACAGATCCAGATCTTCCCAGAGAGACCCCACCCGGCCCAGAGAAGATGCCCTTGCAGACCCTCCATTAGAGCCAAGCCGAGGGAGGTGGCCAAGGCAGCACCACTTAAACACTGGCTGGCGCCTAAGGCATCATTCTGTGAGTGTCGCTCCCAGCGAGCTCAGTTAAACTCCTTGGCTTGGCAGTCTGGTGCCAAGGAGCCTCTGCAACCTTTGCTCTCCCTCCTCTCTGAGCAGTCAAACTGGTTTCTTGTCTGCCCCAGGGCTTTGCAGGGATCCTATCTTTACACTGAAGTCAATCACATATTCATTCATGTATTCCTTCCCCAAATATTTATGGAGCCTTTACTCTGTGCCAGGCACAGATAAGAAAGTGAACAGGCCAGGCGTGGTGGCTCACGCCTTTAATCTCCGCACTTTGGGAGGCCAAGGTGGGTGGATCACCTGAGGTCAGGAGTTCTAGACCAGACTGGCCAGCATAGCAAAACCCCGTCTCTACTAAAAACACAAAAAATTAGCTGGGCGTGGTGATGTAAGCCTGTAATCCCAGCTACTCTGGAGGCTGAGGCAGGAGAATTGCTTGAACCTGCAGCTACTCTGGAGGCTGAGGCAGAATTGCTTGAACCTGGGAGGCAGAAGTTGCAGTGAGCTGAGATCTCGCCACTGCACTCTGGCACTCCAACCCAGGCGAAGAGCAAGACTCCATCTCAAAAAAAAAGGAAAAAGGAAAAAAAAAAAAAAAAAGAAAGTGAACAAACAAAGTCCCTGTCCTCAAGAGGCTTACATTCTTATGGAAATTGGTACTAAGTATAGCCTGCTTATCTAATTCCTTTCCATCCTTCAAGACTCAGACTAATGTTCCACCTCCTTTGAGAGGCTTTCTCTAAACACCCCAGTCCTCAGGGACTGCTTGCTCCCTCTGTACTTTGCCTCTGCCAGGAGTCCGCCCAGCCCTGGCAGGCTGGAAGCTCCTAAAGAGCAGGGCCTGGGTTTACTCTTCTTTTGTTCCTTGATGGCCATATGCTAAATGCCTGCTAGCTGATTTCAGCTGACCTGCCTCTTCCACCCAGGATCTTAGCGAGCTGCTCTTGGTCCTGGCTGGCTGATGCAAAGACACAGCCTCTTCCAGCTTCACTTGGCATACAGCAAATGCTATGCAAGTGTTAGCTATTTATTGGTTTAGTGAACTTGTGGGCTCTAACACACAGCTGTGATATCACTCCTCCGCCTTCTGTGGCCTGGTCTCAAACAGGCTCAGCACTGTGGCAAGGCCAGTCTGGGCTTAGGGGTAAGTGCTTCCCAAGGGACAGGGAAGGGGGCCTGGGAAGGAACAGAGCTTTTCATCCTGAATCTCAGTTAGAACTGCTTAAGGACATATCTTTTCAGGAAAGAATTTGCTGGGGTAATTTGGGGGGAACTCTGGATTCTTGGCAAGTAGTATAAAAACTCAGGGCTCAGGTCTGGCCTAATAGACCCCAAAATCGGCTCTGTATATTAGATGAGCTTTAGGGGGAAGAAAATGAAGTCAGCATGATCCCAGGGAAGGCGGGCAGCCCACTGATCCAGGCCCAACCCAAAACTTAGTTCAGTTAAAATTAGATTAGCCCATAAGATTAAAATACCAACATATAATCACGGGCTGCTTTAAAGTATCAGTTGATGTTTATCGGCATCTAAAGAGACAGTTTGGCCCAGTGCAGTGTGTGCAGACAACCTTGGGGAGACATGCCTGACTCAGACATTTGCAGGGGGAGCGAGTGCTGCAAAATGAGGCCCACACAGGCGATGGATGACTCAGGAATAACCCAGGTCCTGGGTGTGCTGAGCGAGCCTTCTCTCCCTGCCTCAGGAGGAAAGGGGGCAGGTGGGAGAGGCGGTGAGGAGGAAAGGAGGCTGTGTATGGGCTGGCATTCCCAGAGACAGCCTCAGGCCCCCAGCTCTAGTTCCCCGTCACTCCTGTATTTTTCTGCATGCTGCCACCTCTGAGAAAGGTTATTTGCTTCACAGTGGGACTTGGAGTGGGTCAGCTTTTTCCCCAAACCCAAGAAGTGATCCACAGAAAGCAGCCAAGGCTCAAAATACTAAAGTCTTTAAATCTCCCCCAATTCAAAATGATTATGGGAAAAATTGAATTTCTAAACTGAAAAGGCCCTTGGAATCAGGGCATGAGGATGAAAAGAACACAGGCTCTGAAGTCAGACAAATCTGGGCTTAAACCCCAATGTTTTCTAGCTGTGCAAGTACCTTTCACAACCTCTAAACTAGATATGAATAAGTGGCAGCTTAGCTGGATGTGGTGACCTGTACCTGTGGTCCCAGCTACTCAGGAGGCTGAGGTGGGGGGATTGCCTGGAGCCAGGGAGGTTGAAGCTGCAGTGAGCCGTCTTTGCGCCACTGCACTCCAGCCTGGGAGACAGAGCGAAATCCTGTCTCAAAAATAAACAAAATAAAAAATTAATAAGTGGCAGCTAATTAACAAGTATTTAACAAATATATCACCAATTACCGGACGGGTGCAGTGGCTCATGTCTGTAATCCCAGCACTTTGGGGGGCCGGGACGGGCAGATCGCCTGAGGTCAGGAGTTCAAGACCAGCCTGGCCAACATGGCGAAAACCCATCTCTACTAAAAATACAAAAATTAGGCCGGGCGCGGTGGCTCATGCCTGTAATATCAGGACTTTGGGAGGCTGAGGCGGGCAGATCACCTGAGGTCAGGAGTTCGAGACCAGCCTGGCCAATATGGTGAAACCCTGTCTCTACTAAAAACAAACAAACAAACAAACAAACAAAAAAACCAAAAAATTAGCCAGGCATGATGGTTGGTGCCTGTAATCCCAGCTACTCAGGAGGCTGAGGCAGAAGAATCACTTGAACCCGGGAGGCGGAGGTTGCAGTGAGCTGAGATCATGCCTCTGCACTCCAGCCTGTGCAAAAGAGCGAGACTCTGTCTCAAAAAAAAAAAAAAAAAAAAAAGAAAAGAAAAAAATACAAAAATTAGCTGGGGGTGGTGGCGCATGCCTGTAGTCCCAGCTACTTGGGAGGTTGAAGTAGGAGAATCACTTGAACCTGGAGGCGGAGGTTGCTGTGAGCCGAGATCGCCTCACTGCACTCCAGCCTGGGCGACAGAGTGAGACTCCATCTCAAAAAAATAAATAAAAATAAAATAATAGGGAGTCAGGTGTGATGGCTCATCCCTATAATCCCAGCTACTCAGGAGACTGAGGCGGGAGGATCATTTGAGGCCAGGGATTCAAAACCAGCCTGGACAACAAAATTGGAAGATCCCCATCCCCCATCTCTAAAAAAACAAAACAAAACAAAATGAAAAATTAAGTATCTATATTATCAATTAGAAAACGGGCTCAGGCCAGGAGCAGTGGCTTACGCCTGTAATCCAGCACTTTGGGAGGCCAAGGTGGGAGGATCAGCTAAGGTCAGGAGTTCAAGACAAGCCTGACCAACACGGCAAAACCCCATCCCTACTAAAAATACAAAATTAGCCAGGTGTGGTGGCACATGCCTGTAATCCCCACTACTCAGGAGGCTGAGGCAGGAGAATTGCTTGAACCCAAGAGGCAGAGGTTGCAGTGAGCTGAGATTGCACTATTGCACTCCAGCCTGGGCAAAAAGAGCGAAACTCTTGTATCAAAAAAAAAAAGAAAAAAGAAAACAGGGGCTCAGAGAGGTTATGCCTTGCCTAAAGTCACACAGCTGGGCAACAGAGAGCTGAGACTAGATCTCAGGTATCTTAACCTTTCACCCCATCCTACATGTTTTCCATTGTAATCATTTCTCTGCCTCTCCTTTTCTCTCCCAGAGGGCATGCAACATTCTGGGGGAAAGGACAAGTCCTCCATTTCAAAGATTTGCTGCTCCACAGATAAGGGCTATGAGAATGTCAGTCCCCAGTGCAACTCTGGCCCTCATCCTCCTTCATGCAAATACAGGTATGTTCAAGTTGTAGAAAAGAACTTGGAGCTGAGCCAAAGCTGTCAAGGCTCCAGACCACCCAGACCCTTTAGCCCTTCCTGCCTACAGGAGGAACAGGTGTCCCTCCTGACAACAATCCAGGTTACCAATGTGGATGTGTCTGGTCATTGACTCTCCTCAAAGCCCCTTTAAATCTCTCATCCCCCTTGATCCAACAAGAACCCAGCATGTTGGCCTGGCAGGAGAGAGTTTGGCCTTGAGTGATTAGTCCCAGGCATGCTAAGTGACCTCAGGCAGGTCACAACCGAAGGCTCAATTTCCTTAGATGTAAAATGATGAACACATCAATACCACATGCTATTCTAACCCACAGGACCACTGAGAAGATCTAAATTAAATATTGTACACACAAGTGCTTTGGAAACAAATTTCAGTGCTAATGAGAAGTACTATTAAACTCCTCCTGCCTTGTAGAGCTAAACAAAGTTGTGCCACCTGCTCCCAACAGAGGCTGCCTCTCAGGGGACTCTGCTGGGCCCTGAGGGTAACCAAAAGCAGCCTGTCACCTTTCTGCTCAGAGGCGGGAGGTCATAAGGTCAGCCACCCCTTGTGGCTAAAGGAGACCACCCTTTACCTGGCACTTCCCTGCCCAAGCAGGGAAGAAGCAAGCTCTGGTCTGATGGCTGAGAGGGCACCGGAAGAGAGATAGCAGGCAGGGTTGCTAGCAGAGAACAAGGGATAGGCCTCCTGAATGCAGGATTCAGGTGCATCCAAGAAGACTCACAAAAACAAAGGACAGGTGCACAGCTGGACACAGAACACCTACAGCTTTCTCAAGGCAGGGACAGGGCTCCCACCAACGACATGTGCCCAACTCCTAGAGGGAGTCCTACAATTCCTGAGTGCAGGTGCAGTGAGCTGGGCGCTTCTCAGTGCAGGGCCATGTGCATCTGCTGCGGGAATGCCAGAGGCAGGAGATGCAGCTGCACCCCTCTAGCAGGCTATGCCAAGACTCGAACAGACAATAAATAGCAATTTGACATCACTGAAGATAACCTCTCTGAGCCATTTCCTCATCTGCAAAACAGAGACAGCTTTTATCTCATGTGATTTGAGTAGGGATTAAATAAGATTGCTTTTATAAAGTGCCTGACACTACTCTGTAGATACTAAGTGGCAACTATTATTAAAACACACACACCCGTTCAACACAGGAGATGTCACAGGGCAGGCAAGGCCTAATGCCACTGTTATGGATAAACAATAAGGGAAAAGGGTTTGGGAGAGAAAGAGAAAGTGACTGCTGTGGGCTGGGAAGACCTCCCAAAAGGGGAAGAATCTGCACGGCCCTGAAAGTTACTACAGTGAGCTGGGCACTCTACCAGGCATTCCCACGTTCAGCCTCTACGTTGGTCTTAAGGATGAGGCAAGTCAGGTTCAGAGAATGAGGTGCATGAACCTCAAGGTTCATGGTCACACAGGTACTGAGAGGCAGCATCAGGAGCAGAACCCAGGGCTTCTGACTACGTCTTTCCTTTGTACCAGGGCTGGACGCCATGGGGCTGGCTTGGAAGGAGAGGAAAGGCAAACTTCGAGGGTGCTCAGCTGAATGAAGTCTGGGCAATCTGACCAACTAAGCCCTCTAAGTGCCTTGGCACTCCTAGAGACACATGTCCTACCTGAAGCCTTCCTCCCAGTCCCCAGCTGACCTCCCTCCCACTGTTCTGCAGTCAGTCTGCTATTTTCCCAAAGAGAAAAAGGTCATCGCTTCCTTTTTAGAGTCCTATCTGGGCTTCTTGAGACAGTTTCAAGGTGACCTTTAGGCTATTTGTTCTTCTCTTCTTTTGAGAAGTGAGAGAGGCACCTTCTAGTGTCATTTTTATAGGAAACCAGTTGCTGGGTCTGATATCCATGCATGTGAAGTGGGCAGTGACCCCATCTCCCCTATTCACAGACTTAATCTACAGAGGAGATGGCAGGATTCGCCTTGCAAAGACCAAAACCAAAAAAAGCTATAAGATATAAAGGGACAAAAGAAGCCTTTTGTGTCCCTGGTCAGGAGACAAGATGAATACCTGCTTTATGGGCTCCCGGGCCTCTGCCAGGCATTCTGGGTCAGGAACATGGGTAAACAATTGCAGGAGATGCCAGTGGTGAGCTGAGTTACAGTGAGGCTCTCCTCTGGAATAAGTACTAGCCTGGGAGTCAGGTGAACATGGAACAAAGCAGAGTTCATGCGGGGTCCACAGCACAATGTGGGGTGGGGAATGCACCTAACTCCTAAGGCTTGGAGTCATTCCCACAGTTTTCCCAATAGCCTAAATCCTCTTCACACCACTGGCCCCTCCCCACCAAGGACAAGCAAGAATTCCTGACTGCTGGGGAGAGAAAAAAGGTCCAGAGAGGGAAGGTGACTTACCTAATGTCACCCACTGAGTCAGAGGTAGACTAGAACCCAGAAGCAACTATTCTAGAACTTCAGCTCCCACCCTGCTCCTCCCACCCCAGTCTCTGCAAGAGTCTACCCGAGGCTCTGCTCCATGGTTAGGGTAGGAAGGAGAACTGCAAAGCACTTTCTATTCTTATAGGAGGGGTAACCTGCAAGGGAAGCAGCTGCCATAGATGACAGAATGAGGGCTCCAACGGAACTCCTACCCACGCAGGGGTGTTGAGAGAATAGGCAAGACCCCAAAATCAGCTCCCAGGCTCTTGGGTATCTGAGAGTGCAGAGGGAGCATGGCCTCAGCCCCCCACCCTTATCCCTACAAGGCAGCTGGTGTCATCTTCCCTCCCGCCATGACCAGCTCAAGTGAACAGTATAGGACACATGGAAACCCTGATACCCTAAGGAAGGACATTGGTGGCAGCCTAGGTTTGAGAGATTTGTAATCCTTCAGCTCAGAGGAAGGTTGTAGGAGGCTGAGGTAGGGATGCATTTGCTGTAGGTGGTTAAAATATTAACAGGGGCAGCTGTCACTCATTGAACACTTCCTGTGTATACAAACTTTTATGTGCATTTATTTATGTAATAATCACATTAATAGCACTATAACTGGATACTATTAGTTCCCATTTTATTTTTTTTTATTTATTTATTTAGAGACGGAATTTCACTCTTGTTGCCCAGGCTGGAGTGCAATGGCGCAATCTTGGCTCACTGCAACCTCCGCCTCCTGGGTTCAAGCGATCCTCCTGCCTTGGCCTCCAGAGTAGCTGGGATTACAGGCAGCCGCCACCATGCCCAGCTAATTTTTTGTATTTTTAGTAGAGACGGGGTTTCACCATGTTGGCCAGGCTGGTATCAAAACTCCTGACTTCAGGCGATCCACCCTGCCTCAGCCTCCCAAAGTGCTGGGATTACAGGCGTGAGCCACTGCGCCCAGCTTAGTTCCCCTTTTATACATGAGGAAACTGAGGCTCAGAGATGCTGCTAAGTGGCAGAGTGGTGGCTGAATTCCACACTGCAAAGGTGAAGCTGGGAAAAATGGGCTTTCATTTTTGAGGCCTGAACAGGGACTCTTCAGATCTTTAGACCACCTTTCTCTCCACTCATGGCCAGATGCTAGAACTCCTGTTTTCAGAGGCAGAAAAATGCCTTTCCAAGGCAGAAACAGACTTTTGGAAAGGAGACCACATCCAGCCTCATCATTTTACAATGGGAAAACTGAGGTCCAAGGCTGAGTGACTTGCCAGAGTTTCCAGAGTCAGTGGAATGACAGAAATATCACACCTGGAAGGGACCACAAAGATCAACTGATGGGTAGGGAGGCGTGACTGGTCCAAGGACAGAGGGAGGTAGGAAGAGAAGCCAGGTTTTCCTGACTTCTAGACTGATATTGTTGCCATGACACCATCTCTGCTCTCCAGCTGCCCAGGGTCCCGGGCACAGCACTTGGGTGGTGACAAAGCAGGCCAGGCCAAGCTGACCTCATTAGCACTAGAGATACCAGGCCTGCAGGGACAAACTTCTGACTGCCTAGAGTGGGGTCTCTGCAGTCATGCTGTCATCCCACCAGCAGCCACTGACACTCAAAGTGTGTCTGCCAGCCCTGAATGCCCTAATGTAATGCCAGGTGTGGTGGGCAGGTGAGGGGATCGGGGACAGGAGGCAATTTATAGATTGCACTTGTGAGGTCTCCTCCTGGTCTCACACAGTCAAATGACATCACTGTCACTTCAGCTTCTTACAGCAAATCAGACGACATTTCATGACTCAATTGGTGTGGTCAAATTGAGAGTCTTAACCATTTCACAGGTGAGGGAGACCTGCAGAAAAAGGCCTCAGCTATTCAAGGTCATGCATTTATGTCAGAATCAGTACACATGGTTCCCCTTGTCCAGTCCTTGATTTCTCTCCAGGAAGCTAACTGCCATCAAGGTATAGGTGCTGATGGCTTAGTTCCATGTAAGGCTCTGCTACTGTGACCAGCTTGGCACAAGAGCCCTGCACCAGGAACCCAGCTCCTGGATCTGTCAAATTAGAGGCACCACTTCCCTCCCGCTGCATGTCCCAGAGCCTGCCTCACACCAGCCCGGCAGCACCGCTCAGCTCCTGCATGTCCTTGGGAGAGCTGGAAGGTTTCCTGCCAAATTCCCAAACCCAAATCTCAGGCAGAGGGGACAGCAGAGTCCCAGGACCTCATGCCTTCCACAGCCAGCTGGGGGCAAGCTGAAAATGCAAAGGCAGTTGTCAAAGTCCCCCTGAACACCACTTTCAGGGACTTCTGGGCAATGTAGGCTCCAGTAAGCTCCCCCAATCACTCAGCAGAACAGAGTGCTCAGGCCTAGCAGGGAGACCAATACTCTGAGAGCAAATAAGTTGTCTGTTTCCTTCTCCCCAAAAGAAGGTTTCAAAGTCTCTTCAGGCCTGAACATCCCTAGGCTCCCCCATCTACCTCATCTACTTGATTGAGCAGCAGGCCAGACAGCACCCTGAGACACAGCCAGGCAGCGACCTGGGGGTGAGCTGGGGTCAGACCAAGCCTCAACCTCCTCTACTCTCCCTCCACTTCCAAAACAGACTTCAGAAATTTCCAGGGCCCCTTGTCCCACAGATTCTATAAAGTATGGCATTCCTGGGCCGGAAATTGACTCAGGGGCTCCTAACTAGCCTGGACAAGCAAAGCTGACAGATAACATTCTGGAGATGAAGGAAAGGTGGGAATATGGGGATCCCCTGTGTTCCACCACACTTGTAAGTTTCCTGTGCCCAGGTCTCCACTATGCTTAAACTCCTCAAGCAGGCCAAGTAGAAATATACTCCATCCTGGAACACGCTCCAGTGAAGCCTGTCATAAATTGCACTGGTTGCTGTTGACAGAGCAGAATGTGCCACTCGCCAGAAGACACTCCTTTCTGTCTCACACACAGCGGGGTGCCTGGCTCCCCTGGGGGTCTGGCCCAGCCAGAGGAGACTTGCCAGTCGTGGAAGCCTTACTGAAGGGACCTAGGATCAGAGGCATCCCATTCTCTAATCCTGCTCTCTTCTGTGCACAGTGCTGGCTCCAATCTTGGGAAGCCTCAGATCACAGATCAGAAGCCACAGAACTGGAGCCTGAGAAGGACCAAGGTGGCAGGATGGAGACTGCCTACTTTATGGGGGTAGTTCAGATCCTTACTCCTGGACAGCCTCAAATGGTGCGAGATGAGGCAAGAAGCTCACCAGTCTGGTGGCGGCCGCAGCATCGGAGCAAACGGGACTTACCTATCTTCATGAGGCAGGCCAGAAGGATCCAGAGGGAGATCTCGAAGGGGGTGCGCACGTGTGTGTAGTCGATGCCCAGGACTGGAAAGGCCTTGCGCGGCTTCATGCCATGATCAGTGACGGAATGATTAACAGGGCGGCTCTCTGGGGTGACCTCCGGTGGAGCGGTGGTGACATCCCCAATCGAGCGTTCTCGTGGTGGCTCTGAGCTTCGAATGGTGCTGGCAGTTGGGCTGAGCTGGAGGCCATGGCTCCTGAGAACAGGCAGCAGCCCCACCAAAGCAACCACCACGAGTAAGGAAGGGAAGATCCGATGTGGAGAGAGGCCACAGATGCCAGACCGCAGAACCATGGTGCTGCTTCCAGAGCCAGCCTCGACCTTACCCAAATGAGAGTAAAACCGGGCACATAGGTAGCAAAGGGTCAGCAAGTGGGAAGAGAGACTGGCGTAGTCTCTAGGAAAAGTTCATGTTTTAGAGAGGCATTTCCATGGAAGCAATTTTCTGGGGGTGGAGGGAGGCTGGGTTTGCAATCTGGAACTCCAAAGTGGGGAAAGGGGGCAAGGACCCAGGAACGACCACGAAAGGAGACCAAAAGGTCTGGAACTCCGGGCCTGGGAAGGGGGAGGACGGATGTGGGAAACTGAGCCCTAGGGATAGAGGAAGGGGCAGGATAGGGATAGTGCAAAGGAAAGGAAGAAGGAAGGCTGGGACCTTTGGCTGAGGAAAGTGACTGAGGAGCTGGGACTCTGGGCTGTGGGCTAAAGGAAGGGGTAGGGAGCCTGAGCTAAAGGAAGGGGACCGAAGGGGGTGAGAGCCAGTCCAGGAAAAGGAGAGAGGGGGCTGGGAGCCCAGGCTGAGAAGGAGTGAAACCGGGAAGCGGCCGGGAGCTTCTCCACCCAGAGAGGGGCAGGGGTCCAGGCGCGCCGGGCTGAGATTCCGGGGAAATGGAAAGAGGCGGAAGGCAGGCGGCCTGGCGGGAAGGCGCCTCGGCGCGGGCTGGGGGCGGCTCGCGGTGGGCCAGCAGCAACACGCCCCTCCTCGCGGCCCTGGCGCGACGCGGCGCTCCGCCCCGGCCCAGCTGCAGCTCCTCCTGGTCCAGCTCCAGAACTAACCCTAGCCCCGGCCCCGGCGGCAGCAGACTGAAGCCTAGCTGAGCCCGGCGCTGTCACTTATAGGCACCAGCGAGCAGCCGGTGCGGCGGGCTAGAGAGACCGTCGGCACCCGCCCAGCGCAGCGGCCCCTGTCGCCGAGGGAAAGAAGTATCGCGTAGGAAGAGGAAGGAGAGTCAGAGATGACAAAAAAAAAAAAAAAAAAAAGTCCTGAATATACAGAGAACCTCACTAACGCGAGTAAAATGCCGACTACTTACAAAACGATTTCACGTCCACATCTGCAGTCTCATAAGGGCTTTCGAATAATCCTGTGAAGAATGTATTATTAGTTTATGTATTTAGTTACCGTGTGACCTTGAGCAAGTTACTTAACCTGTTTCACAACTTTCTCATCTGTTAAGTAGAGACAGTAATAGTGACTATGTCAGAGGGATGATGTAATGACTGAGACAATCCGTGTAAACTATTTGGAATGCACCCTGGCACATTATTACAATTCCACTTTTACAGATGAGGAAACAGGTGAAGAGAGTCCCCTGGCTACTATGCAAGTAGTTGTATTGCTTACTAGGGCTGCCGTAACAAAGTATCACCCCAAACTGGGTGGCTGCAACAACAGAAATTGATTGTCTCACAGTTCTGGAGGCTGGAGGTCGGATCTAGGTGTTGGCAGGGTTGGTTTCAGCTGAGAGCTATGAGGGAGAATCTGTCCCATGCCTTTCTCCTACCTTCCAGTGGTTTGTTAGGACTATCTGGTATTCCATGGAGTTCTCCTGGTGTCTCTGTCTCTGCGTCCAGATTCCCCGCCCACACTTTATTTTTATTTTTATTTTTTTTGAGATAGAGTCTGGCTCTTGTTGCCCAGGCTGGAGTGCGGTGGCGCCATCTCAGCTCAATGCAACCTCTGCCTCCTGGATTCAAGCGATTCTCCTGCCTCAGCCTCCAGAGTAGCTGGGATTACTGGCACCCACCACCACGTCCAGCTAATTTTTGTATTTTTAGTAGAGATGGGGTTTCACCATGTTGGTCAGGCTGGTCTCGAACTCCTGACCTCAGGTGATCCACCCGCCTCGGCCTCCCAAAGTGCTGGGATTACAGGGGTAAGCCACAACCCCCAGCCAGATTTCCCCTTTTTATAAGGACACCAGTCATTGGATTAGAAATCCAACGTAATTACCTCATCTTAACCTGAACATCTTCAAAGACTGCATCCTAATTAGTCCATCTTCATAGGCACTGGGCATTAGGACTTCAACTTCTTTTGCCGGGACACAATTCAACCCACAACAGTGGCATGCTTTAAGTAGTGGAACTTAAATTTGAACCTATAGTTTGGTTGAAATTGGTGAGGTTCAAGGGATCATGGCTGTACAATGGAATCACTGGAAAGCTTTTTTAAAATACCATTGTCTAGGCCGGGCGTAGTGGCTGACGCCTGTAATCCCAGCACTTTGGGAGGCCGAGGCGGGCGGATCACGAGGTCAGGAGATCGAGACCACGGTGAAACCCGGTCTCTACTAAAAATACAAAAAATTAGCCGGGCGCAGTGGCGGGCGCCTGTAGTCCCAGCTACTCGGGAGGCTGAGGCAGGAGAATGGCGTGAACCCGGAAGGCGGAGCTTGCAGTGAGCGGAGATCGCGCCACAGCACTCCCGCCTGGGCGACAGAACGAGACTCCGTCTCAAAAAAAAAAAAAAAAAAAAAAAATTAGCCGGGCGTGGTGGCACATGCCTGTAATCCCAGCTAGTCAGGAGGCTGAGGCAAGAGAATCACTTGAACCCAGGAGGCGGAGGTTGCAGTAAGTCAAGATTGCACCACTGTACTCCAGCCTGGGCAACAGAGCGAGACTCTGTCTCAAAAAAAAATAAATAAATAAAAATAAATACCATTGTCTGATAAAATTAGCTGTGCTTGGTAGTCCTAGCTGCTTGGGAGGCTGAGGCAGGAGTATCATTTGAACCTAGGAGTTTGAGACTACAGTGAACTATGATCCACCACAGCACTCTAGCCTGGGCAACAAAGGGAGACCCTGTCAATCATAGTAATCATCATCATCATCATCTTTTGTAAAATATCATTTTCGGGGACCCACCGTCAGAGATTTAGATTCAATTACTTCAGGGTAGTGCCAAAGTATTTTTTTCAAAGGCTCTGATATACAACTAGGGTTGGGAGGTATAGAAATCACTGAAATGCTGTCCCTGTTTTGCAGAAGAGTACATTAAGGCCAAAACAGTCAAAGTGTCTAGCTCAAGGTCACATCACAAGTACTTGAGATTCAATTTAGTTTAACAAATGTTTACTGGGCCTCTTGACAGGGCTTTGTGCTGGGCTCTGGCAACACAGAGATAAGCCAGAGGGAGGAAGGAGGTGGTAGGAATTGGGAGGGGGCATAAAGTGGACATAATGAGGGCTTCTAGAATGCTGGTAATGTTCTATTTCTTTACTGGGTGATAGCTACAAAGGTTACAGCGACGTAGTTGTTTCGTGATAACTCACTGAAGACTCAAGATGTGTGCACCTTTTTCTAGGTATGCTATCCTTCCATGGAAAAATATATTAAAATAATAATAAGCTAGCAGCAGTGGCTCATGCCTGTAATCCCCGCAACTCAGGAGCCTGAGATGGGAGTATCAGTTGAGGCCAGGAGTTTAAGACCAACCTAGGCAACATAGGGAGACCCTGTCTTTAAAAAAAATAAGTAAAATAAAATAATAATATCCAGGTGCAGTGGCATGCACCTGTAGTCCCAGCTACTTGGGAGGCTGAGGCAGAAGAATCACTTGAACCCAGGAATTTGAGGCTGTAATGCACTATGATTGTGCTTGTGAAATAGCCACTGCACTCCAGCCTGGGAAACATAGTGAGACCCATCTCTAAAAATTAATTAGGCCAGGCACAGTGGTTCACGCCTGTAATTCCAGCACTGTGGGAGGCTGAGGCAGGCAGATCACTTGAGGTCAGGAGTTCAAGACCAGCCTGGCTAACATGGCAAAACCCTGTCTCTACCAAAAAATACAAAAATTAGCTGGGCGTGGTGGAGCATACCTATAGTCCCAGCTACTTGGGAGGCTGAGGTGGGAGAATCCCCTGAACCCAGGAGACGGAGGTTGCAGTGAGCTGAGATTGTGCCACTGCACTCCACCCTGGGTGACAGAGGGAGACTCTGTCTCAAAATAAATAAATGAATATAAAAATAAAATAATTAATAAAGTGATATGATAGTAACTGAAGGTGGCAACATTAAACTGAGTTCTCTCTCTCTCTCTCTTTTTTTATAATCCCATGCCTAAACTGAGTTCTCTGTACCTCACATTCTCCAGGCACAAATTCCAGCCACCTGGGAAATGACAAAAGAGACTTCAGAGAAGGGCAGGGGACTTGTGTCATCTGGGAGCAGATGAAAGGAGAACATCAGCTATAATGAAAGTAACCAAAGAGCATTTCGAGCAAGGATCAGAATAATAACAATAATGCCTCACAATTGTTCAGCCCTTTAGAGTTCACAACCAAGTGCCCCAGGTTTATCAATGATCCAAATGCTAGGCTGGGTGCGGTGGCTCATGCCTGTAACCCCAGCACTTTGGGAGGTCGAGGCAGGTGGATCACCTGAGGTCAAGAGTTTGTGACCAGCCTGGCCAACACAGCGAAACCCCGTATCTACTAAAAATGCAAAAATTAGCTGGGTGTGGTGGCATGTGCCTGTAGTCCCAGCTACTTGGGAGGCTGAGGCACGAGAATCACTTGAACCCAGGAGGCAGAGCTTGCAGTGAGCTGAGATCACACCACTGCACTCCAGCCTGGGTGACAGAGTGAGACCCTGTCTCAGAAAAAACAGTACCTATTATTCTATTTTTTTCTTTTGAGACAGAGTTTCACTCTTGTCACCCAGGCTGGAGTGCAGTGGCGATCTTGGCTCACTTGCAATCTCCACCTCTCAGGTTCAAGTGATTCTCCTGCCTCAGCCTCCCGAGTACCTGGGATTACAAGCGGCTGCTACCACACCCAGCTAATTTTTATATTTTTGGTAGAGATGGGGTTTCACCACGTTGACCAGGCTGGTCAGGAACTCCTGACTTCAGGTAATCCACCTGCCTTGGCCTCCCAAAGTGCTAGGATTACAGGCGTGAGTCACCGCATCTGGCCAAAGAGTAGCTATTATTCTCATTCCCATTTTACAGGTGAAAAGACAAAGGCCCAGAGACATAAAGCTATTTGCCCAAGGTCACACATCTATTAAGATGCAGATCCATGCCTGGCACAGTGGCTTACACCTGTAATCCCAGCACTTTAGGAGGCCGAGCCGGGCAGATCATTTGAAGTCAGAGGTTCAAGACCAGCCTGGGCAACATGGTGAAACCCCATCTCTACTGAAAATACAAAAATTAGCTGGGCGTGGTGGCAGGCACCTGTAATCCCAGCTACTCAGGAGGTTGAGGCAGGAGAATCACTTGAACCTGGGAGGCAGAGGTTGCAGTGAGCCAATAAAATTAAATTAAAATTTAAAAAAAGAAGCAGATCCAAGACTTAAGTCAGGTTTCTAACACCTAAGTCCAGCACCCTTTTAAAACATCACAGGTTCAGTGTAAAAAGAAGAAAAGAGGGAAAGGATGGGGCTGGTGGAGTGACTTTCCACAGGTGCCCTGGGGCCAGAAGCCCAAGACCTACTGTTCTTTCCAGTCTTGAAGGCAACGTTCACTGGTGTGCTCCCCACTCTCTAATTCTCCCTCACTCAGGCCTCAGTGAGTCTTTGGGTGCCAGTCTGGGACGTGGTAGATCCCAGGACAACCAGGAAATGCCAGCCCTGAGATCCTCCACGGCCTGGAGAAGGTTATAACAACAGAACAATATCAGGAAACAGGCCTTGGGAGAAACCACATGGGAGAGCCGATGGCCAAGGCCCAGCCTGGGCAGGCAGTGTAGAATAATGGATAGTTAAATGCTGGGACTGCCGAACATGGGTAGCCACATGGTCTCCTTTCAGTGCTCTGGCACCACCGCTCACTAGTCATGAGACCCTGGGCAAATCAGTGCCTGTTCTACAGCTTCTTCCTCCATAAGGGGGGACAACAATAGTGTCAACCTCATGGGGCTCTCATGAAGATATTAGCCAATGTATGCGAAGCATTTACCACTGCCCCCAGCAAGTACCACATATATTTACCATCATTCTATTTATTTACATGCACCGAGGACCTCAAGAGTAGACTTTTGATGTTGGGAACCACATGAAGTTCTGCCTTCAGTCACAGAGAAAATTGACAGGCTGGAAAACAGACCCTCACATCCGTGAGATGGGTCCCACCATCAGACCAGCTGCTATGAATTTAATATTTGTAAATAAATCACATTGATGTGTATTGTATGTTAAAAGCCTTATCTTCTTCTTCCTCTTCTTTTTTTTTTTTTTTTTTTTTGAGACTGAGTCTCGCTCTGTCGACCTGGCTGTAGTTCAGTGGTGCAATCTCAGCTCACTGCAAGCTCCGCCTCCCGGGTTCACGCCATTCTCCTGCCTCAGCCTCCCGAGTAGCTGGGACTACAGGCACCTGCCACCACGCCCGGCTAATTTTTTGTATTTTTAGTAGAGATGGGGTTTCACCGTGTTAGCCAGGATAGTCTCGATCTCCTGACCTCGTGATCCGCCCGCTTCGGCCTTAAAAGCCTTGTCTTCTTAAAAATAATCAGTCAAGGCCAGGCGCGGTGGCTCACGCCTGTAATCCCAGCACTTTGGGAGGCTGAGGTGGGCGGATCACGAGGTCAGGAGATCAAGACCATTCTGGCTAACACGGTGAAACCCCGTCTCTACTAAAAATACATAAAATTAGCCGGGCGTGGTGGCGGGCGCCTGTAGTCCCAGCTACTCGGGAGGCTGAGGCAGGAGAATGGCGTGAACCCGGGAGGCGGAGCTTGCAGTGAGCTGAGATCGCGCCACTGCACTCCAGCCTGGGCGACAGAGCAAGACTCTCATCTCAAAAAAGAAAAAAAAAAATCAGTTAAAATACATAGCAATATTTGTAACCATGTTTGAGCAAGTCATTTTTTGTTTTTTGTTTTTTGTTTTTTTAAGATGGAGTTTCACTCTTGTTGCCCAGGCTGCAGTGCAATGGCGCGATCTCAGCTCACTACAACCTCTGCCTCCTGGGTTCAAGCGATTCTGCTGCCTCAGCCTCCCGAGTAGCTGGGATTACAGGCGCCTGCCACCATGCCCAGTTAATTTTTTGTATTTTTTGTAGACACAGGGTTTCACCATGTTGGCCAGGCTGGTCTCGAACTCTTGACCTCAGGTGATCCACCTGCTTCGGCCTCTAAAAGTGCTGGGATTACAGGCGTGAGCTACCACACCCGGCCAAGTCCTCATTTTTTAACCATTCCAGGCCCACACTGCTTTTGACTCGGAGAGGCCAGGTCTCTGCAGACCCTTCCCCTGCAGATCCAGGACAGCCTCAGGAAGCCTGGACCCTGGGTGGCATCTCCCCCTGCTTAAGCCATGTCTGCTCCCCAATCCCCTCCTTGAATCCTTTCACTAAAAGTGCCTGGAGTTTTATGGCACAAAATGCATGGCCCTAGGAAAGAATCTGCTCAGCCCCTATTAGCTGCGCATTATGAGCAAGTCACACCTTGTTTCTGTCTCTCGCTGTGTTCATGTATATGAAAGCTGGGTGGAGTCACATTACTTGCTTTGTAAGGTTTATTGTAAGGATGAAAAGGCCACTGTATGTCAAGCATAGTTCCTGGTACACAGTCAGCACGCAGTGACTGGGTTCATTTCCTTCTTTTGTTTTTTTTTTTTTTTGAGACAGAGTCTTGCTGTCACCTAGGCTAGAGTACAATGGTGCAATCATAGCTCACAGCAACCTCAAACTCCTGGGCTCAACCGATCCTCCAGCCTCGCCCTCCCGAGCAGCTTGGACTACAGGTACATGCCACCACACCTGACTAATTTTTAAAAATATTTTTGGTAGGGATAGGGTCTTACTATATTGCCCAGGCTGGTCTCAAACCCCTGGTCTTGATTGATTCTCTTGCCTGGGCCTCCCAAAGTATTGGGATTACAGGGGTAAGCCATTGTACTCAGCCGCTCCTTCTTTCATCATAATGTCACAGCCCAGCAAAGCCTTCTTCCAGTCTCCCCGGCACTCACTTCACCACTGCCTCCTTCTATTTCTCAAACACTGGCAGACACACTTCTGCCTCAGGGTCTTTGCACTTGCTATTCCTTCTGCCTGGAACACTCTTCCCCAGATATCCACATGGCTGGTTACCTGACCTCCTTCAAGCCTTTCTGCGAATCTCGCTTCCTGACATGGCCTACTATGTTATAATCCTATGTAATAGTGACACTTCCCCTGCCTGGCCACCACCACTACCACCCAGCCCCTTCCCCTGCTCCTTTTTTCTTCTTTGTATAGCATGTTTCACCTTCTCACATACAGTATAATTCTCCTATTTGTTACTTTTATTCTTTTTTTTTTTTTTTTGAGACAGAGTCTTGCTCTGTCACCCAGGCTGGAGTGCAATGGCATGATCTCGGCTCACTGCAACCTCCACCTGTTGGGTTCAAGCAATTCTCCTGCTTCAGCCTCCTGAGTAGCTGGGATTATAGGCGTGCGCCACCATGCCCAGCTAATTTTTTTTTTTTTTTTTTTGAGACGGAGTTTTGCTCTTGTTGCCCAGGCTGGAGTGCAATGGCGCAATCTTGGCTCACTGCAACCTCCGCCTCCTGGGTTCAAGTGATTCTCCCGCCTCAGCCTCCCTAGTAGCTGGGATTACAGGCACCCGCCACCATGCCCAGATAATTTTTTTTTATTTTTAATAAAGACGGGGTTTCACCATGGCCAGGCTGGTCTCGAACTCCTGACCTCAGGCAATCCACCTGCCTCGGCCTCCCAAAGTGCTGGGATTACAGGCATGAGCCACTGCACCCGGCCTAATTTTTGTATTTTTAGTGGAGACGGGGTTTCACCATGTTGGTCAGGCTGGTCTCGAACTCCTGACCTCGTGATCCACCCGCCTCTGCCTCCCAAAGTGCCAGGATTACAGGTGTGAGCCACCGCGCCCGGCCTATTACCTTTTTTTTTTTTTTTTTTTTTTACTGCATTTTTCTCCCTTCAGAATGTGAGCTCAGCTAGGGCAGGGACCACGTCTATCTCATCCATCACTGTTTCTCCACCATGTAGAACAATGCCCAGTGCATATTGGTACTCAATAAATATTTGCTGAGTGAATGAATCACAGAATGCATTATTTGCACATGAGAAAACCAAGACTCCCAGAGGAGAATTGCTTGTCTGAGGCCATAGAGCTGGGAAGAAGAGGAGCCAGGTTTGGATGCAGGTCTGCCTAACTCTGAAGTCCAGGCTTTTCCCAGTTCTCCAGGCTGATAGCTACCATGAAAAAGCATGTACATGTTGGGTAACTAGAAGAGAGTTCGGAGGTTGGTAAGGAGTTGGAATTTAGGATCCAGCGAATTGCCTTTAAGCTAAGTTCATAATTTTACAATAAACATTTAGTGAGTTCCTACTATGTGCAACTCCCTGTGCTTTCTGCTGGAGGAAAATCAATAATGGATTTGATAAACACCTATCGGCAACCTTGACACCCTAATGTTCACTGACTGGATGTCCCACAGGCACCTCCATCAACTTCACCCACCATCTTCCACTAAACTTGCCCCCATTCTACACTGTCAGAATCCTGTGTGTGTGTGTGTGTGTGTGTGTGTGTGTACTGGAAAAGTTAGGATTTAGCAGATCTGAGGGAACGGGTCCGGGATTGACTTTTTTTTTTTTTTTTTTGAGACGGAGTTTTGCTCTTGTCTCCCAGCTGCAGTGGCACAATCTCGGCTCACTGCTCACTGCAACTTCCGCCTCTTGGGTTCAAGGGCTTCTCCTGTCTCAGCCTCCCGCGTAGCTGGGATTACAACAAGCACCTGCCACCACGCTCAGCTAATTTTTTTGTATTTTTAGTAGAGATGGGGTTTCACCATGTTGATCAGGCTGGTCTTGAACTTCTGACCTCAGGTGATCTGCCCATCTCGGCCTCCCAAAGTGCTGGGATTACAGGCGTGAGCCACCACCCTCAGCCTACACAGCTTTCAGGAAGAGCTGTCTGAGCCATGTTCATCCCCTGTTTAGACAGGCACATACCCCATCCCAGCATGGCACTCAAAGTCCTGCACACGATTTGGCCCACAAACCTTTTTTTCCCCTAATTATTTGTAAGAAAATTTAAAAGTATAAAGGTAATATAGCAAACATCCAAATTCAGAATTATCAGCTGTAACAGTTTGTTATATTTACTTTCAATAATATATGTATATTTTGGCCAGACACAGTAGCTCACTCCAGTAATCCCAGCACCTTAGAAGGCTGAGGTGGGAGGATCACTTGAGGCCAGGAGTTCAAGACCAGCCTAGGCAACATAGGGAGAATCTGTGTCTACAAAATAATTTATGTATTTATTTATTTGTTGTTGTTGGTGGTGGTGGTGGTGTTTTGAGAAGGTCTCACTCTCTCGCCCAGGCTAGAGTGTAGTGGTGTGATTATAGCTCACTGTAGCCTCAAACTCCTGGACTCTAGCCATCCTCCCACCCCAGCTTCCTGAGTAACTAAGACTACAGGTGCATGCCACCATGCCCAGCTAATTTTCTTATTTTTATTTTTAGTAGAGATGAGGTCTTGCTATGTTGCCCAGGCTGATCTTAAGCTCCTGCACTCAGGCAATCCTCCTGCCTCAGCCTCCCAAAGTGCTGAGATTACAGGCATGAGCCACTGTGCCTGGCAAAATAATTTCAAAATTAGCCAGGCATGGCGGTATGCACCTGTAGTCTCTACTACTTGGGAAGCTGAGGCGGGAGGATCACTTAGAGCCCAGAAGTTCAAGGTTACAGTGAGCTATGATCATGCCACTGCACTCCAGCTTGGGCAACATAGCAGGACTCTATCTCCTAAAAAAACTGGCCAGGTGCTGTGGCTCACGCCTGTAATCCCAGCACTTTGGGAGGCCAAGGAAGACAGATCACCTGAGGTCAGGAGTTCAAGACCAGTTTGGCCAACATGCTGAAACTCCATCTCTACTAAAAATACAAAAATTAGCTAGGCGTGGTGGTGCTTGCCTGTAGTCCCAGCTACTCGGGAGGCTGAGACATGAGAATTGCTTGAACCTGGGAGGTGGAGGTTGCAGTGAGCTGAGATCGCACAACTGCACTCCAGCCTGGGTGTCAGAGTGAGACTCCATCACAAAAAGAAAAACAAACCGAAAAACAAACAAAAAACTGCCCTATATGTGTGTGTGTGTACGTTTTTGATGTGTTTTACAGATATCTGTACAATTTTTATCAAATTTTAAAGTCTTTTAAACTATCAGTTACACTTTTCTCCCTTCCTGCTGCCCCAGGCAACATCTATCATAAGTATAATGTGTTATCTTAACACTTTAACACACATCTCTTCATCCCCCACCCACTCCCAGCACTGCCAAATGCTTAAGAGAGTTGTCTACATTGCCTGCATTGTTTTTCTCTCCCATTGTCTCCAACTGATCCGTGGGCTTGCCCTCTCATATGCTGTCCCTAATCTGCTCTTGGCCAGGTGCAGTGGCTCATGCCGGTAATCCCAGCACTTTGGGACACTGAGGTGGGAGGATCGCTTGAGCCCAGGAGTTTGAGGCCAGCCTAGGCAAATAGGGAGACTCCTATCTCTAAAAAAAAAAAAAAAAAAAAAAAAAAATATATATATATATATATATATATAAAATAAATAAAATAGGCCAGGTGCAGTGGCTCATGCCTGTAATCCCAGCACTTTGGAAAGCCAGGATGGGCGGATCACCTGAAGTCAGGAGCTCGAGACCAGCCTGGCCAACATAGTGAAACCCCGTCTCTACTAAAAATACAAAAATTAGCTGGATGTGGTGGCAGGCACCTGTAATCCCAGCTACTCTGGAGGCTGAGGCATGAGAATCGCTTGAATCCAGGAGGCGGAGATTGCAGTGAACCAAGATCGTGCCACTGCACTCCAGCCTGGGTGACAGAGTGAGACTCTGTCTCAATAAATAAATAAATACATAAATATATAAATACATAAATAAATAGCTGCCCTTGTCAATGTTGCCAGTGACCCTCCATGTTGTTCTATCATATGGTCATTTCTCGATCCTCATCTTTCTTTCCCCATCAGCAGACTTCAACATATATAATCACTTGCTCCTTCTGAGAACACTTTCTTCAAATAGCTTATGAGACCCCGCAACCTTCTGGCTTTCCTCCCACTTCATTGGCTGTTCCTTCTCAATTTCCCTTTGTTGATTCCTCCTCCTTCTCTCCTTTTTCCCCCTCTGCCACAACCTCTAAATACTGAGGGCCCCAGGGCTTGGTTCTTGCCTTTTCACTGCTCTGTCTACATTCTTTTCTCTGATGACCTCATCTATTCTCATGATTTCAAGCCCCATCTATATGAGGACAACTCATAGATTTCTATCTCTAGCCCAGTTCCCTACTGTAAACTCCAGACTCCTGCATCCAACTGAACATTCAACATTTTTACCTGGTCGTGCAACAGGCATCTCAAAATCAGCATGTCCAAAACTGAACTCCAGACCTTTCCAACCCCTCCCCAAACCTGCTTCTCCCACTGTCTTCCCCATCCAAGAGATAGCCTCTCCATCTTCCCACTTACTCTGGCCAAAAACTTGAGTCATCCTTGGCTCCTTTCTGTCATATCAATCCTCCACAAATAGTGTCAATTCAATCTTCAAAATATTTCCAGAATCCATCCATTTCTGACCACCTCCATTGCCCACTCTGGTCCAAGCAGTGCCATTTTCCCCACCCAGATTATTGTTTCAACAAAGCAGCCAGAAGGATCCCTTTAAAAGCCTAAGTCAGATGGTGTCATCCCCTGCCAGACCCCCACCTCGGGGTCCTTATTATGACCTACGAAGCCCCACCCAGTCTACTCCCACCTCTCTCTCTGGCCTCCTCTCCTTTATTCCTTCCTCTTCCCTTTTCTCTCCACGTTAACCACCCTGGCTTCCTTCCTATTTATTCCTTAAATACTCCAGGTTTACCCCTTTCAGAGCCTTTGAGCTTACTGTTTCCCCCAGATAGCTACATGGTTTCCTCCTTCACTTCCTTGCTATCTTTGCACAAATGTCTCTCAGTGAGGCATTCCCTGACCAGTCTATTTTTTTTTTGAGATGGAGTCTCGCTCTGTTGCCTAGGTTGGAGTGCAGTGGCTTAACCTTGGCTCACTGCAACCTCCACCTCCCAGATTCAAGCGATTCTCCTGCCTCAGCCTCCCGAGTAGCCAGGATTATAGGCGTGCGCCACCATGCCCGGCTAATTTTTATATTTTTAGTAGAGACAGGAGTTTCACCATGTTGGCCAAGCCTGGTCTCGAACTCCCAACCTCAGGTGATCCACCCGCCTCGGCCTCCCAAAGTGGTGGGATTACAGGCGTGAGCCACCGTGCCCGGCTGTACTGTATATTTCTATTGCCTGTGTTGACCCACTAGACTGTAAGCTCCTCAATGGCAGAAATTTGAGGCAGTAGAGCATAATGATTAATAGGGCTAACTTGGATCCAAACTGTATGGATTCGAATGCTGTCTCTACCACTATCATTTCTTTTCTTTTCTTTCTTTCTTTTTTTTTTTTTTGAGAGGTCTCACTCTATTGCCCAGGCTGGGCAGTGGCACAATCATGGCTCAGTGCATCCTTGACCTCCTGGGTTCAAGCAATCCTCCTGCCTCAGCCACCCGAATTGCTGGTACTACAGGCCTGGATAATTTTGTATTTTTAGTGGAAACGGGGTTTCACCATGTTGGCCAGGCTGGTCTCAAACTCCTGACCTTAGGTGATCCACCTGCCTCGGCCTTCCAAAGTGCTGGGATTACAGGCGTGAGCCACCACGCCCAGCCTTAATGTTTTATTTTTTGTAGAGATGAGACCTTGTTATGTTGCCCAGGCTGGCCTAAAACTCCTGAGCTCAAGCAGTCTTCCTTCCTCGACCTCCCAAAGTGCTGAGATTACAGGCATGAGCCACTGTCTCCAGCCTCTACCACTGTCTAGTCATGTGACCTTTGGCAAGTTATTTAACTTCACTGCACCCCAGTGTCTTAATCTAAAAGATGGGGTAAGGGGGTTGGGCGTGGTGGCTCATGTCTGTAATCCTAGCACTTTGGGAGGCTGAGGCGGGAGGATTGCTTGAGCTCAGAAGTTCGAGACCAGCCTGGGCAACATGGTGAAACCCCATATCTACCAAAATATGAAAAAAAAAAAAAAAAAAAATAGCCGGGTGTGGTGGTGTGCGCCTGTAGTCCCAGCTACTCGGGAGGCTGAGGCAGGAGAATTGCTTGAACTTGGGAGGCAGAGGTTGCAGTCAGCCAAGATCGTGCCACTGTACTCCAGCCTGGGAAACAGAGCAAGACTGTCTCTAAAAAAAAAAAAAAAAAAAAAGAGGATAATAGTAGAACCTATATTGTAAGGATATTGTAAGGATTAAATGAGTTAATGAATGTAAACTGTAAACTGTTTGGAATTGTACCTACATAAGTGCTTGCTGCAATTATTATTATTTATGAATGGCTGGGCACAGTGGCTCCTGTCTGTAATCCCAGCATTTTGGGAGGCCAAAGCAGGCAGATCGCTTGGACTCAGGAGTTCAAGACCAGCCTGGGCAACATGGTGAAACCCCATCTCTACTAAAAACAGAAAAAATTAGCCAAGTGTGGTGGTGTACACCTGTGGTCCCAGCTACTCAGGAGGCTGGGGCAGAAGGATTGCTTGAGCCTGGGAGGTAGAGTTTGCAGTGAGTCAAGATCATGCTACTGCACTCCAGCCTAGGCAACAAAATGAGACTCTGTCTAAAAAAAATAAAATAAAATAAAATAAAACAATGACTGGCTGGCTCCTGGTAAGTCCTATATAACTGTTAGCTATTGCTATTCTCTGCTGTATCCCCAGACCTGAGAATAGCACTTAGAACATAATAAGACATTCAGGAAAAAATTTGTGAGATGAATTAATTAAGACATGTGCATACATAAACAATGGTATTTTTGTGTGCCCTTAAAATGTATATCAATAACATTATATCATACACATTCTTCTTCATCTTTACTTTTTCACACATTATATTTATAACATCAAGCCATGCTGATACATATAAATCTCATCGTGTCCTTTTAACTGTTTTAAATATTGCATATATTAATATACCTCAATTTTTATATCTGTTCTTTTTTTTTTTTTTTTTTTTTTTTGAGAGAGGGTCTCCCTCTGGCACCCAGGCTGGAGTGCGGTGGCACAATCTCAGCTCAGTGCAACCTCTGCCTCCCAGGTTCAAGCAATTCTTGTGTCTCAGCCTCCCGAGTAGCTGGGATTGCAGGCGTGTGCCACCACATCCGGCTAATTTTTGTATTTTTAGTAGAGATGGGGTTTTGCCATGTTGGCCAGGCTGGTCTCAAACTCCTGACCTCAGGTGATCCACCCACCTCGGCCTCTCAAAGTACTGGAATTACAGGTGTGAGCCACCAAGCCCGGCCTCTGTTCCCCTGTTAATGGCCATTCAGGTTGTTCCAATTTTATGTTATTATGAACAATGTTGTATCAAACATCCTTGTACATCTCTCTTTCTTTTTTTTTTTTTTTTTTTTTTTTTTGAGATGGAGTCTTGCTCTGTCACCCATACTGGAGTGCAATGGCGTGATCTCGGCTCACTGCAACCTCCACCTCCCGGGTTCAAGCGATTCTCCTGCCTCAGCCTCCCGAGTAGCTGGGATTACAGGCACTCACCACCAAGCCCAGCTAATTTTTGTATTTTTAGTAGAGATAGGATTTTACCATGTTGGCCAGGCTGGCCTTGAGCTCCTGACCTCAGTTGATTCACCCACCTCCGCCTCTCAAAGTGCTGGGATTGCAGGTATGAACCACCGCACCTGGCCCCAAATCTTTAGTAAAGCACATATTGCA
Source organism: Homo sapiens (assembly GCF_000001405.40). Classification (NCBI taxonomy): domain Eukaryota; kingdom Metazoa; phylum Chordata; class Mammalia; order Primates; family Hominidae; genus Homo; species Homo sapiens. The sequence continues at coordinate 27,170,067 of NC_000001.11, forward strand.
CTCTATTAATTGTCGTTTGTTTAATTGTGTGCCTGTTGCTCCCACTACTTTGTTATTACTTGAGAAGCGGGGCCCTATTCGGTTTGTCTTTAACCAAGCACTGAGCTTGATGCAGTCAGTGTTTACTGAACGAATGAATGAGGGAACGAATGAATGAGGCTACCGTCTGGATCGGCGGTCCTTGGACGTTTTTCTCTTGTGCCCCCTAAAATAATTTTTTATATTTATTTTATTATTTCATTTTTTTTTGAGACAGGGTCTCACTCTGTCACCCAGACCGAAGTGCAGTGGTGTGATCTCAGCTCCCTATAGTCTCGACTTCCCAGGCTCAAGTGATCCTTCCACCTCAGTCTCCTAAGCAGCTGAGACTATAGGTGCATGCTACCACGCTTGGCTAATTTTTGCATTTTTTGTAGAGACAAGGTTTCACCATGTTGCCCAGGCTGGTCTCAAACTCCCGAGCTCAAGTGATCCACCCACCTCGGCCTCCCAAAGTGCTGGGATTACAGGCATGAGCCACTACGCCTGGCTTAAAATAATTTTTTAAAACTTTGCACCCCCTCTTTGTGAGGATTCTAACAGGAAACAAATGGCACAATCAAGACAATTCAAGGAGGTTATATACACAAAACGACTAATTTGGATGTGTGATCAGGGTATAGGGAAATCACAGGGGATCGGGCAGGAAGCTGGGACTGGTAGCAGCCAGGCTGTTACCACCCCAGGCCTGAAGAGGCAAATCCTCTGTCTTAAAAGGAGCACTACTAACTTTCTGTCCAGGGACAGGACCAGCTTCACTGGGCCTCACAGGACAGGAACCAGAGGGATACATCCTGGCCTCACTCCTTTCCCTCTCTCAGACTTCCTGCCAGGACTCCCTAGTGGCCAAACCAAAGTAGAACCCAAGACCAGCGGGCACAGGAGCCACTGATATCCTCCATCCAAGTCAGCCAACCAGGGGAGAGGCAGGGTGGAGGACAGAGCCTGGATCTGCAGGGATACAACTAAACTCTTCACCTTAAACACAAATCATTGCCAAGGCTATACCTCCTAGCATATTGGAAATATTAATATTTTATTTATCTTTATTTATTTTTATTTTATTTATTTATTTATTTTCCAAGATGGAGTCTCGCTCTGTTGCCTAGGCTGGAGTGCAGTGGCACGATCTTGGCTCACTGCAACCTATGCCTCCTGGGTTCAAGCAATTCTCCTCCCTCAGCCTCCCAAGTAGCTGGGATTACAGGCACCTGCCACCACGTCCGGCTAATTTTTGTATTTTTGGTAGAGACGGGGTTTCCCAATGTTGGCCAGGCTGGTCTCGAATTCCTGACCTCAGGTGATCCACCCGCCTCGGCCTCCCAGAGTGTTGGGATTACAGGCGTGAGCCATTGTGCCCAGCCAATATTAATATTTTAAATAAAACTGTTCTATCACTCGACTCAATGTAAGTACCATGGTGATTTGATATCCATTATTACCCATTTAAAGAAATTACTGGGCCAGGTGCGGTGGCTCATGCCTCTAATCCCAGCAGTTTGGGAAGCCGAGGCAGGCGGATCACCTGAGGTCAGGAGTTCGAGACCAGCCTGGCCAATATGGTGAAATCCTGTCTCTTCTAAAAATACAAAAATTAGCCATGCCTGGTGGCAGGTGCCTGTAGTCCCAGCTACTCAGGAGGCTGAGACAGGAGAATCACTTGAACCCGGGAGGCGGAGGTTGCAGTGAGCCAAGATTTTGCCACTGAACTCCTGCCTCGGCGACAGAGCAAGACTCTGTCTGGGGGGAAAACAAAGAAAAGAAAATACTGAACAAGCTCTACTTTAAAAAACAGAAAGCTACATCATTACTTTTCTTCTTGAATGTATGGTTATATTTTGCTTCCTCTTACAGAATGGTATTCTAGAGTAATATATTTTATGCTTGAAAGCTTGTTATTTGGCTGGGCACAGTGGCTCATGCCTGTAATCCCAGCACTTTGGGAAGCCAAAGTGAGTGGATTCCCTGAGGTCAGGAGTTCAAGACCAGCCTGGCCAATATGGCAAAACCCTGTCTCTACTGAAAATACAAAAACTAGCCAGGCACCATGGTGCACACCTGTAATCCTAGGTACTTGGGAGGCTGAGGCAGGAGAATCATTTGACCTAGGAGGCAGAGGTTGCAATGAGTCGAGATCGTGTGCCACTGTACTCCAGCCTGGGCAACAGAGCCAGAAAAAAGAAAGCTTGTTATTGATCACCTAATTTATATTTTCACAGAAATTTATATAGTGTTAAATTACAATTTACAAATTTGGGGGTCAGGCGGTGGTGGCTCACTTTGGGAGGCCAAGGTGGGAGGATCGCTTGACCTTGAGGCCAGGAGTTTGAGACTATAGTGAGCTGTGACTGCATCACTGCACTCCAGCCTGGGTGACAGCAAGACCCCGTCTCTAAAAAATAAAAATAACAGGCCAGGTGCAGTGGCTCATGCCTATAATCCCAGGACTTTGGGAGGCCGAGGAGGATTGCTTGAGCTCAGGAGTTCGAGACCAGCCTGGACAACATAGAGACCCTGTCTCTACAAAAAAATACAAAAGTTAGCCGGGCATGGTGGTACATGCCTTTAGTCCCAGCTACTTGGGAGGCCGAGGTGGGAGGATTGCTTGAGCCTGGGAGGCAGAGGTTGCAGTGAGCTGAAGTCATACCACTGCACTCCAGCCTGGGTGACAGAGCCAGATGCTATCTTTAAAAAGTAAAATTATGGCCAGGTGCAGTGGCTCATGCCTGTAATCCCAGCACGTTGGGAGGCCAACGTTGGTGGATCACCTGAGGTCAGGAGTTTGAGACCAGCCTGACCAACATGGAGAAACCCTGTCTCTACTAAAAAATACAAAATTAGCCAGGTGTGGTGGCGCACACCTTTAGTCCCAGCTACTTGGGAGGCTGAGACAGGAGAATAGCTTGAACCCAGGAGATGGAGGTTGTTCAGCTTGTGCAGTGAGCCGAGATCATGCCATTGCACTCCAGCCTGGGCAACAAGAGCAAAATTCCATCTCAAAAAAAAAAAAAAAAGAAGTAAAATTGTATTTATATATAAAATAAAAATAATAATAAATAATAAAATATTAGGTTGGTGCAAAAGTTATTGCGGTTTCAGACCATGAATTTTAAATCATTATAATTAGGCTCAAACACATCTTTATTAATCAAAATAGGAACCATTACAATCAACACATTTTTGCCAACGAGAAATAAGTTTGTTTATTTCTGTAGTGTAAAACTCTGTGCTTCAGGATTCTACGAACTCGTGGAAAGCATTTTCTGCATCCTGCTGGTTGTGGAAGCATTTTCTCTGCAAAAAGTTGTCAAGGTGCTTGAAGAAGTGGTGATGGGTTGGCAAGCGGTCAGGTGACTATGGCAGATGAGGCAAAACTTTGTAGCCTAATTCATTCAACTTTTGAAGAGTTAGTTGTGCGATCTGCAGTTGGATGTTGTGGAGAAGAATTGGGCCCTTTCTATTGACCAATGCCGGCTGCAGGCGTTGCAGTTTTTGGCACATTTCATCGATTTGCTGAGCATACTTCCCAGATGTAAGGGTTTCACCAGGATTCAGAAAGCTGGAGTGGATCAGACCGGCAACAGACAACCAAACAGTGACCAGAACCTTTTTTGGTGCAAGTTTGGTTTTGGGAAGTGCTTTGGAGCTTCTTCTCAGTCCAACCACTGAGCTGGTTGTTCCCACTTGTCTAAAATCCACTTTTTGTCCCATGTTACAATCTGATCAAGAAATGGTTGTTGCGTAGAATAAGAGAAAACAATACTTCAAAACGACAATTTTATTTAATTTTCGCTCATCTCATGAGGCACCCACTTATCTAGCTTTTTCACCTTTCCAATTTGCTTCAAATGCCAGATGACAGTAGAATGGTCGACATTGATTTCCTTGGCAACTTCTTGTGTAGTTGCAAGACGATCAGTTTCCATGATTGCTTTCAATTGGTCGTTGTCATCTTCCGATGGCCGGTCACTACACTCCTCATCTTCAAGGCTCTCGTCTCCTTTGCAAAACTTCTTGAACCATTACTGCACTGTATGTTTGTTAGTGGTTCCTGGGCCAAATGCGCTGTTGATGTTGCAAGTTGTCTTCTCTGTTTTACGACCCATTTTGAACCCGAATAAGAAAATTGCTTGAATTTGCTTCTTGTCTAACATAATTTCCATAGTGTAAAATAAACATAAAATAAACAGCAAGTAATAAGTCATTAGCAAAAAAACATAAAGCAAGAAATGTCCATTATAATGATGTATAACATAGGCTGGGAATGGTGGCCCATGCCTGTAATCCCAGCACTTTGGGAGGCTAAGGCAGGCGGATCACCTGAGGTCAGGAGTTCGAGACCAGCCTGACCAACATGGAGAAACACTGTCTCTACTAAAAATACAGAAATTAGCCAGGCGAGGTGGCACATGCCTGTAGTCCCAGCTACTTGGGAGGCTGAGGCAGGAGAATCGCTTGAATCCAGGAGGCAGAGATTGCAGTGAGCCGAGATTGCACCACTGTACTCCAGCCTGGGCAACAAGATCAAAACTCCATCTCAAAAAAAAAAAAAAAAAAGAATGACTGGAGGCAAAACACAGAGACTTATGCCTATAATCCAACACTTTGGGGAGGCCAAAGCAGGAGGATCACTTGAGCCCAGAATTTTGAAGTTGCAGTCAGCTATGATCACACCACTGAACTCCAGCCTGGGTAAAACCAGCCTGTCTCTCTCTCTCTTTTTTTTTTTTTTTTTTTTTTTTGAGACGGAGTCTCGCTCTGTCGCCGCCCAGGCAGGAGTGCAGTGGTGTGATCTCAGCTCACTGCAAGCTCTGCCTCCCGGGTTCACGCTATTCTCCTGCCTCAGCCTCCGGAGTAGCTGGGACTACAGGCGCCCACCACCATGCCCGGCTAATTTTTTTGTGTGTTTTTAGTAGAGACAGGGTTTCACCGTGTTAGCCAGGATGGTCTCGATCTCCTGACCTCGTGATCTGCCCACCTTGGCCTCCCAAAATGCTGGGATTACAGGCGTGAGCCGCCGTGCCCGGCCTTTTTTTTTTTTTTTTTTTTAAGAAAAAAAAAAAAGTCTTGCTCTGTCACCCACACTGGAGGGCAGTGGTGTGATCTTGGCTCACTGCAACCTCTGCCTCCCGGGTTCAAGCAGTTCTCTGCCTCAGCCTCCTGAGTAGCTGGGATTACAGGCACCTGCCACCACACCTGGCTAATTTTTGTATTTTTAGTAGAGATGGGGGTTTCACCATGTTGGCCAGGCTGGTCTTGAACTCCTGACCTCGTGATCCACCCGCCTTGGCCTCCCAAAGTGCTGGGATTACAGGCGTGAGCCACCGAGCCTGGCCAAGACCCTGTCTTTAAAAAGAAAAAAGAATGGAGGGAATTTTGTTACAATAATGTCTGTCACCCAGGCTGGAGTGTGGTGACACAATCTTGGCTCACTGCAACCTCCACCTCCTAGGTTCAAGCAATTCTCATTCCTCAACCTCCCGAGTAGCTGGGACTACAGGTGCCACCATGCCCAGCTAATTTTGTATTTTAGTAGAGACAGGGTTTCACCATGTTGACCAGGCTGGTCTCGAACTCCTGACCTCAAGTGATTCATTCACCTCGGCCTCCCAAAGTGCTGGGATTACAGGTGGGAGCCACCATGTCTGGCTTTTTTTTTTTTTTTTTTTGAGATGGAGTCTTCCTCTGTCACCCAGGCTGGAGTGTAGGGTCATGATCTCAGCTCACTGCAACCTCTGCCTCCTGGGTTCAAGCAATCCTCCCACCTCAGCCTCCTGAGTAGCTAGTTTACAGTTGTGTGGCACTATGTCTGGCTATGTTTTTCGTATTTTTAGTAGAGACTAGTTTTCACCATGTTGGCCAGGCTGGTCTCGAACTCCTGACCTCAAGCGATCCACCCGCTCGGCCTCCCAAAATACTGGGATTATAGGCGTGACCACCGCGCCTGACCATAGTAATGTCACTTAATTATTTGAATTCCTTCTGGGTTACAAGCCAAAAATGACACAGTGACCTATCACCCAAAGTTATTTTTAATGACAGCAGAATTAGAACTTCCTTTGCATTTGTTGAAAGCAAAGATCTGGCAACTGCCAGGTATGCAAAGCTCCTTGTTATTTGGTAGATAGAGCCCTTCACCTTTGATTGGTGCCCCTGGAGGTTTCCATTCCCTCTCCAGCCCCCAACCCCCAATGCTGTAGGGTAAAATTCCTTTGCAAAGTGTGAGGAGGGAGGTGGGAAAGAAGCAGCACCTGGATGTCAGTGCCAATTCTCCTGAAGATGGATCATAGGAAAGAAAACCAATGGAGGTTGGGGACCTGGATGTCAATTTCCTAGAAACACAGGAAACTAATGGAAAAGTGAGACCTGGCCAGGCAGGGTGACTCACGCCTGTAATCCCAGGAATTTGGGAGGCCGAGGTAGGAGGATCCCTTGAGCCCAGGAGTTGGAGATCAGCCTGGGCAACATAGTGAGACCCCTGGGAGTAGGGGAGCTGAGGATCACTTGCACCTGGGAGGTTGAGGCTGCAGTGAGCTAGGATCGTCCAACTGCACTCCAGCCTGGGCAATAAAGTGTGACCCTGACTTAAAAAAAAAGAGAAAGAGTCCTTTTGCGGGTGGCAACCAGCGCCGAGAGGACGCCACGAAGGCCTTGGGCACACTATGAGAGTACAAGGTGGTGGGTCGCTGCCTGCCCACCCCCAAATGCCACACACCGCCCCTCTACCGCATGGGAATCTTTGCGCCTAATCATGTCGTCGCCGAGTCCCGCTTCTGGTACTTCGTATCTCAGTTAAAGAAGATGAAGAAGTTTTCAGGGGAGATTGTCTACTGTGGGCCGGTGTTTGAGAAGTTCCCCTGGGGGTGAAGAACTTCGGCATCTGGCTGCACTATGACTCCCGGAGCGGCATCCACAACATGTACTGAGAATACTGGGACCTGAACACCGCGGGCGCTGTCACCCAGTGCTACCGAGACATGGGCGCCCGGCACCGCGCCTGGACCCATTCCATCCAGATCACGAAGGTGGAGGCGATCGCAGCCAGCAAGTGCCCGCGGCCGGCCGTCAAGCAGTTCCACGACTCCAAGATCAAGTTTCCGCTACCCCACCGGGTCCTGCGCTGTCAGCACAAGCCACACTTCACCACCCGGAGACCCAACACCTTCTTCTAGGTACAGGGCCCTCGCCCGGTGTGTGCCCCAAATAAACTCAGGAACACCCCGGTATTAAAAGAAAGAAAGATTCCAGACGCAGTGGCTTACACCTGTAATCCCAGCACTTTGGGAGGCTGAGGCGGGCGGATCACCGGAGCTCAGGAGTTCGAGACCAGCCTTGCCAACATGATGAAACCCCATCTCTGCTAAAAATACAAAAATTAGTTGGGCCTGGTGGTGCATCCCTGTCTGTAATCCCAGCTACTCTGGAGGCTGAGGCATGAGAATTACTTGAACCTGGGAGGTAGAGGTTGCAGTGGGCCGAGATCACGCCACTGCACTCCAACTTGGGCAACAGAGTGAGACTTTGTCTCCAAAAAAAGAAAGAGAGAGACAGAGGCACTGGGAGTTCATTGTAGAAGGAAAATTACAATAGGGGGGAAAGGGTGCGTTTGAGAAGGCACTCATCATCCCCTCCCATGCTGGCACAGGGTTCCTCTGGATGGCCACTTCTGTTTCTCACTCTGGGCTAGGAATTCTTGTTTTCCAGAGAGTTCCCAGTGCCAGGGCATGGGACCTGCTCAGGAAATGGTTGATTCACTGGCTGCATGAATGAATGAATGAATAGCATTTGAAGGACAGCTAGCACTTGACTATAGGAAACAGGAGAATGAGTATTCCTGAGAAAATTAAAAATATACTTTAAAATTAAGAAGTGAAGGCTGGGCACAGTGGCTCACGCCTGTAATCCCAGCACTTTGGGAGGCCAAGGCAAACGAATCACCTGAGGTCAGGAGTTCAAGACCAGCCTGACCAACACAGAGAAACCCGTCTCTACTAAAAATACAAAATTAGGTGGGCATGGTGGCGCATGCTTGTAATCCCAGCTACTCGGGAGGCTGAGGCAGGAGAATCGCTTGAACCTGGGAGGTGTAGGTTGCGATGAGCTGAGATCATGCCATTGCATTCCAGCCTGGGCAACAAGAGCAAAACTCCATCTCAAAAAAAAAAAAAAAAAAAAAAAAATTTATCGTAAAGATCACCCAATCCTGAAGCTAAGTTATGAGTGAGGCAGGATAATAGGGTCTGGGGGCAGGGAACCTAAGGACTTCCTAGAACTAAATCAAATGGAAACACTTCAGCTATGACAGGAAATATCCTCTTCATTTACATAGGGTGTACATCAAGTAAATAACTTTGTAACTTTATTTCATCCTCTTCATTTACATAGGGACTACACCAAATAACCAATGGAAACCTCTAGAGGGTATTTAAACCCCAGAAAATTATGTAACAGGGCTCTTGAGCCCCTGTGTCCGGCCCCGCTCCCACCCTGTGGAGTGTACTTTCATTTTCAATAAGTCTCTCATTTTGTTGCTTCATTCTTTCCTTGCTTTGTTTGTGTGTTTTGTCCAATTCTTTGTTCAAGATGCCAAGAACCTGGACACCCTCCACCGGTTACATGAGGATGCAAAGGCATAAGAATGATATAATGGGTGAGGTGTGGTGGCTCACACCTGTAATCCCAGCACTTTGGGAGGCGGAGGAGAGCTGATCACGAGGTCAGGAGTTTGAGACCAGCCTGGCCAACATAGTGAAACCTCATCTCTACTAAAAATACAAAAATTAGCTGGGCGTGGTGGTGTACAGCTGTAATCCCAGCTACTCGGGAGGCTGAGGCAGGAGAATCACTTGAACCCAGGAGGCAGAGGTTGCAGTGAGCCAAGATGGCACCACTGCACTCCAGCCTGGGTGACAGAGGGAGACTCCATCTCAAACAAACAAACAAGCCTGATAGAGAATTGAAGACATTTGGCTAATTAACATTTTCATAGTTAAAGCTCTTAGTCTTGATTAAAGTAAAATAAGGAGTATTGTAGGCTGGGTGCGGTGGTTCACGTCTGTCATCCCAGCACTTTGGGAGGCTGAGGCAGGTGGATCACAAGGTTACAAGTTCGAGACCAGCCTGGCCAATATGCTGAAACCCTGTCTCTAATAAAAATACAAAAATTAGCCAGGTTTGGTGGCAGGCGCCCATAGTCCCAGCTACTTGGGAGGCTTAGGCAGGAGAATTGCTTGAACCCAGGAGGCAGGGGTTGCAGTGAGCTGAGATAGCACCACTCTACTCCAGCCTGGGCAACAGAGTGAGACTCCATCTCAAAAAAAAAAAAGAAGTATTGTAAAGAAACACATTGGCAGTTTGGCCATTCTTTTTTAAATGTAGTTAAGCATGAAGCCAGATTTGGTATGGAGCCAAATTTCACATACATGCTTGCATTGCTTCCAGCTATGTTTACTGTTTTGCCTGGATAGTACTGGCACTGGAGTACTCATTTGTCATGCTCCTAGAGTGAATTTCTTGATTGCACAAGACTTATGGTGATATTAGTGGACTTAAGGATATTCAATTGTGTATCAGGAATAAAATATTCATCATGGGTAACACTGTAGCCTCCAGGGTAGATTGAGTAGGAAAATTAAGAGTTGGTTGTTTATTTGCTTCTAATTGTCATTCATTTGCTGTTTATTGTCCTCTAGGCTTTGCTTGTGTATGCATGTATATAAAACCATTATTTTTTTTAAGTTTATAGTGGAAGGCTTTTATTTGGTTCTATCAATAGTTATTTTGTTTCCTATGCATTTCTAGCACGTCATCATTTGTTCCATTTATCTGGAATTCCTAGGCTACCTTTACCAGGCCTGCAGGAATTAATGGAGCACACCAATTTTTTAACCTTAAACTAACTTTTTGGAGTTTAGGCTTCCTGATACTTTAAGTGTGCTAAGTATACTTTCATAGATAGAATTTGAGTCATATTTCTCTCTCTGCCTAGTTTCTCCAAAATTTCTAAACTATTTGTGAATATTCGTAATTCATGGCAATGCATTTGTTTGCATACAGTCGAGCAGGGTTGCTAGGGCTGCTCAGAGAGAACCCAGAAACCTGACATGCCGGCAAAAGGGTAAGAATTTCTTATGTTACTCTGGCCTCTCTCTCTCTGTGCAAACTGGTTTAATGAAGGGTAAAAGTCACTGTTTATTGCCTCTGTAAAGTTTTGATTATTACAAAAAAGAATTCTGAGGCTGTTCTTAAGCTGTAGTGAATCTGATGTGCTTTGTGTGTTTTTCTGTATTGTTCTGTCATAAAGAGGGGTACCTTAGGATAAAATGCTTGCCTAGGACCCCATAGGTTTGCTCTTCAAGATGGCCCAGCAAACTGGTCAGTCATGTCCTTGAGAGCTTGACCTTGTAACCACGTGGCCATGCTTTCTCTTTTCACAATAGCAGCCTGGGTTTAGGGTTCAATTCCTGACTTAGGGAATGAGTCCTTTATTTTCTGTCTGTCCGTGTATTTATACGTCTTCTATATATACTATGAAAGAGATTTAATTAATTAGTTTAATAAGAGCTTAAATAAAATATTTGGTCAGAAAAGTAAAAGGTGTAATGCCTTTTATTTAGTTTATGTGACTTAAGTAATCTTTGGGAAATAAAGAAAGTTTTTTGTTTATTTGTTTGTTTGTTTTGTGAGATGGAGTCTTGCTCTGTCTCCCCGGCTAGAGTGTAGTGGCACAATCTGCAACCTCTGCTTCCCAGGTTCAAGCAATTTTCCTGCCTCAGCCTCCCAAGTAGCTGGGATTACAGGTGTGTGCCACCATGCCTGGCTAATTTTTTTTTTTTTTTTTTTTTTTTTAGTAGAGACTGGGTTTCACCATGTTGGCCAGGTCGGCCTGAAACTCCTGACCTCAGGTGATACACCCGCCTTGGCCTCCCAAAGTGCTGGGATTACAGGCATAAGCCACAGAGTCTGGCCAAAGAGAGTTTAAAGATTATTGGTAAAATAAAAATATCTTCAAATATGTGAACATTTGGTCTAAATTATGCAGGTCAGATATTAGGTTTGCTAAATGCTTTAAGGTCATAAACTGATTCTTTGATTTTCAAAGATGGTTTAATTTATTTTGGAACATTAGATTCTTTTATTTTATTTTATTTTATTTTTGAGACAGAGTCTCCCTCTGTTGCCTAGGCTGGAGTGCAGTGGCATGATCTTGGCTCACCACAACCTCTGCCTCCCAGGTTCAAGCGATTCTCATACCTCAGCCTCCCGAGTAGCTGGGATTACAGGCATGTGCCACCACGCCTGGCTAATTTTTTTGTATTTTTAGTAGAGACGGCGTTTCTCCATGTTGGTCAGGCTGATCTCGAACTCCCAACCTCAGGTGATTCGCCCACCTTGGCCTCCCAAAGTGCTGGGATTACAGGCAGGTGTGAGCCACCATGCCTGGCCAGAACATTAGATTCTATATAAGGCCTGGGGACATGTGAAATTAGCCATGCCCCCTAGCTATGCAAAGAAGGTTATAAAGAAAAGAGTTTTTATATAAGAAAGGATCTTTTATGGTAAATTCTTGTCCTAAAGTAAAATAACTGGTTGTTTAAAAAGAGGGATGTCGGCCAAGCACATGGCTCACGCCTGTAATCCCAGCACTTTGGGAGGCCAAGGCGGGTAGATCATGAGGTCAGGAGTTCAAGATCAGCCTGACCAACATGGTGAAACCCCATCTCTACTAAAAATACAAAAAAAAAAAAAAATAGCCGGGTGTGGGTGGAACACGCCTGTAATCCCAGCTATTCAGGAGGCTGAGGCAGGAGAATTGCTTGAACCTGGGAGGCAGAGGTTGCAGTGAGCCGAGATCATGCCATTGCACTCCAGCCTGGGTGACAGAGCAAGACTCCATCTCAGAAAAGACAGAAAAAGAAAAAAAGGGATGTTTAGGACAAGTCAGAAAGTCCAAGCATGTCATACATGGTCTGTGTAAGTCATGAAAGGATTGATTTATTTATTTATTTATTTATTTATTTATTTATTTATTTATTGAGATGGAGTTTCACTCTTGTGGCCCAGGCTGGAGTGCAATGGCGTGATCTCAGCTCACTGTAATCTCTACCTCCTGGGTTCAAGTGATTCTCCTGCCTCAGCCTCCCAAGTAGCTGGGATTACAAGTACCCACCACCATGCCTGGCTAATTTTTGTAGTTTTAGTACAGACAGGGTTTCACCATGTTGGCCAGGCTGGTCTTGAACTCCTGACCTCAGGTGATCTGCCTGCCTCGGCCTCCCAAAGTGCTGGGATTACAGGTGTGAGCCACTGCGCCCGGCTGTGAAAGAATTTATGAAAGAGAATTTATGCAAGAAATGTTGAATAATTTAAAAATGATTAGGCCTCGTAACTACTTCATAAGATGCCACCATGACTCTTTAACTGTACAACTTGCCTGCCTTACAGGTAGCTAAGGCCTGGGACACGTGGCGTTAGATGCTGGAAAGAGTCAGACCTCATCTGCACTTCTGTCTGGGTCCTAGGCTCCACACCTAATACATAATTAAAATCCCTAACTTACCAAGGTTTTCACCAAAAGCAAAAGTCACTAAGAGTTAACATTGTAACCTATAATTGAGACTACTGAAGAAACGGTTTTACATGCAAGGTATGTAAGAAAAGTGAAATGTCTTTTTGTAAAAGATTATAAGCCAGCGTGGTAATATGGATTTTTTTGCCTAAAGAGTTAAAGGATTGTTTTAAGTTAGGATAAAGCTAAAGGTTTGAACAAGTTGTGAAAGGTTTGTAAAAAAATTAATTTTGTAAAAAATTCTAGGCCGAGTGCGATGTCTCATGCTTGTAATCCTAGCACTTTGGGAGGCTGAGGCAGGTGGATCACCTGAGGTCTAGAGTTCGAGACCACACTGGCCAACAGGGTAAAACCTCATCTCTACTAAAAATACAAAAATTAGCTGGGCATGGTGGCATGTACCTGTAGTCCCAGCTACTCAGGATGCTGAGGCAGGAGAATCACTTGAACCTGGGAGGCAGAGGTTGCAATGAGCTGAGATCACGCCACTGTGCTCCATCCTGGCAACAGAGAGAGACTAGGTCTCCAAAAAAAAAAAAAAGAGTTTGAGACTAGCCTGGCCAACATGGTGAAACCTCATCTCTACCAAAAATACAAAAAATTAGCCAGGCGTGGTGGTGGGCGCCTGTAGTCCCAGCTACTCGGGAGGCTGAGACAGGAGAATGGTGTGAACTCAGAAGGCAGAGCTTGCAGTGAGCCAAGATCATGCCACTGCACTCCAGCCTGGGTAACAGAGCGATAACTCCATCTCAAAATAGTAATAATAATAATAAGTTAAAGGTTTAAAACACTTAATATTATGAAATAGAATTCCAGGTTACCGTAAGTCATTCATTTAGCCAAAATGATGACTAAAAAACTTTTGAAAGGCAAAAACCTTTACTCATTGATAGAGGGAAGACTTAGCTTTCTAAACAATCTGTCTCTTGTCTTTCCCTTTTTTTTTTCCAGTAGTTTATTCAAAAGGCAAACAAAAATCTTTCATTGTCATTTACCAGTAGTTTATTCAAAAGGCAAACAAAAATCTTTCTTTATCATTTAAAATTACATGGAAATCTTGTTCAAGAGAGAAAGCCAAATTTCACCCTTGCATTACTGTACTATTAATGTCAACCCCAAACCCAATTTTTAATAAAACCTTATAGACAAATCTTTCTAACCTTTTTTTGTGAGATGGAGTCTTTAACTTATTTAACTTCATTAACTCACCTTTAACTTATTTAGTAGGCTCCCAAAATCAAATTTCAGCTTCAAAATTGTCTTTTCTTTTCTTTTTCTTTTTTTTCTTTAAGAGGGAGTCTTACTCTGTTGCCCAGACTGGAGTGCAGTGATGCTATCTCGGCTCACTGCAACATCGGTCTTCCAATGATTCTTCTGCCTCAGCCTCCCGAGTAGCTGGGACTACAGGTGCACACCACCATGCCAAGCTAATTTTTTGTATTTTTAGTAGAGACAGGGTTTCACCATGTTGGCCAGGCTGGTCTTGAACTCCTAACCTCAGGTGATTTGCCCATCTTGACTTTCCAAAGTGCTGGGATTACAAAATGTTCTTTTCTGACCTCTAACTTTGAGATACTATAGAGGGCTCCTGAAGCGTTCAAAAGAGAGGTAAACAGGATTATTTGATATGTTTAGTTACCTGGGAAGCACTGTCAAAATAAAAAAATGTTTAATCGTCTTCACATTATATTTTGGTAAATATTAATGTATGTTAGAAAATTGTATGGGATTTCTAAAATTCTAAATGTCTGAGTATATGCTATCAACCATAATTATGTTTATTATGTTGAGTTACTGTAGACCACAGAAATAAGCAAATTTCCTTGTATAAAACTGCTAACCCAAGTAGAACAAAAATTAATTGAATACCAAGAAAATACATTCCCAGATTTGCATGCTAAATCAGCTGATACTGAAATTGTTTAGATATACAATTTGAATAAACTCCATGGTCTAAGTCAAATTACCTGTGATAACCCATTAGTTATCAGTGCTATGCACCTAAATTGGAGAAACAACTGATATTCAAAAGGACATAAGTCCAATGTTAAGCATGGACTCATGGAGAACCAGGACAGCCACCTGTCCTTCTTGAGTCCTTAAAGCTTTTGTTAGTAAAGATTATGCATTCCATGACTCATCATGGAAAAGATAAAATGATCCAAATTAAATATATATTGGTGTGCTGACTTATACATTGCTAACGCAGTTTATAGCCAATGTTTGGTTTGTCAAATTCATATTCTTGGGAAGACAATCAAAGCTTCAGGTCACCCGACTTGGCCTCCCAAAGTGTTAGGATTACAGGCGTGAGCCACTGCACCTGGCCCCAAAGCTTCAGGTACATTTGGTTACCTGATGGGCCATTTAAACATTTCAATTGTCATCTTCAATGCCTGTTTTCTGGTTATATAATAGCTTTCCCATGCAAGAAGGCTGATGTTATAACAGTAAATTATTATGCTACAGTGTATTTTCACCAGGTAAAGAAAGCTTTTTATAGTTCACTGACAGGACAATCAACCCCTTCACAATCTAGAACACAAAGACTGGATCTTCTAAGAACATCAGAGAAAGACTCTGCCATCCACACTACAGCAAAACTTTGGGACCTTGAACTTTGGATTCATAATCTCACAACTCAGAAGGGTCCTTCCACATTCTCGGAACTGTACACCCATTGGAACCCTTAAGATAACGCTAACCAGGGAAGTTTCTCCCCAGAAGAAGATGACATTCTTGATGTGAACCGCTTTTCCCAAGATCATGGATCAAGACTTCTCTACCAGCCGGGAGTGGTGGCTCATGCCTGTAATCCCAGCACTTTGGGAGGCCAAGGCAGGAGGATCACGAGGTCAGGAGTTCGAGACCAGCCTGGCCAACATGGTGAAACCCTATCTCTACTAAAAATACAAAAAAATTAGCCGAGTGTGGTGGTGCATGCCTGTAATCCCAGCTACTTGGGAAGCTGAGCAGAAGAATCACTTCAACCCAGGAGGCAGAGGTTGCAGTGAGCCGAGATGATGCCATTGCACTCCAGCCTGGGCAAAAGGGCAAGACTCCGTCTCAAAAAATAAATTAATAAAAAAGACTTCTCTACCATCATGAGACTCAAGACTTCTCTACTATCATGAGACTCATTGAATATTTTTTCCTTGCTTATGCCTCTGTGAACAATAGAAATGGAAAAGGGGTCTGGTGTGTGCACTTGTGCTGCATACTTTTATTTATGAAGGGTTTTGCAGCCAGTCTTATAAATGGATAAGCTTATACTTTGACAGATAAAAGATGAAGGCCCAATGTAGGTGAGAAACTTTAATGATACATACATTGCCTCATAATCAGTCAGAAACAGAAAATTAGTTCACTCCTCTTCACCCACATAGTGGGCTAAAGAGAACTTTGTCAGGAGGTCTTCACTCTTCTGAAAGGGCATCATTTGATAGGTCCTTTTTCCATGGTTTGGAAATGCAATGATTAGACATATATCCCTCATGATAGGCTCTATAGCAGATTCTACTGCAAAGGCTATAGTTACATGATAGACTTTATTTATTTTATTTTATTTTTGAAACAGAGTATTACTCTGTCACCAAGGCTGGAGTGCAGTGGCACAATCTCGGCTCACCATAACCTTCGCTTCCTGGGTTCAAGCGATTCTCCTGCCTCAGCCTCCTAAGTAGCTGGGGTTACAGGGGCCTAACACCATCCCCGGCTAATTTTTGTATTTTTAGTAGAGACAGGGTTTTGCCATGTTGGCCAGGCTGGTCTCAAACTCCTGACCTCAAGTGATCTGCCTACCTTGGCCTCCCAAAGTGCTGGGATTACAGGTGTGAGCCACCGCGCCCGGCCACACGATAGACTTTAAATTCTCTTGTGAAAGTTAAAATTGGCTAACAAAGAAATATCTGTACAGCTGCTGGCACTTGTGGCCTATGGAAAAATACATCAAATGAAGATTATAGAGATTCAGTGGTAGAGGATTAGCGAAGAGATTTCTTAGTTAGGTGAGTAGACTCTTCAGCTCATTCTTTGATCTATTTGATTTTAGGAGTTTTGGTTTATGGGGACCCTGGGTAAGGAGGATACTCCAAACCCTTGGTGTGCTGTATTCTCTCAAAGGTTTGAAATGTTTGCATGCAGCTATCTCTACAATGTCAAATGATCTGTCTTCAACTGGAATGACAAGAGCTGAAAGAAATCTGTGACCGGCCGGGCGCGGTGGCTCACGCCTGTAGTCCCAGCACTTTGGGAGGCCGAGGTGGGTGGATCATGAGGTCAGGAGATCGAGACCATCCTGGCTAACAAGGTGAAACCCCGTCTCTACTAAAAATACAAAAAATTAGCCGGGCGCGGTGGCGGGCGCCTGTAGTCCCAGCTACTCGGGAGGCTGAGGCAGGAGAATGGCGTGAACCCGGGAAGCGGAGCTTGCAGTAAGCCGAGATTGCGCCACTGCAGTCCGCAGTCCGGCCTGGGCGACAGAGCGAGACTCCGTCTCCAAAAAAAAAAAAAAAAGAAATCTGTGACCATGAGGATACTGTAACCTATGAATGACGTGCTGAGACCAGAAACTCAAAATGATGGTAACTGACAGTAGCACTAAGGCCCTAAGTTTTGGTCACTCTCACCTAAGTGAGAACCTGACCAAAAAGGGGGAATTTTCAAAAACAAAATTATGAGAGGCCATTGTTTTGGATTGAGCTCATGCACTAGGCCCCAACAGACCAAACCAGACCAAAATGGAGTTGCTCTTGCTAAGACTTTAAGGTAACACGTAGATCCTAGAACAGACAACAGACCAGGTTTTGTTTTTCTCCTGCAGATCTCTATAACAAATATTCCTGACAGCATAGCTATCCACCCCATGAAGTTACCATTAACTCTTTTAACCAAATTCATTTCCTCTCACCTAGAGACCATCAAGCTTCAGATGATCATGTGACAACTGTTCCAGCCAGTTCCAGGTGAAGACACCACCCCTGGCCTTCAAAGAGCTACCCTGCCTCCACTAGACAGAGCAGGGTGAGAGTTCTGTGGTCCCCAATAGGAGGGAACTATGCCGCAAGCCAGCATAAAGCAGTTACAGAAAAAACACCATCAGTCCCTCTGCCTCCTATAAAGATTTATGGGAATCACGTCTTTCAAGGGGGAAATGAGGCAGGAGAATAGGGCCTGGAGGCAGGGAACTTAAGGACTTCCTAGAACTAAATCAAATGGAAACACTTCAGCTATGACAGGAAATATCCTCTTGATTTACATGGGGTGTACACAGAATAAATGGCTTTTTTTCTTTCTTTCTTTCTTTTTTTTTTTGAGATGGAGTCTCACTTTGTTGCCCAGGCTGGAGTGCAGTGGCACAGTCTCGGCTTACTGCAACCTCCGCCTCCTTGGTTCAAGTGATTCTCCTGCCTTAGCCTCCCAAGTAGCAGGGATTACAGCATGTGCCACCATGCCTGGCTAATTTTTTTTTTTTTTTTTTTGAGACAGAGTTTTGCTCTTGTTGCCCAGGCTGGAGTGTAATGGCACAATTTCAGCTCACTGCAACCACCACCTTCCGGGTTCAAGCGATTCTCCTGCCTCAGCCTGCCAAGTAGCTGGGATTACAGGCACCCACCACCACGCCTGGCTAATTTTTGTATTTTTAGTAGAGACAGGGGTTTCACCATGTTGGTCAGGCTGCTCAAACTCCTGACCTCGTGATCCTCCCGCCTCGGCCTCCCAAAGTGCTGGGATTACAGATGTGAGCCACTGCACCCAGCTTTTTCTTTTTCTTTCTTTTTTTTTTTTTGAGATGGAGTTTCACTCTTGTTGCCCAGGCTGGAGTGCAATGGAGCGATCTCGGCTCACTGCAACCTCTGCCTCCAGGGTTCAAGCGATTCTCCTGCCTCAGCCACCTGAGTAGCTGGGATTACAGGCATGCACCACCACGCCCAGCTAGTTTTTGTATTTTTTAGTAGAGAGCAGGTTTCTCCATGTTGGTCAGGCTGGTCTTGAACTCCCGACCTCAGGTGATCTGCCTGCTTTGGCCTCCCAAAGTGCTGGGATTACAGGTGTGAGCCACCACGCCCACTCTTAATTTTTGTATTTTTAGTAGAGATGGGGTTTCACCATGTTAGCCAGGCTGGTCTTGAACTCCTGAGCTCAAGCGGTCCACCCTCCTCAGCCTCCCACAGGATTACAGGCGTGAGCCACTGTGCCTGGCCAATAACTTTGTAACTTTACTTCATCCTCTTCATTTACATAGGGGGTACACCAAGTAACCAATGGAAACCTCTAGAGGGTATTTAAGTCCCAGAAAATTCCGTAACAGGGCTCTTGAGCTCCTATGCCCAGGCCCGCTCCCACCCTGTGGAATGTACTTTCATTTTCAATAAATCTTTGCTTTTTTTTTCTTTTTCCTTTTTTTTTTTTTTTTTTTGGGATGGAGTCTCACTCTGTCACCCATGCTGGAGTGCAGCGGCACGATATCGGCTCACTGCAACCTCCGCCTCCCGAGTTCAAGTGATTCTCCTGCCTCAGCCTCCCAAGTAGCTGGGACTACAGGCGCCTGCCACCACACCCAGCTAATTTTTTGTATTTTTACTAGAGACAGGGTTTCACCATGTTGGTCAGGCTGGTCTCGAGCTCCCGAGCTCAGGCAATCCACCCGCCTGGGCTCTTTTTTCTTTTCTTTTTTTTCTTTTCTTTTCCTCTTTTCAGAGGGAGTCTCGCTCTGTCGCCAGGCTGGAGTGCAATGGCTTGATCTTGGCTCACTGCAACCTCTGACTCCTGGGTTCAAGTGATTCTCCTGCCTCAGCCTCCTGAGTAGCTGGGATTACAAGCGTGCACCACCATGTCCAGCTAATTTTTGTATTTTTAGTAGAGACAGGGTTTCACCATGCTGGCCAGGCTGGTCTCTATCTCCTGACCTCATGATCCACCTGCCTTGGTCTCCCAAAGTGCTGGGATTACAGGCATGAGCCACCACGCCCAGCAAATCTCTGCTTTTGTTGCTTCATTCTTTCCTTGCTTTGTTTGTGTGTTTGGTCCAATTCTTTGTTCAAGACGCCAAGAACCTGGACACCTTCCACCAGTTACATAAGGATGCAAAGGTATAAGAATGATATAATGGGCTGGGTGTGGTGGTTCACAGCTGTAATCCCAGCATTTTGGAAGGCGGAGGAGAGCTGATCCCGAGGTCAGGAGTTCTAGACCAGCCTGGCCAACATAGTGAAATCTCATCTCTACTAAAAATACAAAAATTAGCTGGGCGTGGTGGCGCGCAGCTGTAGTCCCAGCTACTAGGGAGGCTAAAGCAGGAGAATCGCTTGAACCTAGGAGGCAGAGGTTGCAGTGAGCCGAGATGCACCACTGCACTCCAGCCTGGGCAACAGAGCGAGACTCCATCTCGAAAAAAAAAAAAAAAAAACCCACAAAACAAAACATACTTTTTTTTTTTTGAGATGGAGTCTCGCTCTGTCACCCAGGCTGGAGTGCATGGTGCCATCTCGGCTCACTGCAAGCTCTGCATCCCGGATTCATGCCATTCTCCTGCCTCAGCCTCTCAAGTAGCTGGGACTACAGGCGCTCACCACCACGCCCAGCTATTTTTTTTTATTTTTAGTAGAGATGGGGTTTCACTGTGTTAGCCAGGATGGTCTTGAGCTCCTGACCTCGTGATCTGCCCATGTCAGCCTCCCAAAGTGCTGGGATTAGAGGTGTGAGCCACCGCGCCTGGCCAACAAAACATACTTTTTAGTAATTAAAAGAAAATCACCTAATCCAAACTCCGCTACCACCACCCACCACCCTACACCCAAATCTACTCAGTGCTCAAATATATCTAACACAAGCCATGTATATAATTGAACACATTCTGGTAACTACCAAAAAAGTAAAAAAGAAAGAGGTGAAATTAATTTTAATAATATGTTTTATTTAACTCAGCAAATCTGAAATATTATCTTTCAACATGATATGATTATAAAAAATTGTTATGGAGATTTTTTTGGTATTAAACTGTCTTGCTGAGTGTGGTGGCTCACGCCTGTAATCCTAGTACTTTGGGAGGTCAAAGTGGGACAACTGTATGAGTCTGGGAGTTCGAGACCAGCCTGGGCAAGATGGCAAGACTCTGTCTCTACAAAAAATACAAAAATTAGTTGGGCATGGTGGCACATGCCTATAATCCCAGCTACTAAGGAGGCTGAGGTGGGAGGACTGCTTGAGCTCAGGAGGTCAAGGCTGCAGTGAGCCATGATCGAGCCACTGCACTCCAGCCTGGGTGACAGAGCAAGAACCTGTCTCAAAAATAGTCATCATCATAATAAATAATAAATTTTAAAAATCATCACCATGTAGACCATTTCATGTGCTCATTAGCCACATTGGGCTGGTGAATGAAGCACAGACTTACAGGGATCCTATTCCATCCTCAGACCACTCTGATAGGAAGTTTTCCACTAGATGGTAAAATAATGCTGACTTTGTTTCTTCTTTAGGCTTTTTCTGCAAAGTGCTGGATTACAGGCATGAGCCACTGCACCCGGCTCCTGATTTTTTTTTTTTTTTTTTTGTGAGATGGAGTCTTGCTCTGTTGCCCAGGCTGGAGTGCAGTGGTGCCATCTCGGCTCACTGCAAGCTCCGCCTCCCGGGTTCAGGCCATTTTCCTGCCTCAGCCTCCCGAGTAGCTGGGACTACAGCACCCGACACCACGCCCGGCTAATTTTTTTGTATTTTTTAATAGAGACAGGGTTTCACCATGTTAGCCAGGATGGTCTCAATGTCCTGACCTCGTGATCTGCCCGCCTCGGCCTCCCAAAGTGCTGGGATTACAGGCGTGAGCCACCACACCTGGCCTTTTTTTTTTTTTTTTTAAGACAGAATCAGCCGGGCTGTTAATCCCAGCTACTCAGGAGGCTGAGGCAGGAGAATCGCTTGAACTCAGGAGGTGGAGGTGGCAGTGAGCCGAGACCGCAGCACCGCACTGCAGCCTGAGTGACAGAGCAAGACTCTGTCTCAAAAAAAAAAAAAAAAAGAGAGAGACAGAGTCTCTCTATGTCACCCAGGCTGGTCTCAAACTTCTGGCCTCAAGGGATCCTCCCACCTCAGCCTCCCAGAGTGCTGAGATTTGAGATTACAGGGGTGAGCCGCTGCACCCAGCTCCCTTGACTATCTCTGCAACTTCTCTGTAAATCTAAAATGATTCCAAATAAAAAGTTTATTAAACACAGATATTATATATTGTGGGTATCATATTAGGAATCCTGGGGGGAAAGGCAATAATAAAAAAAAGATTCTGACTTGGCTCTGGTTGAATAACAAAGAAGAAAACAATGAAAAAGAAAAAAAAAAAGAAAAGAGACCAAGCAGAGACCTCTGAGGCTGCATTTCAGGAAGCATGGGGAAGGGGTGGAGTAGAGTAGTAAACCAAATGAAATTGTAGGTTGGATCAGGGTTAAGTTTTTGGGACTTTATCCTGTGGCATGGGGAGTCATTGAAGGCTATTGAGCAAGGGTGTGGCCTGATTACATAGTGATTCAGCCAAGGTCACACAGTCCAGCTTCCCTCGATCCTTCCCTCCCCCTACCCACTGCCCCTCCCTTCCACGTGCTCTTCCATCTTTGCCTCCAGAGGCCTAGCTCTGGCACGACTCTAAGTCACTAGCATAGAGATGATCACCTCCACTGCCCACACCTGCCCTAGCCTTGTTCAGGTGTCTTTAAAGACTCAACATTTTTTTGTTTGTTTGTTTGTTTTGAGAAGCAGTCTCTGTCGCGCAAGCTGCAGTGGCGCAATCTCGGCTCACTGTAATCCCCGCCTCCCAGATTCAAATGTTTCTCATGCCTCAGCCTCCAGAGTAGCTGGGATTACAGGTGCGTACCACCACACCCAGCTAGTAGAGACGGGGTTTCACTGTGTTGGCCAGGTCTCAAACTCCTGGCCTCCACCTGCCTCGGCCTCCCAAAGTGCTGGGATTACAGGTGTGAGCCACCACGCCTGACCCTCAACATTTATTTTTTATTCTCGCTCTGTTGCCCAGGCTGGAGTGCAGTGGCGCAATCACACCTCACTGCAACTTCAAACTCCTGTGCTCCAGTGATCCTTCTGCCTTGGTCTCTTGAGTAGCTGAGACTACCAGTGAGGCTCAACATTTAGAATCTCAACATGCCACACCTGGTAAGGGCTGGCACCATTCCACCGACCCAGCACAGAGACCTCTTGGGCAGGGAGTTGCAGGGTGGAGCCTTATGCAAAATTCCACAAGTTCTAGGTTGAGTCATTTCTTCCACCACACCCACTCTGCTCACTCTCTCCTCCCCCAGTGAGATAAGTCCAGTACATCGGTGGAGGAAGGGGGCTCAGCAGCAGAAGATGGGGAAGACGGGGCTTCAAGGCTAAACCAGAATATTGTGCCACCAGGAGAATTGTCAATTCTCTCTTCAACGAGCCTTCTTGAAACCACACATATGCCCAGGTCAGAAGCTGGGAAAAGGAAGTTGGATAGAAAAAGGAGTTGAAGGGGAATAAATGTATTTGTGTAGTTTTTTCCTGCCAGCAATAGCAGCAATGAGAGTTCAAGGCTAGAATTAATTAGACTCTCACACCCCAATTAAGCCAGTTTTCTCCATCCTGGTTGTTAACAAAAGGCTAACATTATTAAACAATCTGTTCTGTGCCAGGCACTGTATGTATAACTTCATTTGTTCCTTATGGCAAATTTGTATTAGTATACCCATTTTATAAATGAGAAAACTGAGGCTTGGAGAAGGTAATGATGTGTCCAGGTTTACGCAACTAGTATGTGATGGAGCTGGCAAAGAGCAAAACCAATTCAAGTCTTCAGAAGACTGCATGGGTTTAAAAGTGCTCTGGGGGAATTTCATCTTTCAGGGGAGAAGGAAATGGTTTTATAGTAAAATCCTTATTCCTTTCAGGGTATTCAGTGCCTATTTCTGACCCCTGCCGTGACTGGAGTGGTCACAGCATGGAGAGAATCTCTGACCTCAAAGCCATGCCCTTCTTTTTGCCCAGAAGGGTGCGTCGCCATATCTGCATGTGTCCCTCCTCACTTCATTCAGGTCTCTGCCTAAAAATCAGAGAAGCCTTCTCTGATCACCCTATCCAAATGACAACCTCCATGTGTAGCCTCATAATCAGTCTAATTTGTCTTCATAGCACCTACCACGCCTTGACATATTTATAGACATTTCTTTGCTTATTGTCTGTCTCCACCCACTAGAATGTAAACTCCAGGAGGACAGGACCTGGTCTGTTTTGTTCACTGCTGTATTCTCAGTGCCTGGGATGGTGCCTGACATATAGTAGGCCCCTAACAAATATGTGGGTTTTTTTGTTTGTTTGTTTTTTGTTTTTTGTTTTTGAGACAGAGTATTGCTCTGTTACCCAGGTTGCAGTGCAGTGGCACGATCTCGGCTCACTGCAACCTCCACCTCCCAGGTTCAAGCGATTCTCCTGCTTTAGCCTCCTGAGTAGCTGGGATTACATGCTTTTGCCACCATGCCTCACTAATTTTTGTATTTTAAGTAGGGGCAGAGGTTTCACCATGTTGGCCAGGCTGATCTTGAACTCATGGCCTCAAGTGATCCACCCACCTCAGCTTCCCAAAGTGCTGGGATTACAGGTGTGAGCTCCCACCCCCAGTCACAAATATGTGTTGAATGAATACAAAGGGAAAATTCAGCTTGCTTTCACTAAGAGCATTTGACACTCCCGCTTCCATCAGCTGCTAAATTCGTCTTACCCCTCAAAGCCTTGCTCCTTTGTCCTCTCTTCAGGGACTTCTCCCTCATCTTCCCCAGCCCAGGGATTGATACAGCCACCCAACCAGCTGCTCCAGCCAGGAACTGGAAGATACCCTCACCTCCTCCTTCTTTCTTCCCACCTCTGCTCCCCGACTCCCCATTACTTCCAGTGTTCAATTAATCACCAACTCCAGTCCACTCTGCCTCTTTTTAAAAGTTTTTGGGACAGGGTCTCACTCTGTTGCCCAGGCTGGTCTCGAACTCCTAGGCTCAAGTAGTCCTCCCACCTCTGCCTCCCAAAGTGCTGGGGTTACAGGCATGAGCCACCGTGCCTGGCCTCCATTCTGCCTCTTAATTATCTCCTAAATCTGCTCATATCTCCCAATATTTGCTACACCCCCCCTACCAGGCAACCCTCCTATTTTCACTGGGTTACTGCACCAACTTTCTCACCAGCCTCCTGCCTCCAGTTTGGCCCCTGCCAGTCAGTCTCCATATTGCAATCAGTGATTGGTGTAAAGCTCAAATTTTCTCGGTAAACAAAGCATTGAGTCCTTAGTGGCCTGAGATAAAGTCCAAGATCTTAATGTGGGTTACAAAGCCCTGCCCCATCTGACCACAGCCTCATTCTTAGCCATACTCTGCTCCTGCCTCTTTGAACTATTTCCAGTTCCCCAAATGTGCTCCTGATAGTTATTTTGCCTGGGAGCTCAGGCCAACTCCTGCTCATCATTCAGGCCTCAGCTCGGATGTTGCTTTCTCCAGGAAAGCCTCCCTGACTTCTGTCCAACCAGGCTGGGCTAGAGGTCCTTAGTGTATCTTAGGGTATAGAATCAGGGCATTCTCCCTACCTGGAGGACTGCTGGTGGTCACTGGTCCAATTTCCAC
Source organism: Homo sapiens (assembly GCF_000001405.40). Taxonomy (NCBI): domain Eukaryota; kingdom Metazoa; phylum Chordata; class Mammalia; order Primates; family Hominidae; genus Homo; species Homo sapiens. Next base: position 27,195,306 of record NC_000001.11, read on the forward strand.
CCTTTTCCGTTTCTTGATAGTGTCACTGCTTAAATAGCCTTCTCTGCTTCTCCGATGCCTCTCACCCTTCAAGACCTATCTTTCTAGACTTGTTATCTAGAAAACTCTCTGGGGAGTAAAAAGAAGGCAGCCTCTGAGTGAGGATGCCCCAAGCTCAAGCCACCTCTGCCACTTCTTAGTGATACAACCTTGGGCATGTCATTGTAAAATGGAGATGATAACGTTAATATCTACCTCACAGTTGTTATAAGTAAAATTATAAATGTTAAAGGACAATTGGCCGGGCGCAGTGGCTCATGCCTAGAATCCCATCACTTTGGGAGGCCAAGGCGAACGGATCATCTGCGGTCAGGAGGTCGAGACCAGCCTGGCCAACATGGCGAAACCCTATCTCTACTAAAAACACAAAAATTAGTAGGGCGTGGTGGCACATGCCTGTAATTTCAGCTACTCAGGAGGCTGAGGCAGGAGAATTGCTTGAACCTGGGAGGCAGAGGTTGCAGTGAGCCGAGACTGTGCCATTGCACTGTAGCCTGGGCGACAAGAGCGAAACTCCATCTCAAAAAAAAAAAAAAAAAGAAAGAAAGATGTTAAAGGACAATGTAAACACTGCGATGTGTTATGGAGACGTGAGAATGATTATTCTCTGCTGGCACTGTGCTCCTGCAGCACTCACAGGCTGTGACCTGCCATTTGCATTTCATTATATCCTGCCTCCAGTGACCTGCTCTCTGCAACCAGTGTGGAAGCCAGCTAGGTTCTCTTCTCTAGCTCTTCCGCATCCCCTAGAGTTCAGAGATTAGTGGTGAGTAAATAGAAGGTGTATGTGATTATAACCAACTACCATTTATTTATCACCTACTATGCACTAATTACTTTACATATATTACAGTCAGGTACTGCATAATGATGTTTTACTCAACTACAGACCACATATACAGCAGTAGTTCCATAAGATTGGAACACCATGTTTTTATTGTACCTTTTTTATGATTGGGTATGTTTAGATACACAAATACTTACCATCATGTTACAATTGCCTACGGTGTTCAGTACGCTAACATGGTGTATAGGTTTGTAGCCTAGAAGCAATAGGCTGTGCCATATAGCCTAGGTGTGTAGGAGGCCATACTACCTAGGTTTGTGTAAGTACACTCTATGATGTTTACATGATGAAATCGCCTAATAACGCATTTCTCAGAATGTATCCTTGTTGTTAAGTAACGCATAGCTGTATTTCTTTTTCTTTTTCTTTTCTTTTTTTTTTTTTTGAGACGGAGTCTCACTCTGTCACCCAGGCTGGAGTGCAGTGGCGTGATCTTGGCTCACTGCAACCTCCACCTCCCAGGTTCAAGTGATTCTTCTGCCTCAGCCTCCCAAGTAGCTGGGACTACAGGCACACACCACCACGCCTGGCTAATTTTTGTATTTTTAGTAGAAACGGGGTTTCACCCTATTAGCCAGGCTGGTCTCGAACTTCTGACCTCGTGATCCGCCTGCCTCAGCCTCCCAAAGTTCTGGGATTACAGGCTTGAGCCACCACACCTGGCCCACATAGCTGTATTTCTAATTCTCAGAACTACCTGGGAGACAAGTAATTTTATCTCCACGATGCAACCTAAGGCTTAGAAAAATTAAATAACTTGCCGGGTGTGGTGGCTCACGCTTGTAATCCTAGCACTTTGGGAGGCCGAGGCGGGCGGATTGCCTGAGTTCAGGAGTTGGAGAACAGCGTGGGCAACACGGTGAAACCCCGTCTCTAATAAAATACAAAAAATTAGCTGGGCGTGGCGGCATGCGCCTGTAGTCCCAGCTACTTGGGAGGCTGAGGCAGGAGAATTGCTTGAACCCGGAAGGTGGAGGTTGCAGTGAGCCGAGATCATGCCACTGCACTCCAGCCTGGTGACAGAGCGAGACTCCATCTCAAAAAAAAAAAAAAAAGAAAGAAAGAAAGAAAGAAAGAAAAATTAAATAACTTGTCCAAGGTCACAGAGCTGTTGAGGTTAGGGACCTTGGGAATCTTTCTGGCACTTCCCCCAGCTTGATGTTAACAGGCTCATGGCCTTCCTCCTGCCGTTTCCTCTCTTGGTCATAAGCTGAGCTGTGTCCAGAGAAAGAGAAAAAATAAATCAAACTTGGGGCCTGGCAAAGGAGGTGAGTGTCATGCCACAGACCAGACACAGGGCAGGAGGAGACTTTTATTTTCTTTTATTTTATTTTTGAGACGGAGTTTCACTCTTGTCGCCCAGGCTGGGATGCAGTGGTGCAATCTCAGCTCACTGCAACCTCCGCCTCCCAGGTTCAAGCAATTTTCCTGCCTTAGCCTCCCAAGTAGCTGGGATTACAGGTGCCTGCCACCACGCCCAGCTAATTTTTGTATTTTTAGTAGAGACGGGGTTTCACCATGTTGGCCAGGCTGGTCTTGAACTCCTGACCTCAGGTGATCCTCCCGCCTCGGCCTCCCGAAGTGCTGGGATTACAGGCGTGAGCCACCGCACCCAGCCAGGAGGAGACTTTTAAAATGAAAATTAAGATACAGCTCCACCCAAAGCACTGTCACAAAGTCCTGGTTCTGTGAATGTAGAGTGTGACAGGTGGTCAGGAAAAGCCCTGCGACATCTTCTAGCTGTGTCAGCACTGAAGTGATGCCCACATCTTACACATGGAAAGTAGATCGGAGTGGGATCTGTTAGCCAGATCACTCACAGTAAGGGAATGGTCCGCTATTACAAGGGTTTCTATCCTCTATGACAAAGATTTTAATTTAGGAAGAGAAGATGCAGGGTTCATAGTGAGCCACAAGGTGGCACTGTGAGAGGAGGGCACACAAAGTACCGAATTAGAACCTCTGGACGTGAAGGATTAGAAGAGATTTTACAGCAGAGAAATACAAAGTAAACGCCTCCTTTTACAGAAGAGATATGAGGTCCAGAGAAGTTATCCAAGTTGTAGAGTTTTGTGGTTAAGCCAGTACCAGAGACCCAGGTCTGTCTGTTTCTAAGTGTGGTGCACTTAACCTGTAATGCTCACCAAATCACATCTACAGATTCCCACCCATTGCATGGTGTGATCTTACTCAAGTCACTGATGTATTTCTGGGTCTCAGTCTTCCTGACCATAGAATGTAGGACTAGTCTAGATCTGGTTTTCTTTTTCTTTTTCCTTTTTTTTGAGACGGAGTTTTGCTCTTGTTGCCCAGACTGGAGTACAATGACGTGATCTCAGCTCACTGCAACCTCCGCCTCCTGGGTTCAAGCGATTTTTCTGCCTCAGCCTCCCGAGTAGTTGGGACTATGGGCGCATGTCACCACGCCCAGCTAATTTTTGTATTATTAATAGAGACGGGGGTTTCACCATATTGGCCACGCTGGTCTCGAACTCCTGACCTCAGGTGATGTGCCCACCTCGGTTTCCCAAAGTGCTGGGATTACAGGCGTGAGCCACCGCGCCTGGCCTCATTTTTATATTTTTCTTTTTTTGTTTGAGATGGAGTCTCACTCTGTCACCCAGGCTAGAGTGCAGTGGCATGATCTTGGTTCACTGCAACCTCTGCCTCCTAGACTCAAGTGATTCTCCTGCCTCAGCCTCCCGAATAGGGCTGAGATTATAGGCATGCACCACCATGCTCAGCTAATTTTTTTGTATTTTTAGTAGAGATGGGGTTTCACCATGTTGGCCAGGCTGGTCTCGAACTCCTGACCTCAAATGGCTCGCCCGCCTCGCCTCCCAGAATGCTGGGATTACAGGTGTGAGCCACCGTGCCTGGGTTTTTTTGTTTGTTTGTTTTTGTTTGTCTGTTTGTTTAGGAGCAGAAGTTTAATAGGTAAGAGAAAGAGAAAGGAAAACAGCTCTCTTCTCTAGTGAAAGAGAGGGGACTTCTGAGAGGAAAAGGCTGGCCAGTGGCGGATGCACTGGATTTTATATGCAGGCTTGAGGAGGTGCTGTCTGCATAGACAGAAAGGATAGGAGACATGGCAGTCATGGACAGAAAAGGAGGAGATTACGACAGAAAAGTTGGAGATCCTGTTGCTGACACCCCATCGGGTGGTTGGAGGCTGGGGTCAGTCCAGAAGCCTTTGGATAACACCAGGGGGTAGCCTCAGCCAGAAATCCTCAGTTACTTCCAGGACCTCTTCCAGCCCCACATGACAGCTAAGTCCTCTGTGAAAGGAAGCTGGTTCAAACATGGCTAATATGCCCAGCAATCTGTGGGTACTGGGGGATTCTCCGTGTTCTCCTCAGCAAGCCTCACATCTAAGTCTTTAAGAACACGCCATGCTAATCGCATTCTTAAATGGCTGAAGGATGCCTGTTAGTGATTTGATTTGGTTCTAAAATGGAGGCCTGACACGGTGTGGCCGACACCTGGTATCCCATCATTTTGGTAGGCTGAGGCAGGCAGATCACCTGATGTCAGGAGTTCAAGACCAGCCTGGCCAACAAGACAAAACCCCATCTCTACTAACAATACAAAATTAGCTCAGCATGGTGGTGCAGGCCTGTAATCCCAGCTACTTGGGAGGCTGAGGCAGGAGAATCATTTGAACCTGGGAGGTGGAGGTTGCTGTGAGCCGAGATTATACTACTGTACTCCCGCCTGGGTCAGAGAGGAAGATCCTGCCTCAAAGTAAAATAAAATAAAATATAATAAAATAAACTGGAGGCTGAGAGCCCCAAAATGAAAGGACAGAGTTGGAGTCTGCTCCTCTACTCACTGTTTTTTTTTTTTTTTTTGCCAGTCTTTGTCAGAAAATATATTTATTATTGATAGTGAGTGAAGTAAAGATGTGAGTATTCACTATAGAGGTTATATCAGCCAAGGTTGCCTTCATATTGATAAAAATACCTTATCTCACTTGTAATCATAAACATTATTCCAGTAGAAGAGGTACATTTTCTCTCCTTTTTGTCTTCTTGCCTGTATAATCACCATAATAAGTTACAATGAAATAGCTTTTATATAATCAAAGGAGAAAAGAAAGAGAGACAAAACCAACATGCCACAGCCTAGACAATTCCATCCAGCACTGCTGCCTCCAGATCTGTTTTCTGGCTTTCTCCACCCAGCACTGCTGCCTCCAGATCTATGTTTTGTGGCTCTCTCCTCACCCTACTCCAATTAATTTAGCCCCCGACCCCATCTACTTTGTTAGGGTGGAGGTTCACCAAATGATGGGGCTTGTTCAGAAGAGAAACATTTTATGGTCAGTGGAAGTTGAGTAGAAAGTACCAAAATGTGGAGAGGGCTGCCCTTCTCTTTTAATCATCATAAGAGGGTTTGCTAATACTGAAGAGTGTCCTTTAATGACTGATCCCTGATCAAGGCTTTGGCCCTTCAAATTGCTGCTGTTCAAAATGTGAAATGATTCTGCTGAATCCATTCTTGGTGTCTCTCTTTAGTGGTCTTCTCATTAGTGGTCTTCTCTTCAAATGGGTTGTTTTCTCACTAGGAAAAACAATGTTCCATCTCTGGAATTAACGTTGATGGTGTTTTGCTCATTCTGAAAGTTTTTATCCTCCCTTCTCAAGCATGGCCACTCTGGGTGGCCAGAGTGGAGCATTTGAAGGTCTGGTGGGTGTTCTCACGGTAACACTGAAGAATTTTGGCCTGCAGATCAGCACAGACTGGATGAGACTCATACCGCTTGAACTTTGCTTCCACCTCTTCAGCAGCTTTCTGATATTGTTCAGTGGTGACTCTGAAGAACTCTGAGTTCCTCTTCTCCAGTCTAGCCAGCTGTTCGTTGTAGAATGCATCCTGCTTCTTTAGCACTCGGTCTTTCTCTTCCAGCTGCCTAGCCAGGTGCTTTGCCTTAGCGCGTTCCTCCTCGCTAGATATCCTCTCCCGAAGGATGGCTCTGGTTAACTGCTCATTGGCAGCAACCCTCTCTCGGTCCAGCTCTTTGGCTGCTTTAGTCGTTTCTCATCTTCAGATTCTTTCTTGGCTTGCTCCAATGCCAGCTCCTCAGCTACTCTTCTTTTCAATTCTTCATCAGAAACTGAGGCACCATAAGCACCAGAATACCGCTGAGACTTCGAACCAGATGGAGAGGATTCCTTCATTCGATCAATCACATTTTCTGAAAGCCGGATGCCCTTCACCACGGTAATGTTCTCATTCTCGTCCGCCTCGAAGGTGACCCGGCGGGTGCTGGTGGTCCCACCCATGGCTCCGGTTCCTGCCCCAGCGGAGACCTAGCGCGGAACCACGAGCACTTCGGGGCCCCCGCGCCCACACGCGCATGGAAGGGCCTGGATTCTTTTCCCGCACGGCGGGAGCAAGGCCACGGCCCCTACTCACTGTTTCAATGAATTATGTACCTTGGTATCCTGGACAAGGTCCCCAATATGAAGCAACTATGTTGTCTGGGTAAGTACCCAGGGTTCATCATCTCACACCAAGAAAATTTAGGATATGGACACACATGAGGAGTTTAGGAGCAGAGGTTTAATAGGCAAGAGAAAGAGAAAGAAAGAGAAAGGAAAACAGCTCTCTCTCTAGTGAGAGAGGGGGGACTTCTGAGAGGAAAAATCCCCCTCTTTTTTTTTTTTTTTTTTTTGAGACGGAGTCCTGCTCTGTCACTCAGGCTGGAGTGCATTGGCGCAATCTCAGCTCACTGCAACCGCCACCTCCCAGGTTCAAGCGATTCTCCTGCCTCAGCCTCCTGAGTAGCTGAGTAGCAGGCAGATTACTTGAGCTCAGAAGTTCAAGATCAGCCTGGGCAACAACATGGGGAAACTCTGTCTCTACCAAAAAAAAAGTAGAGATGAGATCTTGCTATGTTGCCCAGGCTGGTCGTAAACTTGAACCAGGGAGGCAGAGGTTGCAGTGAGCCAAGATTGCACCACTGCCTTCCAGCCTGGGCGACAGAGCGAGACTCTGTCTCAAAAAAAAATTATTTCACTTTATCTCCAGTATTGGCTTACAAGTTATACCTATTTTTAAATTTTCAGTGGTTACCCTAGGACTTATAATGCATATATTTAACTTACCACAGTCTACTTTCTTTTTTTTTTTTTTTTTTTTTTTTTTGAGACGGAGTCTCGCTCTGTTGCCAAGGCTGAAGTGCAATGGTGTGATCTCGGCTCACTGCAACCTCCGCCTCCTGGATTCAAGCGATTCTTCTGCCTCAGCCTCCTGAATAGCTGGGACTACAGGCATGTGCCACTACACCCAGCTAATTTTTGTATTTTTAGTAGATACAGGGTTTCACCATATTGGTCAGGCTGGCCTCAACTCCTGACTTCGTGATCTGCCCGCCTTGGCCTCTCAAAGTGCTGGGATTACAGACATGAGCCACCGCACCTGGCCCAGAATCTACTTTCAAATAATATTAAACCATTTCCCATATATTGCAAGAACCTCACAACAATATACTTCCAGTTCCTTCCTACCAACTTTGGTACTCTTCTTAATCTTTTTCTTTTTTTTTCTTAAGATGGGGTCTCGCTAAATTACCCAGGCTGGTCTTGGACTCCCGGGCTCAAGCAGTCCTCCCACCTTGGCTTTCCAAAGTGCTGGGATTACAGGTGTGAGCCACTGCGCCTGGCCAATTATTTTTTAAAGAGATTAAAAATAAGAATAATGGGCTGGGCGTGGTGGCTCACACCTGTAACCCCAGCACTTTGGGAGGCCAAGGCGGGTGGATCATCTAAGGTCGGGAGTTTGAGATCAGCCTGACCAACGTGGTGAAACCCCGTCTCTACTAAAAATACAAAAATTAGCTGGGCGTGGTGGCGCATGCCTGTAATCCCAGCTACTCAGGAGGCTGAGGCAGGAGAATCGCTAGAACTCGGGAGGCGGAGGTTGCGGTGAGCCGAGATCGTGCCATTGCACTCCGGCCTGGGCAACAAGAGTGAAACTCCATCTCAAAATAAATAAATAAAAGAATAATGTTTTTCATCTTTACCTTGTATTTTTACCATTTTCAGTACTCTTCATTTCTTTGTGTAGATCCAAGTTCTGCCTGGTATCATATACCTTCTGCATGAGGAATCTCCTTTACCTTTTCTCATTGTAGGTCTGCTGACAATGATTTTTCCCAGCTTTTGTTTGTTGCTTGGTCAACTTTCAGCCACCCCTGCACACTTGCACCCCAGCCGAGCTCCTTCCCCATGCTCCCGCGTCTCCCACTGTGGTAGACTGCCTTTGCTTGTTCCTTGGTGCTGGGCTCCTCAGGAAGTGGGATGGGTTTCTCTGTTGTCCTGACCCAGCCTTCGTCTTAGGCAGACTCAATACATCCGGGACTTAGGCTGGAGCCTTCTCAGCATTCCTGCCCCTCCTCCATGTATTTCTGGTTATCTGCAGTGTTAGCAGTTCTCAGCTTATTATTGCTGTAGGATCCTGGGTCCCAGATGGTTTCCAGCCCCCCTGAAAAAGTAGAGGGTTTTTGCTTCTACCCTTCCCCCAGGTGCAGTGGGTCACGGAGTGAGAGTGTTTCCTACCCACCCAACACCAAAGGCAAATGAGTTTTGCTTCTACTCCTTTCTAGAAGCAATAAATCTTTGCTGAGCTGTGGCATGAGAGGGTCTGCTTTCCCTCCCGCAGACAACTTTGTCCCCTTTAAAAGCAGCTTGTGGGACTTCATGCTCATCCCTCAACTGCAGCCTACTACCTGCACACCCGTGCCACTGAGGGGGCTCTCTCTGGTCTCCTGCCCTGCCTCCAGTCTTGTGAGGACCCACTGGAGGCCCATGGAAAAGAATTTGGAGTGAGTGCCAACTCCCCTTGTGTCTAGGCCCCAGTCTGTACCAAACTGATATGCTGGCGCACACTTGGTGCTTAAAACATTTTTTAAGCTTTAGTTGACTTTCTTTTACTCACTTGAATGGCAGCCACCACATTCCCCCATGCTCTGACAAAGGTGATGCAATTTGTGTGTTCCATCACATCTGTGAGAGGCTTGTATCTCTTTGAAATTCAATTGATTTGGTTGCCTTGCAACCTTAGCTCTCTGATGAGCTCAAGAAAAATTAGGACTTCATAAATTATCTGCCTTTTCCTCATTGTTAAGGGAGGAGCAATGTTCTTTGCCACTTTCTTCATTCCAGGTGACAGTGGAAGCCTAAAATCTTTCTTGAAACTTACTTTTTATTACTGAACAACATATCTTGGATATCTTTCATGGCAATAACCAGGGATTTACATAGTGTTTCAGTACTACCTCGGCTGCAATGGGGTACCCTACATAGGAATATTTTCTTTTTTTTCTTTCTCTTTTTGAGACAGAATCTCGCTCTGTCACCCAGGCTGGAGTGCCGTGGCACGATCTCGGCTCACTGCAACCTCCGCCTCCCGGGTTCAAGAGATTCTCCTGCCTCAGCTTCCCAAGTAGCTGGGATTACAGGCACATGCTGCCACGCCCAGCTAATATTTTGTATTTTTAGTAGAGATGGGGTTTCTGCATGTTGGTCAGGCTGGTCTTGAACTCCTGACCTCAGGTGATCCGCCCACCTCGGCCTCCCAAAGTGCTGGGATTACAGGCATGAGCCACTGCTCCTGGCGGGTTTTTTTTTTTTTTTTTTTTGAGACTTTTTTTTTTCTGAGACTTTTTTTTTTGAGACAGGGTCTCCCTCTGTCACCCAGGCTGGAGTGTAGTGGTGTGGTCTCGGCTCACTGCGACCTCCGGCTCCTGGGTTCAAACAATTCTCCTGCCTCAGCCTCTGGAGCAGCTGGGACTACAGGCGTGCGCCACCATGCCCGGCTAATCTTCGTATTTTTAGTAGAGACGGGGTTTCACCATGTTGGCCAGGCTGGTCTTGAACTCCTGACCGCAGGTGATCTGCCCGCCTCGGCCTCCCAAAGTGCTGGGATTACAGGCGAGAGCCACCACTCCCGGCTAGGAATATTTTCAGAAATAATTCCCAAACCCTCAAGGATGGGTCCATCTCTTGCTGCATCCGAGCATTTGTGCCAGGCACTGTGGGGCAAAGCATTCGTCCACTCACTTCGTAAGTATTTACTGAGAGCATCCCATGCACACGTATCTACCAGGCTAGCTGCTGGAGATTCTATAGGCAGACCTGGTCGTGGCCTTCATGGGGCTCAGAGTATGGCAAAGCAGATAGTGGGGAAAAACATCACAACAGATGTGGTAAGTGTTACAAAAGGGAAGTAGAGGACACTGTGAGAGATTATGACTAGGGAACCAACCTAGCCCTGTTCAAGAAAGGCCTTCCTGGCCAGGCACGGTGGCTCATGTCTGTAATCCTAGCATTTTGGGAGGCGAAGATGGGTGGATCACTTGAGGTCAGGAGTTCGAAACCAGCCTGGCCAAATGGTGCAACCCATCTCTACTAAAAATACAAAAAAAAAAAAAAATTTAACGGGGCATGGTGGCGGGTGCCTGTAATCCCAGCTACTCGGGAGGCTGAGGCAGGAGAATTGCTTGAACCCGGGAGGCAGAGGTTGTGGTGAGCCAAGATCGCACCCCTGCACTCCAGCCTGGGTGACAGAGTGAGACTCCATCTAAAAAAAAAAAAAAGAAAGGCCTTCCTAAAGAAGAAGCATTTTAGCTGAGAGCTGCAGGATACTTAGGACTCAGCCAGGCAAAGAGAGGAAGTGTTCTAGTTATAATGGGTGCATACCAAATTTCTCCAATGCTTATTGGCATAAAACAGCCGTTTATTACAATCACGAGTTCCCTGGGTCAGGAATTCAGGCAAGACACCACAGGTGGCTTATCTCTGCACCAGTGTCTGGGGACTATCTGGAGCACTTAAAGGCAGAAACCTGGAATCATCTAAAGGTGGTGGTTGATGTCCGCTGTTGGCTAGGGGCCTCAGCTCCTCTGCACGTGGGCTTCTTTGAGTGATCGCTCCACGTGGGCCAGTTTGGGCTTCCTCAGCACAGGACTAGGTTCCAAGGGCAAACATCCCAAGAAAGAGACTCAGGCAGAAGTAGTATCACCTTTTATGACCCAACTTCAGTAGTCACTCGGCATTCTGTCTCCTGCATTCTAGTTGTTGAGGCGGTCAATAAGAGTCCCATTCCATTTCAAGGGGAGGGGAAACAAAAACAGACTCCATCTCTTGATGAGGAAGCGGCAAGATTCTGGAATAGCAGAAATATTGCCATGGCCGTTTTAGGAAAGCACAATCTACCACAGAGGGAAGAGTGTTTCAGTGTGGGAGAATGCTTCAGCAAAAATCTTCCGGTGAGAGAAGGCAGGGCCCACCCTAAGACAGAAAAGAAGCCTGGTAAGGCTAGCCAAGAGGAGACTGGTAGAAAATGAGGCTTACGAGGTCAAAAACCAACATCCTCATTCTTGGGCTGAGGAAGTGTATCATCTTAACAGCTATGGTGCCTCCCTTCTATTTAATGCTTTATAAGCGACAAAGCGATGCCTCAGTTCTTTCCTCATTTGTTTCAAACAACAGTCCTGTGAGGGACGTATGCTTAGCCCTATAAAGACGAAGAAACTAAGCATCAGTGACATGAAGTGGAAGGCAACACAGTGGGGCAGGACTACTCACAGCAATTTTAGGTGTCACATGGATAAACATTTTACATGTTAATAGTTAATGTCTCCTGGTATGATTCCATCCTGAGCGGCTGTTCTCTTGAGCAGCGTTCATTTATCTCCGTCTGCCTTCTGTCCCACCTAAGTGTGTGCCGCCACCCAATAGAAGATTCGATGGACATGGACATGAGCCCCCTGAGGCCCCAGAACTATCTTTTCGGTTGTGAACTAAAGGCTGACAAAGATGATCACTTTAAGGTGGATAATGATGAAAATGAGCACCAGTTATCTTTAAGAACGGTCAGTTTAGGGGCTGGTACAAAGGATGAATTGCACATTGTTGAAGCAGAGGCAATGAATTACAAAGGCAGTCCAATTAAAGTAACACTGGCAACTTTGAAAATGTCTGCACAGCCAACAGTTTCCCTTGGGGGCTTTGAAATAACACCACCAGTGGTCTTAAGATTTAAGTGTGGTTCAGGGCCAGTGCATATTAGTGGACAGCACTTAGTAGCTGTGGAGGAAGATGCAGAGTCAGAAGATGAAGAGGAGGAGGATGTGAAACTCTTAAGTATATCTGGAAAGCGGTCTGCCCCTGGAGGTGGTAGCAAGGTTCCACAGAAAAAAGTAAAACTTGCTGTTGATGAAGATGATGATGATGATGATGATGATGATGATGATGATTTTGATGATGAGGAAGCTGAAGAAAAAGTGCCAGTGAAGAAATCTATATGAGATACTCCAGCCAAAAATGCACACAAGTCAAATCAGAATGGAAAAGACTCAAAACCATCATCAGCACCAAGATCAAAAGGACAAGAATCCTTCAAAACACAGGAAAAAACTCCTAAAACACCAAAAGGATCTAGTTCTGTAGAAGACATTAAAGCAAAAATGCAAGCAAGTATAGAAAAAGGGGGTTCTCTTCCCAAAGTGGAAGCCGAGTTCATCAATTTTGTGAAGAATTGCTTCTGGATGACTGACCAAGAGGCTATTCAAGATCTCTGGCAGTGGAGGAAGTCTCCTTAAGAAAATAGTTTCAACAATTTGTTAAAAATTTTCCATCATATTTCATTTCTGTAACAGTTGATATCTGGCTGTCCTTTTTTTTTTTTTTTACTTTTGTTTGGCAATTGCAAAATTTATTTTATACAGAAAATATTTCACTTAATTTGAATAAAATCTTTTTTTCCATTAAAGTTTTTTTTAATTTTATTACTATTATACTTTAAGTTTTAGGGTACATGTGCACAACGTGCAGGTTTGTTACATATGTATACATGTGCCATGTTGGTGTGCTGCACCCATTACCTCGTCATTTAGCATTAGGTATATCTCCTAATGCTATCCCTCCCCCCTGCCCCCACCCCACCACAGTCCCCAGTGTGTGACGTTCCCCTTCCTGCGTCCATGTGTTCTCATTGTTCAATTCCCACCTATGAGTGAGAACATGCGGTGCTTGGTTTTTTGTCCCTGCGATAGTTTGCTGAGAATGATGGTTTCCAGCTTCATCCATGTCCCTACAAAGGACATGAACTCATCATTTTTTATTGCTGCATAGTATTCCGTGGTGTATATGTGCCAGATTTTCTTAATCCAGTTTATCATTGTTGGACATTTGGGTTGGTTCCAAGTCTTTGCTGTTGTGAATAGTGCCACAATAAACATACGTGTGCATGTGACTTTATAGCAGCATGCTGCTATAAAGTCACATGGCTGTCCTTTTTATAATGCAGAGTGAGAACTTTCCCTACCGTGTTTGATAAATGTTGTCCAGGTTCCATTGCCAAGAATGTGTTGTCCAAAATGCCTGTTTAGTTTTTAAAGATGGAACTCACCCTTTGCTTGGTTTTAAATATGTATGGAATGTTATGATAGGACATAGTAGTAGCGGTGGTCAGACATGGAAATTGTGGGAAGACAAAAATATGCCTGTGAAATAAAACTCAATATTTTAATAAAGTAAAAAAAAAAAAAAAAGTTAATGTCAGGCCAGGTGCGGTGGCTCATGCCTGTAATCCCAGTACTTTGAGAGGCCATGACGGGTGGATCACCTGAGGTCAGGAGTTCGAGATCAGCCTGGCCAACATGGTGAAACCCCATCTCAACTAAAAATACAAAAATTAGCCGGGCGTGATGGTGGGTGCCTGTAATCCCAGCTACTTAGGAGGCTGAGGCAGGAGAATCGCTTGAACCTGGGAGGCGGAGGTTGCAATGAGCTGATATTGAGCCACTGCACTCCAGCCTGGGCAACACAGCGAGACTCTGTCTCAAAAAAAACAATAACTTGTACAACTTGCGACCTGTGTCCTGTGAGCTGCATACGGCCCACAATGGCTTTGAATGCGGCCCAACACAAATTCATAAATTTTCTTAAAATATTATGAGATTTTAGGCCAGGCACGGTAGCTCATGCCTGTAATCCCAGCACTTTGGGAGGCCAAGGCAGGCGGATCACGAGGTCAGGAGTTCGAGACCAGCCTGGCCAAGATGGTGAAACCCCGTCTCTACTAAACATACAAAAAATAGCCAAGTGCAGTGGCAGGCGCCTGTAATCCCAGCTACTCGGGAGGCTGAGGCAGGAGAATCACTTGAACCCAGGGGGCAGAGATTGCAGTGAGTTGAGATCACACCACCGCATTCCAGCTTGGGTGACAGTTTTTTGTTTTTGTTTTTGTTTTTTAAGCTCATCAGCTATCATTAGTGTATTTTAGTTAGTGTTTAGTTTAGTTAGTGTGGCCCAAGACAATTCTTCTTCTTCCAGTATGGCCCAGGAAGCCAAAAGATTGGATGCCCTGGTAGAAGGTCTGTGACTATGGTCATAATGATAAAGATGGAAGGTAAATGAGGAGCGTTTAAGAAATACTGGCAAAGGATTCAGCGCCTGGGATCTGGAACGAGAGCAAATCCTGGCTAGTTTCCAAAAGTAAACATCCCAACAAAGACCCAGGCAAGTTATTTAGCTTCCCTGTGCCTCAGTTTTCTCATCTTTAAAATGAAAATAGGCTGGGCATGGTGGCTCATGCTTGTAATCCTAGCACTTCGGAAGGCCAAGGTAGGAGGATTGCTTGAGACCAGGAGTTCGAGACCAGCCCTGGCAACATAGCGAGACCCTTGTCTCTATACAAAATTTAAAAAATAAATTATGGCCAGGTGCACTGTCTCATGCTTGTAATCTTTTGGGAGGGCAAGCCAAGAAGATCACTTGAGCTCAGGAGTTTGAGATCAGCCTGGGCAACATTGTGAGACTCCTTTTCTAAAAAAAGAAAAAAAAAGAGAGAAAAAGAAAGTTAAAAAAAAAAAAGGCCAGGCATCATAGCACACACCTGTAGTCCTAAGCTACTCAGGAGGCTAAGTTGGAGCGATCGCTTGACCCCAAGAGATCCAGGTGGCAGAGCCATGATTACACCACTGCACTCCAGCCTGGGTGACAGAGGGAGAGAGAGACTCTGTATCAAATAAATAAATAAATAATAAATAAATAAAATGAAAATAATTATATTACCTCCTTTCATAGGGTTGTCATGAAGACTAAATTAGTTGATATTTGTATAGTGCCTACAATAGTTCTTGGCACTTAGTAAGTTCTGCATAAGTGTTTGTTAAATAACTAAATTAAATTAACTGACTTAAGCATAAAAGGGAATGTCCTGGCTCTTCTAACTAAAAAGTTCATGGGTATCTGTCTTCAGGGTGGATCTGAGAGCTCAAAGTTTGTCATCAGCTCTCTCTATCTCTCTCCTTTGCTCCCTCCTGCACCTCCCACCCTGCAACATCGCAGCTCTGCTCTGCGTTGATCTGTCCTCAGGTGACCTCCCACCCAGCATTGGCAAGGTGGCTACGGTAGCTCCAGGGTTATATCCTCATAGCTACCAGCCCAGAGGAAAGAGATACCTCTTTGCCATTGTTGTAGGAAACTTACATATGCAGCCTAGAATCCAGGAGGTGAAGCCAAGTTCCCCAAACCTCGTGGACTGAATGTGTGGGAGGCATGGACCCTTAAGGAAAATCCAGGTGTTCTTCAAAGAAGAAAAGAGATCAGATGCTGGATAGAAAAACAAGCTAACAAAAATTTGAAGTCTGGGACTGGGCATGGTGCCTCAGCACTTTGGGAGGCTGAGGCAGGAGGATCGCTTGAGCCTAGGAGTTTAAAACCAGCCTGGGTAACATAGCAAGACCCCATATCTATAAAAAACAAAACAAAACAAAACAAAAAAAGAAAGAAAGAAAGAAAATAAAGTCCACTATACTACGTAACTTTGTAAATTATCTTAGCTCTCTGAGCCTCAGTTTCCTTGTATGTAAATGACAATCCATGACGGTGCCCACACAATAAAACCGTGGTAAGGATTAAATGAGTTAAACATCTATTACTGACGTTTAGCACCATACCAGGCAAACAGTAAGTACTCAAGAAATGTTAGTTATTATTCTGGAAGTTGCTCTCTGAGGTAGCGTGTGGGTCAGTGTCCTCTTTGTGAGATTTCATTTCGGTGTACCGCAGCCAGGGCCAGAAAGTGCAGAAGGTTATGGTACAGCCCATCAACCTCTCTTCAGATATTTACAAAACAGATCCCGGATTCAGGTATGGCTCTATGAGCAAGTGAATATGCGGATAGAAGGCTGTATCATTGGTTTTGATGAATATATAAACCTTGTATTAGATGATGCAGAAGGGATTCATTCTAAAACAAAGTCAAGAAAACAACTGGGTTGATATTTCTTTTTTTTCTTTTCTTTTTTTTTTTTTTGAGACGGAGTTTCGCTCTTGTTGCCCAGGCTGGAGTGCAACGGTGCAATCTCAGCTCACCACAACCTCCGCCTCCTGGGTTCAAGCGATTCTGCTGCCTCAGCCTCCCGAGAAGCTGAGATTACCAGTGTGCGCCACCACACCCGGCTAATTTTGTATTTTTAGTGGAGATGGTGTTACTCCATGTTGGTCAGGCTGGCCTCGAACTCCCAATCTCAGGTGATCTGCCCGCCTTGGCCTCCCAAAAAGTGCTGGAATTACAGGCGTGAGCCACCACGCCCGGCCTAGACTTTCTATCATCTTCTTCTAACAGCAATCCCTCTTCTCTGTGTAGTATTTTACGGTATACAAAGAGACTTCACCTGCATTTTTAAAATTTGATCCTCACAATAACATTCTAACTTTTTGCAAAGGTTACACAGTTGGAGAACTGGAAACTCAAGGAACCATGCATCCATCCACTTCCTCCACAAATATGAAGTGTATACCACATTCTGTGGGGAATGGCTCCTCCTCATGCTCCAGCTTCCTTCCATATTTCCACTCATCTATACCCTAGAGCAGGGTTTTTCAAGTTGCAGGTCATTATTCATTAGCAGGTCATGAAATCAATTTAGTGAGCCATTATCAGCAATTTAATTTTTTTGACGAAATAGAAAACACCCGGTGCATCCCAAATAGTGCACCAGAATACCGTTTTGTGAGACTCTTATTCAATTACACATCTGCATATATACGTGGATACTGGGTCACAATGTAAAATGGATTTCTCTTTGTAAGACATTGTTAAAGAGGTCGAAAACTGTTGACTAGCAGAGCATCTGAAACTTTGTGGTCCCAAGACCCCTTTACAATCTTAAAAATTATTGAGAACCCTCCAAAAATGTCTGTTTTTTGTAGATTATGTCTATTGATATTTACCATACTGGAATTAAAACTGAAAAAATTTCACAGGAATACTCAGGCACAGATACCATTAGTCATGAGATTGATATAATCACTTGTCTTGTAGCCTCTGGAAAACTCCACTGTACCTTCATGAGAGAACCACTGTGGAAAAGGCAAATAACTTTTTAGCACTATTATGGATATTGTTTTGACTTTGCAGACCCACTGAAAAGGTCTTGGAGGAATGGACTACAGGACATCTTTGTCTAAATGTTTCTGCCAAATTTCTTTTCTTTTTTTTTTTTTTTTGAGGCGGAGTCTTGCTCTGTTGCCCAGGCTGGAGCGCAGTGGTGCAATCTCAGCTCACTGCAAGCTCCACCTCCCAGGTACACACCATTCTCCTGCCTCAGCCTCCCGAGTAGCTGGGACTACAGGTGCTCACCACCATGCCCAGCTAATTTTTTTTTGTATTTTTAGTAGAGACAGGTTTTCACCGTGTTAGCCAGGATGGTCTCGATTTCCTGACCTCGTGATCTGCCCACCTTGGCCTCCCAAAGTGCTGGGATTACGGGCTTGAGCTACCGTGCCCGGCCCAAATTTCTAATTCACCCTTTCCAAAGCAAACTCATCATCTTCTTTTCCAAACCAATAGATTCTCACAGGGTCCACGTTATGGTCATTAACACTTTGAAGTTAAAATAAAAACGTAGACCGTGTGTGGTGGCTCATGCCTATAATCCCAGCACTTTAGGAGGCCGAGGCGGGTGGATCACCTGAGGTCAGGAGTTTGAGACCAGCCTGGCCAGCATGGTGAAACCCCGTCTCTACTAAAAATACAAAAAGAAAAAAAAAAAATAAGTAGCCGGGTGTGGTGGTGTGCGCCTGTAATCCCAGCTACTTGGGAGGCTGAGGCAGGAGAACTGCTTGAACCCAGGAGGCGGAGGTTACAGTAAGCCAAGATCATGCCATTGCACTCTAGCCTGGGCGACAGAGCGAGACTATGTCTCAAACAAACAAACAAAAAAATGTAGAGATGAATCTCTAAATTTAACATTTTATTTGTGAAGAAAGAATTGTAATTTGGGGCATATATGCAGACAGGGTAGTCTTCAGTATGTCTGAAGAACAAACAGAAGGTTGGAGATTTTATTTAAAAAGAGAAATGTATTGCTCTTTGAAAATTTTTGGCCAGGTGCAGTGGCTCACACTAGTAATTCCAGCACTTTGGGAGGCCGAGGTGGGAGGATTGCTTGAGCCCAGGAGTTCAAGATAAGACTGGGCAACAGAGTGAGACCTCATCTCTACAAAAACATTTAAAAATTAGCTGCTGGTGATGTGCACCTGTGGTCCCAGCTACTCCAGAGGCTTAGGTGAGAGGATCACTTGAGCCCAGGAGGTCGACGCTGCAGTGAGCTATGATTGCGCCACTGCACTCCAGTCTGGGTGACAGGGTGAGACCCTGTCTCCAACAAAGAGAAAGTTGGCTGGGCATGGTAGCTCACACCAGTAATCTTAACACTTGGGGAGGCCGAGGCGTGCAGATCACCTGAGGTCAGGAGTTCGAGACCAGACTAGCCAACATGGTGAAACCCTGCCTCTACTAAAAATACAAAAATTAGTCGGGCGTGGTGGTGGGCACCTGTAGTCCCAGCTACTCGGAATGCGGAAGCAGGAGAATTGCTTGAACCTGGGAGGCAGAGGTTGCAGTGAGCCGAGACTGCACCACTGCACTCCAGCCTGGGTGACAGAGCAAGATTCCATCTCAAAAAAAAAAAAAAAAAAAGAAAGTTCATTGGCACTAGTAAGGTTCTGGGGAGCTGGCAACTTTTGATTGCCACACTCACTTTGATTGGTGAGTGATGGCAGTGGGTAAAATTAGTTTTAGAGTCATTCCAGCAACTATTAGATAAAACTGGTTTTAGGTGACAATAGACACTTTCAGCAGCCAGGCTTTCAGAGAATTACATTTTTGGAACAAAATGTGTCCTGAGTGCTTTTCCCCTCAGCTCCTCAACCCTGTTTTAGTTGGGTATGACAAAAATGACCCAATTCATATAATCAACCTTCACAGACATTATCCTTCTGCAGTGACCCACGGTTCAAACTAAGGATTTTATTTAAGTTCTGTCTCCTTCATCATCACAGTCAGTGCCACCAAATCTCAACCACCTCTCTTTTGCCTTCCAAGTGGACAAGGCGTGAGATTATTACTTGGGAGGTAGCCTAGCATAATGATTAACACCATGGATCAGAGTTACACAGACTTTGCTGTAGAGCTTTGGACAAATTACCAATGCATGTGTAAAATTCAAAAGTAGGTGTAGGCTGTAAAATGCATTTTAATCAGAGTACCATTATTTTGTTCAAATGCTTTTAATTATTGGAATGTAAAATTTTTTATTTTTATTTATTTATTTATTTATTTATTTATTTTTGAGACAGAGCCCTGCTCTGTTGCCCAGGCCGAAGTGCAGTGGCTCGATCTTGGCTCACAGCAACTTTTGCCTCCTGGGTTCAAGCAATTCTCCTGCCTCAGCCTCCCAAGTAGCTGGGATTACAGGCGCATGCCACTACACCCAGCTAATTTTTGTATTTTTAGTAGAGACAGGCTTTGGCCATGTTGACTAGGCTGGTCTCGAACTCATGACCTCAAGTGATCTGCCTGCCTTGGCCTCCCAAAGTGTTGGGATTACAGGCGTGAGCCAGTGAGCCCGGCCTTGGAATGCACAATTTTTAAAATATGCAAATAAAAAGTTTAAAAACTTAGGAAAAAAGTACTAGGGAGGCTGAAGCAGTCAAATCACGAGATCAGGAGTTCAAGACCATCCTGGCCAACATGGTGAAACCCTGTCTCCACTACAAATACAAAAAAATTGGCTGAGTATGGTGGCTCACACCGGTAATCCCAGCACTTTGGGAAGTCGAGGCAGGCGGATCACATGAGATCAGGAGTTTGAGACCAGCCTGGCTAACATGGCAAAATCCCGTCTCTACTAAAAACACAAAAACAAATTAGCCAGGCATGGTGGCAGGTGCCTGTAATCCCAGCTACTGGGGAGGCTGAGGCAGGAGAATCGCTTGAAACTGGGAGGCGGAGGTTGCAGTGAGCTGAGATCGCGCCGCTGCACTCCAGCCTGGGCAACAGAGCGAGAGCCCATCTCAAAACAAATAAAATAAATAAATAAATAAAAATACAAAAAATTAGCTGGGCATAGTGGCGGGCGCCTGTAATCCCAGCTACTCAGGAGGCTGAGCCAGGAGAATTGCTTGAACCCAGGCGGCAGAGTTTGCAGTGAGCCGAGATCATGCCACTACACTGCAGCCCAGGTGACAGAGTGAGACTCTGGCTCAAAAAAAAAAAAGAAAGGAAAAAAAGAGTACTAAAAGGTATAGGAATGACAAGTAAACCTCCTTCTCTCCCCTTTCCCAGAGCCACTCTGTTTCTCACCTAGGAAGGTAGCCACTTCCTGAATGTCAGTTATGAGTTTCTTTTTTTCATTGCTGCTGCACAAATTAAAGTTCTCAGTGTTTCTAACTTCATGTCATGCTTTAAGTTTTCGACTATCAAACTTGAGGCTCATCTTAAACCCTTCCCTGACTCTCTCTCCCTAGGACAGAGTCTGTTGCTCCTTCCTGTGGACAAACTACATAAACCTCTACAAAACTCACTGAATTTATTGCTTTGATCATAGATGTATTGATCTTTGTCACTATCTTATGAGTATCTAGGAAACCAGTGCCTTTTGTCTTTGTGAGCCTGATCTCTACCCAGTTCAGTGCTTGATGCAGTGTGGGTATTTAGTGAATCTCTGATGACTGAATGCATTTCCCCGATCAGGCATTTTCAGACGCCCCAGTGCATGTGGAGATATAATCTCAACTCTTCATATGGGCTTTCCAATTATTTCCATTAGGCCTCACCTCCGCTACCCAGACTGATCTCCTGGGAAATTCGGCTGTAGCCAAGATAATCTCCTTATTAACACCTGTCTGCCAAACTCTGTTTTACCGGCAGACATTTGCTTATGCTGCTGACCATCAGTTGAAATTCTGGAATCAAATATTACAAGATATCACATGCTATTTCCTAGGAATAAGAGATTTATCCAATTTTTTTTTTTCCGAGTCAGGGTCTCTTTCTGTTGTCCAGGCTGGAGTGCAGTGGCACGGTCATGACTGACTGCAGCTTCAGCCTCCTGGGTTCAATCGATCTGCCTGCTTCAGTCTCCCGAGTAGCCTTCACTACAGGCACGCACCACCATGCCCCGCTAATTTTTATATTTTTTGTAGAGATGGAATACCATGTTGCCCAGACTGATCTCAAACTCCTGAGCTCAAGCAATCTGCCTGCCTCGGCCTCCTGAAGTGCTGGGATTACTGGCATGAGCCACCACACCCAGTTCCAATCTATATTTATTTATCCAATATATAAATGCTTAATATGTCTCACAAGAAGGTGTCCCGTTTGGGAAGTTGAAATCAATCCCATTGTAGCATTTTTTAAAATTGCAAAGAACACTGAAAGTACCCTAAATGTTTATGTTTATCAATACAGGAATGGTTAAACAACATTTATGGGATCTTTACTCCGTGGTATACTACACGGCTGTTAAATGAGCTAGGTCTAGGAAGGTCAAGCTGGATAAATGAAATCATGTAGGAGGAAGCATGCCTGACTTCTTCCTACAGTGTTATGTTTGTGAGATCCTTCTAGATAGTTACATGTGGTAGTAGTTTTCTCCTTGTTGCCGTATAGTAACCCCCTGTATGAATAACACTGCAATTTATATACACATTTATTTATCCACTCTACTATTGATGATCATTTGGGTTGTTTTCAACTTCTGGTTGTGATGGTTGCGTTGGCTGTTATAAATATTCTTGTGCATACCTTGGTATACATATGAACACATATTCACAATCCACTTAGAGTGTAGGATATGCATATGTGTGTTCAGCTTTATTTGATACTGTCAGATAGTTTTGAAAGTGATTGTACTCTTCTACACTCCTACAAACAGTGAATAAGAGTACCAGTTGCTTCACATCCTCAGCAAAACTTGGTAGTGTCAATATTTTACATTTTAGCCATTTTGATAGGTGAGTAGTGAGCTGTCATTGTACTTTTAATTTGTATTTCTCTCATGACTTGAGATTGATAAACTTTTCATATGTTTAATGATCATATGAATTTTCTGTCAGTGATGTTCCTGTTCAAGCGGCTTGCTCGTTTTTTATCGAGTCATCTTTTTTCTTTCTTTTCTTTCTTTTTTTTTTTGAGAGAGTCTCGCTCTCTCACCCAGGCTGGAATGCAGTGGCACAATCTCAGCTCACTGCAACCTCCGCCTCCTGGGCGATTGTCCAGCCTCAGCCTCCTGAGTAGCTGGGATTACAGGCATCCGCCACCATGCCCAGCTAATTTTTGTATTTTTAGTAGAGACGGGGTTTCACCATGTTGGCCAGGCTGGTCTTGAACTCCTGACCTCAGGTGATCCACCAGCCCCAGCCTCCCAAAGTGCTGAGATTACAGGCTTGAGCCACCAAGCCTGGCTAGAGTCATCTTTTTTCTTATTGATTTATAGTGATTCTTTATACAGTATATCCTGAATACATGGGTATTTATATGTGTTGTAAATATCTTCTCCCCCTTTTTGGTTTGCCTTTGTATTTTAGCAATATGTAAGGTTGCCCATCCTTCCTCATCTTTGTCAGCATTAAAATGCAATGTAGGTCGGGTGTGGTGGCTCATGCCTTAATTCCAGCACGTTGGGAGGCTGAGGTGGGTGGATCACCTGAGGTCAGGAGTTTGAGACCAGCCTGGCCAACACGGTGAAATCCCATCTCTACTAAACAAACAAACAAACAAAAAACTACACAAAAATTAGCTGGGTGTGGTGGTGGGCACCTGTAATCCCAGCTACTCGGGAGGCTGAGGCAGGAGAATCACTTGAACCCAGGAGGCAAAAGTTGCAATGAGCCGAGATCGCACCACTGCACTCCAGCCTGGGCAATAGAGGGAGACTCCATCTCAAAAAAATAAAACAAAGAAAGAAAGAAATGCAGCCTAAAAAACAGATTTTTGCCAAAAAGCAAAAACCACTGTATATTTCTTATTTTTTTTTTTTTTTGAGACAGAGTTTCACTCATGTCTCCCAGGCTGGAGTGCAATGGCGCAATCTTAGCTCACTGCAACCTCTGCCTCCCAGGTTCAAGTGATTCTCCTGCCTCAGCCTCCCGCGTAGCTGGGATTACAGGCGCATGCCACCACGCCCAGCTAATTTTTGTATTTTCAGTAGAGACAGGGTTTTGCCATGTTGGCCAGGCTGGTCTGGAACTCCTGACCTCAGGTGATCTGCCTGCCTCGGCCTCCCAAAGTGCTGGGATCACAGGCATGAGCCACCATGCCCAGCCCACTGTATATCTCTTAATTAATAGAATTATTTATTTATTTTTGTTTTTGTTTTTGTTTTTTGAGACAATTTCTGGCTCTACAGCCCAGGCCAGACTGAGTGGCACAATCTTGGCTCACTGCCATCCCAGGCTCAAGCCATCCTCCCACTTCAGTCTCCTGAGTAGCTAGAACTATAGGCATGCACCATCACAGCTGGCTAATTTTTGTATTTTTTGTAGAGAGGGGGTTTTGCCATGTTGCCTAGGCTGATCTGGAACTCGTGAGCTCAAGCAATCCACCTGCCTCGGCCCCCAAAGGGCTGGGATTGTAGGTGTTAGCCACCATGAGAATTTATTTTTTAGAGTAGTTTTATTATTTACTTATTTATTTATGTGCATGTGTGTTTCTTTTTTCTTTTTTTCTTTTCTTTTCTTTTTTGAGACCAACTCTTACTCTGTTGCCCAGGCTGGAGTGCAGTGGTGTGATCTTGGCTCACTGCAACCTCCACCTCCCGGGTTCAAGCAATTCTTGTGCCTCAGCCTCCTGAGTAGCTGGAACTACAGGTGTGAGCCACCACACCTGGCTAATATTTGTATTTTTAGTAGAGACGGGCTTTTGCCATGTTGGCCAGGCTAGTCTCGAACTCCTGACCTCCGGGTATCCACCCACCTCCGCTTGCCAAAGTGCTGGGATTACAGGCGTGAGCCACTGCGCCCGACTGTGTTTTCTTTTTCTAGAGTAGTTTTAGATTTACAGGAAACTGGCTGGGTGCAGTGGCTCATGCCTGTAATCCCAGCGCTTTGGGAGGCCGAGGCGGGCGGATCACCTGAGGTCAGGAGTTTGAGAGCCTGGCCAACATGGCAAAAGCCCATCTCTACTAAAAATACAAAACAAAAAAAAATTAGCTGGGCATGGTGGCAGGTGCCTGTAATCCCAGCTACTCAGGAGGCTGAGGCAGGAGAATTGCTTGAACCAGCAGGCGGAGGCTACAGTGAGCTGAGATCGTGCCATTGCACTCCAGCCTGGGTGACAGAGCGAGACTTGGTCTGAAAAAGAAAAAAGAAAGATTTACAGGAAACTGAGCAGATAGTAGAGTTCCCATATACCTCCTTTCCACTACCTCCCTCACAGTTTCCCCTATTATTAATATTACATTAGTGTGGTACATTTGTACCACACTAATTAAACCAACATGGATATATTATTATTAATCATAATATGAATGTATTATTATTATTAGCTGAAGTCCATAGTTTACATTAAGATTCACTGTGTCATATAGCAATATGGTTTTGAAAAAAATGCATAATGTCACATATCCACCATTATAGTATCACATAATATAGTTTCACTGCCCTAAAAATCCTCTTTTTATCCCTCCCCTTCTTTTCCCCTTGATCATCTGGCAGCCACTGATCTTTTTACTGTCTCTACAGTTTTGCTTTTTCCAGGAAGTCATGTATTTACAATCATACAATAGGAAGCCTTTACAGACTGGCTTCTTTCAGAAAGCAATATGCATTTAAGTTTCCTCCATATCTTTTTGTGGCTTGATAGCTCATTTATCACTGAATAACATTCCGTTGTATGAATGTACCACAGTTTGTTTATCCATTCACCTTTTGAAAGACGTCTTGGCTGCTTCCAGTTTGGGGCAATTAAGAATAAAGCTAGATAAATGTTCATGTGCAGGTTTTTATGTGGACATAAGTCTTTTTGGTCCATTAGGGTATTTATTAAAGTAAATAAACTACTATTTACCCTAGTAAATACTCCTAGGTATTTACCTAGGAGTGCAATTGCAGGATGGTGGGGTAAGACTATTTTTAGCTTTGTAAGAAACTGCCCACCGTCTGGCACGTGTACCCAACAGCTCATTGAGAACGGGCCATGATGACGATGGCGGTTTTGTGGAATAGAAAAGGGGGAAGGTGGGGAAAGGATAGAGAAATCAGATTGTTGCTGTGTCTGTGTAGAAAGAAGTAGACATGGGAGACTTCATTTTGTTCTGTACTAAGAAAAATTCTTCTGCCTTGGGATGCTGTTGATCTGTGACCTTACCCCCAACCATGTGCTTTCTGAAACATGTGCTGTGTCCACTCAGGGTTGAATGGATTAAGGGCGGTGCAAGATGTGCTTTGTTAAACAGATGCTTGAAGGCAGCATGCTCATTAAGAGTCATCACCACTCCCTAATCTCAAGTACCCAGGGACACAAACACTGCGGAAGGCCGCAGGGTCCTCTGCCTAGGAAAACCAGAGACCTCTGTTCACTTGTTTGTCTGCTGACCTTCCCTCCACTGTTGACCCATGACCCTGCCAAATCCCCCTCTGCGAGAAACACCCAAGAATGATCAATAAAAAAAAAAAAAAAAGAAAAAAGAAAAAAAAAAAAAAGAAACTGCCAAACTGTCTTCCAAAGTGGCTGTACCATTGTGCATTTCCACCAGCAATGAATGAGAGTTTTTGTTGCTCCATAGCCTTGCCAGCATTTGTTATTGTTAGTTTTCTGGATTTTAGCCATTCCAATAGGTGTGTAGTGGTATCTCATTTTAATTTATGATTCCCTAATGACATGTGGTTTGGCATCTTTCCATATGCTTATTTGCCACTTGTATATTTTCTTTCGTGAGATGTCTGTTTAGACCTTTTGCCCATTTTTTAATTGGGTTATTTTCTTATTGTTGAGGTTTTTTGGTGTTTTGCTTTGTTTTAGTTTTTTGAGACTGGGTCTTGTTTTGTCGACCAGGGTGGAATGCAGTGGCATGATCATAGCTTACTGCAATCTTGTACTCCTGGGCTCAAGTGATGCACCTCAGGCTTCCAGGTAATTGGTGTAGCTGGGACTACAGGCATGCGCCACCATGCCTGGCTAATTTTTTTTAATTTTTTAATTTTTTTTTTTTGAGACAGAGTCTCGCTCTGTTGACCAGGCTGGAGTGCAGTGGCACCGTCTCGGCTCACTGCAAGCTCCGCCTCCCAGGTTCACGCCACTCTCTTGCCTCAGCCTCCCGAGTAGCTGGGACTACAGGCGCCCACCACCACGTCCAGCTAATTTTTTCTATTTTTTAGTAGAGAAGGGGTTTCACCATGTTAGCCAGGATGGTCTCGATCTCCTGACCTCATGATCAGCCCGCCTTGGCCTCCCAAAGTGCTGGGATTACAGGCATGAGCCACTGCGCCCGGCAAATTTTTAAATTTTTTTAGAGACATGATCTTGCTCTGTTGACCAGACTGGTCCTGAACTCCTGGCCTTAAGCAATCCTCCCACCTTGGCCTCCCAGAATGCTGGGATTATAGGCATGAACCACCATTCCTGGTCTTATTGTTGAGTTTTAAGAGTACTTTGTCTTTTGCAAATGTTTTCTCCCAGTTGTGGTTTGTCTTTACATTCTCCTAACAACATCTTTTATAGAGCAAGTTTTAAATTTTAATGAAGTCCAACATAGCAATTTATCCTTTCATGGATCTAAAAATTTAACATCAAACTCAAGGTCACCTACATTTTCTCCTATGTTATCTTGAAGAAGTTTGTGATTTTGCATTTTGCGTTTAGGTTTATGATCCACTTTGAGTTAATTTTTGTGAAAGTGTTTTTGTTTTGTTTTGTTTTGAGGTAGAGTCTTGCTCTGTTTCCCAGGCTGGAATGCAGTGGTGCGATCTCGGCTCACTGTAACCTCTGCCTCCCGGGTTCAAGGGGTT
Organism: Homo sapiens; assembly: GCF_000001405.40. Lineage (NCBI taxonomy): Eukaryota > Metazoa > Chordata > Mammalia > Primates > Hominidae > Homo > Homo sapiens. The sequence continues at coordinate 27,222,498 of NC_000001.11, forward strand.
ATCCTGCCTCAGCCCCCTTAGTAGCTGGTACTACAGGCACACGCCACCACACCCAGCTATTTTTTGAATTTTCAGTAGAGACAGGGTTTTGTCATGTTGGCCAGCCTGGTCTCAAACTCCTGACCTCAAGTTCTCTGACCGCCTTGGCCTCTCAAAGTGTTGGGATTACAGTTGTGAGCCACCACGCCTGGCTGGTTTTTGTCAAAGTTATAAAGTTAGTGTCTGGATGTCCTAGTCTCTTAGGGCTGCTGTAACATAGACTGGATAGCTCATAAGCAACAGAAGTTTATTTTTTGCAGTTCTTGAGGCTGGGAAGTCCAAGATCAAGGCTGTAGCAGATTTGAAGTCTGGTGAAGGCCCACTTCCTGGTATATGTACCATCTTTTTGCTGTGTCCTCACATGGCAGTAGGAAGCAAAGGAGCTCTCTGGGGTCTCTTTCATAAGAGCATTTATTCATGCGGGCTTTACTCTCGTGACCTAATCACCTCTCAAATGCCCCACCTCCTAATACTATCACTTTGGGGGTTAGGATTTCAACATACTAATTTTGGGGGAACACAAATGTTCAAATCATAGCGTTCAGTTCATTTTTTACATGTGGATGTCCAGTTGTTCTAGTATCATTTCTTTTTTTGTTTTGTTTTGTTTTGTTTTGAGATGCAGTCTTGCTCTGTTGCCCAAGCTGGAGTGCGGTGGCGCGAACTCTGCTCACTGCAACTTCCGCCTCCTGAGTTCAAATGATTCTCCTGCCTCAGCCTCCCGAGTAGCTGGGACTACAGGCGCCTGCCACCACAACTGGCTAATTTGTATTTTTAGTACAGATGGGGTTTCACCACATTGGTCAGGCTGGTCTCGAACTCCTGACCTTGTGATCCACCCATCTTGGCCTCCCAAAGTGCTGGAATTACAGGCGTGAGCCACCGTGCTCAGCCTCTAGCATCATTTATTTTTCTTTTCTTTTCTTCCTTTTTTTCTTTTTTTTGTTTTTTTACTAGAGATGGGGTTTCACCATGTTGGTCAGGCTGGTCTCGAACTCCTGACCTCATGATCCACCCACCTTGGCCTCCCAAAGTGCTGGGATTACAGGCGTGAGCCACCACGCCTGGCCCCATCATTTCTTAAGAAAACTACCCATGGCCAGGCATGGTGGCTCATGCCTGTAATCCCAGCACTTTGGGAATCTGAGGTGGGCAGATTGCTTGGGCCCAAGAGTTGGAGACCAGCCTGGGCAACATGGTAAAACCCTATCTCTACCCAAAATTACAAAAATTAGCCAGGTGTCGTGGTGCACACCTGTAGTCCCAACTACTTGTGAGGCTAAGGTGGGAGGATCACCTGAGCCTAGGAAGTTGAGGTTGCAGTGAGCTGTGATCATGCCACTGCCCTCCAGCCTGGGTGACAGAGTGAGACTCTGTCTCAAAAAAAAAAAAAAAAATTATCCTTTCTCCATTGAATTGCCTTTGTGTGGGTCTGTTTCTGAGTTCTATATTCTGTTCCATTAATCTATTTGTCTATTCTTTCACCTGTACCACACTCTTTTGATTATTGTAGCTTTTTTTTTCTTTTTTTGAGACACAGTCTCATTCTGTCACCCAGGCTGGAGTATAGTGGCATGATCTCGGCTCATTGCAATCTCCGCCTCCTGGATTCAAGTGATTCTCCTCCTCAGCCTCCCAAGTAGCTGGGATTACAGGTGTGTGCCACCACACCCAGCTAATTTTTGTATTTTTAGTAGAGACGAGGTTTCGCCATGTTGGCCAGGCTGATCTCCAACTCCTGATCTTAGGTGATCCGCCAGTCTCGGCCTCCCAAAGTGATGGGATTATAGGCGTGAGCCACCACACCCGGCCAATTATTGTAGCTTTATAGTAATCTGGAAGTTGGGTGGTGTCAGTTTTAAAATTTGAAATTCATTATTTCAATGTCTTCTACGAGCATACTGTGAATTTCTATTTATAAGGTGGTGACATATGGTATACCCTATTTACAAGATATAAAAAGGCTAAATAACCTGTTCATCTAACAGGTAACAGTCTTCGTTTTTCAGTGCCTTAATGCACTAACCTGCTCCCTGAGAGAGGAACCATGCTCTATCTCTGTTGTCAAGCAAGGTTAACAACTATTCCCCACAGCACGTTAAAACACTGCAATTCTGTTGTTTTGGTTCATTTGTTTGTTTATTTTTGAGATGGTGTCTTGTTCTGTCATCTAGGCTGGAGTGCAGTGGTGCAACCTCAGCTCACTACAACCTCCACCTCGAGTTCAAGCGATTCTCCTGCTATCAGTCTCCCAAGTAGCTGGGACTATTGGTGCGTGCCACCACACCCAGCTAATTTTAAAATTTTTAGTAGAGATGAGGTTTCACCATGTTGGCCAGGCTGTTCTCAGACTCTTGACCTCAAGTGATCCCCCTTCCTTGGCCACCCAAAGTGCTGGGATTACAGGCGTGAGCCACCACGTCTGGCCCCTGGAATTCTATTTGATATGTCCTTTCTGAGTTTGACTAGCAGAAGTTATACCCCTGATTTGTTTTGTTTTGTTTTGTTTTGTAGAGATGGGTTTTTGCTATGTTGCTGAGGCTAGTCTCGAACTCCTGGGCTCAAGCAATCCTACTGCCTCAGCCTCCCAAAGTGTTGGGATTACAGGTGTGGGCCACTGTGCCTGGCCTATCCCCTCTGATTTTGACTGACACAGCTGAGAGTCTGTCCATATGGAACTAGGTTTGAGCCATGGATTTGAGTTCTGCCCAAAATTATCACCTTGAAATGTTCTGTGGCAGATATTCCTGGTTGGCTAGCTCAAATCCATGCCTCAATTTATTTTCCTTTGCCTTCTCTTGCCATATAGAGGCTAGGAATACTAAATAATTGCTTTCCAGACTTTTCCAGATCTACCTTGTAGATAGAGGTCGTTACAAGACGTAGCTCTGGCAAGTGAGATATAAATAGAAATCTGTTTGGGGTCTTCGAAAAAGCTTTTGCTTTTTTGATAAAAAGCAGCTAGTGCCTCTCCCTTTCTCTTGTTCATTTTGCCTTGAACACAGTTGAGATGCTTGGTGCTACAGCAGCCATTTTGTAACTATAGTGAACAACTAAAACTTAGGATTCTGGAACAGAAAAAAGATAGAAATAAATTATGTTGAATGGCTGAACTAATTACAATAATCACCTCGGGACTTGCTGGGTGAGAAAGCTCAACCTCATATGTTTAAGCCACTGCTAGTTGGATTGCATGTTATTTGCAACTGAAAACAGTCTTAACAGATCTAACTCTTCTAGGGGGGCCATCATTGCATAGACATCTTTGGAATGACTCCTGGAAATGCCACAGGTTTTCTTGACATAGTCTCATGAATGTTTTCACTGGTGGCAATCTTTGCCTTTGTTGGCTGGATTGGAATGGAGACGTTTAGCTTAGGAAACAGAAGGCTTAGTGGGGACATGAACGTTTCATTGCCTGAAGTTGTTTTTATTTTTATTTTAGAAACAGGGTCTCACTTTGTCATCTGGGCTGGAGTGCAGTGGCACGATCATAGCTCACTGTAACCTTGAACTCCTGGGTTCAAGGCATCCTCCTACATAGCTAGGACTACAGGCACATGCCACCATGCCACCATGCCTGGTTAATATTTTTAAAAAGTATTTTCAGAGATGAGGTCTCTCTGTGTTGCCCAGGTCGGTCTCAAACTCCTGGCCTCAAACTATCTTTCCGTCTAGGCCTCCTAAGTAGCTGGGATTACAGGTGTGAGCCACCACGCACTGAAGGTTTTTTTTTTTTTTTTTTTTTTTTTTTTTTGGAGAGACAGGCTCTCGCTGTGTTGCCCAGGCTGGCCTCAGACTCCTGGGATCAAGCAATCCTCCTGCCTCAGCCTCCAAAACTGCTAGAATTACAGGCATGAGCCACTGCACCTAGCCCTTGAAGCTTTATTAAGGGCAAAAGGGATCATTATGACTACCGCTCCTGCTAATCCCCCCAAATTGTCCCAGACCTTAACAGTTTACACAAAAATCACCTCATTTAACATACAAAACCTATGTTGCCACAGATAACAGAGCTGGGACAAATAAGTGGAAGTTAGAACTTTATCATTAAGAAGAACTGCTTAATGATCAGAATAGTTCCAACAAGAAAACGTGCTGCTGACGGGGTGAAGTGGCTCAACCTTTAATCCCAGCACTTTGGGAGGCTGAGTCAGAAGGATTGCTTGAGGCCAGGAATTCAAGACCATCCTGGGCAAAAAAGTGAGATCCTGTCTCTACAAAAACAAAAAAAAAAATTTAATAAATGAAAATTTTAAAAGGTTGAGCAGAGAAGTGAAGGTACAGAGAAGGGAAGCTGATTAGGGCCCACTCAGACTCGAGTCTGGGGAGTAAGATTGGCTAATTTTTTTTTCTTTCTTTCTTTTTTTTTTTTTTTTTTTGAGACAGAGTCTCACACTGTCGCTCAGGCTGGAGTGCAGTGTGCCATCTCTGCTCATCGCAACCTCCACCTCCTGGGTCCAAGTGATTCTCCTGCCTCAGCCTCCTGAGTAGCTGGGATTACAGGCATGTGCCACCACACCCAGCTAATTTTTTGTATTTTTAGTAGAGACGGGGTTTTACTATGTTGGCCAGGCTGGTCTTGAACTCCTGACCTCATGAGCTGCCCACCTTGGCCTCCCAAAGTGCTGGGATTACAGGCGTGAGCCACCGCACTGGGCCTAGATTGGCGAATTCTTTCTTAGCCTAGCTAAGTAGGATTTTAGAGAAGGAACAGGGATGGGAGTAGGAGAGTGATTCCAAGTGGAAGGCACAGCTGGAACACAGGTACAGTATATGCACAAGAGAAGTTTGGAAACTCTCAATGAGTTGGACTAGAGTTTAGAGTTTGGGCTCTTGGTGATTTGTGACTTTAAACAAGTTACCAAATTGTTCTAGGCCACAGTTTTCTCCTTGGTTAAACGAAGGAACTAACTAAAATCAGTGGGTCTCTATCTTTTCTCATGGTGACTTAGATTGTACTCCCAAGACGCTTTGCAACCAAAAGTCCTAAATGAAATAAAAGGAGGTAATACTTCTTCGTTGTTACTGTGTTTTGTTTTTCTTTTTTTTTTTTTTGAGACAGAGTCTTGCTCTGTCATCCAGGCTGGAGTGCGGTGGCACAGATATCAGCTCACTGCAGCCTCTGCCTCCCGGGTCCAAGCAATTCTCCTGCCTCAGCCTCCTGGGTAGCTGGGATTACAGGTGCACGCCACTATGCCCCACTAATTTTTGTATTTTTAGTAGAGACAGGGGTTTCCCCATGTTGGCCAGGTTAATCTCAAACTCCCGGCCTCAAGTGATCCTCCTGCCTTGGCTGGGATTACAGACATGAGCCACCGCACCCAGACTGTTGTTATTGTTTAAACAATGAAATTCTTGTATGAGGCTGGGCATGGTGGCTCGCATCTGTAATCCTAGCACTTTGGGAGGCTGACACAGGAGGACTGCTTGAGGTCAGGAGTTTAAGACCAGCCTGGGCAACATAGCAAGATCCCATCTCTAAAAAAAATAATAATAATTAGCCAGGAGTGGTGGTGCATGCCTGTAGTCTCAGTTATTCAGGAAGCTGAGGTGGGTGGATTCTTGACTCTAGGAGATTGAGGCTACAGGGGGCTAGGAGCCTACCACTGCACTCCAGTCTAGGCCACAGAATGAGACAGTGTCTCAAAAAAAAAAAAAAAAAAAAAGATGACATTTTTGTATGATAATAATTATCACAGTATAGAGATTACAGACCTTTAACTTTTAGTCAGGCTTAGTGCCTGTCAAGATGGATTTTTTTCTTCATTTAATTAAAAAAAAATTTGTGGCCAGGTGTGGTGGCTCATGCCTGCAATCCCAGAACTTTGGGAGGTCAAGACGGGTGGATCAGCTGAGGTCAGGAGTTGGAGACCAGCCTGGCCAACATGGTGAAACCCTGTCTGTACAAAAAATACAAAAATTAGCCAGGCATGGTGGCTCGTGCCTGTAGTCCCAGCTACTTGGGAGGCTGAGGCAGGAGAATTGCTTGAACCTGGGAGGCAGAGGTTGCAGTGAGCCGAGATCGCGCCACTGTACTCCAGCCTGGGTGACAAGAGTGAAACTCTGTTTAAAAAAAAAAAAATTGGTAATATTTAATTAGAAACTACTTCAAATATTCAGAAATCTACAGATAATATAACCACCAAGATAAAAGTGATGTTTAACATTTTGTTTAATATTTAATATAAATATTATATTTAGTTCTAATCTTTTTTCTAATCTCTTTTTTTAAGAGATAAAATGATATAAATACAGCTAAAATCCCGTCCCCACCTCTTTTCTTCCTCTTTCTTAGAAGTGAGCACACTCGCTGGTTGATTCAGAATGTACTGCCCATGAGTTAGCCCTGCTCCACAAGCAGCAGTACTGTTTTGGGGAGTTTGGGGGGCTTTTGTGAGACAGGGTGTCACTCCAGTTGCCCTGGCTGGAGTGCAGTGGCATGATCTGGGCTCACTGCAGCCTCAGCCTCCCGGGGTCAGGTGATTCTTCCACCTCAGGCTCCCTAGTAGATGGGACTACAGGTGTGCCACCATGCCCAGTTAATTTTTTTTTTTTTTTATTTTTTAGTAGAGATGGGGTTTTGCCATGTTGCCAAGGCTGGTCTCAAACTCGTGGACTCAAGCAATCCACCCCATCTCGGCCTCCCAAAGTGCTGGGATTACAGTTGTGAGCTACCCAGCCTGGCCAGAAGTAGTACTGTTAAAAAAAAAAAAAAAAAGAAGTAAGCACTCTCCCAAAATTGCTGTCTTTCCCATTTAACTTTTTGTATTTTTCTACATATATATTTATAAATATATGACATTTTTGTGTTCAATTTTACATAAATGCCATACTGAATGTATTATCTTTAAACTTCCTTAACTCATTATGTTTTTAAGATTTATCTATCTCGATGGCATGTAAATCATTTAATTGGTTGTATGGTACTCCATTGTATGACTAACCCACAATTCATCCATTGATTCCCCTTACAGAAAGACAGGTTGTTTCAACATTTTTGCTATTATAATACAGTTGGAAGGAATATTCCTGCCAATGTCTCCTCGTACACACATGCAATAGATCCCCTAAGATATCAGAAGTAGAATTGCTGGGTTGTAAAATATAAGCATCTTTAATTGTAGGTTGAATATGTCCACTTTTGCCTAGGAATCCAATTAGGAGATGAAAATGATAGTATCAGTGACTGCCTCTGCAGAGTTGGTGATCAGTTGAGGCATCATCTCATGCTCTTAGGAGAGAAAAAACAGCAACATTCACTGTCATAGCTTTATTTGAATAATCCTTGTCTGTTTCCAAGAGCCAAATAAAAAAATTGGAAATGGTCACTTAATTAAATATCTACCTAATGCAATAATTGCTTCTAGAGTATCTTGGACACATGTGTATATAGCCTGTACTTGAATACTACCAGAAACAAAGAACTTACAACCTCTCAAAGTAGTCCAACTCTATTGGTTAGAAAATTATTTTAGGCCGGGCATGGTGGCTCACACCTGTAATCCCAGCACTTTGTGAGGCCGAGGCGGGTAAATCACAAGGTCAGGAGTTCGAGATCAGCCTGGCCAACATAGTGAAACCCTGTCTCTACTAAAAATAAAAAAAAATTAACCGGGTGTGGTGGTGTGCACCTGTAATCCCAGCTACTTGGGAGGCTGAGGCAGGAGAATCGCTTGAACCTGGGAGGCGGAGGTTGTGGTGAGCCGAGATCTCGCCACTGCATTCCAGCCTGGGTGACAAAGTGAGACTCCGTCTGAAAAAAAAAAAAAAAGAAAAAGAAAAAGAAAATTATTTCATAATCTGAAAACACCTGTGGCTGGGAAGCATGTGTCTGATTTTGAACTTAACCATCTTCTTCTTTCTTCTCCTTTTTTTTTTTTTTCCAGACAGGGTCTCATTCTGTGTACCAGGCTGGAGTGCAACGGTGCCATCTTGGTTCACTGCAACCTCTGCTTCCCAGGTTTAAGCGATCCTCCTAACTCAGTCTCCCAAGTAGCTAGGACTACAGGCACGCATCACCACAACTGGCTAATTTTTTTTTTTTTTTTTTTTGTATTTTTAATAGAGACAGTGTTTGGCCATGTTGGCCAGGCTGGTCTCAAACTCCTGACCTTAAGTGATCCTCCCACCTCAGCCTTCCAAAGTGATAGAATTACAGCCATGAGCCACACCCGGCCCAGTCACCATGCCTGCCCTAATTTTTTTTTTTTTTTTTTGACGAAGTCTTGCTCTGTTGCCCAGGTTGGAGTGCAGTGGCGTGATCTTGGCTCACCACAACCTCTGCCTCCAGGGTTCAAGCTATTCTCCTGCCTCACCCTCCCAAATAGCTGGGATTACAGGCACGCACCACCATGCCCAGCTGACTTTTGTATTTTTAGTAGAGACGGGGTTTCACTATGTTGGCCAGTCTGGTCTCGAACTCCTGATCTCGTGATCTGCCTGCTTCGGCCTCCCAGAGTGCTGGGATTACAGGCGTGAGCCACCGCGCCTGGCCAATGTTTATATTTTTTGTAGAGACAGGATTTTGCCGTATTGCCCACGCTGGTCTGGAACCAAAACGTTGGGATTACAGGCGTGAGCCTCCATGCCTGGCCGAGTCTCTGTTTCTTCTATGTAAAATGGGAGTAAGAATCATACCTAACTCACAACGTGGTTGGGAGAAGCAAATGAGTTAGTGTGTGTTAATGTATATGGGTGTGTGTGCGTGCGTGTACACATATGTATGTATAGATTTATGTATAGGTCTCTGCCTATATGGAGAGAGAGGAAGTGAGAAAGAGAGAAACTCAAGCAAGTGTAAGAGTACGAGTGGTATCTATTAGAAAATAATAAATAGTAACTGCAGTTGTTAATAGTCTTCTTCCTGGTGGGGCGAGGTGGCTCATGCCTCTAATCCCAGCACTTTGAGAGGCCAAGGCAGGTGGATCACCTGCGATCAGGAGTTTGAGACCAGCCTGACCAATTATGGTGAAACCCTATCTCTACTAAAAATACAAAAATTAGCCGGGCGTCGTGGCATGTGCCTGTAGTCCCAGCTACTCGGGAGGCTGAGACAGGAGAATCGCTTGAACCCAGGAGGCAGAGGTTGCAGTGAGCCGAGATTGCACCACTATACTCCAGCCTGGGCGACAGAGCAAGACTCCGTCTCAAAAGAAATAGTCTTCTTCCTGTCATCAGTCTCTACCAACGAAAGTTCATTCTGACAACAAATATTTACTGAGTTTCTGCTATGTGCCATAGACTGTGCTAGGAGTCACAGAAACATCACCCACTCTTCTCTATCAGTATATCTAAGATCCTCTGTGACCTTGCCAGCATTAAACAAGACTTTAAAATGGGGGTTCTCTGGCCGGGCGCGGTGGCTCATGTCTGTAGTGACAGCACTTTGGGAGGCAGAGGCGGGTGGATCACGAGGTCAGGAGATCGAGACTATCCTGGCTAGTACGGTGAAACCCCGTCTGTACTAAATGAAATGACAAACTGGTGGCGGGCGCCTGTAGTCCCAGCTACTCGGGAGGCTTAGGCAGGAGAATGGTGTGAACCCGGGAGGCAGAGCTTGCAGTGAGCAGAGATTGCCCCACTGCACTCCAGCCTGGGCGACAGAGCAAGACTCTGTCTCAAAAAAAGAAGAAAAAAGTGGGGGGGGGGGTGGTCTCTGCCAAAAACACAGGATGCTAAAATGATTTAAAAATGAGGGTTCTGGATTTGAATAGTGTAGGCTTTAATCCCAACTGTACCACTTCCTAGCTATGTGATTGTGGGAGTCTGTCTTTCTTTCTTTTCTTTTTTCTTTTTTTGAGATGGAGTCTCTCTCTGTTGCTCAGGCTGGAGTGCAGTGGCACGACCTCGGCTCACTGCAACCTTCGCCTCTAGGATTCAAGTGATTCTCCTGCCTCAGCCTCCTGAGTAGCTGGGATTACAGGCACGCGCCACCACGCCCGGCTAATTTTTGTATTTTTAGTAGAGACGGGGTTTCACCATGCTGGCCAGGCTGGTCTTGAACTCCCGACCTCAGGCGATCCACCCGCCCTTGGCCTCCCAAAGTGCTGGTATTACAGGCGTGAGCCACCGCGCCCGGCCGGGAGTGTTTCTTTTTCTTTTACTTTTTTTTTTTTTTTTTTTTTTGAGACGGAGTCTCGCTCTGTCGCCCAGGCTGGAGTGCAGTGACGCGATCTCGGCTCACTGCAAGCTGCGCCTCCCGGGTTCACGCCATTCTCCTGCCTCAGCCTCCCGAGTAGCTGGTTCTACAGGCGCCCACCATCACGCCCGGCTAATTTTTTTGTATTTTTAGTAGAGATGGGGTTTCACCGTGTTAGCCAGGTGGTCTCTATCTCCTGATCTCGTGATCCGCCCGCCTCTGCCTCCCAAAGTGCTGGGATTACAGGCGTGAGCCACCGCGCCCAGCCCGGGAGTATTTCTTAATTCACTAGTAGCACTTATCTCCCATGGTAAGTATTCAATAAATGTTAGATATTATTCAGTTTAATTAACCCAATGACCCTAACCAAGGTTGCAGCCTGAACCTGGGGAGCTGCAGATAGATGATCTCAAAGCTTTCTTCTAGTCCCAAAGTCTATGATTTTTTATATTCAGTAGAACAGCTGTGGTGGAGAGTTCAGGGGGAATGACCCACAATATTTTTAGGAGAAAGGCATAAAAGGCTTTGTGAGCGGTTTCACAAGGATAGGTTCTTACTCCTCTAAATGGGGAGAAATCTCCCTTGCGGAGAAATCACCAGCAATTAGAATACTACCTTTGTCTCTGGGAGTATTCAGGTATTCACAGACAAATTCGTACTCATGATGTGAGCAGAATTGGAAAAAAAAAAAAAAAAAAAAAAAAAAAACAAGCGACACATGGAGTGATAAACACTATAAATGCCAAATACATATATTCAGTCCTTACTGAGAGCGGGTGCTGTCTGGTTTTCACAGGAAAGACAGGCAGTGTTAAAAGGCTCAGACTCTGGTGTCAGGCAGATCTGGGTCTAATTCCCAATTTGCCAACTTATCAGGACCCCGGGGGCAAGTTGCTTTTAGCCTTTCTGCTTCAGCTTTCCTTTTCTGCAAAACACAGACAGCAATAGTACCTAGCTAAGAGACTGTACCCAATCCAGTGCGAATAAAAGTGAATTATTGTTAGTATCTGACAAATGGCACCCTATGGGTGACAAGTTTCCTTTGTCAGAAGGTGACACGTCTTCCCTTTCTGACTTGAGGTTTCACGGGTGGGGCCTGGTCTCTGCCTTAAGAAGATAGGCTTAGTGCCACCCTTGTCACCTTGGGAACTTCCTTAATAAAGAGGAGGGTCTCTCCTCCATCAGACCCGGGACTCCACAAGGCTGGAACTGCGTCTCTTCCTCAGAGGTGGGAGCAGCAGTGACTCCGCTAGGGTCAGATGGACCTAGTCGCTCCCATCACCCCGAGGGCACCCAGAGTGTGTGTGGCTGACTCCTCTCCAGGCTACTCAGCGTAGGCCCGATTCTCTTTCATTCTCTTCCTTAAGGCCCAGGAGACGTCAGTGAGGACTGTGCCACTTCAGCAGCCCCCCAGAGCAGGAAGGAGTGGGCTGAGGAGCCCCCCGGGGCCCTAGCCTGAGAGGTCCCAGAATTCGGGGGCTGAGAGGAAGTCTTAGGAGCTCTTAAGGGGCTGTGAGGGGACCTGGGGTTCAGTGGGCGAGCGTGTGGGCGGGTGTCCCAGAAGCGGTGTGAGGAGCGTTTTACCCGGTGGTGGGGTGGGAGGTGCGTCCGGGTAACTAATGGCAACCGGGCGGGGTGAGCCCGCTCTGCAGGAACTCCTCGACGGCGAAAAACTACGACTCCCAGGGTGCCCCAGGGCTTAGCCCAGCTTTCCCGCCCGCCCACTGGCTGCCGGTCCCGCAAGCGGCGAAGCCCATTGGCCACGGCGGTGCGGGGCTCCCCCACTAGCAGGTTAGTGGGCGCCGCCGGCAGCAGACGTTGACCGGGCGCGGGGGGGTAAGTGGGGGGGCCCGGCTAGCCATTCTGGAAGCGGCCGGGCGCAGTCTTCGTAGCGTACCCGCCGGCTGCGAGGCGCAGGGCGGAGGCGGAGACTGCGTGGCGCAGGCGCGTTGCTGGGCTTCTCCTGGGTCCCCAGACAGCTGGAGGAGATAAACAGAGGAGGAGGAGGGAGGGGAGTGCGTGTGTGAGAGCGCGCGAGGGAGTGTGAGTGTGTGTGAGCGCGGGTGTGAGGCGGTGCGCAGGGGCGGGCGGAGGCGCTGTCCGGCCCCGGCCAGGCGCCGGGCGGGGAGCATGGGAAGGGGCTAGAACTGCTCGAGCCCCCCAGCCCCCTCCCCGGGATCCGCGCCCCCCTTCCCGGGAGAGGGGCCGCCCCCCCCGGACGGACATGGGCTCCTGAAGTTGCGCCGCTGCCGGTCGGGGGAAGAGACCTGACAGGTACGGGTCACCGCCGCCCCCTGCCCTCCGCGGGCGCCGAGGCGGGGACCGGCTCCCGCAGCCCCGGTGAACGGGCCGCCCGCTCTGGGCCGGCTCCAGCCCTGCCGGCCTGGGGGCCTGAGCCTACCCGCCTCGGGGCCCCGGGTGTCCCGAGAGGGGCCAGGCCTCGCCGGGGCGGAGGGCAGAGTGGTCCGGGGGCGGGGTGGGGGCGGAGGGTTTGGTCGGGACGCGGGGGGAGGCTGTGGGAGTCCGGGGAGGCTCTGCGGAGGGAGAGGTGGAAGTCATTCCATCATGGGACTTTTTTGCGGAGTTTTTGTTTGACATCTGATCTGGCGCCGGAGTCAGGAAGAAGGGGCAGGTGTAAGTGCTGGGAGGGCAACGCCGACCTGACCTGCCCTCTTAGCTTCTCGCTCTCTCTCTTTCTGTTTTTCTCTCTCTCTTTCTGTGTGTGTGTGTGTGTGTGTGTGTGTGTGTGTGTGTGTGTGTCCACAGCAGATGCCTTCAGTGGCCCATCCTGGCACCAAACAACTCTGCCAAGGTGTTTCCACCAGGCGACTGTAGCACCCCGTATACAAAGGGCCTCTGCTTGGGAACGGGCTATTCAGTACCCACTTCAAAGGGTAAATAGGAAGTGAGGAGATAGAAGAGAGACTGCGAACCAGCAGGATCCACTTCTTGGACTGAAAGCCGCAGTGGGACGCCCCTTTGCCAGATTGGTTGACTTTGCTTGGTGGCTTGGGCTCTCTCTCCTCTGCGGGTGTACTCCCAGGGTTTCTAGAGGAGAGGTACAGGGGCCTGTAACTAATGTCTTAATAGCCGAATTTGACTGTTTTCCCCAGAGTTCTTTTCTTCTGTGACTTTCTTTAACCTCCTGAAGTACTGGTAGAGCAACGTTATAGTTTTTCTCTCAAGTTGGTGATTTTAGGAGCCTGGTAGGGTGGCTGAAGCTTCCCCATTCATTCCAAGGATGGGGTAGATGATCTGGGTAAAGTGGCAGTGAAGTCTTCCCTTTCTAACAAAGCCTGAAACCGTTTTGAGAAGAAACTATTTTGAGGGCAGCTTCTGACTCAAAGACGTTACGAAATCCCCACCTAGGACACCGGTATGCCCAGTGGTCCCTACTAAGCTTTTCTGTGTCTTTTAGAGTCGTTGAGTGGCCAGCTTCTGCTCACTGTACTGAAGGAACTACTTAATGCTATTTCTGTCTTGAGTTCTGGCTTATTCTTCCTTGTGATTCTTATATCTTTAGCGGGATTGAATTGAATTTTTGCTGTTGAGTGTAATAGCCAGATCCTCTGTAACAGACCAGGGAGTAACTAGTTGGGCTCCTTTGGGCCAAGTCTGAGACTTACTGAGGTTTCTTCATTGTAGGTTGTTGTATTTCGTTGGCAGGTGGGAAATGACCTTTTCCGTCATAGTTTGTGATCATGCTGCTTTAAGGCTGGAGTCCTGCTCTCCTTTCCTTTTTTGACCTATATGGGAGCACTTCTGTTCGAGTCTTATCTCAATTTGAAGGAACAGTGCTTTTGGATCAACTCTGCCGAATAATTGAGCAGTAGCCCATATTTCTGCCTGGGACACCTTCATTGAGGGTCACGAGGGAAAGAGAGAACACGTGTAAATATTATGATGATGATGTTAACAACTATTTACCAGTTTCATACAATTGACAGTTTTTTTTAGCCGGGAGGAGTTCAGTATTGACTCATTGGGCATCTTATGTAGGGTGTTTTTGCACACCTAGACTTTAGGATCTGGAAAGACAACTGAAAATCTTGAAGCCCACTGCCAAACATTTGTGGATCTTGGGCCAACTGCTAAGGAAGATCTAGACTATGACTTGGTCTTTAATTATTTTTATTTTTTTCTCCTTTATGTATGTATGTATTTATTTATTTATTTTTTGAGATGGAGTCTTGCTCTGTTGCCCAGGCTGAAGTGCAGTGGCGCGATCTCAGCTCACTGCAACCTCAGCCTCCTGGGTTCAAGCAATTCTCTGCTTCAGCCTCCCAAGTAGCTGGGATTGCAGGTGCCTGCCACCATGCCCAGCTAATTTTTGTATTTTTAGTAGAGATGGGGTTTCACCATCTTGGCCAGGCTGGTCTTGAACTCCTGACCTCGTGATCCACCGACCTCGGCCTCCCAGAGTGCTGGGATTACAGGTGTGAGCCACCGCACCTGGCCTCTCCTTTTATTTTTATTTTTTTGAGATGGGGTCTCACTCTGTTGCCTGGGCTGGTCTCAAACTCCTGAGCTCAAGGGATTCTCGTACCTCTGCCTTCCTAGTAGCTGGGACTACAGACACGGCCTCCGTGACCACTCTCTTCTCTCTTTTTAAAAATTAAGGAATGTTGCTGACATGTGCAGTTCTGAGTCTCAGAGAGGAAGTCAAACAGAACATGTAATCTGGTGATACTTGTGTTTTCTTTGGGTCACTGGTTTAGTTATCTATTCTGTTTCCTTTCTTCTTTCCACCTCACCTTTCCAGATGCTCCACTGTATCTTTAGGCTGCCATTGCAGATTGCTGGGCCCACAAAACCCTTAGGTTGTACTTTCTTAGCTGTCATCTCTTGAAAAGCCAAAGTTCTGGCAGTTGCTATTAGAAACCAGTTCCTGGCTGAGCGCGGTGGCTCACGCCTGTAATCCCAGCACTTTGGGAGGCTGAGGTGGGCAGATCACGA
Source organism: Homo sapiens (assembly GCF_000001405.40). Classification (NCBI taxonomy): domain Eukaryota; kingdom Metazoa; phylum Chordata; class Mammalia; order Primates; family Hominidae; genus Homo; species Homo sapiens. The sequence continues at coordinate 27,237,634 of NC_000001.11, forward strand.
GGTCAGGAGATTGAGACCATCCTGGCTAACACGGTGAAACCCCATCTCTACTAAAAATACAAAAAAAATTAGCCGGGCATGGTGGCACGCGCCTGTAGTCCCAGCTACTCAGGAGGGATTTTCCTACTAAGGCAGGAAAATCGCTTGAACCCAGGAGGTGGAGGTTGCGGTGAGCTGTGATCGTGCCATTGCACTCCAGCCTGGGCAACAAAAGTGAAACTCCATCTCAAAAAAAAAAAAAAGAAAAGAAAAGAAAAAAAAGAAAGAAGCCAGTTCCTTGGTGTAGTTAATTTACTTTGAGAGGTATTTGCCAGTTGGGATATGTCCTAAAAAGTGACTGACATTTTATTCAGGGCCTGGTATATCTTGAGCTCAGTGCTAGCTAGTATTTTTACTTTATCCAGTGTAACCTTCATGACTGTCCTGTGAGGTGAGAATCATTTTCCCTATTATACCTATGAAGAAACAGATTCAGAGAAATTAAGTTATTTGCTTAAGGTCACACAGCAAGTAAGAGGAAGGACTGGAATTCAAACCCAGGTCTCTCTGCTCTGTGATATTGAATTGCCTCTGGGACTGTGACACATGAAGAAGAACTGAAAAGACCAAGGCTAAGAGCCTGGGGGAACATGATACCTCATTCAAATACTTGAAGATTGTCATGGGGAAAGGAAACTGGATGTTCTCTGTGATTCTAGAAGGCATCTCAGGATTAAATGACATAATTTCCAAGAAGGTAGACTTTGGTTTGATAGGAGATAATGTAGCTTTCTAAAAACAAAATGGGCTGCCTTGTGAGGGAGTGAGTTACCCATCATTGCAGATATTCAAGCAGAGAGTTTGCCACATCTTTTTTTTTTCTTTGAGACAGAGTCTTACTTCGTCATCCAGGCTGGAGTGCAGTGGCATGATCTCAGCTCACTGCAACCTCTGCCTCCCAGGTTCAAGTGATTCCCATGCCTCACTTCATCTTCCAGGCTGGAGTGCAGTGGCATGATCTCGGCTCACTGCAACCTCTGCCTCCCAGGTTCAAGTGATTCTCATGCCTCAGCCTCCCAAGTAGCTGGAATTATAGGCATGTACCACCACGCCCATCTAATTTTTGTATTTTTGTAGAGATGGGGTTTCACCATGTTGACCAGACTGGTCTTGAACTCCTGACCTCAGGTGATCCGCCCGCCTCAGCCTCCCAAAGTGCTGGGATTACAGGTGTGAGACACCGCGCCCAGCCCCGGCTAATTTTTTTGTATTTTTATTAGAGACAGGGTTTTGCCATGTTGCCCAGGCTGGTCTTGAACTCCTGAGTTCCACCTGCCTCGGTCTCCCAAAGTGCTAGGATTACAGGCATGAGCCACCGCTCCTGGCTTTTTTTTTTTTTTTTTTTTTATGAGACAGGGTAGATGGGAAGACAGGTGTGTGCCATCACGCCTGGCTAATTTTTTAATTTTTTCATAGAGATGGGGTTTCACTATGTTGCTCAGGCTGGTCTCAAACTCCTGGGCTCAAGCAGTCTGCCTACCTCAGCCTCCCAAAGTCCTGGGAATACAGGTGTGAGCCACCATGCCCAGCCTCCCTGTCTGTTTGATCTGTAAAACCTAACATGGCTTGGCACGGTGGCTCACACCTGTAATCCCAGCACTTTGGGAGGCCTAGGTGGGTGGATTGCTTGAGCCCAGGAGTTTGAGACCAGCCTGAGCAACATAGTGAAACCCAGTCTCTACAAAAAGAAAATTTAAAAATTAGCCAGGTGTGGTAGCATGTGCCTGTATTCCCATCTACCCAGGAATCTGAGGCGGGGGCATCACTTGAGTGCAGGAGGCAGAGGTTGCAGTGAGCCAAGACTGCGCTACTGAACTCCAGCATGGGCAACAGAGACCCTGTCTCAAAAAAAAAAAAAAAAAAAAAAAGCCAGTTGTGCAGTGGCTCATGCCTGTAATCCTAGCACTTTGGGAAGCTGATGTGGGCAGAGCTCAGGAGTTGGAGGCCAGCCTGGGCAACATGGCAAACCTGTCTCTACTAAAAATACAAAAAATTAGCCAGCCGTGGTGGTGCACACCTGTAATCCCAGCTACTTGGGAGGCTGAGTCATGAGAATTGCTTGAACCTGGGACGCAGAGGTTGCAGTGAGCCAAGATCGTGTGCACTCCAGCCTGGGGGACAGAGTGAGACTCTGTCTCAAAAAAAAAAAAAAAACCAAAAAAACCCAAAAAAACTAACATGTATTGAATATTTAGTATATACCAGGCACTTGCTAGATACTTTTTCTTTCTTTTTTTAAGACAGAGTTTTGCTCTTATTGCCCAGGCTGGAGTGCACACGATCTCTGCTCACTGCAACCTCCGCCTCCTAGGTTCAAGCAATTCTCCTGCCTCAGCCTTCTGAGTAGCTGAGATTATAGGTGCGCGCCACCATGCCTGGATAATTTTTGTATTTTTTTAGTAGAGATGGGGTTTCACCATGTTGGCCAAGCTGGTCTCGAATTCCTGACCTCAGGTGATCCACTCACCTTGGCCCCCCAAAGTGCTGGGATTACAGGCATGAGCCACCAGGCCCAGCTCTACTTTTTCTATAATGTCTCTTATAATCTTCAGAGCTCCCCTGGAAGGAAGGTATTACCATTATCCCCACTTTACAAATGAGAAACTGAGACTCTAGACTAAAGTTAAGGAATATGCTGGAGGTTACACAACTAGTAGTGTAGGGCTGATATTTGAACCCATGTCTCCTCCTTAGCTCTGTGACCTAGGGCCAATCATGTATCCTCTCAGAGCTATAGTTTCACCTATAAAATGAGGCTTATTGTAGTACCTACTTTTTAGTGGGTTTTTGAGGACTAAATGATGAAATATATCCTTTTTACTAGACCTCACTGATTGCCCTCAAGAGCCAGGGCTTGGATGTAAAGGAATACCACTTAGTTGGCTTCTTCTGGGTAAATTCAGGCCTATGTGTAACTCTGAGAGTTCTAGGGCCCATTCTTTGAGCTATTAAGTAATAGCTGCTGACTCCTTGAAGGGCTTTGTGGCATTGAAGACTAATACCTTAAAAACTTTTAAGCCTGGGCTGGGCGCAGTGGCTCATGCCTGTAATCCCAGAACTTTGGGAGGCTGAGGTGGGCGGATCACAAGGTCAGGAGTTTGAGACCAGCCTGGCCAAGGTGGTGAAACCCTGTCTCTACTAAAAATACAAAAATTAGCCTGGCGTGGTGGCGGGTGTCTGTAGTCCCAGCTACTCAGGAGGCTGCGGCAGGAGAATCGCATGAACTCAGAAGGTGGAGGTTGCAGTGAGTTGAGATCGCAACACTGTACTCCAGCCTGGGTGACAGTGAGACTCCATCTCAAAAAAAAAAAACAAAAAAACTTTAAGCCTGAATAAGGGGAGGATGCAGTCAAAAGGCCAGAGTGTATAGGAGGCAGTGTCAGAGGCCCTGTGCAAAGAAAATTCTCAGCTACTACTGCAGAGCCAGATTTGAGGGTCACCGTTGGCATTTTTGTATTTATTATCTTCTTTTAGGATACAAGGTCACAACTGCTAGAGCTGTAACAGAGCTCAGTGCCAAGAATAATGACCCTTAATCCTCCGTATAGCCATCTGGGGAGGTATTAACCCCATTTTCTTGGAGATGGGGTGGAGAACAGGATCAGACCTTGCCCAGGGAGCTCTCCAGAGGCTGTTGAGGGCAGTGTTTGGATCAGGACTTTTGTACAATTTTGTCCTTATTCATGACCCCCCAAATTCTATAAAACTGCTTATCCTTGAACCTCTTAGGGGGCCTTCCTGAGAATGGGAGCTAGGCATTCATGGTCAGGGAGCTTCATAGTTGAGGCCTGAGTGTTTGGGTGCTGATGGCCTACCTGGTTCCCTTTTGAGTTACACATCTGGATATAACACTACTGTCACTGAGTTAGAAAGGAAACATTTCTAACTTGAATGGTTTAGTTTTCCTTGACCTTGCAGCTAGTAGTAGAGTTACAGGATGAAACTCCAGAGCCTTCTCTACAAGAGATATTTTGAATTGTGGCAGGATTTGTCAGGATGCAAGTTAAAGACTGCAGATGCTTTTAAATAGTGAGAGAGTATAGCATTATCAAAATATGCTCCCTTTTCTCTGTTTCCTTCCACTATCTTAAGGTAATTGTGAGGCCTAAGAGCAGACAGGAAAATTAGCTATGATCACTGGAAAACAAAGTTCTGAAAACATCCAGAAAAAATTTTCACAAAGCTCAAACAAGTGGCTGGGTGTGATGTCTCACACTGTTTTTTTTTGTTTTTTTTTTTTTGAGAGTCTCGCTGTGTCACCCAAGATGGAGTGCAGTGGTGCAATCTTGGCTCACTGCAGCCTCAGGCTCCTGGGTTCAAGCGATTCTCTTGCCTCAGCCTCCTGAGTAGCTAGGATTACAGGCGTGTGCCATCACGCCTGGCTAATTTTTGTATTTTTAGTAGAGACGGGGTTTTACCATGTTGGCCAGGCTGGTCTCCAACTCCTGACCTCCAGTGATCCTCCTGCCTTGGCCTCCCAAAGTGTTGGGATTACGGGGATGAGCCACCGTGCCTGGCCAGATGGTTCACACTTGTAACCCTAGCACTTTGGGAGGGTGAGATGGGAGGATTGTTTGAGGCCTGGACTTCAAGAACAGCCTGGGCAAAATGATGAGACCCCCATCTCTACAAAAAATAAAAATAAAAGTAGCCAGGCATGGTGATTTGCACCTGTAATCCTAGCTACTCAAGAGGCTGAGGCAGGAGGATCCCTTAAGCCTAGGAGTTCAAAGTTGCAGTAAACTGTGATAGTGCTACATTCCATTCCAGCCTGGGGAACAGAGCTAGACCCTGTCTCTTTTTTTTTTGAGACGGAGACGGAGTTTCGCTCCTGTCGCCCAGGCTGGAGTGCAATGGTGCAATCTCGGCTCACTGCAACCTCTGCCTCCCGGGTTCAAGTGATTCTCCTGCCTCAGCCTCCCGAGTAGCTGGGATAACGGGTATGCACCACCACGCCTGGCTAATTTTTTGTATTTAGTAGAGACAGGGTTTCACCATGTTGGTCAGGCTGGCCTCAAACTCCTGACCTCAGGTGATTCACCCACCTCGGCCTCCCAAAGTGCTGGGATTACAGGCGTGAGCCACCGCACCCAGGCGACCCTGTCTCTTAAAAGCTCAAACAGCAATACGGAGCCCACTGGGCAGGGGAGAAGACATCAAGGTGAGTTTTTATCTAAAGCTTCCCAGAAAGTAAAGCATTGCTTAGAAGCAGCTCTCTTCTGCAGAGAAAACCTCAAGCAGTCCTACATGGGATTATTTAAGCCAGGAGCCTCAAAGATGGCTAAGAAGTTTCCTGAAGATGCTTTGGTGATGAGTCTATCCTACCAGCGAAAGCTTTCCCAGAAACTGTCCTTGTACCAACTTAGTCCATGACCTTGAAATGGCACTCTTTAAATTTGTGTTTGAGATCAGCAGAGTCAAGGCAGCTTAACCCTAAGGAATGGTAAGAGACAAAGTTTCAGCAGCTTCCTGAAATTGTATCAATACTGATATTACAGGTGTGAGCCGCTGCTCCCTGGCCAGTAATTTTTTTTTTTTTTTTTTTTTTTTTTGAGACAATGTCTCACTCTGTCACCCAGGCTGAAGTGCAGTGGCATGATCTCGATCTTGGCTCACTGCAACCTCTGCCTCCTGAGTTCAAGTGATTCTCCTGCCTCAGCCTCCCCAGCAGCTGGGATTACAGGCGCCTGCCACCATGTCCGGCTAATTTTTGTATTTTTAATAGAGACAGGGTTTCACCACATTGGCCAGGCTGGTCTGGAACTCCTGACCTCAAGTGATCTGCCCGCCTTGGCCTCCCAAAGTGCTGGATTACAGGTGTGAGCCACCACACCCGGCCCAGTAATTATTATTTAGTGGCCAATGGCCTGGCCCCTGGAGTCAGACTGTATAGGTTGACTCTCTGTCTAAGAACTGTGTAGCTTTGGCAACTTCACTTTTCTGTGCCTCAGATCCTGCATCTGTAAGATGAGGATAACAATAGCACCTGTCTCATAGGATTATTATGAGGAGTCTGTGAGATGACACTTGTAAACTGTTAGAATGTTCAATAAATATTATTTAATAGGATCAGTGTCAGGCATTTTACATGCAAGCGCTTCTGTTCCTCCTCACCCTGCAGAGGTAGGTATTATCAGATTAGGAAACTAAGGTTTAGAAGTGTCAAGTCAGGGTCTGGCATGGTGACTCATGCCTATAATCCCAACACTTTGGGAGGCTGAGGTGGGCAGATCGCTTGAGCCCAGGAGTTCGAGACCAGCCTGGGCAGCATGGTGAAACCCCATCTCTACAAAAAAAAAAAAAAAAAATGCAAAAATTAGCCAGGTGTGTGTGGGTGGTGCATGCCCGTGGTCCCAACTACTCGGGAGGCTGATGAGATGGGAGGATCTCTTGGGCCCGGGAGGCAGAGGTTGCAGTGAGCTGAGATCATGCTACCACACTCCAGCCTGGGTGACAGAGCCAGACCCTGTCTCAAAACAAATAAAAATTTTTTTAAAAAAATTAAAAAGATGAAGAGACGTAAGAGGTATAGAAAAGAAAAAAAAATTTAAAAGAAATGTCAAGTCAGACAGAAAATAGGTGTCAGAACTGGGATTTGAACCTAAGATCTGTTAGGTCCACAGCTACACTCTTCATTTTATTATGCTCTTTCTTTCTTTTGTTTTGTTTTGTTTTTGAGACAGCGCCTCACTTTGTCACACGGGCTGGAGTGCAGAGGCACAATCATAGCTCAATATAGCCTCAAACTCCTGGGCTCAAGCAATTCTCCCTCCTCCCTCCTGCCTCAGCCTTCCTAGTAGCTAGGACTACAGGAGTGTGCCACCATGCCTGGCTAATTTTTAAAAAACTTTTTTATAGAGACAGGATCTTACTCTGTTGCCCAGACTGCTCTCGACCTCCCGGCCTTCAAGTGATCCTCCTGCCTCGGTCTCCCAAAGCACTGAGATTACAGGCATGAGCTACCACACCTGGCCTTATGTTATTTCCAATGACCTTTATGCATTGAAAGTGAAGTTGAGTCCTTGCTTCGTTGCATCTTTCATCTTTTTTGTAGGATTGCTCCAATAGAACCACTATAAATAGAGTGAAAGGAAACTTGCATACATCTTTGCATAATTCAGAATGTTGAAAGGGGGTCAGTTGTCACCCTGGTTGGGGGCACGTCTCTGCTATGGGAGGTAGCATGTCCAGAGGAAAGAGAATACAGATGTTTTAGGTTCCATCTCTGGTCTGCTGCTAACCAGTAGTGTCTACTTAAAATCTCAGCATAGTGTCATCGGAAGGGGTTTTGTAGCTTATCTCAGAGTCCACCTCTCATTTTACAAACGGCAGAATAGACTGAGAGAGCAAAATGCCTCACTCAGGGTCATACAGCCAGTTAAAGGCAGAGGCTGGCTTGGAGCACAAGACCCTAGATCTCCCAGTCCAGTGCTTCTTCCTCAGTACCATGTAGTATTCTGCTTCACTTCTCCCTTGTTAAATGGGGATTATTATCGTACATGAATATTCATAGCAGCATTATTCATAGCAGCGTTATATTAGCTTTCTAACTTCCTAAAAGGATTGTTGCAAAGTTCAAATTAAAAGCTTGAACAAAAGTGCTTTGATAGGTATAAAACATTGTGTGTAAGGCAGTCATGCCATTATTCATTCAGCAAATATTTATTGGTGCCTGCTAAGCTTACATCACTCCTGGAAGACCAGTGGGATCAATGGATGAATCGGATGAAGAGCAGGCCCTCAGCATGCTTTTAATCTTCTAAGAAAGAGAAGCCACGTAAATAACCACAGCTCAAGGTAGGAGACAGATGAAGGAAAGGCTAAGAATGGAATTTTCTTTCCATAACCTGTGATTTTGAGGTAGAGAAAAGAAAGGGTTTTTTTTGGTTTTTTTTTTTTGTTTGTTTGTATTTTTGAGACAGAGTCTTGCCCTGTCACCCAGGGTGGAGTGCAATGGCGCAATCTCGGCTCACTGCAACCTCCGCCTCCCGGGTTCAGACGATTCTCCTGCCTCAGCTTCCCGAGTAGCTGGGATTATAGGTGCCTGCCACCATGCACAGCTAATTTCTGTATTTTTAGTAGAGACGAGCTTTCACCATGTTGGCCAGGCTGGTCTCGAACTCCTGACCTCCTGGTCCACCCGCCTTGGCCTCCCAGAAAGTGCTGGGATTACAGGCATGAGCCACTGTAATCCTATGGGACATGCTATGGGAGGTAGCATGTCCAGAGGAAAGAGAATACAGATGTTTTAGGTTCCATCTCTGGTCTGCTGCTAACCAGTAGTGTCTACTTAAAATCTCAGCATAGTGTCATCGGAAGGGGTTTTGTAGCTTATCTCAGAGTCCACCTCTCATTTTACAAACGGCAGAATAGACTGAGAGAGCAAAGGGTTTAAGGTATTTCTTCTTTATTGACATATAATTCACGTACCATAAAATAGACAGTCTCTTAAATTATACAATTCATTGGTTTTAATATAGTCACAAAGTTGTGCAACTTGTCACCACTATCTAATTCCAAAACATTTTCATCACCTAAAAAAGAAACACATACCCTTGAGCTATCACATTCCTCCCCAACACTCCCATCTCTTTCTGTCTCTGTAGGTTTTCCTATTCTTGACATTTCACATAAATAGAACCATACGACATGTAGTCTTTTGTGACTGGCTTCCTTCACTTAGCAGAATGTTTTGAAGTTTCTTCCATGTTGTTGTATGAATTAGTACCTCATTCCTTTTTATGGCTGCATAATATTCCATTACAGTGGATATTAACACATTATATTTATTCATCAATTGATGGCCATTTGGGTTGTTTCTAATTTGGGCTATTATGAATAATGCTGCTCTGAGTATTCATGTACAGCTTTTTGTATGGACATGTGTTTTCTTTCCTTTTTTTTTTTTAGACTGAGTCTTGCTTTGTCACTCAGGCTGGAGTGCAATGGCACGATCTGGGCTTACTGCAACCTCCGCCTTCCAGGTTTAAGCGATTCTTCTGCCTCAGCCTCCTGAGTAGCTGGGATTACAGGTGCCCGCCACCACGCCCGGCTAATTTTTGTATTTTTAGTAGAGATGGGGTTTCACCATGTTGGCCAGGCTGGTCTTGAACTCCTGACCTCAGGTGATCTGCCCACCTCGGCCTCCCAAAGTGCTGGGATTACAGGCGTGAGCCACCACGCCCAGCCATTTTTTTTTTTTTTTTTTTTTCGAAACAGGGTCTCACTCTGTCACCCAGCCTGGAGTCCAGTGCCACAAACATAGCTCACTGCAGCCTCAAACTCCTGGGCCTAAGTAATCCTCCTACCTCGGACTCCCAAAGTGCTGGGATTACAGACGTGAGCCACCGCACCCAGCCTATTTCTGCATTATTATTTATTTAATTAATTAAACTTTTTTTTGAGACAGAGTCTCCCTCTGTTGCCCAGGCTGGAGCAGAGTGGCATGATCTCAGCTCACTGCAACCTCTGCCTCCTGGGTTTAAGCGATTCTCCTGCCTCAGCCTCTCGAGTAGCTGGGATTACAGGTGCCTGCCACCACGCCTGGCTAATTTTTGTATTTTTAGTAGAGACGAGGTTTTACCACGTTGGCTAGGCTGGTCTTGAACTTCTGACCTTAAGTGATCCACCTGCCTCAGCCTCCCAAAATGCTGGGATTAGAGATGTGAGCCACTGTGCCCAGCCTTGTGCAGGTTTTTTATACAGGTAAACTCATGTCATGGTGGTTTGTTGTGCAGATTATTTTGTTACCCAGGTACTAAGCCTAGTACTCAATAGTTATTTTTTCTGATCCTCTTCCTCTTCCCACCCTCCACCCTCAAGTAGGTTCCAGTGTCTGTTGTTCCCTTCTTTGTGTCCATGAAGTCTCATCATTTAGCTTCCACTTACAAGTTAGAACATGCCATATTTGGTTTTCTGTTTCTGCTTTAGTTTGCTGAGGATAATGGCCTCCGGCTCCATTCATGTTCCTGCAAAGGATATGATCTCATTCTTATGGCTGCATGGTCATTCCATGGTGTACATGTACCACATTTTCTTTCTTTTTTTTTTTTTTTTTCTTTGTGAGATGGAGTTTCACTCTTGTTGCCCAGCCTGGAGTGCAATGGCGTAGTCTCAGCTCACTACAACCTCTGCCTCCCGGGTTCAAGTGATTCTCCTGCCTCAGCCTCCCAAGTAGCTGGGATTATAGGCACCTGACACCATGCCTGCCTAATTTTATAGTGTTAGTAGAGACGGGGTTTCTCCACGTTGGCCAGGCTGGTCTTGAACTGCTGACCTCAGGTGATCTGCCCGCCTCGGCCTCCCAAAGTGCTGGGATTACAGGCGTGAGCCACTGTGCCCAGCCTGTACCACATCTTCTTTATCCCATCTGCTGTTGATGAGCATTTAGGTTGATTCCATGTCTTGCTTATTGTGAATAGTGCCACAATTAACATACTGCACAGTGTGTGTGTCTTTATGGTGAAACTATTTATATTCCTTTGGGTATATACCCAGTAATAGGATTGCTAGGGCAAATGGTAGTTCTGTTTTTAGCTCTTTGAGGAATCTTCACACTGCTTTCCACAATGGTTGAACTAATTTACACTCCCACTAACAGTGTAAAAGTGTTGCCTTTTCTCTGCAACCTCACCAGCATCTGTTATTTTTTGACTTTTTAATAATAGCTATCCTGACTAGTGTGAGATGGTATCTCATTGTGGTTTTGACTTGGATTTCTCTATTGATCAGTGATACTGAGCTTTTTTTCATATGCTTGTTGGCCACATGTATGTCTTCTTTTGAAAAGTGTCTGTTCATGTCCTTTGCCCACTTGATGGGATTGTTTTTTTCTTACACATTTGTTTAAGTTCCTTATAGATGCTGGATATTAGACCTTTGTCAGATGCATAGTTTGCAAGTATTTTCTCCCATCCTATAGGTTGTCTGTTAATGATACACTTTAAAATGATTAGTTTCATCTTATGTGAATTTCACTTAAAAACTTTTTATTATTATTTTTTTTTATTCAGAGTCTTGCCCTGTCTCCCAGGCTGGAGTGCAGTGGTGTGATCTTGGCTCACTGTAGCCGAAACCTCCTGGGCTCAAGCAGTCCTCCCACCTCAGCCTCCCAAGTAGCTGGGACTGTAGGTGTGCCACCACGCCCAGCTAATTTTTTAACTTTTTTTAGAGACAGGGTTTCACCATGTTTCCCAGCTGGTCCCAAACTCCTGGGCTCAAGCAATCTTCCCACATTGGTCTCCCAAAGTGCTGGGATTATAGACGTGAGCCACTGCACCCAGCCTTAAATTTTTTAAAAAGAAACCATATCCCGGCCCAGCTCAGTGGCTCACACCTGTAATTCCAGCACTTTGGGAGGCTGAGGCAGACAGATCACTTGAGGCCAGTAGCTCAAGACAAGCTTAGCCAACATGGTGAAACCCCATCTCTACTAAAAATACGAAAAATTAGCCGAGCATAATGGTGCATGCCTGTAATCCCAGCTACTCCGGAGGCTGAGGCATGAGAATCACTTGAACCTGAGAGGCAGAGGCTGTAGTGAGCCAAGATGGCACCACTGCACTCCAGCCTGGGCAACAGAGTGAGACTGTCTCAAAAAAAAAAAAAAGCCATATCCTTTAGCTGTCACTTCTCTATCCCCCCATTCCCTTCAGCCCTAAGCAACCATTAATCTACTTCCTATTTCTATTCTATTTTGTTCTATTTTATATAAATGGAATTATGCAATATGTAGGCTTCTTTCACTTGGCATAATATTTTTAGAGTTCCCCTATGTTGTAGCATGTATCAGTACTTCATTCCTTCTTATGGCCAAATAACATTCCATTGTATGGATATACCACATTTTGTTTATCTATTTATCAGTTGATGGATGTTTCCACCTTTTGGCTATTATGAATAATGCTGCTCTAAACTTTTTTTTTTCTTTTTGAGACTGAATCTCACTCTCACTAAGGCTGGAGTGGCATGATCATAGCTCACTGTAACTTCAAACTCCTGGGTTCAAGCAATCTTTCTGCCTCAGCCTCCTGAGTAGCTAGGGCTGTAGATGCATGGCCACCACACCTGGCTAATTTTATTTTTTGTAGAGACGGGATTTTGCTGTGTTGCCCAGCCTGGTCTTAAATTCTTGGCCTCAAGTGATTCTCCCTCGGCCTCCCAAAGCGCTGGGATTACAGGTGTGAGCCAGTGCACCTGGCCTTGCTATAAATACATTCTTGCACAGATTTTTGTGTGGCATTTCTTCACTTTTAACAACGTCACGATTTTCCTTCTGATCTTGCGTTTCAAACCTAACAGGTGATAAAGACATCCTATACTCTGCCCCTGCCATCCTACAATGAAATACCCCTTGTCAGCTTCATCTCTGGTAGGGAAATTGGGGCGGGGGAAATGTTATAATCCATGCTACTGAGCAAATATAACAGGGGTTACCAGGTTTTAGTAGAATTCAAATTTAGCTAACATTTGTTGAGCACCTACTACAATCTAGATACGATACTGTTATGTACTTTCTTTTTTTCTTTTTTGGAGATAAGAGTCTCTCTGTATCCTCTAGGCTGGAGTGCAGTGGTGCAATCTCGGCTCACTGCAACCTCCGCCTCCCAGGTTCAAGCGATTCTCCTGCCTCAGCCTCCCAAGTAACTTTGTATTTTTAGTAGAAACGGGGTTTTGCCATGTTGACCAGGCTGGTCTCAAATTCCTGACCTCAGGTGATCCACCCACCTCAGCATCCCAAAGTGCTGGGATTACAGGCGTGAGCCACCACACCCAGCCCTGTTATGTATTTTCATATATATTTTATCATGTATTCACAACAACCCATTAAAGTAGGTGTTAGCATCCCCATTTTACAAATGAGGAAATTGAAACTCAGAAAATTTAAGTAACTTCCCTATGTAGGTACTAATTGGTACACTGAGGGGGAAGCTGGAATTCAGGCCCAGGTGCCTAAGTATTATATGTTTTTCTCTTTCTGCTGCGTTATCCAGAGCCAAACAAGGACTATAGCACACATGAAAGGAGTGGTTCTTCATATTTGGATATTACCATTCAATTCTTGGTTCTAGATGAGTGATCTTCACAAATGTACTTTGTTCTAAGTCATGTTAACCTCAGGCTATTATATTACTGATCACCTTGGCATTATGATTAGACTAATTCCTCCAAATCGAGCTGTTAATTGACTTGTTTTTTTTTTTTTTCTTTTTTGAGACAGAGTCTCACTCTGTCACCCAGGCTGGAGTGCAGTGGTGTGATCTTGGCTCAATGCAACCTCTGCCTCCCAGGTTCAAGCGATTCTCCTGCCTCAGCCTCCTGAGTAGCTGGGATTACTGGCGTGCACCACTACTCCTGGCTAATTTTTTTTTTTTTTTTTTTTTTTTTTTTTTTTTTTTTAGTAGAGACAGGGTTTCACCATATTGGCCAGGCTGGTCTCAAACTCCTGACCACAGGTGATCTGCCCACCTTGGCCTCCCAAAATGCTGGGATTACAGGTGTGAGCGACCACACCTAGCCAGACTTCTATTTTCTTGTTAGTATCCTTTAAAATCATAGAGATAGGCTTATAGAAGAAAGTTTTCCAGTATTCTAAGTTAAAAGTTTATAGAAATGATGGGGTTACATGGTGATATGCTAGGCATTTTAGAGCTCCAGGAATAGAATACCTTTTGGGAGGTGTAACATCTGCATAGCAACTCATATTTTCTTTGTAACATTGTGTCTTGTGTCTTCTTCTGTGCCTTAAGTATTTTTATATTTTTCATAATCTCAGCTCCCAGAAATCAGCTGCTTTCTTTCTCCTTAATTCATTGAGTATCTACTAGAGCTGGTCCACAATATCCTAACTTATAGTAGACCTTTGGGCCGGAGCACAGTGCCTCATGCCTGTCATTCCAGCAGTTTGGGGAGCTGAAGCAGGAGGATTGTTTGAAGCTAGCCAGGCAGTCAAGACCAACCTGGGCAACATAGCAAGACCCTGAATTTAGGAAAAAACAATAATTAGCTGGGAATGGTGGTGCATGCCTGTAGTCCTAGCTACTTGGGAGTCTGAGGTGGGAAGAAGGACTGTGTGAGCCCAGGAGTTCAAGGTTATAGTATGCTATGATCGCACCACTATATAGTGGTGATAGAGTAAGACCCTGTCTCTATTAAACAAATCAAAATCTGCCAGGTGTGTCAGCCTGGCCAACATGGTGAAACCTCATCTCTACTAAAAATACAAAACTTAGCCGGGCATGGTGGGGGCATCTGTAATCCCAGCTACTTGGGAGGCTGAGGCAGGAGAATTGCTTGAACCCGGGAGGCAGAGGTTGTAGTGAGCCAAGATCGCGCCACTGCACTCCAGCCTGGGTGATAGAGCAAGACTCTGTCTCAAAAATAAAAAAAACCTACCAGGTGTGGTGGCTCATGCCTGTAATCCTAGCACTTTGGGAGGCTGAGACGAGAGGATTGCTTGAGCCCAGGAGTTGGAGACCAGCCTGGGCAGCATGGTGAGGTCATGTCTCTACAAAAAATTTTAAAAATTAGCTGGGCATGGTGGCACACACATGTGGTCCCAGCTACTCAGGAGGGTGAGGTGGCAGGATTGCTTGAGCTGGGGAGGTCTAGGCTAGAGTGCAGTGATGCAGTGATTGCACCACTGCACTCCAGCCTAGGCAACTGAGCGAGATCCTGTCTCAAAAAACAAAAATAAAATTAAAAAACCTTTGTCCTCTAGCTCGAGAAATTTTTTGTTGAGCTTTTATATTCTGCAGACAAATGAGCCATTAATGTTATTAGAGCTTCAAGTATGCAAATCAGGGTATATTGTTAACTGTGCTCTCTTTAGAATGAAGAATACATGTTAAAGGTTACTTGTGCCCAGGCACATCTCAGCACTTTGGGAGGGCAAGGCAGGCAGATTACTTGAGGCCAGGCATTCGAGACCAGCTTGGGCAACATGGTGAAACCCTTTCTCTGCAAAAAATACAAAAATTAGCCAGGCTCGGTGGCACATGCCTGTAATCCCAGCTACTCCGGAGGCAGAGGCATGAGAATTGCTTGAACCCAGGAGGTGGAGGCTGCATTGAGCTGAGATCGCACCACTGCACCCCAGCCTGGGTGACAGACCGAGACTCCGTCTCAAAAAAAGAAAAAGAAAAAAAAAAAGTTACTTGTGGTCTGTTATAGTCCCTGTGGTCCCTTTTTTCCATTACAGTTTTCTAAGTTGTCTTTCTTATTCTACTATGATGTGTTTAGTTCATTTCCCTCACTGTCATTTTTGTGCTTCTAAGATGTAGGAACAAATGAGTATAGAGAAGGTTTAACTTATTAATTCATGTTGTTCTTTCTGATTTTTTTTTTTTTTTTTTTGAGATGGAGTCTCACTCTGTCACCCAGGCTGGAGTGCAGTGGTGCAATCTCGGCTCACTGCAACCTCCGCCTCCCGGGTTCAGGTGATTCTCCTGCCTCAGCCTCCCAAGTAGCTGGGACTACAGGCACGTGCCACCACACCTGGCTAACTTTTTGTACGTTTAGTAGAGACAGGGTTTCACTGTGTTAGCCAGGATGGTCTTGATCTCCTGACCTTGGCCTCCTTGATCTGCCCACCTTGGCCTTCCAAAGTGCTGGGATTACAGGTGTGAGCCACTGCGCCCGGCCGGCCTCCTCTCTGTTTCTGCTTCTTCTTCTTTCTTCTTTCTTCTTTCTTCTTCTTCTTCTTTCTTCTTTCTTCTTCCCCTCCCCCTCCCCCTCCCCTCCTCCTCCTCCCTCCTCCCTCCTCCTCCTTCCTCCTCCTTCCTCTTCTCTTCTTCCTCTTCCTCTTCTTCTCTCTTTCTTCTTTCTTCTTCTTTCTTTCTTTCTTTTTTTTTTTTTTAACCGACAAGGTCTTGCTGTGTTGTTCAGGCTGGTTTCGAAGTCCTGACCTCAAGCGATCTTCCCACTTCTGCCTCCCAAAATGCTGGGATTATAGGCGTGAGCCGCCACATTCAGGCATCTGCTATATTTTCAAAGTTTATCACAGTGCCTGGCAAAATAGACATTGAAAATTTTATTTTATGAATTCTTAGTCACTAATTTCAGCCTTTTTGCCTCTTAGCAGAACTGAACATTATGTAATTTGCATACTGCACCAGGTAGAAATCCCCTTGATGTAGTCTTTTCTAGTGTTTAATCATATATGTAACTTTATTGTGTCAATCCAAATCTCTCATTCATGTCATTTTATATCTGAGCTCAAAGCCCTCCTTAAAATAATGCTTTTAAAATTTGATCATGTTTAAATCTTCTCATCCTCGAATAACTATTGATTTATTGATCTGATTATTTGTGTTTGAGAGACTTTTGGACTGAGGTATGAAACTTGTTATGCCCCTTGGTAGATTTAAGGGTATTTCCTTCCCGATGTGAACCTTTTAAATAATCTCTACTTAGAAGTGTTTCCAGTTTTAAAAACAAAAACAAAAAAAAGAAAAAAACAAAATGATTTTTTAAAATAAAGTGTTTCTAGTTAGTTTGTCTGCCTGTAAAAGCTTGTGGAAAGGCACTGAGTCCCTTTTCTTGAGAGGAGAGAAGATAGGCATGCTCCAAGATGAGCTCTCTACCAGTATGCTATCATTTCTTCTCAGGATGGGAGCAGAAATATTCACCAGAATGCTAACCAGGCCAGGCGTGGTGGCTCACGCCTGTAATCCCAGCACTTTGGGAAGTA
The DNA here is from genome assembly GCF_000001405.40 of Homo sapiens. NCBI lineage: Eukaryota > Metazoa > Chordata > Mammalia > Primates > Hominidae > Homo > Homo sapiens. Next base: position 27,254,363 of record NC_000001.11, read on the forward strand.
AAGGCAGGTGGATCAATTGATGTCAGGAGTTCAAGATCAGCCTGACCAATATGGCGAAACCCTGTCTCTGCAAAAAATACATAAAAAATAGCTAAACATGGTGATGCACTCCTGTAATCTCAGCTACTTGGGAGGCTGAGGCACGGAACCGCTTGAACCTGAGAGGCAGTGGTTCCAGTGAGCTATCGCGCCACTGCACTCCAGCCTGGGTGACAGAGTGAGACTCTGTCTCAAAAAAAAAAGAATGCTAAGTAGGCATCAGTTGTATTAAATTTTGACTTTTTTTTTGAGACGGAGTTTCGCTCTGTCATCCAGGGTGGAATGCAGTGGCGCAATCTCGGCTCACTGCAACCTCCGCCTCCCAGGTTAAAACGATTCTCCTGCCTCAGCCTCCCCAGTAGCTGGGATTACAGGCATGCACCACCACGCCTGGCTGATTTTTTTTGTATTTTTAGTAGAGATGTGGTTTCACCATGTTGGCCTTGAACTCCTGACCTCAGGTGATCTGCATACCTCAGCCTCCCAAAGTGCTGGGATTACAGGCGTAAGCCACCGTGCCTAGCCAAATTTGACATTTTGTTTTTTTTTTTTAAACCTGTCTACCAATTTGATCCCAACTTCCATTTTACCATTTACCTGAATTGTGGTTTCCTGCTTGTCTGGTTTCTCTTTTCCCCCCATTTTTGTTCCTTTTAGTATTTCCAAGCCACGCACCAGTCTTAGCTAAAAACCCCTTCTCTTTGATACTGAGCTTTCTTAGTATGGCTACTATGTGTTTCATCTCATTATTCCTCCTTGTCTATCACAGTGCTTGGTGCTAGGTAAATACCCCATTAACATTTTAAGAAAATTAATGAATAAGTCATGGCAATTTAGTGGGCTCTTTTGGTGGATTCTCATAGTGATTGCTACTCTAGGAAATTACATACCATAGTTGTCAAGAGAATGGACTTTGGAATCACATGGCCCTGGGTTTGAGTTCCTGTTCCATCTCCAGTTTTAGCTGTGTAATATTGTGAAAATTGTTGCATGTCTATGAATATGTTTCCTCATATGTAAAATTATGACAGTAAGAGCATCTACCCTACAAGCTTTTTTTGTTTAAGACAAGTGCAGTAGTGACAAGAGGGGAAACAGTAGAACAAGGAGTTCAATATGTAACTGTGAATAATCAATTGAGATAACTTGGTACCTTTGGACCAGCCCGTAAAACTTTTTTTTGCTGAGATGGAGTCTCGCTCTGTCGCCCAAGCCAGAGTGCAGTGGCACGATCTCAGCTCACTGCAACCTCTGCCTCCCAGGTTCACGCGATTCTCCTGCCTCAGCCTCCTTAGTAGCTGGGATTACAGGCATGCTCCACCACACGCAGCTAATTTTTGTATTTTTAGTAGAGATGGGGTTTCACCATGTTGGCTGGGCTGGTCTTGAACTCCTGACCTCAGTTGATCCACCCATCTCAGCCTCCCAAAGTGCTCGGATTACAGGCGTGAACCACCACACCCGGCCAAAACTTTTTGAACCACTCTTCTTCTGGGGTCTTAGCACTCTCTCCCTGGAAGTGGTTTTCCCCCAGTTCTTTGCTGCTGCTTGTCATTCATGTTTCAGCCTAAATGTCATCTTCTCAGAGAACCCCTCTCTATCAGGCAGGATTTGTAGTTGTATGCAACAGAAACCAACTCTGGCTGATTATTGAAAAGATATTAAGGAAATTCACAAAACATCAGGGAAGGTCATAGAGTCATGCTTGAAGAATGCTAAAACAAGAGAAACTGGGCAATAGGCAGGACCCACGACTAAAATCATTCATAGACTCAGCCTGGTGAACACACTGTTGCCACCACTACTTACACAGCTAACACCACCTGCTGCACTGGACTTAATGGCCACTGTGGCCACCCCTTGCTACACTCCAGGTGAACTCTCTGTGGTCCTCTGACTCTGAGACACTAGATCCCAGTTCAGGGTTTAGGGGTGATGTGTCTGGTTGGCATAGCCTGGGCCATATATTCACATTGTAGCTGCAAGGGAGCCTCAGAAAGAGAATCTCAGTCACCTCCTTTCTCACTTTATAGTGGTAAGGGGCTCTGCTTCCCACTAGACTCAAAAGGGGAATTCCCAAAATATAAGAAGCGTTCAAATGCTGAGAAGCCAGAAAATTCGACAAATGTCCACTACAGTTTCTTTGACCTGAAGTCTAAAAGTAGCTCACCAGTTATTGTCACTTCAACTTGTGTTATTGCCATCATACACTTTCCACTACTGGATATTTTCTTATTTTTATTTATTTCATTGTTTATTGTCTGTCCCTTCCTGCTAGAATGTAAGTACCATGAGCAAGGACATTGCCTGTTTTGCTCATTGATATATCCCTTCATTCTGTGCCAGGAACAGCACCTGGCATGTAGTAAAAGCTCCTTATGTTCATTTGTTGAATGAATGACTGTAAAACCCTCAGCACAATGCCTGGCACATAGTAAGTGCTTAATATTTGACAACATATATTTCTTTCTTTTTTTTGAGATGGAGTCTCACTCTGTTGCCCAGGCTGGAGCGCAGTAGCACGATCTCGTCTCACTGCAAGCTCCGTCTCCCGGATTCACTGCCATTCTCCTGCCTCAGCCTCCCGAGTAGCTGGGACTACAGGCGCCTGCCACCACGCCCGGCTAATTTTTTGTATTTTTAGTAGAGACGGGGTTTCACCATGTTAGCCAGGATGGTCTTGATCTCCTGACCTCGTGATCCGCCCACCTCGGCCTCCCAAAGCGCTGGGATTACAGGCGTGAGCCACCGTGCCCGGCCTGGCAACATATATTTCTTAGTAAATAAAAATATTTATATTCTTAAAAACCTTTTGACTTACATTGTTTCATTTGAGCTCCACAGCAGCCTTCTAAGGAAAAGGGTATTGGGGGTAAGGAATGAGCCTTTTTCGGGTGAAGCGTACGTAACCCCGTCAGTGTTTGTTCCAATGCGTCCTATGCCTGTGAGTCACAGGAATGAGTGTCTACTTGGAAAGATTAAGAGACTTAAGCAAGGCCACACAACTGTTCTTTCTTAATACCAGATATACTCACTTCTTTGGTGTTATTTCCAATGTAATCATCCTCACCTCATATTCTTGGTGCTTGTGGGGAAATTACTGTTGTTGTTTGGCTTTGACCAGTATATCACAAAGCAGAGCTATAGATGCCATTTCAGGCTAGTGTTTAGCTTACATTAATTTGTTCAAATTCACATTTTTAATCTGATGGCCAAAGACTCCTGCAAAAATCATCATGAAACTATAGTTCTCAGCTGGTATTCCTGGTGTTCTTGATGCTTACTCTTAAAAATGCCAGCGACTGCCATATCTCCCTGGTAATGACACTAAGATGGCAATGCTGAATGGTTTCATGTTGTAAGGGAAGGTTCTTGCCTGTTTTTTTGTTTGTTTGTTTTTTCTTTTTGAGACAGAGTCTTGCTCTGTCACCCAGGCTGGAGTGCAGTGGTGCAGACTAGGCTCACTGCAACCTCCGCCTCCCGGGTTCAAATGATTATCCTGCCTCAGCCTCCTGAGTAGCTGGGACTACAGGCGTGTGCCACCACACCTGGCTAATTTTTGTATTTTTAGTAGAGACGGGGTTTCACCATATTGGCCAGGCTGGTCTCAAACTCCTGACCTCGTGATCCGCCCGCCTCGGCCTCCCAAAGTGCTGAGATTAAGGCATGAGCCACTGCGCCTGGCGGTTCTTGTCTTTTAAAGAGCTTATGGTCCTGCCAGGCACGGTGGCTCATGCCTGTAATCCCAGCACTTTGGGAGGCCAAGGTGAGAGTGTTGCTTGAGCCTAGGAGTTTGAGACAGCATGGGCAACATAATGAGGCCCCATCTCAATTACAAAAAAAAAAAATGGCTGGGCACTGTGGCTCACACCTGTAATCCCAGCACTTTGGGAGACTGAGGCGGGCGGATCACCTGAGGTCGGGAGTTCGAGACCAGCCTGGTCAACATAGTGAAACCCTGCCTCTGCTAAAAATACAAAAACTAGCTGGCGTGGTGGCAGGTGCCTGTAGTCCCAGCTACTTGGGAGGCTGAGGCATGAGAATCACTTGAACCCAGGAGGCAGAGGTTGCAGTGAGCCAAGATTATGCCACTGCACTCCAGCCTGAGCAACAGAACAAGACTCTGCCAAAAAAAAAAAAGAAAAAAAAAGAAAAGAAAGGGAGGGAGGGAAGGAAAGAAAGAAAGAGCTTGTTATCCCAAAATTGATTATGGAGGCGTTAGCCCCAAAGAACTCGGACTGAATGAGAACATCTAATTTGGCAGCGAGTTTTTTTTATTGTCCTACTGCATGCCTAGCACTAAAGGAAAACAAAATCTGCAATAACATAATGTTTAGGTGTCGAGTCTTCTTTTGTGGTTAAATGACAGAGGAAAGGAAGGAGTCTGCTCACAGATCAGGTGAAAAACGTGATTTCAGTAGAGGAGGCCAGCTGGTGAGAGATTGAAAAGTAGCCCTGTGAGGTCCTAATGACTGGCAGGGTTGGCAGAGAGAACTGGTAAACCCTGAGAGCCGTCTTCTGAGCACAAAGGGCCATCATTGGGAAGAAAGACTAAACTTCTGTGTGGCTTCAGAGGTGGAACCAGGACTAAAAGGTGAAAATGCCAGGAGGCAGAACTTTCCTTGAAAGTCTAGTATTTTTAAATCTGATTACAAATTAGTGTGCTTTTATAGAATAATTTTGAAAATATTAAAAAGTAGAAAAAGTCAGTCATATCATTAACCAAAGAGAGCTATTGTTTTCTTTTTATTATTTTACTTATTTTTAATTTGTTTAGAAACAGGGTCTTGTTCTGTCACCCAGGCAGGAGTGCAGTGGTGTCATCATAGCTCACTGCAGCCTCAAACTCCCGGGCTCAAGTGATCTTCCGACCTCAGCCTCCTGAGTAGCTGGGACTACAGGCGCATGCCACCATGCCCAACTTTTTTTTTTTTTTTTTTTTTTTTGGTATAGATAAGGTCTCACTTTGCTGCCCAGGCTGGTCTCTAACACCTGGTTTCAAGTAGTCCTCCCACCTCAACCTCCCAAAGTACTGGGATTACAGGCATGAGCCACTCTGCCCAGCCATATTTTGAGTTTTGTTATGATAAAATTGTTTTCCTTCTTTAGAGGCAGAGTCTCGCTATGTTGCCCAAGGAGGGCTTGAACTCCTGGGCTCAAGTGATTCTCCTGTCTCAGCCTCCTGAGTAGTTGGGACTACAGGTGCACAGCACTGCACCACCACACCTGACTTTTCTTTTTCTTATGGCAAATCCTCAGAAATAGAATTGCTTATTATTTTTAACAATCAGAGTTGTATAACACAGGAACAGGTTGCTTCAACAAGTGGTAAGGCTAGGCCAGGCGCAGTGGCTCATGCCTGTAATCCCAGCACTTTGGGAAGCTGAGGTAGGCAGATCTCTTGAGCCCAGGATTTCAATACCAGCTTCAGCAAGATGGCGAGACTCCATCTCTACAAAAAAAAAAAAAAGAGAGAAAAGAAAAAATTAGCTGGGAGAGGTGGTGTGCACCTGTGATCTCAGTTATTCAGGAGGCTGAGATGGGAGGATCACTTGAGCCTTGGAAGTTGAGGCTACAGTGAGCCATGATCATGCCACTGCACTGCAGCCTGGGTGACAGAGTGAGACCCTGTCTCAGGAAAAAAAGAGTAGTGAGACTAAAAGCCTACCTACCAGGATTTTTTTTGTTTTTTGTTTTTGTTTTTTTGTTTTGTTTTGTTTCGAGATGGAGTCTCGCTCTGTCGCCCAGGCTGGAGTGCAGTGGCGCAATCTCGGCTCACTGCAAGCTCCGCCTCCCAGGTTCACGCCATTCTCCTGCCTCAGCCTCCCGAGTAGCTGGGACTACAGGCACCCGCCACCACACCCAGCTAATTTTTTTGTATTTTTAGTAGGGACGGGGTTTCACCATGTTAGCCAGGATGGTCTCGATCTCCTGACCTTGTGATCCGCCCACCTCGGCCTCCCGAAGTTCTGGGATTACAGGTGTGAGCCACCGCGCCCGGCCCTACGAGGATGTTAAAGAAGGATTTCTTTATTAGGTTGGGTCTTGGACACGGTCACCATTACATTTCCTTTACACTGTTTAATTCTGTGAATCTACTGGAGACTTGAGAGTTCTGTCTGTGATACTGATTTGGTTTCGGGGAGAGCCAAGCTGAGGATCAGAGATTTGAAGCATAACTAAAAGTTCAGACGAGCTGCCACAGATGCCTACTGAGCAAGTGAAACTTGATGTCTTTCTAGCTTTGCCTTGTTCTAACTTTAAGGATATGCTACCATTATCCTTCATACTTATACACAACCTGCCATTTTCCGATGAAGCATAACATATTTCTTCCGTGTTTGTTCCAATGCTTGTTGGGATGTGCTACTGTTCTCCCCACCCACTTCACCCATTCCAGAGGTTTTTCAACACTATGGAGCAGGGCCAGCCCACCATGCCACAAATGACAGGCAAGGGCCACTTCACTGGGTGGGCTGTTTTAGGGGTGGAATTAGGTCTTGGGAGTCACTTTATTATCCATCCTCCAAAGTTTGATGATTTTTTTCCCCCAGGTAATTAAATGTGTATTTTGTGGACCTGGGCTTGGCTGGAATGCTCAGGGGTCCTGAAGATCCTATTATAGCTTCCTTCTGTTGAACCATTAAGAAAAGATGGCGAAAGTCAACATAACTAGAGACCTCATCCGTAGGCAGATCAAGGTAAGCAGCCCAGACTTCTGCACCAGATCATGAGATCTTTTCTTTCCCACAGATTGATTTTACAGATGAAAAAACTGAAATCTATAGTCTGTGACTTGCCTAAAGTCACGTAGCTAGTTAGTGGCAGACCCAGGACTAGAATCAAGGTCTCTTTCTCTCCATCTTGTATTGTCTAAGAACATGGATTTCATGGAGACTCTGTCCACATACTTGTGCCTGGGCTGCTGAGATTAATGCAGGCTGGCAAGGGAGGGGAGCTGTCAATGTGTTGTGCAGATACATACACATCCTTGTGTTGGGCAGGTGGTGCACAAGAGCAAATATAACTTCTTCATGTTGCTCCAGCTGCCAAGTTGTATATGTAAGAGATCCTGGGAGAGTATTAGTCCCAGTTCAGCTTGTATTCTCTTTGAGGCTCTCCTGTGCTAAAGCCTGTCCTCTGCAGTTTGTATGTAGAAGACACTCTGATACCTGTGAGATAAATGGATGACTGGGCAGTCAAGTTCAGTTATTGAAGTAGCCCCAGGCTTTGTTAGAGAAACCCTCAGAAAAGGAGCCATAGAGGTTTAATGCAATACATTAAACCAAGGCATGATGTGCTCCAGCACTGGTAAGAATCCCCAGCTGGAGTCAGGAGCTTCATCTCACCACTGCCCTAATTAACTAACTATAGGTCTTTAGTCATTTTACCTCCTGTGCCTCAGTTTTATGTTGTTAAATGATGATAATGGCCATCTGCCTGTAGGCTGACCTTGAGAATGAAATCTGAATGAGCTTGAGAAAGTTGTTTGACAAATTAAGTGCTTAAAAAGTACTAAAGTACTAAAAAAATTTTTTTTTTTTTTGAGACAGAGTGTTGCTCTGTTGCCCAGGCTGGAGTGCAGTGGTGTGATCTCAGCTCAGTGCGACCTCCACCTCCCAGGTTCAAGTGATTCTCTTGCCTCAGCCTCGCAAGTAGCTGGGACTACAGGCGCATGCTACCACGCCCAGCTAATTTTTTGTATTTTTAGTAGAGACGGGGTTTCACCGTGTTACTCAGGAGATCTTGATCTCCTGACCTCGTGATCCACCCACCTTGTCCTCCCAAAGTGCTGGGATTACAGGCGTGAGCCACCATGCCTGACCTAAAAAAATTTTTAACTAAAAATTTTTAAAAAATCAAGTGGCATGCAGCATAAGCTGTGGTCACCATTTAGAAGGATTGAGTATGTGCCTCTACATGAGCCATGTACTTGGCATATTTGTGTATTTTTCCCTGCATCCCTGAATCCTTTTATTTATCTTATTTTTATTTTTATTTTTTGAGATGGAGTTTTGCTCTTGTTGCCCAGGCTGGAGTGCAGTGGCATGATCTTGGCTCATTGCAACCTCCACCTCCCAGGTTCAAGTGATTCTCCTGCCTCAGCCTCCCGAGTAGCTGGGATTACAGGCACGTGCCACCATGCCTGGCTAATTTTGTATTTTTAGTAGAGATGGGGTTATACCATGTTGGCCAGGCTGGTCTTGAACTCCTGACCTCAGGTTCCTTGGCCTTCCTTGGCCTCCCAAAGTACTGGGATTACAGGCATAAGCCACCATGCCCAGCCCCTGAATCCTTTTAGCTTTGTCCATTTGTGGAAGTTTTTTGTGTGTGATTTCATTAGACTGAGTGGTCCTCAAAGACAGGGGCCATTTCCTAGAGGCATGGAATCAGCAGGGGTTTTTTTTCCCTTTGTGTGCAATATGTGTCCTAAAGATGATGCCCACCCTGTCCAACCTAAATATGGAACTATTCCCCATTGTTTCCAATTTTTCTTCTTTCCTTTTTAAAAATTTTTTGCTTTCTTTAAAAAAAAAAATGAACGGCACAACTTAGTGCTTAATTATATACTACTGTCTTCTATTCTTCTCTAATCCTTGCCCCAGAATAATACAAAGTCCTGTAGGCCAGTTCCTTGTTGTCTTCTTTAGCTCCTGTGGTGCCCAGGAAAGAGCTGGATATATAATAGGCACATAATAAATCATATTTAATTGAATCAATGAAATCACGAATTTGTTTCTGTCCCCTAGGAGCGGGGTGCCCTGAGCTTTGAGCGGCGCTACCATGTCACTGACCCCTTTATCCGGCGGCTGGGCCTGGAAGCAGAGCTGCAGGTAAGAGATCCAGTTTGCACCTTAGATGCAGATGGCCTGCTGTCCATTCTCTGCCTGCAGAAATCCTCTTGGCCTTATCAAGGCATAAACAAGTGTTTCTCTGCAGGCCATATCTGACAGTTACTTCTCCTTCAGTAGACAACTAAATCTGAATCAAGATCAGCAATTGACATAGTCACATATAAATTATTATTTTTTTATTTTATTTTATTTTTTGAGATGAAGTCTCGCTCTGTCACCCAGTCTGGAGTGCGGTGGCACGATCTCTGCTTACTGCAAGCTCTGCCTCCCGGGTTCACACCATTCTCCTGCCTCAGCCTCCCGAGTAGCTGGGACTACAGGCGCCCATCACCATGCCCAGCTAATTTTTTTGTATTTTTAGTAGAGACGGGGTTTCACCATGTTAGCCAGGATGGTCTCGATCTCCTGACCTCGTGATCCGCCCGCCTTGGACTCCCACTGGGATTACAGGCGTGAGCCACCGCGCCTGGCCTTAAATTATTTTTTTGGACATATTATTTGCTTTAAAAAAGTTTGTTCAATTCCATACCACTATTTTTACTATTGGCTTGGGCAGTGAATACAGATTTCCTACCCGTATACAGGAATATAGAATTTATAGTGTTTTCATATACATATACATATACGTATACATATACATATACATATACACATAATGTATACGTGCACACACACACAAACACACACACTTTCTTATTTTAGCATCAAAGCAATGCTGTAGGGATGTAGACTGAGAATAGGTGTTTAAAAAAAAAAAAAGACCGGCTCATGCCTGTATTCGCAGCACTTTGGGAGGTCAAGGAGGGTGGATCACTTGAGGTCAGGAGTTTGAGACCAGCCTGGCCAACATGGTGAAATCCCAACTCTACTAAAAATACAAAATTAGTCAGGCATGGTGGTGCATGCCTGTAATCCCAGCTATTTGGGAGGCTAAGGCACGAGAATTGCTTGAACCCAGGAGGCGGAAGTTGCAGTGAGCCAAGATAGTGCCACTGCACTCCATCCTGGACAACAGAGTGAAACTCTGTCTCAAAAAAGAAAAAAATAAAAGAAAGCCAGGTTCAATGACACATGCCTATAGTCCCAGCTATTTGGGAGGCTGAGACAGGATTGCTTGAGCCCAGGAGTTCAAGTCCAGCCTGAGCAATATAGCAAGACCTTGTCTCTAAAAATTAAAATGAAATAATAAAATGTTTAAAAAAAAAAACCAAAACCAAAAACCAGAACGCTTGTTCAAGTTTGTCCTGTCCTGTCCATGGATAGGCCAGATCTTTGGTCCAGAAATTCAGCTTTTTCATTGTGTCTGACATAGAGACTCCATAATGTTGGTTCCATTCTCTTTTCTTCCTCAACATCATGTGTTTTGTGGGTCTTTGTTTTGTTTTGTTTTGTTTTGTTTTGTTTTGTTTTTGGTAGAGTTGGAGTCTTGCTGTGTTGCCCAAGCTGATCTCCAATTCCTGACCTCAAACAGGTCTCTCACCTTGGCCTCCCAAAGTGCTGGGAATTCAGGCGTGAACCACCTCACCCAGCCAAGATCACATTTTGAATCTAATTTTTTTTTTTTGAAACAGTGTCTTGCATTGTTGCCCAGGCTGGAATGCAGTGGTGCCATCATGGCTCACTGCAGCCTCAACTTCCTGGACTCAAGTGATCCTCCTGCCTCAGCCCCCTGAATAGCTGGGATTACAGATACATGCCACTATGCCCAGCTAATTTTTGTATTTTTTTGTAGAGACAGGGTTTCACCATGTTGCCCAGGCTGGTCTCAAACTCCTGAGCTCAAGCCATTCACCTGCCTCAACCACCCAAAGTGCTTGGATTACAGGTGTGAGCTACTGTGCCTAGCCCACACTGTAAGCTTAAAAGAAATTAGTACTTGTTGAGTTTTGGCATAGTATCAAAGAAAGATATACACAGTTACCTGAAAAGGCTATTCAAATATTCCTTCCAATTCCAGCTTCTTTGTGAGGCTGGATTTTTTTCATATACTTCAACCAAAAATGACATTGCAATGGGCTGAATACAAAAGCAGATGAGAATCTACTGGTCTTCCATTAAACTAGACATTAAAGAAGTTTGCAAAAATGTAAAACAATGCCACTCTTCTCATTAAATTCTTTGCCTTGGAAAATATAGTTATTTCATCTAAAATGTGTTTTTTATTGTTGTTTTTTAGTGAATTAAGAATATGCCAGCCTGGGCAACATAGCGAGACCTTGTCTCTACTAAACATTTTTTAAAAAATGAATTAGCCAAGCATGGTGGTGCATACTTGTCCCAACTATTTGGGAGGCTAAAATGGGAGAATCACTTGGGCCCAGGAGGTTAAGCCTGCAGTGAGCTGTGATTGTGCCACTGCACTCCAGCCTGGGTGACAGAGTGAGACCCTGTTTAAAAAAAAAAAAATTGCTGGGCGCAGTGGCTCACACCTGTAATCCCAGCACTTAGGGAGGCTGAGGCAGGGGGATCACCTGAGGTCAGGAGTTTGAGACCAGCCTGACCAACATGGAGAAAGCCCATCTCTACAAAAAAATACAAAAATCAGTCGGCCATGGTGGTGTGTGCCTGTAATCCCAGCAACTTGGGAGGCTGAGGCAGGAGAATCGCTTGAACCCCGGAGGTGGAGGTTGCAGTGAGCCAAGATCTCGCCATTGCACTCTAGGCCTGGGCAACAAGCACAAAACTCCATCTCAGAAAAAAAAAATTGTTTTAATTTCTAATATGATAAATATTGACAGATATCACCCATATAAACAAAAGCTCTTTGGGATCCTCAGTAATTTTTAATAGCGTAAAGGGGTCCTGAAACTGGAAATGTTAAGAACCACTACTCTATAGAGCCATGGAATGGGATGCCTGAATAATATTGCCTGGGGGAAAAGCAGGAGGAGCAAGAAAAGGGTCCAGGACCAAGAACCAAGGTGTTTCAGCATTTAGAGAGTACCTACTTTTCCTCTTCCTCTACCCACTGAAGACAGAAAGAATAGCCATGGAGGTCTGAGGAGAACATGGTATCACGGTAGCCAAGGAGGAGAAAAAGCTTGAATGTGTTGATTTTTACAGTCTAACTCTCAAAAAGCCATCTGTTTTCCTCTTTCCTGGTTTGGAGTTGGAGGGAATACTATTTGCATTACCCCAAATAGTAATTAAAATACCTCTATAAGCAATATGAACTTGGAGAAGTTGTTTAACTTCTAAAGGCCATTTCTTCATCTGTAAAATAATGTCTCTTAGGTGTAAGTCAGTTAATTTATGTAAAGGACCTAGCACAGTGTCCAGTATATTGTATAAGTCCATGGCACACAACAAACATTAGCTGCTATTATTGTTGTTATTTATGGAAAGCTCTTAAAGTTTCCTAAGACGCCAGTCCCAAGATGGTGATTTGATGGCATCTAGCTATTTAAAACTTCTTCAGTCATTTCTTTCCCTGTTTTATTTCCATCATTGTCACATATGGACCTCATGTTAGTCAATAATAGTTTATCTTTGGCATTAAGAAAAGGTGATTAGTGGGAGGTAAGGGTGGGATAAGAGGGAAGATCAACAGTAAAAGCTGCTGCCTTTTGGTGGTTACTGGTTATGTTTTCTTTATGATCTGGGCAAAACATTTTTTCCTGGGTTTTCCAATTTTCTACTCTGTATGCTTTTGAAAAATGCAAAGGGAAGCTGAAAGAGAACTATTATGAGATAGTGTCAGACATTTAGTAGATGCTCAATAAAAACCTGTTGGTGTGATTGACTTTTTTGTTTTTCCACGTTAGAGGTAGCTTTCATAACCTTATCCCTATTCAACCATGCGATTTCTGTAGCTTCCGCCTTAATAATCTGGTCTGATTTTTACTTTTTGACTTTATAGTTTACATTTTATGTCCATTTAAAATTCAGACTTTAGCTAGTCTTGATATTTGTTACCCTTCCTGTATGTTGATAGAATTTATACCTACAGAGCTGACAGTTTAAAAAGCCTCCAAGTTAACTTGGATTACTTTCTTTTTTTTTTTTTTTGGCAACAGGGCCTCACTCTGTCGCCTAGGCTGTGGTGCAGTGGCCAATCTCGTCTCAGTGCAACCTCGCCTCCTGGGCTGAAGCAGTTCTTGTGCCTCAGCCTTCTGAGTAGCTGGGATTACAGGCGTGTGCCACCACACCCAGCTAATTTTTTTATTTGCTAGAGATGGAGTTTCGCCAAGTTGGCCAAGCTGGTCTCAAACTCCTGTCCTCAAGTGATCCACTCACCTTATTTTTTAATAGGTCAATATTCATATGGTTCAAATTCAAAAGTTTAAAAAGTCATCTCCTCATTATTTTTCCCAGCTATGTAATCCAGTTACGTGGAATTGACTAATATAATGAGTTTTAGTATCCTTTCAGAGGAATTTTATGCATAAAATTCTTACCTTTTCTCACAAATGTTAGCCTAACATATTTGCTGTTTCAGTAAGAAAATCAACAACTTACTAAAAAATTAAGGTCTAAAACAATGAAGTATCTTTAAAAAGATACTTTCATAATTTTGCCATATTCATACATATTTCTAATTTCTAATTCTTTCATGGTTCAGAGTGTTCTGTTGTGTATGTGGACCCATAATTTACTTAAATTATCCATACCAATAGACATGTAGATTATTTACAATTTTTTGCATGTACAAGGTCATTCCTTATGACATCATTTGGCACATGTGGTTATATCTCTTATCAGACGAATACCTAGGGTGGAATTTGTAGGTCAGAGGATATACACATCTGTGATTTTGATAAATATTACCAAAATTGCCTTCCATGGTGTTTGTACCAACTTTTGCTACTATCATACTCCTTCTGTCTTATATCAAACATAATGCTCAACAAATACTCTCTCTCAAACCCCAATGTGTTCATCATCATTTTGAGAAATTTCACAGGCGAGGCATGGTGGCTCACCCCTGTAATCTCAGTACTTTGTGAGGCTGTGGCAGGTGGATCACTTGAGCTCAGGAGTTCGAGACCAGCCTGGGCAACATGGCAAGACCCCTGTCTCTATACCATCAAAAATGAAAACTTAAAAAAAGAGAGATTTCACAGATGAGTGCAGAGTTATAGGCCAGAGAGATAACAGATTGGCTTTCAAGATACTTTTTTTTTTAATTTAATTTTTTAGGGTTTTGTTTGTTTGTTTGTTTGTTTGTTTGTGGTTTTTTTGTGACAGAGTCTTGCCCTGTCACCCAGGCTGGAGTGCAGTGGCGTGATCTTGGCTCACTGCAACCTCCGCCTCCCAGGTTCAAGTGATTCTCCTGCCCCAGCCTCCCAAGTAGCTGTGATTACAGGCGTGTGCCTCCATGGCTGGCTAATTTCTGTATTTTTAGTAGAGGTGGGGTTTCACCATGTTGGTCAGGCTGGTCTCGATCTCCTGACCTCGTGATTCACCCACCTCGGCCTCCCAAGTACTGGGATTACAGGTGTGAGCCACTGCGCCCAGCCGATTTTTTAGTTTTTTTGAGACAGAGTCTCACTCTGTCGCTCAGGCTGGAGTGCAGTGGCGCAATCTTGGCTCACTGCAACCTTTGCCTCCCGGGTTCAAGTGATTCTCCTGCCTCAGCCTCCCAAGTAGCTGGGACTACAGGTGCACGCCACCACACCCAGCTAATTTTTGTATTTTTAGTAGAGATGGGGTTTCACTATGTTGGCCAGGCTGGTCTTGAACTCCTGACCTCAGGTGGTCCACCCTCCTCAGCCTCCCAAAGTGCTGGGATTACAGGTGTGAGCCACTGCGCCCAGCCCAAGATACTTTTTTAAATTAAAAATGTAGGCTGGGTGCAGTGGCTCACGCCTGTAAATCCCAACACTTTGGGAGGCTGAGATGAGAGGATGGCAAGTCCAGAAAGAAGTTCAAGACCAGCCTGGGTAACATAAGGAGGCCCTGTTTCTCCAAAAAAAAAAAAAAAAAAAAAAAAAAATCAGCTAGGTGTGGAGGCACATGCCTATAGTCCCCAGCTACTTGGGAGGCTGAGGCAGTAGGATCGCTTGAGCCCAGGAGGTTGAAGCTGCAGTGAGCCATGATCACACCACTGCACTCCAACTTGGGCAACAGAGTGGGACTGCCTCAAAAAAAAAAAAAAGTACAAAACAGTAAATTCGTTAGGCTAACATATGAGTGTGGCAAGAGAGAATAGAGAATACTCAGTTCAAGAGAACAATTAGTCACAAAGTCCAAGTGGAAGAGGGATGAGAAATGAGGTTGGTGAGGTAAGTGTGGATGGGCTATTCATAATGAAGGATATTGTAAGCTACGTGGAAGACGATGGACAATGGAGAGTCATTGAATGGTTTTGACCATAAGAGCAACATGATCAGATTTTTTTTTGTTTTTTGTTTTTTTTTTTTCGGTTTTTTTTTTTTTGAGATGGAATTGCTCTGTCACCCAGGCTGGAGTGCAGTGGCACAATCTTGGCTTACTGCAACCTCCGCCTCCCAGGTTCAAGGAATTCTGCCTCAGCCTCCTGAGTAGCTGGGACTACAGGTGTGCACCACCACTCCTGGCTAATTTTTCTATTTTTAGTAGAGACGACGTTTCACCATATTGGCCAGGCTGGTCTTGAACGCCTGACCTTGTGATCCGCCTGCCTCGACCTCCCAAAGTGGTAGGGTTACAGGCATGAGCCACCACGCCCGGCCTTTGTTGTTGTTGTTGTTGTTGTTGTTGTTGTTGTTGTTGTTTTTGAGACAGAGTCTTGCTCTGTCACCCAGGCTGGAGCGCAGTGATGCGATCATGGCTCACGATAGCCTTGACCTCCTGGGCTTTGGGTGATCCTCCTACCTCAGCCTCCTGAGCAGCTGGGACTACAGACATGCACCACCATGCCCAGCTAGTTAGAAACAGGGTTTTACCGTGTTGCCCAGGCTGGTTTTGAACCGCTAGGCTCATGTAGTCCACCCACCTTGGCCTCTCAAAGTGCTGGGATTACAGACATGAGCCACCATACCTGAGCAGAGTTATGCTTTTTAAAAAATTAATGTTGGCTTCAAAATGAAGAATAGATTGCAGGTGTTTAAACTGGAGACAGGCAGAACCAGTTAAGAGGTTATGACAGTGATTCAGGAAGAGGTGATGGGTTACCTGAACTAAAATAACAGTAATTTGGATGGAGAGAAGTCAGTGGATTTGAGAGACATTTAAGAGGCATAATTAGGGCAAGTGCTGTAATCCCAGCACTTTGGAGGGCCAAGGCAGGCGGATTCCTTGAGCTCAGGAGTTCAAGACCAGCCTGGCTAACACGGTGAAACCCTGTCTCTACTAAAAATACAAAAATTAGCCAGGGGTGGTGACACACCACTGTGGTCCCAGCTACTTGGGAGCCTGAGGCACAACAATTGCTTGAGCCTGGGGGGACGTGGAGGTTGCAGTGAGCCAAGATTGTGCCACTGCACTCCAGCCTGGGCAACAGAGCGACTCTCCCTCAAAAAATTAAAAATTAAAATAATAAAACAGCCTAGGCAACAGAGTAAGATCCTATCTCAAAAACAAACAAACAAACAAACAATAAAAACAGATGTTGCCAAATTCTTCACCATGGGAGTTGCACCATTTTGTCTTCCCACTGGCAATGCATGAATGTGCCTGTTTCTCCATAACTCATCAGTAGACTGTATGGTTGAGCTTTTGAATTTTTTTTTATCATTCTAACTAGTGAAAAGTGTCTCAGTATAGTTTTAAGTTACATTTCTCTTATGAATGAAGTTTAATATATATTCCATATGCTTGAGGGCCATTTTAATATAATTTTTGCCAATTTTGGTGTAACAAAGGAGGGAGAATAAGAATTGATATATGCACCTGCATGGTTTTTGTAAACAGAAGCACAGGATGGATAAGGAGAAACTAATGAAATTGGTCACTCCAGCGGGTGGGAGGTATAAGGTAGAAGGGTAGAGAAAGGTGAGTAACTCTTCTGTGGACCTTTTTGTAGTTTTTACTTTTATTTATTTTATTTTTATTTTGAGACAGAGCCTGTCTCTGTTGCCCAGGCTGGAGTGCAGTGGCGTGATCTTGGCTCACTGCAACCTCTGCCTCCTGGGTTCAAGCAATTCATGTGCCTCAACCTCCTGAGTAGCTGGGATGACAGGCATCTGCCACCATGCCTGGCTAATTTTTGTATTTTGAGTAGAGACAAGGTTTCACTATGTTTGCTAGGCTGGTCTCAAATTCCTGGCCTCAAGTGACCTGCCTGCCACAGCCTCCCAAGATGTTGGGATTACAGGTGCGAGCCACCATGCCTGTTTACTTTTAGAACCATGTTGAGACTTTACGTTTTCAAAAAGTAAAATTAAATCAGCAAAGTTGGGAAGTGGGATGCCAACTAACTCATGTAATTTACTTTTTGTATTTTATTTTATTTTAATTTAATTTAATTTATTTTATTTGAGATGGAGTCTCACTCTGTTGCCCAGGCTGGAGTGCAATGGCATGATCTCATCTCACCACAGCCTCCGCCTCCTGGGTTCAAGTGATTCTCCTGCCTCAGCCTCCCGAGCAGCTGGGATTACAGGCGTGTGCTACCATGCCTGGTGATTTTTGTATTTTTAGTAGAGATGGGGTTTCTCCATGTTGGTCAGGCTGGTCTCGAACTCCCGGCCTCAGGTGATCCGCCCGCCTCAGCCTCCCAAAGTGCTGGGATTATAGGCGTAAGCCACTGCGCCCGGCCTAAAATTTTTTTTTTAAATAAAAAATAGGCTAGGCACGGTGGCTCACTCCTGTAATCCCAGCACTTTGGGAGGCCGAGGCGGGCGGATCACCTGAGGTTGGGAGTTCGAGACCAGCCTGGCCAACATGGTGAAACCCTGTCTCTACTAAAAATACAAAAATTAGCCGTGCGAGGTGGTGCACGCCTGTAATCCCAGCTGCTCGGGAGGCTGAGGCAGGAGAATCGCTTGAACCCGGCAGGCAGAGGTTGTGGTGAGCTGAGATCGTGCCATTGCACTCCAGCCTGGGCAACAAGAGTGAAACTCTGTCTTAAAAAAAAAAAATTTTTTTTTTAAGTAGAGACAAGGTTTTGCTGTGTTGCCCAGGCTGGTCTCAAACTCCTGGGCTCAAGTGATCCCACCTTGGCCTCCCAAGTACTCCCACAGTGCTGGGATGAGGCGTGAGCCACCATGCCCAGCCAATTTTTAAACATGATACTTTGTATATATTTTCAGTGTAAAGATAAAATGAACTTCAAAGAAATCTTGAGCTCTACTTAGTAGATTTGTCATTTGTAGCAGTATTGCTGTAGCAATTCCATAACTACTTTGTGTATGTTACAGAATTGAATAAAGAAGTCAATGTTGTTGGGAGCCAGAGTTCTCACTGTAGAAGGGAAATTCAAATATGGAATAGGGAAAGACGAGGAAGAACTCTAAGGTACTGGATTGGAATTAGCTTGTTTCAATATAAACTCATGATTTTAAAAACATGTATAGCTTGAGGCCAGGAGTTGGAGACCAGCCTGGGTAACATAGTGAGATCCCTATCTCCACAAATAAAAAATAGCTGGGCATGGTTACACATGTCTGTACTTCTAGGTACTCAGGAGTTTGAGGCAGGGGAATCACTTGAGCCCAGGAGGTCAAGGCTGCAGTGAGCTATGATTGCACCATTACACCCCAGCCTGGGCAACCCCAGCCTTGTCTCTAAAAAAATAAAAATAAACTACATATATAGAAATTTGTATTTATCTATTATTTCCAGCTCTGTCCACGCAAAGGTAATTTAGAAGCAGTAATACCATAGTAATTATGGGTTACTAGTTTCTAAATGCCATTCTCTATTAAAAGGAAGCAGGGATCCTTGGAGAAATAACTAATTCTAGTCTTGGGACAGGGCAAAAGTTGATATAGTCTTCAAAAATTTCAGTGTCATAGGAAACAAAAAAGGGCTGAGGAACTGTCTCAGATTAAAAGAAACAGAAAATGACTAATTTTCTTTTTCTTTTCTTTTTTTTTTTTTTTTTTTTGAGATGGAGTCTCGCTCTGTCAGCCAGGCTGGAGTGCAGTGGCACGATCTTGGCTCACTGCAACCTCTGCCTCCCAGGTTCACGCCATTCTCCTGCCTCAGCCTACCAAGTAGCTGGGACTACAGGCGCCCGCCACCACGCCCGGCTAATTTTTTGTATTTTTAGTAGAGACGAGGTTTCACCATGTTAGCCAGGATGGTCTTGATCTCCTGACCTCGTGATCTGCCTGCCTCAGCCTCCCAAAGTGTTGGGATTACAGGCGTGAGCCACCGTGCCCGGCCAGTGACTAATTTTCTTAATGACATTAAGAAAACATAAACCAAATGCAGTGTGTGATCCTGGATTGGATTCTGAATGAGGAAAATAAAATGGACATTATTGGACAGTTAGTGAAATTTGAATATGGACTATACGTTAGACAACAGTATTGTATCAGTGTTAAATTTTCTGATTTTGATAAATATGCGCTGGTTAAATAAAAGAATGACCAATGTTCTTAAGAATTATACACTGAAGTATTTAAGTGTAAGGGGTCCTGAAGTCTACAACTGATTTCTCAAATGGTTCAGAAAAAAAGTACTAAGTACTTTACACGTGTGTGTGTGTGTGTGTGTGCGTGTGTAGAGAGAGAGAAAGGAGAGGGAGGGAGAGGGAAAAAGATTATTTAATTTATCAATTAGGTAAAATGTATATATGGGCATTCTTATACTATTCTTGCAAACTTTTTATGTTTGAAATTGTTTCAAAATAGAAAGTTTAAATTGTTCATTAGGAAAATACAAAGGGCTGAGCATAGTGGCTCACACCTGTAATCCTATCACTTTGGAGGCTGAGGTGGGAGGATCACTTGAGCCCAGAATTGTGACCAGCCTGGGCAACATAACAGGACCTCATCTCTACAAAAAAATACAAAAATTAACCAGGTGTGGTGGTGTGTGCTTGTACTCCCAGCTACTAGGGAGTCTAACATGGGAGGATTGCTTGAGCCTAGGAGGTTGAGGCTGCAGTGAGCCATGATCATACCACTTACTCCAGCCTGGGCAATGGAAGGAGACACTGTCTTTAAAAAAGAGAGAGAGAGAGAGGGAAAGAAAAAAGAAAAGAAAATACAGAGAACTGGCTGGGGCACAGTGGCTCATGCCTATAACCCCATACTTTGGCAGTCAGGAGAATCATTTGAGGCCAGGAGTTTGAGACCAGCCTGGGCAACACAGCAAGACCCCATCTCCATAAAACATTTTTTAAAAGTAAAAGAAAATACAAAGAACTGTTGTAGTGGCAGCAACCAAGTAAGAGAGCCAGAAGGGAGGTTGAGATTAAACAATTTAAATTTAAATTAATGAGGATTAATTTAAGCCGTTCTAGTATATAAGACCCAATCAGTTTTCCACTTTCCTTGGACATTTTTGCTGAGCATTCCACATCCCTCTTTAGTTACATGTGCCAGCTCATCTCATGAGTTTTATTGTCACAACTGACAAGAACCAAATATCCTGGGATTCCAGCCATGGCCTGCAGTCCTCACTTTTTTGGGGAGTTGCTTGCTTTCATTTTGTATGTATTACCAGGGATCTCCCAAGATCACCTTGGAAGTTGTGATCACACTTTGATTCCTGCTATTTCATTCACTTGTGGGATTTCTTGGCACCGTATTAGACACATGGTAGAGAGAAGAAGAAAGGAATCTCACTTTACAAATCAGAGTAAAACTCAGCATTTCTAAGGTCAGATAAGTGGTAGAAATAAGATTTAAAAGATTTATATCAGGCTTATCTGGCTGCAGAGTTCATATCCTTTCCACCTCAACCATATGTCTGTTTTAAAAATGGCTTAATAGATAGTTCCTGGCTTGGTGGATTTATTCTCTTGCCTTATTAGTTTTCTTCATATTATCCTTAAACAATTGCAAACATTATGTATCTATCTCACCTTTACAATCTGGCCTGCTTGCTTTTTCCATTTTGTTTCTTATATTATTTTAGCATACATTCAAATTATGAATTTATGGAAACAAGTCATATGAAACTAGATTGATTTCCTTTGTGAATAGCTTTGGTAGACCAGAGCAGTTCCATGGGCATAGTGTAACCTTATTCTAACAAAGACTTGTCAGAGCTTTTTAAGGTAATACCATTTTAGAGAAGTAAACTAGATACCAAGTTCATTAAACAGTCATGTTTAAAGAAAAAGATGCCAGCCTGGCCAACATGGTGAAACCCCTTCTCTACTAAAAATACGAAAAATTAGCCAAGCATGATGGCAGGCACCTGTAATCCCAGCACTTGGGAGGCTGAGGCAGGAGAATTGCTTGAACCCAGGAGGCGGAGGTTGCAGTGAGCCGAGATTGCACCACTGCACTCTAACCTGGGCGACAGAGTGAGACTCTGTCTCAAAAAAAAAAAAAAAATAAAGAAAAAGATGGAGCGGGGATCTGACTTTGTGAGAGATTTCCTTTCGTGAGGACTGTCCTTTAAATCCAGATCAGCAATTTGTGGCCAGTGGGCCAAATCCAGAATGTCGCCTGTTTGCTTGTTTGTTATTTTATTTAATTGAGTGGTTTTGACTATTCACAAACTATACTCACAAAGTTTTGCAACCATCCCTGCTATCTAATTCCAGGATGTTTTCATCACCCCAAAAAGGAACCTCTTACCCATCTTAGCAGTCACTTCCTTCTCCCATACTGGCCCTACCCCAGAAACCACTAATCTATTTTCTGTTGCAATGGATTTTCCTATTCTGAACATTTCACGTAAATGAAATTATAAAGTGTGTGGCTTTTTAGCATAATGCTTTTAAGATTCATCTATGTTATAGTATGAATCTGTACTTCTCTTTTTTGCGGCCAAATAGCATTCCATCATTTGGATGTACCACATTCTGTCTATCCATTCATCAGTTGGTGGAACATGTGGTTGTTTCTATTTTTTGGCTATTATAAATAATGCTGCTATGAACCTTCATGTACAAGTTTTTGTGTGGACATGTTTTCTTCACTTTTCTTGGTATATACCGAAGGGTGGAATTGCTGGGTCATATGGTAACTCAGTGTTTAACTTTTTTGAGGAACTGCCAAACTGTTTTCCAAAGTGGTACCACCATTTTACATTCCCACCAGAAATGTGTGAGGGTTCCAATTTGTCTGCATCCTTGCCAACACTTCTTATTATCAATATTTTTTATTATAGGCCAGGCGCGGTGACTTATGCCTATAATCCCACACTTTGGGAGGCCGAAGCAGGCAGATCACAAGGTCAGGAGATTGAGACCATGCTGGCTAACACAGTGAAACCCCATCTCTACTAAAAATACAAAACTTAGCCAGGTGTGGTGGCACACACCTGTAGTCCCAGCTACTTGGGAGGCTGAGGCAGGAGAATTGCTTGAACCCAGGAGGAGGAGATTGCAGTGAGCCGAGATTGCGCCACTGCACTCCAGCCTGGGTGACAGAGCAAGACTTCGTCTCGAAAAAAAAAAAGAAAAGAAAAAAAAATTTTTTTTTTATTATAGCCCTCCTGGTGGGTGTGAAGTGGTATCTCATTGTGGTTTTGATTTTCATTTCCCTAATGACTAATGATGTTGAGCATGTTTTCATGTGCTTGTTGTCATATTTGTGTATTTTCTTTGGAGAAATGTCTGTTGAGATGCTTCACTCATTTTTTAATTGGGTTGTCCTTTTTTATTGTTGAGTTATAAGATATGTATGATTTGAAATTTTGTTTCTTTTCCTTTGTGTGTTGTCTTTTCATTTTTAAATGGTGACTTTGCATAAAAGTTTTAATTTTAATGAAATTCAATTTATGTTTTATTTTTTTTTTTTAATTGATATGGGATCTGTCTCTGTAACCCTCACTGGAGTGCAGTGGCACAGTCATGGCTTACTGCAGCCTTACCCTCCCAGGCTCAAGCAATCCTCCCATCTCACCCTCTTGAGTAGCTGGGACTGCAGGCGCACACCACCATGCCCAACTAAACTTTTTTTCTTTTGTTGCTGGTGCTTTTGGTGTTGTGTCTTAAAAAACATTGCCTAATCCAAGGTCATGAATATATACACCTGTGTTTTCTTCTAAGAGTTTTGTAGTTTTAGATTTTATATGTAGGTCTTTGATCCATTTGAATTAATTTTTATGTATGGTGTGAGGTAAGGATCCAACTTCATTCTTTTACATGTGGACATCCACTTGTCCTGGCACCATGTGCTAAAAAGACTATTCTTTCCTTCTACTTAATTGCTTGACACTCTTTTTTTTTTAAGAGACGGAGTCTGGCTATGTTGCACAGGCTGGTCTCAAACTCTTAGTCTCAAGTGATCTTCCTGTCTTAGTCTCCCAAATAGCTGGGATTATAGGTACAAGCCCCTGTTCCCAGCCTGTCTTGATACTCTTATCAGAAATCAATTGACTGTAAA
This sequence comes from Homo sapiens, assembly GCF_000001405.40. NCBI lineage: Eukaryota > Metazoa > Chordata > Mammalia > Primates > Hominidae > Homo > Homo sapiens. The sequence continues at coordinate 27,277,635 of NC_000001.11, forward strand.
TTTAAGGATGTATTTATGAACTCTCAACTCTAGTCCATTGATCTAAATGTCTATTCTTATGCCAGTACCACACTGTTTTGATTGCTGTAGCATTGTAGTAAGTTATAAAATTGGGAAGTATGAGTCTTTCAACTTTGTTCATTTTTCAAGATTGTTTTGTCTATTCTGGGTCTCTGGTATTTCCATATGAGCTTTATTTTATTTTAATTTGAAAAAAATTTTTTGAGACAGAGTCTCACTCTGTTGCCCAGGCTGGAGTGCAGTGGCATGATCTTGGCTCACCGCAACCTCCACTTCCTGGTTTCAAGCGATTCTCCTGCCTCAGCCTCCTGTGTAGCTGGGATTACAGGCATGCATGATGACACCCAGCTAATTTTTTTTGTGTTTTAGTAGAGATGGGGTTTCACCATGTTGGCCAGGCTGGTCTCAAACCCCTGACCTCAAATGATCAGCCCAACTCAGCCTCCCAAAGTGCTGGGATTACAGGCGTGAGCCACCACACCTGGCCCATATGAGCTTTAAATTCAAATTTATTGCCACCTGTTTTTATAAGTAAAGTTTTATGGGAACACAGCATACTCACTTATGTATTGCTTATGTTTGCTCTAGTGATTCAATGGTAGAATTGAGTAGTAGTGATATAGACCATATGGCCTGCAAGACCTACAATATTTACTATCTGAGCCTTTACAGAAAAGATTGCTGACCTCTGCTTTAGATGATGGAGTAAACTCATGCTTTGAAGTACCAGAGGGCAGAACTAGGAACTATTCATTAATTCAGTCATATTTTCAAGCAAATATTGAATGCCTACTATATGACAGAAATGTTCTAGACACTGGGAAAATAATATAGCAGTGAATAAGACCAACACAATTCCTGGCCCCATGAAGCTTCTTGCCATGACCTGTAAAACACCCTTAGGATCTGGCCTCTGCTCACCTCCCTGAGCCCATCTTGCTCATCTTACTCTGTCCCCTTCATCACAATGCTCTAACCACATTGGCTTTCATTCTGTTTCTTTGGCATTATCAGGCCTGTTATTTTTATACTCATTATTCCATATGCCTGAAATGCTTTTCCTTCACATCTTTATGTAACTTGCTACTTCTCAGCATTCAGATTTCACCTCAAATATTAATTCCTCAGAGCGGCTTTCCCTGACCACTATATCTAAAGTATATCCAGGCCAGGTATGGTGGCTCATGCCTGTAATCCCAGCACTTTGGGAGGCCAAGGCCAACATGGCAAAACCCCGTCTCAACTAAAAATACAAAAATTAGCCAGGTGCAGTGATGTGTGCTTCGAACCCCAGCTACTTGAGAGACTGAGGCAGAGAATTACTTGAACCTGGGAGGTGGACGTTGCAGTGAGCTGAGATTGCGCCACTGCACTCCAGCCTGGGTGACACAGTAATACACTGTCTCAAAAAATAAAAATAAATAACATATATTCATCACACTTAGTACCATCTGAATTCATCTTACTGATTTATATGTTTGTTTATTTTCTCTCTTACCCTACTAGAGTTCTCTTAATTGCCACAACAACCTTTGCATGTGTAAGAATGCCTAGTATATAATAGGTGCTTGAATAATTGTTAAAAGATTGAATTAAGGCCGGACACAGTGGCTCACGCATGTAATCCCAGCACTTTGAGAGGCTGAGACAGGCAGATCACTTGAGCCCAGGAGTTCAAAACCAGCCAGCCTGGTCAACATGGCAAAACCCCATCTCCACAAAAAATACAAAAATTAACCAGGTGTGGTGGCACGCATCTCTAGTCCCAGCTACTCAGGAGGCTGGGGTGGGAGGATCGCTGGAGCCCGACCAGAAATATAATCGCTCCTTTTCATGACTTTTAGGAGGATTTTTCTTTCTCCAATATAGTTCACATTGGGCTGTGCTTACATTTTTTGTTTCTTGGGATTTTTTTGTTTTTGTTTTTGTGAGACAGAGCCTTGCTCTGTTGCCCAGGCTGGAGTGCAGTGACGTGATCATGGCTCACTGTAGCCTCCACCTCCCGGATTCAAGTGATCCTCACACCTTAGCCTCCCCAGTAGCTGGGACTACAGGTGCACGCCACCACACCTGGCTAATTTTTTAAATTTTTGTAGAGCTAGCATCTCACTATGTTGTCCAGACTAGTCTCCAACTCCTGGGCTCAAGCAATCCTCCTGCCTAGCCTCCCAAAGTGCTGAGATTACTGGTGTGAGCCACCATGCCCAGCCTGTGCTGTAAGTCTTGAACTCTCTTGGTGCAATGGAAAAGACATATTTGGATTTTATTTCTGATTCTGCCACTCAGCTATCAAAGTAACCACTCAAAGTGCTTTACAAATACTGTTCATTTCCCACAACAACCCTATGAGGCTATCTACAATTATTATCTTTTTTACTGATGTAGAGCCTGAGACACAGAGAGGTTAAAGAACTTGCTCAAGGAAATACAGCTTGTACACATAAAATGATATTTGTTGTATTTTATGGACAACTTAATGGATTTTCAAGGGTAATTATGTGAAGTACTTAGGACAGGGCCTGACACATAGTAAGCTAAGTTTACCTATTCTTATAATTATTACTACTCCATATAAGTAATTCTTAGGCACACTAAAATTTGAGAAAACATTGAGCTGGATTAAAGAAGGAACAAAAGAAAAGATTTTATGGAAATGTCTGGATATTCAAATCATTCTGACTTTAAGACAACATATCATTAAGTCAATGGAGAGTGAGTGAGGAATTTTTTAAAGTTTTATTTGCTGTCAGAACTTACTCCATTCTGTTAAAATATTGCACCTACATAACCTTAATACATGGTAATAAGTATGTGTATTGTGAAGCTTAAATAAATTGACAAAAGTGAAAGCTTAGCATCTACCCTGGCATTTAGTAAGTGTTCTGTTAATTTTGCTGGATTTTAATCTAAATCTTGCTTGTTCAGACTCATTCATGCTGTTTTTTAAGAAGTTAGAGAGAAGCACTTGGCTGTCTGCTTCCTGTCTTTCCTAGTTGGCATTTTTTGTGGAGGCTTCATTAAATATCTGTAACTTTCATGCTCTTTGACATTGACCCTTTAGGTTGAGCCTCATTACACAAGGGTTTAGGCCTGAAGTCAGCAGGTACGTTAAATGTGTATATGATGAATCTCACTGGGTTGTAGTTAAGAGAGGGTCCTTATGTGTAGCTACACAAACTGGATCACAGGCTTTGCCTGAAAGTCAGAAAATGTTCTCAAAGATCCTTTAAGCCTCTTCCTAAAGCCTGACATTCCTGTTTTTTTCTGGGTTTGTTTGGTATCTCTCTCCTTTTTCTTTTTCTTATTTTTATTTTATTTTATTTTATTTTTGAGACAGAGTCTCTCTCTCTTTTTTTTCAAATCCCCAAGATAAAGACTCTGACCTAATTTACCTTACTGCACCAGGCTCTACCTATTTGAATTAAGCTCTGGAAGATCCAAGGAGTTTTTTATACTCCTGTACCCCCAGCATCTGAACAGTACCTGGCATGCAGTAGGTGCTTGATGAATAATTTGCCGTGTGAGGCTGGGCGCGGTGGCTCACGCCTGTAATCCTAGCACTTTGGGAGGCCGAGGCGGGCGGATCATGAGGTCGAGACCATCCTGGCTAACACGGTGAAACCTCTGTCTCTACTAAAAATACAAAAAATTAGCCTGGCGTGTTGGCGGGCGCCTGTAGTCTCAGCCACTCAGGAGGCTGAGGCAGGAGAATGGCATGAACCCAGGAGGCGGAGGTTGCAGTGAGCTGAGATCATGCCACTGCACTCCAGCCTGACTCTGTCTCAAAAAAAAAAAAAAAAAAAATGCTGGGTGAATAAAAGATTAGCCTTCTAGTTAATTGGCTGTCCTTGGATTGAATGTTTCCTGGCAAATTTTCTGTGACTGAGAGGGTATCCCTTGAAGGTACTGTTTCAGACATATCTCTTTTTCTGTTTTTGTTTTGTTTTGTTTGAGACACGGTCTGGCTCTGTCGCCCAGGCTGGAGTGCAGTGGTGCGATCTCAGCTCACTCCAACCTCCACCTCCCAGGCTCAAGTCATCCTCCCAACCTCAGCCTCCCGAGTAGCTTGGACTACAGGCACATGCCACCACACCCAACTAATTTTTGTGTTTTTTGTAGAGATGGGGTTTCGCCGTGTTGCCCAGGTTGATTACAACTCCTGAGCTCAAGCAATCTGCCCAAAGCAGATTGGGCAGCCTCCCAAAGCACTAGGATTACAGGTGTGAGCCTCTGTGCCTGGCTGACATACTCCTTCTAATGGTAAAAGCAGAAATGTGTTTGGATCTCACTTTTACTGCTTTCTACTGTCTGAACTTCAGTTTACTTTTCTGCAAAACGGGATCAATGAAACTTGTCCTTTATGGCTCAGAAGTGCCCAGTATCAAGTGAGATCATGAATATGAAAGTACTTTATATATTGTAAGACGCTAGTCAGTTTAAGTCCACTTTGGCCACTCACATGCACTTGGAAAATATTGAAAATGGAAAGACTGGTTTACCTGTTCAGTTCCACTTCTTGGTGTTGAGTTCCCCAGGAGAACCCCTAACCAACTCTCTTCCTGTCTCTTCATTTGCTCCCCCAGGGTCACTCAGGATGTGTCAACTGTCTGGAGTGGAATGAGAAAGGAGAGTAAGTATGAGCTAGAGCACCTGAAGGGTGCTGGGGAAGGAAGTAAGGAGGGTGGAACAGCAAGGCTCCTCCTGAGAGGATCCAAGGAAAAGATTGGACCCAAATGAAAAGAGACTGCTGCTGTCTGCCGTTCTTCAGCTTAGCCCATAATTTTCAACACAATTAAACAATCTCAGATAGATGGAAAGTTGGATGACCATCCAAACCCTGTTTTGTTTTGTTTTGTTTTGTTTTAGAGACAGAGTCTCATTCTGTCACCCAGGCTGGAGTGCAATGGCGTGATCTTGGCTCACTGCAACCTCCGCCTTTCAGGTTCAAGCGGTTCTCCTTAATCAGCCTCCCAAGTAACTGGGACTACAGGCATGCGCCACCATGCCTGGCTAATTTTTTGTATTTTTAGTAGAGACGAGGTTTTGCCATGTTGCCCAGGCTGGTCTCAAACTCCTGAGCTCAGGCAATCCACCTGCCTCAGCCTCCCAAAGTGCTAGGATTACAGGCATGAACTACCGCGCCCGGCCCAAAACCCTGTTTTTTTAATAAGCCAATGTGTTTAAGAATGATAGAAATTTCTTGGCCGGGCGTAGTGGCTCACGCCTGTAATCCTAGCACTTTGGGAGGCCGAGGCGGGTGGATCACGAGGTCAGGAGATTGAGACCATCCTGCCTAACACAGTGAAACCCCGTCTCTACAAAAAAACAAAAAATTAGCCGGGTGTGGTGGCGGGCGCCTGTAGTCCCAGCTACTCAGGAGGCTGAGGCAGGAGAATGGCGTGAACCTGGGAGGCGGAGCTTGCAGTGAGCCGAGATCGCGCCACTGCACTTCCAGCCTGGGGGACAGAGCGAGACTCCATTTCAAAAAAAAAAAAAAGAATAATGGAAATTTCTCAGGACAAAATAGAAGAGAATCAGCTGTTTACAAGGCAACCTTAAATTCTGTGACATTTACTGTTCTTCAAATTCTGTAACCTAACTCCTTGTAAACTGAGAACATGGGATGGGGAAAGGGAGCCTAGGAATTTGAGGAGAGATCACAATCCCTCACTCTGCTTTCAGCTTGCTGGCCTCTGGTTCCGATGACCAGCACACGATTGTGTGGGACCCGCTGCACCACAAGAAGCTGCTCTCCATGCACACGGGACACACCGCAAATATCTTCTCTGTCAAGGTGAGCAGGACAAGCCACAGAGCAAGCACAAGCCACAGATCAAGCACAAGAGTGACTGGGCTGTGGCCACGCCATGTTGGTATGTGTGTGTCCCATATACCGTCTAGGGTCACAGACAACCTTATGATCTAAGTATCTGTTGGTGATTCCTGAAACCTCATTTCTCTTCCATGTTCTTCTTCCTCTTTTAGAGCTAAGCGGCCAATTCTAGATGAATTTATCTTTATGTGAATGGTAGTGGTGGGGGTATGGTTCTGAACGTGAACTTAGAGAGCAGGCATACCTGGGTTTGACTCCCTTATCTGCTTCTTGGGCATTGTGTGACCTGGGCAAATCACCTGACCTGTCTGAGCCTGTTTGCTCATCTGTAAAAAAGGAAGCAGCGAAGGAAAATCTCCCAGATTTGTAAACAAATTAATTTTTTTAAAAGGAAATAACAGTCTACAAGGTTGATGTGACAGTTCAATGAGATAATTGATAAAAATAAAGTCTGTGCCCAGTGCTTTTTATCTGTTCTACCCCTTCATAGGAAATGAATATTTTGATTTGTTGGAGGAGGGGAGTTGAGCGGAGGAGAGGTGAGAAGGGGACTTACAAGTGTCTTCAGACCTTTGAAGCTCTGTTGAAGCCCTGGAAATGACATGAGACATGTTTTTTTGTTGTGGAAAACAGACCTAGGACTAGTGGCTGTAAGTCCACAGAATTAAATGTGGGCCTGAGGAAAGAAAGAACTGTCTAATGCTTAGAGCTCTTTGAAAAATGTAGAATGGGCCCCTGGAGGAGATGAGTAAATGTCCTATCCCTGCACTTGTCCACTCGCCAGGTGCTTTATCTCCAAGATTTAAAGTTGGAAGAAATGGCCTGCAAGGAAGGGCCTTTCCAGCTCTGAGATTCTATAATGGATAGATGTGAGAATGAAGTTGTCCTTCGGAAACCCTCACTATTCTAAGAAATATTTTCGTAATTAATATCAAGAGGAATTACAAGATACCTGAACAAGATGATAGCTCCAAACCTACTTGTTTTCCTAAACCCTTTTTTCTTCTCAAGCTATGATTCTCGCCTTTAGAGACAGAACAATGATGATTTACCTCTTATATGACTAACGGAAACTGCTTTCTTCCCCTGCAAAGAGTTTAGGTCCAATTTTAGTCTGCACAGTCAGGCCTGGGGAAGGGGACCTAAGCCATTAGTTTAGCATCAGAGCACAAGACATTGATTTCTAACACCAGAATTTCATAATGGTCTTGATACTCCCTAACGGTAAGACCTTGGGAACGGCACTTACATGCAGACTGTCAGCCTCCTCTTCTATTTAAAAAAAAAAAAACAACCTGAAAAGGATTCTTCTTTCTTTAGGTAGTGGAAACACTGCAGATGTATATGTATTTAACTCATGCGCTCCCCCTGGTGGTGACTATGGTGTGTGATGCGTGTGGCAGCAGCCACAAGATCATGACAAGGGCTCCCCAGTTTATTTCTGCTGTGCATTGAGTGTATGCCGTCTCTAGACAGGATTAAAGACTACTGGTTGTCCCTAAAATAATTAAATCATGTCTATTTCATCTAGACCTTGGTCTTTTTTTTTTTTTTTTTTTTTTGAGGGTGAGTCTTACTCTGAATGTCGCCCAGGCTGGAGTGCAGTTGGCACAATCTTGGCTCACTGCAACCTCCGCCTCTGGGTTCAAGCGATTCTTGTGCCTCAGCCTCCTAAGTAGCTGGGATTACAGGTGTGCACCACCACACCTGGCAGATTTTTGTATTTTTAGTAGAGATAGGGTTTCACCATGTTGGCCAGGCCAGTTTCGAACTCCTGACCTCAGGTTATCCACCCACCTAAGCCTCCCAAAGTGTTGGGATTACAGGCATGAGCCACAGTGCCTGGCTAGACCTTGTTCTAATGGCCCTTAGAGAAGCCTATGTGGAAAGAGTGAATTGTTGTTCTTTGTGAACATTTAAAGTCAAGTGGGACATCAGCTGTTTCAGTGTAGGACATTGCCCCTCCCCCAACACTACCACTCAGCCTTGTTGTGGGTAGGGAGGAACTTTTCAATTTTAAAAAAAAGATATTTCAATTTTTTGAACTCACACGAGAATTCAACACCACTCCCAAATATTTTTTATCCTCAAAGTTATGTGATAGAACTACATACTTTCTTTCTTGTTTCTTTTCTTTTTTTTTTTTTGAGACAGAGTCTCGCTCTTGTTGCCCAGGCTGGAGTACAGTGGCAAGATCTCGGCTCACCGCTGCCTCAGCCTCCCGAGTAGCTGGGACTACAGGCATACACCACCACACCCGGCTAATTTTTTGTATTTTTAGTAGAGACAGGGTTTCTCCATGTTGGTAAGGCTGATCTTGAATTCCCGACCTCAGGTGATCCACCTGCCTCCGCCTCCCAAAGTGCTGGGATTACAGGTGCGAGCCACAGCGCCCAGCCCAGAACTGCATACTTTCTTTTTTCATTATTTGAAGCTATGGTTGCAGCTGTTTTTTTCTTATCAGATGTCATCTGGAGTATTTTGTTCTTGCCTTTATCAGGATGGTGGTTTTTTTTTTTTTTTTTTTTTTTGAGATGGAGTCTTGTTTGCTCTGTCACCCATGCTGGAGTGCAGTGATGCCATCTCAGCTCACTGCAACCTCCACCTCCCGGCTTCAAGTGATTCTCCTGCTTCAACCTTCCGAGCAGCTGGGATTACAGGTGCACACCACCACATCCGGCTAATTTTTTTTGTAGTAAAGACGGGGTTTCACCATGTTGGCCAGGGTGGTCTCAAACTCCTGACCTCAGGTAATCCGCCTACCTCGGCCCCCCAAAGTGTTGGGATTACAGGTGTGAGCCACGGCACCTGGCCGGTTTTTTTTGTTTTTTTTTTTAATAAATACTGCATAGAGATGTATCCTCTTGATGCTCAGCCCTTCCCTATTGTCCAACATTTGAGCTGTTTCCAATATTTGCTATTATAAGAGGCATCCAAGCATTTCTGACCAGGTCCCTTTTTTCTTTTTGGATTATTTCCTTTTTTTTTTTTTTTTTTTTGAGATGGAGTCTCGCTCTGTTGCCCAGGCTGGAGTGCAGTGGCGTGATCTCAGCTCACTGCAAGCTCTGCCTCCTGGGTTCACACCATCCTCCTGCCTCAGCCTCCCGAGTAGCTGGGACTACAGGCGCACGCCCGGCTAATTTTTTTATATTTTTAGTAGAGACGGGGTTTCACCGTGTTAGCCAGGATGGTCTGGATCTCCTGACCTTGTGATCTGCCCGCCTCAGCCTCCCAAAGTGCTGGGATTATAGGCATGAGCCACCACGCCTGGCCTGGATTATTTCTTGGAAGTGGAAGTTTTGAGTCAAAAACTAGAAATTGTTTTTAATCTTTGTTACTATTACCAGATTGTTTTTCAGAAGCAGTCAAACTAATTTAAAACACTCACTCCCAACAGGGCATTCTGGCTCATGCCTACAATCCCAGCACTTTGGGAGGCCAAGGCAGGTGGATCACCTGAGGTCAGGAGTTCGAGACCAGCCTGGCCAACATGGTGAAACCCTGTCTCTACTAAAAATACAAAAATTAGCTGGGCGTGGTGGTGCACACCTGTAATCCCAGCTACTCAGGAGGCTGACACAGGAGAATCGCTTGAACCCGGGAGGTGGAAGTTGCAGTGAGCCGAGATTGCACCACTGCACTCCAGCCTGGGTGACAGAGCGAGACGCTGTCTCAAAAAAAAAAAACAAAAAAAACCCACACACACCCATTCCCTTAAACACTCAAAGTCTTTTTCACTTCAGGACTAATTTATTACTTAATCTCTAGGTTACTAAGTAGTCATAATGAGGCAAGTAGGGCATGTGGGAGTCAGACAGACTTGGGCTTGAACACAATCTTGCTGTATATTACTGCTGAACCTCAAGGGTTTGTTTTGTTTTTTGTTGTTGTTGTTGTTTTTGAGACAGTCTCGCTCTGTTGCCCAGGCTGGAGTGCAGTGGCACAATCTCGGCTCACTGCAGCCTCTGGCTTCCTGCAGCCTCTGCCTCCTGGGTTCAAGGGATTTTCCTGCCTCAGCCTGCTGAGCAGCTGGGATTACAGGCATGAGCCACCGCGCCCAGCCTGCATGGGCTCATTCTCTTATCTGACATGGAGAGAGAAAAGGGTGCAGACATCCAGGCTAGCCTCCTTCCGTGGCCATTTCTACTCTTACCACCCACCCCTTCCTCCATTTCTCCTATATAGTTCCTGCCTCACGCTGGGGACCGCATCTTGATCACGGGGGCAGCCGACTCTAAGGTGCATGTGCACGACCTGACAGTAAAGGAGACCATCCACATGTTTGGAGACCACACAAACCGGGTGAAGCGCATCGCCACAGCGCCCATGTGGCCCAACACATTCTGGAGTGCTGCTGAGGATGGGCTTATCCGGTAAGAGTCTGGGGCATCTAGTGGAGCCTGTCGCTCCCCCATCCCATCATCCTATAGTGTTTCCTTCTACAGACCTAGCTCTTTCCCTCCAGCAGAGGTCCAACCTCCTTTGTCTGCCCAGGGCAGTTGTCTGTGTACAAACTCCACTGGGAACATTTGCTTACTCCGCCCTCACCTTCCTCCCTCTTTGCCCTCCTTTGTACTACCTCTAGGCCCACAAGCTTTTTCTCACCACCTCAGGTGTCCAGGGTCTCTACTGCCTCTGGGCATTCACGTTACTCTTTCCTCTACTTGAGATTCTCTGTCCCCAGCTCTTCCCATGTCGGACTCTTTCTTATCCTAAGGAGATCAGCTTCAGTTACCTCTTCAGAAGCACCTTCTCTGACCATCCTGTCTAAAGTAGACAGACGTTATGCTTGTTTTAACAATTATATCCTCTGTAACTCTAATTGCCACCTGTAGTTATTTTTATTAATTAATTAATTTTTATTTATTTATTTTTTTTTTTATTGATCATTCTTGGGTGTTTCTCGCAGAGGGGGATTTGGCAGGGTCATATGACAATAGTGGAGGGAAGGTCAGCAGATTAACAAGTGAACAAAGGTCTCTGGTTTTCCTAGGCAGAGGACCCTGCGGCCCTCTGCAGTGTTTGTGTCCCTGGGTACTTGAGATTAGGGAGTGGTGATGACTCTTAATGAGCATGCTGCCTTCAAGCATCTGTTTAACAAAGCACATCTTGCACCGCCCTTAATCCATTTAACCCTGAGTGGACACAGCACATGTTTCAGAGAGCACAGGGTTGGGGGTAAGGTCACAGATCAACAGGATCCCAAGGCAGAAGAATTTTTCTTAGTACAGAACAAAATGAAAAGTCTCCCATGTCTACTTCTTTCTACACAGACACGGCAACCATCCGATTTCTCAATCTTTTCCCCACCTTTCCCCCCTTTCTATTCCACAAAACCGCCATTGTCATCCTGGCCCGTTCTCAATGAGCTGTTGGGTACACCTCCCAGACGGGGTGGTGGCCAGGCAGAGGGGCTCCTCACTTCCCAGTAGGGGTGGCCGGGCAGAGGCACCCCTCACCTCCCGGACGGGGCGGCTGGCCGGGCGGGGGGCTGACCCCCCCCCCACCTCCCTCCCGGACGGGGCGGCTGGCTGGGCGGGGGGCTGACCCCCCCACCTCCCTCCCGGACGGGGCGGCTGGCCGGGCAGGGGGCTGACCCCCCCACCTCCCTCCTGGACGGGGCGGCTGGCTGGGCAGAGGGGCTCCTCACTTCCCAGTAGGGGCGGCCGGGCAGAGGCGCCCCTCACCTCCCGGACGGGGCGGCTGGCCGGGCAGAGGGGCTCCTCACTTCCCAGACGGGGTGGTTGCCGGGCGGAGAGGCTCCTCACTTCTCAGACGGGGCGGCTGCCGGGCAGAGGGGCTCCTCAGTTCTCAGACGGGGTGGTTGCCAGGCAGAGGGTCTCCTCACTTCTCAGACGGGGCGGCTGGGCAGAGACGCTCTTCACCTCCCAGACGGGGTCGCGGCCGGGCAGAGGCGCTCCTCACATCTCAGACGATGGGCGGCCGGGCAGAGACGCTCCTCACTTCCTAGATGGGATGGCGGCCGGGCAGAGACGCTCCTCACTTTCCAGACTGGGCAGCCAGGCAGAGGGGCTCCTCACATCCCAGACGATGGGCGGCCAGGCAGAGACGCTCCTCACTTCCCAGACGGGATGGCGGCCAGGCAGAGGCTGCAATCTCGGCACTTTGGGAGGCCAAGGCAGGCGGCTGGGAGGTGGAGGTTGTAGCAAGCCGAGATCACGCCACTGCACTCCAGCCTGGGCACCATTGAGCACTGAGTGAACGAGACTCCGTCTGCAATCCCGGCACCTCGGGAGGCCGAGGCTGGCGGATCACTCGCGGTTAGGAGCTGGAGACCGGCCCGGCCAACACAGCGAAACCCCGTCTCCACCAAAAAAATACGAAAACCAGTCAGGCGTGGCGGCACGCGCCTGCAATCGCAGGCACTCGGCAGGCTGAGGCAGGAGAATCAGGCAGGGAGATTGCAGTGAGCCGAGATGGCAGCAGTACAGTCCAGCTTCGGCTCGGCATCAGAGAGAGACCGTGGAAAGAGAGGGAGAGGGAGACCGTGGAAAGAGAGGGAGAGGGAGACCGTGGGGAGAGGGAGAGGGAGACCGTGGGGAGGGGGAGGGGGAGAGGGAGAGGGAGCTAATTAATTTATTTTCTGAGACAGGGTCTCACTCCATTCTATTGCCGAGGTTGGAGTGCAGTGGCGTGATCATGGCTCACTGCAGCCTTGACTTCCTGGGCTCAGGCGATTCTCCCACCTCAGCCTCCTGAATACCTGGGACTACAGACACGCTCCACCATGCTTGGCTAATTTTTCTATTTTTTTTGTAGAGATGGGGTTTCTCTGTGTTGCCCAGGCAGGTCTCAAACTCCTGGGCTCAAGTGATCCTCCCACCTCGGCCTCCCACAGTGCTATGATTGCTGGTGTGAGCTACCACACCTGGCCTTATTTTATTTTTACTTATTGGTTTACTTTTTTGTCTGTATCCTCACTAAATAGTAAAAGTAAACTCTCTTAGAGCAACTCCATGTCTGTCTTGTTCTTGGTTGTATCCCTAGAGCCCAGCACAGCGCCTGGCACATAGAGCCGCTTGATACATTTCTCTTGAACAGTTGGTCAGTGGCTATATACCTGGGAGGGGGCAAGCCACCCGGAAATGGTAAAATGGACTGTCCCCTTTTCCAGTGCCCTGCATTGTTACACATTTGCCTCTACTTCCCTTCATTCTAAAATGGTGTCGTTGCCCTTCTTTAACTCCTTTCTTCAGCTGTGACCTTAGAACTTCTTTCTTATCTCCCCAGCCTGCTTTAATCTGTCTCCCTTGAGTTCCTGTAGGACTTTGTGCCCTCTTTCCTTTTACAGATGAGGAATATCTAAGTCATATATAAATTATAACATAGTCAAGAGCAAGGCAGTGAAGTCAGACAGACCTGGGGTCAAATCCTAGCAATCGCACTCAGTATTTGACTGGGGTAAGTCACTGCATCCCTGAACCTCAGAAGACAGAATGCACTTTGTCAGTGGCAGGTCCAACTCTGTGTAGCACTTTTTGACCTTGGCTGACCAGATTTTGCCAGGGCCAGCTGGTAGAAGCGGAGCGTCTAGCGCATTGGGTAGGATCCTAAGTGTTTAGGCATAGGCACAGTCAGAGAAGGTGTCCTAGCAGAAGGTGAACATAAGCTGGGCCTTCCAGAACAGACAGGATTTGGATGAGCAAGGAAAAGCAGAGTGTATTCCCCAGCTTGAGCAGAGTTTGCAAAGGCAGAAATAAACATGGCATGTGCAGGATAAAGAATTCTGTAGTTATAATTGACCCACATTTAGAAAACTGAGGAATAAGGTTGGAGAGAAATGTGAAATTGAGTCTTGAAAACCAGACTGAGGAGTTTGGTAAAAGTAAACTTGTGCTAAAAGTATTGAGGAATCTCTGCAATTTTTTTGAGCAGGAGAGTGATGTAAAATAATATTTTAGGAAGAGCAGCCTGGTGAAGATGGCTTAGAAAGACAAGGTGAACAGCAAAGAGGTGATAACAGATGTCTAGGCAAGAGGGGAGAGCATATAGGTGATGTCCCCCCTACCCACCACTCTCTGAGGATACCTGTGTATTGGCAGCACAAAGTTTCCCCGTCTGGAGCGGTGGGAGTTTGCTGCTGTTTGGTAGACTTTTTGGCATTACCTTTACTGCGTGGATGAGACTTTTAGGCTTGCCTTGGCCCATGGTATATCTAGATAGCTCTTAGATGATCTGCAGAGTCTCTTTTCTGTCACCTCCATACCTTGTTTCATGAAAGAAACTAGATTAGGTAGGAACGGAGCAGTGTTTAAGATGCAGTCTCAGAAAGCTTCCCCAGCTCTGCACTTACTAGCAGTGTCATCTCAGTCAGGTTATTCAACATCTTTGAACTTCAGTATTCTAATGATACCTAGGGATGGCGTTAGGAATTAATTAAGGGGCAATACTGGACATAAAGCACATTTTCACTAAGTGTTGGTAATCAGTAGTAGTATAATAGTAGCAATAATACTAACATCTGTAGAATATGTACAATAGTATCCACCTTAGGAGTTCTAGTAGAATAGAATGTGTGAGAAGCCTACTACAGGTACCTGGCACACTGTGGACACTCAAGAAATGGGAGTTGTTTTTGACATTCTTATTTAGAAACAGGTCCAAAGTCCCTCCCAATCCTCTTGCATAACAAGAACTTATCTTTTCCCCTGCCTTCCTCTCAAGGACCCCAAGCCCCAATTCCCTAACTCTGTCCTCTCTCACAGCCAGTATGACCTTCGAGAGAACAGCAAACACTCGGAGGTGCTGATTGACCTGACAGAGTACTGTGGCCAGCTGGTGGAGGCCAAGTGCCTCACTGTCAACCCCCAGGACAACAACTGCCTGGCAGTTGGGGCCAGCGGGCCCTTCGTGAGGCTCTATGACATCCGCATGATCCATAACCACAGGTATGAATAGTTCAGCCTCCTGTCTCCTGTGAGTAAGTCCCCAGAGAACCTACTGCCCCTTTCCCTCACTGCCATTGCCATGCCCTCTTCTTCTATCACAGCTCACTGCAGCCTCAACCTCCCAGGCTCAAGCGATCCTCCCATCTCAGCCTCTCAAGTAGCTGAGACTACAGTCACACGCCACCTCGCTTGGCTAATTTTTTAATTTTTTTATAGGGGCGGGGTCTTTCCTTGTTGCCCAGGCTGGTCTCAAACTCGAGCTAAAGCAATCTTTCCACCTCGACCTCCCAAAGTGCTGGGACTACAAGCATGAGCCACTGTGCCTGGCCCCTTCTTTTATTTATTTATTTATTGTTTTACTTTTTTTTTTTTTTTTTTTTTTGAGACAGAGTCTTGCTCTGTCACCCGTGTTGGAGCGCAGTGGCACAATCTCAGCTCACTGCAACCTCTGCCTCCCGGGTTCAAGCTGTTGTCCTGCCGAGTAGCTGGGATTACAGGCACCTGCCACCACACCTGGCTAATTTTTGTATTATTAGTAGAGACGGGGTTTCACCATGTTGACCAGGCTAGTCTTGAACTCCTGACCTCAGGTGATCTGCCCGCCTCGGCCTCCCAAAGTGTTGGGATTACAGACGTCAGCCACCACACCCAGCCTGGCCCCTTCTTCTTTATGAAATGGACTTTCTTCAATTTTGTGATTTTTTAAAAAACTTAATCCTCGCTTATGTTGGAAAATATGAAAAGTATAAATTAGGCCGGGCGTGGTGGCTCACGCCTGTAATCCCAGCACTTTGGGAGGCCGAGGCAGGCGGATCACGAGGTCAGGAGATCGAGACCATCCTGGCTAACACGGTGAAACCCCGTCTCTACTAAAAATACAAAAAATTAGCCGGGCGTGGTGGCGGGTGCCTGTAGTCCCAGCTACTGGGGAGGCTGAGGCAGGAGAATGGCGTCAACCTGGGAGGCGGAGCTTGCAGTGAGCAGAGATCCTGCCACTGCACTCCAGCCTGGGTGGCAGAGTGAGACTCAGTCTCAATTAAAAAAAAAAAAAAAAAAGTATAAATTACCCATAATCTCTTACATAAATTCCTTATGATTTCCTTATATTTATTTATTCTTATAATTTCTTATATAAATCTCTTATAGTGTCTTTCTTAAAGAAATCACTGTATATAATATTTCCTGCTAGTTCTTATAACACTCAGAACCCCCACAGCACTCTCAGACCTGAGTTGCCTCTCCAGCCTGGGCTTTCCATGATTCTTGGGATGGATGCAGGAATGTCGCCTGTTTATTTTCATTCATGGGCTTGGTGACCACTGCTGCCCCTCACACACTGCATGGCTTGGAGCGGGTCTTGAACCTTAGCTTGCTTGTTTGTAAAATGGGAAAAATAAGATGGTCATGAAGACCCAGACAGCTTATAGGACCTACCTGGTAAAGCACTGTAATGTATATGTCTGTAATTGTCTAGTTGGTGGGCCTTTGGGGTTGCTTAGGTAAGGAGGAAAAATACCTCCTGTATGTCTCAGATACAAATGTAAGTTTTCGTCTAGTGAGTGTGGTCTGGTCTAGCCAGGGGCAGTGCTGTAACTTTAACCTATATGATTTTCCTTCCCACCAGAAAGAGCATGAAGCAGAGCCCTTCAGCGGGTGTGCACACCTTCTGTGACCGGCAGAAACCCCTTCCGGACGGTGCAGCCCAGTATTACGTAGCAGGTAGCGCTCAGCACAGCTCTGGCCCCAAACTCTCGGCTAGATGCTGACTCTTTTGGGGGCAGTCCAGGGAGACAGCATGGCATGGTGGTCAAGAGCAAGGGTTTTAGAGTCAGACAGACCTGAGTTTTAATCCCAACTCTGCCATTGACAAGCTATGTCACCTTCAGCAAATTACAGAAAAGAAACTCATCAAGGTTAAGTAAAATGGGGTTATAATGACTAAATGAGATAAAATATATAAAGCAACTAGCCCAGTGCATATAGTAAGGGCTCAACACTTGTAGCTGCTTTTATGCTAAAGTTGATTGGTATAATTTTTGATATGACTGACTTCACACAATCTCATGCCCCTTTGAAAGGGACTGGGACCCTAGTATGACTGGGCTATTCCCTGCAGGTCACCTGCCAGTGAAGCTTCCTGACTACAACAACCGTTTGAGAGTGCTGGTTGCCACCTATGTGACCTTCAGCCCCAATGGCACAGAGCTACTAGTCAACATGGGGGGGGAACAGGTATGTACAGCATAAGGTGGTTCTGCCCCATCACCATTCCATGCCCAGCAGCCAGGGGCATGTACCTTATGTTCACTGCTGAGGCAGACAAGACACAACAGCCTTATGGTAAATGATGTTACATTGAAATGTGGGGGTGATGTGGCATCATTGGAGTTCCCAGAGAGATGTCCTAGCTCAGTCTTTTTATTTCATTTTTTCTTAATGAACTAGATAGAAATATGATAGTATGGCATTTTGGTTAAGAATATAGGCTTTGGAATGGACAGACTTCTGTTCAAATGCTGGCCTGCTGTTCAGCAGCTGTTTACTGTGACTTTGAGCAAGTCTCTTTATTTTTCTGAGCCTCAGTTTCCTCGTCTGCTATTTTCCTAGGAGGAAATCCCTGGGGCTCAGAGCATGCAGCTCAGAGCAAGCTGTGGGTTAGTGCCAGCTTTGGGAAGTGTTCTTTGATAATGGCAGGTTGCTAAACCTTCTGTTTGTGTGCTCTCAGGATATTTAGTAAGCCTTGCATACATTTATTTACTCTACCAACACTGAGCACTTACTCTGGGACTCGCATTATTATAAATATAATAGAGACAAGTGGGAAATATGATCCATCCCCAGGCTGATGGGAGACATGACAAACGAAACAGTTAATGACATTACAAGGCAAGGCCCAAATATATACAAATGAAGCGGGATGCAGAATAGGTGAGGATAAGCCAGACATTCCTGGACCTGTCCAAGGAATCATGAAAAGCTCAGGAGTAGTGCTAGGGTAAACATTTGGCTTTGTGACCTTTGAGGACTTCTTCATCTTTTTAAACATGTGACGTGTTTTTTGTTTTTTTTTTTTGAGTTGGAGTTTCGCTCTTGTTGCCCAGGCTGGAGGGCAATGGTGCGATCTCGGCTCACTGCAACCTCCGCTCTGCCTCCTGGATTTAAGCAATTCTCCTGCCTCAGCCTTCCAAGTAGCTGGGATTACAGGCACATGCCACGCCTGGCTAATTTTGTATTTTTAGTAGAGATGGGGTTTCACGATGTTGGTCAGGCTAGTCTCGAACTCCTGACCTCAGGTGATCCGCCCACCTCACCCTCCCAAATGCTGGGATTACAGGCATTAACCACTGCACCTGACCTTCTATTTTGTTTGTTTGTTTGTTTGTTTTGAGGCAGGGTCTCATTCTGTCACCCAGGCTGGAGTGCAGTGGTACAATCTCAGGTCACTGCAGCCTCGACATCCCAGGCTCAAGTGATTCCCCCACCTCAGCCTCCTGAGTAGCTGGGACCACAGGCACACGCCACCACACCTGGCTAGTTTTTGTATTTCTTGTAAAGACGGGGTTTTGCCATGTTGCCCAAGCTGGTCTCAAACTCCTGGGCTCAAGCAACCACCCTCCTGCCTCAGCCTCCTAAAGTGCTAGGATTACAGGCTACGCCACCATGCCCAGCCAAATGTGATTCTAATTAATGATAGTATTTCAAGCAGGACTTTGGGTAGATCAGATAGCCCACCCTGAATGCTAGAGCTAGGAAGATTTTCCAGCCTGAGGTTTGCTGGAAGTACCTCTTAGGATAGCTTGATTGTTCTATGCTCAACACTCACTGTGTTCCAAGACTCTAGTTCTTGAGAAACCAAGACCTGCTTACTGGTTCAACCACATCCTTACCTCACAGCTTCCATCTCTTTTTTTGCCCCCCTCAACTCTAGGTCTATTTGTTTGACTTGACTTACAAGCAGCGGCCGTACACCTTCCTCTTGCCTAGAAAATGCCACTCCTCGGGGGGTAAGTTCTCCCTTAGGGTATCTCTACTGCGGCGGTGTAGGGGAGCTTAAGTGCATGCTACACCTGCTGAGAAGCCTGCCCTTTACTCTGGACCGTGATCCTCCAAAAATAGCAGATCTCTGAAATAACCCCACCTATGCAGTAAGAAAGAGGATGACAATAGAGCAGAGATCTCTTCAAGAGCTTTGCATCACTGCCCTTTTTGCTTCCCTCTGAAAAGACAGGTTCCTTCCATGGCTTGGCTCTTGAGAACCTGAAATAGTTCCCCTCTCCTTTGTATCCTGGCCCAGTCTTCTCATTGATTTCTTCCTGGGGCCTACAGTTGATTTAGGCACCTCCTCACTCCATTCCCACCCCCAGCCCCAGCCCTAGCCCCAGCCCCAACCCTAGCCCCAGCCCCAGCCCTAGCCCCAGCCCCAGCCCCAGCTGAGTAATGCCACGGTGAAGTTGTGTCCCTCGCCAGCCAGCAGAGGGCGCACGGGCTTTTCTTTATGTCAGAACTTGCTTTCTGGGAATGGATCTTACTCTGGGAGAACAGTCCCACGATGGAACCATCAGACCCCGTGATGGAAGCTAGAGGGCTGCCAGGAAGAAATGGGTCCTCTTCCTGAGTTGTTGCTGTCACTTTCTCACTATCTCCTGCCAGAAGTCCAGAATGGCAAGATGTCCACCAACGGTGTGTCCAACGGTGTGTCCAATGGCCTGCACCTTCATAGCAATGGCTTCCGGCTGCCGGAGAGTAGGGGACATGTCAGGTGAGGCCAGCTGGCTTGTCCAGCCCTCCAAGCCCCAGTTACACTATATGGACTGGAGGGAGGGACATAACCTGTAAATCTTCCTCCTGACCCACACCCACTCATGCATCCCAGAGAGTGAGGACCAAGGCAAAGAGCCTTCTTGGAGGGTGCCTAGTGTTTCCAGTGCCCCTCTGCCTGGCAGAACACTAGTCATGGTCAGACTGTAGCTCTAGCCTGTTGGTACCAGTAACTGGGGTCAGGACTCAGGAGCTAGCTGCCTCTTAGCACTGAGCTGTCTCCAAAAAGGGGCTGCATACAAATGGGCCTCCGCATTATATTATTCCCCATCCTATAGCATATCCTTGCCTCTTTTCTCTGCCAGCCTCTGTGCTGGGCTTTGGATACAGAGGCGCTCAAATTCCCTAGCCTTGAGAGAAATAGAGTTCTCTAGACAGCGATCCACAGGAGGGACTCGGGTGGTCATAAGGTTCAGCTCAGCATGGAGGCAGGTGGTATCAGCTACTACCATGCCCAGGAGTTGAAGTACAGCTTCATTTCTGCCCTTCTTTTCACTGGCTGAGAGTATTTGGAATGGTATTTGGAATGAAATTCCAAATGGTATTCCCTATCACAGTAATAGGTAATATCCCAGACCAGGGTAGTGGTCCCCTCTTCCAGATAGCAGTCAGATCCCAGGGGCCAAGAAAATCTGGGTGGCCCTCAGGCCATGTTACAGACTCCCTGAGGGGCTGCTCTGACCTTCTTTGACTGTTCTGACTTGGCTCTATTTCCCCTGCAGCCCCCAAGTAGAGCTACCACCATACCTGGAGCGTGTGAAACAGCAAGCCAATGAGGCTTTTGCCTGCCAGCAGTGGACCCAAGCCATTCAGCTTTACAGCAAGGCTGTGCAGAGGGCCCCTCACAATGCCATGCTTTATGGAAACCGAGCAGCAGCCTACATGAAGCGCAAGTGGTGAGTGGCCACTGCAGAGGGGATCTGGGTCAGGATGAGGGAGAAAGCAGCTGGACCAAAAGGCAGGGGCCTGATGGAGCCAAGTTGCCAAGGCATCCAGGGAAAGTGGCAAGAACATATTGCTGCCTCTTAGGGCTTCTTGGCCTCTCCTCCCCACCTCCAGGCTAATGGTGGGCAGGCACCTGACCCATTAATCAGGAAGTCTCAAGCACTAAGGAAGCTCACAGTTACGTGGAACATGTTCAAAACTAGTTTCTACATGGCATATTATTATAAAGTGCTGTGGCCCCTGGGGAAGTATGAGTTGAGGACTGTTAGTCCCAACTGTTGGAGAATTGGACTTTGAAGAGCAGTGGAATCTTGCTAAGTGGAAATGAGGGGTTTGGTGAATTCAGTTGGTATGTGTCTAAAATATTCTGCAGTCCCTTGCCCCTCTAAGGCTTGCTTTCTGTGTTCTTAGACCCTTTGGACTGAGTACAAACCATATCCCAGAGATCCAAAGCTGGCTATGGGTCACGCTAGGGTATGGTGGCTGGTAATAAAGAAGTAGACCATATCTGAAAGAACTCCTCATCTTTGGAGACCATCAGGGCCCCCAGCCCTACTGCCTGCAGCACCAGCAGGCAAGCAGACATGCAGACCCCGCCCCCCCATCCCCCAGCCAGGGCCAGGACTAGAGATGGATAGAGCTGGGCCCACAGCCATTTCTGCTCCGTCTGGCATCCGTCGGCTCTGCCCAGACAGACAGGCCAGCTGGTGTGCCATCGTCTGGCTGCAACTCGGCAGGCCAGAGAGGGAAACTTAAGAAACCCACCCAAGTCAGCAGGATGGTAATGCTAGGTGGGGGTGGGGAAGATGCTGTCCCCCGGCCTTAGCTAAGGCATCAGGAGTTGGCCAAGGGCTCAGGTGGTAGCCAAACCCAGGAGATGACTGTTTTGGATGAATCGTGAGTTGATTCACCTCTCTGTCCAACAAACAGTTGGGTAGAACTCAGTGGTCCTCATCCAGGCTGTAGGCTAAGAGCTCAGCTTCACTCCTGCATTCTTGCTAAGAGAGGTTGGTGATTTCCTAATCCATATGTGCCCTCAGCATGTTCTCTGAGCTCCTACTATGTGCTAGGTACTAGGAACACAAAGTTCTATCACTCTGAGTTCCTGTGCTCCAGAGGAGCCTCTCCAGACAGTGGGTAAAGTGGTGGACATAGTTCAGCATTAAAGAGATAGGAAGCAGTGAGTCTTGTGAATGGTCAGGTAAAGGGCTGTGGGCATCAAGAAAAGTTGGGTCGCTTTAGCTGGGGAGCAGGGAAGCATCAGAAAGACATGGCGTCTGAATGGGCTTTAAGTGTAGGCAGGCTTAGACAGGAGATGAAGGAGAGGAGGGGCCTGTGGGGGAAGGACATTCCAGGGAGATGAAATGGTGTGAACAAAGGCATGGGGGTGGGGGACTGACTGAAGAGCTTGTTTGCAGAACAGCAAATCCATTTGGCTGGAGCAGAGGGTTCGGAAAGGGACTGGCAGGAGATGAGTCTGTGAGGTAGCCTGGGGCCGGCCTAGGGAGAGCTTGGAATGCAGAGCGGTGACGTTGGCCTCGATTCAGTGCATGATGGGCAGCTACTGGAGAGTTCTGAGCAGGAGAGGGATGTGCCGAGGGCTGTCCTTTCAGGGAGATTGATCTGGCAGTGAGTCTAGGAAGGGTGAGCCCTGGGGCCAGCCTGCTCTCTACCCCCATCCCCACATGCCTGCCAGTGACCCCTAGAATGTCACATTCTGTCCTGGGCCAGTCTCCCCAGGGCTGCCATCTGCTCCTGGATGCAGTGGGAGCTGTCACCCTCTGGCTCCTGGCTGGTCTCTGGTCTGGCTCTCCCCAGGAGCTCAGAGGGGCACCTTGCAGGCAGTAATTGGGTTTCCAAACAGTGCCTGCTCCTTCGTCAGAGCCACTCATCCTGACGCAGGCCACGCCATTGAAGCAGCTCTGTTTCCTGCCTGCCCCCACATGGGCTGAGCTGCTGGTTCCTGGTCTGAGCGTGGCTGTTCCGAGGACTGGGTGCTCCCTCTGAGTGCTGCAGAAGGAGGCTCAGGAAGAACCTTCCCATGTCAGGCCTGCCTTAGCCATGCCGGATTGTTGTGAGCTGTGCCCTTGGAGAAGGGGCCATTAACTCTAAGGGGTGCCTCTTACTGCTGCTTGGCACAGTTGGGTCCTAGGCCTACTCCAGCCCAGCTGAAAAAAAAAAATGGCTTCTGAAGAAGCAGTTCCTGTGGCCTGTCTGGCTCTCCAGACAAGAGGCAAGGACAGGTCTGTGGGTGCTGGGGGAGTATGCTTCCTATATTCTGGCACAGGGTGGGAAAAGGAGGGGCTTCTCTGACCTCCTTTCACTTCCTCTTTCCCCGCTTCCCCATCAAAAGCACTCCCACTTCCCTTCATCCATGCTTCAGGAGGTTGGAGAAGTGAGTGGGGACGATTTGGAGCTCCTGGTGTGCACAACCCCCCTTACCATCAGCTTCCAGAGAGCTGACTCTGCCAGACTGTCAGGCCCCATCCTCCAGCCCCAGGAGGTAGAGGCCACAGCTGCTGTGGATCAGTCAGCCAGGACAGGGGGGGGTCTGGCTGAGGGCTTGCTGCCTGCTGGTCAGACCCTGCGTCCCCAGCCTGACACTTCTGGCTTCCCCAGACCACAGAACTGTCCTTGAGGGCCCCCTGCCTTGGATGTGGCTTTGAAGGCCAGCCGGGGGTGATTTGAGAAGGTGGATGGGGGAAGAGAGAAGGAGGGCTTGGGGAGCCTGTGGTGGGCAAGATGCCAGGCCTTCTGCTGCAGAGCTGCGGGTGCCTGGGGTGAGCCAGTGTGCAGTTGCACTCTGTGCCCAGCAGAGGGCAGCCTGACACCAGCTTTTGCCACCCTCAAGACCTCAGGGTTTCCTGGCTTGCTCCTTAACCATACTCTGTCTCCTGATGGGGGAGGCCTGGGCTGAGCCAGGATTCTCTTCGTCCTCAAGTCCCCTTGCCATGAGATCTGTCAGTGGTGGGCTGGGGTGGCCACAGGAAGCAGAGGAGACTGAATGGGGACCCCTTGCTTGCCACGTGGCTCCACCTCCAAGCCGCTCTTCCCTGCCTTCCCAGGGATGGTGACCACTATGATGCCCTGAGGGACTGCCTCAAGGCCATCTCCCTAAACCCATGCCACCTGAAGGCACACTTTCGCCTGGCCCGCTGCCTCTTTGAGCTCAAGTATGTGGCTGAAGCCCTGGAGTGCCTGGACGACTTCAAAGGGAAATTTCCGGAGCAGGCCCACAGCAGCGCTTGTGATGCATTGGGCCGCGACATCACAGCTGCCCTCTTCTCTAAAAATGATGGTGGTGAGTGGGCACTGAGGAGGGGGTGCTGTTACTCTTTCTCTTTGAGATGCTGCATGACATTCTGGAGAGGTCATGGTTCTGGGATTGGAGAGGCCTGGGTTCAGATGTTGATTCAGAAACCATGCAACTTTGGGGCAGTTACTTGGTGTCTCTCTCAGAGTGTTTCCTGGTCTGAAAAGGAGGCATGCCAGCACCTCCCACTGAGCGTTTCTATTGAGGATCAGCATGTTTAAATGGCATGTTTAAAGCACCTGGGGGAGTGCCTGGTGCCCAGGATAGGAGGAAGCTGAGCTCAGTCAGGCTCCCGCTAGGCATTCACACCTGCTTAGACAGGGCCCTGGTGGTTCCACTTGGGCATCTGAGAGGCAGAAGCTGGTCATTGTGTTTGTTCCGAGTGTACAAGTGCAGCAGAGACAATAGCGCAGAGCAGTAGAAATGCCTCAGGCTTGGAATGTGGGGCCTCGGTTCCAAATGCAGCTCCACCACCTGACTGTGTGGCCTTGAAGAAAGCACAGCCTCTCTACCTACCTGCACAAAGAGCACGAAGCCCTGCCCAGCTCCCCTCAGTGTGCTGGAGAATGAACTGGGCCATCGGAGTGTGGTCTGTAAACGTGAACGGTGAGCTCATAGGAGGCAGACATGGATCTTCACCTCTCTCCTTTGCAGTTTACCAACCACGTGATAAATTAATTTGTTTAATGAATAGTTATCAGACACCTGCCATGTGCCAGGCACTGTGCTGGGTCCTGGGAATAGAGCTGTGACTAAGTCACGTGGAATTTCTGTGTTTATGGCATTTACAGTCTAGTGAAGGAACCAAGTGATAAAGGAGAAACAAAAAAGTATGACAAGTGCCATGGGGACCTGAATGGTGTGCATGCTGGGAGGGGGTGGGCTTGATGGCATTCTGGGGTTCTTCAGGAAGAAACATTTAAACTAAGATCTAAAGGATCCAAAGGAAGCATTAACTAGATACAAAATATAGCTGTGTGGCCTAGCGCGGTGGCTCACGCTTATAATCCCAGCACTTTGGGAGGCTGATGTGGGAAAATAGCTTGAGCCCAGGAGTTCAATATCAGCTAGGACAACATAGCAAGATCCCATCTCAACAAAAGAAAAATTAAAAAAAATTAGCCAGGGGTGGTGGCACACACCTGTAGTCCCAGCTCCTCGGGCAGCTGAGGCAGGAGGATCACTTGAGCCCAGGAGGTCAAGGCTACAGTGAGCCATGATCACACCACTGCACTCCAGCCTGGGTGACAGAGCAAAATCCTGTCTCAAACAACAACAACAACAAAATGTAGCTGTGGGAGATGCAGAGCTCCTGGCATATGAACCAGCATGCTCCAAGGCCCTGAAGCAGGTATGAGTGAGTCACTTTTAAGGAACTGAGAAAACTTGTGTGACTTTACCTGTCACTTAACTGATCAGTGACTCTCATTTGGGACCCTAATAACTTGTCTTCCAGAGGGTAAGGGCATGGTCCTTACTGCCCTAAGTGCCATGAATCTGTTTATAAAAGTCACCCAGGCTGGGCTCGGTGGCTCATGCCTGTAATCCCAGCACTTTGGGAGGCCAAGGCAGGTGGATCACCTGAGGTCAGGAGTTTGAGACCAGCCTGGCCAATGTGGCGAAACCCCGTCTCTACTAAAAATACAAAAATTAGCTGGGCGTGGTGGCACGTGCCTGGTAGTCCCAGTTACTCAGGAGGCTGAGGCAGGAGAATCGCTTGAACCTTGGAGGTGGAGGTTGCAGTGAGCCGAGATCACGCCACTGCACTCCAGCCTGCGTGACCATCTCAAAAAAAAAAAAAAAAGTCATCCATTCTCTCTTTGCTAGTGCCTCACTCTACCCTCCCCTGCCTCTTACCTCCACAGAAACAGACTTTGAGTCTCTGCATCTTTGGGGCTTTCAGGCCCTCATTTAGGGACCTGAACCAGGGCCCTCCTGGCATCAAAGGTCTCCTCTTGAACATCCTCAGGGGCTAGATCCAAAGATGCATCTTCCTCACAACCTTTCCCCAGTTTTCCAGGATAAGGGTGGAGGCAGGTAGCTCTATGTTGTCAGACTTTGGACTGAAAACAGAGCCATAGGTGGGGGAAAATAGGGAAGGAGAGAAAGGAACAAGGCGCTTACCTTTTCTGGATCTCTGCCCCCAGAGGAGAAGAAGGGACCTGGTGGCGGCGCCCCAGTCCGCCTCCGCAGCACGAGCCGCAAGGACTCCATCTCAGAGGATGAAATGGTGCTGCGGGAGCGAAGCTACGACTATCAGTTCCGCTACTGCGGCCACTGCAACACCACCACGGATATCAAAGAGGCCAATTTCTTTGGCAGGTCCGAGGCCCTGAAGAGGAGGGTGCAGCCCAGTTGGCAGCGGGAGGTTGAGTGGGGAGTGTTGGGGCATAATGGTTTCAGAGAAGAATCTCAAATCCCTGCTCTGCCTCTGTACCCTTGGGCAAATGGCTTCACCTTTGTCAGCCTCTAAAGTTTTTTAATCTATGAAATGACCAACCTGCCATGCCCATTTATGAGGCCATAACAAGGACTAATAAGATAACCCAAGTAGAGCCTCCAGCGCAGTGCCTGAACTACTCCTTCATCCCCCACCTCCTTCTCCCTCTGTCTGCATGTGCCAGAGCTTGGTTTCTTTATCTGCATTCAAGGAACCTCCCTCTGCTTGAGAGTATGAGGCAGCAGCCCTCCAAGGCTGGGAATCTTGGCACATCTGTTTTGTGCTCAAAACTGTGCCCTGTGTACTAAGGGACAAACTCTGTGTTTCAGACACCATCATCCCCACCCCTCATTTGTAGATGTACTTTCTTTGGGTAGGTGAGACACATGAACATGAATCAAGAATCTCTCCATAGGCCAGGCACAGTGGCTCATGCCCGTAATCCCAGCACTTGGGGAGGCTGAAGCAGGAGGATCGCTTGAGCCCAGGAGTTTGAGACCAGCCTGGACAGCATAGACCCCCATCTCTACAAAAAATGTTTTAAATTATCTGGGTGTGGTGACGTGCACCTGTAGTCCCAGCTATTCAGGAGGTTGACATTGGAGGACCAGTTAAGGCCACAGTGAGCCATGATCATGCCACTGTACTCCAGCTTGGGTGACAGAATGAGACCCTGTCTCTAAGAAAAAAAAAGAATCCATCAAGATGCCCTCTAAATGTCAGTGGTGTGTGAGGGGCAGGGGGAGTCTGGATGCCAGAAGCCTGGAACTGCTCAGGGGAGGCTTAAAACAGGGTATTTTGGAGACCCGAGAGATGATGTAAGATGATCCTGGCCCAAGGAGGTAATAATGAACTATAGGGGAGACTGTCTTGGAGAAATCCAGGTAGTCGCTGGCCCTAGGTTTAAGAGAACAGTGACCAGGGCTATATACCTGGAGGAATTCTGGGTCAAGTGCACACCCCAGCGTGTGGGGGACTGAGTGGCTGCAGACTTCCTTGCTCCCCCTTTACCTAGGCCATGCAGCCTCTACTTGAGGCTGTAGGGCAGTACCCCACCTGACCTCCCTGCCCTTTGCCCCCCCGCCAGCAACGCTCAGTATATCGTCAGTGGCTCTGACGATGGCTCCTTCTTCATCTGGGAAAAGGAGACCACCAACCTGGTCCGTGTGCTCCAAGGGGATGAGTCCATTGTCAACTGCCTGCAGCCACACCCCAGCTACTGCTTCCTGGCCACCAGTGGCATCGATCCTGTTGTGCGGCTCTGGAACCCCCGACCAGAGGTGAGGGTGCAGAGCCAAGCAGAGAGGAGGGCAGGGACTCTGTGGAAGGCTCCAGTGGAGCCTGCTAGCGCAGGGAAGAGAAATGAGCCACCCAGAGGCTAGAAGCTGCTAAGTAAGCCTTACCCCGGGGCCCAAGGCTGTGTTCTCAGATTCCAGAAGCTCCAAATGCAGCAGCAATTCTCCAGAAGCTGTGCAGAGGCCCTGGTCACAAGGGAACTATGCAGGCTTTGGCATCTGGTAGGCCTAAGTTTGAATCCAGTCTCCTCACTCGCTGCCTGAGAGACTTCACCATCTCTGACCCAGGCTTTTAATCATCTGTACATTGGGAATGGGAATGACAGCACCACCTTGAAAGGTTGTGGTGAGAAGTAAAGAAGAGATGCCTGTGAAGTGTCCAGCCCACAAGGACACTTAGGACAGTGGAGTCCCCTCCACTCCCAGGGTGGGTAGCCAGGGAAGCTGGCTTGGTGCCTCCCCTTCCCCTCTGCCCTACTGCTTCCCTCTTCCCAGCTGGCAAAACAAAAGTCAAGTGGTATGTCTGATTCCCAAGATAATTTGCTGTGACTTTTAAAGAGAGGACCCCTATAGGCTTCCCCATTGAGAGGAGAGGAGAAAGAAAGATGAAGCAAGAGTTGTGGCAACAAAACAGAATGGGGTGGGGAAGTTGTATCTGCCCCTTGTCCCAGGTATCCCAGTATGTGTGTCCAACATATCCTGGTGTGTACTGTCCCCCACGTATATCCCAGCATGTTATGACCTGCCTGTATATCCTGAGGTGGCGTATCTCCCATATATATTCCAGCGTGAGCACCCCCAACAATATGTAGCCAAGGTTGTGTGTTCCCCTCCACCATATACACCTCCTGGCATGTATGTGTACCTCCCCCTATAGATAGTTTAGTCTGTGTATTTCCCTCCCCCTCCCCTATACGTGTACCCTGGTGCCTCTCCCTCCCTGAGCCCCACGTGTGTCACCCCTTTCTCCACCACAGAGTGAAGACCTCACAGGCCGAGTCGTGGAAGATATGGAGGGTGCTTCACAGGCCAACCAGCGGCGCATGAATGCAGACCCGTTGGAGGTGATGCTGCTCAACATGGGCTACCGGATCACGGGCCTGAGCAGTGGGGGTGCCGGGGCCTCTGATGATGAGGACAGCTCTGAGGGCCAGGTGCAGTGCCGGCCCAGCTAGACCCTCCAGCCCTGGTCCCCAGCCCCTGCTACTGGCTGGACCCTCTGCCCTGGGCAGGAGGTCAGGGGATTCTGTTTTGGTTTGTCTTCCCCACCACCCTTTTTTTTCATTTCCCCTGTTTTGTTTGTTAGTTTGGCGTTAGGGGTGGAGGTTGCTACAACTTGCTGGCTTTCGGACTCTGGGCTGATTGTCCCCTGACTATCCCCAGCCCTGAAAAAAAGAGCAGGAGGGGACACCCCTCCATATGCCCCCCCCCATCTCCTGCTTTCATGTCCCTGGAGGGCTCTGGCCTGCCTCAAAACCCCTTCTGCCTCAGGTGGGGAGGAACAAGCTGAACTGTCTTCAGGGACTGTCCTGCCCTTTAGCTGGCAGCAGCAGGAGGAGTGGGATTCCCAATTGGTAAGGGCTCGCCTTGGCCTGTTGCCACTCTTGCTCCCTAGCCTGCAAGGCTAGCTCCCCTGTGGTCTTCAGGAAAGGTTTTGAAAAAGGATGGGTCCCACCCTCCCTCCAGAGCCACCAGTGTTAGAGCGGAGCCCAAAGGAAGGATGGGAGCCCTGGAGTGGGCAAGACCAGGCCACCTGCTGAGGTCGCTGTGGAGCACCCTCGCTCCTCTCCTGGCTACTAGCTCTGGCCCTGCACCTACTCTCACTGGCCACCTCTGGAGGCTCTGCCTTTCCCAAGGGCCCTGGCAGAGGGTGGGGCACTGCACCTTACCCCACCCATCCATGCCAGCACTTCTGCACTACGGCCATTCTCCTCTTGGGCGCTCCTCAGCCTCACTGTGACCTTTCTGCCAGAGCTCCCAGCCAGGCCTACTCTGCTGAGGTGGCGCTTCCTGCTAAGGGCCCTTCTCTGCCCTTTCTGCCCTCCTTCCCATCCCACATGCTGAGCCGCCACAAAGACCAAAGAAGTGATGGCTTTTCTCTGTCCCCTGCTGCTCTGAGGGGAGAGGGGTGGGTCTCCTGAGCCACTCAGATGGGAAAGTCCCTTACTCGGCCCCTCCCTCCCCAGCAGCCCCAAGCTTTACACTGGATGCAGCGATCAACCCACCACTCACCAGGCCTCTCCTCCCCTCTGCCCCCGGCTCTTAGCTCCAGCTGCTCCAGGTAGTTGGTTCATCCTTCCCCCTCTCTCCCTCCCTGCTTCCCCTTCAGTGCTTACTTGGCTCCAGCCCTCCAGCTGCAGCCCCTGGGGAAAAGCAGCCTCCCTTCTCCTCTCCCTCCACTCCCTCGCTCCCTCCCTCAGCCCCTGTCTCTGCCAGGTGCCTCCTCTCAGTCAGGCTTCAGAGCAGCCCTGGAGACAGGAGGGCCATGTTAAAAGCTTTTTCACAGTTTTAAGAAGACAAGTGGAGGGTGAGGATAGTGGTGGGGGGTCTGGCACCATCTCATTGCTTTAATCCCAGCAACACAGGTGGCAGCTTCTCCCCCTTCCTTCCCACCCCAGTCCCTCTTCCCACCCCTCTCTTCTAGCTTGGTAATGAAGTATATTTATTGGTGAAGGAAACAGCTGCTGCTGCTTCTCCTGCTGCTGGGACCTGCTCCCCTGTCTCTTCTCCGTGACCTTTCTCTAGCCAGGGAGAAGGGAGAGCAGGAGTATTGGGGCTGGGCCCTGGGGCCCAAGGACCAGCTGGGTCCCCTTTGCTTTCTTGTGTTCCAGCCACCTGCCATTTCCTCCCTGCCTCCCACCCTCCCTCCCTGCCCCCTGTCCTGCTTCCCACCCCCTGCCTGCCCAGCCTGGGCCCTGCAGTGTGGAGAGACACATAAGCCTTACTGTCCTCTGGGGGCAGGAGCCGAGCCTTTTTGTTGCTCCGCTCCCAGGAGAGTGAGGGTGACGCAATTGATTAAAACCATTTTGTTCTAGGTGTGGCTGGTGGCATTTGTGGGGTGCAGATGGGTCTTGGAACCAAAGTGAGGGCACCTGGTCCCTCACCTCTGTAGCTCTATGACTTAGTAACCACACCTCTACTGGACAGAATGAGGCCTGCCTTGAAGGGTCACCGTGAGCAGCGGCCACCCAGCCCAGCAGGGCTGAGTGCAGAGCCCAGCTCTCATGGCTGTGATTTGTAATCATCAGCTTTCACTCTCTGGCTGTTTTCTCATCAGTAAAATAAGGGACTTGGAATCTTAGTGGTTTTTCAAACCATTTTACATTGTGACCCAATATACACATGATTACTTGTAGATATGTGTGTGTGTATATATATATAAAAAAAATGAACAAAAGTTTTACACAATAATATTTACCCTTGCTACATGCAGTGTACTCTGCTTACCCTTCTGTTTTATTAGGGAAAAAAATATGGCTATAACCCACTAAATTGATTTCACATATGCAAGTTTTTGAAGTGCCCTGGATTAGATAATCTCTTAGACTATAGGTTCCTGAACTTTCTTAGCTCACAGCACCATTACCATCTCAGTAATTTTTTCATGGAGCCTCTAAGCCAAAAGAAATAACAGTTCAATTTATTAAGTAGTTAAGTCCAAATCACTTAAAAAGTATTTATGTCCTAACAAGTTAGTTGCCATTTAAAAAATAATACACCTGAATTGGAAGAAACAATATTTATTTCATTCTTTTTTTTTTTTTTTTTTTTTGAGACGGAGTCTTGCTCTGTTGCCCAGGCTGGAGTGCAGTGGCATGATCTCAGCTCACTGCAACCACCGCCTCCCGGGTTCAAGTGATTCTCCTACCTCAGCCTCCCAAGTAGCTGGGATTACAGGCATGTGCCACCATGCCCAGCTATTTTTTTTTTTTTGCATTTTTATTTATTTTTTATTTTTTATTTTTTTTTTGAGACAGTTTCGTTTTTGTCGCCCAGGCTGGAGTGCAATTGTGCAATTGCGGCTCACTGCAACCTCCGCCTCCTGGGTTCAAGCGATTCTCCTGCCTCAGCCTCCCAAGTAGCTGGGATTACAGGTGCCCGCCACCACACCCAGCTAATTTTTTGTATTTTTAGCAGAGATGGGGTTTCACCACCTTGGCCAGGCTGGTCTCAAACTCCTGACCTCAGGTGATCTGCCCGCCTCAACCTCCCAAAGTGCTGGGATTACAGGTGTGAGCCACCGCGCCCAGCCTTCATTCTTAAACAACTGCAATTACTAATGGGATCTATGCTGCCCATTGGGCACTGAACAACTTGTTAAATTTTCTAATCAAAGCAAACACTGCTGCCTTCATTTCCTGTCCCACATTGATTTTCATTTGCTTTTTATCACAGCAACCACTAAAGACCCAGCTTCTTTTTTTTTTTTTTTTTTTTTTTTGAGGCGGAGTCTTGCTCTGTTGCCCAGGCTGGAGTGCAGTGGTGCGATTTCGGCTCACCGCAAGCTCCACCTTCTGAGTTCATGCCATTCTCCTGCCTCAGCCTCCTGAGTAGCTGGGACTACAGGCAGCTGCCACCAGACCTGGCTTATTTTTTATGTTTTTAGTAGAGATGGGGTTTCACCACGTTAGCCAAGATGGTCTCGCTCTCCTGACCTTGTGGTCCACCCGCCTCGGCCTCCCAAAGTGCTGGGATTACAGGCATGAGCCACTGCGCCCGGCCAAGACCCAGCTTCTTAAAGATGACATCATCAAAAGGATTGTGGCATAATGTAATAATGGAACTGTGAACTACCTTGAGCTAATAGTTCTCTCATTAGCCAAAGATGTTGAATATCTTTCAAAATATCCTACTTTGCCCCCTGTGAATTTGCTGTGGGTGCCCTCAGGCACCTTGATGCACAGTTGGGGAACTATGGTTTAGTCTGTGGGAATAGCAGTTCCACTACTGAAACTACTGAGAGGTCCTGCCGGAAACACAATAGGTGGTATTATAAAACAGATACTGTGGGCTGGTATCATTCCTCTGTGTACCCAAATTAACGTCTGCAGAAGCTTCTTGAAGGCATTTCCAGACCAGACAAAGGAAGGACAATGTTCCAGACCAGGGAGTAGTGCAGAGTCTCAGGTTCCTTCATGAACCCTGAGTGACTCCATCTGGCTGGATTGTAGAGGGTAGACTGGAGGAGCAGTCAAACTGAAGGACTTCCTATGGCTGGTGAGAGACCACAGACTCAATCCTGTAGGCAAGGGAGGCATTGGAAGACTTCACGAGGGTCTCCATTTCATTTGGAGTTGGTACTCCATTTTTTAAAAAATTAATAGCCTTTACTTTCTAGAGCAGTTTTAGGCTTACAGAAAATTGAGCAGATAGTATAATGAGTTTCATATAACCCTCTTTCCCCAGCTCAATTTTCCCAATTATTAACATCTTGCATTAGTGTGTTGTTGTAATTAATGAACCAATATTGATACATTATGATAACTGAAGTCCATAGTTTACATTACGGTTCACTCTTTGTGTTGCAAAGTTCTATGGGTTTTGACAAATGCATGTCTCGTATCCACCATTACATTGTCATACAGAATAGTTTCACTGTTCTAAAAGCACCTTGTCCTCCACGTATTCAGCCCTCATTAGCATCCCCCCAAAAAAGTACTTAGGAATAAATCTAACAACATATGTACAAGGTTTGTATGAGCAAAACTACAAAACTGATAAAAGAAACCAAGGAAGATCAAGTAAATGGAGAGATGGTCCATGTTCACGGATAGGAAAACTCAATATTAGGATGTCAGTTCTTTCCAACTTGATCTATAGCTTCAATGTGATCCTGGTCATAGTCCCAGCAAGTTATTTTGTGAGTATCACCAACTGATCCTAAAGTTTACATGAAAATGTAGCAGACCCAGAATAGTTCCACTGTTCCACCTCCTTCTGCCTCTCCTGGTGCCGTTTGTGTGCTCATTCATTCTGTGCAGACCTGGTGCCTCATTGGTGAAGTAGCAGCTGAGGAGACTCCAGCACTCGTGTGGCTGATGAAAAGCCCAAGGAAGGAGTCAAGACTGAGAATAACAATCTTATTAATTTGAAGGTAATGGGGCAGGATTGTTCCATGGTGCAGTTTAAAATTAAAAGTCATATACCGGCCGGGTATGGTGGCTCACACCTGTAATCCCAGCACTTTGGGAGGCCAAGGTGGGTGGATCACCTGAGGTCTGGAGTTTGAGACCAGCCTGACCAATATGGTGAAACCCCGTCTCTACTAAAAATACAAAAAAATAGCTGGACATGGTGGTATGTGCCTGTAGTCTCAGCTACTTGGGAAGCTGAGGCAGGAGAATTGCTTGAACCCGGGAGGCGGAGGTTGCAGTGAGCCGAGATCGCGCCACTGCCCTCCAGCCTGGGTGACAGAACGAGATGCCATCTCATAAAAGAAAAAAAAAGAGTCATATACCACTTAGTAGAGTAATGAAAGTCTATTGTGAATGACAGAGTTTGTCAGTGAGGCAGATCAGATTCTAATTTGACAGGCAACCAGTCAATGAAACAGACACACCTGCACAGTTGGAAATGGAGGATGAAGATACAATTGATGTGTTTCAGCAACAGACAAGAAGTGTCTACTGAAAAAGGAACCTGCTTCTTTACTCTAGAACTTTGTTCTTATAGACCAAGATTACATTCTCAATTAGAAAACTGCAATTTGGTTCCACCACATCATGACTATTACTATAGTATAGTTTTCTCTATTCTTTTATTTTTCCCTTACCCATTCCCTTATTGTACATAAAATAATGGGTGTATGTTCACAAGCATTTTGCTGTTTTAAATATTAAATGGCCAATGACATCCACTTGATGTCAATCAAAACATATCTGTGGGGAAAAATACCGATTCTTGAAAATTACCTCCCTTTCTCCATCAGTGGCATGCTCATTCAACTCTTATCTTACATTGCAATGTTATTTTGTTCTCACTATTTTAACAAAAAAAAAAAATCCTTGCATACCTTATTCAATTGGAGAATTTTAATGTTTTTCATTTATCATTGTAAAACCAAGGACAATTTTATAACTTTTCGTGTATATAGCTCTTACATGTAGGGCAATCTGTCTTTAACTAGAGATAAATTACTCTTAAAAAAAAATCCTAAATAGTTTTCCTTTAAAGTCAAGCATCTTGTTGTTTAAATAAACTTCTTGTTAAAAATGGAGAAAAAGAAGAAAGACCCAGAATAACCAACATAATACTTACGAAAAACAAATTCAGAGGATTAACACTCCTGACTTCAAGACTTACTATCAAGCTACAATAATCAAGACAGTGTGGTACTGGCAAAAGAATAGACAAATAGGCCAATGGAACAAATAGAGAACCCAGGAATAGACACACACAAATACAGTCAGCTGATCTTTGACAAGGCAGTAAAGTCAATTCAATGGAGAAACGATAGTCTTATCAACAAACAGTGATGGAACAACTGGACATCCATATGCAAAAAAAAAAATCTAAACACTGACCTAACACTGTTTACAAAAGTTAACTCAAAATAGATGACAGACCTCCTAAATTTAAAATACAAAACTATGAAACTTCTAGAAGATAACATAGGAAAAAAATCCAACTTGATCTATAGCTTTAACATAATCCGAGTTGCAGTCCCAGCCACTTATTTTGTTGGATTTGGCAATGAGTTTTTAGATACAACACCAAAACCTCAATCCATGAAAGAAAAAAATTGGCAAGTTGGACTTCATTAAAATAAAAAATTTCTCAGTTAAAGACACAGTGGAGAGAATGAAAAGAAAAGCCAAGGACTGGGAGACATATTTGTAAAACACAGATAAAGGATTTGTATTCGAAATACACAACTTTTTTTTTTTTTTTTTTGAGACGGAGTCTTGCTCTGTCACCCAGGCTGGAATGCAGTGGCACAATCTCAGCTCACTGCAAGCTCTGCCTCCCGGGTTCATGCTATTCTCCTGCCTCAGCTTCCCGAGGAGCTGGGACTAAAGGCGCCCGCCACCACACCTGTCTAATTTTTTGTATTTTTAGTAGAGACAGGGTTTCATCATGTTAGCCAGGATGGTCTCGATCTCCTGACCTCGTGATCTGCCCGCCTTGGCCTCCCAAAGTGCTGTGATTACAGGCATGAGCCACTGCGCCTGGCCAAGAACTCTTAAAACTCAACAATATGGAAACAACCCAATTTCAAAATGGGCAAAAGATCCAAACACCACACCAAAGATGATTTACAGGTGACTAGTAAGCATATGAAAAGATTTTTAACATTATGTCATCAGGGAATTGCAAATTAAAACAATGAGATACCGTTGCACATTGCACACTTACTAGGATAGCTAAAATGTTAAAACTGTCCACAGCAAATGCTGACAAGGATGTAGAGGAACAGGAACTCTCATTCATTGGCAGAGGAAATGCAAAACAGTACAGCCACTTTGGAAGACAGTTTGGCAGTTTCTTACAAAGCTAAACATACTCTTACCATACAATGCAGCAGTCGCTCTGCTTGTATTTAACTAAAAGGGTTGAAAACATGACCATGTAAAAACCTGTACATGAATGTTTATATCAGCTTTATTCATGATTGCCAAAACTGGAAGCAACCAAGATGCCCCTCAAAAGGTGAATGGAGGCCAGGTGCGGTGGCTCACGCCGATAATCCCAGCACTTTGGGAGGCTGAGGCAGGTGGATCACTTGAGATCACGAGTTTGAGACCAGCCCGGCCAACATGGCGAAACCCCGTCTCTACTAAAAATACTAAGATTAACCGGGCGTGGTGGCACGTGCCTGTTATCCCAGCTACTTGGGAAGCTGAGGCAGGCAAATTGCTTGAACCTGGGAGGTGGAGGTCACAGTGAGCCAAGATTGTGCCACTGCACTCCAACCTGGGCGACGACAGAGCAAGACTCCGTCTCAATTAAAAAAAAAAAAAAGTGAACGGATAAACAAACTGATACAGCCATAAAATAGAATATTATTCATGATAAACAGAAATGAGCTATCAAGCCACAAAAAGATATGGAGGAAACTTAAATGTGTATTGCTTTGTGAAAGAAGCCAGACTGAACTGGCTACATATGATTCCAACTAGATGACTTCCTGGAAAAGGCGAAACTACAGAGACAGCAAAAAGATCAGTGGTGCTCCATTTTTTAAGAGTGTCCACATGTGTGATTCATCCAAAGCATTCATGAGCCCTGCGGATAATAGAGTCTGGGGCTCAGATGAGCCCATACTGTGAATGTATAGTAAAGCAGAGATTAGAAATAGGGACTTCTGCATTTGTGGAGGGCAAGTGTGGCCCCAGAGGGCTGCTCCTGTCTCTGCTTAAGAGCATGCCCAAATATTGTTGCAGAACTTAAAAGGTGATGAGAAGTCATCTCACTCAGAGGCTCTCAGCCCTAGCTGTAAATCAGAATCACCCAGGATGCTTTTATAACTTTCCATGCCCCACCCCAGAGATTCTGTTTTAATTGGTCTGAGGTAGAGCCCAGGCATCCGTCCTTTTTTTTTTTTTTTTAAGAGGTGGGGTCTTGCTTTGCTGCGCT
Organism: Homo sapiens; assembly: GCF_000001405.40. NCBI lineage: Eukaryota > Metazoa > Chordata > Mammalia > Primates > Hominidae > Homo > Homo sapiens. The sequence goes on from NC_000001.11 coordinate 27,314,785, forward strand.
GGCTGGAGCACAGTGGCTGTTCACAGGCGCTCCCACTACTAAACAGCATGGGAGTTTTGTCCTGCTCCATTCCTGACCTGGGCTGGCATCCATTGTTTTAAATCATCCCAGGTTCATTTTACTGTGCAGCCAGAGATGAGAACCACTGATCTAGCTCTATCTCCACATTGTACAGATAGGGACCATGAGTTTCAAAGAGTGGCAGGAAAAGGGATGGGCTTGCCTGAGGCACCCTAGTGAATTAGAACCAAAGTCAGGACTGGATTTCTGATCCCTAATTCCTAGTCCAATTCTTTTTTTTTTTTTTTTTTGAGATGGAGTCTCACTTTGTGGCCCAGGCTGGAGGGCAGGACGTGATATTTCGGCTCACTGCAACCTCTGCCACCCAGGTTCAAGCAATTCTCCTGCCTCAGCCTCCCGAGTAGCGGGAATTACAGGCATGTGCCACCACGCCCAGCTAATTTTTGTATTTTTAGTAGAGATAGAGTTTTGCCATGTTGGCCAGGCTGGTCTCGAACTCCTGACCTCAGGTGATCGCCTGCCTTGGCTTCCCAAAGTGCTGGGATTACAGGCGTGAGCCATCACGCCCGGCCTAGTACAATTCTTTATAAACCATTTTCTTATAATAGGTCACAGTACTTTTTTTTTTTTTCTTTAAATAGAGACAGGGTCTTGCCATATTGCCCAGGCAGGTCTCAAACTCCTGGCCTCAAGTGATCCTCCCGCCTCAGCTTCCCTAAATGCTGGTATTACAGGTGTGAGCCACCATGCCTGGCCCATGATACTTTTGAGCTCCTACTCTGTGTCTGGCATTGGGCCAGGCATTGGCATAACAAAATTGTACACAACATATTCCTTGCCTTCCTGGAGTCTCCAGATTATCTGGAGGAATAGCAAATACAGGGATTGTACAAGGTTGCTGAACACTGGATTTTACTGTGAAATGTGAGTCCTCCCCAGTATATTCTGCCATCATTCAGTGCCCCACACGTGCCAGGTTCTTTGTCAGGTCTAGGGATATTAACATGTCTGGCAGGGGTGGCGGCCCGAAGAAGGAATGTGCCACTTGGTTGCTCTGCCTCCTGCTCCCACCCAGTTCTTTTTTTACATATAAAATAAGGTCCTGGTCCTAATGAGGCCATAGTTTACCCCTATTTTACAGTGATTTAGAGACTCTCACGCTGGTCTCCCCTCATCACTCTAGTAAGTCCTAAAAGGGGTCATCACCAGGCCAAATGTAGTGGCTCACACCTGTAATCCCAGCACTTTGGGAGGCTGAGGCAGGAGGATCACTTGAGGCCAGGAGTTCAACACCAGCCCAGTCAACATGGTGAAGCCCCATCTCTACTAAAAATACAAAAATTATCCGGGCATGGTGGTGTGCGCCTGTAATCCCAGCTACTTGGGCGGCTGAGGCATGAGAATCGATTGAACCCAGGAGGCAGAGGTTGCCGTGAGCCAAGATTGTGCCACTGCATTCCAGCCTAGGTGACAGAACAAGACTTTGTCTCAAGAAAAAAAAACAAAACCTTAGGAACACAAAGAAGGAGACAGACACTGGGGTCTGCTGGAGGGTGGAGGGTGGGAGGAGGGAGAGGAGCAGAAAAGATAACTATCAACATCCAGGCTTAATACCTGGATGATGAAATTAATAATGGCTCACTGGCCAGGCGTGGTGGCTCACACCTGTAATCCCAGCACTTTGGGAGGCCGAGGTGGGTGGATCTCCTGAGGTCAGGAGTTCGAGACTAGCCTGACCAATATGGTAAAACCCCCGTCTCTACTAAAAATACAAAAATTAGCCGGGCATGGTGGCATGCACCTGTAATCCCAGCTACTTGGGAGGCTGAGACAGGGAGAATCACTTGAACCTGGGAGGCGGAGGTTGCAGTGAGCCAGATCGCGCCATTGCACTCCAGCCTGGGCAACAAGAGTAAAACTCCATCTCAAATAAATAGACAAACAAATAGTGGCTCACTGCAGCCCCCCCAGGCTCAAGCAATCTTCCCGAGTAGCTGGAGTAGCTGGAATTACAGGCATGTGCCACAATGCCCAGCTAATTTTTTTTTTTTTTTTTTTTTTTTAGTAGAGATGAGGTCTTGCTGTGTTGCCCAGGCTGGTCTCAAACTCCTGAGCTCAGACAATCCTCCCCTCTTGGCCTCCCAGAGTGTTGGGATTACAGGTGTGAACCACCACGCCTGGCCTATTTCTCATTTTAGAGAGAAGGAAACTGATGCCCTACCAGGTTCTGCTACTTTCCTAAGGTGCGACAGATATTGACAAAGCTTAAGTTCAAACACTGAGCTGGCTGACTCCTGAGTCCACATGTGTAGCCATCATGCTTTCCTGGGCACCCCAAAGTGGGAGACTTAGATTCTGGTCCTAGCTGTGCTTTCTATAACCTTGGGTAACTTAGCCCATCTATAAAATGGAATGGAGGCCGGGTGCAGTGGCTCACGCCGGTAATCCCAGCACTTTAGGAGGCCAAAGTGGATGGATCACTTGAGGTCAGGAGTTAAGGCCAGCCTGGCCAACATGGTGAAACCCCGACTCTAGTAAAAATACAAAAATTAGCTGGGGCTGGGCGCGGTGACTCACGCCTGTAATCCCAGCACTTCAGGAGGCCAAGGTGGGTGGATCACCTGAGGTCAGGGGTTCAAGACCAGTCTGGCTAACACAGTGAAACCCAGTCTCTACGAAAAATACAAAAATCTGTAGGCATGGTGGTGCACACCTATAGTCCCAGCTACTCAGGAGGCTGAGGCAGGAGAATCACTTAAACCTGGGAGGCAGAAGTTGCAGAGAGCTGAGATAGTGCCACTGCATTCCAGCCTGGGCAACAGAGCAAGACTCCATCTCAAAAAAAAAAAAAAAAAAATTAGCTGGGCGTGGTGGTGTGCACCTGTAATCCCAGCTTACTAAGAAGGCTGAGGCAGGAGAATCACTTGAACCCGTGAGGCAGAGGTTGCAGTGACCCGAGATGGCCCCACTGCACTCCAGCCAGGGTGACAAAGGGAGACTCCATTTCCAAATAAAACAAAAAAATGGAATGGAAAAGGAAGTCGTTTTGTGAACTCTGATGTCTAAAGGACCAGTGGGTTTGCTCTGAAATAGTTTATTGCACTGAGTTGGTCCCCTTAATCTCCTCCCCACCATGGGAAGGTTTGGAGTCATAATGGAAAGAGGCCCAGCTTCCAGGGGCCAGAGAGGGCAATGATGAAGCTGAGCAGAAGAGAGTACGCTGTCCTCCCACATGCTGCATATACTGCAGCATGCCCCTGGCTCAGGCTCTTTCCCTGGATTGAGGTGATTCTTCCCCAGAGCCCTTAAGGAGACATCTACAGTCAACAAATAACTCCAGTGACATTACCTGAGCACTTCCTCTCTGCCAGTTGCCTAGTTGGATACAGGGACCAATAGATCCAGTTAGTCCCCTTCTCAAGGAGTTCACAGTCTCTTGGGAGCGACAGACATGTAAACAGCTAATGCTAATGCAAGTACACATGAATATTCAATAGGTGGAAACACAGCCTTCGTGCTCTGGGAGCAAAGAGGGAGCATTTGCCTGAAACCTTGAAAGTAGTGTAGAAGAGGAAAGGAAGGACATCCCCGATGAGGGAATGGTGTGAGCCAACACACAGGGTATGAAGTGCAGGACTTGTTCTGTGAAGGGCAAACAGGCCAGTGAGGCTAACTCCAGGCAAGTCCCGAAGGAGACTGTGAGAAATGAGGCTGGAAGGAAAATTTGAGGGCATCATGAGGGGCCTTGAATGCCAGGAGCGAGATATCCTGAAAGAGGAGATTTGTGAGTCCTGGGGACTTATACATGGGGCCAATTGAGGGGGTGCGCTGACTCCCACCAAGAGAGGAAATGCCCCAAGCTCACCCTTCAAACAAGCAGCATCTTACCCTCAAAGGTTTCCCAGCTTGACAGTTTCAGCTCTGGCATCCTTCCCTCCCCCAGCCAAACCCATAAGTGGATCCAGATGGTCATTCCTATTTTAGGTTGGGGTGTGTGTTGGGGGAGGGATAGCTCTGAAACCTATCAATCCTGTCCCAAGCTCAGCCATAACAGGAGCTTCCTCCAGGACCCTGCTGTGATCCTGTGAGCCTGGAAGGAAATATTAGTCTTTGATGGAGATTTCCCATCTGTTTATGGGTGATAAGGAAGCAACAGCAGAGGAGTCCAGGGCACAGGCCAGAGAGACTCTTACAATTGGGTGAGAGAACCAAGGTGTATATGTGAGAAGGAGTGTTCTGCAGGGATGAATCCATTATTTAAAAAAAAAAAAAAAAAAAAAAGGCCGGGCACGGTGGCTTATGCCTGTAATCCCAGCACTTTGGGAGGCTGACGCAGGTGGATCACAAGGTCAAAAGATCAAGACCATCCTGGCCAAACATGGTGAAACCCCATCTCTGCTAAAAATACAAAAATTAGCTGGGTGTGGTGTTGCGCACCTGTAGTCCCAGCTACTCGGGGAGGCTGAGGCAGGAGAATTGCTTGAACCCAGGAGGCAAAGGTTGCAGTGAACCAAGATTGTGCCACTGCACTCCAGCCTGGTGACAGAGTGAGACTCTGTCTCAAAAAAAAAAAAAAAAAAAAAAAAAAATCTTGTGGATGGGTTGTGGTGCGGGGCAAGCCTGTGGGACAGGCACCAGAGGATCTGGCTTCTACCTCCAGGTACCCGGCCCTCCTCATGCCACGTTTCTGCAGCTGCCTAGGCCAAGGGTAGGATGACGTGGACCTTAGGAAAGGAGCCAGGGCTCTGTGGTCTGATCCTCTGCCTGAGCACTGTTCCCACCAACCCAAGCCCATTGAAAAGGTTTGGGACACCAAGAGGTAGCAGGTTCCTGCGTTTAGACTGTAACCAGCACGTGATACCAAGCCTGTAAGTATTTGCCTTTCATTCAATTTAACAAATATTGATTAAACAAATACCATGCACTAGGCACTATACTGGGCATTGGGTATACACACGTTAGCAAGACAAATAGAGTTTCCAGTCAAGTGGGGGAGGCAAATAGTACATAGCTACAAAGAAGCTATGAAGAAAAAGAACAGGAGATTAATGGGGGCTTTCTCATTTAGATTGGGAGACCAGGGATGGGCTGAGAAAGTAATATTTGATCTGAGACTGGAAGAATGAAAGTTAGCCGCTTTAAGTAGATAGGAGTAGTATTTCAGGCAGAGGGGAACAGTGTGTGCCAAGTCCCTGGAATATGAAGGAGTGCATGAGAGGAACTGAAAGAAAAGGCCAGGATGGCTGTAGTATAGTAAATAAGGAAGGGGCATGGGTCCAGATGGTGCAGGGCTTTGTGAGCCATAGTAAGATATTTGTGTTTCATACGAAGTGCAACGGGAAGCCATTGAAGTTTGGCAGATTAAATGTGGTACGTGTATTAGTACTACCAAACTTGTGGCAGGCCCTGAGAGACTTACTTTGGTTGTTTATTCATCAATACCTACAATAAATGTTTAAAGGGTACCCAGCAACCCTGTGCTAGAATTATGGGCTGACAGTCATGGTAGGGAGATGTCTAAGGCACAGACCTTCCTCACAGCCTGTGGTCCAGAAGAGATTAGATAACTACAGTGATTGAATCAAGAAGTCATGTAATTTATTCTCAACAACTGTAAACTACACACCTAATCTATTCCAAACCCTGTGCTGGATGCTGGTTGTTGCCCTTCAAGGATCACACACTGCACAGGGGTCAAGGAGAGGTACAAACGTGCTCAAAGAATTTGGAGTGGGTTAGAATCATTTTCTAACCCACTGTAATCATTATCATGCCTGCGAATCTCTGAGGTCTTTATAAAACATCCATTTATTCAATCACCTAATAAATCAGTAAACATCTAGTGGGCATATGCTTTGCACCAGGAACTGTGCCAGCTACTGAAGTCAAGGACCTTAGAGTTCTATAGCAGAGACAGACATCCCCCACAAAAAAACATGAAAATATTAGGTGCTACAAACAGGACAGCAAGCTCTCCATAGATCAGCATTGAGGGAGGGTAATTCAGTGGAAGAAGGACCTTCCCCAAATGGGAAGCTCCTAACTTCCTGAGTGCATTTGTCCATACCTTCCTTTACCTGATTACTCTTTTTATTCTTTTTTTTTTTTCTTTAAGGCTGATTTTTAGTGGCAGCCTTCCTTCTGACTTTGGGCTGTCCCCAACTTCCCCTCCCCACCCCAGTAGACCCCAGTAGACTTCATTTTCTTTGTCTTGACATCCTTTAAAAAGCCAAAAGTCTCCAACATTTGAGCCTGGCTTCTCTCTAATTATGGTTGTGTGTGATCTCAAACAATTAACTTCCCTGAGCCCGTTTTCCCATTTGTACAATGAAGGGATTGGATCACATCTAAGGCTTATGATTTACTCCAGTAAGTATTCACACTCTTGCACACACTGCTCTGCACGGCCTTCCTTTCTTTGTACCGCTGCACTCATACTTCCACTCCTGTGCCACATGGCAAACATCAAGACTCAACTCAATAATATCCTATCTTCCAGCAAGTCTTCCCTGTATATACAATAAAACACACACACACACACACGTGCGCACACACAACTGTGTGTGTCTTCCTTTATGCTACCACTACCTCGTGAGAGGGCCACAGAATGAAAAGGGCAAGGGAGGTATAAGACTTGGGTTTGGGCCAGGCGCGGTGGCTCACGCCTGTAATCCCAGCACTTTGGGAGGCCAAGGCGGGCGGATCACAGGGTCAGGAGTTTGAGACCATCCTGGCTAACATGGTGAAACGCCACCTCTACTAAAAATACAAAAATTAGCCGGGCGTGGTGGCACGCGCCTGTTATCCCAGCTACTCGGGAGGCCGAGGCAGGATCGCCTGAACCTGGGAGGTGGAGGTTGCAGTGAGCCGAGATTGTGCCATTGCCCTCCAGCCTGGGCAACAAGAGAAAAAATTCCGCCTCAGAAAAAAAAAAAAAAAAAAAGACTTGGGTTTGCATCGTGGTCTCTCACCTTTTGAACCTCAGTTTCTCACCTGTAACAGGAGGGAATACCTAATTTGGATGTCTAATTAGTTTATGGGGATTAGAAACAATTCATGTCAAGTGCTTGGCACCTAAGAAGTGCTCAATAAATAGCGACTGTACCACACCTCCTAGGAGCCCTCAGCGTACTGAATTAGAGTTCTCTATAAGTCTCCGGCGCTAGACTGCGAACTGCCTGAGAGCATCCCTTCTGCAGCCGCGGGGCATAAGCGGCAAAGACTCGGGGCTGGCAGGCGCATAGGGAGTGGGGCGGGGCTGGCCGGGCCCAGAGGAACGCGGCTCGGATTCCCGGGGGAAGGCCAAGCGGGGCGGACCCCATCTCCGGGAAGTGACGCCATGGGGACGAGCGGCACCAGAGCCGGGGCCAGTCGGAGCGGGGCGCGCGCCGCATGGCGGAAGCGGAAGGGAGTTCTCTGCTCTTGTTGCCGCCGCCGCCACCCCCGCCCAGGATGGCGGAAGTGGAGGCGCCGACGGCGGCCGAGACGGACATGAAGCAATATCAAGGCTCCGGCGGCGTCGCCATGGATGTGGAACGGAGTCGCTTCCCCTACTGCGTGGTGTGGACGCCCATCCCGGTGCTCACGTGAGTCTCTTCCGGCATCCGCCTGGGGACGAGGAGGGCCCAGGGAGAGCCGGAGTCGGGCCGGGCTAGCCTCCGGCCCCAACGCGCAGCAAGCCTTTTCCTCGGGTCTGGCCCGCACGCCTCGCCCAGTCACCAGAACCCCGCCATCCATGTAGTGCCAGTTTGTGCACACGGCTGGGACACGCTCCCTGCTCTCAATACACCTGGTGTAGCCAGGGAGAGAGTTGTAGGCCAGCAGGAAAGGGCAAGTGGCTGGGAGACTCGAGCTGTGAGTGTGTAGAAGAGGGAGCCCCTTATCGGATCTGAGGAGACATTTTTATTAATTCACTGGTTTATTCTCTCATTGAGCAAATGCTTACTGGTCGCTTACCATATTCCAGACATACTGCTGGGTCTGGGAGCAAGAGTGGGAGTTTGGTTGGGACCACACGAGATCCTGGGATGTCAACATTGGAAGGGCCCCCAGAGATCTGAGAGTCCAACCCTTTGTCTCACGTGCCATCTCAGTTGCAAACTGGGTTTAGATCCCAGGTTGTCTGCCTCCCAGACCAAAGTTCTTTCTGTAACATCAGCCTTTGTCAGGGGAGAAGCAGGTGCTCTGGTACTACTTGGCGCCTTTTGGGAGGAGCTCTCATATGGGGAGAGGTGGTTTGCCCTCCTGCTTCAACCTTGACAGCTGATAAACGTAACCCCTCCTCACCGTGCTGGATAGTTTGCCAAGCTCTTAAACACCCATTTTATCAGAATTAAACATCCATTTTCTAAGGTAGGTTATCTTCTCAGATGGTGAAGCTGAGCTGCTTGTAGCATTAAGTGTCTTGATCAGGTTCGCACCCCAATAAGCAAAGGCATGAAGAGCTCAGTCTTCTGATCTAACTTGCTCTTTGCACTACATCTTATCCACTCTCACCTGATGGGATAGCTTGTTCCGCTATCAATAACAGCCAGTGGTGATGTGGAGAAGGGATCATTTGGGGCCTTAGGTGTTGCTGATTCTAAAAAGATCGTAGTTTTTGAATTATGTTAAAATACTTGAATTATTTTGTGTTTTCAAGTACTTATGCATATAAGAGCATCCAAATCTGTTCTTTAAAAATAAAATATTGGGACAGGCGCGGTGGCTCATGCCTGTAATCCCAGCACTCTGGGAGGCAGTGGAGGGTGGATCGGTAGGTAGTTCGAGACCAACCTGGCCATCGTGGCGAAACCCGTCTCTACTAAAAATACAAAAATTAGCTGGGCATAGTGGCACGTGCCTGTAATCCCAGCTACTCTGGAAGCTGAGGCAGGAGAATCGCCTCAACCCGGGAAGTGGAGTTTGCAGTGAGCCGAGATTGCACCACTGCACTTCAGCATGGGCAACACAGTGAAACTCCGTCTCAAAATAAATAGTGAAATAAAATCTTAGGAAAATGTGCACATTAATTCATTCAGTGTTCTTCTAACACATGTGCTAAGTGACCCCTGTGTTCCCAGATAGTTCTAGGTGATGCGAATATACAGTGATGAATAAAGGAGATATGGTCTTTAGACTTTTGAGAGTTTAAGTCATAGTGGAAGGAGATAGACAGTAAACAAGTAAGCTAATAAAAGAGCACCTGATAGTGATGAGTGCTGTGAAGAAAATAAAATATTAGTGTGAAAATAACAGGGGCCGGGCGTGGTGGCTCAGGCCTGTAATCCCAGCACTTTGGGAGGCCCAGGCGGGCGAATCACCTGAGGTCAGGAGTTCAAGACAAGCCTGACCAACATGGAGAAACCCCATCTCTACTAAAAATACAAAATTAGCCGGGGTGGTGGCACATGCCTGTAATCCCAGCTACTCAGGAGGCCGAGGCAGGAGAATCACTTGAACCCGGGAGGTGGAGGTTGCGGTGAGCCAAGATCGTGCTTTTGCACTCCAGCCTGGACAACAAGAGCAAAACTCCGTTTCAAAAAAAAAGAAAATAACTGGGAGGGATACTCAGGAAATGTATTGGTTTTCTTAAAACCTGTCTTGTGATCCTAAACTCTCTTTAGCCTTTCTTATTCTCAAAAACACCATCTGTGGCGTGGTCCTCTGCGGAGAATGGTAGCAGCGTGAGGTGGAGGCACCACAATCCCTTGTCACCTGGGCCAAAAGCAGCTCATAGCCCATTTCTATTCAGATCTGTGTACAGGTGTTCATAAGACCAAGATGAATAAGACACTGTGTTCCTGTCAAAGGGTTCATGTTCCCTTCTGTGTTAGTCCATTCTTGCACTAATACTTGAGACTGGATAATTTCTAAAGAAAAGAGGTTTAATTGACCCATGCTTCTGCAGGCTATACAGGAAGCATAGTGGCTTCTGCTTCTGGGGAGACCTCAGGAAGCTTCCAGTTATGGTGTAAGGCAAAGGGGGAGGGAGGCATCTCACATGGCGGGATTAGGAGCAAGAGGGAGTGAGGGGGGAGATGCTACACACTTTTAAACAACCAGATCTTGGGAAAACTCACTATCACGAGAACAGCACCAAAGGGATGGTGCTGAACCATTTATGAGAAAACCAGCCTCATGATCCCACCACCAGCCCCCACCTCCAATATGGGGACTACAGTTTGACAGGAGATTTGGCGGGGACAGATCCAAACCATGTCACCTTCAAAGGACTCACCTCCAGCAGGAGGGAGAGAAAGGTCAATTAGCCATCGTAGTATTACTGTATAGTGATGATTGCAGAGCTAGGCATAGATGTGGCGCAAGTAACTGTCACCTGTCTTTGGAGGAGAGATCAGAGGAGGAAATGGAACCCAAAGATCTGTCTACCCCCTCAGAGATGTTGGTAATTCTGCATGAAAAACCAGTTTAGTGCTCGCCTCAGCAGCACATATACTAAAATTGGAACGATACAGAGAAGATTAGCATGGCCCCTGCGCAAGGATGACATGCAGATTCGTGAAGCGTTCCATATTTTTGTCTCCCTGGACTTCGAGCAGGAGATGGCCACTACCACATCCTCCTCCCTGGAGAAGAGCTACAAGCTGCCGGATGGCCAGGTCATCACCATCAGCAACAAGCGGTTCCAGTGTCCGGAGGCGCTGTTCCAGCCTTCCTTCCTGGGTATGGAATCTTGCGGCATCCACGAGACCACGTTCAACTCCATCATGAAGTGTGACGTAGACATCCGCAAAGACCTGTACACCAACATAGGGCTATCCAGAGGCACCACCATGTACCCGGGCATCACCGACAGGATGCAGAAGGAGATTAACGCCCTGGCATCCAGCACCATGAAGATCAAGCTCATTGTGCCCCCAGAGTGCAAGTACTCTGTGTGGATCAGCGGCTCCATCCTGGCCTCACTGTCCACCTTCCAGCAGATGTGGATTAGCAAGCAGGAGTATGACGAGTCAGGCCCCTGTATCGTCCACCGCAAATGCTTCTAAATGGACTGCGAGCCGATGCGTAGCATTTGCTGCATGGGTTAATTCAGAAGTATAAATTGGCCCTGGCAAATGCATATACCTCATGCTAGCCTCACGAAAATGGAATAAGCCTTCGAAAAGAAATTGTCGTTGAAGCTTGTATCTAATATCAGCACTGGATTGTAGAACTTGTTGCTGATTTTGACCTTGTATTCAAGTTAACTGTTCCCCTTGGTATTTGTTTAATACCCTGTACATATCTTTGCTTTCAACCCTTAGTACATGTGGCTTGGTCACTGCGTGGCAAGGTAAGAATGTGCTTGTGGAAGACAAGTGCGACTTGGTGAGTCTGCATGGCCAGCAGTCTCCGATCTTTGCAGGGTATTAATATGTCATGGCTGAGTGTTCTGGGATTTCTCTAGAGGCTGACAAGGGCTCCTGAACCAGTTGTTTCTGTCCTGCTGGTCTGTCAGGGTTGGAAAGGCCAAGCCATAGGACCCAGTTTCCTTTCTTAGCTGATGTTTTCCTGCCAGAACACTGTGGGCTGTGACTTGCTTTGAGTTGGAAGCAGTTTGCATTTACACCTGTAAATGTATTCATCCTTTTAATTTATGTAAGGTTTTTTTTTGTATGCAATTCTCGATTCTTTAAGGAGATGAGAACAGATTTTGGTTTTCTACTGTTATGTGAGAACATTAGGCCCCAGCGGCATGTCATTGTGTAAGGAAAAATAAAAGTGCTGCTGTAACCAAAAAAAAGGGAAAAAAAAGAAACTAGTTTAATAGCTGCTGCTACTAATAAAAACAGCTAAGATTAGATGCTTACTCTGTCCTAAACATTGTATGTTCACTCACTCAATCCTAATGTCAACCTATGAAAGTAGATACTGTTGTCACCATTTTATAGATGAGGAAGTAAGGCTTAGAAGCCAGTGTGGTGCTCTTTTGCTGAGTTAGCCTACCTTCCCAGATTGAGCTCCAGGATGAGTGAGTCATTTATTCATTTATTGTATCTTTATAAAGCACCTATTATGTACTAGGTCCTGAATAGAAGGTAGTCCACAAAGCGGCTCTGGAGCTGCCTTCCTGGAGCTTCCAGGCTGACAAACCACTTTGAGGGTTTCTTCTCTGGGGCTTCCAGCCTTTACTCTGATTTCCATCCACTGCTGCCAGCACAGCTGTGGCGTGTGGAATCCTGGTTGGACCCAGACTTCCTCCCAAGCAGATGAAAGGATTAGGGGGCAGAGATGGGGGTGGAGGGCAGTCCTGAGATCAGGATGAGCTACTTTCCCATAATCCTGAATGTCCATCCTGTGGCCTGTGGATCTTCTGCAACTTATTCTATGTTAGTGCAGTCAGTCAGATAGTGCTTATGTATTGAACACCTCGAGATGACAACATTGAGCAGCTGCCAAGCGGAAGGCAGAGTCCTAGGCACTGTGTAAATGGATAAGTCTATCCATTTAATCCTCACAATAGCTCCTCATTAAGGTAATTTTTACTATCCACAGAGAGATGGGAATTAGTAACTTGCCCAGAACAAAGGCAAGCCTCAACCCAGATGATATCTGAGCATGACTTCACTGTTGGCGTTTGTTTGTTGTTTTTAATTTTTATTTATTTATTTATTTAGAGACAGAGTCTTGCTCTGTCACCCAGGCTGGAATGCAGTGGCGTGATCTCAGCTCACTGCATCCTCCGCCTCCGGGGTTCAAGTGATTCTCGTGCCTCAGCCTCTCGAGTAGCTGGGATTACAGGCACATGCCACCATGCCCATCTAATTTTTGTATTTTTAGTATAGACAGGGTTTCGCCATGTTTCCCAGGCTGGTCTCGAACTCCTGACCTCAAGTCATCCACCGGCCTCTGCCTCCCAAAGTGCTGGGATTACAGGCGTGAGCCACTGAGCCCAGCCTTGACTCACTGCAGCCTCAACTTCCTGGGCCCAGCCTTGGCTCACTACAGCCTCAACTTCCTTGGATCAAGTGATCCTCCAGCTAATTTTTAGATTTTTTTAGATACAGGGTCTCACTGTGTTGCCCAGGCTGGTCTCAAATTCCTGGGCTCAAGCAATCCAACTGCCTTGGCCTTCCAAAGTGCTATGATTACAGGCGTGAGCCACAGCACCCAGCCCCAGACTCTACTCTTAAATGCAGGATGTTCATTCATTATTTAGTCAACAAATATTTAGTGAGTTGCAGCTATATACAGGCACTGCCGTAGTAAACAAGAAAAAATCCTGTCTCTCTTGGAGCTTATGTTCTAGTGGAGAGACAGCATATAAATAACCAAGATAATTTTGGATGGTAGTAGATACTATGAGGGAAGTAAAGCATTGTAGTGGGATCTGGGATTGGGTGGCTGTGCTGGAAGACACCGTTCAGGCAAGACCTCCGAAGGTGACAGTGAGGCTGAGGCCTAATCAGTGAGGAGTCAGCTGTGCCATGCTCTCTGGGAAGAGTGTTCCAGACGGAGGAGAGGGCAGATACAGAGAAAGCATGGGGTGGGAGGATTTGGCGTGTTTGAGGCCACAAGCAGGCAGTGTAGCTAGAGAGGGGACTGAGATGAAGTTCAAGGGATAATTAGCACCACAGTGTTGGAAGAAGTTCGAAGTGTATTATAAGTGTAGTAGGAAGCCATTAATAGGTGTTGAACAGGGGAATGATGGAATCTGAGTTCAATTCTCAAAAGACCACTCTGGCCCTACCATTGTCTCAAGCGCTCAAGCTGTAGACCTGGAAGACCCCCATCCTGTCAGTCGTAAACTCTCCAGTCTTCATTTGAAAGATCTTTTGAATCCATGTGTTTCTCACCACCCTGCCCCTGATCCTCTAGTCAGGACCTCCATCATCTCTTGCCAGTGGTACAGCAGTAGCCCCTGAGCTGGCCTCTCCCCCTTTCGTTCTTCCAGGCACATGTACCACTTTCTTGCTCTGCAGTGTTGTTTTCTGCCTGTTGATGTTGTGTCCTTTCACAGGTCAAGGTTAAAAGTCACCTCCTCTGTGAAGTCTTTACTGGCTCCACCCCAGCCCCCTGTAACTGCTTTTTTAAACTGCGTCTCTGGAGGCTTGGCCTGCACCCCTAGCCAGGTGCTTTATGCTCGTGCCCAGGCAGCATTGAGGCCAGGACTCGGCCACTGGCCCTGTGAGTTCTCCTTAAACTGGATCAGTCTCTCCAGCACCCAGGTCCTGTAGGGCCATGGTTCTCAGAACACAGACAGGTCTGGGGTTCCTATGTGTGACATATTGGGGTGCATCTGAGATTTATTGTTGTTTTTTAATGCCCATGGTTTATAAAAAAGGAACTTTTATTTCCTGGCATACACCATGCTTCTGTTCCAATTTCTACCCTTGCACATTCTGTTTCTTTGTTATTTCCTCAGGGAAGCCTTTCCTGAACTCCCCCACCCATACTGGTGTCATGACCGCCCACCTTTTTTTTTTTTTTTAACTTTCTTATTGAGGTATAACTTATGTACCAAACGGTGTGCGAATCTCAAGTATACAGCAGGAAGAATTTTTGCATATCACACACTCATGTAACCGCCACCCAGACGGGGGCTAGAAAGCAATGCTAAGACCCAGAGGACCCCCTTGTGCCCTCCCAGTCAGTTCTACCACAGATTCCACCCCGCTGTGGACCTCTAGCCATAGATCAGTCTTGCCTTTTCTTGGACTTCACGTAAACAGAGTGCTATGTTACGTACTCTGTGTAAGATTTCCTTCATTCACCCTTATGTCTGTGAAAGCCTGTGTTGTGTGTAGCAGAAGTGACACTGTTTTTCATTGTTATGGACTATTTCAATGTATAACTATACCACACTTATTCATCGTACTGTTGTTGAACATTTGGATTCTTTCTAGTTGTTTTTATCAATTTTATTGAATTATAGTTTACATATAATAAAATGTACACATTTTAAGAGTACAGTTCAATGAGTTTTGGCAAATGTTATTTCCCAGGGGTGAGGGCAAAGAAGGTTCCAAAAGTGAAACTGCTGAGGCATTTAGTATAGTGCCAAACTGTTTTCCAGAATGGTAGAAACAGGCCGGGTACGGTGGCTCACGCCTGTAATTCCAGCACTTTGGGAGGCCGAGGCAGGCAGATGACTTGAGGTCAGGAGTTCGAGACCAGCCTGGCCAACGTGATGAAACCTCATGTCTACTAAAAATACAAAAATTAGCCAGGCATGGTGGTGCACTCCTGTAGTCCCAGCTACTCGGGAGGCTGAGGCAGGAGAATTGCTTAAACCCAGGAGGCGGAGGTTGCAGTGAGCTGAGATTGTGCCACCGCACTTCAGCCAGGGCAAGAGAGCGAGACTCCATCTCAAAAACAAAATGGTAGGCCGGGTGCAGTGGCTTATGCCTGTAATCCCAGCACTTTGGGAGGCCAAGGCACGTGGATCACGAGGTCAAGAGATCGAGACCATCCTGGCCAACATGGTGAAACCCCATCTCTACTAAAAATACAAAAATTACCCAGGCGTGGTGGTGCACACCTGTAGTCCCAGCTACTCAGGAGGCTGAGGCAGGAGAATTGCTTGAACTCGGGAGGCGGAGGTTGCAGTGAGCCAATATTGTGCCACTGCACTCCAGCCTGGGCGACAGAGCGAGACTCCATTTGAAAAAAAAAAAAAGGTAGAAACAGTTTATCCCTCCCACCAGCAGTGAATGAGAGCTCTGGTTGTCCCTTGCCCTCACCTGCATTGGTGTTGCTGTCGTTTGAGTTACAGCCATCCTGGCGGGATGCTGAGGTATCCCATTGTGCTGTCGGTTTGCAGTTACCCTTGTCTGTGCTTCCCCAGCCTTCTGGACCACCCTAATGGCCACCTGTCAATGAAACGTAATATTCACATGCTTCTGTACTGTATGAAGGGTCCCCAGCGTCCGTCTAACTGGCTGAAAGATCCCCTAAGCTCTGTCCCTTCCCCGTCCTTTTCCTCACAGGTGGTTTTTCCCCATCATCGGCCACATGGGCATCTGCACATCCACAGGAGTCATTCGGGACTTCGCGGGCCCCTACTTTGTCTCAGTGAGTCCCCATTCTGCCCACCCGGGGGGTTCCAAGGTTTAAGTGGAAGGCTGTCCTGTCTTGCCTGCAGGCAGGCTTCGTCTCCCCAGACCCAGGAGAACGTAGATAACCCGCAGTCCTGGCCCTGGCCCTCTGCCCCTCACCAGTGTTTGACCCCTTTCCCCCTTCTCTTGCCTCCAGGACAGGCCGGGAGGGCAGTGTGGCCAGAAGGATTCTTAAGTAACTGACCCAGCCCTTTGCCCCCACCCCTGGGGTACCGAGACATGGGTAGGGATTAGAGGCAAGAGTGGAGAGTCAGACCATCCAGGAACCACATCTCTGGACCTTCAGAAGGTGGGAGTCAAGGTGGGGGGACACGGGAGGCTGATTCGGTTCCCTGGGTGTGGCCATGGAGAAGAGGGGGTGGGGCTTTAGAATGAAGCAGCTGTGTTCTCAGGTCTGTTCCCTGGGGCTGTGACCAAGACTGGTCCAGTGGGCTAGCAGCAGAGGAGCATGCATCATCCTGTCTCCAGGTGTCAGAGGCTGGACTGAAGGGGTGTGGTGGCACCAACCTGTTTATATTAATAGTTGTCATGATCATCTTAACACGACAAAGGTCTGTCACTTTGTACTTAAAAATACTTTCACATCCATTACTTTATCATATATTTTTATGGTGATTAATCATTGACCAGGTCTGTCAGCAGGGTCTCCCTGATCTGAACCCAGAGTCTGTCTCTGTGTAAGTCCTGTACCCCAGGAATAATGTGATGAGTCTAGGACTTCACTGCAGTGTCTCCCTCACAGGAAGTCCCTCTGGGCCCAGCGCCCCCGCCCTGCTATGAATGCAGTCAGACTGCTGGGCGAGGAGATGGTCTCCATGTGGGCCACCACTGTTGAGTCAGGAGGCCAGACCATGATGGAAACCTCCTGCTGGTCCTCAGAGATCAGAGAAGACTGACCAGAGAACTTGGAGAAAATGAGGCCCAGAGAGGGCAAGAGAATTCCTGGGTGCCACACCAAGGGACAGTGGCAGCTGGAGCCCCAGATCTTTGGTCTCTG
The DNA here is from genome assembly GCF_000001405.40 of Homo sapiens. NCBI lineage: Eukaryota > Metazoa > Chordata > Mammalia > Primates > Hominidae > Homo > Homo sapiens. The sequence goes on from NC_000001.11 coordinate 27,331,846, forward strand.
ATGCAGTGCTCTGTGCACTTGTGCCACACTGCCTTCTTCCTGCAGAACAGCTGCTAGCTCTTTAGATGCCATGCCAGCCCCAGGGCAGGGCCCAGGCCCCACTTCTGGCCCCCCCACCCCTGACATACCCTCTTCTAAGTCACTGCACTTCTGCCACCTACCCAGGTTTGTCATCTGGCCCAAATGTAAGTTCCTCACTGACCTCTGCTTTTGTCCCTCAACAGGAGGACAACATGGCCTTTGGAAAGCCTGCCAAGTAAGTGATGAACACCCATGTGACTGGCTCTAGAGGCAGGTCGCTCCTGCCGGGGCGGGCCAGGCCTTCTGGGGCACAGGAGGGGCCAGCACCCTGAGAATAGAGTATTTGGGGTCGGGGGAGAGGTCAGCCAGGGTCCACCAGAGCATGGCAACCCCATACAGAGTGTGTACCGCACCAGCCCCTGGCTAGGGCCTTTACCTGTAGACCATCTGGGCCTTGCCACAGCTCTTCAGGTTTGTATTTTCAACTCCATGGCAAGGGTGAGGAAAGGGAAGGGACTTGGTCAAGGTCACACAGGAAGTGGCAGAGCTGGGACCCACACCCAGATCTGTCTCCCTCTAGACTCACTCTCCTGCCCTTTGGGAACAAATGAGGCATGGAAGGTAGAAGAGAGGCATTGTTTGGAGCTCTGCTGGAAAGTTCTGGTTGGAGAGAATAAAAACCGTTCAACCTTCTGGGAGCTATTGCTGGTTTGGTTTGGGACATTTGGTCTTCATCTTTGCAGTCTCGGGTGCCCACCTCAGCTGTGGGCCTGGTGAGAGTGCCTCAGTCATCAGTGTCCTCAGGTGACCTGTTGCCCAAGGCTGCACTGGGAGGAGAGACTGGGCCGAGGAGGAGTTGGTGTCCCACACAGCTGAGATGGCCTGGAGCAGGGCTTCCTGCTGCCCTCTCTGGCTTCCTCCGGCAGGCAGCAGTGTAGTCCAGGAGTCTCTGGGCCACCAGGTGTTCGCTGCCAGACTGCTCTTCAAGGACAGTTTTAAGGGCATCATTTTCCAAGCAGTAGCCCCTAAGCGGCCCCAGTCCAGGCCATGGTCTCTAGACTCCTCCACCAAGCCATTCCCCTACACAACAGCCAGGGGGCGCCCTGACCTCCCAGCTCTCCTTGGCCTGAGACCCACCGGGCACTCTGGTGCTTGGAACAGCAATTCTCACCCACCTTGAGGTTTATGGGCTTTAGCACCATCAGCTTCCCTGCCACTCACCCTGGCAAGCTGCCTGGGAGACTAGGGGAGAGTGCTTGCTGCTGGGTAAACTCCCCGCGTGATGTGGCCTCACCTGCATCTCCAGCCTTAGCTGCCAGCATTCCATCACCGTGTTTCTCTTTCTGCATCCTCCAGGAGGGCTCAGTCACTTCAGTTATGGGACATGCTGCACAGTTTTATGCCTGTCACTTAGCTTAAGCTGTTCCCTCAGCCTGGAATGCCCACCTCTTCTTTCTATGCCTGCCTAACCCTCTTCCTTCATACTGGACCCAGGTGTCACCTCCAGGAAGCCTTCTCACACCCCATCTTAGTCCGTTCTGGCTGCCATAACAAAATCTCATCAATTGGGTATCTTAGAAACAACAGAAATGTATTTCTCACAGTTCCGAAGACTGGACAGTCCTGGGTGCGGGTGCTGGTAGAGTCAGTGTCTGGTGAGGGCCTGAGGTGCCTTTCCACTGTGTCCCCACGTGGTGGAGGGGTGAGGGGTCTCCCTCAGGGCTCTTTTATAAGGACACGGATCCCATTCATGAGAGCTAATCACCCCATGGCCTAATCACCTCCCAAAGGCCCCACCTCCTCATACCATCACCTTGAGGGTTAAGATTTCAACATATGAACTTGGGGACACAGACTTTCAGAGCATAGCACCCCCAATTTCATTCCATATCCCCCCAGGATCCCCCATGGCACCAGCCACCTCACCCTGTGTCACAGTTGACTGCCACATAACACTTGCCCCAGATCTGGCTTACTGTACATCTCAGCACCCAGCTCAGGCCCGGGCACAGGGCAGGCCTCAGAGGACGTGCGTAGAGCTGAGGGCACAAAGGAGCCAAGCAAGTGTCCAGAGCCCTTCTCTCCCCCCAGGTACTGGAAGTTGGACCCTGCTCAGGTCTATGCTAGCGGGCCCAACGCATGGGACACGGCTGTGCACGACGCCTCTGAGGAGTACAAGCACCGCATGGTAGGTGGGCCAGGGCGGCACCGGCACTCCCCAGGTGGGGACCAGGGGGGAGGCTCCCCTGCAGCCCATCCTGACCAGCCCTTCTGGTGCCTCCAGCACAATCTCTGCTGTGACAACTGCCACTCGCACGTGGCATTGGCCCTGAATCTGATGCGCTACAACAACAGCACCAACTGGAATATGGTGACGCTCTGCTTCTTCTGCCTGCTCTACGGGAAGTACGTCAGGTGAGCTGCCCTCCTGCCTGCCCACCCACACACTGCCCAGAGGCTGCTCTCCCAAGGATCCTAGAAAGACCATTCCTAGCGTCCTTCAGTCAGCCAGGACAGTTGGAACAGATGCCAGTTGGAGCCGTGGTGGTTCTAGAGTGACGAGCTGAGGGCCTGATGGAGAGGGAGGTGGCTGTGCTGAAGTCCAGCTCCACCTGGGCCCCAAATGCAGCTCTGGCTCTTGCCTGCTGTGAGACCATGGGCAACTGCCTTGGTCTCTCTTAGCCACAGCTGTCTCTGGTGAAATGCAGGCAATGATTCCGGCTCCTCAGGGAGGCTTCTACGGATCCCTGTGCTCCGGTAAAGTGAGCAGATAGATCCTCTCATAATGACTGCCCCACAGGTCCCTTCCTAGGCAGAGAGATTGAGTGAGTCGCCCATGGTCGCCACAGCATGGACACAGCAGAGCCCAGACTCGTGAGCCAGCATAGGTTAGTGCTGATCTGGCCGCCTCTCCAAGCTTTCCTCTTAGCCACGTTCATCATTAAGAGGTTCTGAAAAGAAGACTTTTAGGGATATTTTTAAGTACTGCATGGCTTTTAGAAGTCCCCTGAGAATAACTGGTCACACAGAGGTTGAACCCAGACCCCTGGCTCCCAGCTGCTTGGCTCCAGCCACAACACTGCTGACCCTTGCCAGCCCCAGAGCTCCCAGTAGTCCCCATTATGAAGTCCATAGGCAGAGGGCACACGTGGCTTCCATACCCAAACTGCAATTCCTGGTCCTCTTGCTGGAGACCCTAGAGGTAGGTGGCTATAGATGGAGCCAGTGAGGCCTAGAAATGGGGAGCATGTTTCCTGTTCCCAACCAGCGAGGTGTCAGTAAATCACCAGGAGCGCGGAGCAGCCCCTGCCCGGGACCATAGCTGGTGATCCCCCATAGTGGGCAACCATGCCCAGCCTGCTTCCTTGATTGGCCAAGTTTGGGGTGAGGGGGTGGTTGGGTTTTCCTTAGGGATGGCAGCCCTATTGGGGTCTGTGGGTGCTCAGGGCTGCGGGCCGCATGCCTGCTCACCAGGCCCTGCCCACCTATGCTCGCTCCTTTCTCTCTGTCAGCGTTGGGGCCTTCGTGAAGACCTGGCTGCCCTTCATCCTTCTCCTGGGCATCATCCTCACCGTCAGCCTGGTCTTTAACCTCCGGTGATGGCTGCTCGGTGGCCCCACACCCACCAGGGTCCCGAGGAAACAGCCGCCATCCCTTTTGGTTCCAGATTTTTTTCTCCTCACCCCAAAAGGCAGGGTTGGGCCTGCTGTTGTGGACCGGGGGTCGGGGCTGGCAGGATGGAAGGACTGAGGACCAGCATGAAGTGGGGGTTTGTTGTCTCCCTGCCTCTCAGAAGCACCCTGTCCCCTCCTCCCCAGGCCTGTGACTCCGGCCCTGGAAGCCCCTTTGTTCTTCTGTTGAAAGGCTTTGGCTTCCCGCTGTAGAGCTGCTCCCGCCACCACCTGCTGGGGTCCTGCCTCAGCCCAGTGCCCAGTATGGGGAGAGGAGGACATTTGGGCTCACCTGTCAAGGTGGCCCTGGGACCAGAGCTGGTCCCAGCATGGGGTGCACCGGGTACACTTAACGTGTCTCTATAAGCCAAGTTGCTTCAGGACCTTCACCACTGGCCTCTAGAATGGTCCAGAGGGGCTGGCTGGGTCCCTTTGTCAGACTCCTGCCGGCAGCTGCCCTGGGGGACATGTGTGCCCATCTGGCATCCTCCAGCCCGTGCAGTCCGCTCTTCACTGTTCCACGGCCTCCCAGTGCCTCCCAGCATTGGACCCATCTCCCCCTGCAGTTTGAGGCCAGAGAGGTGAGTGGACCTGACAAGTGCCAGAGTAACCGTGTAGACAGAGCAGTGTAGACAGCACTCAGCCCCAGCCCCAGGTGTGGACCTCATGCTGGTGATGGCTCCCCTGGGTGGCCTGCCAGCACAGCCAGTGCCATCAGGGAGCTGAAGGGGCTGTCCCCCACCTAACTCCAGCTCCCCCTTCACGTTGTCACCAAGGCCCTGTGCCGCCCGCCTCGCCCCCCTGCTCTGTGGATTCCTTTGGGAAGGGCTCCCTGGGCAGGACAATAAAGAGTTTTGACTCCAGTTGGTGCCCTGTCATTGTTTTCTCCCTCTCTGGGGCCCCCTTGCCCCTTAGCTCATAGCGTCTTGGTATTCTTGGGACCCTATTACCCTTGACAAGGGTCTAGTTGCCAGCACCATGGTTGAGTCTGCGTCCAGTGCCTGGGGCCATCAGCATCCCTCAGGTATATCCCGCCCCTGAAGTCTGGGGATTCCCTGCCATTCTCCATTCCCCATTCCAAAGCTTTCCTCTTGAGGCAGGTGGGCATTGAAACCCCTTCCATCGTCCCTGTTGGGAAGGACTTGTAGGCTTGGGGTTAGGGCTGAGTAGAGCCTCCACTGCTGTCCCCACCACCCGCCGGGGTACAGAGTTGGGGATGAGCCAAGAGCACTGCCAGCCTCTGGTCACTGTATCCATCCAGCCTTCGCTTGCCTCCGATCCTTTGCTCTCCACCATCCCTCTCATGGCGGCCCTGCCTAACCAAGGCCCAGCTTAAAAGCCGCTTCCTCCCTGAAGCCTTTCCCAACCCTGTCCATGCATCACTTCAGTTGAACTAGCCAAGGATTTGGTCTTGAACGTGGCCTTGAGGACATGCTCTAGCAGCTGGCCATGGGGTCCCTGGTCAGGCATCTGCCAGCTCACCCCAGACCCTGCAGTGCTGTGGTCTGCAAGCCTGGGACTTCTCCAGGGCAAGGCAGAGGTGACCTCTCCCCACTTCAGAGCAGTTCCATTTACTTTTCTTTTTTTTCTTTCTTTCTTATTTATTTATTTTTTGGAGACAGAATCACTCCGTTGCCCAAGCTGGAGTGCAATGGCACGATCTCAGCTCACTATAACGCCTGCCTCCTGAGTTCAAGTAATTCTCGTGCCTCGGCCTCCCAAATAGCTGGGATTACAGGTGCCCGCCACCACGCTGGGCTAATATTTGTATTTTTAGGAGAGACGGGGTTTTACCATGTTGGCCAGGCTGATCTCGAACTCCTCAGGTGACCCACCCGCCTCAGCCTCCCAAAGTGCTGGGATTACAGGCATAAGCCATTACGCCTGGCCCCAGCAATTCCATTTTCAAAAACCTGTTTTGCATATTGGGTCCATCCGAGAGTTGGTTGAGGGGGGACAAATTCAATACTGAAGACAGGCCGGTTGCGGTGGCTCACGCCTGTAATCCCAGCACTTTGGGAGGCTGAGGCAGGCGGATCACGAGGTCAGGAGAGCGAGACCATCCTGGCTAACACGGTGAAACCCCGTCTCTAATAAAAATACAAGCACTTAGCCGGGCATGGTGGCGTGCACCTGTAGTCCCAGCTACTTGGGAGGCTGAGGCAGGAGAGTGGCATGAACCCGGGAGGCGGAGCTTGCAGTGAGCCGAGATCGCGCCACTGCACTCCAGCCTGGGTGACAGAGCAAGCCTCCGTCTCAAAAATAAAAATTAAAAAATAAACCAAAGACAGCCACAGTAGAATAGATAGAAAAAAGGCTTAAGGCCTGCGTTAGCCTAGCAGAATTTAAAATTTGCCTGGGGGAAACAGGACATAAAATTGTGCCATAGAAGTCACCAACAGGGTCAGCCACAGTGTCCAGCACTTTGGGAGGCCAAGGCTGGAGGAGGGAGGGAGCCCAAGAGTTTGAGACCAGCCTCGGCAACAAAGTGAGACCCCATCTCTACAAAAAATTAAAAAATAAAATTAGCTGGGCATGATGGTGCGTACCTGCAGCCCCAGCTACTACTCAAGAGACTGAAATGGGAGGATAGCTTGAGCTCAGGAGGTCAAGGGTGACAGAGCAAGACCCCGTCTCTCCCTCTCTCTCTCTCTTTTTTTTTGTTTTGTTTTTTTTTTTTTTTTTGAGATGGAGTCTTGCTCTTGTCACCCAGGCTGGAATGCAATGGCATGATCTCAGCTCACTGCAACCTCCGCCTCCCGGATTCAAGCGATTCTCCTGCCTCAGCCTCCCGAGTAGCTGGGATTACAGGCGCCTGCCACCATGCCCGGCTAATTTTTGTATTTTCAGTAGAGACAAGGTTTCGTCATGTTGGCCAGGCTGGTCTCAAACTCCTGACCTCATGATCCGCCTGCCTCGGCCTCCCAAAGTGCTGGGATTGCAGGTGTGAGTCACCATGCCCGGCCTAAGGCCCCGTCTCTTAAAAAAAAAAAAAAAAAGTCACCAACAGTTAGCGAGTGCTTACTCTGTGCTAGGCCTTGTAATAAAATACCATCTTAGCCTCACAACAGCCCTGCAACAAGGTAAGTGCCATCATCCCATTTTACAGATGAAGAAGTAAGCAGAGAAGTAGTGATTTGCTCCGGGTCACAGAGGTAGGAAGAGTGGAACTATGGTTCAAACCCAGCAGCTGGGCTCCAGAGCCCCCACTCAGAGCCACCCTGTGCGATGGCCTCACTGGAGCACAGGAGTGGAAATGAGAGGTGCTGTGATGCGAAAGGAGAATGGCCGCGGAGGTGAAAAACAAGCTCTCCTGACAGCAGCAGGCCTGTGAGATGGCTATTGTCCCCACTTCATAAAGGAAGAGAGTGAGGCTTACAGGGATTGTCATTGATCCCAGGCCACAGGGAACCATGCGGCAGAGCCAGATTTTAACCCAGATCTGCTGGCCTCTAGGACCCTGCCTCTTAATGTCCCTCTTAACAGAGGGATGTTGCCTAGAGACTGGCTGCAGCGCAGGGGCACTGAACTCTGGAGGAGGCTGAGCTAGTCCTGGAGCTGGGGAAAAGTATTCCCACAGGGAGCACAGAAGGCCCAGGGGTGTTGAAGGACAGGAAATAGCCCACAGCTAAGGCTCTACGGGTATAGGTGACGAAGGGGAGAAAGCCAGAGTAAGGGCAGCAATCCTGAGGGTCAGGCTGAGGGCCAGGCTGTCCTGGGAAGTGGTGAGACTTCCATCTCAGGACGTGTCTAAAGGGGACTGGACTGGTTTAGAAATGTATGAATGGGCCCGAGGGATGGCCTGGCTGTCTGCTGGCACCTTCCAAACCAGAGGATGACAAAGAAAAGTACGTTTGAAAGTTGTGCAACATAGGGCCAGAGTGGCCTTGTGTGGCCGCAAGGAGGCAGGAGAAGAGGAGGCTTCCAGAAGAGGCTGAGCGGGGACTGAGACCTGGGCAGGGGGAGGACAGCAGAGACACACAGATGGGAGGGCACCTGGAGTGAAGTGTGGACAGCATCTGGAGGTGGCAGGAAGCAGCAGGAGGCCAGGGGCCAGGATGATGGGGGCTGGTTACAGAGGTGGAAACTTGGAAATAGGTTTCAAGTGGGGAAGAGGCCAGAGGAATGCAGGTTGAGACACAGCAGGAGAGATGGCTGGAAGTATCAGCGTCAGGGAGTCACAGCTATAGGAAGGACAGGAGAGCAGAGAAAGGAAGGGAAATTTAGAAACCCGAAGACCAGATAATGAAGTTTCATGCCTTCCAGGAGGAAGAGCTGCTAAGGAGGTGAGAGGAGGGCAGAGAAACATCCTTGGGGGCGCCAGGACCAGGATGGCAGGAAGGGGTGTGGATGTTCTTGGCCACTCTCCTTCCATTTTGAGGGCCTTAATGAAGGAGGCAGCATCACAGTAATGGTCCCACAGCAGCTGCTCCATGGGTATTGCATGTGTGGGTGCATAAATGCATTAATCAAGAGTACTGGGGTCTGGGCAAGGTGGCTCACGCCTGTAGTCCTAGCACTTTGGGAGGCTGAGGCAGGCAGATCACATGAGACCAGGAGTTCGAGCCCAGCCTGTCCAACATGGTGAAACCCCATCTCTACTCAAAATACAAAAATTAGCCAGGCGTGGTGGCGGGCGCCTGTAGTGCCAGCTACTCGGGAGGCTGAGGCATGAGAATCACTTGAACCCAGGAGGCGGAGGCTGCAGTGAGCCAAGCCAGCCTGGGCGACAGAGCAAGACTCCATCTAAAAAAAAGAAAAAAAAAAGTCTGCAAGGATCTCACTGAATTTTAGTGAAAACCCTCTAAGGAGAGATTACCCCCATTTAACAGATGAGAAAAATAAGATTAATTTGCAAAAAATAAGTAGGGAAGCCTCCACTGTGGTTCTGAGGTGGAGGAGGGTCCTCTGTCTCTCAGTGGTGGTGGGAGTCGGTTCTGATTACAGGAAGGAAGAGTGGGTGTTTAGTTTTCTTTTCTTTTCTTTTCTTTTTTTTTTTGTGACGGAGTCTCGCTCTGTCGCCCAGGCTGGAGTGCAGTGGTGCGATCTCGGCTCACTGCAAGCTCCACCTCCCAGGTTCATGCCATTCTCCTGCCTCAGCTACTCGGGAAATAGCTGGGACTACAGGCAGCCGCCACCACGCCCAGCTAATTTTTTTTGTATTTTTAGTAGAGATGGGTTTTCACCGTGTTAGCCAGGATGGTCTTGATCTCCTGACCTCGTGATCCACCCGTCTCGGCCTCCCAAAGTGCTGGGATTACAGGTGTAAGCTACCACGCCCAGCCTTGTTTGCTTTTCTGAGACGGAGTCTCGCTGTGTTGCCCAGGCTGGAGTGCAGTGGTGCGATCTCGGCTCACTGCAACCTCCGCCTCCTGGGTTCAAGCGATTCTCCTGCCTCGGCCTCCCGAGTAACTGGGACTGCAAGCACCTGCCACCATGCCCGGTTAATTTTTGTATTTTGAGTAGAGACGGGGTTTCACTATATTAGCCAGACTGGTCTCAAACTCCTGTCCTAGAGTGATCCGCCCACCTCGACCTCTTAAAGTACTGGGATTACAGGCATGAGTCACTGTGCCCAGACTGGTTTTGTTTAGAATCCACCCCTTGTCCTGCCTCTCCCAGGGGTCTATGAGGAGCCCACTAATCTTTAATCCATGGCCCTAGGTTCAGGGGAGGGGGTTGGGCCAGGGCAGGCCATGGGAAGTGAAGTGGACTTGGGGGGAGTCAGAAAGCTTTGGTGTGGCCTCTTGTGCCCAAGACAACCCAGGAGGTTCATGGTCCTGAAGCCAATGTAATCTAGGGCCCAAACCTTCTAATCTCAGGGTGGGCAGAATCTAGGTGTAGAATGGGGTGAGTTCAGGGGGGCTCCACATAGACAGAGGGTGTGGGACCCTCACCTTGGCACTAGAAGAGTTCAGGCCTCCTCAAACAGATGGGGCTCAGGACAGCAGAGGGGACAGAGAGGGCTGCTCTGCCAGCATGTCCCAGAAGTGCATGTGGATATAGAGGGCAGCAGCTGCTGAGATGGCCGTGGGCATTAGGCTATGCTGGAGTGGGGACACCTCACCCCGACTATGCCAGCTCGCACCGGGCACTTTCACTTCCCTTAGTATAGGCTCCTTGCACTCTGCTACCCACAGTTTGCATCAGAAGAAATGGAAGAGACCTGCTTAAGGTCACATCACACACCCACTGGCAGAGCAGGGACTCTGCACAGGGTGGTCTAACTGCAAAGTCTGCCATCCTGCCATTCCCCTTGGGGCTGGAAAAGAAAGGTTTCTAACTTGCTTTCAAAGCGAGTTCCTATCAGCCCCGTTGTGGGCAAGGTGGGGCTGCTACCCGTTCTAGAGGGCCTGCTCAGTGGAGCTGGGGCCAAGCTGGGCCTCTCCAGTCGGCTGCGGGGGCGCACCCCCGGGCGCTGGGAGTCCAGGCCCGGTTTTGCATCAGGCCCTGCCGAGGTGTTTCCTCCTCCTCCGTGTGGGGCAGCTGCTGGCTGGGCTGCCTGTTGAGTCAGCCTTCTTCCCTCACGGCTCTTCTCCCGGTCCCTGAAACTCGGCTGCCAGGGGAGCTGGAGCCACCTGCGAAGGTGTCCTCCCATACTGGACCCCTACAGGTAACACGTGTCGGTGCCAGGGTCCCCTGCCAGGGTCCAGAGACGCAGGCACTGCCACCTGGTATCCTGAGCACCCTCCAGCACCTTGGGGTTGGGGGAGGTGGGCACATGTCTGGAACTGGAACAGCTGGACAGATGGACAGACCCTCCTCTTGACCAATGGGTCTGTCCCACCGTGTCAAAACAGCAGAGAAGACCAAACTCCTACCTAACTCTGGTAGGAGATTCTGCCTCTGGTTGGTAGGAGAGGGGACTTCAGGGAGGGGGCACTGCTGAGGACGCTGGGCTGATGCCCATGGCCCAGCTCAGGCAGGCCTGAAGGACAGAAATAGGCTCAGTTCTGCCGAACGTCCCCCCGGCCTCCATCCACACTCAGACACACACACCTGGTGGCCCCCAAGGCACCAGGGGACACCCCACAGCACACAGCCCAGTCACACATACAGCACAGGAGGAAATGCACAATGCATACTGTACACACCCCACACGGCGCTGTCACCTAGAAAGTCACTGAACACACCACACAGACAATATAGTCACCATGCAGCATCACACTGCAACAGGACACAAAGACACACAGCAACTACACAGCTCACAGACTCACGCAACGCAGACATGCCCACCAGACTCGGACCCACACAGCCACACAACAGGGCACAGAGAGGGACGTGGGCTCACACCCCAATCCACAGGGGAGGCCGAACGTGGGCTCACACCCCAATCCACAGGGGAGGCCGAACGTGGGCTCACACGTTGGCCACAGAAGTCCAGGGAAACTGCTGTTGTGGAGCACACAGGTATCCACAGAGTGAATGCACACCGTGCAGCCGTGCTGAGGCCTTCTGCTCCTGAGGGTGTCAAGAGGGATCGCTGGGGCTCGGCCACTGACTCAGCTGGGAGGGGACAGAGCATAGCAGGCGGCGGACACAAGCCAGGACCTGCCCGCCAAGCTGCCTCCGCCGGTCTCAGCCCCACCTGGAGCCGTGGCAATGGAAGGGGCGGGGAAGAGAGGAGAGGCCGCCCAGTGGGCTCAGGACACAGCCCTGACCAAGTCATGGGCCCCTTGCCACGTCTACATGCCCCTCAGCGCTGGGCAAATGCTTTCTTTCCGGAGTCACTGTGGTACCTGAGCATGGGCTGCTGCGCTAGCCTAGGCCTCCACCGCCGGGACCCCAGCCTGGTCTGGGGAGAACTGTGTGGCCAGAACAGAGGGGCCCTGTGGCTCCAGGCAACAGGGCAGGGCTGGCGGCGGGGGCATCCCTGGGTTGGAGGCCTCCGTGGGAGTGGGTGCGGCAGTTACCTCAGGAGAGGAAGTTGGGGGTGTGGGCTGAGGAGGAGGTTGCCTCAGACAGGAAGGCCAAGTGGGCCAGGGCAGGGTGGAGGTGGTGGCAGGAGGGGACCCAGGCTGTGAGGTTCCTGGTGCGGGGGAGTGAGCAGATGTGTGTGTGTGTACGTGTGTGTGTGTGTGTATCTGTCTGTCTAGGTGGGTGGTTGTATGTGTGCATTCCCATGTGTGTGCAGGCATATTTCTGCATTTAATTAATCAAACTTTTACCAACCATCTGTTGTGTGCAAAGTAATGGCTTTGAGGGTGACTCCCTCTCCCTGCCTCCAAGGAGCTCACAACCCAGTTAGCCGGGCAATGTATGTGTGCCAAAGTCTGTATGATTTTTATGTACATCTTTATCGAGGGACATATTTGTCCCCAGACTTGTTCTTGTCTAGGTGAACCCATCCGGGTGGGCCTATCCCCATTGGTGTGCATATGCTGTGTGCAGGTTTTTTTGTTAGTTTTTGTTTTGAGACGGAGTCTCACTCTTGCCCAGGCTGGAGTGCAGTGGCGCCATCTCAGCTCACTGCAACCTCCTTCTCTTGGGTTCAAGTGATTCTCCTGCCTCGCTTCCCAAGTAGCTGGAATTACAGGCATGTACCACCATGCCCAGCTAATTGTTCTGTTCTTTTCATTTTTTTTGGAGGAGTTTCACTCTTTTTGCCCAGGCTGGAGTGCAATGGTGTGATCTCGGTTTACCATAACCTCTGCCTCCCAGTTTCAAGCAATTCTCCCACCTCAGCCTCCCGAGTAGCTGGGATTAAAGGCATGCACCACCATGCCCGGCTAATTTTGTATTTTTAGTAGAGACGGGGTTTCTCCGTGTTGGTCAGGCTGGTCTCAAACTCCTGACCTCAGGTGATCTGCCCGCCTTGGCATCCCAAAGTGCTGGGATTACAGGGGTGAGCCACTGTATCTGGCCATAATTTTTGTATTTTTAGTAGAGAAGGGGGTTTCACCATGTTGGCCAGGCTGGTCTTGAACTCCTGACCTCAGGTGATCGGCCCACCTTGGCCTCCCAAAGTGTTGGGATTACAGGCGTGAGCCACCGCGCCTGGCCACTGTGTGCAGATTTAAGAACATGTGTAGGGCCGGGCGTGGTGGCTCACGCCTGTACTCCCAGCACTTTGGGAGGCTGAGGCTGGCAGATCATGAGGTCAGGAGTTCGAGGCCAGCCTGGCCAACATGGTCAAACCCCGTCTCTACTAAAAATACAAAAATTAGCTGGGCGTGATGGTGCGTGCCTATAATCCCAGCTACTCAGGAGGCTGAGGCAGGAGGTTTGAACCCGTCAGGCAGTGGTTGCAGTGAGATGAGATCGTGCCACTGTACTCCAGCCTGGGCAACAAAGCAAGACTCCTCAAAAAAAAAAAAAAAAAAAAAAAAAAGAATGTGTGTGCATGTCTCTCGTGGGCATGGGTCCGGGTCTGTGTCTGCAGAGGGCCCTTTCTGGGGGAACAGCTGTGCATGCGCCTGTCTTTATGCAGGTGTCTGTGTGCATGTGCGACCATATCTATGCCTACATGGACCCGCGTGTGCACATGTGTCTGTGTGTTCCATCGCTGCAGTCCTGTGTGGCCCTACCTCAGGGTGTGTGCATGTGTGTCTCTTGCTTCTTCCACTGTGTCTCCAAGTGTGTTCAAGGGCTAGTGTATGCATGTGTGCATGAGTGTCTCTCACCCCACCTTGAGCTCAGCCATCCTGGGGTGGCACCCTACCCATACCCGGCCAAGTGTTTGGGGAGAAAAGGGCTGTTGGTTCTAGGATGTGCCAAGCATTTGTGCAGGGCTTGACCTGACCCTCGGTCTGCCCCCAGGAAGCTCCGTGTGCCCAGCTGGGGCACAGCCCCAGCTGATGCCCCAGAGGGGCCACCCATCGCAAGAGGGGCTTTGGGCTCTGCCCTCCCTCCCCATGGCGCATGGGCCAAAGCCTGAGACTGAAGGACTGTTGGACCTCAGCTTCCTGACAGAGGAGGAGCAGGAGGCCATTGCTGGCGTCCTCCAACGAGATGCCCGCCTGCGCCAGCTGGAGGAGGGGCGGGTCAGGTAAGGCAGGGCAGACCCTGGCCGGGGAGCACCAAGAGGCTTGAGTGGCCCCCATCCTGCTCCCTACCGACACCACTGCCTGTCAGATGTCTGCGTGGTTCTTGGTTTTGCCCTTCAGTCTCCTCTGGCCTTGGCCAGCTCACAGCTCATCACTTCTCCAGGGGTGACTGCACCAGCTTTCTCGCCAGCCTCCCTGCCTCCAGGCTTGCCTCTTGGGCCCACCTCCTGCAGCTGGTGCTCCCCAGATCTGTCTGCTTTTTTTTTTTTTTCTTGAGACAGAGTTTCATTTTTTCGCCCAGGCTGGAGTGAAGTGGCACAATCTTGGCTCACTGCAACCTCCACCCCTCCGGGTTCAAGCGATTCTCCTGCCACAGCCTCCCAAATAGCTGGGATTATAGGCACATGCCACCATGCCCAGCTAATTTTTGTATTTTTAGTAGAGATGGGTTTTCGCCATGTTGGCCAAGCTGGTCTTGAACCTCTGATCTCAGATGATCCACCCGCCTCAGCCTCCCAAAGTGCTGGGATTACAGACGCGAGCCACCGTGCCTGGCCAGATCCGTCCTTAATATCCCCGCTGAAAACTTCCCCTGGCTCCCCAGTATCAAGGGCAAGCTCCTAGGCATGGTCCACTGGGCCTCCCTGGTCGGTCCTTGCCAGCCCCCACCATCTCCTCTTTCACCATAACTCCGACCCGACACACAGACACAAAGTGACCCCTCCAGCCACTCAGGTGCTCCCCAGTCCCTGAACCCACTCTTCACTTCTATGCCTATGCTGGTACTTCTTCCTGGAAGAGCACAGTTGTAGAAGAGCATGGGCGTTACAAGCAATGTTTGGGGACAGACACTTCCTAGCTACGTAGCCTTGGCAACTCACCTGACCTCCTTGAGCACCATGCTCGTCGTCTGTAAAATGGGGCTAAGGAGTCCTACTTCACTGATTTAAGAGGAATTGGCCAGAGATAGTGGCAACGCCTGTAATCCTAGCACTTTGAGAGGCTGAGACGGGAGGATTGCTTGAGCCCAGGAATTCAAGACCAGCCTGGACAACACAGTGAGACCCCATTCCTACAAAATATAAAAAATTAGCCTGGCGTGGTGGTGTGCGCCTGTAGTCCCAGCTATTTAGGCAGCTGAGGTGAGAGGATTGCTTGAACCCAGGAGGTCAGGCTGCAATGAGCCATGATCATGCCACTGCACTCCAGCCCGGGCAACAGAGCAAGACCCTGTCTCAAAAAAAAATAATAAAATTAAAAGTATAATAATTATTATCCTTCTCTACCTGGAGAGTTCCAATTTGTCTTTTAAGAAGAAATTCAAGGCTGGGCACAGTGACTTACAACATTGTGGGAGGCTGAGGCAGGTGGATTGCTTGAGTCCAGGAGTTAGAGACCAGCCTGGGCAACATGGAAAAGCCCCGTCTCTACAAAAAAATATATAAAAAATTAGCTGGGCATGGTGGCACACGCCTGTAGTCCCAGCTACTCAGGAGGCTGAGGTGGGAGGATCACTTGAGCCTGGAAGGTGAAGGTTGCAGTGAGCTGAGATTGCGCCACAGCACTCCAGCCTGGGCATAGAGGGAGACTCCATCTCAAAATAATTAAGTAAATAAATAAATAAAGGCAATTCAAATGTCACCTCCTCTGGGAAGCCCTCCTGGATTCTCACAGGCAGAGCTGGCTCTTCTTACTTCTATCACATCATCCACCTCACTACAGTGTACTTGTCTCTTCTGGACTTGGTCTCCCCAGCAGCCCGAGCTCCTCCACAGCACAGATCAAGTCTGATTTGCTGTTGGGTCCCTGGCCCCTGGTCCCAAGCCTGTTAACAATGTAGGTGGCGGGAATGTTGCTTGGGTGAGTCATGACAGCCACACCCTCCCCCTTCCTCCAGCAAGCTCCGGGCCTCAGTGGCAGACCCTGGGCAGCTGAAGATCCTGACAGGGGACTGGTTCCAGGAAGCACGCTCCCAGCGGCACCACAATGCCCACTTCGGCTCTGACCTTGTCCGAGCGTCTATGCGCAGGAAGAAGAGCACCAGGGGTGAGAGGAGATCCTCGGGGCAGGGCAAGCCATGTGCCGTCCAGGGCGCTGGCTGTATGTGGACAGGGAGAGAGGACCACTAGGGCTCCAGTCCTGGCTGCCCCCAGTACTGTGTGTCTTTCAGTGGGCAATGCCCCTCCGTGGGCATGGGGTGGGTGGGTATCTCCCAGGGCCTCTCCCGAGTCACAGCCAGGCTTCCTGAGCATGGGGGCTCACAGAACTTCTCACCTGCGCCCAGGAGACCAGGCTCCAGGCCACGACAGGGAGGCTGAGGCTGCTGTGAAAGAGAAGGAAGAGGGGCCAGAGCCCAGGTGAGGAGGAGTCTCAGGAAGGGGGAGATGGTGCCCACCAGTCACCAGGGTCCCTCCCTCTGAGAGCGTCCTCTCCCTACTCCTAGGCTCACCATTGATGAGGCCCCTCAGGAGAGGCTCAGGGAGACTGAGGTAAGTGAATGAGCCAACATGTGAGTACAGTGTCCCTGGAGGGGAGGTGGAATGTGCAGGGGGCAGGGGGGAAAGAGCCCCAGCCTGGGAATGGGGAGACCCTGGAAATGTTCCTTCCTGTGTCTGCACCTCATCACCTCCTGGGTGGAACAGTGGTGAACGGTGGGGAACGGTGGTGAATGGTGGTAAACAGTGGTGAACGGTGGTGAACAGTGAGTGGTATATGGACCCAGCCTCTAAGGGAACTTCTGAATCTGGCTATTAAGGGGTGAAGTGGGGCCAGGCACGGTGGCTCATGCCTGTAATCCCAGCATTTTGGGAGGCTGATGTGGGAGGATCGCTTGAGCCGAGGAGTTCAAGACCAGCCTGGGCAACATAGCAAAATGCCCCCCATGTCTATAAAAAATAAATAAAAAAAAAAGGCCGGTCGTGGCAGCTCACGCCTATAATCCCAGCACTTTGGGAAGCCGAGATCACCTGAGGTCAGGAGCTCAAGACCAGCCTGACTAACATGGAGAAACCCCATCTCTACTAAAAATACAAAATTAGCTGGGCATGATGGTGCATAACCTGGAATCTCAGCTACTGGGAGGCTGAGGCAGGAGAATCGCTTGAACCCAGGAGGCGGAGGTTGCAGTGAGCCAAGATCACACCATTGCACTCTAGCCTGGGCAACAAGAGTGAAACTCTGTCTCAATTAAAAATAATAAGAATAAATTTAAAAAAAGAAAAAAGGTTGTCTACCAATGGGTCAATATAAAAAATAAAAATAAAAAAAGGAGTGAGAAAGGAATGGGACTGGCCTGGCCTGGCAGAGGTGGAGGACTCAGGTACGAATGACCCCACCAATGGGAGTAGGGAGTCAGGCGGCACAAGCCCTGCGGGGTGGGCTGTGAAGCACTGGTCTCACCGCTCCTGCAGCTGGCTGCCAGCCCTGCCCGGAGGGCTGCCCTAAACCTGAAACTGGGGTAGCTGGCTGGAGCCCTATGACCTCTGACCCCAATATGACCTTTGACCTCTTCCTCACCAGCCCCCGTACTGTGACCTCTACCCCTTTCTTCCTTCAGGGACCTGATTTCCCATCGCCTTCTGTCCCCCTAAAGGCTTCAGATCCTGAGGAGGCGTCCCAGGCCCAGGAAGGTGAGTGGGAGCGCCTGTTGGGGAGCACGGAGAGGTTTCGCGGGTCAGAGGCAGCTCTAAGGGGCCCCAACCACCTGTGTTCACCCTCGTCACCCCCACTCCCACCCCGCGTCGGAGGTGGGGACGATCCCAGGGCAGCACCGGGGCCTGAATCTGCAGCTCGCTGGGGTTGTAAACCAGTTCCTACAAATTTGCTTAGGGGAGGGCAGGAGAGGGCTCGCTTAGCATCTCGTGCCCCACCCCAGATCCTGGCCAAGGAGACCAACAGGTCTGTGCCGAGGAGGCTGACCCGGAGCTGGAGCCCGCGTCGGGGGGAGAGCAGGAGCCGCGGCCCCAGCAAGCCCAGGTAGGCGGGAGTGGCCCGTGGCTGCTCTCAACATCCGGAGCGGACTCCGGGCGGGGAGCGCTCCTGCCCAGGGCTGCGAGCCGCCCGCGACCCAGGGCGCTCGGGGCAGGGGTGGGGAAAGAAGGGGCGCCCCGTCACTTGCCCCCTCTGCAGACCAAGGCCGCGTCCCAGATCCTGGAGAATGGGGAGGAGGCCCCGGGGCCCGACCCCTCTCTCGACCGCATGCTCAGCAGCAGCTCCTCGGTGTCCAGCCTTAACTCCTCCACGGTGAGGCGGGAGGGAGGGGACCCGGGCGGCCGGGGGGTGGACCCGTTCCGATGCGTAGCCCCTGCCTGCCCCTCCCTCGCCGCGGGACCCACCGCTGCAGCCCCCCAGCCTGCCACCTATGACCCGGGTCTGAAGCCTCCGCGCTGCCCGCGGCCCCGACGTGAGCCCTGCGAGCGGCCCTGACTCCCACCCACTCCCGTCCGCAGCTGAGCGGCAGCCAGATGAGCCTGTCAGGCGACGCGGAGGCGGTGCAGGTCCGCGGCTCCGTGCACTTCGCGCTGCACTACGAGCCGGGCGCCGCCGAGCTGCGCGTGCACGTGATCCAGTGCCAGGGCCTGGCCGCCGCCCGGCGCCGCCGCTCGGACCCGTGAGTGCCCCGCCGGCCAAGCGGGGCGCGGCTGTCACAGCCCAGCCCACCATTCACAGGGTCTCGGCCTCCTCGTCCTCATCTTCAAAATGGGAACAACAGCGTTATTGGGAGGCGTGCGATTAAGCGAGACAATCCCTGTAAAGCGCTTAGCACGAGGCCTGGCACGTGTTCGGGATGGTGGCTGGGGGAGCCCACAGGCAGGGGAGAAGGCTCTGGGAGGGCCCCTCCTCACCTCGGGTTCTCACCTCCCCAGCTACGTCAAAAGCTACCTCCTCCCGGATAAGCAGAGCAAGCGCAAGACGGCGGTGAAGAAACGGAATCTGAATCCGGTTTTCAACGAGACTCTCCGGGTGAGGCTGTGACCACGATGCGGTTCCCCGTTAATGAACTGGACGCCCCCTTCCTGCGGGGCTAGGTGGCAAGGGCAGCCAGTAACGTCATTGCCCGGAGGATCGGCGGAGGGGGCCCATTAACTCGTTATCCAGTGTTGTCAGCCTCGTGGTGGGCGTGGTGATAGTGCAGGTCCCCATTAATGCCCTTAGGGGCTCCCCAGAATTCCATCATGGTAGGAACGCGGTAGGACCTGCCTCAGCCAACTCGCGCAGCATCTACGCGGGCCACCAGCAGTGCTCCACTAAAGCTCACCTCCTGTCCTCAGTACTCCGTCCCGCAGGCCGAGCTTCAGGGCCGCGTGCTGAGCCTGTCTGTGTGGCACCGCGAAAGCCTGGGTCGCAACATCTTTCTGGGCGAAGTTGAAGTGCCCCTGGACACGTGGGACTGGGGCTCTGAGCCCACCTGGCTCCCCCTGCAGCCCCGGGTGAGGCAGCCAGGCCGCGTGGGGAGACCTGCGGCCCGGGTCTCCTGCATTTACCCCACCAGGCTCTCCCGCAGCCCCCTCACACCCCGCCTTCGACAGAACCTCCCCTCAACCTCTTAACCTCATGGCCCCAGGCGAAGCCCGGCCGGCCACGGCCCCTTCCCCGAGGGCGCTAGGACCCCTAGGTTCTGCCCCTGCAGGCCCCGCCGTCTCTTCTAGCCGCACCCCATCCGGGTCTGCAGACCCCACCCTCCTGAGGCCCCTTTCCATTAGCCCCTGCTCCACGATAAGCCCGCCTCTCGCAGGTCCCACCCTCTCCCGACGACCTTCCGAGCCGCGGGTTACTCGCCCTGTCCCTCAAGTACGTCCCCGCCGGCTCCGAGGGTGAGTGACAGCCGGAGAGGCCAAGCTGGACACGCCCTGAAAAGCGGGAGACTCCAGTCCCCGGGTTTGGGGGCGGTGGACTCCATCCGTGTGCGGGCCTGAGCCGAGCCTCTCCGCAGGCGCAGGACTGCCCCCGAGCGGGGAGCTGCACTTCTGGGTGAAGGAGGCTCGGGACCTCCTGCCGCTGCGGGCAGGATCCCTGGACACTTACGTACAATGGTGAGGAGTGCTGGCCCTCCGGGCTTCCCATTCTTTTGCCTGCAGTGGAGTGCCCAACCTCCACAAACCCTTACTAATCAACCTTTGATCACGCAGCCTGGGCTTTCACCACTGAGCAGGGGTGAAGGGGACGGTTTGAGCAAAGGCCTGGAGTCAGGGAAGTTGAGGACACCTTTGAGGAGCTGCATTTCAGCGTGACTGGCGCCTATAGGACTTGTTGAAAAGCTGAGGCTGAGGGCTGCAAGGGTCCTTCCATAGAGAACCTGGGAGGCCAGGCTGTGGGGCTTGGCTGGGAACTTATAGTTCAGTGTAAGCTTCTAGGGGACTTCTAGGGGTGCCTCCAGGTGCTGCCCCCACTGTTAGAGAGTGAAATGGAGGTGGGCGGGTCACTTCTGGGTGTCCACTCTGATGCAGCCAGAGGCTGCAGTACAGAGGTACTGTACTTCTGAGCAACACTGTATTTTGCAGAGGGGGTTCCCAGGCTTTGAAAACCTTGGAAACAGGCCAGGCACGGTGGCTTATGCCTGTAATCCCAGCACTTTAAGAGGCTGAGGCGGGTGGATCACCTGAGGTCAGGAGTTTGAGACCAGCCTGACCAACATGGTGAAACCCCATCTCTATCAAAAGTACAAGAAATTATCCGGGCGTGGTGGTGGGTGCCTGTAATCCCAGCTACTTGAGAGACTGAGGCGGGAGAATCACTCGAACCCAGAAGGTTGCAGTGAACCAAGATCACGCCACTGCACTCCAACCTGGGCAAAACAGAGCGAGACTCGATCTCAAAAAATAAAAAAAAACCTTGGAAACTGCTTGAGGAGGGGTGGTGGTGGAGCAACAGGGAGATAATAAAAGTCACTGAGCCAGCGAGAATAGCAGAACTGCATTTCAGAGACATTGCTCTGCAGCCCTGTGAATAGGAGTTGTAACATTATTATTATTATTATTATTTTTGAGACGGAGTCTCGCTCTGTTGCCCAGGCTGGAGTGCAGTGGCACCATCTTGGTGCACTGCAAGCTCCGCCTCCTGGGTTCACACCATTCTCCTGCCTCAGCCTCCTGAGTAGCTGGGACTACAGGCGCCCGCTACCACGCCCAGCTAATTTTTTTGTATTTTTAGTAGAGACGGGGTTTCACCATGTTAACCAGGATGGTCTCAATCTCCTGACCTCGTGATCCGCCCGCCTCGGCCTCCCAAAGTGCTGGGATTACAGGCATGAGCCACCGCGCCCGGCTATTATTATTTTTTTTAAGATGCAGTCTCACTCTGTTGCCTAGGCTGGAGTGCAGTGGTGTGATTTCAGCTCACTGCAGCCGCAGTCTCCTGGGCTCCAACGATTCTCCTGCCTCAGCCTCCCAAGTAGCTGGGATTACAGGTGCATGCCACCATGCCCAGCTAATTTTTGTATTTTTAGTAGAGATGGGGTTTCACCATGTTGGCCAGGCTGGTCTCGAACTTCTGACCTCAGGTGATCCACCCACCTCGGCCTCCCAAAGTGCTGGGATTACAGGCGTGAGCAACCTCGCCCGGCCAGGAGCTGTAACTTTTAAAGCCAGGAGACCTGAGAGGAGGCTGGTGCAAAGGTCCCAGGGCAGTGAGGGTCTAAGGCCAGGCAGGCAGGAGCCAGGGGACATGGACATATGTGAGAGAGAATGAGTGGGACGTGGTGACTGGATGACTCTAGGGAGTGTGAGGGGGGTCACCTGATGCCAGGCCACCTCCCGCACAGCTTCGTGCTGCCTGATGACAGCCAGGCCAGCCGCCAGCGTACAAGGGTTGTGCGACGCAGCCTCAGCCCTGTGTTCAATCACACCATGGTGTACGATGGCTTTGGGCCTGCTGACCTGCGCCAGGCTTGTGCCGAGCTCTCCCTCTGGGACCATGGGGCCCTGGCCAACCGCCAGCTGGGGGGCACACGCCTCAGCCTGGGCACCGGTAAGTGGGACAGCACCCTGAGACAGGCCCTGGGACAGGCCCTGGGAGATGGGGGCTCAGTGTGTGGCCCTGGATACCTCTCTGTCCTTTCCTGAGCTTTGATATCTACTGAGAACTGAGGGTGGTAACGGGGGACAGTGCATAATCTGGGACCAGGCAGGTGTTTGGGGGCCCCAAGGTGTCCAGTGTGATCATGCCCTCAACCCCTGCCCACCCACATCCAGGCAGCAGCTATGGGCTGCAGGTGCCCTGGATGGATTCCACACCTGAGGAGAAGCAGCTGTGGCAAGCCCTCCTGGAGCAGCCGTGCGAATGGGTGGATGGCCTTCTACCCCTCAGAACCAACCTGGCCCCCAGGACGTAGCCCCACCAAGCCTCTCTCTCTGGACCCCCATCTCAGGGCCTGCCCTTGGCTAAAGTCAATAAAGTCTATTCTAAGAGCAATAAAAGGCTGGTGTCTGCTGGGGCAGGGAGGAAGAAAGGTGATTGTAGGAAAGAGCCAGGGAAGTAAGAGGGGCCAGATTAAGGAACTTCAGACTCTGCCACAAAGACTTCAGAGAAACCAGGCACAGTGGTTCACGCCTGTAATCCCAATGCTTTGGGAGGCTGAGGCAGAAGGATTGCTTTAGCCCAAGAGTTCAAGACCAGTCTGAGCAACATAATGAGACCCCATCTCGACAAAATTTTAAAAATTAGCTGCAGGTGGTGGTGTCACATGCCTGTAGTCCCAGCTACTCAGGAGGCTGAGGCAGGCAGATTGCTTGTGCCCAGGAGTTCAAGGCTGCAGTGAGCTATGCCACAAAGCGAGATGCTATTTCTACAAAAAAAAAAGTTTAAAAATTAGGTGGGTGTGGTGGTGCACAGCTGTGGTCCCAGCTACTCAGGAGGCTGAGGAGGAAGGATCGCTTGAATCCAGAAGCTTGAGGCTGCAGTGAATATGACTATGCCACTGCACTCCAGCCTGGATGACAGAGTAAGACCTTGTCTCTAAAAAAGGTGTTTTTTTTTTTTTTTTTTTGAGACGGAGTCTCGCTCTGGAGTGCAATGGCGCGATCTCGGCTCACTGCAACCTCTGCCTCCTGGGTTCAAGCGATTCTCCTGCCTCAGCCACCTGAGTAGCTGGGATTATAGGCACGCACCACCACGCCTAGCTAATTTTTGCATTTTTAGTAGAGACGAGGTTTCACCATGTTGGTCAGGCTCTTCTCGAACTCCTGACCTCATGATCCACCCACCTCGGCCTCCCAAAGTGCGGGGATTACAGGCATGAGCCACCGCACCCGGCCTAAAAACATTTTTTTTTCATTTATTTATTTATTTTTTTTGAGACAAAGTCTCGCTCTGTTGCCCAGGCTGGAGTGCAGTGGCGCAATCTCGGCTCACTGCAAGCTCCGCCTCGCAGGTTCACACCATTCTCCTGCCTCAGCCTCCCGAGTAGCTGGGACTACAGGTGCCCGCCAGCACACCCAGCTAATTTTTTTGTATTTTTAGTAGAGACAGGGTTTCAGCATGTTAGCCAGGATAGTCTTGATCTCCTGACCTCGTGATCTGCCCACCTTGGCCTCCCAAAGTGCTGGGATTACAGGCATGAGCCACCATGCCCGGCCAACAAAAAAAATTTTTTAAAAAAGACCTAGGGGGCTCTTCCCAGGATACCCCTCCCACCATACACCTCCAAAATTGCCAGGACAAAGGTTCAAAAGTGTTCTGTTTAATACGCTTTGTCTGGTAGTGCTTGGGTGCCTGTGGTTGGTTTCTCTCACTGGAACCAGTCCTGGGCCCCACTCGCCTGGCTTCCTCCAGTCGCCCCAGGTCCTGGGGCTGGTGTGTCAGAAGCTGCCTTTGTCCTCTCCATTCATCCATCCTTGGGCCTGTCTGGCCTATGATGCCCTCATTCAGCTCTCAGGGTCCAGAGGTGACTGGTGTGGATCCTGCTCGCTGTGCCAAGATGGCCCTCCAGATGCGGCATACCATCCCTCCCCTGGGGGTAATGGACTCAGTGTGGCTCAGCCAGAAGGTGGCCCTGGACTCTATCTTGCACACACTGTCTGCCCAGTGCCCCCTCTGTCCCTAGGGGACCCAGGTGCCCCTTTGGTTTCCAGGAAGGAACCTAGGCAGGCCTGCAGTTGGCCAGGATGAGGCCATATGCATGGTTCACACTTGGGGGGCCCAGGATGTACCTGATGCGGGTGTAGATGAGGTCATCTCGAGTGGCATAGGTGAGCAGAGTGTGGAGGGTGAAGCTATGGTTCAACAGCTGGATGTGGTCAAAGACCCGCAGAAAGAGGGAAATAAGAAATTACAGAAAGATGTGTCGAGACCCAGGTACTAGCTCTGCTCTGTTGCCAAAATAATGAGGCAGATCACACCCTTCTGGGCCTCAGTTTTCTCATCCATACAATGGGACGAGAATACTAAGTGTTCTTCTGGTAGTGAGATTCTCTGCATCAGAGGGCACAGTAGAAGAGCAGGAAGATGGACAGAGATGGAGGCTTTGGCTGGTGAGGTCAGGGATAGCCAAGCACTCCCCGACTCACCATTTGGATGGTGCCTGAATCCACATTCAGTTCCTGTAGCCACTGCACCAGGCCCTGGTCCGTTGAAAGAGCAGCTGTCAAGAAGCAGTCAGGTGATGAGCCCAAGAGTGCCTCCTGCTAGAAGCTGCCTCGAACCCACCAATAGTGTTCTCCAGCCAAGGCCCACTCAGGTGATGAGCCCAAGTCAGGTGATGAGCCCAAGGGTGCCTTGTGCTAGAAGCTGCCTCGAACCCACCAATAATGTTCTCCCGCCAAGGCCCGCTCAGGTGATGAGCCCAAGTCAGGTGATGAGCCCAAGGGTGCCTTGTGCTAGAAGCTGCCTTGAACCCACCAATAATGTTCTCCAGCCAAGGCCCACTCACTTGGAGGCTCTGGGGCCAGGACATAGGTCCGGGCTTCCTCATTCAGCCGCTGTAGAGCCCGCTGCACCAGGGCCTGGTACTCCCGTTCCTTCCCCGCCAGGATTTCGCGCAGCCTGTGGGGCGCAGAAGAGTAGAATGGAGCGGTGAGTGGTGAGTGGGTTGAAGCCCGGCAGAGGCTATGAGCGATTCCAAGGGGCTTTACCGATCAGTCTCTGCCCTCAAGAGGCTCAGCTGCACCATCAGAGGAGCGGGGCCCTGCTCGGGCTCCACCGGAAGCGGGCTCTGCTGGCCTGGGCTCTGCTGGGAGTCCCCTTCATTACTCAGCTCCTCTGACCTCGGTGAGACCGCCTCCTTCTCCACCTCTGCAGCCCAGTGCGGTGAACTCAGGCAAGGCTACAACGCCCGTTTGGGAACCCCAGACCCCAAAGTGCGGGGGTAGGGTGCCCGGCTCTGGGCAGGCCCCAGGCGGTGCCGGTATGGGAGATGTCCATTTAGTCACGCCCCCACCGGCGCCTGCCTGCCCCTGTCCCGCCTGGCCCCCACCGGCCCCATTCGATGTTCACCGCGCCCAGCAAGCACCACACCCTCGCTGGCAGGAGGCCCGTGGCATTCCCCTCCTACCCGGTCCTAGCACACCCAGGGCTGCCCGCACAGCACGGCTGAGCAGTGAGTCCAGAACGAACATCCAGTGTGGACGGATCTGGCGCTTGCGGAGGATCTGCTTCACCTGCAGGGGGAGGGAGGCGCCGCTGAGACAGCTGAGCCTCAACTAGAGGCAGGGCTTGAGTTGGAAAGGCCTAGAAAGTCTTCGGCGGGAGGCGAGTGGGGTGGGCGGGCTTGAGGTCCAGGGAAGGCCTGGGAAGCTAGGACTGGGCAGACGGTTTTTTGCTGCAGGCCTGATCTTCACAGAGGAGACAGGGAATCTGGGAACGTCAAGTCCTGGCACCTCACCAGGCACGGGGAACTCACTACCTGTTGTTGGGCAGCTCTAACTACCAGAAGGCGCCCTCACCGCATCCGGGAAGGCAAACAGCGGTCTGTGCAGAAGCGCAGGCCCAAGGCCCTGGGCCCTCAGCCGTCCTTGCAGCGCCCGCAGCTCCTGGGCGAGCTGCCGGCGGTTGGGAGTGTGGATGTGTGCCCCGAGGCAGCGCAGCAGCTCTTCCACATGGTTTCTGCCCAGACGGGCCCCCTGAGAAGGAAGAGAGGGGTTGTCAGCGAGTGCTCCAGCCAAAAGAGACGCTGCCGCGGAGGTAGGGGGCGGGGACATCAACAGGTGTCCTGACCCTTTGCGACCACCAGGGGGCGCTAGAGTGGGCCGCCCACCTGCTCTTGCTTCTGCTCCTGGTGCAGATTCTCCGCCAGCGCTGGCAGCTCCTGCTCCAATACTGCGGCCAGCATGGCCCGACGCTTGCTCTCCTGGTGCAGCAGGCTCAGCCCCGAACTCTCCTCCGGAGACGCAGGCTCCTCGGCCGCAGGCTCCTCGGGCACCCTGGGCACAAGGGCGAGCTGCTGATTGAGGACGGGCAGCAACCGGCCAGTCACCTCTGTTGCCGGGTTTGAATCCTGGCTCTCCTACTTTTATGCCTACCTCACAGGCATGAACATAGATAAACCCCGCACTGAGAGGACACAACAAGTCCAAGTTAGAGTTGCCAGAACAGGGCATGGGGAGGCACCAAATGCCACATTCACAAGTGGTCAAGGTGCCCAGGTCCCCAGGGAGGGCTTTTGTAGGAGAGGAGAAAAAGGCAAAACCAGGCAAAAGGAACCCATCCCAGGAGCCTTGGTCTCACCGGAGCTGGCTGGTGCCCCCATAACTGAGGCAGCGCTTCGGGGGGCTGGGTGGGTGCTGAGAGGGTGCCTGAGGGCACGGGAATGTCTGAGACTGGGTGGTTGAGTTGGCTGAAGGAGTGGGACTGGCAGAAGGGGCATCTGAGGGAGGGACAGAGCCATCAGCTGGGCTCTCCTCCACCCTCACAGCTCCACAACTCCTCTGCCCTCCACTGTGCCCATCCCGCCACCCGCAAGCACCTGAGGGCCGTGGAGCATGTCGTGGGGAGCTGGGGCTGCGGCTCCTTTTCCCAGGCTGCAGGAAGGGGTCCCCCAGCAGTGTCTGGGCGCTGGCTCGGAGGCGGGGGTCTGGCTCAAAAGTTCGGAGGAGAAAGGCTTGGGCCTCGGCCGACAGAGAGCTGGGCATTGGCGGATGGACCTTGTACATACCCACCTGTGGGGGGAGGGTGAACAAGGGTGACATTCAGAGGTGTCCAAGGCCCAGGCTGGCCCTATGCCACTTCCATGGGCCAGGCCCAAAGAGGTCTCACCTGAAACATGGCAGCCTGTGGGCTCCCGAGCTCGTGGAAGGGGGGGCGACCTGTGGCCATCTCAATGACAGTGCAGCCCAGTGACCAGATGTCAGCTGCTTTCCCATACCCGCGTGGGCCCTGGTCAATGATTTCTGGGGCCATATACTGCAGAGTTCCTAGGACAGAAACAGGAGCACCAATGCCCATCTAGGCTTCATCATGGGGTTGGAGCAGGGAGGGGAATGCCGTCATCCTCAGGCCGACTGCACCCATACTGAACCTATCATCCAAAATATACCTCAACACCTATCCTGGTCATCAAACATCTATCCTGAGTTCCATCACCACCCTGGGCTCCATCGCCTGCCAAGGCTTCCGTCATTCATCCTGGGCTCCACCACATTCACAGACTCCATCACCCACAGTAGTGCTCCAGCACACATCCTGGATTGCCTCGTCCCCCTGAACTCCATCACCTGCTTTTTCCTCCAACTCCCACCTTGGCCTGCATCAACACTCCTCAAGTGCTAAAGTCAATTTCATCACTTCTCCAAGCTCCAGTTCCAGATGCCACCACCTCAGCCCTGGCCCAATCACTCACCCTGGGTTTCATTCCCCATTAGGACTCTAACTCCATGCCTAGGAGAAACCCCCTTCCCTGGAAAGTTCCAAGAGATCTTCTGCCCCAGGTCAGCATCCCCACTCACCACCCCCACACCTTGTTACCTGTGAAGGTCTCAGTGCAAGGTGTGATGCCTGCCAGCCGCTTGGAGGTGCCGAAGTCAGAAATCTTGAGCAGCCCACTGAAGGTGTTGATCAGCACATTGTCCCCCTGATTGACAGCCATTAGTGGACACTGGTCTGGGCCCCTGCCAGCAGAAGTAGACCCTCTTTCTGGGATCCCATCTCCTGGAGATCCCAGCCTGGTCCTGCCTCTGTCAACACTCTCCCCTTGCCATCCCACTTATATGCCCCTCTGGGAGCTGACAATTGGTTTGGCTTCAGAGCTGAACCTTTCCCCTCCTTCTCTAAGGAGCCTCCCTGATGAATTCCCTACCCTTTGCAACAGGTCTGCTCACTTAATCTAAACTGCCAGCCTGCGTCTGGGACCATGTTTCCTTCCCCGCCACCCTCAGCAGATGAGGGCGGGCCAGCCCCAGGGCTTACTTTTATGTCCCTGTGCACGATGTGGTTGTCGTGCAAGTAGCCAAGTCCCTGCAGGATCTGGCGGGTGTAGAAACTGATGGTGCTCTCGTTGTCCTTCAGGGGTCCCCACACCGACCGCAGCAAGGAGGACAGGCTGCCTGGGTGGGGACAGTCCAAGTTCATTCTTCCCACCCACTGGCTCCAGCCCACATCTCTCTGCTCAAGGCCCAGACACACCCATGTTGTAGCCCAACTCCATCACCCAGCGCCACTCCTCAGCTAATTCTAGGCTACACCACCCACACGCACTAGGGTGCATTTCCCCCTAGGGCTCTCTACCCCTGCCTGCCTCGGTCCCATGCTTCACACCTCGGTTTCATTCCCATCCCACACAGGGCAGGTACCTCCAGGCACTTCCTCCATGAAGATCTTAAGGTAGCCGCCCTGGCTAGCTGAGCCCAGATAGCGCACTATGTTCTTGTGGCGCAGGCGTCTGTGAAGAGCGATCTCTTCATGCAGGGGCTGAGAGAACCTGAGGGGAGGTAAGGGAGAGAGGAAAGGGACCGAGGTGGGCAGAGAAGCCCCGCCCATCCCACGCCAGCCTGGCCCCGCCCCAAGGACCCGCCCCGCCCACAAGCCCTCTCCGACCTTCCCCACCCTTACTACCCTGCCCACAGGACCCTCCAGACCTCAATCCCGCCCGCACGGTCCTGGCTGTTCCGCCCACGGGCCCAGTCCACAGGGCTCGAACTCTCAGGTCCTACGAGCCCGCCCACTAGGCCCCGCCCACAGGAGCCGCTCCGCTCGTGGCCCGGCTCACTCGGCCCTCGCGAGCCCTCAGCCCCACCCGCGCTGCCACGCACCGCACCTGCTGTCCCGCTCCGGGATCTCCTTGATGGCGATGCGCACCCTCGTGTGGCGATCGCGGCCCGCGTACACCACCCCATACGTGCCCTTGCCCAGCACCAGCCGCTCGCCCGTCTCCGTGTACTCATAATCAAACTGCCGGGCGCGGGGTGAGATGGGAGTTCAGCAGGGCCCGCGGCCCCTCGCCCTCCGCGAGCTCCCAGTCCCGCGTCCTCACCTCCAACATCTCCCCCGCGCCCTCCGCCTCCTCCGCGGGCGCCGTGGAATCCGGGTTCGTCACCCAGGCCTGGATCAGGCCGCAGAACCTGAAGGTGGGGGAGGTCAGACCCGCGGGAGGGGCATCTTGGTCCCCACCTAAGCCGGAGCATCCAACGGACGTCGTCCCTTTCTTTCCCCCACTCCCCCCCGGGCATCCTGGCCCTCAGAGTACCCCGACCATGAAAGGCTGCGCACCACTGGCAGTGCCCTACGCTGGGGAAGCACAGCTGGACGTCCTGAGCCGGGGGGAGTGCATAGAGGAAGCAGCAGCGCTCGTCGCGCTTTGAGGCGCTGGGAAGGGATGAAGAACCCAGTAAGCGTCAGGCTGGGTGGCAGCGACCCTCACCTCCCGTCTTTCCAGTCACCCCAGGTCCCGCCTATCACCTGACTCCGCATATGGAGGCGACTGGGAAGGTCCAGCTGGAGGGAATGTCCTGCAAGAAGAAATGGGGTGTGATGGGGAGTGCTGGTGACAGGAGAGGGGTCTGAGGATGGGAGAAAGGCTCCACAGAAAAGGTCCTAGCAAAGGTGAGTGAGGGGCCTCAGCAGCGACTTCACCTGGGTCTCAGGCTCCAGCAGGCTCAGGGTCACTGTGCTTACTGGGTCAGTACCCCGAACCTCGAGCTTTGCAGGCAGCAGCACCTTGTTCATCTCCAGGACCAGCACCTGCAGGCAGTTGGGGAGTGGGGTCAGTCAGAAGGGGCTTACCCCTTTCCCGGGTCCACCACCCCTACAGGCCTCACCAAGCACTGGTCGCCCTGGGCACAGGCTGTCTTGAATGGTTGGCAGGACTGTAGCAAGAAGTGGAGCCAGAAGTGGGCACGGCGTGGTGGCCCTCCAGGGGGCTCTGGCGTGGGCCTGAAGTGCTGGTAGAGCAGGAAGGTCTCCATCACGGACACCAGGTACCTGCATGCAAAGCCACATCCTCAGTTCAGCCCAGGCACCAACCAGCACTGCCAGGGAGAGGAAACTGGCCTGGATATAGCTAGAACGTTGGCATGGGGTGCCACGGGCACTGGTCTAAAAGCAGCCAGGTCATTGGCTCAGGGTTCAGTCTAGCATGCCAATGGACATAGGTGCAGGAGCTGACAGCCCAGGTCAGGCCAAGAATGCAGAGGGGGCCACCTACCATATGGGGGCATTGAGCTTATACAGCTGCTCTGCAGCCAGCACCACCTGGGTGGGGTCATTGGCGAGGATCTGGGCTCCCAGGTAGAAACCCACATCCCAGTAATACTGCATCTTCTCCACGCAGCCTTTGCGGGCCAGCAGGCAGCCCAGCTTCATGCCTGGGGGAGAGAGGCATGGGCTCCAGTGAGTGTGGGTGCAGGGGTGAGTGAGGCCCACCATTTCTGTGGGCCCGAGTGTGGACATGAACATAGATATGAGTATGGCATTGAGTATGGCAAGATCTCGGGTGGGAACAGGAGCTCAGGCACAGGTATATGTGGAATTCAGGATGTAATGGACACGCAGATGTGAGTTTGGGAACATTTGTGGGTTTGAGGGCTCCTGAGGGCCCAGAACAGGTATGAGGACCCAGGTGTGGGTATGGGCAGGACAGTCCAAAATGGATGAGCTCATCCTAGCTCTTGCCCAGTGTGCTCTCTCCCTGCCCTCTTCCCAGGCCCCTCGGAACCCCTGTGGGTGACGAGACAAGAGCCAGGATCTGTGCTCACCTATTAGCCGGAGCTCTTTGGAATCCTCAAAGTGCTGCCCGGCAGCAATGAGGAGCACAGCTGCATTGATGCCTGAGTGAAGGCTGGGCTCTACGTCAAAAGCCTTGCGATACCTGGGGTGGGGGTAGGGGGCACAGGGCTGGACTGATGCCCACAGCACCACCCCTCATCTCACAGCTTAGCCCACCGGCCACTCACTGTGCTCTTTACCAGTGATAGGCCTGCTCCCGGTGCCCAGCATCCTGGAAACCCGAGCTGAAGAACATGTCCTTGTAGATACGGCCACACATGCAGTACAGATCGGGCGCCACAGAGCCCTCAAGCTGTACCAGCGGCAGCAGCACAGACAGGGCCTTCGCCCGGTCCCCAGGCCTGTTCCTCCTAGGGAAAAGATGGGCTCAGGCCCTCCCTGATGGCCCTGGCCTACTCTGTCCAGGGACCTCTAGACACTGAACCAGCAGGGACCCTTCCAGGGGCCTGACAATAATGACCTCAAAATGATAATGACCCTGGCCAGCACTGACCTCTCTAGTGACCTCAGATGGAAGTGATTCCTAGATGCGATGACTCTTAGGAGCAGTGATCTTGGACAGCGGTGACCATACCACAGGCAGCACCACCTCCCCCACCCCGACCCAGGCAGCAGTAACTCAGAACAACAGGGACCTATTGACATCAGTGACCCCGGTCAGCAAATTCCCCGAACAGCAGTGATCCCAGACAGCAATGGCTTTGCACGCAGAGACCTAGGTTTCGGAAACCTTTATGTGGCTATGACCTAACCCTTGCTCTGCCACTCACCGGTTGAGGGCAAAAGTGTAGTGGAAGCAGACATTATGCTGCTCGGCCACATCACAGGTGGGCAAGGCCTGCAGCGTCTCCACCAGCTCAATGATGGCCGAGTAGTCCTGCATCAGGGAACGGCAAGCACTGGCATCATGGGCCTCCAGGCCCCAAGGAACCTTGAGCCAGGGTCCTGTCCCACTCCTGACATCCCACCCAGCCACCATCTTCTGCACGCCTCCCTCAGGCCCAGCGGACACACCTCACAGGGAGAACCTACTGTATGCCCCATGCTGGGCGTTCCCAACCCCACAACTGCCCCAGGAGGCAGCGACATGCTCATCCTCTCTAACAAATAAGGAGGCCAACACTCAGAGACATTGGATAATTTGCCCAAAGCCACCAGTGAGCAAGTGGCCCAGCCAGGAACTGAACTTGGGTTTGTCTGACCTCAAATGCCAGCTGCCCTACTGCCTCTCTGAACACCACGCACCTGCACATCGCGGTAGGAGAGCAGCAAGTTCATGATGATGTCGGGGCTCAGCAGCTCCACGCTGTCCAGTCTCCGCTGCAGGCGAGCCAGCTCCTGCCGCAGCTGTGGCCCACTGAACCGCTCCCGCGCCTGCCGGATGTCCCGCCGAATGGTCTCCCGGAAATAGCCACTGATGCCCAGGGTAGGGGAGGCAGGGAGAGAGAATGGTGGGGCCTGTACCTCAGCCCCAGCCCACCATACCCTCACCAGCCCCCTCCTGGAGCACCCTCCCTGGGGGCCTTCATTACCAAGAGTCTGTGGGTGTGGCCTCCAGCAGGCGGGCAAGCCGGCCCACCAGGGGAGTGAGCAGGGCCTCGGTCCCCACTCCAGCCTGTACCAGCCCATCAGCCAGGCCCCGCAGAAGGCCTGCATCACCACACAGCACCCGACCAGTGGCCGTCACCACATAGGGGATCAGTGTGTAGCTGCCAACGCAATCCTGGTGGGAGGGAGGCAGGAATCAGTGAGGTCAGAGGTCAGCACAGGGCTAGACAAGGGGAGTGAGAGCATCAAAGGTCAGCATCAGTGGGAATTGGAATCGCAGGAAAGGGGCACCCGTCATGAGAGGAGGCAACAGGAAACAGAGGAATACTTGGGATGTCAGTGGGGGGTTAGGTGACTGAGGAGGCCAGGGGGATTAGTGGAGGTCAGAGGTCATAGCGGAAGTCAAAGGGCACTTTTGAGTGAGAGGTGGATTCTGCTCACCGAGTTCTTCTGGAAAACATCCTCCTGCAGGAGGCAGACAGTCAGATACTGGTGTTCTGTGTAGGCCTTACCCCAGCCCTGTGCCTGCCTCCACCAGCCCCAGGCCACCTACCCGCAGGGCCTGCAGGTCAGGGAGGTCGGCCTGGGAGCAGAGGAGCACATTGTTGGTCATGCTGAAGCTCTCACGCACACCAAGGTGGTAGAACAGGGAGGGCTGTACCAGCGAGCTGCTCACCTCCAGCACCACCACATCTGCAGGCACAGAGGGGGTGGCGCTGATCCCTGAAGCCCAGCTTGATGGGGAAGGAGCCGGGGTCCATCCTGGCTTGACCTGCCTTGCTGTGGGACTCCAGTAGGGTCTGGTTCTGCTTTGGGCTTCAGTCGGCCCTTTTTAGGGTTCCCCTGGCACTTTCACAGAACTGATCTCTGTAGTGTTGCAGGAGAGGAGTTGGGCTCACTGGGTTGGGACCCTCAGGCCACGGTTCAGAGCCTGTGAGCACCTGGCATGGGGGAAGGGAGGCTGTGGACCAGTTGAGTCTGTTACGGGCCATTTAGGAGGTGGGAGTTGCGCAAACATAGAAGTCCCCTCCCTTTGGTCTTCAGCACAGGCTCTTGAAAGGGGCTACCATCAGTGTGCATAGACAACGCTGTGCCTAAATGTATGTATGTGTATATCTGTGACATGTATAGCTTACTATGTCTGACTGTATCTGTGTGTGTGACAGCGTCTGCTAGGGCCTGCATGAGTCAACATGTATGCGATTTGTGTCTGTCGATAATTGTATCTTTGTGTCCGAGTGGTCGGGTCAGCCTTCATTTTAGGCTACGATTTCATGGACATCCAGGAAGCACAGCTACTGGACTCTAGCATAAGCAAGTAAGTATGGGGGCCGAGCATCCGGGCTGGCTGGAGGGAGGAGTGACTCGCGGGGGAATAGCCTCCTTCTGGCCCCGCCCCTGAGCCATCCTTTCCCGCCCACTTCCCCGCCCCTTCCCCGCCCATTCTTTCTGGGCCGCTGAGGCCACTTAACCTAAGCTCCCTCACCCAGTATCCAGTCCCGTCGGGCCCCTTCGCTTCTCTTTTTGCCTCTCCTAGCCCGATCCTTGGAAATAGTATGCTAGGACTCCTGAACTCCAGCCTCCCGGCCCCTTTCCCTAAGTCCAAGCTCCTCTCCCAGTAATTGTCCTCAAGAGATCCGCGTGACATTCTCCTGAGGGTGAGGCTGAGTTCTCCAACCCCACCCCTGAGACACCACAGCCCCGCGCCGCTCCCCGCCCCGCCCCAGAGTTCCAAAGCCCCTCCCCATCCTTGCCCCGCTGGCTGGGCACCGCTCCGACTGAAGGGTGCCTAAGCCCCAACCTCGAGCCCTAGAGCCGCGCCCGGATCCCTGTCTCGTCCCGAGCCCGGCCGCGCCCCAGATCCCCTAAATCCCACTTTTTTCACGGCCCTGTCCCAAGCCCTTCAGCTTTAGCTCACTTTAAGTCCCCTAGACCCGGTACCCCTCTCGGCCCCTCCCTTGAGCCTTCGAGCCCGGCTTGGTCCCCTCCCAGGACCCTGAGTCCCGCCCGGATCCGGCCCCGCCCCCAGCGCTCTCACCCGCGTTGTAGAAGGCATCCAGAGCCGCGGTGTCGCCTAGCTCCAGCGTCCCGAAGGGCAGGCTGCGCAGCTGCGGGGGCGGCCGCGGCCGGGGGACCTGCGCGCAAGCCTCGCGCAGGCAGCGCAGGGGCAGCGGCTCCGCCTCGGTTCCCTCCCGAGGCTCGAGCCCGGGCTGCGGCTCCCGGGTCAGCACGTAGACCACGCTGAGCGGCCGGCTCCGCGCGCAGCCCCGGCCCGGGGGCGCCGCGAGCTGCCGGCCCCGGCTCAGCGCCACGGCCAGCGGGTCCTGCCAGCAGCTGCCGGCGCGCTCCGCCCCGGACCGGGGACACGGCCCCGCCATGCGGGGGCGCTCAGGCGCGGGGCGCCGCGCACTGGGAACCGGGGGCGGGGCAGGAGCCTGGGCCGGCAGATCAGGAATCTTGGGATCTGGAATCCGTTCGGAATCGGAGAATCTCCCACGGGATCTAGGGATCCGGAATACGGCCTGACGTCCCGTTCCAGGAATCTAAAGTCCAGGGAGAAATCCTAGCTCGGACTTGCAAGGTCCTGAGGTTCTGAAATCCGGGATTGGGTCCCAGGAATCTGGGGCATCCGGTGATCGGCAGCTCAGAGCCACTTGGGGGATCCTGGGAATCGGCTCGGAGGTGCCCGCCACCTGGACTTCTCAAGGGAGCGCCCGCCAACGCTGCCCTGCCTTCACTTGTAGGCTAAGCCCAGCCCTTTCCCGGCCGACCCAGAAAGCTCCACCCTCGGCCCTGGGGCAGAGCCGCTCCCTAGCGGCTTGAGACTCAGCCTCTCCCCTCCCTTCTCTCCCGCCAGAACTTTGGAGACTGGCGGCTTCCGGAACAGCCTGTGCCCCTGTGCACGCCAAAGACTGTGGACTGCTCACAGCAAGTGCACATAAAATGTGTGAGGAGGCCAGGGCTAGGGAAAAGGTTCGATATGCAGGCCCTGCTCTGCAGGTATCTGTTGAATGAATGGCTCTCTAGAGACATCAGGGTGCGCAGAGCATGATGAACAATGGGTGTCCTCCCGGGCCCAGTGAGCGCAGGCAGGGAGGGACTGGGATGGGGGAAACCTACACCCTAGGCCGCTTGCCCGAAAGCCTTCAGTCCTGGAGTGGGACTTGGCATCTGAGCCTTAACTGTCACTAGGGGGCTGCTTTCCCCAGGACCCAACCTGCTGTGGACCCCCGCTGACCTTTGACTTCTAGGCAGAACGTGGCCATGGGACCTGAGAAGCACTTCCTACTCTAAACAACTCTAAACATTTCTTTAGCCACCCCTTGAAGGAGTCAACCCCAGCCCTTTGCACTACAGCAGCTTCTCAGCTTCAAATCCCCAAGAGTCCCCAACTTTCTTGTGTGAATTAATGAGTGAGGCAGCAACCTGGTAGAAGCCTCAGTGGACCCTGAAACCAAGAACTGGGGACTTAAGTTGAATAACTTGTCCAGGATCACTCAGCACATGACAGCAGGGTGCAAACCCAGGACCGCCTGTCAGACTCTTAACTATTTAATTCTGCCACTTACTAGAATGTGGCTTTGGGCAAATAAACTGCTTAAATGCTACTCAATGGCTGTTTCATTGCCCTGTTGCCTTGTGGAAGAAAAAGGTACCTTCCTTGGTTTGACCTTGGATTCGAACTGACACCCAATGAGATAGGCAGGAAGTGGTAGAGTTTGAGAACTTGGCCTGCAACAGAGGCTGGAGTGGAAAACAGACAACTTACAAAGGACAGGCATGGGCAACCGACAGGCTGAGAAAGCTGTGCAATTCCCAGCCAGGGCGGTGGCTCATGCCTGTAATCCCACTTTGGGAGGCCAAGATGAGTGGATCACGAGGTCAGGAGTTCGAGACCAGCCTGGCCAACATGGTGAAACCCCGTCTCTACTAAAAATACAAAAAAAAGTAGCTGGGTGTGGTGGCACCTGCCTGTGATCCCAGCTACTTGGGAGCTGAGGCAGGAGAATCACTTGAACCTGGGAGATGGAGGTTGCGGTGAGTGGAGATCGTGCCATTGCACTCCAGCCTGGGCGGGGCGACAGAGCAAGACTCCATCTCAAAAAAAAAAAAAGCTATGCAATTGTGCAATTCCTGCCACAAAGCCATCCACTTGCAGGACCCAGAGGGCCTCGGGAAATTGTCAATGGATGCTTGGATCTCCTCTAATCCTTCCACTGTATGCCCCTCTGGCTCATTGCACTCCAGCCTGGGCAGGGCGACAGAGCAAGACTCCATCTCAAAAAAAAAAAAAAAAAAAAAGCGGCCGGGCGCAGTGGCTCACACCTGTAATCCCAGCACTTTGGGAGGCCGAGGAGGGCAGATCATGAGGTCAGGAGATTGAGACCATCCTGGCTAACATGATGAAACCCCGTCTCTACTAAAAATACAAAAAATTCGCCGGGCGTGGTAACGGGTGCCTGTAGTTCCAGCTACTCGGGAGGCTGAGGCAGGAGAATGGCGTGAACCTGGGAGGCAGAGCTTGCAGTGAGCCAGGATGGTGCCACTGCACTCCAGCCTGGGCGACAGAGCGAGACTGCGTCTCAAAAACAAACAAACAAACAAACAAACAAAAAAGCTGTGCAATTGTGCAATTCCTGCCACAAAGCCATCCACTTGCAGGACCCAGAGAGCCTCAGGAAATTGTCAATGGATGCTTGAATCTCCTCCAGTCCTTCCACTATATGCCCCTCTGGCCTTGTCTTGCACACCTCCAGAGACAGAAGCCTCACTACTTTAGAGGCTGTCCTTTCCATCTTCCTGACTGGAAGGAAATTCTTCCCTGAATGGAGCTGAAACTTGTGTCCCTGCTCTGCCC
This sequence comes from Homo sapiens, assembly GCF_000001405.40. NCBI lineage: Eukaryota > Metazoa > Chordata > Mammalia > Primates > Hominidae > Homo > Homo sapiens. The sequence goes on from NC_000001.11 coordinate 27,369,078, forward strand.
TCTAGGGTTTTTTCCCAGTAACTGGAAGAGTCTTGAAAGGGCTAAAATGATTTTATTTTTAAATGTGGACAGGCAAGCAGAGGTGGTTGGCAAAGGCAAGGTGGCTGACGATCCGGAAGCTGTACAGGAGAGATAAGGGCACTGGCTGCCAGAGTGCCCTATCGAAGCATCATCCGAACCCTGCGGTAGGGGTGGCCCACACCACGGCCTGAGGCCCAGTCAATGCCATATTTGTGGGCGGCAGCCTCAGACACTGCATAGCGACCATTGAGATTTGATCGGTAACAGGATGCATACCACCAGGCACCGTGGACAATCACTGCACAGTTGCTGTTGCTTGAATCGTGGTCAGCGTCATAGGTGGTAAAGGGCCTCCCACTGTGGAGGCTCAGGGAATCCCCTAGCAGGGAAGGGATGGAAAGCACCTTGGTGCCCAGCACCACGCCTGGCACCTTTGGAGATATAATGCCATGGGAGTCTCAGAGCAACTAAGAGTTGAATTTTATCAGGCCCCACGAGCAACACCAAGGGGCCAGGTTGTTTGCGCAGGGTTACTCGGCTGGTTGAAGCAGCGGCAGGACTTGAACTCGGGACTGTCTGGCTCCAAAGCTCCCAGCTTTTCCCCCTGTCTTACCCCCTCCAGAATCCCCGGCCCCCCTCTAGCTCCTTTGTCTTCTCTCAGCTCCCATCCAGTCTGAGCAACTCTGCTAGGAAAAGCTGGGAGGAACCTCTTAGGTGCCTGGCCAGGAAAGGTGGTTCCCTGAGGCACTCCCTCATAACCACTTCCCTCTTTTAAATCTCTCCCCAATAGTCACTGTTTCTCTGAAAGAAGACTTCCGTGGTTCCTCTTCCAAAGCAGAGAACACTAACACTCAACAGAGCCTCAGGCGGCACCCAAAACTTCCTCCTTGCCTCCCTGCGCTCCCCCCGCCTTTTTTTTTTTTTCTGAGATGGAGTCTCGCTCTGTCGCCCAGGCTAGAGTGCAGTGACACTCTCTTGGCTCGCTGCAACCTCTGCCTCCCAGATTTAAGTGATTCTCCTGCCTCAGCCTCCCGAGTAGCTGGGATTACAGGCACCCTCCACCACGCCCGGCTAATTTTTTTGTATTTTTAGTAGAGACGGGGTTTCACCATGTTGGCCAGGTTGGGTTTGAACTCCTGACCTCAAGTTATCTGCCCGCCTCGGCCTCCCAGAGTGCTAGGGTTACAGGCATGAGCCACCGTGCCCGGCCTCCCTGCCCATTTTATAGAGGAGGAAACTGAGGCTCAGTGGAGGGGTAGGACTTGCCCAAGGTCACATAAGTACTAAATGGCAGAGATGGATTCAAACTCAGGTCTGTTTGCCTCCAGATCCCAAATTCTTCACTGTTGCACCATCCTGTTTCATGATTGCCATTTCTCAGATGCGGAAACTAAGGCCCACAGAGGAGACAGGATTGCCCTGGGTCATTCATGGGGGCAGTGGCAGCACTGGGAAAGGATCCAGCCTCCTTCCTCTGCTCCCCTTAGGCTCACTCACCTGCAGTGCCCTCTGAGAACTTGCCCAGTGCCAGCTGGTAGTGGTCTACCTCACCGAGGAGGCGGAAGGTCGCATAGTGGGCGAAAGTACGGTTACCATTAAAGTCTTCCAGCTCTACCCGCAGCTCCCAGTTACCTGGAAAGAAGGGGAGGCAGGGATGGAGGAATCCTCAGTTCTTGGGGGTGGGGCAGGGATTCAGGATGGCAGACAGTAACCCCCAGACTCCAGGACCCTGCTGGGAACTCACCCTGGAGAGTAAGCTGGTGCAAATTCTCATTTCCCAGCCAGAATTCAGACTCTTGGTTCCCAAAACCTGCTCTGTAGGAGGACCAAGAGCGGAAGAAATCCACAGAACCATCCTGGCGCCTCTGAAACACCTGGGGGAGGGGGGGCACAGCAGCTATTACTCCAGGCTGGGCACTGGCAGCTGAGGGTGCAGGAACTGTGAGGGGTGGGTGGATACCCACTCTCTCTTTGGATTGGGGCCTGTTGATAAAATGGGGATCCTTCAAGTTAGCTTTGAATATTTCTATGAACTCTACATTCCCTTGTTAACTTTTACTGACACTCAACTTCATGCCACAGCCTTGCAAGCCCTGGGAAGACTGAATTGACAAAACACTGTCCCCACCCACAGGAGATGGCCAGCGCTGCTGGGTGTCAGTCAAAATAACCCAATTTCATTTACTATAAGAACCAAGAACGCTTGGTGGCTCATGCCTGTAATTCCAGCACTTTGGGAGGCCGAGGCGGGTGGATCACTTGAGGTCAGGAGTTTGAAACCAGCCTGGCCAACATGGTGAAATCCCGTCTCTACTAAAAATACAAATATTAGCCGGGTGTGGTGGCTCACACCTGTAGTTCCAGCTACTCAGGAGGCTGAGGCACAAGAACTGCTTGAACCTGGGAGGTGGAGGTTGCAGTGAGCCGAGATCACACCACTGCACTCCAGCCTGGGCAGCAGAGCAAGACTCCGTCTCAAAACAAACAAACAAACAAAAAAACCAAGATATTTTACATTAGAGAGGCCACTCCCACAGCCCAAGCTGGACCCCTGGCCTTACCCTGATGTCTTCCACCTCCCCCTCCAAGCCAAGTAGGCCCCAGGTCCTATAGAGTTGTCAACCTAAGTACTTCTATTTCCATTGCTCCACTGTCTTATTTTATTTATTTATTTTTTTGAGATAGAGTCTCACCCCCTGTTACCAGGCTGGAGTACAGTGGTGTGATCTCGGCTCACTGCAACCTCTGCCTCCCTGGTTCAAGCAATTCTCGTGCCTTAGCTTTCTGCATAGCTGGGATTACAGGCACCTGCCACCACGCCCAGCTAATTTTTTGTATTTTTAGTAGAGATGGGGTTTTGCCATGTTGCCCAGGCTGGTCTTGAACTCCTGAGCTCAGGCAATCCACCCACCTCGGCCTCCCAAAGTGCTGGGATTACAGGTGTGAGCTACTGTGTCAGGCCTGCTCCACTGTCTTTACTGCCTGGCTCCTTGCTGTCTTCCTAAACCATGTCCCTGCCTCCACTGGTCCCCCAATGCAGTGCATCTTTCATGGTGTAGCCCGAATCATCTTTTTAAAACAGAAGTTCTACTTGGCCCCTCCCCTGCTTAAAACTCTCCTGGGGCTACCCATTGCCCTGCACACTCTTCTTTTTTTTTTTTTTTTTTAAGACAGAGTCTCACTCCGTTGCCCAGGCTGGAGTGCAGTGACTCAATCTTGGCTCACTGCAACCACCACCTCCGGGGTTCAAGCAATTCTCCCAGCTCAGCCTCCTGAATAACTTGGATTACAGGCGCCCACCATCACGCCTGGCTAATTTTTATATTTTTAGTAAAGATGGGGTTTCACCATGTTGGCCAGGCTGATCTCGAACTCTTGACCTCAGGTGATCTGCCCGCCTTGGCCTCCCAAAGTGCTGGGATTATAGGCGTGAGCCACCACGTCCAGCCAACCACCGCGTCTGGGCGCGCTGCACACTTCTTAAGTTGATCATTTAGTGCCTTCCATGAACTGGCCTTTACAGAGGTCCTCAATCCATGTTCCGTCAGTGCCGGCAGACTTTAGCCGACACCCACGCCTGCTCTCAGCTCACTCACGCGTTCCCTGCAAACCTTTTACTCTGCTGCCTCCCTGAGTTTATCTTTACTTCTAGCTGGAATGCCCCTCCCTACCCTATTTTTTTTTTTTTTTTTTTTTGAGACAGAGTTTCACTCTTTTCACCCAGGCTGGAGTGCAATGGCAAGAACTCGGCTCACTGCAACCTCCACCTCCTGGGTTCAGGCAATTCTCTTGCCTCAGCCTCCCAAGTAGCTGGGATTACAGGCGTGAGCTACTGCACTCAACTTAAGGTCTTTTCAAAAGGCACCTCCTCTGTGAAGCCCTCATACTTCTTCAGGTCCCATTGGGGGCTCACTAAACATTTGTCAGTGAATTCCTCTAGGAAATGCCTTGCTCTGGTGGGTTCTGGCTCCCCTAGGGGCCAAGGGGGAGAAGTGACCAGTGGGCCTGGCCTGTTAGCCCATTTCTCAGACACTCACCAGCCAGCCGCCCCCCTCGGTGTCCATGTCACAAAAGACTGGGAGGGCCCTGCCCTCAGGTAGGCACAGATGGTACCAGCCGCTCAAGGTGGCGCCCTGGCTCAACAGCTCCCGGCAGTTTCTGGGGCCTGGGAAAGGGGAGATGGACTGGGGTGGTGCCCAGGTTATTCCCTGACCCCCACCCCCAGGCACTGGAACAAGTGTGGGACCCTAGGGACCCTCTTGGCTCCTTCAGGTCCCTGAAGAAGGGTTCTGAGGAGGCTGTGGGGAGGATCTTGGCCACACTTGGGGGTCTGCCAACACCCAACACCATGTGATCCCAAGTTCCTGGCTCCTGCAAGGGCTGCCTCACCTTCCTGGCACCGGAGCAGGTTCACTGGATCTCCTGCCCCAGAGAAGGGATGAGTGTTGGCTCTGATGTCTCAGCACCCCAGCGCTGAGCCACCAGTGGAGCCGGTACCCAGGCCCTTTTCCGAATCCTTCCCACTCCTCCCAGCCTTCCATACCCTGTAGGAGGGCCATCATAGGGTACCCAGGCCCTTCTCCTAATCCTCTCCACTCCTCCCAGCCTTCCAAACCCTGTAGGAGGGCCTTCATAGGGTACCCAGGCCCTTCTCCTAATCCTCCCCACTCCTCCCAGCCCTCCATCCCCAATAGGAGGGCCATCATAGGGTAGCCAGGCCCTTCTCCTAATCCTTCCCACTCCTCCCAGCCATCCATTCCCCTGTGAGAGAGCCATCATAGGCACAGCAGCCAAGCAGAGATCCCACCCTAGAGTCCAGGGACAGAGGCAAAGAAAGCGGGGAGGCCTCCAGCCCCACTTACTCACCTGGCTCACCCTTGGGGCCCATCTTGCCTGGTGGTCCAGGTGGCCCTGAAATCACAAAGGCAGAGATTTCCTGAGTCCCACCCCATGCCCAGGACCAAAAAGAAACAAGAGACTTGGAGCCAGAGGTTCAAATCCCAGTTTCACCCTTCACTCACTTTGTGATTGCGGGCAAATATCTTATCCTCTCTGAACCTCCCTTTCCTCCTCAGCAGAATGGGGATGAAACCACTTACCTGGCAGAGTTGATCTTAGGATGCCGGGTGCCCAGCCTGGAGCTGGCACAGAGTAGGTTCCTTGCTCCTTTGTCGTGGCCCCTCAGCACAGACAAAAATTGCTACTTTCCTGCCTTCCCCATTCCCAAGATCCCAGCCCGCTCCCCAGCCCCTCTCACCTTGAGGACCTGGGGCTCCCTTCTCCCCAGGACTTCCTGGAGCTCCGGGACAACTGGGCAGGAGGACAACTTTGCTGGCTTCCAGTTCCCTGGGTCCTACAGGGAGACACAGGCAGGGTGGGCACAGGGTAGACTGTCTCTTCCAGACCCCTCTTCAGTTCTCTTCCTGTCTCCCAGATTCCCACTGTCAGGATGCTTGTCTCCTGAGCTGGCAAGGTTTCGTGTGCTTTGCATCCATTTGCATATATTTACATGCAGAGCCCAGATTATGAAACTCCCACCCTGCTCCTTGAGGTTGATGAGCCTTGGTGGGGGGACACCCAGCGAGGGAATGAGGAGTGGGTTGGTGAGGAGGGCACCCTAGGTGCCCACCTGGGCAGCTGGGGTGTTCCTGGGTCTTCAGGCAGGCAGGCCCCCCAAGCAGGAGAAGCCACAGGGAGGGCAGGATCCACAGTAGATCCATCTTGCTGGGCCCACCAGGGGAAGGATGCCAGATTATAAGGGGGCCAGGCTGGTGGGAGGACATGAAACAAGACTTCCTCCCATTGTCCCCCAGGGACACCCCACCCAGACTGGAGCCAGCAGGGGGTGGGAGTATTTCCTCCTTCAGCCCCAGAGAGAAAGGGCATTATCCCTGCCCTATCCAACCAGGATGGAGTCCAACATCTTTTTGTTTTTTGTTTTTTGTTTTTTTGTTTTTTTGAGACGGAGTTTCACTCTTGTTGCCCAGGCTGGAATGCAATGGCGTGCTCTCAGCTCAATGCAACCAATGCAACCTCTGCCTCCCGGGTTCAAGTGATTCTCCTGCCTCAGCCTCCCAAGTAGCTGGGATTATGGGTGCACGCCACCAAGCCCAGCTAATTTTTTGTATTTTTTTTTTTAGTATAGAAGGGGTTTCACCATGTTGGCCAGGCTGGTCTCGAAATCCTGACCTTAGGTGATCCACCCACCTCGGCCTCCCAAAGTGCTAGGATTACAGGTGTGAGCCACCGCACACTGAAAGAGTCCAACTTCTGATCCTGGCTTCCAGGGCTCCCCAGCCATCTCTCCAGACCTCTACATTCACAGTCGTCTCTACCTGTGAAGCCCCATCTGTCCATGAAGGTCTAGCTCTACAGCCATCTCCACTGGGAATCCTTCCCTGATCCTTGTCAATGCTATGAATAGTGACAACTGCTACCATTTCCTGGGCATCTACTGCATTCCAGCGTCATACTGACGTCACCTCCGATCCTCACATGGACTTGCTATTAATCCTTATTATTGCATTATGGGCCTGGTACAAAATGGGTGCTCAGTAAGAAAGAGTTAAATGAATAAGGAAAGAGAAACTGAGGCCCAGTGATGGGACGTGACTTCTGTTCTCTTGGCCACTTATATGCTGAGAGCAACAGAGTTTTACCCAAGCCCCATGCCCCCGCCAGGGAAAAGCACCATTAAGAAAGTGATTCTGGCTGGCTGCGGTGGCTCATGCCTGTAATCCCGGGATTTTGGGAGTCCGAGGCAGGCAGATCACCTGAGGTCAGGGGTTCGAGACCAGCCTGGCTAACACGGTGAAACCCTGTCTCTACTAAAAATACAAAAATTAGCCGGGCTTGGTGGCATGCACCTGTAATCCCAGCTACTCAGGAGGCTGAGGCAAGAGAATCACTTGAAACCCGAAGGCAGAGGTTGCAATGAGCCGAGATCGCACCACTGCACTCCAGCCTGGGCGAAAGAGCAAAAACTCCGTCTCAAAAAAAAAGAAAGTGACTCCATGCTCAACCTTGAGTCCCGTGAGGCTTAGGAAACAGCTGCTAATGTACGCCAATTGAGCGGGAAGCCCATGTAGGAAGGCCTGGAGGCCGGGAAGCCAGGGAGGACGCAGCAGCCAGGGTCCAGATGTGAAGGATCAGGCCTGAGCTGGAGAGGGACCTCAGGTGATAAGGGAGGAGAGGCAGGGCTCATTCATTCACTCATTCAGGAAACCCTCCCTCAAGGCCTCCTCTGCACCTCCCTGGTGCTTATGGAGAGGGCTGAGGTGCAAGTGGTATCAGGGGAAGTGGAGGCAGTGTTTGCCTGACAGGATGTGTCCGCGAGAGGGATATCCTGAGACCGCAATTCCAGTTCTAGGAATCTGTCTTCCCCAGACTGTCCCACGAGTATGCCAAGATCTGCAGACAAGCCTGTTTACCATGGCGCTGTTTGTAAGCATCAGTGTGGAAATGACCCAACCAGTCATTGATGGCATTCACATGAATTAGGACCATTCAGACAACTCACAGGGTGAATCTGATCTAAAATGAGAGGGGCAAAAATGCAAAACAGTATGCACAGCATTATCCCACTTTGTATTTTTAAAATGCTAGAGGTGTGTATATATGTATTTTGTAAATTCACAGAAAGAGGTCTGACACAGACCTTGTGAACTGTGGTTATTTCTGGAGAGTAGGACCAGGGAAGGAGTTGTTCTCTCTTTTTTTTTTTTTTTTTTGGAGACAGGGTCTCACTCTCTCACCTAGGCTAGAGTGTGGCGGTGTGATCATAGCTCACTGCAGCCCCGACCTCCTGGGCTCAAGCAGTCCTCCCACCTCAGTCTCCCGGTAGCTGGGATGCCAGGCAGAGCCACCACACCGGGCTAAATTTTTATTTTATTTATTTATTTTGAGACAAAGTCTTGCTGTGTTGCCCAGGCTGGAGTGCAGTGACTTGATCTCGGCTCACTGCAACTTCCGCCTCCTGGATTCAAGTGATTCTCCTGACTCAGTCTCCCAAGTAGCTGGGATTACAGGTGTGTGCCACCACGCCCAGCTAATTTTTGTATTTTTAGTAGAGATAGGGTTTCACTATGTTGGTCTGGCTGGTCTCAAACTCCTGACCTCAAGTGATCCACCCGCCTTGGCCTCCCAAAGTGCTGGGATTACAGGTGTGAGCCACTTTGCCCCGCCTAAATTTTTATTTTTTGTAGAGATGGGTTCTCACTATACTGCCCAGGCTGGTCTCAAACTCCTGGCTTCAAACAATCATCCCGCCTCAGTCTCCCAAAGTGCTGGAATTACAGGTGTGAGCCACTATACCTCCTGGCCAGTTTTTTATTTTTTAATATATACAGGGTCTCACTCTGTCACCCAGGCTGGAGTGCAGTGGCATGATCTTGGCTCACTGCAGCCTGGACCTCTCAGGCTCAAGTGATCCTCCCACCTCAGCCTCCTGAGTACTTGGGACTACAGGCGTGCACCACGACACCCAGCTAATTTTGGTATTTTTAGTAGAGATGGGGTTTCGCCATGCTGCCCAGGCTGACTAGGCTGACTCCAACTCCTGAGCTCAAGCAATCCTCCTGCCTCGGCCTCCCAAAGTGCTGGGATGAGCCACCGCACCCAGCCCAGTTCTCACTCTTCTGTATAGTCCTTTTTCAAACCCTCACAGGCATTTACTACTTTTGCAAAAAAAGAAAGCACCCAATAAAGGAGGAGGGTGAAGAAGAAAACTCATGCTGGGGGAGAAACAAGGGCAGGGTGACCCAGGCAGGAGGAGCTGCTCATGCAGAAGCCTAGAGAAGAGAGAAGGCAAGGGCAGATGGGGTGTTATCATATCCCATACAGGGGAAGCAGCAGGGGCTCTAGGGAGACGGGGGAGTGCACAAAGGGGAGGCTGATTTCCAGAGGCTTGGAGCTTTGGCGGAAGTGAAGGTGCAAGGGAGGGGTGAGGAGGTGGACTGTGGTTGGCAGGGGGGGGTGGATGTTGCAGTGAGCCAAGATCTCACCACTCTACTCTAGCCTGGGCGACACAGTGAGACTCTGTCTCAAAAAAAAAAAAGAAAAAAAAAAAAGAAAAGAAAAGAAAAAATAAAATAAAATAAAAAGTTATAAAACTCGCAGCTACATGCCTGGCTCCTGGCAAGCGCCCATCCATGGGCGATGTTACCGTCAGGGAAGACTTCGGTGCCTGGGGACAGAAGGCAGGCCTTCCCAGGAGAGCCTGAGAGAGGAAGGCCAGGAATGGCTGCGTGGAGTCCCTGGGGCCCTTTCCCCCTTGGCGCGGGGGCAGAGACCTAACTTTTGGAGGCCGAGAGAGCCTGGAGATGCCTCTGGAATGCTGTTCTGCTCACTCTGGAGTCAGAAAAGCCTGAATTCATTTTATTTTTTATTTTAATTTTACTTTTTTTTTTTTTTAATCGATGGGGTCTCAACTATGTTGCCCAGGCTGGTCTCCTGGACTCAAGTGATCCGCCCACATCAGCCTCCCAAAGTGCTGGGATTTTAGGCATGAACTATGATGCCCAGCCCAGAAAAGCCTGAATTGAAACCCCGGCCCTGCCCTGTCCAGCTGTGTGACTTCAGCATGTGTACTTACCTGAGTCTCCGTACCCTCATCTGTAAAGGGGCAAGGGGTGGGGGTTAAGCAGGTGTCAAAGATGAACATTTTTTTTTTTTTGAGACAGAGTTTCACTCTTGTTGCCCAAACTGGAGTGCAATGGCACGATCTTGGGTCACTGCAACCTTCGCCTCCTGGATTCAAGTGATTCTCCTGTCTCAGCCTCCCAAGTAGCTGGGATTAGAGGCGTGTGCTACCACGCCCAGCTAATTTTGTATTTTTAGTAGCGATGGGGTTTCACCATGTTGGTCAGGCTGGTCTTGAACTCCTGACCTCAGGTGATTCACCTGCCTCGGCCTCCCAAAGTGCTGGGATTACAGGCGTGAGCCACTGCGCCTGGCCAGATGAAAATATTTTAAAAGGTAACAGCGACAGTCCTAGCTGGAATTCCCGTTAAGAAGAGGACAATGGCCGTACCCTCACCCCATCCAATCCACACACAGCCCAAGACACAGGACATGAAGTGCAGTGCAGAGTTCCTTTATTTGGGGGCAGTGCCCAGGCCAGTTGGTGGAAAGAGGCAGGCATACAACCCACTGTCAGGCTGGGGGGCCCAGCAGGGGCGATGGAGGAGACGAGGTGGTTGAGGGATTTTCTCAGCTGCAGGTTCCAGGCCCAGGACAGGAGGAGATGTCAGGCATCAGACACTGAGCCTGCTTGGTGCCCGCAGGAGCCAAAAACTGGCGGCCAGAGTTTTTCCCGCCCCCGCCCCCCGCTTACCCACAAGGGTGCCCAGAGGCCACCCTCTGCATCCTCCTTTCCCCTCAGGATGGAGTCCAGGCCCAAAGGGGTCAGATTCTGCAGAGGCCAAAGAGGACACTCAGGAAGGTGACACTGCCTCAGCCAGCCAAGGACCCCCTGCCTCGAGAGGAGGCAGCAGAGGAAGAGCAAACACTTTAACACAGGCTGTGGCGACCCGCCCCACAGCACACACGGCACACAGAGGGCCTCAGGCACAGCTCCCCTTCTCAGAGCAAAACCCAACTAGACACAAGGCCCAGCTCCTGCCCACAGCCACAGAAACGCGGGCCACAGGCTTGCCTGGGCTGGCACCTACTGGTTCTCTTCCCTGCTGGCAGCATGAAGGGAAAAGACACAGGAGGGCTCAGCTGGGCTCCTAGACTGGCCCAGGCTGAGTCCTGGTCCCAGCCAACATCTGACAAAGGAAACACCCCAACTGGAGGAGACAAAAGGGGTGTGGCTCACATGGAGCACGCTGTCACCGTCCTGAGGGCTTGCCCATGGAGAAGACAGCACCCTGGGTACTGAAGGGGAACGGTGGGGCAGGAACCAGGAGGTAAGCTGGGACTCAGGTACTTGCTGCTGGCCAGGTACTCACAGCGTCTGGTAGGTGCTGTCCTTGGCCTTGAGGAAGTGCAGCACAAAGAAAGCCACCGCCTGTAGGCTCAACACCAGCACGACACCTCCGATAAAGCTGGCCCCGTCAAATCCAGGGCTGTGGGCCTCAGGGACTGGGGGGCTCCCTGCAGGGGTGAGGCAGGGCAGGGGTCATAGCAGTCACTGTGAACCAGGATCCCAGTCCTACCCTCATAACTGGCACAAGTAACCTGGAGGCCCCGGTCCTCAATATGGGGTGCTTAAACCCTGGGCTCCGTTTAGTCCAGATCCCGCAGGCAGTTGGGAAGCGCCTGGTGGGAGGAACAGTGGCAGGGGAGGGTGGGGTGCTGTCCAGCCCTGGCTCTGCTCCTGGCTTGCTCTGTGGCTTTTATGCCACCCACATTCTCTCTGGGCCTCATGATCACATGGTCCAATTGGTGGCTTGGACCAGTGACTGGGCTCCCACCCTCCCTGGGCCTCACCAGCCCAATAGGGTGAAGACAGAGCCAGAACTCAGACCCTCCCCTGCTCACAATTCCTTTCAGCCTTGGACCTCAGGGTTCAGAGCCAAGATGCAGACGATATAGTCCCTTTTCAGGACTCCTAAGCCCTAAGACCTCAGTGTCACCCAATGTCAGAGCCCTCAGAGAGGGAAGGAGCAGGGGGAGAAGTGGAGGCCCCAACTGTCACCCTGCTAAGTGGGTAAGCGAGGACTGGACAGTGTGTGTCAGGGGGAACATGGCTGAGGGACAGGCTTGGCCAAAGTCACCTCACAGGACATAGCCAGACTCACACAGGGTCCCCTGACCATCTCCTCTGCCCCTTAGAAGGTAGGGCTTTAGGGCCATGGTTGCCAGGCTATGCCTGGGTGGCTCCCAGCTGTGCCACGGTACCTGTCCACTCCTAGCAGGGATTTGATTTCAGGCCCTGGGCTGGGTGCCCAGAACAGGGCAGGGCTGGTGGATGGAAGATCATTCTGGGACAGTGGAAAGGGGCCCAGCCTGAACTGGGTCTCCCTCCCAGAAGGTGTAAGGGGTGGAAGGAGTCTGACAATATGAAGGGCAAACAGTGGTCCCAGCTCCCGCTCAGGGAGCCCCAGAGAAGGAAGCTGGGGGATGAGGAGCAGAAGAGGGGAGAAATGAGCCACATGAGGCTGATCCGGGGCTCCAGCTGAGGGAGCTGAGCCATCAATAATTCAGCTTCTGAGATCGGTTTCTGGCTTTAATTAACCAAGGGCCTCTTCAGCCATCCCTGCCAAGTCTGGTGACCTCCAGCCCCTGAGAGGGAGTGGGAAGCAAAGGGTGGCATTCTTGCCTCTACTCCGCCAGGAACCCGCCTTGTGACCCTCTCTGGGCCTGGAGGGTGCAGTAGGCAGGCACTGAGGATGTCTCCTGAGCAACTCGAGCCACACACCCTCACCTCCAAGGACAAGTCCCGAGGGGTGACCTTGAGTTCCCAGAACTGGCAATGGGGAGGAGGGATGGGAACTGTCATTTCTTGATTGCCTTCAGTGAGTCAGACACTGAAGTGGGCACTGTACAGCTTCTCATAAAACCTGCAGAGCAACTCTATGAGAAAGGCATCATCCAACCCATTTCACAGATGCGGAGACAGGCTCCGAGGGAGAAGGCGCAGGGCCGAGGTCACAGAGCATGTCAGTGCCTGAGCCCAGAGCTGTCTTCCCCTGCACCTCTGCTCCTCCCACTGCCCCGTCTCCAGGGAGTACTCACCTGTTGTGACTGTCTTCGGTTCATAGGTGGGGTGGTGGTGAGCAGCTGAGGAGACAGGTGATCCATAGCAAAGCAGCCTTCCCACCCCCTGACTCCCATCAAGACCCCAGCCCCCACTCACCGCTAAACTTCCGATTCAGATGCAGCCCTGTCCCTACTCTAGACATCCAACATACTTGCAAGCCCCACACAGTTCCCTCCACCAGATGTGCTCTCTCTCCATCTCTACCTTCCAGGCTCATTACTGATGCCACCTCCTCCAGGAAGCACTCCCTCTCATTCCCTCTGAACTTCCAAAGTCCTTGCTATGCCTTAAACTAGAAGAAGAGCTAACACTCCCATCCCCTCCACACACCTGTACTAATTTTCAGATGAGGAAATAGGCAGAGAGAGGAGGGGACTTCTCAGTGAGCTAAAGGCAGAACTGATACCGGGCCCAGGTATGGGTGAGCAAAATCCACCGCCTGAGAGAGGCTGTTTCCTCCTGGGGGGCAGGCTATGGCTGGGGAGACCCATGCAACTTGGCTTAGGTGCAAGAACCCCCTTACCTGGACATGCCTCTGAGCGGTTGTAGATGGAGCAACCTTCCTTGACCACCTCAGATTGGGCCACACAGTGTCCTGGTGAGAGAAGGTGCAGGGGGGAGGTTTGGGGAGAGGGGCCAGGGCCTTGGGGTTCAGAGCTGGGGGCACTCAATCTGGGGAGGGCTCAGCTCCATACCTGGCTCCTCTGGCCGGCACTGCTCCCACACGCAGCTGGAGAGATTGCGCGCTCCGTCTCCCTCCACGCAGTGCTCACAGACCTCCAGCTGTTTGCAGGCCCCTTGGACCGCCGGCCAGATATTCAGGCGGATCAGGGCTCCCCTCCCAAAGCCTCGAGCTCCTTTACCTGGTAGTGCGGTGGAGTGGGAAGGGAGAATTCCTCGAAGCCAAGCTGTGGCACCCGCCCACCCTCCCACCCAACACTCCGGTGGCCCTCGCCCCTCTGCACACATCTGGGCTCTCACACTCACCCCTGGATCCCCAAGCCCCAGCGCACACCTGGAGCTTCCACAGCAGAGGTCTACACACACCTAGAGCCTCCCCACATTCACCCAGAGCCCCTCCCTTTGCATACACCCGGGGTTCCCAGATTCAGTTGGAGCCACCTCCCCCAGACCACCTGAAGCTCCCTAGGCCCCCACACCTGGGGCCTATATTTACACACAGGGCTCCACACAGAGCTGGAGCCCCCTCTCCCACCCCTGGAGGCCTGCACTTGGCCGGAAAGCCCCCTCCCCTCAAGCCCAGGCTGCTCCTGGGGAGACGGCTGGCTGAGGTGCAAGCTCCATCCGTCCCCGTCGAGCCCCTAGCCAGACCCTGCCGCGAGTTACCAGCCACAGCCAGCTGGGCACATAGGAGGAGGCAGCAACAGCCGCCACAGAGCGCAGTCCGCAAGGCGCGGGGTCCCGGAGCCTCCATGGGCTCGCGGGGTGGGGGTGGCCGGGGGCGGTGGCCGGGATCGGTGGACAGCTGCCGGGCGCGTCCCTCCCAGACTGGGCTCGGCTGAGCGTGTGCGGAGCGAGACCTGGGCAACCGGGGCGTGGCCAGGTGGGGGCGTGGCCAGTGGGAGCGGCAGGTGGGGCGGGGCTCGTCGGTCGGGGCGGAGCCAGGTGAAGGCGGGGCCAGTTAGGGGCGTGGCTAGTGTGCGCGGCCAGGTGAGTTCGGGGGTCTGGGGCGGGGCTTGGACTAAAGCAGGTGGGGTCCAGGACTGGTGGCTGGCGTGGTTACTATGTGCCTCCAAGGGCAGCTTCTTGAAAATTCTGGAAAGTACCGACTGCTTTGATCCTTACTTCACAGGTGAGGAAACTGAGGCTCAGACAAGATGAGTGACTCGTTCGAGGTCACGGAGAGAGGCAGTGGCAAAAATCTGGATTCGAGACGAGGTCACTTCCCTGCCTTCAGGGCTCGGTGCAGGCCCCGCTTTGTACACCCTCCACCCAGGCCCCATGACCGCTGGGCCGGGCCCTAGCTGGCCCCTGCCCTCTGGCTGCCCAAGCTTAGCTTCGGTGCTCCCTCTCCATTCACTGCACCCCTCCACCCGCCTCCCTTCTGCCCCTCATCCGCTGTGTCTGCCTCTGGCCTACCACACCCTCTGGCCAGGTCAGGGGTGACGCCATTACTAGGCCAACTGGGCCTCTCCGCAGCCTTCCCCACGGCTACCACTCCTGCCCTGGCACCAGCCTCTTTTGGTTCTCCTCAGGCTCCTTAGGGGGCACTTCCTCTCCTTCCTCTTCCTCCTCCCCTCCTCTCCCCTCCTTCCCCCATCTGCTTCTCCTAACCCTCTCTTAATCGATGGTGGCCCAGGTTAGTCCCAAGCCCTGTTCCACACTCTCCTGGGGTCATCCTGGACATTCCACTGCCATCAGTCCCCACTTGAAACCCAACAGCTGAGGCAGGAGGATTGCTTGAGCCCAGGGATTTGAGGCTGTAGTGAGCTGTGATCATGGCATTGCACTCCAGCCTGCGCAACAGAGTGAAACCCTGTTTTAAATGAATGAATGAATGAATGCCAACAGGTCACGTATCCCAATAAATATATACACCCACTATGCACCCATTAAAAAAATTTTTTTTGAGCCAACAGATCTCTTAATCATCTCCAGGCCAGTTCTGACTTCACAACTGCCACACCTGTAACTGACAATATATAGCTAGCAATTATTGACCCCTTACTAGCCGAATGTACATTTTGAGAGCTTTTACATGCAACTTCCCATCTAATGTCCACAGCTACCCTCTAGGCATGAGTTTTGTCATTTCCCATTTGCAGGCTGCTCAGGGGCACAGGGTTTCAATGCAGCAGGCCAGGATGTAAAGCTAGGATTGAATGATGCTGGAGGCCATGCTCCCTCTGCTGTGCCTCCCATGGGTCCACGGCATCTCCACCTGAGTGTCCCTGAGGCCCCCAAAACTGCCCACTCAGGGGAAAAGAGACCCTTCGGGTTCTGGGGGAGGGAGGAGGGATAGCATTAGGAGATATACCTAACGTAAATGATGAGTTAATGGGTGCAGCACACCAACATGGCACATGTATACATATGTAACAAACCTGCACATTGTGCACATATACTCTAGAACTTAGAGTATAATAAAATATATATATTATATATATAAAAAAAGAAAATGTGGCACATATACACCACGGAATACTATGCAGCCATAAAAAAGGATGAGTTCATGTCCTTTGCAGGGACACGGATGAAGCTGGAAATCATCATTCTCAGCAAACTATCACAAGGACAGAAAACCAAACACTGCATGTTCTCACTCATAAGTGGGAATTGAACAATGAGATCACTTGGACACAGAGGGGGAACAGCACACACCAGGGCCTGCTGGGGGGTGGGGGGCTTGGGGAGGGATAGCTTTAGGAGAAATACCTAATGTAAATGATGAGTTGATGGGTGCAGCAAACCAACATGGCGCATGTATACCTATGTATCAAACCTGCACGTTGTGTACATGTACCCTAGAACTTAAAGTCTAATAAAAAAATAAAATAAAAATAATAAAAAATAAAATTAATTAATTAATTTTAAAAAGTCCTTCAGGTTCTGTCCCCTTGTATTCCCTCTGTACGCCTCACTGCATCTCAGCAGCTTCCAGGCCCCTCCTATGCTGGCCCTCACAAATCATATATTTGACCATATCTCTTCCAGTTAGCAACTTTTTTTTTGAGCCTGAGTCTCACTCTGCTGCCCAGGCTGGAGTGCAGTGGCACAGTCTCAGCTCACTGAAACCTCCACCTCCCAGGTTCAAGGGATTCTTGTGCCTCAGCCTCCCAAGTAGCTGAGATTCTGAGATTACAGGCACCCGCCACCATGCCCGGCTAATTTTTTGTATTTTTAGTAGAGACAGGGTTTCACCATGTTAGCCAGGATGGTCTTGATCTCCTGACCTTGTGATCCGCCCGCCTCAGCCTTCCAAAGTGCTGGGATTACAGGCATGAGCCACCGTGCCCGGCCAATTTTCTGTATTTTTAAAGTTGAGACAGGGTTTCACCATGTTGGTCAGGCTGGTCTCGAACTTTTCTTTTTTGAGAGGGAGTTTCGCTCTTGTTGCCCAGGCTGAAATGCAATGGTGCAATCTCAGCTCACCGCAACCTCTGCCTCCCGTGTTGAAGCAATTCTCCTGCCTCAGCCTCCCAACTAGCTGGGATTACAGGCATGTGCCACCACGCCCAGCTAGTTTTGTATTTTCAGTAGAGACAGGGTTTCACCATGTTGGTCAGGCTGGTCTCGAACTCCTGACCTCAGGTGATCTGCCTGCCTCGGCCTCCCAAAGTGCTGGGATTACAGGCGTGAGCCACCGTGCCCGGCCAGTTTCGAACTTTTGACCTCAAATGATTCACCCACCTTGACCTCCCAAAGTGCTGGGATTACAGGTGTGAGCCACCATGCCTGGCCCCACCTAACAACTTTTCAACAATGGCTTGACCTCCACAACCCTTTGATTTCTGGCTCTAGAAGTCTCTCTATCCTGGCCTGGGTGCTTCCCATCACCTTCCTACCCTCTAAGAAGATAGAACAGAGCCTTCCCCCTATACCTCTCTTCCTCTATCCTAGCTGTTCTCTCTCCTAGAGGGTCCTCCTCAACCTTGGACTTCATTTGCCTGGCAAACTAATTCTTCAAGACACCACTACAAGACCACCTCCTGCAGGAAGCCTTCTGTGACTGTCACAGAATGAGGCTGAGCTGCTGCAGCACTTAGCTAGAGATCTAAATCCATCTGCTTTTTCCACTTCAGAGCCCTCCCCATCTCTTGCCTGAATGACTGCAGTGGCCTTCTAGTGGGGCTCCTGCTCCCCATTCCAGTCTGTTCTGCACTCAGCAGTCAGAGTGACCCTTTGATAACGTGTCAGTTCAGATCATAACACTTCCCTCCCACCAATGGCGTCTGTCTCACTGATCTGGGATTTCAGGCGCCCGCTGCCACACCTGGCTAATTTTTTGTATTTTTAATAGAGACGGGGTTTCATCATATTGACCAGGCTGGTCTCGAACTCCTGACCTCAGGTGATCCACCCGTCTTGGCCTCCCAAAGTGCAGGAATTACAGGCATGAGCCGCTGTGCCCAGCCAGATGTTTATTAAGTAACCTTACTGTACCATGTTGTGACAATCTGTGTACATGTTTGTCTGTCCCACCGGTCTGTAAGCCCCCAAGAGCTCCCTTCTGTCTCACATGATCTTGCCTCTGCCCACCTCGCCTCTCCTCCCTCTCCCCTTTGCTGATTTAGCTGCAGACACACTAGCCTCCTCTCTCTGGTCCTCACACCCATCAATGCTTTCTCTTCTTGGGGACTTTACACTTGTCGTGTCCTCTCCTTAAGACTCCTGTTCTCTCTTCACGTGACTTGTTCCATGACCTCCCTCCCTAAAAGAGGCCACCTGGTGATCCTACATCCCAACAGCTGCTCTTTTCTTCAGAGCAGGTAGCTAATGTATAATTAATTACTCATTTGTTTCCTAGGCTGTAAGCTTCATGAAGGCAGGAACCATGTTGATCTTCCCTCCTTAGTGAACTCCTTGCACACAGTAAGGGCTGAATAGATGTTGGGGTTTTTGTTTGTTTGTTTGTTGAGACGGAGTTTCGCTCTTGCTGCCCAGACTGGAGTGCAGTGGTGATCTCGGCTCACTGCAACCTCCGCCTCCCAGATTCAAGTGATTCTCCTGCCTCAGCCTCCTGAGTAGCTGGGATTACAGGTGCCTGCCACTATGCCTGGCTAATTTTTTGCATTTGTGGTAGAGACAGGATTTCATCACGTTGGCCAGGCTGGTCTCGAACGCCTGACCTCAGGTGATCCACCCACCTCGGCCTCCCAAAGTGCAGGAATTATGGGCGTGAGCCACCATGCCCAGCCAGATGTTTATTAAGTAACCTTACTTACTATGCCATGTTGTGACCATCTGTGTACATGTTTGTCCCACTGGTCTGTGAGGCCCCCAAGAGCTCCCTACTTGAATAGATTTTAAGGATCTATTTGTAGATTGTCCATCCCTCCAGATTAAAACTGAAGCTTGGCCTGGCACAGTGGCTCATGCCTGTAATCCCAGCACTTTGGGAGGCCGAGGTGGGCAGGTCACCTAAGGCCAGGAGTTCGAGACCAGCCTGGCCAACATGGTGAAACCCTGTCTTTACTAAAAAATACAAAAATTAGCCAGGCGTGGTGGCATGCATCTGTAGTCCCAGCTACTCGGGAGGCTGAGGCAGGAGAATCGCTTGAACCCGGGAGGCGGAGGTTGCAGTGAGCTGAGATTGCACCACTGCACTCCAGCCTGGGCAACAGAGCAAGACTATGTCTCAAAATAACTAACTAAATAAATTAATTAATAAAACTGAAGCTCATTGAAGATGGCAGGGATTTTTGTTCACTGCTGTATTCTCTGTACCCGGGAAATAGAAGATGCTCAATAAATGTGTCTATTGACTGTTGAAAAGGCAGGAATTTGGCCAGATCATCTTTCTGTCCCTAGCACCCACTGAACAAACCCTAAGCCCAGGGGAACTGCCAGTAAATAATGGCTGAATGAATGGGTCTATGCTAAGAATATGGGCACTGATGATGCCTAGACCCTTGGGTCTTAGACAAGGGACTCAGGTGTGGGGATTATCTATGACTGACACACACACACACACACAAGCACACACGCACGAACACCCCCTCCCCGCCAATTCCTCCCTCCCCAAGGGATTTCTCCAACTGGTGAAGACAGAAGAGGCAAGGATAAAAGTCTCACCTGGAAGTGAGTCCTCACAGCCATCTGGTGGCCACCTGGAGAACTGCAGGTATTGTCAGCCCTAGTCAAACTTTAGCCTCAGCCCCTTCTGGGAAGAAGGTGACATCTAGGCCAGAATGGAAGGCACACTGGACTTGGTGACAGATGGACCTGGCTTCAGATCCCAGCTCTGCCATTTACTATGTGATTTGGGGCAAGTCCCTTGGCTTTCCTGGGCTTCACCCAAGAAATGGAGACATGGTCCCTCACTTTTGCAGGTTGTTGTAAGCCTTGGGCTCTGGCTGGGCACCTGGTAGGTGGGAAGGGTTGGAGGAGGTGTCAAGGAGGTAGGGACAGAGGGCATGAGGAGAATAGGAGAGAAGGAACTATCTCTTCCTTTAGAGAGCAAGTATGCGGGGAATGGAGACCTGATTGGTATGAGCACTTTTGGTGCGTGAGGGAGAGCACATGAGGTTCACGTGAAAACCCATAGCCCCCCTTTAGTCTCTTGGCTCTCCTGGGTTTCTCGGGGTTAGAAATGTCACTGCATGCCGGGTGCGGTGGTTCATACCTGTAATCCCAGCACTTTGGGAGGCTGAGCAGGGTGGATCACCTGAGGTCAGGAGTTCAAGACCATCCTGACCAATATGGTAAAACCCTGTCTCTACTAAAAATACAAAAAAAAAAAAAAAAAAAAAAGCTGGGCATGGTGGCGGGCACCTGTAATCCCAGCTACTTGGGAGGCTGAGGCAGGAGAATCGCTTGAACCCAGGAGGCAGAGGTTTCAGTGAGCCGAGATTGCACCACTGCACTCCAGCCTGGGCAACAAGAATAAAACTGTCTCGGAAAAAAAAAAAAAAGGAAAGAAAAGAAATGTCACTGCACTCTCTTTTCCTCTCTGGCTGCCTTAGGATCAACTTCCCTTGCAAACAACAGGATAACTATCAGGATCAGGAAGTTCATGACCAATACTTCAGTGGAAATGATGGTCTTCCGTGTCCTTCACCCTGGGAAGACAACAATACCTAAGACAGAAAACTAGTCAAAAAGTAGAAGACCACTCTGGATTTCATCTTTGTATTTAGAACCCATTTTGGGCTGGGCACAGTGGCTCATGCCTGTAATCCCAGCACTTTGGGAGGCCAAGGTGGGCAGATCACTTGAACCTACGAGTTCAAGACCAGCCTGGGCAATGTGGCGAAACCCTGTCTCTACAAAAATTACACGCCTTAGCCAGGCGTGGTGACACGTGCTTGTAATCCCAGTTACTGTGGAGGCTGAGATGGGAGGATTGCTTGAGTCCAAGAGGTTGAGGCTACAGTGAGCATTGATTGCACCACTACACTCCAGCCTGGGTGACAGACTGAGATCCTGTCTCAAAAAACAAACAAACGAAAAAAAAAGACAGAACCCATTTTGGTGGTGTTAAGACAACTGGCTTGGTTATGATTTATGATTCCTTGGATTATGCAAAGAAAAATTAATCCAAACACAGACTTGCAAGACATAAAAGAAAAAGACCTCAAGAAAACAGCTAAAGGAACTCAAGAACAGAATGACGACAGCCAGGGAGTCACAAGAGTGTGGTGCTGGTGCTGGCAAACAGGAATGGCTTTATCTGCAGCAATGGTGAAGATTTTTCACCAGAGGATCAATAAGCTACGAAAACTTAAAAAATATATAATTGCCATTCAGAGTAGTAGAAGATAGTCCCTGATACCCCCCTTTGATGCCAACCTCCCAGCAGCCTTCACCCATCGCAGAGACCAGAACTCTGTAGGGACCCAGCTCTGATGGGGGAGTAAATGGATCCCTGACCCTGAGTCTTGGGGCCCTGATGCCCTTGGATCCTCTCTCTGACACCCCCACCTTCCTGGGCACCAGGCATATTACTATTCTCTCTGTTTTCCTTTTTTCCTCTGGTTGTTCCCTTTTAGGTCAATCATCCAGTCCATGATTATTTCTTCAATACCCATTACATATCAGGCACTGTTCTCTAGCAGAAATGGGACATAGTCAGTATCCTCTTGGAGCTTAGATTCTAGTGGGGCTGACATGTAGTAAAACAAACAAACATGAATTCATTTATAATTTCAAGAGTGCTTCATCCTCCAAAAATGAATAAATCAAGAGAAGGGGAGGGAGAGTGATGGGGAGGCCAGTGGCGATCTGAGAGTTCAGAGCAGCCTGTTTCAGAAGTAATTCGGGAGCAGAGACCTGGATGAAGAGAAGGGTTGTTGTCAGAGGGGTCAGGTGCAAGAGCCCAGGAGGAGGAGCCCCTGAAGCCACTCCTCACTCTCTGCTCCCGCCCCTGGGTGACATTATTTACCCCTAAAACATCAGTTGCCACCTGCATGCCTACACCTCCCAGGTGTCCCTCATTATCCAGCTGTAACATTGATGGCCAATGGCAAGTAGAACCCACTCAACAACCCCATGAGGCCGGTACTAATATTATCCCTGTGTTTTAGATGAGGAAATAGGCACAGAGAGCTGAAGAAACTCTCCAAAGTCACCCAGCTAGGAAATGGAGAAACTGAGATTGGACACTTCCACCCCCTAAGCCCCCTAAACTCACCACATCCAACCTGAAATGAATCCTCTTCTCCAGCTCCGACCCCCTCCTCCTCCCATGTTCCCTGCCACTTGACCTTCTGCTGCCTCACACTCAAACCCAAAACCTGCCTGGTGGAGGCTGACCATGGGGGCTGCAGTGATGGTGCTGTGATGGGGGTGTCCAGTGGGGCCTGGGATCCTCAGGCCTCTTAACCTCATCTTCCCCTCCCACAGGCCTGCATGATTCCAGGGAGCATCAAGGCAAGAGACACAGGGAGAAGGAGCAGCCAGTCCCCCTGCCGCAGGACTGGCCACATCTGTCACATCTGGAGAAGTCTGCCCAGAGTGGTTCCCCTGGACTAAGGGCAGATGGCGTTGGGGAAGAGGGAGCTCTTTCTCCTTGCTCCACCCATCAGGATGCCTAAAATAGGAGGCTGAGAGGGGCCTGCCCTGAGGACTGAGCTGCCAGGCTTTCTGCTTCCAAGTTCTTCCCGGCTCCCCATCTCCTCCTGCTTCAGGGAAGTGCACCCCTCACCCCCTCCACGCTGGCTTTCTAGATACTGGAATAAATAATTCAGGTTTTGAAATCTTGCCAGGCCCACCCCTCCGGTGCTGTGAGGGCGCTATTGGGCTGACATGAGTGACGTCACCCAGCTCTTATCCCAGCCCCGGCATCACGGGACTTGCCCTGGCAGCAACTTACCTGCCTGGTCACTGTCAGTCCAGACCCTCTACCCTGTGCCCCTCACCCTGGAGCCCACTCACCACAGCCACCTGCTATCTTCGTTCCAGGGCCCCACAGTCCTCATGGCTTAGCATTGTCGCTTCAGTACCCCAGCCATTCTGACAGGGTAATGGTGACCTGAAGTCACCTGGACACTCCATGTTCCCAGGCCGCTGCCTCTGCCATCCCGGGGTCCCTGAACTCCCCCCTGCTGCATAGTCACCCTGACACTGCCATGGTTGCCCTGAGGGCTTCCCCTCTACCGTTAGCGTCCCACGGCCATCACCCCCCACCCCAAGATTCTGTCACCATGCTAATGTCGTCACTGCCACCCACCTCCCCGCTCCCTCGTGCTCCCTGTCATCGTCACCTCAGGGCCCCATCATCTTGGAAACCCTGTCATTCTCACCAGGGAAGCCCAACCAGCCCCATCACAAGCTCTTCCTTCGTCACCTGGATCTCGTCAGCCTCTCTGCCACCCAAGGGTCCCATCACCCCACAGCCTAGCCGGGCCCCCTTTCCACTCTTCCACCACGTTCCCTGCAGCCTCTCTGAGACTTCAAGGCTCTCGCACCGGCGCCTCTGAAACCCCCGGCCCGCAGAGGGCGCCGCGTCAAGGACAGCGCGGGCGGACTCGGGAGGGGGCGGGGCCGCAGCCACGGTCGCTTTTTATGAATGGGGGAGCGGGCGGTGCGAGGCCTTATTACTATGCCGCGCAACGCGCGCTGCGCCCCAGCGCGCCGCGCCCATTGGCTGATCGGACCGCTGACGTCACCGAACCGGTGGCCGGGGGCGGGGCGGGGTGACTCACGCCGCTTCTCCCGCGGCCGCGGGGGCTTCTCGGGGTCCACGCACGCCCTGCGCCGCCAGGACCCGAGCGGAGCCTCCCCGCGGCCCGGCCGCGCCTGGTCCTGAGCGGTGAGTAGCGGGCCCCGCCGCGGGCACCAGGGGTCCTGAAGGGCACGCAGGATGCTGGGGCACTGGGCCGGCGGAAGGCTCCTAGTGGCCGGCCGGGGTTCGAGTTCGAGGTGGGAATTCTGGGTTTAGGCGATTCTGGGTTAGCAGGCTTGGGCCCAAGTGCTCGAGTGCTGGGGTTGAGTTGGATGACCCGGCGAAGGGTAAGCATTCCTGCAGGGACCCGAGGCCCTGGAGGGACTGATGGTCATCTGAGGTTAAGCCGGCAGGAGGCGTCTGGGGCAGGGACCCAGGGGTCCGAACAGCAGGAGGTGTCCAATTTAGGAATCCAGGTATCCAGGCAGGAGGCAGAGTCAGGCCCAAAATCCAGGTGTCCGGGCAGAAGGAGGCATCTGACTCAGGGATCCAGTCTTCCAGCAGGGGGGTCTGCCCAGAGACCTAGAGATTCAGGCGGAAAGAAGGGTCCAGCCAGGAACAGAAGTCTGGGAGGGTGGGGGGTGGGGGGCTGAGTTCCCAGGTGTTACCGCGGGAGTGCGGGGTGATGGCTGGCGGGAGCTTCACGCGCATTCCCTGGGGGCGGAGTCTAAGGCTGGCAGTACTGAAAATCGTGAGGGGTCTGGGAGCCTCAGGCACGAGCTAGCATCATCATCTCTGATGGGAGGGAGCGGAGCTGCTCAGTCTCCCTGATGGGGTAGATGTTTCCCTACCCCAATCTTGAGCCTTCGGGGGCATCCCCTGGATCCTATGGCCCTCTTCCACTTATAGTACCCCTTCTTCTGTCTCTCCTCTGGTCACACACGTGGGAAAAAGAGACCTGCAGGACCTAGGACAGGGATCCCCAGGAAGAGACCCCTGTTTAGAGGCCTGGGGGCATTGGAGGGGACAGCGGTATCCTGGGAAGAGCCCCAGGGCATGAATGTGGGGATAAGGCATTGGGACCCTATCAGGTATCCTGAGGAGAGACTCCCACCACGTATCCTGAGAAGCACCTCACCCCCTCCAGACCCCAACTCCCATCACCCAGCTTGGTCAGCTTCTCACAAGGCCTTTCTCCTGCAGGTACCATGATGTGGGGTGCAGGCAGCCCTCTGGCCTGGCTCTCAGCTGGCTCAGGCAACGTGAATGTAAGCAGCGTGGGCCCAGCAGAGGGGCCCACAGGTCCAGCCGCACCACTGCCCTCGCCTAAGGCCTGGGATGTGGTGCTCTGCATCTCAGGCACCCTGGTGTCCTGCGAGAATGCGCTAGTGGTGGCCATCATCGTGGGCACTCCTGCCTTCCGTGCCCCCATGTTCCTGCTGGTGGGCAGCCTGGCCGTGGCAGACCTGCTGGCAGGCCTGGGCCTGGTCCTGCACTTTGCTGCTGTCTTCTGCATCGGCTCAGCGGAGATGAGCCTGGTGCTGGTTGGCGTGCTGGCAATGGCCTTTACCGCCAGCATCGGCAGTCTACTGGCCATCACTGTCGACCGCTACCTTTCTCTGTACAATGCCCTCACCTACTATTCAGAGACAACAGTGACACGGACCTATGTGATGCTGGCCTTAGTGTGGGGAGGTGCCCTGGGCCTGGGGCTGCTGCCTGTGCTGGCCTGGAACTGCCTGGATGGCCTGACCACATGTGGCGTGGTTTATCCACTCTCCAAGAACCATCTGGTAGTTCTGGCCATTGCCTTCTTCATGGTGTTTGGCATCATGCTGCAGCTCTACGCCCAAATCTGCCGCATCGTCTGCCGCCATGCCCAGCAGATTGCCCTTCAGCGGCACCTGCTGCCTGCCTCCCACTATGTGGCCACCCGCAAGGGCATTGCCACACTGGCCGTGGTGCTTGGAGCCTTTGCCGCCTGCTGGTTGCCCTTCACTGTCTACTGCCTGCTGGGTGATGCCCACTCTCCACCTCTCTACACCTATCTTACCTTGCTCCCTGCCACCTACAACTCCATGATCAACCCTATCATCTACGCCTTCCGCAACCAGGATGTGCAGAAAGTGCTGTGGGCTGTCTGCTGCTGCTGTTCCTCTTCCAAGATCCCCTTCCGATCCCGCTCCCCCAGTGATGTCTAGCTGAGTCTTCATGACCCTTCAACCCTGATTACTACAGAATTCCAGAATGTTAGGCTCTCCAGGGCTTCTTTCCAAACCCCCAGCTCCACACCCCCCAGACCCAGCTGGTTCTGGAGTTCTAGGACATTGGGTGTTTCAAGGTTCTGTTCAGATCCCTATGGGGGCCCAGCTGGCTCCACGGTTCCAGAATGTTCAGGTGGTCAGTGTTCTACTCAGAAATGTCTCACAGCCCAGCTGGGTTGCAATTCCAGAATGCTGGGAGTTTTACAGTGCCATTCCAAGTCCCAGATGTCCCTCTTCCCCCAAACTTGACCTTGACCATGTCACTTTATGTTTGAATTTCTGAGCTAAAGAGTCAGAGAGATTAGTCACATAGTTGCCTAAATAGGAGAGAGAAAGATTATATATGCACATATACAAAGACAGTGTCTATTTATGATTGATTTATTTATTTATAAATTTACTTATGGGTGGTAAGGGGCAAAAAAGAGGCCCACACCTTGATATCCAGGCCATACCAGGGTATCCCTTGTCCCTTCACCCCCATTTCTGACCTCAGTTCCTGGAGGGGGGAAAGGGTGAAAGAGAAACCACGTATTTTGTTATTATTTTGGATTATTTTTTATCGAAGAGATCATAGAAACCAGAGCCTTCTCCCCAGGCCTGCCCTCCTCGGGTTTGGAAGGGGAACACACCAGCCTCTGGTTTTTTATTTTTTTAAGAAGCCATCACCTGAGCAACCAAAAATTCCTCTGCGCTGGGGTCCGACTGCCCTCTGGTGGCCATTTGGGGAAAACTGCAGCCCGGCCAGGCAGCTGGGACCAGAATGCAACCCCAGCTCCACTCCAGCCTGGCGTCCAGGGCCACAGCCATGGCCTGGGGGCCAAGCCTCACCCTGCGGTGCCCTAAAGGAGGGGGGGCACGAGCCAACACCCCACCCCTCTGCCAACCGGGGTATGGCCCCCAGTGCATTCCCTGTTCCCGTCTCCAACCCAACTCAATAAAAAATGATTTTGTCATAAATATGTTTCCCTATGTGTGTGTGGAGGGTATGGAGTGGGGCCTGATGGGGGATGGCCTGGAATGAGAGGGTCAAGCCAGGCCTGGGGGGCCTGTTGGGGGATCTGGGGAGCTGGACAGAGGGTGGAGGGTGGCTGGCAGGTGACTCCTTCTCAGATGTCAGTGCCCCTCTGCTCAGACCTGGGCACTGACTGGCAAGGACCTTACCTCCTCCTGGTGACAGGAACCTGGGTGCTTGGCTCTTCCTGGGTCAAGGATGCTCACATCCTGCCCACACCGGCCACTGTGGGGCTTAGACATGATGAATATGCTCAAAGCATGTCAGTTTCCTTAATAATAATAGGTCCTACTTTTTTTTTTTTTTTTTTTTTTTTTGAGACAGAGTCTCGCTCTGTCCCCCAGGCTGGAGTGCAGTGGCGTGATCTCGGCTCACTGCAAGCTCCACCTCCCGGGTTCACGCCATTCTCCTGCCTCAGCCTCCCGAGTAGCTGGGACTACAGGCGCCCACCATCACGCCCGGCTAATTTTTTTTGTATTTTTAGTAGAGACGGGGTTTCACTGTGTAAGCCAGGATGGTCTCGATCTCCTGACCTCGTGATCCACCCGTCTCAGCCTCCCAAAGTGCTGGGATTACAGGCGTGAGCCAACGCGTCTGGCCAATAATAGGTCCTTCTAATCATGGGTGCCTACTGTGTGTCTGGCACACATGCTACCTCGCTTATGCCTAATAAGCATCCCATGGCACCGGTAGTGTCTTCTCCATTTTACAAACGAGGGAGCTGAGGCTGAGTGAGGGACAGCAGCTGGCCCAAGGCCATACAGCTAAAAAATGGTAGAGCCAGGAACATCTGTTTCCAGAATCTGTGCTGTGTAGTGAGTGATTTCCTTCCTTCCCAAGCCTGGAGCTTAGGACATTCTGGACCCTGATTTTTTTTTTTTTTTTTTTTTGAGACAGAGTCTTGCTCTGTTGCCCAGACTGGAGTGCAATAGCGTGGTCTCGGCTCACTGCAACCTCCGCCTCCTGGGTTCAAGCGATTCTCCTGCCTCAGCTTCCCAAGTAGCTGGGATTACAGGCACCTGCCACCACGCCTGGCTAATTTTTGTATTTTTAGTAGAGACTGGGGTTTCACCATGCTGGCCAGGCTGGTCTCGAACTCCCGACCTCAGGTGATCCGTCCGCCTCAGCCTCCCAAAGTGCTGGGATTACAGGCGTGAGCCACCGCACCCAGCTGGACCCTGATTTATTTTGGGGTTCATTTTTAGGGCCACATTTGGGAAGTGGTCGGAGGGGGTCTGGTCATTTTGGAGTCAGAAGAGCTTTTCTACGCAAAGGTGAGTGACTATCAGTGTGTGCCTTTGGGGACATATGTGTGCAGGACCCAGAGTTTGGGTACTTGAGGAGAGGAAGCTGACCCCAGAAAGAATGTGTCTATCAGGCCAGGGCAGCAGCAGGTTTGGGGTGTGGCTGAAGAGGAAGCTTTGATTGGCCAAGCCTCCCAGCTTCCCAAGCCTTATTTTTGGGCAAAGCTTGGAGGTGGGGCTCTTGGAGCATTTCTGGCTCACCCCTCCACATACAGACAGGAGCCCGAGGCCCAAAGAGGAGCAACCATTTGCTCAAACTCGCACAGCTGTGCCAGGCTAGGACACAGGCCTTTCTCCATTTCCCTGGCAGAGTTAGAGCCCTTTTGTCTGGTGTAAAGATCCCTCCCTTGGCCAGGTGTGGTGGCTTACGCCCGTAATCCCAGCACTTTGGGAGGCCGAGGCGGGCAGATCACCTGAGTCAGGAGTTCGAGACCAGCCTGGTCAACATGATGAAACCCTGTCTCTACTAAAAATACAAAAAATTAGCCGGATGTGGAGCCTATAATCCCAGCTACTTGGGAGGCTGAGTCAGGAGAATCGCTTGAGCCCGGGAGGCAGAGGTTGCAGTGAGCTGTGAGCCAAGATCGCGCCATTGCACTCCAGCCTGGGCAACAGAGTGAGATTCCGTCCCCACCCCCCAACCAAAAAAATCCCTCCCAGTAGTCTGAGGAGAGTCGTCATGCCAATAGGCCCAGGCACAAAGCAGGGAGGCCGCACCAGGTCAGGCCAAGCTTTATTCTATCCCCACCCTCCTGACAGGTCCCTGGGAAAAGTCCCTACTCAGCAGGCCCCTCCCCCACGCCAAACATTCCATACCATCACCGTGGCTTTGTCAAATGGGTACCATTGCTCCTCCCCATTTTACAAAAGAAGAAGTTGAGGCTCCAAGAGTAATGGGCCTTCATTCATTCACTGCTGTCCTTGTGGACAGCTTAAATTCTAGCTGGGGGAAATAGTAATACAAAGTTTTTCCCAAAATGTAATATTACACAGTGGTAAGTCCTCAGAGAAAGAGCAGGGGAAGAAGGATGGGGAGGGTGTGAGTAATTTTTAAATTAGGGTGCCCAGGAAAAGCCTCCCTGAGAGGTGACATTGGATTGGTCCAAAGTCAGAGGGTTGGTAAGGAGTTGAGCTGGGATTTGAACCCAGGCCCATTTGACTCTAAATCTCTTTCTTTCCTGGATGAGGGAGCGTGTTTCAGGAACAACCCAGAAACATCAAGCAAGGAAACTGGGGTAAATCCCCAGGCTGGGGGAAAGCAGGGGGTCTCCAGGTTAAACCCAGACCTCTGGAGGCACAGCACAGGGCAGGGCCTTGTTGCTGCCTCCACCATCATGCTCCTGAGGAGCCCCACCAAGGTCCAGAGGAGAGAGGCCAGGTGCCCGTCCTACCCTGGGTGAGTCTCAGCCCTTTGCTTCCCCAGCCCAGCTTCCAGCTCCAGGGCCCAAGAAGGGACCTGCCGCCATCCTTGTGTCTGGGAGGGCCTGTGTCGGGCCCCTGCACTGAGGGGCTTCCTCTGTCTCTCTGGGGGTGGCTGTGGGCTGGAGCTGAGGTGTTTCTGGCAGACTGGATCTGGGGTCTCTGCTTTGGGTCCTGGGCCTACCTTGAGGGGTGTTTGAATCTGTCCCTCAGGTTGGTTCCTGTGTGTGTGGTGGGGCTGGCTGGCTTTTCCCTCCTCCCAGGATTCTGCAGATCAGCTTAGCACTTCTTCCCAGTACCTCCACTCCATGCTTCCTCCAGGAAGCCTCCCTGCCTGAGCCCTTTTGTAGCTGTGAGAATGTGATCCATACAATATGCCTTACTACACCTCCCCTGAGTAAATATTTGTAGAGAAGTCTTCCCTCCCTCCTCAGAATGAAGACAGGGCTGTGTGTCCTTCCTCCAGTTGAGGGTTCCTGAGAGAAGGGATGTCTGTCTGCTCAAACCGAAGGCTCCTGAAGGCAGATCTTTCTCTCTCCTCAGAACTAGGGGCTCCTGAATACAAAGTCATGTCTCTCCCCTCAGGCTGGGAACTTCTGAGAGCAGAGCTGTCTCCTCCCTTAGGCTGGGGGCCTCTTGAGAACAGGGTCATGTCTTTTGCCTCAGATTGAGGATCCCTGAGGGTAGGACTGTGTCTTCCCCACTCAGACTGAGGCCTCCTGTGTCTCCTTCAAGCCTCAGAGTCCTCTGGTGCCCACAGCCTGGAGCTGCTCAGCACCGCATGCTTTGTGTGTGTGTGTGTGCGCGCGCGCCCGCGCATTTGCTTGTGTGTAATTGGGGAGGGGTAGCCACACCTCCCAGCCTCTCTGCCTCTGACAGCTTTCCAACCCCCATGCCTGATCCCTCCCAACTACAGGGGTCCAGGAAGGTCAGCTGGTGACGTGGCCCCCTGAATTGGGGGAGGCAAGGCTAGGGCCAAGAGCCCCACCTTCCTGCTGGGGTAGGCCCTGGGATGGGGCTGGAGCCCATCTCTCCTCCCCGCCTCCCTTGGTCCTATGTGGGTGTGTGGGGGCAGCCCTGAGTGCTAAGCCCCTGCCGGGGCCATGTCCGCCTCTCCTTGCAATAAGTGAGGAGACAGTAGCTATTAATATAAGATGAGTTCACGGGCTCACAGCTTCCGCAGGCTGGAAAACAGGCTCCCGGGGCTGGGGGCTGCGGCAAGGCTCGGCTGTCAGATTCCCTCCTGGAGCCTGGAGACCGCCAGTCCCGCATCCCCCAGCTCCTTCCATGCTGAGACCTGCGTGCACAGACACACACTCATGTCACATGCAGGCACACATGTATAGGCACCTGGCTGTTCTGAGAACACACACACAGGCAGACATGTATGTAGGTATACCCAGATGCACCTGCACACTAGCACACACACACTTGTGCACACAGATACATCACTGCACATGTGTACACTGACCATGTCAACTTTCTGTGCATATTTAGTGCTGAAGCACACACTTCAATGTACATGCCCTTGCACACATGTACACACCCTTGTGTGTGTGTACACAGGCACAACAACCATGTATGCATACCTAAACCCATTAGCACAGCCACATATACACAAAACCGCACTGCATATAATGTCCATAGTCATGTATACACATTTGCATGCAGCACCAGATTCAAGGACTTGAATGAATGCATGTGCACGCCCTTTCACACACAGCGTACACACACTTGCAAATGTTCCCCGCTGCTGGCAGTGCTCAGCAATCCTGAATTTACAGGCTGACCCTCGGTTTCCAGAACCAACGGGCTGGCTCAACCTCCGCTCCTTGTCTTCCCTCTCTCCTTGCGTCATCACAGGCAGCTCATGGCCCTGCCAACCCCAATGCCTGCCTTCAGCTTCCCGCCCCCCGGGGGGCCTCCGATCCATGATTAACCCCCTCGCTAATTGGCCACCAGCCCCTTGACTTTGCTGCAGGCCTTCTCAGGAGCTGGGAGCAAGAGGCTGCAAATTGGCCAAGCAGGATGGGTCTAGGGAATACTGTGCATGTTGAGGGTGAGGGTGGGGGTACTGCAAGCCCTGCATTGTGACTGGCTGGAGCCAGGTAGTGCACCCCCTATTCCAGGGCTGGGCAGAACACTGGCTTCATACTCTCTTGGGAGGGCACTCCTATGATTCATTATCTACACAGTCACCTGAAGCCAGCCCTGCATGCACATTTACACACACTCACCAGCCATGTGTGCAGACATATTCCACCCCACTTGGCACACTAACAGGTGAACATCTGCACAGACCCAAGTACACTCATAAATGTACCAAGTATGCATGCAAGCAAAATTTCATATGTTCATAGTCACCCGCCAGATATGCAGACATCATTTATATATGTACATCCAAACACACGAATGCAGTTGCATGTATATGGGCTCACAAACACATACACTTACACATTACACATGCCCATGAAGGTTCTAAGTGTGCTTGCAGGCATGCACCAACATCCAACTACTATCCACATTATGATTTATACATGTGGAGTCCAGATATGCATGCACATCCATCCATGCACACCGCTCACATGCGTGTATATGCCCTGATGAACAAGCTACCAAATGGCCGCACGCTAGGGAGAACCCTCTTTAGCTAGCCTCTGGCTTTACATAAAAGCTTGAGGTTTGCTCAGTCTACTGGTGGGGATAGGGAGTGATGGAACCCACTCAAGTTCCAACCTGTCTCTCCCCAGCCTCCTGGGGAGAGGTCCTGGGACCTCCTCTGGACTCCCCCTAAGCCTTCAGGCAGCCACATGGACCCTGTCATGGTTCCAACACAAAAGGCCAGAGATTCTGGCTTCCCTTGCAGTTTCAGTCTCCTTGGCTGTGGCTCAAGCCCACAAGGTGTTCTGCTCTCTTGTAGGCAGTCTAGGGCATTGGAAAAAAAGTTTCTATTTCCATGTCTGCTGCTAGCTTGCTGTGTGACTTCAGGCAAGTTGCTGTGGCTCTCTGTATCTTGTTTCCTCATCTATAAAATAGAACAAAAGGCGTTGTATTTGTAATCCTTCCAAGACACACACTCTGGGAGCGGCATCAGTTCCCAAGATGGTGCAACGCCAGAGTGGAGGGGCTACATACATCATCACAGTCAACTCTTTGTTGAATAGGTGAGGAAGCTGAGGCCCAAGGTGGGAGCTAGATCTGACCTCTGACTTCTCAGCCAGGAAGTCTGCTCCTTTTTAATGATGTGTGCAGTGTGAGCTCGTGTGTGCATACCGTGGACATGCACGGACAGCTTCTTAGGTAAAGGCAGGGAAGGCAGCTAGGCAGGACCCCTTGCCCCAAATATTAACCACTCTCCCTGTCATCAAGGGACTGGCAATTCTCCCATAAAAGATTCCTTTGGATGTGAAAGGCTTATTTATTTATTTATTTATTTGAGATGAAGTCCCGCTCTGTTGCCCAGGCTGGAGTGTAGTGGCACAATCTCAGCTCACTGCAGCCTCCACCTCCCGGGTTCAAGCGATTCTTGTACCCCAGCCTCCCAAGTAGCTGAGACCACGGGCGCACGCCACCAAGTCTGGCTAATTTTTGTATTTTTAGTAGTGACGGGGTTTCACCATGTTGGCCAGGATGGTCTTGAACTCTTGACTTCAAGTGATCCACCTACCTTGGCCTCCCAAAGTGCTGGGATTACAGGTGTAGGCCACCGTGCCTGGCCCATGAAAGGCTTTTTGTCCTTAAGCTTCAAGAGCACCCTTTAAGCGCCCACACCTCCTGGGGCTGAGGGGCAGTTCAGTGGGAGCACCTGAAACTGCTCCCAGCCCCATGATCTAGGAGGGAACTGGTTGACAACTAGCCCCGAGCAGAACTTCCAGGAAATGGTGCCAGGTTGCCCTGGCCACTGGGCAGCCAGGAGGGGGCAGTGAGGAACTGGTGGAGGCAGCAAGTAGGGAGGGCGGCTCCCGAGGAATGTGTGAGGGCTGCCTGCGATTATGGGTTCCTGAAATCATGTGCTGGTTTGTGTCCTTGTGCAAACAACAGGGATCTGTGCACGATATGTGCACCGGTCCTCATGTGCCCACTCACGTGTCTCTGTGAAGCCCCAGCCCATACCTATAGGGAACCCACTTTCTTCTTAGGTAGCCAAGGGTGCAGGCACTTCCTGCTCTAAAGGTCTGGGATAGCCAGGCCCTCAGCCAAGCTCACTTGATTTCAAAGCGAGAGCAAAAATGACCATCACCGTTCACTGCCCTTATAAAACTGGGCACCAGGGAGTGGGGCAGGTAAGAATGGAAACCTTTAACAGGCTCCCTACAACGTTAAAGCCCTCAATGATTTTGGATGGAGACTCAAGCCGTTTCAGTTGCATGGTAAACAGAGCATTGGGCTCTGGCTAGAGAGAGGCCTGTGTTTGAACCACGTTCTGTTCCTGGCCAGCTATGTGATCTTAGGCAACTGTGAATCTGTTTCTCTTCTGTGTAAAATGGGGGACCCTTGCCTCTTAAGAATGAAATAAAAGATATGCAGTCTTTGGCAGGTAGTGGGCGCTCAATAAATGCTTATTCTTCTCAGGATCAGCCCAAGGAGGTGAAGCGACTTGCACAGGGTCACAGCTTCCGAGTGGCAGGGCCAGAATTCAAGCTCAGGCCTCTTGCTTCCCAAAGCCACATTCCTTCCCTCCAATTCCCTAGCAAGGGCGGCTCCCGAACCACCATTTTGTCTTCTGCCAGGGCGGGTGTCTGGCTGCCTGTCAGTCACCGGCCTAGGGAAGCCAAGTGCTGACTAAACACAGGCCTGAGCAGGCGGGTGGAGCAAAGGGGCTCTGCAAGGGCGAACTGGCTCCGCGGCCCCCTTCTCTGCACCACCACCTCCAGCGATGAGCTCAGAGCGGCTGGCGCAGCAGTTGCTGACAATTCAAAACTTCTGCCGCCTCTCCTGGGATGCCAGTGGGTGACTCTCTCTCCGAACAGCAGGCGTGACCCGCAGTCACCAACTCTGCTCCCGCCCCTCTCCCGGGGGCCACTACACTGTGTCTGCTGGGCCCGGAACTGGGTGTCTGCTCATAAATTACCCCCAGGGACAGTTACCCGCAGCAGCTGTGCTCGGAACAACCGTTGCTTCCTGGGTAGGTCATTTTTTGGGTCAGAATACAAACCCAGCCCCCTCGCCTTCCTCAGGCAGGAGAAGGGGCGTGCAGCAGCCTAAACCTTTTATCGGATTCCATTGTAAATCGTTCTATTTAAGGTAAGTTGCTTGGGTCTGAGAGGCAGACAAGATGCCGGCCAGATGTTGGGCGCAGCATCAGCATTCAGCCTGTACTCCTCTCCTGCCTGATGCAAACAGTTGCCAGCAGATTGTCTCCTGAGGCCCCAGCACACCCCCTTTCTCATGGTGAGAAGGGGACTGGGTATCTGGGTCTGCAGGTCCTCCAACCTGGGTCTCCTCCTAAACTGAAATGGTTTCCAGCCTTCTCCACCTCTGCACACAATGCACTTTCCACACCCAAAAGCCTCCTGCCCTTTAGGCCCACCCACACTGGAGCCCCTCCTGAGCTCTGGCCACCACCTGTGGCTGTTAGTGTCATTTCCTTCTAATCTCTTGTCCCATTAAAACAATACCACAAACACCAGAGGTGGCTGAGTGGCTACAAAGACTTTATCAAATTATTTTAAATGTTGGCATTTAAGTATTCATGTGTATACAGTTACATGGAACCTTCAGGTCAGTGGGGCACAAATGTGGTATACACACGATGAGCCTGGCAGGGAAGCAAATGAGACCAGGCTTGGAGCTACAGGGATTTAAAAAAATTGGATGTCTTTCTGAGGGTCTGAGAAGAATAGGGCAGAAGAGGAAAGGGTCACTTTAGGGGTCTGGCTTAACCCACTGCCTAGATCTCCAACTGAAGAGCTCCTTTCCCATCCTCAGGGGAAGAGTGCCTGTTTTCAAACGGCATCCCTACTACACATATACCCCCCTTCCCTAAAATCTTGATGTGGCAAACACACCCAAGAACCCACAGGAATATGTCCTTATAAATATGTTTGTATCAGAGAAAACAAGGCACTTTGGGAGCATTATGGCTTACTCTACTACATGTACATCATTCTAGACAGAAAGTAAAAACTGGTTAGTTCCTCAAGTGAATTAACTGAATAAACTTAATACAATAACAAAATTGTTCCCTAACCCACACTGAGGCACAGTTAAAGGGAACATGGTAGGAGGCACAGAAGGAGGCACAGAATGAGGCACATCTCTGCGCGACACCTGGTCCCAGGTCAGTTGGACCCCAGCAGGGCTCAAAGCCTGATGCCTCCAGGAAGCCTGACATCTCTCATGAGCAAAGCCCCCTGGCCTTGGAGCACTGGCTCCCTCCCTCCCCATACCCTGAAGTCAGGTGAGGGGCCGCAGTGGGAGGCAGTCCTAGAGCAGAGCTGGGACACGGTGGGAATGCTTAAGCAGGGTCACCAAAGCCACAGAGACCTCAATCTGTCCAAGCTGGCACTGCAGAGTCAGAGGATGGGCGCCACGGGAAGAGATTTCACATTAGCCGTGACAACACCGCCTCGGCTCTGCGTTGACATTGGCCAGGGTCGTTTCTGAGGGCGCTCGGGCTTCCACTGGAGGCGAGCTGGAGCCTGGGCCAGCTGCTCTGAGCCTCCAAGGGCTGGCTGAGCCTGCCCCCTCCCCCAGGCTGCTCCTTTGGAATGTACCCATCTCACAACCAAGGCAAAGCCACAAGTTGCTTCTGACACTATTGGAAGCTGGGCCCCAGGGCCACAGGAATGGGGGCAGGTCCCTTGGGCGGGGTGAACCAGGAAGGGAGGAGGCTCCTTGGCTTCGGCGCTTAGGAGTCCTTATGGGCCATTGTTCCATACTCTCACTAGCTTAGGCCCAGATTAAATAATCACTAAACTTTGCATTCTACATTACGTGAGTCCAAAAACAGGATTACCTGCATTGGGTCCTTTATCATCTTAAAGGGCTCTGGGTCTAAAGAAGCCTTTTTTTTTTTTTTTTTTTTTTTTTTTTTTTTGGTGCATATGCATAAGTGGAGCCCAGAGGGCCTCTCGGCTCACTGGGTCCCCGGCCCCCCGAGCTGAGGAGGCTTCGCAAGGCCGGCTGCTACAAAGTGCCGAGCTTGGCTGCATAGATTTTAATGAGAGCGTCAGGCAGAGCTGTGCTGTTGCTCTCCGGGACTTGCAGATCATTACCAAACCAACTGTAGGATGAGAACATAGCACATCGAAACCCTAGGAGGTCACTGAGCTAATGATCTAATCCTACCTTCCGCAGGCAGTGCCCCTCCCCACCTCCTCCTGCCCCCAGCCCTTTCCACGATGGACTCAGTCCATTCCAGAAGCCAGGCCAACACCGCCCCCTTCAAGGTCAGAGCAGAATGACAGTGAGTGGCTCTAGCTCTCCCTTTTCCGGGCAAGGAGGATGGGGGTAATTTAGTCAAAGCCATTAGGCCCAAACCCTGGCCTGGCCAGGCCCCAGGTCTCCTATTTGGGAGAACCACTGCCCTCTGCCTGCCTCTCCAACTACTGCTGGGCTGCGGCCCAGGCGCCTTCAACGACCATTTTAGGGTTCTGATGAAAGCACCTTCGGCTTCTAAGGTGCAGGCTGGGAAACAAGGTGGGGGCCCACATAGCCTGGTGTCTCAGCATGGAGCTTAGTGCCAAGTCCTGTGCCAGAGACACCTGATGTGTAAAGAGGGAAGAGGGCACACTTGGGAGTGGCCACAGCAAGACGGCATGCTGTCCCCTACAGGCTCAGTCCCCACACCCTGAGTTCCAGGAAAGAAGGCAGAGGAGAAGCGGCCAGCAAGGGCACAGAGGCAGAACCCATGACTATACACTCTCTCCTCAAGCCGGAGGGCTTTATGAGGGCTTTGGCAATTACTACAACCATTTGCTGTGCTGGGTAGGGACAGATCCTGTTTCTCTTTGTTTCAGGGCTCTGAAAGCCGGAGAAGCCAGCAGAAGCCGATTTCAGCATAAGAGGCTACACAATAGTTAGGGCAGAAGAAAAGAAACCTCACTGTTGGCTAGAGCTGACCAGTTTTTTTCTGAATAATAGCACCTGTGTATTAGCTCTGGGAAAAGCGGGAAGGGAGGGAGGGAGGGAGCGAGCTTCACCATGTGCAGTGAGGGGAGCTGGAAACAGGACCTGGAGCCCCTCTGCCTTTCAGCCTGCTTCATGGCTGCCAGGCACCCCCCACCCCCAGGCAGGTACTGGCATGGCTGCCAGCCTGAGGGACTGAAGTTTCCACAGTTGGCAGAATCTTTGTTTAAATTGGGGAAATAAAAGGGGGAGGAGTTGCAGAGGAATTGAAAGCAGCACCTGTCAAAGCTGCCTATCCCCTTCCTTCTCTCACTACTTCTGGTCCCCCAGAGAGGCTGGTCCCAAGGCTATGTGGTTGGCTGGTGACAGAAAAGGGGCAACAAAGAATGACAAGAGAGGCTATGAAGGTCTGAGCAGCACCGACAGGGCTGGCACAGACCCTGAGCCTTCCTACTGGGACCCCAACCTATGGTGAGGTCTGGAGTAGCAATACAACTGAGAAAGCTCTGCCCGGACTCCAGCAGGTGCCCATTCTTTGGTCCCAGAAAGCACAGGTGACTTGGAATCAGGAACTCTGCGCTCTAGCTATGTCACTATCCAATTGTGTGACCTTGAGCAAGTCACTTCCCATCTCTAGGCCTCAGCATCCTTAAAGGGTGAGACCCACGGGGCTCCACTGTTCTTCCAGTCCTGCAGCTCCAAGTCTTCAGGCTTTGCTCCTGACAGCCAGAAGAGGCCCCTGTCCTCATGTGTCAGGGATAGTTTGGTCATGGATACTAGAGGTTAAAACTGGGCTGTGTTGCCTGAAGGTATCTAGAGGTGGTGGTGGTGCATCCTGAACACCATACTCACCAAAGGGATCCTGGGAGGGAGGCAACAACACCAGCCTACAGAAAGGCATCATTTTTGGGCAGAGGAGGTGAGACATTCTTTAGAGGCTTGATGCCTCCTGGAATAAAGGGCATCCCAGGCATAGAGATCGCTTAGCAAAAGGCAGGCCCACCCTGCTGATTAGGGCAGAGGGTGAGGCAGTCTGGCCCTTGGACCCTTCGGCCTACTCTGCCCTTTCAGTGCGCGGGAAAGGGGTCAGCTGTGTTCATTCAGACCACTCCCCGTTTTAGAACCAGAAGGTGGCTGGCATTCGAAGTGGCTGAGGGCACAGGTTTTAGAAGGCTGTAGTTGAATATGGCTCCTAAGGGAAGCCCCATCTCCAACAGAAACCCGATCAAAGGAATCTGCTTTGGGATTTCTCCTTCCTTTCAATATGCAACAGGCACTTGAAGGAAAGAGGGAACATCCCAGCTACTGAACCTCAGGAGCCCCACAGGGCCTGAAAATGGGGAGAGGAAATACATGTTGACTTGGAGGAAGCACTTGGATATATCTTTGGTTGCTTCAGGGAAAGCTTTGGCC
Organism: Homo sapiens; assembly: GCF_000001405.40. Taxonomy (NCBI): domain Eukaryota; kingdom Metazoa; phylum Chordata; class Mammalia; order Primates; family Hominidae; genus Homo; species Homo sapiens. Next base: position 27,408,076 of record NC_000001.11, read on the forward strand.
CCTTAAAATTACTTTTTTCCTCCCTTTTCTCCCCCTACGGGTCTGTTGGGGTTGGCATCAAAGAAGGCAGGTAGGAAGGAAAGAAAAAGAAGGTGGGCAGCAGGCAGAAAGAGTTAATCGGACCAGTCGTCCTCATCAAATTCAGAGGAGTCATCTTCTGAGTCACTGTACTCAACAGCAATGCGACGAGACAAGATGGTGGCCACGTCATTGCCCACAACATCCCGCTTCTCTTGTTCCCGCTGCTCCTCAACCCTGCGCAGCTGAAAACCTAGTGGCAAAGAGACAGAAGGGTGAGGAAGGCGTGTCCTCAGCCTTGGAATCCATCTGGAACTGGGTAAGAGGGAGTGGCCACCAATGGGTAAGTGGTATTGGAAAGGATAGAGAAAAAGAAGGTTGTTATGGAAAAGCAGAAGAAGATGAGTTTATGAAATTGATGGCCCTGATGTCACAGGTGTGTCTGAAAGGCAGCCTGCTGTCCTTTCTGGTTTACACACTTTCAGGCTGGTGAGGACTTCTCATAAGGCTTTGAAGTGGGGAGCAGCCACCACATTCCATCTAGCAGACCCTCAGCCTGCCCAATTCCATCAATTATAATGGGGCTCAGCTGCCATAGACTGTCCTCTCTAGATTAGAAGTTTTTTGAGGATCACAAACAGAACAAACCACGATAACACCTTGGGACCAGACCTGGCCCCTGATAGAATAAATGCTCCAATGTTCCAGGAGGGTGAGATGATGAAGGGGGAGGGAAGGGGAGGGGAGGGAAGAGGAGAAAAGAGGAGATAAAAGAAAATGGGAGAAAAAAGGAGTTAGAAAGAGGGCAGGGGGCAAGGAAGGAAGACACGAAGGGCAGAGCAGTGGAGAAGGCTGGGGAGTTGCTGAGTCCAGTTGAACAAGGACCCACTAGGACAGTGATTCTTGTTTTTTTTCGAAGGCACAAAACCCTTCGGAGAAACTGATGAAAAATGGGGATCCTTCCCCAAGGAAAAAAAAATGCATGCAAACACACATAAGCATATATTTCCAAGGACTTCAAAGATCCCAGCTTAAGAATCCTTTACTTTGGCCGGGCGCGGTGGCTCACGCCTGTAATCCCAGCACTTTGGGAGGCCGAGGCGGGCGGATCACAAGGTCAGGAGATCAAGACCATCCTGGCTAACAAAGTAAAACTCCATCTCTACTAAAAATACAAAAAAATTAGCCGGGCGTGGTGGCAGGCGCCTGTAGTACCAGCTACTCCGGAGGCTGAGGCAGGAGAATGGCGTGAACCCGGGAGGCAGAGCTTGCAGTGAGCCGAGATCGAGCCACTGCACTCCAGCCTGGGCAAAAGAGCCAGACTCTGTCCCCCACAAAAAAAAAAAAAAAAAAAAAAAAAAAAGAAAAGAAAAGAATCCTTTACTTTAAACCAAGGTGGAAAGAAATCTAAATCTCCATATTTTTAGGGTGAAGCCTTTTCTCAGGCTGCTCCCAGGCCTAATGTCCCAATCTCTCCCCACCCAATGAAAGCCGTTTCCTGGGAAGGGCACAGGGACCCCCTCACCCATCCCCCAATCAGTCATCCCAGCTTCAGAAAGACAAGGCTCCACAGTCCCAAACCCACCATTGAAATTTACCTTGACGGATGGCTGAAAGCAGGTCGCTACGGGCATCGCTCACGGCAGGCAAGGAGGACTTGGGCTTGGTGGTATCAGAAAGCGGTGGTGGTATAGCAGGCTGGCCATCTGCACCAGTGAAAGGGGGAGGAGGGGGCCCCGGAGGAGGAGGAGGAGGGGGAGGAGGAGGTGCTCCTCCTGTTGGCTGGGACAAGGGAGGTGGTGGCAGAGTTGGGTAGTCAGCTGCTGGTGGTGGAGGAGGAGGTGGAGGGGCAGCAAAATCAGGGTGAGGTGGGAAAGATGGGGGTGAGGGTGGTGGAGGCGTCCCTGGAGACCCAAATCCTACAGGCGGTGGTGGAGGTGGGATGCCTATCATTGGAGGCGGAGGTGGCGGAGGGGCAGGTGGTGGAGCAAACCCGGGTTTAGGGCCTGGTGGAGAGCCTAGAGGAGGAGCTGGTGGTGGATGGCTTGGGCTGACCACACTGGATCTTTTGGGTCCAGCCAAACCAGATCCTCTTTGGTTGTCCACTGGGTAACTAAAAGGCCAAAGAAAAAAAGACTCACCATCACCCTTAGAATGCAGACACCTATCTACAGTTAGCCTTGTCTACAGACCGAGGTTTATCTTGGTTGACTATACCATTTCACTTTCACTTAAACAGAAAGAAAAGCCTACAGATGGTCATAACAGACCAATAATGAAATAAGCAGCCTTTTAAGGTAATGAGCTTCCCACCAGTAGAGGAGGATAGACAGATTGAGTAAAACTACCTGCAAGAAGTGGACTTGAGATTCCTCTATCAGGTACAGGCTAGCTGAGACATCTCTTCGGCCCCCTCTGCCTTTCCAGCTCTAAGGGGAAGGCACCCTCCCTCCCCTTCCCTAAGAAGGATGGTCCATGGCAGTTGCTAGTTTAATCCTGGAGCCAGTTTAAGGGTGCATGCAAGAAAGAACTGGAATAAAAATTCAAACACCACCCACACACTAGGCTCTGTTTCTCAGGCTATTAACATTCACCAGCATTGGAGAGGGCAGGAAACCCAAGCCAGGCTGACCACACCTGAGTGGGATATAGATTTAGGTGAATGCATCTTCAGTGCTCATGTGGGGAAATCTTGAGAGAGAATGAATCTCAATCCGAGAATCTGCAGAGATGGGAAATGAATGTGCCACCAGACTCCTGACCCAGGCCTGAAAGAGGATTAAAGCTACACCTCTCCTGGGATCAGATTTGCTCGGCTGCAGCTGCAAGGTCTCAGGCCATGTGTGAAGCTGAAGGTTTTCTTTTTCCACCTTTGTATCTACCCTGCACTAACAGCTACTCCTTAGAAAAGCAGCCATTTTGGAATTTTCCACAGACCTTCCAGCCTTAGCTGCATCTGACAGGGCCACCAGCAGGAAGTGATTTGGGAAGCAGAAGGAGATTTGGGATTAATGGTTTCTAGGGCCAAGAAGAATGAGGGGAGAGAAGGAGGACAGCACAGCTTTAGGTCTCCATCCGAGGGGTCCTCAACATACTCAATTTCTAATTAAGAAGTACCCAAGGAGAAAAGTGCACCTTTCAAAGCTCTCATTTATCAGGCATCAGAAAGGACAAAAGTAACGGAGAAAACAGTGCAATCTGAACAATTCTCAGATCTCTTTTCAGTCATTACTGCCTAACACTTCCACTGTACACCTCTGCCAGGGACATGCACAAATATCAAAATGGACGAATTTGGAGTTTCATCCCCCTTTTCCCTTTGTTTCATTGTTTCTGGAGATTTGACACAGCAGTGAAACTAACCAGAAGCACTAAGAGGAAGTGACTCTATGCTAGGTTCCTAGACAACTGGGCAAGGTAACTGCTAACTATATCATGGACAGCAGATTGTACCACTTCATTTCATGATGAGTTAAAGCTAAGGAAAAGGCTGGGCATGGTGGCTCATGCCTGTAATCCCAGCACTTTGGGAGGCCGAGGTGGGCGGATCATGAGGTCAGGAGATCGAGACCATCCTGGCTAACATGGTGAAACCCTGTCTCTACTAAAAATACAAAAAATTAGCTGGGCGTGGTGGTGGGTGCCTGTAGTCCCAGCTACTCGAGAAGCTAAGGCAAGAGAATGGCATGAACCCGGGAGGCGGAGCTTGCAGTTAGCCAAGATCGCGCCATTGCACTCCAGCCTGGGTGACAGAGTGAGACTCCGTCTCAAAAATAAATAAATAAGTAAATAAAATAAAGTTAAGGAAAAAACAAGAAAGAAGCTGGTGATTTCCATTTGTTTCGGTATAGGCAAAACAGGAGTAGTTAAGAATATAGGTTCTGGAGTTCAACTGACCAATCAGGGCTCTGCCCTTACTGGCTGTGACCTTTGGGTCATTTCATTGACCCCTCTGTGCCTCAGTTTACTCATTGTAACATGGGGATAGTAACAGTGCCTACCTCAAAAGAGGACTCCTATGAGAATTAAGCAACATATACATACAGTGTTAATTATTTCTATTATCTAGACAGTCTTGTTTGAAGTTATTTTAGTGGTCTTGACCTAGGGTTTTAACTTTTTGTTTGTTTTTGTTTTTGGTCTCGCTCTGTCACTCAGGCTAGAGTGCAGTGGCATGATCATGGCTCACTGCAGCCTTAACCTCCCAGGCTCAAGCGATCCTCCCACCTCAGTCTCCTGAGTAGATGGGACCACAGGCGTTTGCCACCATGCTTGGCTAATTTTTTTGATTTTTAGTAGGGATGAAGTCTTGCTATGTTACCCAGACTGGTCTTGAACTTTTGGCCTCACGAGATCCTCCCACCACCTTGGCCTCCCAAAGAGCTGGGATTACAGGCGTGAGCCACTGCTCCTGGTCCATTCTTTTGTTCTCAAGTGTATAACTACCAATAGTGGATGGAGTAGGTACCACCATTTACCTGAATTCTGCTGGTGGAGGAGGCAAGTTGTCCTCGGAGAAGGAAGGAGAAGGTGAAGAAGCAGAGTCTGACTGTGGTGGTGGCGGATAGCTACTTGCATCCACGTTTTCAACACAGCCAATGCTGCCATTCTGGTACACCAAAGTGGGTGGATACCTGACAATGAACCGAATGCCAAAAACTGTCATTTAAAGAGCCTGAGTGGGTTTTTTCTTCTTAAAAGGTACTACAAAAATGCATTTGATACAAAAGCTATTAGGGAGAAGTAAAATAGGTATATTTCCCACATATTTTCTGTTACACTGAAATTTTATTTTAAGACTAAATATTCTATTGTCAAATATATCCCAGATATTTATGCTGAATTGTTTGTAGTAACAGGATTCAACCCAGATTATCAAAACCATGCTGTTCCTTGCCCAGTGTTGGCCTTGTCAAACCCAGCAGTTCTTTTAAATTCTCTCCCCAGTGTCAGGTGCAGATATACCTGAATCCCAAAGTCTGTCCTGTGACAAATGTGAAGCCAAGTCTCAGAGGCTAGTGAGCTGCAAACACGTGACTGGCACACAGACTGATTTTGAGGTCAGCAAGCCTCTGGAGAGCTCGAAGGCCAAGGAGGCACTGGATTGCAAAATCAAGCTGAGGATGAATGCAGGGTGCTATGTGGTAGTAAATGTGGTCTTTCTGCCAGGTCTCTTATCAAACCAAATGAGCTGACGATTAAAGTAGCGTGCTAGGGCTTGTCTCATGAAAACCTGTCCCTCAGTGCACTGGGCCTTGGGTGAATTTGTTCTGGGTGAACAACAACAAAACTTCAAACAAGCACAAATACACCAAGCATCAGCTAGCAAAATCTGGCCTGCTCTGCTCCACCTCCCCCTCTTTCCACCATTGTTGGGGTCTAAAGAACTCATCTAAAACAGACCTCAGGGAGAACAGAGTTGGAGAAAACTAACTGAATCAAAAGATGCTCTGATGTGGAAAATCCCCAAGGCCTGGAGCCCTGGAGCCTTGGCACGTCTCTTTATAGGTTCACCAACAGGCATGTCCAGATAGACTAACCATGAAGCCCCAACTCCAAACCGCCTGGACAACAGGAAAATGGAAGGCAAATCCTCATCTTCCTACTCCACAAAAAGAAGACACACATGGGTAGCTGGCATTCTGAACACATAAGCTTCTGGCCTTAGAGTCATTGAACCTATGACAAGTGCCTGTCTGAACAGGATTGGTCCGTGGAACAAAATGTCCCCCTTTACTGGGAGGTGAAGGTAATGAAGGTACCCTCAGGGCTGATTTCCCAGTAGAGAAAAAGGTTCATTTTTTCCTTTCACCATCTTCATCACTCTTTAAAGCAGATCTCTTAATCCACGAAGAACAAGTGTCAGAAGTGTCAAGATTTTTAAAAGTCAAGATTTTCATGGTAGAGTTATTTCTAAAAGCAAGAACAACTCAACTCTTTCCTTTTATCATTCCTAGACACCCAGCATGGGCTGGCATGGTTCTCTGACAGCCATGATGCAGTGTATTTAGAGAAAAAACCAGGGCGACATTCATGCCAAGCAGTCATGGTGACTTGGCTTTGAATGTCAACCAGGTCAGACACCAGGATAAGCATCAAACCAAGCTTTAAAACCATCTTTTTCCCCCTTTAAACCTCCAGTGTGATTTGGTATTGGGAAATGGGGTCAGACTGACACCTCTTATTTCTCCACAGAGATATATAGCCTCAATACTGGCCAAGCAACCTTTCCCACACTGTCTATGAGGTCTGCATTCAGTCCCTTGGCTAGCTTCTCTCCCATGACTGACAAAGGCTGACTGAAAAGTTGCTTTGGTGATGTGAACAGCTTTCTTGCCTAGCCCTCCCCAGCCCTGAGAGTGAAATGCCCAGTTCTTAGGCATGACCTTCAAATCAATGCTCTGGAGGCAAAGGATTCCCAAGACCACTTTTCTTCCCTTTCCAATCTTTCCTCTGGGGCCCTTAGATGTGTATCTCGCAGAGTAAGGGCACTAGGAGCCATGGGCTTTCTTTTCCAGACCACTCCAATCACCTCATTTAAATTGCTGAATCTCTTGATTTATTTAGCAAATTTTCATCACCAGATGGATGCACTTTAAAGTAGCTGATTAACAGTGGTATTGATCTAAGCCACAGAGACAGACTTCAGGGGGTGTGAAAGGTGTCACACCAGAGCTGTCAGACTGTTGTCCCCAGCCCCTTCAAAGAATGCTACCAACAGTACAAAGGCATTACCTACCCAGAAGTCCCCAGCTTTTCTTTGGACTCCACAAATTCTTGCCCCATCTTCATTTTCTCCCACTCTTCCTTACGTGTCTTGATTTTACGTGGGTTTACATTCCCTCGATTTGGATTATCTTTCTTTTCTTTCTATAATGAAAAGGAACAGGAAGGTCTTTGTAGAACATTTTCCAAGTTCTTCATTAAAATTCTACCCATCTTCATGGATGCGTATCTAAGAGATAATCTGCCTAGACAACATACAATAACTACAGAACTTACAGAATTACTGGGTTTGAAGTGACCCAGAGGCCATCTAATCCAAACCATCCCCGGGTGAAACATTTGCTCAATCCCACACTCAAATGCCTCCAGCAACGGGAACCCCACTTCCTCTTTGGATAACTCATTCACATTTTTGAAAAGCTCTAATTGCTAGATGTTAGTAAACAGCTATTTATTATTTGCTCAGCCCCAAAGGTCAGTCAAGAGAGATGAGATGTAATGAGACCTGCAGTTATCTGGGGCACATATAAGGAAATAGTTTAAACAAAACAAAACAAAACAAAAATCAATGAAGAATTTTTCCGCCTGTGCAGCTGCTCTTGCCCCTGGCACTCTCTTGGGCCTCCTGGCAGCCATGCTAATGGGACTGAGGTTGCAACTGGTAGGTCACATACATACCAGGAAGAGTCTATGGGGAGGGAGAATCTTCAAAACCTACATATATCCCCCCACCCTAGCCCCGCCCAGCCCGTAGCGAAGGCATTAAACTGCTCCTGTTGCAAATCAAACACTGCAGAACCTTGTGCTGATCTCTGAGAAATGAGCTGCAAAACTAGTGGAGAAGGGACTAGCCTAGCTTGAGTGTCCAGCAGAGTCAGGTGCAAATTGCAAGAGAAATAAATGGTGAATAGAAAAGTCAATTTCTAAAACTCAGCCTGAATATACTCAATTGTTAATAGCACTGGGGGGAACAAACACATTTTTGGTATGATTTATACTTTCATCTTGGTTGTGCTTGGTGTGGACACATTTTTTTAAGAGTTTCACCTGGCATCCAAGCAAGCAGCCACTTGAAATGATTACTTCACATAACACTGGCTTCCTTTTTATCCCCCTCCACAATCGTGCCTACTGATGTGGAGAACAGAGGCCCCTTTCCCCTCACCCTATGCTTTCTCTTCTCTTTCATGATATCCTTGGTGTCCTGCAGCATCTTCTCCTTCCAAAGATCAAAGAAGTATGAAGGGTCTGTGTAGAATTTGAGTGCCTCTTTTCCATCGTCCCTGGGATAGAAATGAAGACAAGTAGCTGTCAGTAGACAGATGAGCTCCCAACCAAATCCAATATTCCAAACACCTACCAGTTAGCAGTTTTTACACCAAGGAATCAAGAAGTCATTTGAATCGATTGCATACCTCCTCTCCCATACCAGCATTTCAATGCCCCCGAATGGCACCTCTCTACTTATCAGACTTTTTAAGAACCTTAGCCTTACTTTCAATTCCTGGTAGATGAATTTGCATTGTCAGGGCAAGTACAGGTGATAGCAGCAGGGATCCTGATTACTTCTGATGATCTGCATGGCCACAGAGATCTCCCTGAGGATATTCGGATTTCCTGGTACATCAGAGGGGATTTCTACCACTGGTTCCTCTTTTCCCACCAGTTCCCCAAGGACTCTCTAGAAAGCATCAGTAGCTTCCCACCCACTGGAAACCTGTGTGCACATGTGGGAGTTCATGTGTATGCATATGTACACATATATACGTGAAAAGTGTGTGGTTTACAGCTGTTATTTCTCTGCACACACAGAAAACCAACCACAGCACTCCACCTTCTTGCTCCCTTCTAGAACAGCTCAGCATCCACATACACCCCAACCACAAGAGGGCTCCAGTGAGAAAAGATGGCCAGCTGTTGTAAGACCACAAGGTTTAATCACCAGCTTCTAATTAATGGCTGTGCCAGTGGGACAGAGTAAACTACTTAGTGTCCATATAAGGGCTATCTGCCAGATTCAATGGTCCTAGTTGGAATCTTGCATTTTGGCATGGATAAGGTCCTCTCACTATCCAGAAAGGATGTGCTTAGGAGTGAACATTTATCTTAACATTATTCTGAACTAAAAAGAACTGGAAAGGCAATTCTATTCCCTACCCTCCAATCCTATCACAACACAGAAAGCACTTCCAAATCAAACATTAATAATTTCTATATTAAATCTTCTCCTGAGTTAGATACACCACCACTCATTTCTGTTAGGCCAAGTTCAGATAACTGAGAGGCCACGCTAATTCTGACACTGTATGCTAAAAAGAAAAATACCATTAACTGAAGAATAAAATTCTCCTAATATCATTTGTTTATGCAATCCCACCACACAAACCCTATGTTATACTCGCTACAATATTATCAGTTGTATGACCCCTTTCTGCCCCACAACCCCTCTGCCCAAACCCAACTAGACTCAATAACGGAGGCTGCAGAGTCAAACCTCTGTCCTGCTATGCTGGTCCCTTTGAAAGCCAAGGGGCAAACATAATTTTACAAGTAAAATGAAGGACAGATGCCATGTACTTTATATCTGTGTGAGAAGGCTCCCTGAATCTGACTGGTGTCCTTGAATTTCACGTGGGTACACACACACACACACTCTACCTTGCAGTGTACACATGTCTGATAGAAGACATCTGCCTCCAGCTATCTGTAATTACTTTTTACCTGCTCCAAAGATATATATGGGTGTAAGCAAGATAAATATTCACCTTCTGCCCCTCTTCAGTGGTTTTTTGCAGGATGACAAAACTACCAAACCACTAGAGGAGAGGGGCTTTGTCTATAAGGCTACCTTCTTTTTCAAGTCCAGGCACAGCAGAGTAGGTCCTTACAGAAGGAAATGTCCAAAGGATGTTCAAAACAAAGTGAACGATGCTCATTTGGAAGAATGCGAATTACTCCTTAAGCTTTGGAAAGACCCCTTTGGGCCCAGAGCAGCCAGGCCAAGAGGCTGGCCCCACTAACACACCCAAACATCTGGTAATCTAGTGGTTTCCAAGTAAGTGGGAGCCTTGCTAGAATGTTGCCCCTGGGATCCATGCTGTAGGACCGCCTTGTAACAAAGTCCTTTTGGTTCTATAATAACTAAATTCCTTGGATGGAATCCAAGATGGACCTGGCTTATATGAAATTAAACTCTGTAGCATGCAATGGTTACAGTAAACTTTCAATATGTATTATATTCACTATGAATTTCAGAAACCAAACAATAATAAGTGACAATTTTTATGGTGTAAATTTTAGTTTCTGCTGCCACAGAAACTACCACAACTTTGGGGTAGGCAGTAAGCTTTTAGATACAATCCTCTGATGGAAACAACCGCTTCAGACAAAAAAAAATCTAGCGTTATTAAACCATAGGTTGAAAAAGGGAGGAACTAGCCAGCCATTACCTGTAAGGGGTAAGATTGTTGAGAGGGGGAGGAGTATCACAGGTATTGTATGTTTCTAAGACAGGCACTGGGAGAGAGTTTCTGTCAAAAAGCTTCTGGTCTTGAATGGTGGAACTTCTGAAGGCTTTTCGGGTGTTGATTCCTTGCAGTGACACTGAGAGAAGATGGAAGGCGTTAGAAAATGGACGACAGGCTATTTGAGCAAACACTGAGTCACACCAGTCGGAGAGGCCTCAGCTGCTGCACTTCTTGGCTGTGGCTGTCCGCAGCCAGGCTTTTTTTTTCCCTCCCCCTCTGGGGAAGCCCCACAAGGCTGTCAGCAGCCCAGTCGTTTCACGACTGAACAAAATGAGGCAACACAAAGGTTTACTATGTGGCCAGATCTAGCAGGCCTCTCCTTAGGAGGAATGAATCTTCCAAGTACTTTTATGGTAGCAAAATACGATTGAGGGAGGGGAAATTTGAGAAAGAAGGAATTGGGGGAATGGGAGAAAGGAGTGCATGGGGGTGTGGTGGAGCTAAAAAGGTTCTTTCCAGCACTCAGGCTTGTGTGATTTCAAAGCAGAACTCTATAGGTCTCTGTGATTTCTCTCCTCACGTTTTTTTTTTTTTAAATAAATCAGGGAAAAAAAATTCTACAAAACTGCTCAGCAGAGCCTGCAAATGCTGAGCTCAGCTTTCTTACCTTCTTCTTCCTTGGGATCCAGCTGAGTGACTTTAACCTGTAGTCGGTCGACCCTCTCAGCAAGGGAGCTTACCCGAGAGGCAAAGGTATTTGCCTGAGTAAAGAGCTCTCCAAAAATGTCCTCTGCATATTTACCTGGAAAGAGCAAAGAAACCAAGTCACTAGTGCATAGAAGTAACGTAAATGGTCACAAAAACTGGCTACTAAAGATCGTGTTCCCTAACCCCCAAACACATACATATACACACACATACCCTAAGACGGTTTGGGCTATATGCAGATGACTGCTCTTAGAGACAGAGAAATACTCTTCATAGTTTAGGAAGCCTGCATATGTTCTATAACTAATAGAGTCTTCTTGACAGACGTGAACAGTCATGAGACTCAAAACAGGCTGAATAAAACTGAAAGGTGTAATGCAAAAAATTAAGCCTGGAAGAAAAGATAATATTTCTACACATTTCCAGCCTGGGCAACATGGGGAAACCCCGTCTCTACTAAAAATACAAAAATTAGACAGGCGTGCTGGCAGGCACCTATAATCCCAGCTACTGGGGAGGTTGAGGCAGGAGAATTGCTTGACCTCGGGAGGCGGAGGTTGCAGTGAGCCAAGACCGAGCCACTGCACCCCATCCTGGGTGACGGAGCGAGACTCCAAATAAAATAAACACTACACATTTGCCTATAGCCCTTAGCCTCTTGCTGTTCTGTAAAAGTACCTTATAAAACGGTTCTGAAAAACAGATTGGGAGTTCAGAGGACGTTCTACGTATCTAAAATTAACATGAAAAATAGGAAATTAGTTCCTCAATGGAGCCTTGAAAATACAGTGAACAACTATGATCAGTTGTGTTATCTTTGAGGGGCCCTGAGCTTATCAACAAGCCATAGCAGAGATATACAACTTCTTTTAAGAGGTGGGAAGGTTCCTTTATGTTTTATAACTTATAATTTTTTTTTCTTTTTTTGGAGACAGAGTTTCCCTCTGTCACCCAGGCTGCAGTACAGTGGCGTGATCTCGGCTCACTGCAACCTCCATCTCCTGGGCTCAAGCGATTCTCATGTATTAGCCTCCCGAGTAACTGGGATTACAGATGCGCACCACCATGCCAAACTAATTTTTGTATTTTTGGTAGAGATGGGGATTTGCCAGGTTGCCCAGGCTGGTCTCAAACTCCTGGCCTCAAGTGATCCGCCCACCTTGGCCTCCCGAAGTGCTGGGATTACAGGTGTTCTAGCCACCATGCCCGGCTTGTAACCTATAACTTTCAAAGTCTGCTCTAGGTTACAATCCTTCAAATCTACATCTCAGGAACCAAGTGAAAAGCTGAAACTTTCAAGCCCTCTCTGAAAAACAACATAGCAGTGGTCTCTTTCCACAATGTCTTGTTTTTTAGAAAAAGAAAAGTTCCGTACTTTCAACCCTGGAATGCAAGGAGAATTTGCAGCCAAAGAAACATAACAGCAATTTGACACTACCTCTATATTGTCATTCCAAGCCACAGGCACATTCTTACTAGGAATGAAAAGTGGTGCATACAAATAAATATACCATCTGAGCTTTTTTTTTTTTTTTTTTTTTTTTGAGACAGAGTCTTGCTCTATCCCCCAGGTGGAGTGCAGTGGCACGCAATCTCAGCTCACTGCAGCCTCTGCCTCCCGCGTTCAAGTGATTCTCCTGCCTCAGCCTCCTGAGTAGCTGGGATTACAGGTGCCTGCCACAACGCCCGGCTCATTTTTTGTATTTTTAGTAGAGACGGGGTTTCATCATGTTGGCCAGGCTGGTCTTGAACTCCTGACCTCAGGTGATCTGCCCACCTCAGCCTCCCAAAGTACTGGGATTACATGCATGAGCCACCACGCCCGGGCCTACCATCTGAGCTTCTTGCAAGGTGAAGGCACGCATAAGAGACTGTGCCCAATCAAATGATAATCTTTTTTTGAGAACTATTTAAAGTAGGCTCTAATTTTTAGCTTCAAAACTACATTTATGCTTAGTCCATATTTGAGGGGGAAAAAATAGCCTGAAAGGCCAAAACCACACCTTCAGGGTGAACTGCAGCTCACCTTCCCAGTACAACCTGAAGAGTGGGGATAAGACCAATCAACTGCATATTTTGAATTGCTGGTAAATTTAAGTCAATAAGGACTTCTAATCAAGGAAGAAGCAAGTCCTTGCATATTGATCGTTTGTGACCTAAACAACTATGGGACGCTCCTGAGCTCAAAGAACTCAAATTGGCTGACAAGCATTTCTACTCTGCAGGTTGAGGATTTTATTTGATCCCTGTTCTAATATGGCTAAGTTCCTATGAAAACCATACTGTATCATGCTTGTCTAGGTAATGGAAAATTGTGTTTGGAAGGCTGAAACAGAGAAATATGCAACATTATGTGTGGAAAACAAACCAAGCTCAAAAATATCTGTTAAAAATAAAAGAAGGCTAGGCATGGTGGCTCATGCCTGTAATCCCATCACTTTGGGAGGCCAAGGTGGGCAGATCACTTGAGGCCAGAAGTTTGAGACCAGCATGGGCAATATGGCAAAACCCTGCCTCTAATAAAATTACAAAAAAATTAGGCCAGGCGTGGTGGCTCATGACTATAATCCCAGCACTTTGGGAGGCCAAGGGAGGCAGATCACCTAAGGTCAGGAGTTTGAGACCAGCCTGGCCAACATGGTGAAACCCCATCTCTACTAATAATACAAAAATGAGATGGGCATGGTGGCAGGCGCCTGTAATCCCAGCTACTCAGGAGGCTGAGGCAGAAGAATTGCGTGAACCTGGGAGACAGAGGTTGCAGTGAGCCAAGATCGCGCCATTGCACTCTAGCCTAGGTGAGACAGCGAGACTCCATCTCAAAAAAAAAAATTAGCTGGGCGTGGTGGCGGACACCTGTAATCCCAGCTACTCAGGAGGTTGAGGCATGAGAATCACTTGAACTTGGGAGGCAGAGGTTGCAGTGAGCCCAGATCATGCCACTGTACTCCAGCCTATCTCAAAAATAATAATAATAAATAAAATGAAATAAAAGAAAAGAAAAAAGAAAAATATCTATTAACCATCCAGCTATTCTGGAGGGGGAAAAAAAAAAAACAATCAACTTACACCAAGAGTCACCAAGAGTACCTAGGATTTCCTGCTCCTTAAGTGAAGGGGATAGTGATAGTAGAAGTAGAGGCTCAGTGTGGCACAGTGGTTTTCAAGAAAAAATCTTACACAGAACCTCAACATATAAAACTGGTAACAATAAGATCTCTGTTTTAAGAGGAAGTGAGGTGGTGTGAAGGCTTCCCCACTATCTCATCACCTCAGGCCCGAGGCAGACTTAGAACTATACTGAGACATGGAAGGAGCAGTTGACTTCAAACCAGAAAATCTGGGCTGGGCGCAGTGGCTCATGCCTGTAATCCCAGCACTTTGGGAGGCTGAGGTGGGCGGATCACGAGGTCAGGAGATCACAACCATCCTGGCTAACACGGTGAAACTCCATCTCTACTAAAAATACAAAAAATTAGCCAGGCGTGTTGGTGGGCGCCTGTAGTCCCAGCTACTCAGGAGGCTGAGGCAGGAGAATTGCATGAACCCAGGAGGCGGAGCTTGCAGTGAGCCGAGATTGTGCCACTGCACTCCAGCCTGGGTGACAGAGCAAGACTCCGTCTCAAAAAAAAAAAAAAAAAAGAAAATTGGAATCAGTCTCAGCTCTTTCTATTTATACTCGTGTACTCATCAGCAAGTCACAATCTCCCAGCCTTAGTTTCCTCATCTGTAAAGTGGGGATAATATCTACCCCATCAAGTTACCATAAGGATTAAGTGAGCTAAAAATGTGAGTTGTTACAATGAGATTCTTCCTTATACTCCTCAACCACATTACATGACTTAAGAGTGTAAATACCTAAGGCCAGACACGGTGGCTCATGCCTATAATCCCAATGCTTTGGGAGGCCGAGGCGGGTGGATCACTGAAGACCAGGAGTTTGAGATCAGCCTGGCCAACATGGTGAAACCCTGTCTCTACTAAAAATATAAAATTTAACCAGGCATGGTGGCACATCATCTTGTAATCCCAGCTACTCAGGAGGCTGATACATGAGAATCGCTTGAGCCCAAGAGGCAAAGGTTGCAGTGAGCCAAGATCATACCACTTCACTTCAGCCTGGGCAACGGAGTGAGACTCCATCTCAAAAAAAAAAAAAAAAAAAGTGTTAATTCTAAATACCCTAAGTTTTTGATTTTCAAATTTTTTTTTTTTATTTTTTAGACAGAGACTTGCTCTGTTGCCCAGGCTGGAATGCAATGGCACAATCTCAGCTCACTGCAACCTCTGCCTCCTGGATTCAAGAGATTCTCCTGCCTCAGCCTCCCAAGTAGAAATACAGGCGCAGGCCCAGCTAATTTTTGTATTTTTAACAGAGAAGGGGTTTCACCATGTTGGCCAGGCTGGTCTCGAACTCCCAACCTCAAGTGATCCGCCTTGGCCTCCTCAAGTGCTGGGATTACAGGCGTGAGCCACTGTGCCCAGCCTAAATACCCTAAGTTTTAAGCTTAGAGGAAAATTTTAAATATAATTCCAATCAGTAATTTGATAGTATCTATTCTTCAAGTGCTAAAAATTACTCCAACTTCTGAAAACAGAAGTGTGATACTGAACTAGGAAAAACCAAAGTGTCTTGTTCAGAGTTAAATTTCACTCACTCAGATTACCAAGACAGACCCAATATCCATCATTATCCAACATTCATACAGATACCACATTTTGCAAAAGATTCTAGGAAGCAGTCTTCAATTTTGTTTTTTCCTTAGCAGAACACTTCAAATGAAATGTTACGTGGAAGTAGAACAGGTAAAACTGATGTTTAAAAATGTGAAGCTGCTCTTATTGAAGTCTGAGTGGGAGTCTTGGAGCTCCCCAATGGCATGCCCCACCCCCTCACCCACACTGCAGTCAGTTAGAAACCCAATATCTAGCTTGATTTTTTAATGACCCAAGTGGGGGTTCCATTCTCCCGAGTGGCCACAATACTGATACAAAGTGCTGGCTGGCTGTGCCTGTATTTCCTAAGATACAGCAACCGAATATGCGAAATGCCAATCTCACTATTCTGAGAAAAAATAAGAATTCTGGATGTGCTGTCACAGAGCCATCTATGGCTGTGGAATTTTTAGTTTTATGCTTTATCCATTCCATAATCAGACTTTCACTACTAAATTGAGAAGTTCCACCCAGGTACAATGCACATGAGGCCAAGGTCATGAGCCTGAAGCACATATGAACCCTTCCCTGCACTCCTCTCAGCTAGATGAAATCCCAGTCATCTTTCAAGGTCCCATTCAAATGTAACCTCTTCTGTGAAGTCTTCCTTGACCCCGCCTATCCCTACCTGTGCCCCCACTACCCACAGAAAGTATTCTTTCCATTCCTACATTCTTTGTGCATCAATAGCACGGAATAGTGGGAAATATATAGGCGTGAATTATTCGACATTTACTGAGTTTCTACTGGGTGACAGGTACTATACAAGGTAGACACTGGGGTTCAAGAACAAACAATACATGATTTCTACCTTCAACAATTTTTTTTTTTTGGTTGCCCAGGCTGGAGTGCAGCAGTGCTATCTCAGCTCACTGCAGCCTTCACCTTCTGGGCTCAAGTGATCCTCCTACCCCAGCCTTGCACCTCAGCCTTCCAAATAGCTGCAAGTACAGGCACACGCCACCACACCCAGCTAATTTCGTTTATATTTTGTAGAGACAGGGTCTCACTATGTTGCCCAAGCTGTCTCAAATTCCAGGGCCCAAGCAATCCTCCCGCCTCCACCTCCCAGAGTGCTAGGATTACAATTGTGCCCAGCCAATAATTTTTAATTGAGACATAGGTGATTTGTGATACAATGTGATAGGATAATATAGGCATGTAACGGGAGCTCAGAGGAACACTCTTAGCCCAACCTGGAAGAGAAGATTCCTGAGCTGGGCCTTGAAGGATCAGCTACAGGCAGCCAGACAGACAAAGATGGCAAGGGCTGTTCAGCCAGTGGGGATAGCAAGAGCACTGTATGGACATATGAGAGAGCATGGTCTGTCTCAGGAGAATTACTAGTAGCTGATAATTCATTCTTTTTTGCTTTCCTTTTTCATTTTATTTATTTATTTGAGACAAGGTCTCGCCCTGTTGGCCAGTGCTGGAGTGGCATGATCATGGCTCACTGCAGCCTTGAACTCCCAGGCTCAAGCGATCCTCCAACCTTATCCTCCCAACCAGCTAGGACTACAGGTGTACAGCACCACACCTGGATAATTTTTTAATTTTTGTAGCGACAGGGTCTCAGTATATTGCCAGGACTGGTCTCGAACTCCTGAGCATAAGCAATACTTGTGTCTCAGCCTCCTAGAGTACTGGGATTACAGGTGTGAGCCACTATGCCAAGCCCCCTTTTTCCATTTTAAAAGACTGTAAAATGAAGGCTGGGCGTGGTGGATCACGCCTGTAATCCCAACACTTTGGGAGGCTGAGGCGGTTGGATCACCTGAGGTCAGGAGTTTGAGACCAGCCTGGCCAACAAGATGAAACCCCGTCTCTACTAAAAATACAAAAAATTGGCCAGGCGCAGTGGCTCACGCTTGTAATCCCGGCACTCTGGGAGGCCCAGGTGGGCGGATCACGAGGTCAGGAGATTAAGACCATCCTGGCTAACACGGTGAAATCCTGTCTCTTCTAAAAATACAAAAAAATTAGCCAGGCATGGTGGCGGGCGCCTGTAGTCCCAGCTACCTGGGAGGCTGAGGCAGGA
Source organism: Homo sapiens (assembly GCF_000001405.40). Lineage (NCBI taxonomy): Eukaryota > Metazoa > Chordata > Mammalia > Primates > Hominidae > Homo > Homo sapiens. The sequence goes on from NC_000001.11 coordinate 27,425,749, forward strand.
GAATGGCGTGAACCTGTGAGGCAGAGCTTGCAGTGAGCCGAGGTGGCGCCACTGCACTCCAGCCTGGGCAACAGAGTGAGACTCCGTCTCAAAAAAAAAAAAAAAAAAAAAAAAATTAGCTGGGTGTGGTGGCACATGCCTGTAGTCCCAGCTACTCGGGAGGCTCAGGCAGGAGAATCACTTGAACGCAGAGGCGAAGGCTGCAGGGAGGGACCCGAGATCTCGCCATTGCACTCCAGCCTAGGCAACAAGAGCAAAACTCTGTCTCAAAAACACAAAAATTAAAAAAAAAAATTGTAAAATGGAAGACAGACTGTAGAAAATGAGGCTAGAAAGGAAGGCAGGTCTTGCAGGGTCCTGAATGCTAGGCCAAGGAACTTAAATAATTCCACAGTGAGGAAGAGGGGAGAGAAATAGTTGCGATGTGTACTCTGACTATAAAAACACTTGTTACATTACAAAAGTTAACACAGAACTTTCAAACCTTCAGAAATTCAGAATCATAAAAAGTAAAAAGTGAGATTTGATTTTTAGGCAGATCACTCTGGCAGGGATATAGGAACAGATTTAAGGGGGTTGGATCAGAGAAAGAAGGTAGAGGGAGGCTTGGGTAATAGTTTAGGTGAAAGTCAATGAAGTCTAAACCAGGGCAATATTGGCAGAGACAGCGAGTAAGGGACAGAGCTGAGAAATCTGTAGGAAGTCTGAGTTTAAACAGTGACTTTGCCTCTTACTGGCTGTATCTCTTTAGGCAAGTTAACTTAATTTTTTTTTTTTTTTGAGATGAAGTCTCGCTCTGTCGCCCATGCTGGAGTGCAGTGGCACAATCTCAGCTTACTACAACCTCCGCCTCCCGGATTCAAGCGATTCTCGTGCCTTAGCCTCCCGAGTAGCTGGGATTACAGGTGTGTGACAACATACCTGGCTAATTTTTGTATTTTTTGTAGAGACGGGTTTCACCATGTTGGCCAGGCTGGTCTAGAACTCCTGACCTCAAGTGATCCACACCCTTCAGCCTCCCAAAGTGCTGGGATTACAGGCATGAGCCACTGTGCCTGGCCAAGTTACCTTATTTTTCTGAGCCTTATTTTCTTTATCTGAAAAATGGGAATACCACCACCTAATCTCATAGGATTACTGAGAAGATTAAATGAGATAATCTATGTCAAGATCTTATCCAAACCTGGCATAAAGTAGGCAATCAACAAATGTGGGTTCCCTTCTCACTCTCTTCCCATTCTCTCCTCTTAGGAATTATTTATTTCTGCCTCCCCTTGTAGATTATGAGTCCTGGAGGGCAGAGACAATTTCTTATTATTGCCTCTTATTCTTATTCTTATTGAGTATCCCCTCAGCAGCTGGTACATAAAATATGTTCAACACAAGTTTATTGGATGAATAAAGGATCAGTTAGCCCCCACAATGTAAGAAAATCTTGTTTCCTTGGGCATAAGGTGACTTTGGCCCTCAGATCAGCTTCCCCAAGATAGGAGTGGTCTGATCACAAGTGGGAGTGTGAGCAATGGCATCCATCAACACCACCCTGGAAAAATAGCTGAGAGAGAGCGTAACTTCAGTAAGTGGAAATAAGAAGCATCATTAGCTAGATGTTCTTTGTCCTATGAAGAAGGAACCAGTGTGTGATTGATTGACTTCCACCCATTTGGCCTTCTCAGAGAGAGACAGAGAGAGGCAGAAATTATGCCTTTAAAAAGCAGTGAGGTCTCTGCAGCCTTGATGTGCTTCCTCGTCAGCTGCACTGCTGTTGTGCTACTGTCAGTGTTCCTTTGTGTAAGACAGGCACTGGCAGGGTTTCATTTCTTCATGATGCCCCATCTAGGTTTCTCTAAGCCCTGGATCAACTGAGATGATCCCTGAGGTAGGTGAAGGCTTAGGAATCTCAGACTCCATACATCATCTGGTCATAGAGTTCTGTCTCCTCAGCCTCCTATTTTAAAGGCTGGGCCTATTGCTATACGGGAGAATGCAGGCTTTCTTGATATTCCACTGCCTTCACTAAGGGCAGTGATGCGATAGGAGGGGTGACTATCTGAAATAATTCACACCAAGATGCCTTTGCTAAGGAAGATCACTAAAATGGCATTTTGACGGAGGTTCTTATGGGAGCTGGAGTGGCACTAGATAAATGCAGAGCCAATCCAAGCATCTGCCCTTCCCATATCTCAGCTTCAAGCAAACAAAGTCAACTTGATTCAGAATGAAATCCAAACCACATGCATGTACCCCACCCAAGGCAGTCTCATTCATTCTTGCCAATTAAAAAAATATATATAGTTGAGCTGGCTTTCCTTCAGCTCCAAAACAGTCTGGGCTAACCCCCATCTTCCTCCTAAGGAAGAATGGCTCCAGCTACTATTTGTGTCACTGTATGTTCACACAGCTTGCAAAACTCCCAATACCCCAGAGACTGCAGAAGTAATCTGTACCCTGAACTTGGACCTGGGGGCTTGCAGCACAATTAAATGTGTACCAGGGTGGACAAGTCAGTCAGAATCTCTCCGAAGGCATGTTTGCTTTACTCCTCTTTGGGAAGAAAAGGGGTGGGGGTGTTGGGTAGATAAAAACTATTGGCACATTTGAGGCTTCAACAAAGTCAGGCTACATCGAACAGCTCGTGTAATTACAGGCACATTCCCCGACCCAAGATACTGCTCTGTGAACCTCCCACTTTACACACACAGAATTCTGCTCTGTCATTCCGTCTGCAGTTTTTGCTGCAGCCCTTCCTGCCACCCTTCCCACAGATTTCTGTTGAAGCAGGTGGAGGGGGAGGGAGGAGGGAACCTAGAGGGTGGTGGTAGATAAAGAAGGTTGAAGAGAAGAAGCTACACCAAAAGGGAGCCTCTCTTTGGGGAGGAGAGGGAGGATACATTTTCGCATTACCTAGGGAAGGCAGATGGGGGAGAAATAGGAACGCGGGAGGAGAAGGAAACTAAATAAAGAGCACCAACGACCCCTGAGGGCAAAGCACAGGCTCTCTGAGGCACTCACTCAGGCTGCCCAGCTGTCGGATGACATTTGCCAGGGTGATGTTGGTCACGCATTCCAGCTCGCTTCTAACGCTAGGCAACGTCTGACGGCACAGGTGCCTTGGCTCGATGTTCCTCGTTACTAACGGCATGGTGGACCTGCTTCAGGCAATGTTCTGAATGGTGAAAAACAACCTAAAAAAGAAATAACAGGAAAGTATTACTCAACCACAAATTCCAGGCACACTAGGGCTGTGTGAATCTTTTTTTTTTTTTTTTTTGGTCTTACCCTGATCTAAAACAGCTTTAAAAAAAATCTTCATTCTCCCTATCTTTTTTTTTCTTTCATTTTTAAGTCCTCTCTCCCTTGCCCTTTTTAAGGTTTGCTATTAGAAGATCTGCTATGTAAGTTTAGAAATTCTGGACTTGGTGACTGCTGCCTGAGGTACATAGGCAGCATAGAAACATTAAAGTGCCAACTACTGCTCCAACCAACAAGAGTCTCCAGAGGCAAGGAGGCATGGTTAGAAAACAGCCCATTCAGCAGACACTGGACGGTACAGATCCTATCCCTGGGGTGTTCATAACCAGGACAGATCAGATTCTAGGCCACCAATTATAAAGATCAAAAAAGAACACTGTCACCTGATAATCTCCACAACGAAATCAAGCTGCCAATAGTGATTGATATACATCAGGATTAACTTTTCCAGTCCTTCCTTGGTAAATGGCTGTTAATGTATAGCTAACCACTAGGCCGGGCATGGTGGCTCACGCCTGTAATCCCAGCACTTTGGGAGGCTGAGGCAGGTGGATCACCTAAGGCCAGGAGTTCGAGAGCAGCCTGGCCAAGATGGTGAAACCCTGTCTTTAGTAAAAATACAAAAAATTGGCCAGGCGTGTCGCGGGTGCCTGTAATCCCAGTTACTGAGGAGGCTGAGGCAGGAAAATTGCTTGAACCCGGAAAGCAGAGGTTGCAGTGAGCTGAGATTGCGCCATTGCACTCCAGCCTGGGTGACAAGAGCAAGACTCCGTCTCAAAAAAAAAAAAAAAAGTATAGCTAACTACTAATGCCAGTATCTCTTAAGTTTAGTTTGTAAATTGACTGAACGAGAGAATATAAAGTAAAAATTTTACACATTCAATATGTCAAACATGATGCTGAGTAAACTGTGCTGTAAGATTCCCTGGTGCTTTCTCTTCTACCCAACAGCTCCCTTTCTTGCTCCCATCCGGTTCAACACACCTGGGCCAAAAGGCTCTAGAGACAGCAGGAAATGTCTGGAGCAGATCCGGAAACCTTCCAGTTACTGTTTCTTATCCGGTGGGCTGAGCCCCTTTCCCTAGGAAATCCCCCAGCACTTCAGGTTCATGCTGAGCTATTGTTTTAGATTTAGATTACCGAATTCCTAGTTTTACAAGGATAGGAGAGGGTTTTAATTTCCACAAAATGGATATGACTACAGTCAAGGCACAATGAACTGATCCTCTTTCCACATCTTATAAAACTAAAGAAATCTAAAACAGCCTAATGGTTTTCATGCTAGGGAAAATGACAAATTCACTTCACATGAAAAGGTAAAGCATAAAGTTAACATACCTAAGTCCTCAATTTTTTTTCTTATTTTTTATTCTTTTTTGAGACAGGGTCTCGCTCTGTCACCCAGGCTAGAGTGCAGTGGCACGATCTCAGCTCACTGCAACCTCCACCTACTGGGCTCAAGCGATCCTCCTGCCTCAGCCTCCCAAGTAGTTAGGATTACAGGCATGCACCACCACGCCCAGCTAATTTTTGTATTTTTTTGTAGAGATGAGGTTTTGCCATGTAGCCCAGACTTGTCTCGAACTCCTGAGCTCAGCCTCCCAAAGTGCTGGGACTATAAGCATGAGCCACCACGCCCAGCCTTTTTGTTTTTTTGAGACGGGGTCTCACTCTGTCATCCAGTATGGAGTGCAATGGTGCGATCACAGCTCACTACATTCTTGACCGCCTTGCTCAAATGATCCTCCTACCTTAGCTTTCCGAATAGCTGGGCCAAGTCCCCAATATTATAAACTCCTCTTTATATATTTAAAAAAAAAAAAAAGCAAAACAAGGGTTTATTTACATCAAATCTTAAAATACCAGCTCATCACCAAAACGTTGACTGTGAATACAAAATGCTTAAACCAAACTAAATATTACAGACATATTGTCTGACCAAAAGAGAAAAAAAAATCTTTCAGGCTCAAAGGGGGAGTAGAACCCTTCGGAACAGACTGCTCCTTGTTATGGACATTCTGATCTGCTACAAGTAAAAATAAAACAGGAAGCCAGCAGCTTGGGGAACAAGATTTCCTGTCACCAACAGCAACAGCCCAAGAACCAAGAGAATCAGCTGTTTGCTTATAACTTTGAACCTCCCTTTAATAGTCACTGTGTGGCAGCTGTGCCTATCTTTGGGGTGCAGAGGTGTTTCCTGAATACTTGTCTACTGTCTAAGGAAATGATTTCCATTCCACTTCTCTGCTGAATTCCCCCTTTGACCCCATGGGTTTTCTAGTCCAAACCCTGGACTTTCCAATTTAACTCTTTCCCTCTTTTATTTAATGTAAAGGGTATCAGGTACTAAGATGCAATCTTCAGTAACACATGGTAAAGAGAGTTTAGAACAGGAAAGGTGGGAGGAGGTTACATATGAAAGAACCTTGCAGGGCTCTGAACACCATCCTCTAGGTGTCCTTAGATTCCCAAATTTCAAACTTTCAAGATCAACCAGAAATTTGGTGTACAGCCAGGAATGACTGGAAACAGCCACTGTGGCTCTTCCACTGGTAATCATTTGAGTACTCATTCCAGCTTCTCAGAGGAGCTAAAAGAACCAGACCACCTTGAAATGCTGTGCTGAATGTGACCAATGACAGGGCATTCTGGACTTTCCCTCTGGATACCTAATGGAAACTAGATTCCAGATGGCTACATAAATTTCAGATTGAGGGTGGGGGGCAAATTCTAACACCTTGGTACTTTAGCACTTATGGTTTTCTAAGTGCCTTGGATAAGCAGAACAAACAACTAACTGTATGTCATCTGTTTGGGGTTTACCTGGAACCAAGTTTTCTAAAGCAAATGGCTTATTGTCAAAAAGGCCACTTACCACAACCAGCGGGAGGGTACTCGAGAAATAACAATATGTCAATATCTATTAGGACAAAACAATTAGAAAAGTTTATCTGCTATCGTTTAAAGTGATTTGTTTCAAAGCCACCAAAGAGAGACAAAATTCCTTGTATGTGAAATGACATGCACCATTGCTCATTTTTCTTTTGGATAATCAAGGATTGGTTTGTACAAGAAGCATGGAGTTATGCATGATCTGAACCACAACAGTAACTTGACCAAGAAGAAAAAAATCTTACATTCAGGTGAAAATAAACTTAGAATTGGGCAAAAAGATTTCCAGGCTCTCTCTCTCACACTTCAAGTTATAGAAAATGTATCGGCTTTATGGAGTCGACACATTCTTAGGTTAGCACCCTGACTAGTACACCTTACTGTGTGATCTTGGGGGCAATTTTCCTAGAGACATTAAATAATATATATAAAATAAAAAACCCACTACAGGGCTTTTAAAAAAAGGCAGTTATAGGCCGGGCGCGGTGGCTCACGCCTGTAATTCCAGCACTTTGGGAGGCCGAGGCGGGCGGATCACGAGGTCAGGAGATCGAGACCATCCTGGCTAACATGGTGAAACGCCGTCTCTACTAAAAATACAAAAAATTAGCTGGGCGCGGTGGCAGGCGCCTGTAGTCCCAGCTACTCGGGAGGCTGAGGCAGGAGAATGGTGTGAACCTGGGAGGCGGAGCTTGCAGTGAGCCAAGATCGCGCCACTGCACTCCAGCCTGGGCGACAGAGCGAAACTCTGTCTCAAAAAAAAAAAAAAAAAAAAAAAAGAGGCAGTTATTTGTGGTTCCACAGACCCTAGGCAAATCCTCCTGTAGAATAAATCCTATTCACTGATAAATATTTTATCTTATTATTTAAGAGACAAGGTCTCACTCTGTCACCCAGGCCTCACTCTGTTGCCCAGGTTGGAGTGCAGTGGCATGATCATAGCTCACTGCAACCTCAAACACCTGAGCTCAAGTGATGCTCCCACCTCAGCCTCACAAGTAGCCAGGACTACAGGCACATGCCACCATGCCTGGCTAATTTATTATCTTTTATAGAGATGGGGCCTTGCTATGCTGTCCAGGCTGGTCTCTAACTTTTAGCCTCAAGCAATCTTCCCACCTTGGCCTCCCAAAGTGCTGGGATTACAGGTGTAAGCCACCATACCCGGGCCCCTCATTGATAAATATTTAAAAATACTTTTAACCATAGACATATTATATGGTGGAATGCAATATTTACATTAAAAGTTTAAAGACAAAACTCTAGCCTTCAAAGGAATTTGGCAGGTTTTTCCTGGAGGCTGCTTCCAGCTGTGATCCTGGACCTCCTGAAGAACATATACTATCTCTTTCTTCCAGTCTTTCATAACTGGATTCCTCATCTGAACCACAGAACAAAAAGGATGATTAGAGTGACAGTTTTCTCAATTCCCCTCAAGACTGTACATAACTAGCACCATTCTACGCGTACTGGAGAAAAGTTAATATATTACATATAATGAATGCCTAATGACATTAAGATTTAATTCTTTCATGGAACTCCAGTTGAGAAAGGCTCCTCTATCATCAGTAGCACCTTACTGGTATAGTGCACTGGATGTTGGGGAACCACTGAATTATGGAAGGACAACAGGGTCACATTTGCATTTTAGACAAATCATTCTGCATAAGCACAGGAGTTATATTTGGGCAGAAGGCTGGAAGTAAGAAGACCAATTGGGAAATTCTTCACAGGCTGAGAAGGAGAAAGTACAAATGTAAAGGCCCACCCTACCACAGCTAGCAAATATGAACTGAGAAACTAGACAGGTGGCAGTTGCAGGGGTGAGTCCAGCCCCTCAGCCCCACCGGCTGCTCTCTTTAGTTTTATACAGTTATACTCACTAAGTGATAAAATGTATGTTTCTTTATCAAAAGCGTCAGAAAAGAGCTGAATGCTAGCGCCAGTGAAGGAAAACAAAGAGAAAGTGAAGAAAACCAGTGAAGTGGTGGTTCTTGGTCAAAAAAGGAAATTCTGGATACATGAAAGAGTGGAATGCCCTATCTTTATGGAATCTGTGAAGGTCTTTTTCAGACATCTTTTACTTTGATTAGGGAAATTATATACTATAGTGATATCTGCTAATTTGGGGATTTGAGAAGGTCTTACCTTGGGAGATGTCAAATAGGAGAGCAATTAAATTAGAACTGCTGAGAATATAAAAGTTACAGGGAAGTAGATTTCAATTTATCTAGGTCATTTTAATTAGAATTGTCCGATAGTAGAATGGCTTATCTTTAGATAAGGTTATGAGTTCTCCAGCCCTGTGCTCTGGATGACCAGCTATCAGGCACGTTGGGGGAGAAATTTCTAGCATTTATGAAGGTGTTGGAAAGTCAGACTAGATGACCTCTACAATGCCTTCTAAATCAAAGATGTTATAATTTTTATTCTGGGCTTTGTGTCCTCATCTACAAAATAAATGGACTAAGCTAAACATCTTTTAGAAGCTTCCCAGCTCTAAAATTTCTAGATGTGCTTCTACCCAAGCTGCCATGATCTCCTCACTCAGCCAACATCCACTTGCATTCTGAACACACAATCAGAGGCACATTTAGGGACTGTAGAGAGGGGCAGATTATAGCCATGAATCATGCCCCTTCTCCAGGTCTACATCTGTCTAATTACTAGGACCTGTGAGATCTAGAATGGCCCAAAGGAAGTTCCAGACAGAGCCCTGAGGTTATTTATACCCAAGGGGCTCCTGGACTGATCAAGGAGTTAGCTACCCAAAAAATTTCAAAGAAAAACTGTATTTTGGACCAGCTCCAGACATCCAGGCCAGATTCAGCAGTAACCCCATCTTCATCTGTAGCAAGTTTCAGCCTAAGGGACTTGAGAATGAGTCTGAAAACAAATAAAAGACTGCCAGAACTTCCTAGCCATGGCCTGGCAGTACCAGTCTGGACTGTTAGTGCCATGATGGCATTCGTGCTTTGAAATGGAAACTGGATGAGGCCCTTTAAGGTCCCCTCAAACAGTGAGATTCTTCAAGTCTGTATATTTGAAGTTATCATGCAATTTTTTTTTTTTAGACGGAGTTTTGCTCTTGTTGCCCAGGCTGGAGTACAATGGCACAATCTCGGCTCACCACAACCTCCGCCTCCCAGGTTCAAGCAATTCTCCTGCCTCAGCCTTCCCAAGTAGCTGGGATTACAGGCATACAGCACCATGCCCACTAATTTTTGTATTTTTAGTAGAGATGGGGTTTCTCCATGTTGGTCAGGCTGGTCTCGAACTCCTGACCTAAGTGATCCGCCCACCTTGGCCTCCCAAAGTGTTGGGATTACGGGCGTGAGCCACCATGCCCAGCCTATCATGGAATACTTTTATATATCACCTTTGGTCAGTATAAAGTTAAAAAGAGACTCGGGCCAGGCACAGTAGCTCGCACCTGTAATCCCAACACTTTGGGAGCTGAGACCGGAAGATTGCTTGAGCTCAGGAGTTCAAGACCAGCTTGGGCAAAAAAGCCAGACCCTGTCTCTGCAAAAAATTTTAAAAATTAGCTGGGTGTGTGGTGCTACATGCCTATAGTCTCAGCTACTTGGGAAGCTGAGGTGGGAGGATCACTTGAATCCAGAAGGTTGAGGCTGCAGTGTGTATGATTGTGCCACTGCACTCCAGTCTAGGCAACGGAGACTCTGATATCCACCCTACTTTCTGAACTCTCATGACTGCTCCCAACAGCCTGGGGTGGGGTGGGGTGGGGTGGGATGGGGTGAGCTGGGGGTTGGAGGGTAGAAGAAAACAAAAAGGGAGGGATATCTGTGAGAGAAGGGAGGATGCACTCATCTGTGCCCCACACTCTGAACTCCTGTTATTACCAGAAGACAGATAGATGACTGCTCATTCTTCTGGCTATGTTTATTACTAGCTGTTCATGACAAATAAACAATGCTACATTTTGAGCCAAGGTCACTGATAACACCTGCAGATTTCTATGGTCACATCCAAAAAGCAAACATATTTGAGCTATAGCAATAACCATCACAACAGAAATGCTTCTCAAGGCAGTTCCTCTTTGAAACATACCCCCAAAATGCTGATCAGCAGTAGCAGGGGATGGAACATGTGGGGATGTTGCATGTGTGGCAATTAGGACTTCTGCTTTCACTTCAGCGTTTCCCACTGTTCTATAGTTAACAGCACTTTGGATGGGGACATATGAGAAGAGGTTTACTCTTGAGTTTCCTCTTTCAAGAGATACATTTCTTTATGTTAAAGAACATGGCTGGGTGTAGTGATTCACACCTGTAATCCTAATACTTTGGGAGGCAGCAGCAGGAGGACTGCTTGAGCCCAGGAATTCGAAACCAGCCTGGGCAATATAGCCAGACCTCATCTCTATTAAAAACAAAAAGATTAGCTGGGTGTAGTGGCATGCGGCTGTAGTCCCAGCTACTCAGGGGGCTCAGGCAGGAGGACTGAGGATTGCTTGAGCCTTGGAGGTTGCAGAGAGCTACGATCACACCAGCTGGAGTGGTTGCACTCCAGCCTGGGTGACAGAGCCAGACCCTGTCTCAAAAAGAAAGAAACAAAAAAGAAAAAGAATATGCATTTCACTAGGTTTAAGAATTTCAGTTGGAAAGTCGAATAGTCATTTGACTTCAAAATGACAGACAATACATGGTCTTACTGAAATTTAAGTCTGTATATTAAAATGTTTAAAGTATGAATTTACTGTTGCATATAGCAGTCCTCATTACCATGCAGCAACTACAAGGAAGAACACTTCATTATAAGCTTAGGCACCCACCCACTTCCTGTTGAAATACAGGGTGGGGCTAAACTAACAAATATAACCACACTCTCTCTCCAAGCACAAGGAATGACAAATCTGTTTAGGTCACTAAAACAATGTCCAAAGGAGCTAGTAGGACAGAAATGGAACTCCTGCGGTAGATACAGAAAGTATTTGACTGGGAAAACTGAGAAAAAGGGCTTACTTGTGATCTAAAAGAGATATTTCCAATTTCATAAAGGAATGACACACCAATTTTGTGCCTACATCCAATCAGTGTAGGGATACTTCTTGTCTTGATATGGCTTTAAGACAGTAGCTGAGGAAACAGAACTTCTAAACTCCAGTATCTTACTCCTTGAGCATAAGGTACATCTATGAAGGACCATTCATTCACACCTGGTAATTCCATAACTTTTTATTATCTTTTGGGGGCAATAGCACCTTTTGTTCTTACCCTTTTACACTTAAGGGTCTAATCATAGTTTCGTTCTTAAAACTAAAATTGGGGGAATCTCTTTAACCTTCAAAATTGGTTTCTTCTAGTATCAACTTTTTCATAGAAAACTGTCTTTTAAATGGCCAAAATTAGACTCTCTTTTTAGCAGGATCCATCTGGTTGTCCAAAAGAAAATACATTTAAACTGTGAGTTGGAAACCTGGATTCTAGCTTTCAATCTAATGATGACAGGCAATCGGGGATAAAATTTCAATTCATCCCTCTAGTCCAGCTGTAAACTACACTAAAAAATGCTTGAAAGATGCTATATGAAACAGAGATTTTGTATGCAAAGTATTCTGAGCTCTGAGGAAAAGATTTACCCGCATAAAGTATTTCTTGTATCTCCATCTTGGCCCAATTCCTTGTTATGGATCCACTTAAATTACACAGGATCTACAATGTGGTCACTGATGACTTTCAGTTACAGACAAAGTTCATTTTACTTTCCCAATCTAATGCCAATTTCTAGTAAAACCCATATCACCAAAATTGTATGGTTTGAAATACTTCAAACTACCCATCTAAATGGGCTTTTACTTTGATTGGATAAATATAGATTATGAATAATTGTACTTATAAATGGAGAAATCTTACCCTTTACTCCTAATAAGGTATCAGATTTCTTTCAGCCATTGTCATCAACTGAACATTAAATTTACACAGGAGTTTAACATGAAAAACAACTAAGCTGTTCTGAAAAAACAACACCCACACACAAAACAAAAAAAGTATCAAACCTCAACAAATCAGTTCAAATCATTCACTAGATTACTAGAAATATGTCAATAACTCACACAAGCCCCAATAAAATACCCTTCATATTTAAACGATTCTTTTTAAATTTATAGCCAATGACAGAAGAGAGTGCTCTCCAGTTGATGGTACCCAGAAATTTGAGATAAGAGGACAGATACAAAATGCATTCCTCTCCAAGTACCTGGGAGGAAGCCAAACCTGGGCATGTATTCTCCCAGACAAACAGCCAAAAGTCCAATACACAGCTTGGTTTTATGGAAGGGTCTAACCCCATTTTACTATCATACTATGCGATGGAGAAGATGGGGCTAGACTGCAACCTTTCTTTCTTGGCTCTTGCAAGCAGCACTGAGTACTGTACTAGGTTAAACTTCCTTTGGTCAAGGTATTAGAGTACCCACTGGTGGATTAGCTACAGTGGCAGGTTTGAAAATAGAAGAGGAAGGAGATAATAAGAGCTGAACTGCACATCAGGCACTAAGTCTCAATTCACCTGGCTAGCTGTGTAACCATTTGTTTTAATTGTTATGATGCCTTACTTCTTATTTCAAGCTTCTCTTTGCAGTAACTGCACCCTCTCTGGGATGGAAAGACCAAGAAAGAAACCAACTTTACACAACTGAGAAAGGCCAGGGAAAAGATGGTTGCAGAGCAACAACAAAAAGAAAATTCAGCAAAATGTTTTGTTGACACTTCAGGGCAATACACAAACACACTGTGTGGTCATGGAGCAGGTGGGCGGAAGCAGCAGTCCTGAGATGTGACTATTAATACACCAACTTAAGTGAGGAGAGAGACCTAGCAATCACAACTACATGTGAGACAAGGAGTGGAATTATGGAGCAAATTGCCATGCAATTCCATATGAACTACTCAATAGCCAGCTGTAACAAGAATTCATTCCTGAAAAAGTGTCACACACATATCTGTCACTAATGGCCAAGCCACCAGCAACTGACTAAGAGTCAGCAGCAAAGGGCAGCTGTACATCTACTTCCTCTCACAACATTCAGTCAGCACTCAAAGCATGAGACTTACAAGCTAAAGTCCTTGAGCAGAGGGAAAAATAAGTATCTGTTCTTTCCTTTCTAACCTCAGTTTACCAGGAAGTTGCCAAAGCCCTAAAAATCTAGTAAGCAGTGGGGCAGAGCAAGAGCATGAACATTAAGAGACACAGGTGTGGGTTTCACTCCACCACTGCCACATTTTATAGCTTTGGAACCTTGGCAAGCAGTCTCTCAGTCTATTTCCTAGCCTGTTAAATCATTATCATGACCCCTTGTCTGTAAAGTTGTTGTGAAGAAAAATGAAATAATGCATGTATAAAACGTTTAGCACAGTGCCTAGCACAGAATAATTAAAACAACAGTAGTAGTAATAGTAGTATCATGGTAGTAGTGGTGGTGGTAGTAGTAGTAGCAGTAGAATGATTGACATCTATCTAGCACATGCCCTGTTCTAAATGTTTATATATGGTTCTCTTAAGCATTATACAATACTGTCTTAATAAGCTTCAGGTCGTATTAATGGTTAACTACTAATTATAGTGCTGTTATCAATCACTGAATATTTATCAAGAAGACACTAAAAGACACAAAGAAGTATAAAATCTCTTCCCTTGACTCCAGGAGCTTATAATTTAGTTCAGAGAGAGAGAAAACCACAGTTAAGTAACAATATAGCAAATAAATAGAAGTTCAATTATGACAATAGAAAGGATGAAAAGATCACTGTGAACTGAAGGGACTGAACAGACTCCTTGGAACCTTAAAGATCTGAACTGGGGCTGGGTGCAGTGGCTCATGCCTGTAATCCCAGCACTTTGGGAGGCCGAGGTGGAGGATCACTTCAGCCTAGGAGGTCAAGATTAGCCTGGGCAACATGGTGAGACCTTGTCTCTACAAAAAAAATTAAAAGTTAGCCAGGTGTAGTGGTACACACCTGTAGTCCCATCTACTTGAGAAGCTGAGGCAGGAGAATCACTTTAACGCGGGACGTTGAAGCTGCAATGAGCCAAGATCCATGCCACTGCCCTCCAGCCTTTGAGACAGAATGAGACTCTGTCTCAAAAAAACAAAAGTAAACAAAACAAAACCCAAAACCTAGTATCTGAACTGGATAGAATTTGGATGTAAAAAAACAGACGGAAAGGTTTTTCAAGGAGAGCTAATATGATAAACAGAAGTCTTGAACTTTACCACTAGTATTTATGGAAAAGTCACAATTCCAATGGGTTTCTACCATATTTCATCAAATTTAGGATGCCACTGATTGAAAGAGGCATTACGATTCAAGAGATGTTAAAATGGGGTGGGTATGGTGGCTCATGCCTATAATCCCAGCACCTTGGGAGGCCAAGGAGAGTGGATCGCTTGAGCTCACGCTTTTTAGACCAGTCTAGGCAATGTGGAGAAATCCCGTCTACAAAAAATACAAAAATTAGCTGAATGCAGTGGCGCACAGCTGTAGTCTCAGCTACTCAGGAGGCTGATATGGGAGGATCACTTTAGCCCAGGAGGTCGAGGCTGCAGTGAGCAGTGATCACACCACTGCACTCCAGCCTGGTGACAGAGTGAGACCCTGTCTTAAAAAAAAAAAAAAGCGATGTTAAAATGTGAGGAAAAAATGTATACCTGAGTCAATGAAATATAAACATATTATTTTAGAGACAAGGTCTCATCATGTTACCTAGGCTGAAATTTAGTGGCTATTCACAGGCACAATCATAGTGCACTAAAGCCATGAACTCCTGAGCTCAAGCAATCCTCCAGCCTCAGAAGGTGGACACGGTGGTCTTTAAAAAATCTCTCTAACACTAAAATGCATTCTATAACTCAGACTTACAAGAGAATAGTTATGTACCACATAACAACATTTCAGTCAATGATGGACTATGATGGACCACATATATGACAGTGGTCCCATAAGATCATAACACTTTTTTTTTTTTGAGATGAGGTTTCACTCTTGTCACCCAGGCTGGAGTGCAGTAGCACAATCTCAGCTCACTGCAGCCTCCCCTTCCTGGGTTCCAGCTATCCTCCCGCCTTAGCCTCCCAAGTAGCTGGGACCACAGGCACATGCCACCACGCTCAGCTAATTTTTTGTATTTTTGGTAGAGATGGGGTTTCACCATGTTGCCTAGGGTAGTCTCGAACTCCTGAGCTCAAGCGATCTGCCCGCCTCAGCCTCCCAATGTGCTGGGATTACAGGAGTGAGCCAACATGCCCAGCCCCTTTTCTATGTTTAGTTATGTTTGGATATACAAATACTTACTGGCTGGGAGTGGTGGCTCATGACTGTACTCCCAGCACTTTGGGAGGCCAAGGTGGGAGGATCACTTGAGCCCAGGAAGTTGACACCAGCCTGGGCAAAATGACAAGGCCCTGTCTCTATAAAAAATGAAAAACGTGGCTGGGCGTGGTGGCTCACACCTGTAATCCCAGCACTTTGGGAGGCCGAGGTGGGTGGATCACTTGAGGTCAGGAATTCGAGACCAGCTTGGCCAACAGAGTGAAACCCTGTCTCTACTAAAAATGGCCGGGCGCGGTGGCTCACGCCTGTAATCCCAGCACTTTGGGAGGCCGAGGTGGGCGGATCACAAGGTCAGGAGATCGAGACCATCCTGGCTAACATGGTGAAACCCCATCTCTACTAAAAATACAAAAAAATTAGCCGGGCGTGGTGGCGGGCGCCTGTAGTCCCAGCTACTCCGGAGGCTGAGGCAGGAGAATGGCGGGAACCTGGGAGGCGGAGCTTGCAGTGAGCCGAGATTGCGCCACTGCACTCCAGGCTGGGTGACAGAGCGAGACTCCGTCTCAAAAAAAAAAAAAAAAAAAAAAATTAGCCGGGCGTGATGGCACATGCCTGTAGTCCCAGCTACTCGGGAGGCTGAGGCATGAGAATCACTTGAATCTGGGAGGCGGAGGTTGCAGTGAGCCAAGATTGTGCCACTGCACTCCAGCCTGGCGACACAACGAGACTCCATCTCAAAAAAAAAAAAAAAAAGAAAGAAAGAAAAACTCAGCTGAGTGCAGTGGTGTGCACTTGTAGTCCCAGCTACTCAGGAGGCTGAGGCAAGAGGATCCTTTAAGCCTAGGAGTTTGAGTCTGTGGTGAGCCATGACTGATTGCTCCACTGCACTCCAGCCTGGGCAAAAAAATGAGACTTCATCTCTAAAAAAAAAATAGTAAATAAAATAAATAATCAATATAACCAGCCTGGGCAACATAGAAAGACCCTATCTTTACAAAAAAATTTTAAAATATGCTGGATCCCATAAACATATACAACTACTATGTACCTACCAAAGTTAAAAACTAAAAATAAAGGCTGGGCGCAGTGGCTCACACCTGTAATCTCAGGACTTTGGGAGGCCGAGGCCGGCAGATCACAAGGTCAAGAGTTCAAGACCAGCCTGGCCAATATGGTAAAACCCCGTCTCTACTAAAAATACAAAACTTAGCCAGGCGTGGTGGCACGTGCCTGTAGTCCCAGCTACTCAGGAGGCTGAGGCAGAAGAATCGCTTGAACCCAGCAGGTGGAGGTTGCAGTGAACCAGACTGTGCCACTGCACTCCAGCCTAGGAGACAGAGCGAGACTCCATCTCAAAAAAATTAAAGTTAAAATTAAAAATAAAAATAGGCCAGGCGTGGTGCCTCATGCCTATAATCACAGCACTCTGGGAGGCTGAGATGGGCAGACTGCTTGAGCCCAGGAGTTTGAGACCAGCCTGGGTAACATGGATAAACCTCATTTCTATGAAAAACACAAAAAACTAGCCAAAGGGCCGGGCGTGGTGGCTCATACCCATAATCCCAGCACTTTAGGGGGCCGAGGTGGGCGGATCACGAGGTCAGGAGTTTGCGACCAGCCTGACCAACATGGTGAAACCCCGTCTCTACTAAAAATACAAAAATTAGCCAAGTGTGGTGGCACATGCCTGTAAAACCAGCTACTCAGGAGGAGAATCGCTTGAACCTGGGAGGCAGAGGTTGCAGTGAGCCAAAACTGCGCCACTGCCCTCCAGCCTAGGAAACAGAGCGAGACTCTGTCTCAAAAAAAAAAAAAAAAAAAAAAAATTAGCCAGGCACGGTGCCGAAAACCTGTAGTCCCAGCTACTCTAGAGGCCGAGATGGGGGGATTGCCTGAGCCCAGGAAGTCGAGCCTGCAGTAGGCTGTGATTGTGCCACTGCACTCCAGCCTGGGCAACACAGTGAGACCCTGTTTCTAAATAAATAAATAAATAAAAAATTAGCCAAGTGTGGTAGCATGTACCTGTGGTCCCAGCTACCTGGGAGGCTGAGGTGAAAGCATCGCTTGACTCCAGGAGTAAGAGGCCCACCCAGGCAACAAGAGCAAGACACCGTCTCTTAAAAAAAAAAAAAAAAAAAAAAAAGGCCAGGCACAGTGGCTCATGCCTGTAGTCCCAGCACTTCGGGAGGCTGAGGTGGGTGGATCACCTGAGGTCAGGAGTTCAAGACCAGCCTGGCCAACATGGTGAAACTCCGTCTCTACTAAACCACAAAAACTAGCTGGGCGTGGTGGCAGGCACCTGTAATCCCAGCTACTTGGGAGGCCGAGGCAGGAGAATCGCTTGAACCCAGGAGGCGGAGGTTGCAGTGAGCCAAGACTGCGCCATTGCACTCCAGCCCGGGCAACAAGAGCAAAACTCCACCTCAAAAAACAAAAAAAAATTTAATATAGCTTGGTAAATCCAGAAGAATGTTCAGACAAAGAAAGCAAGGATTTCTTGAGCCACTAGCTATATGACCTTAGGGTAGTTAATCTCTCTGAGCCTCATCCATAAAATAGGGAAAATACAAACTACCTTATACTATAGTTGTATTTATTTATTTATTTAGAGACAGAGTTTTGCTCTTTTGCCCCGGCTGGAGTGCAGGGGGGGGTGATCTCAGCTCACTGCAACCTCCACCTTCTGGGTTCAAGTGATTCTCCTGCCTCAGCCTCATGAGTAGCTGGGATTACAGGCACCCACCACCACACCTGGCTAATTTTTGTATTTTTAGTAGATATGGCGTTTCATCATGTTGGCCAGGCTGGTCTCGAACTCCTGACCTTGTGATCTGCCCGCCTCAGCCTCTCAAAGTCCTGGGATTACAGGCATGAGCCACCGCGCCTGGCCTTAGTTGTTTTTATTTTTTTGAGACAGGGTCTGGCTCAGTCACTCACGCTGCAGTGCAGTGGTGTGAACGTGACTCATGCAGCTTCAGTCTCCTGGGCTCAAGCAATCCTCCCACCTCAGCCTCCAGAGTAGCTGGGGCTAGAAGCGTGCAGCACCATGCTCAGCTAATGTTTTCACTTTTTGTAGGAACAGGGTCTTACTATGTTGCCCTGGTTGGTCTCAAACTCCTGAATTCAAGTGATCCTCCCACCTCAGCCTTCCAAAGAGCTGGGATTACAGGCGTAAACCACCATGGCCAACCTAGGATAGTTCTAAGAATAAGATGTGATAACATATGTAAGCATTCCAGAGGGGTACCCAGCACCCAGTAGGTATTCAGTAACTGATAGCTCTCATTATTACTAACTCGAAGGAATGGCGAGTTTATATGGACCTACCTCCTAGTAATGAAATAATCTAAAGACAGCAGGTCAAATTAAACAACAAAGAGCATTACACAAAGGTGTTCCTAAATGGTCCTCTTTTATTTGGTTTCAGTGGAGGCCAAGAAGTAGGTGGGCCTCTTACCTTCTGAGACAGGCTCTTCAGGAACATGGAGACAAATACTGAAAAAGATGGATGGCCTCTGCTTACATTATACCTATTTTAAGGATTACAACAAAGGGTATCAGTCTTCCCAATCACAGTCAAGAGTCAATCCAGTATTTTCACTTTAAGTACTTTGAAGGCAATACATTCTTCAAGAGACTATTATCTGGATTGTGGTATTTCTTTATAAAAACACACAAACAATCTTTCATCTTAAAAGCCCGAGGTGAGTGTCACCACTTCTAAGAAGCCTTCCCTGAATCTTCCAGTCTAAAGTCATTTTCCTCCCTCCAAGTGCCAATGAGGTATGCTGAACCTCTTTTATAGCAGTCACTACAGTCTATTTTATAGCACAGATTTTTGGTGTATACAACTCTTTGAGTACAGGAATTGAAAAACAAAATATCTTTAAACCTAACATAAAGCAGTAGTAGCAACAGCAACTATCTGGAGACAAAGTAGGATTCTTAAAATTTCTTTTCATCCTACAGTGTCTGCTCAATAAATACCTGTTAAATTCCTAAAATGTACCAGATATTTATTCACATTTTCTTGAATATTTCTAGTCCTCCAATTTTCCAAGGTAAGTAGTAATATTTTGATTTTACAGATCAGAAAACTAAAACCCAGAGTGATTCATAACTTTATGAAAGTCACACAGACAGACAGCTTTCAAACCCAGGTCCAACTGTGTCCAAACTTCATGTTCTTTCCATGACACCACACTGACTCTATGCAAAACACCCAAACTAAGAAGTTAGACAAATACGCCCATAGTTCTCATCTTTGTACACAAGTGCCATCAAATTCCAGACTAGTTTATCTCCCATGGAAAAAAGACTGCATGCTAACACAAGAAAGCATTCCTATTTACCCTAAAACTGAAATGGTGTTAATGAGTATAACATACTGCTTTCTCCCTCTCTGCGCCCAATTTTAGCCAGATGCTCAGGGGCTTCACTTCTTTCCTTTAAACAACATAAACACAGGCTTATTTAAAATCCCAGCCTCAGATAACATGTGCAGATGCTACTGCTTTTCAAACTCCTGTTTTCAAACAGCTAGGCATTAGGGGTTCCAACACTTCTGACGGGTTACTTTTATCTACAGGGTCCCTGAGAATCGCTTTAAGTTTCATTCTCTGTTTAGCTCATCAAATCTTCTCATCAGGGACTTTTTTTTTTTTTTTAAAGCACCTAATCTTCCATCTTCTTTTACAATGAACTAAAACACTCCTATGGGTAATTCTTAATCTGTGTATGTATATTTTAATATAATATTCTTCTCTTTTTCTAAAAAGCACAGTTGTTTTTCCTATTTAGCCCAAACTAAGATAATTATATCAGAAGTGAGTTTTCTCCCATCTCTTTCTGCATATAGGAAATACTGAAAAGATAAGTCTTTTTTAATTATTAAATGTAAATAGCTCATTAAATATAATCCAATTACTTTAATCGTAAAAAGTAATTACAATATGTACATGTATTCTTTACTAGATTTAATATCTTAATCTTTTCAGCATTAATATTTTAAATTAACCTTTGACATTAGAAAAATGCAAGAAACTGGTATCTCTTTCAATATATATATAAAGCTGTTCTTTATGGATCTTTGTTGTGATTTCACCCACAAACAATTTTACAGGGACCGCAAAGAGGGGCAATTAAATACCACCTGCCCAAACTGAACTGGTATTTCTTGTCTGCTATAAATCATGTTAAAGGGTCTGTTTTAAATTCTAATGCTTTAGTGGGACAAGAAGCCTAGAGATGAATTCTATAGCATTCCAAAAATCACAAAAGCTTCACTTGTAAAGACAACTCCAAGACAAAATTTGTTAGAAGAAACGCCTATAATCCCAACCAGCACTTTGGGAGGCTGAGGCAGGCAGATCACTTGAGCCCAGGAGTTGGAGGCCAGCCTTGGTAACATGGCAAAACCCCATCTCTACAAAAAACACAAAAATTAGCCAGGCGTGGTGGTGCACACTGGTAGTCCCAGCTACTCAAGAGGCTGAGGTGGGTGGATCGCTTGAGCCTGGGAGGTGGAGATTGCAGTGCGCCAAGATTGTGCCACCACACTCCAGCCTGGGTGACAGGGTGAGAGCCTGTCTCCAAAAAAAAAAAAAAAAAGATGAAGAATGTCTTTGGTACAGTAGCCGGAACTTTCCATTACCTAATTGCTATTCTGTTACTATCAATCATAGTTCCCTGGGACCACCCGTGAGCATTCTTCTTGCTCTCTGGTCTCTAGCCCCTGGAGTATGCTGTTATAACATTTTCCCTCAGTGGCCTTCTGGTTCTTCCATTTTTATTTTCTTGGTGACCAATGGTAAATAAATTGCATAGCTAAATCTCTATCAACTGCCTTGAAAATGGGCTTTGACACAGTATATACACTGAAGAATGTCTTCCAGAATGCAGGGAAGAAGCTTATATAAATGAAAAATTAAGAAGATGGAGTTTTCCTACCAAAATCTATTAATGAGTATTATTTTAAGATATGAGTATTTAGAAAAATAAAATTATATTTACATTAACACAGAACTTTTTCCAAAATTCAGAAATGGCAAGAGCGGCATGAATAGATAAGCTGTGAAGGTATCAATGGGCCATGTTTGTACAGCAGTTTCCCTCCAAATTAGAACAGTTCTATTTAAAGTACTAAGACATATCATGTGTTTTCAGCAACTCTCAAGGATTTCAATGAAATAGATTTTTCCCGTTCAGATCTTGTATTAATGAGCCAAAGGTGTACCTCTGCCTCACTGATACCATTTGGCAAAACAAATTAATGAAATGGATGAGGCTGGCTGTGATTAATTCCTTTGGTTGTTCAGATTGTAGCTATGTTGCAGCAGCTCCTGACTATGTAAGGCACTGGTTTCTGCAGTCATCCAGCCTAACTATGGAAAGTTATTTTGTGGTCCGAAAAGACAGTGACATGGGTTGCTGTGGGTTCCCTCATCTCAAACACTAATGGATTCCGAACAGTCACGAAAGTTTAGCTGAAGGAATGGAGCCTGATACCTGATGATGATCACAGTGCTCCAGAAGGACAGCACCATTAAAAGAAAATAAGAAGTAATTTCATAGGTAAAAGGTACACAAGCAGCTAAAACTAAGTCTCTTGCAAAATTTAAATGATTCAAGTTTCATCTTGATAACACTGGTATTTTGTACAAAATATATCTTATTAGGCCAGCCCTTGAAAGTTAAAAAGGTGTCTTTAAATGCCTACTGACCTAAAATTGCCATGTTCCATGCTTTAAAGGGATTGATTTTCTAGAGAAGGACAATATGATGTCAGATTCTGTTCAAGGGAGATCAGAATACTATTTGGTGAACCTGTTCTGCACCTGTGGAAGTAAAAGAATAAGACTGGCTCACACACCCCGCGGGAGGATGGTATTTATATGGGCTCTCCCTCTGACCTCTTGGCAGCAAATGTAAGAAAGTCCTTTTTTGAGCCTTAGGGGCGGGCCCAGGACTTTCAACTACCCATTCAAACAGGGTTACAATTCCCCTCCTCCACAATTAAGTTCCTTTCCTATTCTCCATGCATGCATGAATTGCAGTGACATTGACATGGGGGCTTGACATTACTCTTTGAAGGTCATTTAAATCATCCTCCTTCCAAACTGCCTTAAAAGCAGTGTATCATCCATTCCACAATGTCTGAGTGTAGGGTTTGACTAGATCGTACTCAAAGCAGAATCACCTGAAGAATAAAGAGAGTTCCAAATTTGGGTATCATAAAAAGAACAAATCAAAGAAATAAAAAGTGATGAAACTCAGTTACTCAAAAGACAATAGTAAAACACTAACACCGAACATTGGACAAATGGAAACACTTCTACTGACAATCCAGTTTATCTAGGAAAGTAGAAAAGGTCATCCACTGGCCAGGCACAATAGCTCACGCCTGTAATCCCAGCACTTTGGGAGGCCGAGGTGGGTGGATCTCTTGAAGTCAGGAGTTCGAGACCAGCTTGGCCAACATGGTGAAATCCCATCTTTACTAGAATTAGTCAGGTGTGGTGATGCATACCCATAGTCCCAACTACTCAGAAGGCTGAGGCAGGAGAATCGCTTGAACCTGTGAGGCGGAGGTAGCAGTGAGCCAAGATCACACCACTGCATTCCAGCTTGGGTGAAAGAGAGAGACCTCATCTCAAAAAAAAAAAAAAAAAAAGGTCATCCACAATATGGCCCTTTATATGCCTTCGGTTTCATCTCCTGTCACATTCTCATACACATATACCTTTCTTTGCAGTCCTACAGACCTTCCCATCACACCCCACTGTACCATGTTCTCTCTTACCTCCATACTTTTGCTCAAGTTTGACCACCCACCACAACCCCCACCAGCCTATAAGGTCTTCCAAGTCTGAGCTCAAGCGAAACACCTCTTGATAGGCCTTGCCCCAAAGGAAGCTGGCGTCCCCTCTTCCACATGCCATAACGGTTCTCTAAATATCCATAACACGTTGTCCATGTCTATACCATCACACGGGATTAAAATGAGCGGTTTTTTCACTTGCTCTCTTACTAGACTGTGAGTTCTCTGAGGCTGCTATGAGTCATCTCTAATCTTAGTGCCTACCACCACGCTAGGTACCAAGAGAATGGTCAATAAATGTTTATCAAGGCCAGGTGCGGTAGCTCACGCCTATAATCCCAGCACTTTGGGAGGCCAAGGAGGGCCCTATCACTTGAGGTCAGGAGTTCGAGACCAGCCTGGCCAACATGGTGAAACCCCATCTCTACTAAAAATACAAAAATTAGCTGGGCATGGTGGCGCATGCCTGTAGTTCCAGCTATTTGGGAGGTTGAGGCAGGAGAATCACCTGAACCCAGGAGGCGGAGGTTGCAGTGAGCTGAGATCGGGCCATTGCACTGCAGCCTGGGCAACAGAGCGAGACTCCATCTCAAAAAAAAAAAAAAGTTTATCAAATCAAATGAATGAAGCCATAGTTGCTTCTTGTGCTTTGGCTCTCACAAAGATAAGGATAAGGAGGGTGTCTGGAACTCCAGTCTTATAGCACTGTTTCCTGAGAGAAGATAACCCAAGTTCAACCTTTGTTTTAGAAATAGATTCTGGCATCCCACCAGGTCACGAGAGA
The DNA here is from genome assembly GCF_000001405.40 of Homo sapiens. NCBI lineage: Eukaryota > Metazoa > Chordata > Mammalia > Primates > Hominidae > Homo > Homo sapiens. Next base: position 27,449,792 of record NC_000001.11, read on the forward strand.
GGATCTACATTTACCCCTCAAACTCAGGGTCCAATCTGGGACAGAGCAGAAAAAGAAGTTGAAAATTATTGGCTGGGCATGGTGGCTCACGCCTATAATCCCAGCACTTTGGGAGGCTGAGGTGGGCGGATCGTCTGAGGTCAGGAGTTCGAGACCAGCCTGGCCAGCATGGTGAAATCCCATCTCTACTAAAAATACAAAAATTAGCTGGGTGTGGTGGCAGACACCTGTAATCCCAGCTATTCGGGAAGCTGAGGCAGGAGAATTGCTTGAATCCGGGAAGCAGAGGTTGCGGTGAGTGGAGATCACGCCATTGCACTCCAGCCCGGGCAACAGAGCAAGACTCCGTCTCAAAAAAAGAAAAAAAAAATTAGAGACCAAGACTACCGTGACAACATGAGCTGTCTGCCACAACCGTCTCATTCTTGTACCTCAAAGCTCTTACTCCCTAATGTAAAGAGAGAAAAATGATAGTTATCAGCCAAGAAGAGAAATTTCCAAAAAGGCTAAGAAATGTCAGAATAAGTCATGATAATTAGCACATGTCCAAAGAAATACAGGGTGTTTTAAACTTTCCAGGTACTTGGCCTAAAATGTTAATAAGACCCTGAATCTCCCAAACCAGCTTCTTGTCTTCCTCTCCTCAATACTTTTGTCCCACCCATCTACCCACCAAGCTGTCTGCCTTTCTTTTTTCCCTCTCCCAGACTCTTTTTTGTTTTTTTTGAGACAGAGTTTCACTCTTGTTGCCCAGGCTGGAGTGCAATGGCACAATCTCAGCTCATCACAACCTCTGCCTCCCGGGTTCAAGCGATTCTTCTGCCTCAGCCTCCTGAGTAGCTGGGATTACAGGCACGCGCCCCACGCCTGGCTAATTTTGTATTTTTAGTACAGACGGGGTTTCTCCATGTTGCCTAGGCTGGTCTCGAACTCCTGACCTCAGGTGATCTGCCTGCCTTGGCCTCCCAAAGTGCTGGGATTACAGGTGTGAGCCATCGCACCCAGCCTCCTTCTCCCTTCTTTTCTGTTCCCTTCCCTTCTCCTCCCTTCCCTCCCTTCTTCATTTCTTTCCTCAATAAATATGGGTAGAGCTGGTGAAAATCTGGCACACAAATGACAACTATGAAATATATATGGAGCCAGGCATGGTGGCTCACACCTGTAATCTCAACACTTTGGGAGGCCAAGGCAGGAGGATCACTTGGGCCCAGGAATTTGAGGCCAGCCTAGGCAACATAGTGAGATCCCATCTCTTAAAAAGAAAAAAAAAAGCATACATATATATTGTCTTTGTATAAAGTAATATACAATTATTTGTTCATTCAGTGAAACTTATATACCAGGCACTGTGCCACACACTTAGGATATTAATTTAATACTTCCTCTGCCCTCACAGAGCTTGCAAGCTCCTGGAGATATAAATAAAGGGGACAATAATACTCTGGTAAGTGTGACTACAAATGTTAAGTTCAAGGTATAATGGAAGTATCCAGCTCAAGTTGGGGCAAAGAGGGGCAGTCAGTTAAGAAAAGGTGTCTTAAAGGACAAATAAAGCTAGTTAAGAACTTCCAGGTGGAGGGAGTAGCATATGCAGAGGCAAAAACAGTGTTCCAGGAACAGTAAATGGCTTATGTGGCTGAAGTGCAGGAAGTCATGAGTGATGAGACTAATAAGGCAGACAAAAGCTGAGGCACAGAGAGCCTTGTATGCCGGGCTACAGCACTTAACAGAGTGTGCTAAAAGCTATAGGGAGCTATTTAAGATTGAGGCCAGAGAGTGACATGATCAGATTTGCATTTAGAAAGCTCTCTCTGGCAGCAGTATGGAGAATGTACTACATGAGGGAGTGAAAGACTAAGGCAGAAGTCCAAGTGGAAGCATTTCTAATTGACAGAATCTACAGAACAGGAGAGTTGCAAAACAGGATGCTACAAAGTGTGCTATACTGGGTTTGAAAGACCAGGTACACTTTCTTCCTTGAACAATTAAATTACAGTAGTCACCCCTTATCCTCAGAACATAGTTCCAATACCCTCAGATGACGCCTAAAACTGCAGATAGTACTGAGGTGTATTTTTTTCTATACATACATATGATAAAGTTTAATTTATAAATTAGGCACAGTAAGACATTAAGAACAGTAATAGAACAATTACAGTAATATTAGTAAAAGTTAAGTGAATGTGGTCTCTCAAAACATCTTACTGCACTGTATTCACCTGTTTTTGAACCAGAGTGGAACACAGGTAACTGAAACTGGATAAGGCAGGAGACCACTGTATTTAATTTCTCTGAGCCTCAGTTTTTACTTTTTGAAAAATGTGTTTATTTGCAAAAGAAGAACTAGGGAGAACACTAGGCTAGATCAAGTGTCAGCAATCTTTTCTTAATGCTTTAAAATTATTTAGAGATATAGTTTTTAAAAAAATAGGCCAGACGCAGGCTGCGCGCCGTGGCTCACGCCTGTAATCCCAACACTTTGGGAGACCAAGGCGGGTGGATCACGAGGTCAAAAGATCAAGACCATCTTGGCCAACATGGTGAAAACCCATCTCTACTAAAAATACAAAAATTAGCTGGGCGTGGTGGTGCGCACCTGTAGTCCCAACTACTTGGGAAACTGAGGCAGGAGAATCGCTTGAACCAGGGAGGCAGAGGTTGCAGTGAGCTGAGATCGTGCCACTGCACTCCAGCCTGGTGACAGAGTGAGACTGTCTAAAATAAATAAATAAATGAATAAATAGGCCAGACGCGGTGGCTCGTGCCTGTAATCCCAGCACTTTGGGAGGCTGAGGTGGGTGGATCACCTGAGGTCAGGAGTTCGAGACCAGCCTGGCCAACATGGTGAAACCCCATCTCTACTAAAAATACAAAAAATTACCCAGGCATGGTGTCACACACCTGTAGTCTCAGCTACTCAGCAGGCTGAGGCAGGAGAATTGCTTGAACCTAGGAGGCAGGTTGCAGTGAGCTGAGATCACACCACCGCACTCCAGCCTGAGTGATAGAGTGGGACTCCATCTCAAAAAATTAAAATAAAAACAAAAATTTAAAAATTAAAAATATATGTAAACTCTAAAGACTCATGATATAGCAAATGTCAGTGTATCTATCACTGTTTAAGAAGAATATTGCCAGGCACGGTGGCTCACGCCTGTAATCCCAGCACTTTGGGAGGCTGAGGTGGGTGGATCACCTGAAGTCAGGAGCTTGAGACCAGCCTGGTCAACATGGTGAAACCCCATCACTACTAAAAATACAAAAAATTACCCAGGTGTTGTGTTACACAGCTGCAGTCTCAGCTACTCAGCAGGCTGAGGCAGGAGAATTGCTTGAACCCACGAGGCAGGTTGCAGTGAGCTGAGATCACACCACTGCACTCCAGCCTGAGTGACAGAATGGGACTCCATCTCAAAAAATTAAAATAAAAATTTTAAAAATTAAAAATATATGTAAACTCTAAAGAATCATGACATAGCAAATGTCAGTGTATCTATCACCCAGTTTAAGAAGAATACTGCCGGGAGTGGTGGCTCACGCCTATAATCCCAGCACTTTGGGAGGCTGAGGTGGGTGGATCACTTGAGGTCAGCAGTTTGAGACCAGCCTGGGCAAAATGATGAAACCCTGTGTCCACTAAAAATACAAAAATTAGCCAGGTGTGGTGGTGGACGCCTGTAATCCCAGCTACTCAGGAGGCTGAAGCAGGAGAATTTCTTGAACCCAGGAGGCAGAGGTTGCCGTGAGTGGAGATCACTCCACTGCACTCCAACCTGGGTGACAGAGCAAGACTCTGTCTCAAAAAAAAAAAAAAAAAAGGGCCAAGCGCGGTGGCTCACGCCTGTAATCCTAGCACTTTGGGAGGCCAAGGCAGAAGGATCATGAAGTCAGGAGATTAAGACCAGCCTGGCCAACATGGCAAAACCCAGTCTCTATTAAAAATACAAAAACTAGCCAGGCATGGTGGCACATGCCTGTAATCCCAGCTACTGGGGGGCTAAGGCAGAAGGATGCTTGAACCTGGGAGGCAGAGGTTGCAGTGAGCTGGGATCACGCCACTGCACTCCAGCCTGGGCAACAGACCAAGACTCTGTCTCAAAAAAACAAAAAAGAATATTACTATTAGCCTTAAAGCCCCCTGCATACTCTCCCAAAGCCATCTCCTTTCCTTATCCTGAAATAACTATCTTAAACGTGTGACGTGTGTTTACCATTTCCTTTACTTTATAGTTTTATCACATTTCTATCTCTAAATGTTATATTGTTTAGTGTCACATTCTAGAACTTCATATGACTCTAATATATATACATATATATGTGTATATATATGTGTGTATATATATATGTGTGTGTGTGTGTGTGTATATATATATATATATATATATATATATATATATTTTTTTTTTTTTTTTTTTTTTAAAGATACAGGGTCTTACTTTGTTGTCCAGACTGGAATGCAGTGCATGATCACTCTTTGTAACCTGTAACTCCTGGGCTCAGGCAATCCTCCTACTTCAGCCTCCTGAGTAGCTGGGACCACAAGCGTGTGCCACCATGCCCAACTAATTTTTTTTTTTTTTGAGACTGTTTTCCTGTTGTTCACGGTGAAGTGCAGTGGTGCAATTACAGATCACTGCAGCCTCAAACTCCTGGGCTCAAGAGATCCTCCCAAGTAGCTGGGACCACAGGCAGGCACCACCAATGCCCAGCTAGTTTTTAAATTTTTTGTAGAGACAGGGTCTTCTTACGTTGTCCAGGGTGGTCTCGAACTACTGGGCTCAAGGGATCCTCCCGCCTTGGCCTCCCAAAAGGCTGGGATTACAGGCATGAACTACTGCGCCCAGCCACTTTTAAAATTTTTTTGTAGAGACAGTGTCTCACTATATTGCCCAGGTTGGTCTTGACCTGATTTTTTTATTTCTAATATTAACGTATATACCCTTCTGCAACTTTTTGTTCTTGAGATTAGTTTATGTTGCTATAGCTGCGATTTACTTTTTCACTGCTATATAGTATTCTATTGTAGGAACATATCATGATTAACTTATCCAATCTCAAGTTGATCGACATTGGGATTTTTTCTCCAGTTTGAATTTTCTGTTAGTTTGTTTTGCTATTGTCAACAGTGTTGCTATGGATGTTTTTGTACATGTCTCCTGGTCCACATATGTAAAGTTCTTTAGGGTAAATACCCAGGAGTGGAATTTCTGGGTCACAGGGCATGTACATCTTTAATTATGAGACAATACCAAATTGTTTTTCCAAAATGGTTGTGCTCATTTACACTTCTGCTTGCAGAGTTCTAGTTGCTTCACATCCTTCCCAACATTTTTTGTCAGACTTTAATTTTTACCAATCTGATGAACATAAAACCAATATATCACTGCAGTTTTAATTTGCATTCCTCCGATTACTGATGAGGCTGAGCACCCCACCCCTTTTCATAGGAAGGAGTTACTTTTTGTTTTTCCAAAACACTGAGATCAAGCTCTCTCCATGAAAGTCTGGAATGGCTAGAGTATGTGCCAGCAGCTGCCTCCTAATAATTAACCAGATGAAGTCTGGTCTCTTTCAGCACTAAGGTAAAACTGTATGACCAAATCTCTGGCATATATCAACACATGACATAGCAGGAAACCTGAAAATTTTTATCTGAGAATTGGGGGTGGGTTAGGGATGTGAGAAGGGCCGAGACTGAGAAAAATCAGACTAGGAATGATCAGAGAGAATGTGTTATTTAAGGCCCTTCACTAACTGACACGAACATACTTGTTTAGCCTCATCTCTGGCCACACCTTTCCAATGCTCTAGCCTGCAGCCACTCACTGCTCACCACAGAAGCCCTGCACTCCAATGTCTCTGTGATTTCACTCAAGACATTTGCCACTTCCTGGATTACTTACCTTTTTGTTTTTTTCCTGCTTCTTAGAATGTGATTAACGCTTCCCGGCCCAGTTCAAGTGTAATTGCTTCCATGAAGCTATCCTGACCCCATTCCCCAGAAAAAATTAATCAAGCTTTCATCTACTCCAAGAGAACTCTATTATTACTTTATTATAGAATCCATCCCATATTACAGTTGGAACACGAAGACTGTGAGCTCTTTGAGGGAAGGTACTATCTTTTAAATCCTGTGGTGCTAAGCAGCCCTTCTGTCACTCATCAAATCTTCATAAAATTCCTGATAAATGGACAGAAAGATGAACATAAATCTACTGGGAAACAAATCTCTAAACAGTGAAAAGGTTAGGATGGGTGCAGTGGCTCACACCTGTAATCCCAGCACTTTGGGAGGCCGAGGCAGGCGGATCACGAGGTCAGAAGATCGAGACCATCCTGGCTAACACAATAAAACCCCATCGCTACTAAAAATACAAAAAATTAGCCAGGCGTGGTGGCGGGCACCTGTAGTCCCAGCTACTCGGGAGGCTGAGGCAGGAGAATGGCGTGAACCCAGGAGGCAGAGCTTGCAGTGGGCTGAGACTGCACCACTGCACTCTATCCTGGGCTACAGAGCGAGACTCTAAAAAAAAAAAAAAAAAAAAAACAACAATGGAAAGGTTCTTTCTGACTCTTGCAGACTATGAAGAAAAAAAATCAGAGAAAAAGCAAGGAAGGAGATAAGGAGTAGGAGCTAATGAAAAAGAAAACAGGACAACTGGGTCCCCTTAGTAGAGGTCCATATCAGATAGGCCAGGAAGTAAAAATGTAAACCATAGTTCACCATTTTAATGTAGGGGACAACAACATGGAAAGTGAAATTTAGAACTGATTTTAAAACTATAGGCTGTATCTTGAAAGTGATCAAATTTAACTGGAAAATTATTTGGATATTCCCTAGTGGTTAGGAATAAATAAATAAATACATAATTTGGTCATGGTGCTTTCCTCTGGAAGAAGTTAAGTAAAACTTCCATTTATTTAATAGTTAAAGGTTTTCTCTTTTTTTTTTTTTTTTTTGGAGACAGAGTCTCATTCTGTCACCCAGGCTGGAATGCAATGGTGCGATCTCAGCTCCACTGCAACCTCCGCCTCACGGGTTCAAGTGATTCTCCTGCCTCAGCCTCCCAAGTAGCTGGGAATATAGGCGTCCGTCCGCCGCCACGCCCGGCAATTTTTTTTGTATTTTTAGTAGAGATGGTGTTTTGTCATGTTGGCCAGGCTGGTCTCAAACTCCTGACCTCAGGTGATCTGCCCGTCTCGGCCCCCCAAAGTGCTGGGATTTACAGGCGTGAGCCACCGGGTCCTGCCTGTATTTTTTTCTAGTAGAGATGGGGTGTTTCACCATATTGGCTAGGCTGATCTTGAACTCCTGAACTCAAGTGATCCACCTGCCTCGGCCTCCGAATGTGCTGGGATTATAGGCATGAGCCACCACGTCAGACCAGGTTTTCTATTTTTTTCTTACATCATCTTGGTAAGTTATCTTTTCCTAGGAGCTTGTCCATTTTTATGTAAGTCCTCAAATTAACTGGCACAGTATTTATTAAATTGATTAGTAGGGTCGGGAGCAGTGGCTCATGCCTATAATCCTAGCACTTTGGGAGGCTGAGGCAGGTGGATCCCCTGAGCTCAGGAGTTCAAGACCAGCCTGGACAACATGATATAACTCTGCCTCTACAAAAACTTACAAAACTTAGTCAGGCATGGTGGCTGACGCCTGTAGTCCCAGCTACTCAGCAGACTAAGGTGGGAGGATCACTTGGGCCCAGGAGGTGGATTAGTAAAAATTATTGTTATTAAGACAAAACGGATAGAAGAATGGAAGAATGGAATAATGGCAGAGTATAATCCAGACATAAAGATCTGGGATTCAACAATATTGTGACCTTTTTTTTTTTTTTTAAGAGACGGGGTCTTACTCTGTTGCCCAGGCTAGAGGGCTGTGGCTTAATCATAGCTCACTGCAGCCTCAAACTCCTGGGCTCAAGTGACCCTCTTGCCTCAGCCTCCTGAGTAGTTAAGACTATAGGTGTGAGCTACCTCTCCTGGCTAATTTTTAAAAATTTTTGTAGAAATTAGGTATCACTATTTTGCCCAGGCTGGTCTCAAATTCCTGGGCCTCAAGCAATCCTCCCACCTTTACCTCCCAAAGTGCTAGGGTTACAGGCATAAGCCACCACACCCAGCCTAATATTTCAATATTTTAACGTATCTCTGTGTTCTCAGAATATAGGTTTCTTTTGGACAGGAGATTGTGTCTTTTGCACACACTGTGTTGTCAAAAGTATTTGTTGGCTGGGCGCGGTGGCTCATGCCTGTAATCCCAGCACTTTGGGAGGCCGAGACAGGCGGATTGCCTGAGCTCAGGAGTTCGTGACCAGCTTGGGTAACACAGCGAAACTCTGTCGCTACTAAAATACAAAAAAAAATTAGCCAGGCATGGTGGCCTGCACCTGTAGTCCCAGCTCCTTGGGAGGCTGAGGCAGGAGAAGTGCTTAAACTCGGGCGGCGGAGGTTGCAATGAGCCAAGATCGCGTCACTGCCCTCCAGCCTGGGTGACAGAGCGAGATTCTTAAAAAAAAAAAAAAAAAAAAAAAAAAGGCCTTGTTGATTTCCTATGTCAAATAAAAAACATAAAATTGGTAATTCAAGGCAAATAGGTATTTATTTTATTATTTTAATAGTTCATTTTCATTAATGCATGGTTGATCCCAGTTAAAGATAACAAATATTTGTAGTTTTCCTCAAAAATAAAGATTTTTAAAAATTAAGTAAAAATTAGGTCGGGGGCAGTGGCTCACTGTAATTCCAGTGCTTTGGGAGATCAAAGCAGGTGGATCACTTGAGGCCAGGAGTTTGAGACCAGCCTGGCCAACATGGTGAAAAACCGTCTACTAAAAATACAAAAATTAGTTGGGCGTGGTGGTGCATGCCTGTAATCCCAGCTGCACGGGGTGCTGAGGCAGGAGAATTGCTTGAAACTGGGAGGTGGAGGTTGCAGTGAGCCGAGATCACGCCTCTGCACTCCAGCCTCGGTGACAGAGCGAGATTCTGCCTCAAAAAAAATAAAAAATTAAAAAATTTTTTTTAAAAAATTGTAAAAATTGGCAGCCGAGCGCAGAGGCTCATGCCTGTAATCCTAGCACTTTGGGAGGCTGAGGCAGGCGGATCACCTGAAGTCAGGAGTTTGAGACCAGCCTGGCCAACATGGTAAAACCCTGTCTCTACTAAAAATACAAAAATTAGCCAGGTGAGGTGGCAGGCGCCTGTAATCCCAGCTACTCAGGAGGCTGAGGAAGGGGAATCACTTCAACCCAGGAAGCGGAGGTTGCAGTGAGCCGAGATCACACCATTGCACTCCACTGGGCAACAAGAGCGAGACTCCATCTAAAAAAAAAAAAAAGTTTCAGAGGCCATTCTCATTTGTGAATTTTTTGTTGTTGTTGAGACCTGGCCGTGCCTGTCATGCAGTCTGCAGTGCAGTGGTGTGATCATACCTCACTGTAGCTTCAATCTCTCGGACTCAAGTGATCCTCCTGCCTCAGCCTCCCAAGTAGCTAGGAATATGGGTATGTGCCATCATACCTGGCTAATTTTTAAAATTTTTAGTAGGGACAAGGTCTGGCTATGTTATCCAGGCTGGTCTCCAACTCCTGAGCTCAAGTGATCCAGCCTCCTAAAGTGCTAGGATTTACAGGCATTGAGCCATCCTGCTGGGCCACATTCATAAATCTGACATAAATAAAACATCTATCCTTTTAAATATAGGAATTCACTGAATTTAAAGAAAACAGCCACCAAGAATAGGAAATTTAAACAGCTTTGAACTATAAAATATACATTATTTTTAAAAAATAAAAATGTAATCAAGACTATTATTACTATAAAAGTACATCTCATAATTTAAGGGGAAAGTCATTTTAGTGGTTTAAAAAAAACTTATGTTCACATGTGTTTTATCCATTCTTCCTCCAAACTTTATACCACAGTAGTTAACTGGTAGGAAGGCTATCTGATATAAATTTCAGTGTCCTTGCCTGTCCCACCCCCTATCACCCTAGTGGATACATACTTGGTTAAATACATACTGTATAAGGAAGCAAAAAGGTAGTTTGATCTTTAAAAATCCACAATAGATTCTATTAGAATAATTTTGAAAGTTTAGCGATTTGACTACAAATACTAGCCCTCTATCAATGAAGGACAACCTCTAATTGGACGCAGCTTCAGAACAGTGTTACTGCAAATAAGTATAACAGATCAATGAGATAACACATATGCTTTGATTCTAGACTGGTATAATCCTTTTTAACAAACATTAACACAGCCTCTAGTACCATACAATAAGGTTATTTCCAAGTATCTATAGGAAGTTGATGACAGTAATATTTCTCTGCCAGTCCAGTAATGCAGATGCATTTACCAGCTCCTCTCCTTGTAGAAATCCTGTTAATAAAGATATTTTGGGATTTATGGTTTTAAATGCCAATTTTTTTTTTAATGGGACAAGTGTTATAGAAATTCCTGCTGGTATTTTTCAGACTTGGAGGAAATGAAGTTTGACAAAGAATATTTCCTGAGTGGTCTGGAGGGAAGTAAAAGAATTAGCAAAATCGAGAGAATATGAAAATGAATCAGGTAAAGGCCTGAGTTCTGTTGGCGAAAGAAAAAATGCACCTGTATTATGTAAATAAGAATCCATGGTAAACAAGATTCAATTATAATGAAGCAATTATCATGTCCTGTCACATTTGTGAAAACTAAACTCTGCCAAGAGGTATCCTTTCAGGGTGTCCATTCACCTTGGTTTACATCAATCATCCCAGAGTGATTATTAAAAGTATTTTCTCTCACTCTTAAAAGTGAACCAGTTTACACATTATATGATCACCCTATCCTTGAAGAACCAGGAGGCAGAGCTATTAACATAGCCCCATGTTCAGCGTCCAATCATAGTCCCATAGCCAAAATGGAGTACAGATATACCTCATTTATCTAACACTGTGAATAGAGCAAAATAGTCCTATAATTCAGAACATGAATTCTGAAACCAAATGACCTGGGTTCAAATCTCAGCTCTGCTAAATATACTCTTCAGCTGTATAACCTTAGAAAAGTTTTTGGCCAGGCGCAGTGGCTCACGCCTGTAATCCCAGCACTTTGGGAGGCCGAGGTGGGTGGATTACGAGGTCAGGAGATCGAGACCATCCTGGCTAACACAGTGAAACTCTGAAATCCCGTCTCTATTAAATATACAAAAAATTATCTGGGGGTGTTTGTGGGCGCCTGTAGTCCCAACTACTCGGCAGGCTGAGGCAGGAGAATGGCGTGAACCCGGGAGGCGGAGCTTGCAGGGAGCAGAGATCACGCCACTGCACTCCAGCCTGGGTGACAGAGCAAGACTCCGTCTCAAAACACAAAAACAAACAACAAAAAAAAGGTTTTTACTTTTTATTTTGAAATAATTGCAAACTTGGAGAAAAGTTGCAAGAATATTACAAAGAATTCTCATATACCCTTCACTTAGGTTCACTAACTGCTAACATTTTGCCACATTTACTTTACACATCTCTCCACACACATTCACATACACACACAGAATTAATTAATTAATGAATTAATTAAGACAGGGTCTCACTCTGTCGCCCAGGCTGGAGTGCAGTGGCGCTACCATGACTCAATACAGCCTTGACCTCCCAGGCTCAGGCGATCCTCCCACTTCAGCATTTTTTTTTTTTTTTTTTGAGACGGAGTCTCGCTCTGTCTCCCCGGCTGGAGTGCAGTGACGACGGATCTTGGCTCACTGCAAGCTCCGCCTCCCGGGCTCACTCCATTCTCCTGCCTCAGCCTCCCGAGCAGCTGGGACTACAGGCGCCCGCCACCACGCCCAGCTAATTTTTTTTTTTAAATTTCTTATTTTTCGTAGAGTCGGGGTTTCACCGTGTTAGCCAGGATGGTCTCGATCTCCTGACCTCGTAATCCACCCGCCTCGGCCTCCCAAAGTGCTGGGATTACAGGCGTGAGCCACCGCGCCTGGCCCACCTCAGCCTTTCAAGTAGCTGGGACTACAGGTACACACCAATAGGCCTGGTTATTTTTTGTATTTTTGGTAGAGACAGGGTTTCACCATGTTGCCCAGGCAGTCTCAAACTCTTGGGATCAAGTGATCCTCCCACCTTGGCCTCCCAAAGTGTGGAGATTACAGGTCTGAGCTACCACACACGGCCACTCACTATTTTATTACTTTTTTTTTTTTTTTTTGAGATGGAGTCTCGCTCTGTCACCCAGGCTGGAGTGCAGTGGTGCGATCTCGGATCACTGCAACCTCTGCCTGCCAGGTTGAAGCAATTCTCCTGCCTCAGCCTCCCAAGTAGCTGGGACTAAAGGCACATGCCACCGTTCCCGGCGAATTTTTGTATTTTTAATAGAGATGGGGTTTCTCCATGCTGGCCAGGCTGGTCTCAAACTCTTGACCTCGTGATCTGCCCACCTTGGCCTCCCAAAGTGCTGGAATTACAGGTGTGAGCCACCGTGCCTGGCCCTATTATTAATTTTTTAACCATTTGATAATAGGTTGTAGACATCATGTCCTTTCTCCAAATACTTCAATGGGTTATTTTCTAAAAACAAACTACAGTTCAATTATCACATTAGGAAATTTAACAATAACACACTATTATTATCTAATGTAAAGTTCGTATCTTTTACCCGTTGTCTCACTAATGCTCTTGAAGAAAAACAAAAAAAGAGAGAGAGAGATGGGGTCTCTCTATGTTGCCCAGGCTGGTCTCAAATTCCTGGGCTCAAGCGATCCTCCCATCTTGGCCTTCCAAAGAGCTGGTATGACAGGCATGAGCCACCATACCCTTCCCTACTAATGCTCTTTATGGAAAATTTTTCCCTCAACCCAGAATCCCAATAAAGAATCTTGGGTAGATTTCTTAACCTCTCTGTATATCAGTTTCCCCATCTATAAATTGGAGATTAATAATAGCACCTACTTCATAAGATTATTGAGAAAAATGAAAGAGTAAATATAATAAGGAATTTAGAACAGTTGCTGATATTCAGTGCAGGTGTTAGCTGCTTTTATTTTTATTATTTTAATTTTTTTTTTTAGATGGAGTCTCACTCTGTCGCAATGGTGCGATCTAGACTCACGGCAACCTTCGCCTCCTGCGTTCAAGCATTTCTTGTGCCTCAGCCTCCCAAGTAGCTGGGATTACAGGTGCGCGCCACCATGCCTGGCTAATTTTAGTATTTTTAGTAGTGACAGGATTTCACCATGTTGGCCAGGCTGGTCTTGAACTCCTGACCTCAAGTGATCCGCCTGCCTGGACCTCCCAAATTGCTGGAAGTACAGGCATGGGCCACTATGCCTGGCCGTTAGCTGCTTTTAGAGAATGGCAGACTTCATATAAGGTAAAACTGTCAGATAATGGAAATAATTATTTAGAGACTATGCTTTTTGAAGGTATTTTAATGAAAATCTGTAAAATATATTGTGCATATCAATTATTTTCTGAACAGAATATATTATAGATATTTTAACTTTTTCTTAGAAACTCAGGGTCTTCACATCTGCAGTGGTACTGCTATAAAACTGTGATACTGGCCGGATGCGGTGACACCTGTAATCCCAGCACTTTGGGAGGCTGAGGCAGGCGGATCTTGAGGTCAGGAAATCGAGACCATCCTGGCTAACACGGTAAAACCCCGTCTCTAGAAAAAATACAAAAAATCAGCCGAGTGGTGGCGGGTGCCTGTAGTCCCAGCTACTCAGGAGGCTGAGGCAGGAGAATGGAGTTAGCCCGGGAGGTGGAGCTTGCAGTGAGCCGAGATAGCGCCACTGCACTCTAGCCTGGGCGACAGAGTGAGACTCTGTCTCAAAAAAAAAAAAAAAAAAAAAAACTATGATACTGTCAGAGGCACCTGAGGTGTGAGGTTTACATATGCCTATATAGTAAAATGTCTGCAAAGTTCTGGACAGACAACTTGAATCTCTTGTCTGCTGTCCTGCTTCTGATCATTAGTATATATTAACATGCCTCCTTTATATTATTATTATTATTTTTTTTTTTTTTTGAGACAGAGTTTCACTCTTGTTGCCCAGGCTGGAGTACAATGGCAGGATCTTGGCTCACCGCAACCTCAGCCTCCCGAGTTAGCTGGGATTAAAGGCATGTGCCACCACGCCCGGCTAATTATGTATTCTTAGTAGAGACAGGGTTTCTCCATGTTGGTCAGGCTGGTCTGGAACTCCTGACCTCAGGTGATCCGCCCACCTCAGCCTCCCAGCCTCATCTATATTATTCTAATAATAATTTTGGTCATACAAAGCTTCTAGTTTAAACAGTACTTTCAGCTGGGCATGGTGACTCACGCATGTAATCCAAGCACTTTGGGAGGCCGAGGCGGGTGGATTGCCTGAGGTCAGCAGTTAGAGACCAACCTGACCAACATGGTGAAACCCCATCTCTACTAAAAATAAAAAAAATTAGCTGGGCATGGTGGTGGGTGCCTGTAATCCCAGCTATTCAGGAGGCTAAGGCAGGAGAATCATTTGAACCCAGGAGGTAGAGGTTAGGTTACAGTGAGCCAAGATCACACCATTGCACTCTAGCCTGGGCAAAAGAGGAAAACGGTCTCAAAAAAAAAAGTACTTTCATATCTTTCATTAATTCAATAAATATCATTTGATTAATTAGCTGATATGAATCTTACAATTAGTCTGTGAGGTTAAAAAAAAACATATATTACTACTCCCAATTTTAACTACCTAATTATAGACAAATAAATTAAAGCTCAAAGAGGTCAAATGACACTTTGGGCCACAGAGTCAATAGGCCACACAGTCAGCCCTCATACACCTGGGTCCTCTGTGTGTCAATATACACAATTATCTGAGTGAGGTCCTGAGCTGATGCTACTGTTGAAGTAAAATGAACAATCTTTACCACTTAGAAGCACTTCCAGCTTACTTTTATATTTATTTATTTGTTTATTCATTTTGAGACAGAGTCTCGCTCTGTCGCCCAGACTGGAGTGCAGTGGCACGATCTTGGCTTACTGCAACCTGTGCCTCCTGGGTTCAAGCAATTCTCCTGCCTCAGCTTCCCAAGTAGCTGGGATTACAGGCGCGTGCCACCACGCCCGGCTAATTATTGTATTTTTAGTAGAGACAGGGTTTCACCATGTTGGCCAGGCTGGTCTTGAACTCCTGACTTTGTGATCCACCCGCCTTGGCCTCCCAAAGTGCTGGGATTACAGCCTTTACTTTTATTTTTTATTTCCGAAAGCAGCAGGAGAAAAACAGCTTACTTTTAAAGACGCAAGGAAACACATTCTGACTGGCTGAGACTGCCAGATGTCTGACTTTCAGATGCTGTTCCTCTTTACTTCTCAAATATCTTTCTAAAATTCTCTGAACGCTACAGCCACACTTTATTAATATAGACTCCACACATGAAAGTTGAGATATATTCAGAACTGAGCTGAAGTTTACCTCTGCACTCTAATAAAGACTAAGAAAACAGTGTAAATAAGATTGCAGGGAGAAATGTTTAATGAGCTGTTTTTAAGCATTTCAAGTCTAATTTACATACAATTAAAGTTAATTTGCACACCATTCTCAGCTATTCATTAAACCAGGTACAAGGATCTCTATCTAACAAAATAACCTGGTAACACTATTAGCCTAGTTTCAATTACTGTATGAACTCAAAGTAACAGCTGCATCTAAAGAAAAATAACCTACAACACTCTCACTAGGTTTTCCCCCAATTAGCCCAAATTAATGAGGTTTAATACTACCTCCATGATGACCCACAAAACCTATCTTCCCCTGATGACCCCTACAGTATAAGCTAAAATGTAGTTAAACCACCTGTCCTAGAGACTAGGCAGAGGAAGCAAGACAAAATGGCAATGGCTAAGGAAGGCTACGGTTCTAGGGCAGATTACGGTACTAAATCTGTGCTACCTTAGTTAAATCACTCAACTTCTCTTGCCTTCAGCTGCCTCTTTTACAAAATGAGGGAGCTAATAATGTGGTCTCTAAACACAATATCGCAATAAGAGGATCCAGAGCTTAGGGGAAAGGGCAGAAAATGTACAAGATGAGTTGGGAACACATTATCGTGCTAGAAAGCAAGGAACACTATCAAAGACTGCTGAAATTATGTCAAAAGGAATCAGGAGCTAGCTTGAAGAACTTCCCACTGGTCCAATATGAAACAAAGTTAACATCAATAAGAATAACTGCAATGGATTAAAACACATCAAATATGTTAACACCTAAAAGTTCCTGATCATGCCCTAAAAAACCCTAAAAAGTCACTGGTCCTCTCTGGAGTATATCTGAAAACCAACTCATTATTTTGAAAACTAGTAAATGAAAGAATAAAGGGAATGAATTAAGTATTTACCTTGCCTTCCTTGTACATATCAAACCCCAGGGTAACCAAAGAGTTGATAAAGTAAACTTTTTCTTTTTTGAAGTATTCCAGATGATAAACAACAACAAAAAAGAATGATAGAATTAAAATCTAATCATTTTTCACACATTTAATGAAATCATGGATCTAGGTAATCATCATCCATGACCACGTACAACAGAAAAAGAGACATCTGGACATTATGAGCCTCCTCACAGAATAATACACCACCACTTATGAAGTATTATTGCCAAAAAAGCAACCGGATTCAGTTCAAGCCTCTAGAGGAGCACTGCACAACAGGAGCCACTGCATACATGCAGCTATGGAGCACCAAAACCAGGGCCACTCCAAACCGATATGTGCCGTAAGTGCAAAGCACCAACTTTCAAAGATTTAATATTAAAAAAGGATGCTGCTGGGCGCAGTGGTGCATACCTGAAATTCCAGCCTTTGGGAAGCTGAGGTGAGAGGATGGCTTGAGGCCAGGAGTTCAAGATAAGCCTGGGCAACATAATGAAGCCCGTCTCTACAAATAATTTAAAAGTTAGCTGGGTGTGGTGGTGCATGCCTGTAGTCCTAGCTACTTGGGAGGCTGAGGTGGGAGCCCAGGTGGTTGAGGCTGCAATGAGCTGAAATCATGCCACTGTACTCCAGCCTGAAAAACAGAGTGAGAGCTCAGCTCAAGAAAAAAACAAATCACAATAATTTTTTATTGATTATATGTCATTATATTAATGTTAAAATAATAAGACTTTTCAGGCTGGGGTGCGGTGGCTCACACTGGTAATCCTAGCACTTTGGGAGACCGGGGCAGGCAGATTGTTTGAGCCCAGGAGTTTGAGATCAGCCTGGGCAACATGGAGAAACCCCATCCCTATAAAAAATATAAAAATTAGCTGGGTTGGTGGTGCACGCCTATAGTCCCAGCTACTTGGGAAGCTGAGGTGGGAGGGTCACTTGAGCCTGAGAAGTGGAGGTTGCAGTGAGTCGAGATAATGCCACACTGCACTACAGCCTGGGTGTCAGAGTGAGACCTTGTCTCAAAAAAAAAAAAAAAAACCAAAACACACACACACACACACAAAGAAAAAAATAATAGTTTGCAACTATTGGGTAAAATAAAGTTTTTCGTTTGTTTGTTTTCTGTTTTTTTTTTTTGAGATGGTGTCCAGGCTGGAATGCAGTGGTGCAATCTCAGCTCACTGCAAGCTCCGCCTCCCGGGTTCATGCCATTCCCCTGCCTCAGCCTCCCGAGTAGCTGGGACTACAGGCACCTGCCACCACGCCCGGCTAACTTTTTGGATTTTTTAGTAGAGACGGCATTTCACCGTGTTAGCCAGGATGGTCTCAATCTCCTGACCTCGTGATCCGCCCGCCTTGACCTCCCAAAGTGCTGGGATTACAGGCGTGAGCCACCACGCCTAGCCAAAATAAAGTATATTATTAAAATGAATTTCCGGGGGGCGCAGTGGCTCACACGTGTAATCCCAGCACTTTAGGAGGCCGAGGTGGGCGGATCACGAGGTCAGGAGATGGAGACCAGCCTGGCTGACACGGTGAGACTCTATCTCTACTAAAAATATAAAAAACTAGCCAGGCGTGGTGGCACGCGACTGTAGTCCCAGCTACTGGGGAGGCTGAGGCAGGAGAATCGCTTGAACCCAGGAGGCGGAGGTTGCAGTACATCGAGATCACGCCACTGCACTCCAGCCTGGGTGACAGAGCAATTTCCTGTTTCTTCTTATCTTTTTAATGTGCCAAATAATTTTTTTTTTTTTGAGACAGGGTCTCACTCTGTCGCCCAGTCTGGAGTGTAGTAGCACAATCTCAGCTCACTGCAACCTCCACCTCCTGGGTTAAAGCAATTCTCGTGTCTCAGTCACCCAAGTAGATGGGATTACAGGCACATGCCACCACAAGCAGCTAATTTTTCTGTTTTAGTATAGATGGGGTTTTACCATGTTGACCAGGCTGAAATTTTAAATTTAATTAGAAGCTTGAATATTTCTGTTAGACAACACTCTCTAGATCTAACAACCAGTTTATAGGGAATAAAAGGGATAGAGGAATATAAATGAATTACAGAAATTCAACTAGCAAAGTCCAGAACGGGAGAATTACACAACTTTGTTTCTTTAACAACAGCAGCAATAACAAAAAAAAAACACCAGAGAAAAAAAGAACTGACCAGGCGTAGTGGCTCACGCCTGTAATCTCAGCACTTTGGGAGGCCGAGGCAGGCGGATCACCTGAGGTCAGGAGTTAGAGACCAGCCTGACCAACATGGTGAAATCCCGTCTCTACTAAAAATACAAAAATTAGCTGGTCGTGGTGGCTAATGCCTGCAATCCCAGCTACTCAGGAGGCTGAGGTAGGAGAATCATTTGAACCTGGGGGACAGAGGTTACAATGAGCCGAGATTGCGCCATTGCACTCCAGCCTGGGCGACAAGAGCGAAACTCCGTCTCCGGGGAAAAAAAAAAAAGAACTGAGAGAACCTGTAGATTAAAAAAGACGTAAAAGAGGCCGGGCACGGTGGTTCACGCCTGTAATCCCAGCACTTTGGGAGGCCAAGGAGGGTAGATCACCTGAGGTCAGGAGTTCAAGACCAGCCTGGCCAACATGGTGAAACCCCGTCTCTACTAAGAATACAAAAATTAGCTGGGTGCCGTGGTGGAGGCGGAGGTTGCAATGGGCTGAGATCGCGCCACTGCACTCCAGCCTGGCAACAGAGTGGGACTCTGTCTCAAAAAAAAAAAAAAAAAAAGGAGACATAGAAGCTATGTAAACCAAATCAATGTATCAACCTTGTCTGAAACCTGATTCAAATAAACCAAATGTTCAGAGAGAAGGGGTGGCAGGGATGAAGGGAGAGCAGAAAGAGAAATTAATTGTGGAAATTTGAACATTAACAGGATGCAGTGTGGTTATGTTTTTTAAAAACAGTCTCTTTATTTTTTACAGCTATACACAGAAATTAGCATTTAAATGATATGATGTCTGGGACTTGTTTCAAAATGATCTAAGGGGGATGAGGGAACGAATAGGGGTATGGATGAAACAAGACTGACCATGAGCTAATAATTGTTGAAGCTGAGTGTTGGGCATGTAAGGCCTCACTATATCACCCTCTCCACATCTGTATATGTTTGAAATTTTCTATACTTTTCTAAAGAACGAGATGAGCAGACAAGTTTATCTATAAAAACTTCTTGTAGCTTTTGAATCTACAAAAATGTATGAAAATAAGTCACAGAGTTGGCTAATACTTCAAGAGATCATTCGATCTAGTGTACCGCCTCCAGGACACACTACAACATTATCACATTCAGCAAATATTTATTGAGTAACTATTGAGCACAAAGGCGCTAACATTGTAGAAGATGCACAGAAATACAAGAACCAGTTTCTGTTTCAGGACTTTAGTCATATAGGAGAAATCAGAAAAGTACCTAAACATAAAACAAGGTAAAAAGTGATGAAGTTGACCAAGCGCAGTGGCTCATGTCTGTAATCCCAGCACTTCGGGAGGCCAAGGCTGGCAGATCACCTGAGGTCAGGAATTAGAGACCAGCCTGGCCAACATGGTGAAACCCCATCTCTACTAAAAATACAAAAATTAGCCAGGTGTGGTGGTGTGCACCTGTAGTCCCAGCTACTCGGGAGGCTGAGGCAGGAGAATCACTTGATCCCGAGAGGCAGAAAGGTTGCAGTGAGCAGAGATCGCACCACCACACTCCAGAGTGGGCGACAGAATGAGACTCTGTGTCAAAAAAAAAAAGGTGAAGTTACGGTTTAAGTATCATAAGCAAGGTAGTTTTTAAGTATATCAGAAGCCATCATAGAAGAGTGTCATATAACTGGGCATGAAAAATAGGCAGGATTTGGACATGTAGTGACAGGGAGTATTATATCTGAAGTGTACAGACAGTGTCAGCAGAAGCACAAAGGCAGAATATAATGAAACATTTTTGGGAAATGAAGATGAGCGCATTATTGCGCCTGTAGTGGGAAACAGAGCTGGAAAGACAAGTAGGGGCTAGACCACAGAATCTTAAATATCAGGCTGAGTTTGTACTTTAGTCAATAAGCATTGGGAGTCACACATTTGGAGTTCTAGATGATAGAATATTTAGGAAGAAACTATACACCTCACCTAAGTTTAGTAGAAAAGAATGGAGCTGGGGAGGGGGATGAAAATAAGGATAAATAATCAAGGCAAAAGGTAACACAGGACCTAAAATGCAGTAGTGGGAGGAAAAGACAGGGAGGGATCTGAGAGTGTCTGGGCATGAAAACAAGCAGGAGTTGAGAAGTCAACAGTAACTAAGATTTTACAACTGGATGAACTGGGAGAATGGTGGGGCCAATGTTTAGCATGTTGGCAGACCTATACCAGCCCTGAATAGTGTTCAATAAATGACTGACTGACTGAATAAATAAATAGAAATATGTGAGTCAAAATGAAGAGCAGTAAGTCAGGGGATTTGGGGGGCTGGGGAGTGGGGTGGGCAGGAGATAAGCTGAACCTTCTCATTGAACCTGTGTTCCTCACAAGGTTCTGAAGAACAAAATGCTGCCCAGGAGTGCTATGCATTTTCTTGGGAATGCACTTCTCTAAAGCAAAGGACTCATCATTAAAACCTACATAAAAGGTATAAAACCCATCCTTAAAACCAGTAAACATGCCTCCCAAGCAAGGAGGAGACAACCTGTACAATCTGACCACAGGTTCTCAAAAGCAGACAGCTCATGAAAAGCTGGAGGTGCAAGTAGGATATCAGTGAAGCGGTCCAATAGGAATTCTGGTACTGGAGCTGAGAGGCAAAAATATAGATGTGGCAGTTACTGCATGAAGGTTGTAACAGAAGACATAAGAGTAGGCTGTGGGCCGGGCGCGGTGGCTCACGCCTGTAATCCCAGCACTTTGGGAGGCCGAGGCGGGCGGATCACGAGGTCAGGAGATCGAGACCATCCCGGCTAAAAACAGTGAAACCCCATCTCTACTAAAAATACAAAAAATTAGCCGGGCGTAGTGGCGGGCGCCTGTAGTCCCAGCTACTTGGGAGGCTGAGGCAGGAGAATGGCGTGAACCCGGGAGGCGGAGCTTGCAGTGAGCCGAGATCCCGCCACTGCACTCCAGCCTGGGCGACAGAGCGAGACTCTGTCTCAAAAAAAAAAAAAAAAAAAAAGAGTAGGCTGTGCACAGAGCCTCAAACCTGTGATCCCAGCACTCTGAGAAGCTGTGACGGAAGAATCGCTTGAGTCCATGAGTTCAAGACCCTTGGCTCCACAAAAAATAAAATTAGCTGGGCATGGTGGTGTACATCTGTGGTCCCAGCTACTTGAGAGGCTGAGGTGGGAGGCTCACTTCAGCCCAGGAAGCTGAGGCTGCAGAAAGCCGAGATGGCGCCACTGTACTGCAGCCTGGCCAACAGCGCAAGAACCTGTCTCAAACACACACACACACAAAGAGTAGATGACCTCTCAATACAAAAGCAAAAAAAAGAGAAGCAAGGCCTGAGACAACTTAGGGACTGACAAAGGAGGATCAGGAAGGCAGAAAGAGAACCAGAACAATGTTGTGTCATAAAAGCTAAGAGAAGAATGTCCAGAAGGAAGGCCTGTTCAATCCTTATCTTCTTCCTTGACCCACAAATTCAACCCATCAACAAGCCTTATCAGCTCTACCTCCAAAATATATACTAAACACATCCATTTCTCTCCATCTCTTTAGCGACCTACCTAGTAGTTCAAACTTTCATCACTGCCTAGATTTCTGCAGTAGCCTGTTCAACCCACCTCAATCAAGTCCTGCCCCCAAATAATCCACTCTCTTTGTAGCAACTGGATTAATCTTTTAAAAATGGAAATCAGGGCCAGGCGCGGTGGCTTATGCCTGTAATCGCGGTACTTTCAGAGGCAGAGGCGGGCAGATCACGAGGTCAGGAGATGGAGACCACCCTGCCCAACATGGTGAAACCCTGTCTCTACTAAAAATAAAAAAATTAGCCGGGCATGGTGGCGGGTGCCTGTAATCCCATCTACTCGAGAGGCAGGAGAATTGCTTCAGCCCAGGAGACTGATGTGGTGGTAAGCTGAGACCACGCCACTGCACTCCAGCCTGTGTGCCAGAGCAAGACGCCAACTCAAAAAAAAAAAAAAAAATGTAAATCAAAACTGGGTGCAGTGATGCAAGCCTGTGATCCTAGCACTTTGGGAGGCTGAGGCAGGTGGATCACTTGAGCTCAGGAGTTCAGGACCAGCCTGGGCAACATGGTGAAATCCCATCTCTACAAAAAATACAAAAATTAGCCAGGCATGGTGGCTAGCACCTATAGTTCCAGCCACTTGGAAGGCTGAGATGGGAGGACTGCTTGAGCCCAGGAGGCAGAGGTTGCAGTGAGCTGAGATTTCACGACTGCACTCCAGCACTCCAGCACTCCAGCCTGGGTGACACAGTGAAACCCCGTCTCCAAAAAAAAAAAAAAAAAAAAAAAAGGGGAAATCAGGCCAGGGTGGCTCATGCCTGTAACCCCAGCACCTTGGGAGGCCAAGGCAAGGATTGCTTGAGGCCAGGAGTTCAAGACCAATCTGGGCAACAAAGCAAGACCCCATCTTTACCAAAAAAAAAAAAAAAGGAAGAAAATTAGTATGGCATGAAGATGTGAGCCTGTAGCCCTAGCTACTTAGGAGGCTGAGGTGGGAGGATCCCTTGAGCCCAGAAATTCAAGGCTGCAGTGAGCCATGATGGCACCACTGCATTCCAGCCTGGGAGACACAGCAAGACCTTGTCTCAAAAAAAAAAAAAAAAAAGGAAACAAACAACAAAAAAAATTGTGCTTTATAGGGCATGATCATGAAAAGTGAAAAGACAACCCACAGAATGGGAGAAAATCTTTGTAAATAATTTATCTGATAACCTGTATCCGGAATAAAGAACTATTAAAATACAATAAAAGGACAAATAACCCAATTTTAAAAGAAGCAACAGATTTAAATAGACATATAAATAGCCAATAAATGGCCAAGAGCGGTGGCTCATGCCTCTAATTCCAGCACTTTCAGAGGCCGAGGCGGGCGGATCACGAGGTCAGGAGATGAAGACCATCCTGGCTAACATGGTGAAACCCCGTCTCTACTAAAAATACAAAAAATTAGCCGGGCGTGGTGGCAGGTGCCTGTAGTCCCAGCTACTCGGGAGGCTGAGGTTGCAGTGAGCCAAAACTGCACCACTGCACTCCACCCTGGGTAACAGAGCAAGACTCCAGACTCCATGGCCAAAAAAAAAAAAAAAAAAAGAAAGAAAAAAAAAGTTACATTGTTAATCATGGAAAAAATTGTAACAGAGGAGGAAAGAGGGGTATTGGAAGAAACAACACAGTAAGTCCTCACTTAACTCATCAATAGATTCTTGGATATTACTATTTTAAGCAAAACAATGTATAACAAAACCAATTTTACCACAGTCTAATGTAAACAAGAGTTAAGTTCCTATAGCATATTTCTGGTCACAAAAAACATCACCAAACTTCTAAAGAAAGACCAAAACACTTCCAATATTAAACACTGAAACAAATGTGAGCTACACAAACATTTAAGAAAGATTAATAAAAACAAGAAAGATAAGTATTTACCTAATTATTCCAGTTCAGGGTCATGGGTGGCCGGAGCCTGTCCCAACAGCCCAGGGAGCAAGGTGGGAACCAACTCTGGGCAGGATGCCATCCCATCAATCACACACGCACCCACACTCACTCAGACTGGGACCATTTAGAGACACCAATTCATCAAACACGAACAATTCTGTGATGCGGGAGGAAACCAGAGTACCTGGAGGGAAACCAAAGTACTGGAGAAAGCCCACACAGATGTGGGGAGAACGTGCAAACTACACAGACAGTAGCCCCGGCCAGGAATACATTTTTTTTCTCATCAACATTATAACGCAATGAAGGTGAACAAAATAATGTTATTCAAAGACCTGTTGTAATGGCCATGAGTTGATACTTGTTGAGGCTAGGAGATAGATACATAGGAGTTCATTACATCATTCTCTTTACTTACATGTATGCTTGATATTTTTTCATTAAAAAGTTTTTTTTTTAAATCTTCAAGCACCTCAATTTAAAAACAAAACACTTCTTCCAGACTTCCCATTTACTTAAAAATAAAACACACCCAGGCAAAGTAGCTCACACGCCTGTAATCTCAGCACTCTGGGAGGCTGAAGCTGAGGATCACTTGAGCCCAGGAGTTCAAGAATAGCCTAGGCAACATAGTGAGACTCCATCTCCATAAAAAATAAAACAATTAGGCTGGGCATGGTGGCTCACACCTCTAATCCCAGCACTTTGGGAGGCTGAGGTGGGCGGATCACGAGGTCACAAGATCGAGACCATCCTGGCCAACATGATGAAACCCCGCCTCTACTAAAAATACAAAAATTAGCTGCGCATGGTGGCATGAGCCTATAGTCCCAGCTACTCAGGAGGCTGAGGCAGGAGAATCGCGCCTAAACCCAGGAGGCAGAGGTTGCAGTGAGCCGAGATCATGCCACTGCCCTCCAGCTTGGGCAACAGAGCGAGACTCTGCCTCAAAAAAAAAATAAAAATAAAAAATAAAACAATTAGCCTGGCATGGTGACCTGCATCTGTAGTCCCAAGTACCCAAGAGGCTGAGGTGGGAGGATCACTTGAGCCACAGAGGTTAAGGCTGCAGTGAGCCATGATCGCACCACTGCACTCCAGCCTAGGTGACAGAGTGGGATCTTGTCTCAAAAACAAAACAAAACAAAACAAAATACACACAAAACTCCTGGCCAGATGTGGTGGCTCACATCTGAAAGCCCACCACTTTGGGAGGCTGAGGCAGGAGGACTGCTTGAGGCCAGGGGTTCAAGACCAGCCTGGGCAACACAGTGAGATGCAATCTCTACACATAAAATTTAAAAATTAGGCAGGTGTGGTGTTATGTAACTGTAGTCCCAGTTACGCAGGAGGCTGAGGCAGGAGTTCAAAGCTGCAGCGAGCCAAGACTGTGCCACTAGCCTGGGCAACAGAGCAAGACCTTGTCTCAAAATATAAATAAACAGAACTCCTTAACAGTCCTAAAAAGCTTTGAAATATCTGGCTCCTACCCATCTCTCCAATCACATATTTTGTTACCACCGTTCACTAATACATAGCCATGGTAGGCTTCCATCACTCTCAGGATACACTAAGGATTTTCCTGATTCAGGGCTTCTGCCATCAACAGTTCCTTCTCCCTGGAACTCTCTTCCCTCGTTTCTCTATTTCAATGGTTCATTTTCATTCTTCACTTTCAGTATATCACCTTCTCAGAGAAGCCTTTCCTGACCATCCTTATCTAAGTTCCTCTATTACTCTCTATTATAGCACCCTATTTTATTTTCTAACATACATCACAATCTTTAACTTTTTATGTCTTTTTGTTTTGTTCTGTTTTGTTTGAGAGAGTGTCTGCCTCTGTTGCCCAGGCTGGAGTGCAGTGGCATAATCTTGGCTCATTGCAACCTCTGCCTCCTGGGTTCAAGTGATCCTCCCACTTCAGCCTCCTGAGCAGCTGGTACTACAGGTGCACACCATCACACCCAGCTAATTTTTGTATTTTTTGTAGGGATGGGGTTTCACCATGTTACCCAGGCTGGTCTCAAACTCCTGGGCTCAAGTGATCTGCCTACGTTAGCCTCCCAAAATACTTGGCCTCACGCCTCCCCATGTGGGCGTGAGCCACTACACCCAGCCTTATTTATGTCTTTACTGTCTATCCAAGGCTTCCCAAACTGCATGAGAGCATGCACCTTGTTTCTTCTCAAGATCACTGAGTTGTATCCTTAGTAGTACGTGACACACAGTAGGCACTTAACACATCTGTTGAATGTTAAACTAATAACCCAATACTAGGCATTATCCTATTGTTGAATGTTTAATATAGCAAAGGCTTACAGAAAACCTACTGTTTACGAGGCCTTAGGTAACACATATACACATCTGATGAGAAGGTAAATGGTGTCTTAGGCCATTCTTGCATTGCTATAAAGAAATATCTGAGACTGGGTAATTTATAGGCAAAGAGGTTTCACTGCTCACAGTTCTGCAGGCTGTACAGGAAACAGTGCCAGCATGTGCTCCTGGGGAGGCTTCAGGAAGCTTTTACTCATGGCAGAAGGAAAAGCGCAAGCAGGCACTTCACATGTGAACTCAGAGCGAGAGCTCACTTATCACCAAGGGGATGGCCCAAGCCATTCATGAGGGACCTGCCCCCATGACCCAAACACCTCCTACCAGGCCCCATCTCCAACACTGGGTATTACATTTCAACATGAGATTTAGAGAGGATACATATTCAAACTACATCACATGGTATAATGAGAATTAAGTGGACAAAATTTAAAAAAAAAAAAACCTCTTCCAGAGGCTTCTGAAAAGAGCAAATAAGTAGACTATTTTTCCCCCAGAGAATTCATTTAAAAACAGAAATAAGAGAGTTGTGACACAGTCCCTTCTCTAAAGATGTATAAACAAAGGGTCCCCAAGGGATCAAGGCTGAAATGTACCACAATTAACATTTTTAGAAATTATCTAGAAAAAACAATAGTGAAATCTTCCCAGTTTGCAGATGACTCTACAGCAACACATAGAAGTACAATGGTGCAAGGCTCTGTGTGTTCAGCAATGTGAAAAACAGCTTCCATGTAGACAAAAATAAGGTAATTCAGTGACAGAAAAATAGTTCAAACTATAATTATCAAACGATGAGCTCTAAAACTACCTGTTTTAACATAGGAAAGGGGTTTCAAAGTCCCTAGACTGTACCCTGAATACAGCTACAAAAAGGCAACAAAATACTGGCTGTCATTATGAAAGCTTTGGAAACACAGAACATATTATCCTATCCTTGTACAAACCAAAGTGTACCTGTACCTAGAATAGAATGTGTAGTTGTAGTCATCATAGCACAAAAAAGGTAAAATAGAGAAGGCCTAGAAAGATATCACAGAAGACCAAAGGGACCAGAGGGGCTTCTATATGAGTACAGATTTTTTTTAAATGTCTTTTTAAGGCCAGGCGCGGTGGCTCACGCCTGTAATCCCAGCACTTTGGGAGGCTGATGCTGGCAGATCACGTGAGGCCAGGAGTCCAACACCAGCCTGGCCAACATGGCGAAATCCCATCTCTACTAAAAATACAAAAATTAGCTGGGCGTGTTGACACATGCCTACAATCCCAGCTACTCGATAGGCTGAGGCAGAAGAATCACTTGAACCAGGCAGGTGGAAGTTGCAGTGAGCAGAGATCATGCCACTGCACTCCAGCCTGGGTGACAGAGCAAGACTTCGTCTCAAAAAATAAAAAATAATCTGTTGCAATGAGCAAGTATTACTTTTGTAACTTCAAAGAGATTTTAAAAATAAATAAATCGGCCGGGCGCGGTGGCTCACGCCTGTAATCCCAGCACTTTGGGAGGCCGAGGCGGGCGGATCACGAGGTCAGGAGATCGAGACCATCCCGGCTAAAACGGTGAAACCCCGTCTCTACTAAAAATACAAAAAATTAGCCGGGCGTAGTGGCGGGCGCCTGTAGTCCCAGCTACTTGGGAGGCTGAGGCAGGAGAATGGCGTGAACCCGGGAGGCGGAGCTTGCAGTGAGCCGAGATCCCGCCACTGCACTCCAGCCTGGGCTACAGAGCGAGACTCCGTCTCAAAAAAAAAAAATAAATAAATAAAAAAAAAAATAAAAATAAATAAATCTAGGATATTAGAAATGGGAGGCAGGCCGGGTGTAGTGGCTCATGCCTGTAATCCTAGCACTTTGGGAGGCTGAAGCAGGTGGATCACTTGAAACCAGGAGTTCAAGACCAACCTGACCAACATGGTGAAACCCCCGTCTCTACTAAAAAGAGACTTGGGAGGCTGAGGCAGAAGAACTGCTTGAACCCGGGAGGCAGAGGTTGCAGCGAGCCGAGATCCTGCCACTGCACTCTAACCTGGGGGACAGAGGGAAGACTCTACCTCCAAAAAAAATAAAAAAGGAAAGAAAGAAAAGAAGTAGAAAATAAATTTCATGCAAATAGCAAAGCAAAAAAAAAAAAAAAAAGGATATGATGTAAGAATAAGCAAATTAGTAGCTGTGGTTTGTTGGAAAGAACTCTAGATATGCATCAAAGGACTTGGGTTCGTATACACATTAACATGGACAAATGTGAAAAACTTTATGTTGAACAGAAAAAGTCAGACACAAAAGTGTGCATACTATATGATTCAAGAATAGGTAAATTTAATATGTGGGGATAGAAATCAGAACATTGGTTGCCTATAAAATGGTGGAGATTGACTGGAAGGGGAACTGGAAGGAGGGAACTTTGGAGGGTTATAAAAATATTCTATTTCTTTTTCCTTTTTTTGAGATGGAGTTTCACTCTTGTTGCCCAGGCTGGAGTGCAATGGCGTGATCTCGGCTCACTGCAAACTCCGCCTCCCAGGTTCAAGCGAGTCTCCTGCCTCAGCCTCCAGAGTAGCTGGGATTACAGGCATCCGTCACCACACCCAGATAATTTTTTGTATTTTTAGTAGAGACAGGGCTTCTCCATGTTGGTCAGGCTGGTCTCCAATTCCCGACCTCAGGTGATCCACCCGCCTCGACCTCACAAAGTGCTGGGATTACAGGCGTGAGCCACTGCGCCCAGCCAAAATGTTCTATTTCTTGATGTGGGTGTTGGCTACATAGGTGTTTACATTTGTCAAAACTCGTCTAATTATATACTTCCATCTCACTGTATATAAGTTTTACCTTTAAAAATCTTGGTTAGGGCCGGGTGTGGTGGCTCACGCCTGTAATCCCAGAGCTTTGGGAGGCCGAGGTGGGTGAATCACAAGGTCAGGAGTTCAAGACCACCCTAGTCAACATGGTGAAACCCCGTCTCTACTAAAAATACAAAAAATTAGCCAGGCGTGGTGGCAGGCACCTGTAATCCCAGCTACTCGGGAGGCTGAGGCAGGAGAATTGCTTGAACCCGGGAGGCGGAGGTTGCAGTGAGCCAAGACTGCGCCACTGCACTCCAGTGTGGGCGACAGAGTGAGACTCCATCTCAAAAAAAAAAAAAATCTTGGCTAGGCTTGGTGGCTTACACCTGTAATCTTGGCAGCACCTTCGAGGCTAAGGTGGGAGGATCACTTGAAGCCAGGGGCTGGAGACCAGCCTTAGCAACATACCCACACCTCATCTCTATTTTATTATTTAAAAATTCCAAATAATTTTAAAATAAATATAAATCTCATCTTAAAAAAGACATTTCAATTTCAAATGTTCCATTATTTAGTTGAATAATTTTGAGGAAGTTAATCTCTCAGAACCAGTTTACTTTATCTATAAAATGCAGCTACTAATGGCCTGGCACGGTGGCTCACGCCTGTAATCCCAGCACTTTGGGAGGCCAAGGCGGGTGGATCACCTGAGGTCAGGAGTTCAAGACCAGCCTGGCCAATATGGTGAAACCCCGTCTCTACTAAAAATACAAAAATTAGCTGGGTGTGGTGGCACATGCCTATAATCCTAGTTACTCAGGAGGCTGGGGCAGGAGAATCACTGGAACCAGGGAGGCAGAAGCTGCAGTGAGCCAAGATGGCGCCACTACATTCCAGCCTGGGTGACAGAGCAAGACTCCGTCTCAAAAAAACAAACAAACAAAAAAGTAGCTACTAACATATCTCAAGTGCTGGGGACTGTCTGTAATAGTATACAACAAAGTGGAGCACTATGCTTTGCAAATTATCATCCAATGAATGCTGAAGGAACTTTAAAAGTAAAGATAGGGAAGAAGTTAGTCTTATAATTCTCATAATTCCACAGATGCCGTTGGTATTCAGGAATACTATTCTTTAAAGACTATCAATATTCTACAAAGGGAAATTCACTTATAGTTCCCAATTGTGAATGAAAAGGAGTATCAATAGGCATGACCCAAAACCTTCTTCTACACAGTTAAACAAAATTTCTCAAGACCTGATTTAAGAGCAAACTTTTTAAACTGAGTACTTATGGCCGGGTGTGGAGGCTCATGTCTGTAATCCCAGCACTTTGGGAGGCCGAATTGGGCAGATCACTTGAGGTCAGGAGTTCGAGAACAGCCTGGCCAACATGGTGAAGCCCCATCTCTACTAAAAATACAAAAATTAGCCGAGTATGGTGGCAAGCACCTGTAATCCCAGCTACTCGAGAGGCTAAGGCACAAGAATCGCTTGGACCCGGGAGGCAGAGGTTGCAGTGAGATTAGATAGCACCACTGCACTCCAGCCTGGAAACAGAATGAGACTCCATCTAAAAAAAAAAGAAAATAAAAATAAAATAAAATATAATAAAATAGAAATAAACTGAGTACTTGCTAGAACAAAGGCATAAGCCAGGTATGGAGGAAGGAGAGGAGGTTTCAAATCAAAATACTTGAGAGTAAATGAACTGCTCTTGTTACTTTACTATGTCAATTACAAAGCTTAAAATTCACACAAGCCACACGACATATTTAAGAATGCATGTGTTGGGCCAGGTGCGGTGGCTCACGCCTGTAATCCCAGCACTTTGGGAGGCCGAGGCGGGTGGAGGTCAGGAGATCGAGACCATCCTGGCTAACACGGTGAAACCCCGTCTCTACTAAAAATACAAAAAAATTAGCCGGGCGTGGTGGCAGGCGCCTGTAGTCCCAGCTACTCCCAGCTCCTCCCTGTAGTCCCAATTACTCGGGAGGCTGAGGCAGGAGAATGGCGTGAACCTGGGAGGCAGAGCTTGCAGTGAGCCGAGATCACGCCACTGCACTCTAGCCTGGGTGACAGAGTGAGAGTCTGTCTCAAAAAACAAAAACAAAAAAACAAAAAAAGAATGCATGTGTGGAGGTCAGGAGATCAAGACCATCCTAGCTTACATGGTGAAACCCCGTCTCTACTAAAAATACAAAAAAAAAAAAAATTAGCCAGGCGTGGTGGCACGCGCCTGTAGTCCCAGCTACTCAGGAGGCTGAGGCAGGAGAATCACTTGAACCTGGGAGGTGGAGGTTGCAGTGAGCCGAGATCACGCCACTGCACTCCAGCCTGGGCGACAGAGGGAGACTCCGTATGAAAAAAATAACGCATGTGTGTATACACATACACATGTTCACTCAAATTGGAAATGAGTCAAACCACTGCTTTTTCTCAAAAAGCCTTCTGTATTCTCAAAATAAGAAACTTGGGGCCAGGCGTGGTGGCTCACGCCTGTAATCCCAGCACTTTGGGAAGCAGAGGTGGGCAGATCACTTGAGGCCAGGAGTTTGAGACCAGCCTGGCCAACATGACAAAACCCCGTCTCTACTAAAAATACAAAAATTAGCCAGGCATGGGGGTGGGCGCCTGTAATCGCAGCTACTTAGCTCAGGAGGCCGAGGCAGGAGAATGGCTTGAGCCTGGGGTGAGCAGGGAGGGCGTGCACAGAGGCTGCAGTGAGCCAACATCATCGGGCCATTGCACTCCAGCCTGGGCGACAGAGCAAGACTCCATCTCAAAAAAAAGAAAAAAGAAAAAAAAAGAAACTATTTTGTTCAAATGGAATTAATCTTACAGCTGAGAGTACATCTCAGACTTCTCTGTATTTTACCAGAAAGAAAAACAGAGCTTGAAAAGAAATATCACAGGCAAAGTTTAATAGCCTCTCCTATCAATCTCAAATTATTTATTAGTCTGGAAATCATCATGAAAAGCAAATTTTTCTGAGATACTTCTATATCTGAACATTATTTCTTCAGCAAGCATTCAACAATTCTTGTTTCTATTCTTCTCTTTTCTAATTCAATTCTGTTTGGTTTCTAAGTTAAGAAGTGTGTTTCATTTGCATAAATGGTAACTATTCTGAGATACTATTCATAACTATACATTTGAATTCTGTAAAGTACCATTCATAACTTCAAACAGAACAGGAAAAAACACTCATTCAACTTTACCTTAATGGTGACTAAGACATGAATGATTATAATGTTATATTGTACAGAGTTGGCCAAAAGAGAATGAAGTCTTCAAATGTTACCACTACCTTGTCATTAATTTATGAATGCCCAGAGGAATTAAGGACCACTGCCTTGACCAATCCGCCTGTCACAAAAAATACTGAGCTTAGAAAAGCATGCCCATTCTAAACATGTTTTTTGGAGTTATGAAGTGTTTATGCGGGGACATCAAGAGATACATCTTAGCCATGAAGCTCAAAAATTAGCAAGAATCCTGACAAGTTCTGGCAAGTTCTTTATATAAGCAATGCTGGTTATCCTTTAAGTGTTAAACTTTTCAGCTATGAGCTTTTCTTAGAAACAGTCTTTCATGCAAGGTAGGTAGTAATAGTCCAGTAGTTCTTTACTCTATGTAATCTTAATCAGTGGTAGAAATTAAATTTACATAGATCTGCATAAATAATTCAGCTATCTGTCCTGCTCTAATATATTTAAACCAAATAAAATAAAACTTGAACAGAATAAAAATAATGGGGCTATTTTTAAATGGTCACCTCCTGATTTTTCTCATTTTCTTATCCAAAGTCAGGGACAGGAACTGCATAACCAGAAAGAAGGAGAAAAAGGAGAACATGCACCTGAGGACATCTATAATCACTTTCCTCTATTGCTCCACCACTCCTACCCCTATTGATACAGTAGCTCACAACAGGGAGAAATCTATCCCCCCAGGATAAAAGTAACAATATCTGGAGACATTTCTGGTTATCACAACTGGGGCAGAGGGGGTGCTATTGGCAACCAGGGATGCTGCTTAAGTATTCCTGGTCGGACCATGAAATGGAAGAGGAGCACACAAGAATGAAGCAGAATACAAAGGCCATAATTAAAGCAGTATTAGTATCTCACGCCTGTAATCCCAGTACTTTGGAAGGCCGAGGTGGGCAAATCACTTGAGGTCAAGAGTTCGAGATCAGCCTGGCCAACATGGTGAAACCCCATCTCTACTAAAAATACAAAATTAGGCCGGGCGTGGTGGCTCACATCCATAATCCCAGCAATTTGGGAGGCTGAGGCGGGTAGATCACCTGAGGTCAGGAGTTTTAGACCAGCCTGACCAACACGGTGAAACCCCATCTCTACTAAAAATGCAAAAATTAGCCAGGCATGGTGGCACATGCCTGTAATCCCAGTTACTCAGGAGGCTGAGGCAGGAGACTCGCCCTGAACCTGGGAGGCAGAAGTTGCAGTGAGCCGAGACCATGCCATTGTTCTAGCCTGGGCAGCAAGAGCAAAACTCTGTCTCGGAAAACAAAAACAAAATTAGCCAGGCATGGTGGCACGCACCTGTAATCCCAGCTGCTACTAGGTAAGGCTGAGGCAGTAGAATCCCTTGAACCCAGGAGGCAGAGGTTACAGTGAGCCGAGATCACGCCACTGCACTCCAGCATGGGCGGCAGAGTGAGACTCCATCTCAAACAACAACAACAAAAAGGGGGTGAGGGGTCTGGGCATGGTGGTTTATGCTTATCCCTGTAATCTCAGCACTTTAGGGGGCCAAGGCAGCAGGATGGCTTGAGCTCAGTTTAAGACCAGCCTGGGCAACATAGTTAGACCTCGTCTCTAAAAAATTTAACAAATTGGGTGGGCATGGTAGCGCTCACATGTAGTCCCAGCTATTTGGGAGGCTAAGGCAAGAGGAGGACTGCTTGAGCCTAGGAGGTTGAGGCTGCAGTGAGTGAGCTGTGATACTGCCATTGCACTCAAGCCAGGGCAACAGAGTGAGACCCTGTCTCAAATAATAACAATAATTTTTCCCATTCCCTAGTCCAATCACACACTGACTCCACCTGCAACTCTTGATACAGTTTCTTATCCTTTGTATCTCCAAAACAGTGAAGGTACCATTCTTAGGAACTATGGAGCCACCCCAAGTAGGTGGCTGAATTCAGGCCCTCAAACCAGGCAGCTACTTGGTTTCTTAAAGGACAAAATTCCACAAATCCATGCTGTCATGGGGCTTTCTTCTAAAGAGAAAAAATAATTCTTCATCCTCCAACAATACCAGTCCACCTCACTCTACAGTAGAGATGTCCGAGAAAACTAAGAGTAGCCTGAGTTTTGAAAATGTGCTAGTAGAGGCCCTTGGCCATTTAAAGAAACCACCCAAATTCATATGGCTGGTAAACAGAAGTTTCTCATATAGCATACACTTAAAATAAAAATACTCAAAATTAAATGTATTTTAGTAAACTCCTTACACCAAGATGTGCAAATTGTGGAAGCTTCATAAATTAAAAATAAACAAAATTTTGACCCAAATCCCATTGACAGTTTTTACCTCATTCTAAAGAATACTCTAGGCCGGGCGCGGTGGTTCATGCTTGTAATCCCAGAACTTTGGGAGGCCGAGGTGGGTGGATCATGAGGTCAGGAAATCAAGACCATCCTGGCTAACAAGGTGAAACCCTGTCTCTACTAAAAATACAAAACAAAAAATTAGCCAGGCATGGTGGCGGGCACCTGTAGTCCCAGCTACTCGGGAGGCTGAGGCAGGAGAATGGCGTGAACTCGGGAGGCGGAGGTTGCAGTTAGCCGAGATCACGCCACTGCACTCCAGCCTGGATGACAGAGCGAGACTCTGTCTCAAAAAAAAAAAGAATACTCTAAAGGAAAAAAATCAGCTTTAAAATTTGGCAAACATGGCCGGGTGTGGTGGCTAATGCCTGTAATCCCAGCACTTTGGGAGGCCAAGGCAGGTGGATCACCTGAGGTCAAGAGTTCAAGACCACCCTGGCCAACTTGGAGAAACCCCGTCTCTACTAAAAATACAAAACTTAGCCGGGCGTGGTGGCAGACACCTGTAATCCCAGCTACTCAGGAGGCTGAGGCAGGAGAATTGTTTGAACCCAGGAGGCAGAGGTAGCAGTGAGCCAAGATTGCGCCATTGTACTCCAGGCTGGGCAATAAGAGCGAAACTTGGTCTCAAAAAAAAAAAATTGGCAAACATGAATCTACAGATCTGCATTTGATTTGTTTTTCTCTGAATTATATGCAAAAAGTACAATTCTCTTAAATGCTATACAAAAAATGATGAGCAAAGACCCTACAAATTACTATTTAAAGAAGAGGTGGGGGCAGGGCATGAAGTCTCACACCTGTAATCTCAACACTTTGGGGAGGCCAAGGCGGGAAGATCACTTGAAGGCAGAAGTTTGAGACCAGCCTGGCAACATTTCGAGAGCCCATCTCTACTGTTTAAAAAAAGAAAAAAAGAAAATAAAAGAAATAAAATTTTTAAAATTAAAAACAAAAGAGGTGGAGGGTGTCATTCTAAAATTTCAGAGACTAGTGAAGATATTAAAGCATAAATTGTGGTACTTAAGGAAAAATGCTTATCAGGCACATTTTAATCACAGTAAGATTTCTGTATGACAGAAACAACAAAAGGTGTCTGTCTTCTATGTAATATTGTTTTTAGGACACATGACTTTGAAATTAACTGGACTATACAATATTTTTCCTTGTAATTGCTCTTGTTATCATGTAATTTTGTTTGTTTGTTTGAGACAGAGTCTTGCTCTGTCTCCCAGGCTGGAGTGCAGTGGCGTGATCTCAGCTCACTGCAACCTCCGCCTCCCGGATTCAAGCGATTCTCCTGCTTCAGCCTCCTGAGTAGCTGGGATTACAGGCGTGCACCACCACACCCGGCTAATTTTTGTATTTTTAGTAGAGACGGGGTTTCACCATGTTGGTCAGGCTGGTCTCGAACTCCTGACCTTGTGATCTGCCCGCCTCGGCCTCCCAGAGTGCTGGGATTACAGGCTTGAGCCACCGCACCTGGCCTATCACGTAAGTTTTACCTATAGAGATCTACAGTCCCTTCACTTTATCTGCAAAATGCAAAGGCTGTGAAAAATAAATTTTTCATTATTCATTTGGAGGCAAAACCTGACAAGAAATGACATAAGGCTAATGACAGTACAGTATTTATCCCAGTTAGTATGAACATCCAGACATTTTACTACAGAAATAATAAAATACATCTGATTTAAAAAGTGCTGCCCTGACCTCTCTGGGGTATTACATAACACATAGTACCATATTTCTTTTCTAAAACCCCAAAATCCAAAAATTTTTAAATTCAGATATACATTTGGTCCCAAGAACTTTTTTTTTGGTGCCAAGGATTTTGAATAAGGTACTGTGGACCGGTATACTAATTAAGACTAATTATTTTACAGAAAATATAACATATTGGGAATGAATGTATTAATAGAGCTTCACGTGCAATAAATTCAGTGTCTTCACAACTATCACATACACACAATCCTGGAAAATAACGCATAAAAAGACTTAACATGTCAAAAGCCAAACACATTATTATGTGTTTTTCAAGTGACGGTGATATTTGCATCCTCTAATATCTAGATCAATTCCTTAGGTTGAAATCACAGTTAAAATATAGCTAAAGACTCAGCTGGGCGTGGTGGCTCACGCCTGTAATCCCAGCACTTCCGGAGGCCGCAGCAGGTGGATCAACCGAGGTCAGGAGTTTGAGACCAGCCTGGCCAACATGGCAAAACCCTATCTCTACTAAAAATACAAAAATTAGCCAGGCGTGGCGGTGCATGCCTGTAGTCCCAGATACTTGGGAGGCTGAGGCAGGAGAATCGCCCGAACCTGGGAGGCGGAGGTTGCAGTAAGCCGAGATCACGCCACTGCCCTCCAGCCTGGGTGACTGATATATATATAATATATAGATTATATTTTACATATATAACTCATACATTATAGATGATATATATTATATATAATCTATATATTTACATATAATCTACATTTATATATTATATATAAATTTTATATATAATCTGTTACATATATTATATATAACATATATATAAAATATAGATTATATATATAATATAATCTATATAGAGAGATTTTTTTTTGAGACGGAGTCTCGCTCTGTCGCCCATGCTGGAGTGCAGTGGTGCGATCTCGGTTCACTGCAAACTCCGCCTCCCGGGTTCACACCATTCTCCTGCCTCAGCTTCCCGAGTAGCCGGGACTACAGGCACCCGCCACCACGCCCGGCTACTTTTTGTATTTTTAATAGAGACGTAGTTTCACCGTGTTAGCCAGGATGGTCTCGATCTCCCGACCTCGTGATCCACCCGCCTCGGCCTCCCAGAGTGCTGGGATTACAGGCGTGAGTCACCATGCCCGGCCTATAATATATATTTTATATAAATATATATATTTAATATATATACAAATATAAATATATATTTATATAAATATATTTTATATAAATATATATTATATAATATTATAATATATGTTATATTATATATATTTTATACAATATATAATATATATTATATATATTTTATACAATATATAATATATATTATATATATTTTATATAATATATAATATATATTATATATATTTTATACAATATATAATATATATTATATATTATATAATATATATTATATATATTTTATATAATATATAATATATATTTTATACAATATATAATGTATATCATTATATTATATAATGTATATCATATTATATAATGTATATTATATATTATATATTTATTTTATATTCTTATTATGTTATACATATATTTTATATATAAGACCAAATTAGTAATATGCTGAGAAAAAGAATAATCCATTGTAAATAATTTACTCAATAAAATGCTCTGATTTTTAAACAACTATTCTCAGAGGGTTTAAGATTTAAAATTATTTCATTCTAGAAGAAAACTGAACAAATTACAATTGACTTTTTCTATGAAAGTAGAGCCTGGGACATGGATAGAGACAGGAACAGCTCTTAAAGATATCTGAACAGGAAAAAGTTTCACAGTTCTTTCCTTCCTTCCTCCTGTAGTTGCTGCTTTTCTGGTTTTAGAATTTCAAACAAAGAAATACATACTGGCTCCACTGCTAAGAAACGCCCTCTTTCTCAGTAACTTCCTCTTCCAATTTTCTTCTCCACTACTGACATATGAGAACAATACCCATAGCCGTCCCTACTATTCTGATTAACCAAAAGCTCTGAGGTTTGGAAAAATTAAGGGCAGCAAGTTATTGCACCCAACTACCGCCTACCCCAAATCCACAATCTTCACTCATTAGAAGTCAAAAAACAGGTTGCACAAAGAAAGGGATATTAAGCTTAATCAGAGGTGGGCTATTGAACCTTTCACCCAAGAAATCCAAAGAAATTTGAACAAATGGGAAATTTCTCCCATCCCAAGAAAATGTGGCCCTCTGATGGAGGAGAAGAAGCGAATGGGCTGGCACCACTCTGAACCAAAGTCTAGTCTATATACACCAATAGCTGCTGAACTTTTTCTACAGGCAACCCTACCAGGATTCAAATGGAGCTCTCTGAGGTCCTGACACACACTTCAAAGGGACTTTTACGACTTACAAATAGTTCTTTCCAACTTACAGACTGAATAAAGGGGCTGGACTTATAATTAACCTTCCAGAGATCAAGACTGTCCCCATGCCAGAAGTCAAATCACATATCTGAGGCCAGACCTCTGCCCCCATTTGTAACAAGGCAAACTTCCCTAACACTATCTTTTGAGTGGGCAGTGACTTCCCCCTTGCCCAGTGATTCTCAGAGGAAACAATTTAGTTAAGTAACCTCTGCCCTTTACTGTGCGACCTTGGGCAAATTACTTAACTCCTCTGAAACTCAGTTTCCTTATGTGTAAATTCTCAAGAGTCACTGTAAAAAAATAAGAACATATGCCTAAGCAAGGGTTGACACCTAGTAGGGCTGCCATAAAAGTTCTTCCTCTTCCTTCTAACCCTCCTGAATTCTGGACCTAAATTCCAATCAGAGCCCCAAGGGGCTCCAAGGAGTCCTTCCTCTTCTCCGGTTCTATGGACAACCATATTAAAACTTTCCCTCTCAGAGGCTCTAGGATTCCTGGAGAACCAAGAGGACCCCAGCTCACCCCATCATGGTCTGGGTAGCACCCACGTCCTCCTTGGAACAGCCCCTTTAGACAACTCTCCTCCTTACTCTGCAGACTATCCTGTACGCGCGCACACACACACACACACACACACACACACACACACACAGTGTCCTCCTCAATTTAGCAGGCCGGGGCCTCAACGAGCACCTCAATTACTTCATGGTACACACACACACACACACACACACACACACACACACACACACAGTGTCCTCCTCAATTTAGCAGGCCGGGGCCTCAACGAGCACCTCAATTACTTCATGGTACGTACACACACACACACACACACACACACACAGTGTCCTCCTCAATTTAGCAGGCCGGGGCCTCAACGAGCACCTCAATTACTTCATGGTCCAGAGATGGAAACTGAGGCTCAGCCTGGGGAAGAACTTGTCCAAGATCTCAGACAACAGCTGGGACCCAACTCCTGTACATACATCTGCCGACGAAACCCTCGTTTTACACAGGGGGTAAACTAAGGCCTAGAGAGGAAAGTGACTTGCTCAAGATCACACAGCGAGCTGATGGCAGAACCAGGTCAGGCCGGGACACTCATAGTCCCTCAGACTTGTGGACCCCTCCAAGTTTCCGAAGGGGACTTCGGGTCACTCCCTCCCTCCCTGAGGGGGTGGGGTGGACTAAGACGCCACCCCGCGCTGACCGCTCGCCCGGCCTCTGCCAGTCCGCAGTAGGAGTCCCGGCACCCAGTCCCCCGAGACCCTGCACGGCTCGGGAAGAGCGGCCCGGCCGGGGCCCGCGCCTCCCAGCGGGGTCTACCCAAGGGGACTTGTTGCTCACCTGGCCTCCCGCAGTCGCCGTCAGCGACAGGAAGGGTCGGCCGGCCGCCCAGTCTCCGCACAGAGTGTGCTCCCGCGGACCGCCTCGCGGGCTGCCAAACGGCCGGACCCCCTCAGCGCGCTACGCCCCCAGCCGCGCTCGCCCTGCCTGTGTCCGCCATTACGCGATTCCCCGCCCTGGGCGGCAGCCACACCCCGCCAATGGCCCTGATTGGCTCACTGCCCCACCCACCCGGGGCTTCGGGGCATTCCATTGGCCTGAGTAAAACGCCAGTTAAATAACTACGCAAAAGACGTACTCACGGGTACCCTCCCCAGAGCTCCACCCGGGCGACTTCCGCAATCGGAGTAAACAGCGGGGTGCAAACCAAGTGAAGTGGGGGGCGGAGATTAAGGTAAACCGACTCCTAAGTTCAAAGTAGGGAAAGCTCACCTAAGAAAGTGTAAAAACTCGTACAAAGTGTGTTGAAAGAAGAATTCTTCTTGTTAGCCTTGAAAGAACCGCTAGATTTAGTGAAAGGAAGGGGCCAAGCCCGTAAACTTTCTGTGGACACCCCTCAAGTTGCGCATAGTGTTGTCCCTTCACTCCGGTCTCAGCCAGGGCAGAAAGTAGGGTGGGGAGAGTGAGTCACAAGCTCTATCCCGTCCTGCACAGTCCATCCGGGGCAAGGCCCGGGTCCTGGGAATGGGGGATAGTACTGAAAAGCCATGGTCAAGTGAGCGGAACCCTGGTTCAGCCACTTCACTCTGCGACCTCAGACAACTTCCAGAATTTATCTGGGTCTCAGTTTGTCCTTCTGCAAAATAGGAGCAGTCGTCTGTGCCTCACATGCGGGAGTGGTTGTTGAGGACTCATGCATGAGTGGGGAATATGCTCGTCTTGTTGATTATAAAAGGCTGCAGCTGTCCGGGCGCGGTGGCTCATGCCTGTAATCCCAGCACTTTGGGAGGTTGAGGCGGGCGGATCACCTGAGGTCAGGAGTTCGAGACCAGCCTGACCAACTTGGAGAAACCCCCATCTCTACTAAAAATACAAAATTAGCCAGCCGTGGTGGCGCATGCCTGTAATCCCAGCTACTCAGGAGGCTGAGGCGGACAATCGCTTGAACCCGGGAGGCGGAGGTTGCAGTGAGCCGAGGTCACGCCATTGCACTCCAGCTTGGGCAACAAGAACGAAACCCCACCTCAAAAAAAAAAAAAAAACAAAAAAAACGCCCAGGCGCGGTGGCTCACGCCTGTAATCCCAACACTTTGGGAGGCCAAGGCGAGGCGGGCGGATTACTTGAGGTCAGGAGTTGAAGACCAGTCTGGCCAAGTGAAACCCCGCTTCTAGGCGGATCACCTGAGGTCAGGTGTTTGAAACCAGCCTGGCCAACATGGTGAAACCCCATCTCTACTAAAAATACAAAAAATTAGCCGGGCATGGTGGCACATGCCTGTAATCCCAGCTACTCCAGAGGCTGAAGCAAGAGAATCGCTTCAACCTCGGAGGCAGAGGTTGCGGTGAGCCGAGATCGCGCCATTGCACTCTAGCCTGGGCAACAAGGGCAAAACTCTGTCTCCAAAAAAGAAAAAAGAAACCCCGCCTCTATTAAAAACACAAAAATTAGCTGGGCGTGGTGGTGCGCGCCTGTAATCCCAGCTACTTGGGAGGCAGGAGAATCGCTTGAACCTGGTTGGTGGATGTTGCAGTGAGCCAAGATCATGCCACTGCACTCCAGCCTGGGAGACAGAGCGAGTCTCAAAAAGAAAAAAAAAAATGCCACAGCTAGATAGAAATGTGACAAATTAACATGTTAGCAAAGATACCTCACTTAATTCTCTAGGGCAACCCTGTATGGCAGGTATTACCCTCATTTTTGCAGAAGAGAAAACTGAGTCTTTCTGAAGTTGCATGACTTACCCAGGGTCCTTCAGGGACTTTGAAACAGCCCCGGAACTCAAACCTGTTTCTTTTGGTTTCCATTCCTGTATTTCTCCCTTTCAGGCCTGGTATCATATGAGAATGACTTCCCTCCCCTCCCCTCCACTCTTCCCTCACCCATCCCCTTAGCATTCCAGGAAAGGTCTTAAGGGTGCCAGGTCAGTCCCTCATCTCTCTGATCAATGTAGACTTGGGCACAGACCACCCCCCAGCTATTGTTAACCACCAGGGTTCCTGAGGAAAAGTGACACTAGGGGTGTGCCCAGGCTGTTTCTGGGGTCCTAGGAGTCAGGACGTGAAAAGGGGGTGACAGATGGGTTGAGAACCTACACAGAATCTCAAACGAGGACGCAGAGGCTCAGAGGGGGGCCGTGATGCCACTGTGAGCCCTCAGCAGGGCCGCCTCCATGCCAGGACTTAAATCCAGGTTTCTCTGCTCTCAGAACAGGGCTCTTTTCACCACAGGATTGTTTTTCCCAGAAGAGCTGCTTGGCTGTAATTCCTAGTCCTTTTCCCTCCCTGGAAAGGAAGGAGGCCAAGAAGGGAGTGGGAGGGGAAGCAGCCTAAGACTTCAGAAGGGCAGAGACAGCCAAGGGGGTGGTGCCAGCAGGGCCCTGGTGCCATCCGAATTGGTGTCCTCCGGGCTCAAACTGGGACATGTGGTCTGACAACCAAGGACTATTTAAATCCTGGCTGTGGCTGTTGGGTGCTGGGAGGCAGCTGTGCAGAAAGCAGTGGCTTTGGGGTTAAGCAGACCTGAGATCGAGTCCTAGCACCACCACTTTCTAGCTCTCTGAGCCTCACCTACCTCTTCTCTGAAATGATGACAAAAGGGCAGTTGTGAGGATTCAATTAGTTAATTGTAGCGTTAATGAGTCATGTGTATAAAGTGCCTGGTAGCTATTTATTCATTCATGGATTCATCCATTCAATAAAAAATTATTAAGCACCCACCACATAGAGGGCAGCCTGACAGTGGCGTAGCTACAATAGCAAGCAAAACAGACTCAGACCCTCATGGAACTTAAAGTCTGGGAAGGAAGAAAGTTGTTAACCAAGTGATCAGACAAATCAAAAACAGAAACTGAGATAAGGAAGCAGAAGGTAAAGTGCAATGTGTTTATGAGAGTGAATGTCAGGGGATGGGGTGGGGTCAAAGGAGACTTTCCTGAAGAGATGATGTCTGAGGTGAGTTGATGAATGGGGGTTCATTTACTCTTTTTTTTTTTTTTTTTTTGGAGACAGTCTCGCTCTGTCACCCAGGCTGCAACCCACGCTGGAGTGCAGTGACAATCTCGGCTCACTGCAACCTCCGCTTCCCAGGTTCAAGCGATTCTTGTGCCTCAGCCTCCTGAGTAGCTGGGATTACAGGTGTGTGCCACCACACCCAGCTAATTTTTGTATGTTGAGTAGAGATGGGGTTTCGCCATGTTGCCCAGGCTGGTCTCAAACTCCTGATCTCAAGTGATCCACCTGCCTTGGCCTCCCAAAGTGCTGGGATTACAGGCATGAGCCACCACACCTGGCCTGGGGTTCATCCATTCTTGAATGAGCAAGAGGTTGGGAGAAGTGTTGCAGGCCAAGGGAAAGGGTGTGGAAAGGCATGGAAGCCCATGGGGGTGGTGGCAGTGGGGAGGAAGGGTGGAGCACTCAGGGCCTGTGGGCCACCAGGAAAAGTATCATGGTTGTTGATGAATGACTGAGGATGTTACAGGGGAGGAAACCCAGCTTTGAAAGTGGGGGCTGGCCTGTAATCCCAGCACTTTGGGAGGCCAAGGTGGGAGGATCACTTGAGGCCAGGAGTTTGAGACCAGCCTGGGCAACAAAGTAAGATCCCCATCTCATTTATTTAAAAACGTAATAAATAAATAAATAGATAAGAAAGTAGTGCTGTTCACCAAGGGTCTCTGTACTTTTCTCGTAGTCCCTGAAAGAATGCAAGCTTTGAGGCAGACCGACCTGGGTTTGAATCTTAGCTCTGCCAACTCACCGAGGATTGTGTGACCTGAACAGTCATCAAACCTCACTGTGTCTCAGCTACTCTTCTAAGGAATGGGGATAACAATAGAGGGTCATAAGGTGGGGGTGAGGATTTAATGGGAAATATATGTAAATTGTCTGGCATATAAAAGTCGCTCGGTAAACAATGCTTGGTCTTCCCAGCATGGAGGGAAGTGAGCCTGAGGCAGCAGTTGGAGCAGATGGTTTGGGTTCAAGCTGATACAGACATCCATGAACTGGACAAGTTGTCATCTGAACTTAATTTTTTTTTTTTTTTTTTGGACAGGATTTTAATCTGTCACCCAGGCTGGCTTGCAGTGGTGCAATCATGGCTCATTGCAGCCTTGAACTCCTGGGCTCAAGCAGTCCTTCCACCTCAGCCCCCCAAATAGCTGGGACTACAGGTGCATGCCACTATGCCCGGCTGATTTTTTTTGTTTTGTTTTTTAGAGATGAAGTCTCCCTATGTTGCCCAGCTTGGTCTCAAACTCCTGGGCTCAAACGATCCTCCCACCTCAGTCTCCCAAAGTACTAGGATTACAGGCATGAGCCACTGTGCCCGGCCTGAATTGTCATACGAGACTTTGGAGCCAGACAAACCTGGATTTGAATCACTATTATACCACTTCCTAGCTGTGTGACTTTGGGCAGGTGACTTCACCTCTCTGAGCCTCAATTTCCTTATCGATAAAATGAAAATCATAATTGTTTTTATTTAATAATTTTAGAAAATAGAGATGGGGTCGGCCAGGCGCAGTGGCTCACA
Source organism: Homo sapiens (assembly GCF_000001405.40). Classification (NCBI taxonomy): domain Eukaryota; kingdom Metazoa; phylum Chordata; class Mammalia; order Primates; family Hominidae; genus Homo; species Homo sapiens. The sequence continues at coordinate 27,494,676 of NC_000001.11, forward strand.
CCTGTAATCCCAGCACTTTGGGAGGCCGAGGCGGGCAGATCACGAGGTCAGGAGATCGAGATCATCCTGGCTAACACGGTGAAACCCCGTCTCTACTAAAAATACAAAAAATTAGCCGCGCATGGTGGCCGGCACCTGTAGTCCCAGCTACTCAGGAGGCTGAGGCAGGAGAATGGCGTAGACCCAGGAGGCAGAGGTTGCAGTGAGCCGAGATCGCAGCACTACACTCCAGCCTGGGCAACAGAGTGAGACTTTGTCTCAAAAAAAAAATAGAAATGGGGTCTTGCTGTGTTGCCCAGGCTGGTCTAGGACTCCTGGACTCAGCACCTCAGCCTCCCAAAGTGCTGGAATTACAGGCGTGAGCCACCAGGCCTGGCCATAATTGTTTTTATTTTCCAGATATGTTCAAATTAAATGTGATCATAAATATGAAACACTTAGCACAGTGATTGCTTGAAGGTTGTCCCAAAATAGGAGCCTTAATTTTTCCTTTTAGGCAATGCAGATAAAGAAGTTGCTTTCAGAGTGGGAGGTGGTATTGTGCATTTAGTGGTAATATTAATAAGGACCAACATTTAGTGAGCATTTGCTACATGCCAGGAATGTGCAAATTGCTTTACATGCATTAACTCGTCAATCCTTATATCAGTCCTATAAATTATTTATTTATTTATTGAGACACAGTTTTGCTCTGTCGTCCAGGCTGCAGTGCAGTGGCATGATCTTGGCTCACTGCAACTTCTGCCTCCCCAGTTCAAGCAATTCTCCTGCCTCAGCCTCCCAAGTAGCTGGGATTACAAGCTTGCACCACCACGCCTGGCTAATTTTTGTATTTTTTGTAGAGACGAGGTTTCACCATGTTGGCCAGGTTGGTCGTGAACTCCAGACCTCCAGTGATCTGTCCGCCTCGGCCTCCCAAAGTACTGGAATTGCAGGCGTGAGCCACTGCGCCCAGCCTCAGTCCTATAAATTAGGTCCTGTTATTATCATCCTCATTTTACAAATGAGGGGAAAGGGCCAGGCATGGTAGCTCACACCTGTATTCCCAACAATTTGGGATGCCAAGGCAGGGGGATCGCTTGAGCCTGGGGTTCAAGACCAGCTTGGGTGACATGACAAAACCCCATCTCTATCAAAAATACAAGAATTAGCCAGTTTCCTAACCTAGGCTCAAAATAAATAAATAAATAGATAAAAATGTAAAAAACAGGGCTAGGCACAGTGGCTCATGCCTGTAATCCCAGCACTTTGGGAGGCCGAGGCGGGCGGATTGCCTGAGGTCAGGAGTTCGAGACCAGCCTGACAAACATGGTGAAACCTTGTCTCTACTAAAAATGCAAAAATTAGCTGGGCGTGGTGGCAGGCACCTGTAATCTCAGCTGCAGGCGGATCACGAGGTCAAGAGATCAAGACCATCCTGGCCAATATGGTGAAACCCCGTCTCTACTAAAAATACAAAAAAATTAGCCAGACGTGGTGGCACGCGCCTGTAGTCCCAGCTACTCGGGAGGCTGAGGCAGGAGAATCGCTTGAACCTGGGAGGCGAAGGTTGCAGTGAGCGGAGATCATGCCACTGCACTCCAGCCTGGGCGACGGAGCGAGACTCCGGCTCAAAAAACATTTTTTCTTAAATAAAAATAAAAATACAAAAACTAGCTGGGCATGGTGGTGGGCGCCTGTAATCCCAGCTACTCAGGAGGCTGAGGCAAGAGAATTGCTTGAACCCGGGAGGCAGAGGTTGCAGTGAGCCGAGATCGCGCCACTGCACTCCAGCCAAACAGAGTGAAACTCCGTTCCCCGCCCCGCCCCCACAAAAAAAAACAAAAAAACAAAAAAACAACCTAGCTGAGCCTCAGTTTTCTAACCTATAAAATGGAGTGAATAAAACTAGTCTCATGGAGCTGAAGAGAAAATACAAATGCAATGAGAGAATGTGTTAAAAAGCTATGAGCCAGCACTGGGTACGGAACTGACAGAGTGCAGTCAGCTAAGGAATTCCAGGGGGAGCAACAAAGCATAGGGACCAGGAAGAATCACCCCTCCCCTCTCCCTGACCCCCATCTGAGGGGAGAAGGGTGGAGAGCACTGTACTCAGAGCCCAGAATGATCTCCAGGTCACCCCCCTCCCTCTGGCATCCTCAGCTCTTGCTAGGTCCACAGTCTCTCTCTCTCTCTCTCTTTCTCTCGTCAAGCAAGTTCTTCACTGAGCAATCCCAGGGGGCCACGAACCTCGGTTCCAGCCAAGCTCGCAGGCTTTCCCCACCTCCACATCCTTAATCTGCAGCCTTTGCATTTGCCATTCCTTCCACCTGGAATGCTCTCTCCTCCCTGAGCGCCTTTGATGGGGAAGAGAGGGTTGCTGAGGGGAAGGATCTGGAATGATGCTCCCCCACCTCCTCACTCCCCTCCCCTGCATCCCCCACGCTGCATGCCTGACCTCCCCGCTCCCAGTGTGGGGGACAGAGGCAGTGCTGGGTGGGGGAGGAAATAGGGTGGGGGCGGGGGTACTCAGGGAAGGGTCCTCTGTGGGGTTTTTCACCTGCTTAGAAGAAGCAGACGGAAATGAAAGCTCTGGAAAAAATGCCTGCTGCTCTGCTTCCAAGGCCCCAGCTCGGTGAAGCCTCCCTGCCTTCCCACTATGCCATCTCCTCCTCTTCCTCCTCCTCCTCCTCCTCCTCCTCCTCCTCCTCCTTCAGGCAGGTTCCACAGTCAGGGAAATGGGGTGGGTGGGAGGGGCAGAGAGACCTAGGTTCAAATCCCATTCCTGCCACTTACCCAGCAAGTGACCTTAGCAAGCTGCCTGGCCTGTTTACGCCTCATTTCTTTGTAAAAGGGGACAATAATCCCTGTCTCTCAGGCTGCTGTGAGGACCAAGTGAGATGGCAGATAAAACTGCCTGGCAGGACCAAAGTGTTCAGCAATAACAGTGATAGGAAATACACAGTGCCCATGTGTACCTGGCATAGTTCTCAGCACCTTGCATATATTTACCTATTTAACTCCTGATACGGTAGATATTATTACTAACCCCAGTTTGCAGATGAGGAAACTGAGGCACAAGGAGATTTCTATAACTTGCACATGCTCACACAGCCAGTAAGGGGTAGAGCTTAATCTGTGCTCTTACTCATCACACTATGGCACATTTAGTGATAGTTCCCATGATGATGATGCTGCTGCTGATGATTATGATTTTTCTTTTTTTTTTTTTTTGAGATGGAGTCTCGCTCTGTCACCCAGGCTGGAGTGCAGTGGCATGATCTCAGCTCACTGCAATCTCCGCCTCCTGGGTTTAAGTGATTCTCACGTCTCAGCCTCCTGAGTAGCTAAGATTGCAGACACCCACCACCATGCCCAGCTAATTTTTGTATTTTTTGAAGATGGGGTTTCACCATGTTGGCCAAGCTCGTCTCGAACTCCCGACCTCGTGATCTGCCCACCTCGGCCTCCCAAAGTGCTGGGATTACAGGCGTGAGCCACCGTGCCCAGCCTGTTTTTATTGGTACTATGCCCTCAGTAAGTACCTGTTATTCTCTTTCCTCCTACCTTCAAAATCCTGCTTGAATTTTTTTTTTTTTTTTTTTTTTTTTGAGACAGAGTTTCACTCTTGTTGCCCAGGCTGGAGTGCAATGGCGCCATCTCAGCTCACCACAACCTCCGCCTCCAGGGTTCAAGCAATTCTCCTGCCTCAGGCTCCCGAGTAGCTGGGATTACAGGCATGTGCCACCACGCCTGGCTAATTTTAAATTTTTAGTAGAGACAGTGTTTCTCCATGTTGGTCAGGCTGGTCTTAAACTCCCGACCTCAGGTGATCCTCCCACCTCAGCCTCCCAAAGTGCTGGGATTACAGGTGTGAGCCACCGCACCCGGCCTGAATTATTTATTTATTTTTGTTTTTTATTTTTTTGAGACAAGGTCTCACTCTGTCGCCAGACTGGAGTGCAGTGGTGCTATCTCAGCTCACTGCAGCCTCTACCTCCTGGACTCAAGTGATTTTCCCACCTCAGCCTCCAAGTAGCTGGGACTACAGGTGCGTGCCACCATGCTCGGCAAATTTTTATTTATTTATTTATTTTTTGTAGAGACGGGGTTTTGCCATGTTGCCCAGGCTGGTCTTCTTCTTCTTCTTTTTTTAAATAGAGATGGGGGTGGGGCTGGGGGTCTTGCTATGTTGGCCAGGTTGGTCTTTAACTTTTGGCCTCAAGCAATCCTCCTGCCTTGGCCTCCCAAAGTGCTAGGATTACAAGCATGAGCCACCCGGCCCAGCCTCCCAGGCTTGTATTGAACTCCTGAGCACAAGCAATCTGCCCACCTTGGCCTCCCAAAGTGCTGGGATTACAGGTATGAGCCACGGCACCCAGCCCAAAATCCTGCCTCAGTTTTACCCCCTTCATGACATCTTCCAGTCTATTCATTTAATAAGGATACATTGCTGCCTGCCCTGGCCAGGCTTGTGCAGGGCACTGGGGACGGAGGGATCAGTCCACTCAGACTCTGCCCTTGAGTGGCTCCCAATCTGATGAGGGAGAAGATATACATAAAAATTACAATAAAAGCGGAAGACACTGATTGCAGTAGGAGCTATGAGCTTATAGAAGTAGAGAACTTAACTGGGAGATTGGGACAGGCTTACAGAGGAAGGGCCATTTGGAAGGGGTTTTGAAGGGTGAGTAGGAGTTCCTCAGGCAGAATTAGGAAGTAGGAACAGAATATGATCTACCCTGCAAAGTGGACTGAATAAAAAAAGCCTGAGGAATAAAAACCCTAGAAGAAAACCTAGGCAACACCATTCAGGACATAGGCATGGGCAAAAACACCAAAAGCAATTGCAACAAAAGCCAAAATTGACAAGTGGGATCTAATTAAACTAAAGAGCTTCTGCACAGCAGAAGAAACTATTATCGGCCGGGCACAGCGGCTCACGCCTGTAATCTCAGCACTTTGGGAGGCTGAGACGGGCAGATCACGAGGTCAGGAGATTGAGACCATCCTGGCTAACACAGTGAAACCCCATCTCTACTAAAAATACAAAAAAATTAGCTGGGCGTGGTGGCGGGTGCCTGTAGTCCCAACTACTCGGGAGGCTGAGGCAGGAGAATGGCGTGAACCCGGGAGGCGGAGCTTGCAGTGAGCCGAGATCACACCACTGCACACACCAGGCTGGGAGACAGAGGGAGACTCCGTCTTAAAAAAAAAAAAAAAAAAAAAAAAAAGAGAGAGAGAAAAAAGAAACTATCATCAGAATGAACAGGCAACCTACAGAATGGGAGAAAATTTTTTCAGTCTACTGATCTGACAAAGGTCTAATATCCGGAATCTACAAGGAACTTAAACATATTTATAAGAAAAAAACAACCCCATCAAAAAGTGAGTTAAGGATATGAACACTTCTCAAAAGAAGATATTTACATGGCCAACAAACGCAGGAAAAAAAGCTCAACATCACTGGCCATCAGAGAAATGCAAATCAAAACCACAAAGAGATACCATCTCACGCCAGTCAGAATGGCAGTTATTTTTATTTATTTATTTATTTTTGAGACGGAGTCTTGCTGTGTCACCAGGTTGGAGTGCAGTGGCGTGATCTCAGCTCACTGCAACCTCCGTCTCCCAGGTTCAAGAGATTCTTCTGCCTCAGGCTCCCCAGTAACTGGGACTACAGGCGGGTGCCACCACACCCAGCTAACTTTTTTTTTTTTTTTTTTTGACAGAGTCTCGCTCTGTCACTCAGGCTGGAGTGCAGTGGTGCGATCTCGGCTCATTGCAAGCTCCGCCTCCCAGGTTCACGCCATTCTTCTGCCTCAGCCTCCCGAGTAGCTGGGACTACAAGCGCCTGCCACCACACCTGGCTAATTTTTTTTTTTTTTTTTGTATTTTTAGTAGAGACTGGGTTTCACTGTGTTAGCCAGGATGGTCTCGATCTCCTGACCTCATGATCCACCCATCTTGGCCTCCCACAGTGTTGGGATTACAAGCATGAGCCACTGCGCCTGGCCAGAATGGCAGTTATTAAAAAGTCAGGAAACAATAGATGCTGGTGAGGCTGTGGTGAAATAGGAACGCTTTTACATTGTTGGTGAGAATGTTAATTAGTTCAACCATTGTGGAAGATATTGTGGCAATTCCTCAAGGGTCTAGAACCAGCAATACCATTTGACCCAGCAATCCCATTACTGGGTATATACCCAAAGGAATATAAATCATTCTACTGGCCGGGCGCGGTGGCTCACGCCTGTAATCCCAGCACTGTGGCAGGCCGAGGTAGGCGGATCACGAGGTCAGGAGATCGAGACCATCCTGGCTAACGCAGTGAAACCCTGTCTCTACTAAAAATACAAAAAATTGGCTGGGCATGGTAGCGGGCGCCTGTAGTCCCAGCTATTCCGGAGGCTGAGGCAGGAGAATGGCGTGAACCCAGGAGGTGGAGCTTGCAGTGAGCCGAGATCGTGCCACTACACTTCAGCCTGGGTGACAGAGCAAGACTCCGTCTCAAAAAATAAAATAAAATAAAATAAATCATCCTACTATAAAGACACATGCACATGTATGTTTATTGCAGCACTATTTACAATAGCAAAGACATGGAACCAACTCAAATGCCCATCAATGATAGACTGGATAAAGAAAATGTGGTACATATACACCATGGAATACTATGCAGCCATAAAAAGGAATGAGATCATGTCCTTTGCAGGGACATGGATGAAGCTGGAAGCCATCATCCTCAGCAAATTAACACAAGAACAGAAAACCAAACACCGCATGTTCTCACTCATAAGTGGGAGTTGAACATTGAGAACACATGGACACAGAGAGGGGAATAGCACACACCAGGGCCTGTTTGAGGTTTGGAGGGTGAGGGGAGGGAACTTAGAGGATGGATCAGTAGGTGCAGCAAACCACCGTGGCACACGAATGCCTATGTAACAAACCTGCACGTTCTGCACATGTATCCCATTTTTTTTAGAAGAAATAAAAAAAAAAAAGAAACGACTGGAGAGTAACATGTCTTGGGTCAGTTTTATGTTAGGTTCCATACTAGGCACTGCAGGTATAGAAGTAGAAAAATATGGCTGGGCGCGGTGGCTTAAGCCTGTAATCCGAGCACTTTGGGAGGCCGAGGCGGGTGGATCACCTGAGGTCAGGAGTTCAAGACCAGCCTGACAAACATGGAGAAACCCCGTTCTCTACTAAAAGTACAAAATTAGCCGGGCATGGTGGCACATGTCTGTAATCCCAGCTAGTCGGGAGGCTGAGGCAGGAGAATCGCTTGAACCCACGTGGCAGAGGTTGTGGTGAGCCGAGATCACGCCATCGCACTCTAGCCTGGGCAACAAGAGCAAACTCCACCTCAAAAAAAAAAAAAAAAAAGAAGTAGAAAAATATTGACCGAGTGCAGTGGCTCATGCCTGTAATCCCAAATCTCAGCACTTTGGGAGGCCAAGGCATGTGGATCTCCTGAGGTTGGGAGTTCGAGACCAGCCTGACCAACATGGAGAAACCCCATCTCTACGAAAAATACAAAATTAGCTGGGCATGGTGGCGCATGCCTATAATCCCAGCTACTCAGGAGGCTGAGGCAGGAGAATCACTTGAACCCGGGAGGTGGAGGTTGGGGTGAGCCGAGATCGCACCACTGCACTCCAGCCTGGGCAACAAGAGCAAAACTCCGTCTCAAAAAAAAAAAAAAGAAAAAGAAAAATATTAGGCCCTCAGGGAGCTTACAGACTTGGGGCAAGGAAATGAAAAGGAATAAGCAAAACAAAAATATGGATATAAAAAATCCATAGGGGGTTAGGTGTGGCAGCTCATGCCTGTAATCCCAGCACATAGTGAGAATCCCATCTCTACAAAAAAAAAAAAGAAGAAGGGCTTCGGGAGCACCAGGAAGAGACCTAAACCGGTCTGGAGGAGTCAGTAGAGGAGTAGTTGACATCTAGGCTGAGACTTAAAGACCAGAGCCAGATCGTGTCACCTAGTGCCATACCAACCTAGGTATAAATTCAACATAAAAACAAAACTCACCAGAAAATAAGACCAAGAAGCTCCAATAAAGTTCTGAATTTTCCCATGAGCACTATTTCAGTGATTTTTTGTTTGCTTGTTTTATTGAGATGAAGTCTCACTCTGTTGCCCAGGCCGGAGTGAGTGCAGTGGCTGGATCTCGGCTCACTGCAACCCCCACCTCCTAGGTTCAAGCAATTCTCTTGCCTCAGCCACTGGAGTAGCTGGGATTATAGGCACCCACGACCATGCCCGGCTAATTTTTGTATTTTTAGTAGAGACAGGGTGTCACCATGTTTGCCAGGCTGGTCTCGAACTCCTAACCTCAGGTGATCCGCCCGCCTCCCAAAGTGCTGTGATTATAGGCATGAGCCACCGCACCCAGCCTATTTCAGTGATTTTTAAAAATTATTGAATGTCAAACCATTTGAAAAAAAAGTCTTGAGTATCCCTGCTTTGCTGGGCTCTGAACACTTGTGTGTTCTGCTCCTTGAATCTGACAAGGGAACAGGTTTGAGACAGCCGGGAGAGGCAGGCAGGTGGTTGGAATTTCATGTGCAAAGGCCCAGAGGCAAGAGAAAAAATGATGGCTCACTGGGGGAAAAGGACATCCTTTGATGAGGGCTGGTGAGTGGGGAGAGGTGGAGACAGAGGATTGGACTGGATTCTGGGGGTGCTGGGGAGGCATGGAAGAGTTCTAACAGAGATATGTCACAATCAAATGTCCCTTTTGCAGGATCACTCTGAATTTTTTTTTTTTTTTTTGAGATGGAGCCTGGCTCTGTTGTCCAGGCTGGAATGCAGTGGCGCGATCTCGGCTCACTGCAGTCTCCGCCTCCCGGGTTCAAGCAATTCTCCTGCCTCAGCCTTCCAAGTAGCTGGGACTACAGGTGCGCACCACCACGCCTGGCTAATTTTTGTATTTTTAGTAGAGACGCGGTTTCACCATGTTGGCCAGGATGATCTCGATCTCTTGACCTCGTGATCTGCCTGCCTCGGCCTCTCAGAGTGCTGGGATTACAGGCGTGAGCCACCGCGCCCAGCTCACTCTGAATATTTTGAGCGACCTATTTATGATTTGAATTTATTCATTCGAGAAGCACCCCAACATACCTCCTATATGTCAGGCATGGACCCAGGAACTGTGACTACAACAGATAATTAGGGGTTGGTTCCTCAGACAGGACAAAGGGCAGGACACTGAGTGCCACCTCTACAGAGGGGTCTGACTGGATAAAGACAAAGTGTGAAAGTGTATGACTTTCACAAAACAAGAAAGCCAAGCCCCGTGTGGGGTGACAGGGTGCAGGGATGGGAGATGGCACTCAGGGAGCTAGCACTGGACAGGCCAGTGATTCCGAAGACAGAGGATAAAGGAACGAAAGCAGGAAGAGAGGGAATGAGTTATGGGTGAAATATTCGGATCCTGTAGCCTCCATAGAAGGTGGCCAAGTGGGCAGGGGGCAAAGTCCCAGCCAAGCCCCTCAGCACCCCCATGTGTTCCCAGCCCTGCTGAGCCCTGCAGCTCGTCTCCTCCTGGCTCCAAAAGTCAGACCAAACCCCGGAGAACAGAGGCGGGTGAGGAGGGGGCGGTGGGGTACAAGCCCAGGCCTCTCACCCCAGCAAAGCCTGCCTTCCCAGTGCCTGGGGCCAACCCAGCTGAGAAGCCAGAGGTTACAGGGAAAGGATTAAGGAGTTGCTTGCTTTTTTACCCAAACTCTGCTGTATTTCTCTGTCTTTCTTCAATCTCTCTCTCTCTCTCTTTTTTTTTAAAGAAAAATATTCCTGTACACGCACCCAGAGGCTTTTGCAGGAGGCGGCTGTTGGAGAACTGGGAAAACAAGCCAAGAAACAAGAGAGAGGAAAAAGACCACGCCTCGCCTGGCAGATTCCTAATGGCCCAGGAGACCTGAGGCTTTACAGTGGGAGGCCGGTGGGGGCTGGCTCGGGTGGGAGGGAAGGGCAGGCCGAAGGACAGCCACTTGCTGGCTGGTGACCTTGGGCGGGATACTGCCTGCTTCCCTCTGGTGAGAATGGGGAGGAGGGAGGCAGGGGCAGGCCTGGCCGGCTGAGGTCACAGGAAGGCCCCTTCCAGCCTGAAACGCGATCTCGGGATGTGGGGCCTGCCAACCTGCAGCGACCCTGGGCCAGCAGAGATGAAAGGCTGCCTGTCCCCAGCTTCCGGACCCCCAAGGCCCCACTGCCTCAAAGTTGGAGAGCAGCAGAGCTGTGTTGCCACTGGCTGGGGCCAGCTGCTGGGCTCCCCACCCCACCTTATGTCATCCAACCCTCCCTTCCCTGTTTTGCAGAGGACACTCAGGCCCAGAGAGGGTGGTGACCTGCCTGAGGTCACACAGCAAGCGGGAGTCTGAGCCAAGGCTCACCACAGTCTTTGGACTCCAAGTCCAGGCCTCCTGCCTTTCCCAGAAACTTGGCTGCCTGGGGGCTTACCCTGGGGAGTTGGAGAGAACTAGGGCTGGGGAGGACACTTAGGAGCTGTGTCTGTTTGAAGTCACAACTTAATGTTGACTAAAGTGCTTTTTTTTTAAAAGACAAAAAGAAAATTCCCAGCCCCTGCCATAAGCCTGGACTTGCTCACTGGCAGGGGAAGGAATGCAGCTCTGGCCACCACAGCTGCTGGTGGCCAGCTGCAGCCTCAGCTTCTGCTGCTCCCGCCCCAGCCGGCAAAGGGACAAAGGCCTCTTCTCAGGCCTGTCCTCTCCAGCCCCCTGGATCAGCTGGCAGAACATTGACGGAGCCTCCTCTGTCACAGACCTGCTAAGTCATTGTTCCTCTCTGGGCCTTAGTGCCGTTTCTGTAAAATGGGGGCATAGTATCTGCCTGACCTACTTCTCAGCACTGTTTTGAGGCTCCAAGTAAAGTTCTGGAAATACAAAGCTCTCAGCGCCTCCTTCCACCTGCGGGTCTGCCTTCTCACTGTGCCCTTTGCCTCGACCACCCCTCCCTCCCTCATGCTTTCCCTGGCCAGCCCCAACTCACTCAGCTCAGCTCAGTGGGACCATCACCTGCTCTAAAACCTGCCCTCAACTTCTGAAGGAGGCACCTTCAGAAGAAAAAAGACGGCAGTGCTGTATTTATCATGGTTGTACATAATTAAATAATTGGCCAGTGTGGTGCCTCAGGCCTGTAATCCCAACACTTTGGGAGGCTGAGGTGGGAGGATTACTTGAAGCCAGGTGTTCAAGACCAGCCTGGGCAACATGGCAAAACCCTGTCTCTACAAAAAATAAATTAGCTGGGCATGGTGGCATGTGCCTGTAGTCCCTGCTACTCGGGAGGCTGAGGTGGTAGGATGGATTGAGCCTGGGAGGTTGAGGAGTGACCTGCAGTGAGCTGTAACTGTGCCACTGAACTCCAGCCTGGGTGACGGAGTGAGGCCCTGTCTCAAACATAAAAATAAAAATAAATTAAATAGGTCAGGGGTGGCGGTGGCTCACACCTGTAATCCCAGCACTTTGGGAGGCTGAGGCAGACAGATCACCTGAGGCCAGGAGTTTGAGACCAGCCTGGCCAAAATGGTGAAACCCCGTCTCTACTAAAAGTACAAAAATTAGCCAGGCATGGTGGCACACGCCTGTAGTCTCAGCTACTCAGGAGGCTGAGGCAGGAGAGTCGCTTGAATCCAGGAGACGGAGTTTGCAGTGAGCCAAGATCGCGCCACTGCACTCTAGCCTGGGCAACAGAGCAAGACTCCGTCTCAATAATAATAATAATGAATTAAATAATTAATTGTGCAATTGGATCCTCGTTAAAATGTAAACTCTAATAATAGCTAATGTCAAATGCTGACCCGGGGCCCAGGACTTTACATTTAACCCATTTAATCTGCATGGTAGGTACTGTTGGTATCGCCATCTTACAGATGAAGAAACAGACAATGAGAGGTTCACTCACTCACCTGAAGTCACAGCAAGTTGGAGGCTGAGCCAGGACTCACCACAAATAAGTTGCAAATCAGGATTCAAATGCAGACCGCCGGCTATAACCATTACATCACTAATGACACGGGTTTAGTTTGTGCCCTGATGTATCCCCGGTTCCCGGCACAGCATCTGGCATACAGCAGGTGCTCCATATATGTTAGATAAATACATACACAAATAGGTGATGAATATAAATGAGTATTTGGAGGAGAATAAAGCACCCATCAGGAGTGAATTTTGCAGGTGCCACATGTGGGGCTGAGTCATGGTAGGCGGCTAGCGGGTGCCCAGTATGTTGTTAAAAACTAATTACTGGAGCTGGACGCAGTGCCTTATGCCTCTCATCCCAGCATTTTGGGAGGCCAAGGCAGGAGGATTGCTTGAGCCCAGGAGTTTAATACCAGTCTGGGCAACATAGACCCCATCTCTCATGTTGACCAGGCTGATCTTGAACTCCTGATCTTAAATGATCTGCCTGCCTTGGCCTCTCAAAGTGCTGGGATTATAAGTGTGAGCCACTGCACCCGGCTTTTTTTTTTTTTTTTTTTTTTTTTGAGACAGGGTCTCACTCTCTTGCACAGACTAGAGTACAGTGGCACAATCAGGGTTCATTGTAGCCTCAACCTCCCAGGCTCCCACCTCAGTCTCCTGAGTAGCTGGAACTACAGGTGTGTGCTACCACGCCTGGCCTGCGAGACCCCATCTCTACAAAAAATTTAAAAAATTGGCCGAACGCAGTGGCTCACGCCTGTAATCCTAGCATTTTGGGAGGCCAAGGCAGGTGGATCATGAGGTCAGGGGTTTGAGCCTGACCTACATGGTGAAACCCCGTCTCTACTAAAAATACAAAAATTAGCTGGGCATGGTGGCACGTGCCTGTAATCCCAGCTACTCAGGTGGCTGAGGCAGGAGAATTGCTTGAACCCAGGAGGCCGAGATCGCGCCATTGCACTCTAGCCTGGGTGACAGAGCAAGACTCCATCTCAAAAAAAAATAAAAATAAAAATAAAAAAAAGTAGCCAAGGCTGGGCATGGTGGCTTATGCCTGTAATCTGAGCACTTTGGGAGGCCAAGGTGGGTGGATCGCTCGAGCCCAGGAGTTCCAGAACAGCCTGGGCAACATGGCAAGACCCCATCTCTACAAAAATTTCAAAAAATGAGCGAGCATGGTGGAGCACACCTGTAGTCTCAGCTACTCAGGAGGCTGATGTGGGAGAATCACCTGAGCCTGGGGAGAAGTCGAGCCTGCAGTGAGCCCTGATCGCGCCACTGCACTCCAGCCTGGGAGACAGAGTGAAACCCTATCTCAAAAAACAAAAAACAAAACGAAATACAAAACCTAATAATTGGGGTTCCTTTTGGAGCACACAGGCAAAATCCTGGGACATCAGCTTGGACTCCTCCCTCCACTTGTCCACTGGAACCAATCAGTCCCCAGGTTCCGCTCGGTATCTCCCAGATGCCTACCTTCCTCTTCATCCCTCAACCCCCATCTTTCTCTTGGATTTTTACAGCCACTCCCACACAGGTTTCTCTGCCTCTAATTTCTTCTCTTCAAAGAGGGCCTCTGAAAACAGAAAGCTAATCGTAAGCATCATCTTTCTTTACCCCACACCCCCATTAGTGAACCTCCCATACCGCCCCCCACTGCCATTGCTCTCTGGATAAAGCCCACACTCCTCAACCAAGGCTCCCCCAACCCAACCCCTGCCTCACCTCATGGTGAGGCCCTCCAGCCCTCACCTCATGGCCCTCTGCTCAAGTTGCCACATGTCCTTTGCTCAGGCTACTCTAGGTGGCAGAAGTTCAACTCATGGAAGCAGACAGCACTGAGTTGAAATCCCAGTTTTGCCGCTTACTAGCTGTGTGTCTCAAAGCCTCAGCTGCCACATCTGGAGAATGGCCATAATTACACAATTTCACAAAGTCATCGTGACAATTAAATGAATACATAAGGTGCTGAGCAAACTACCTCACACTCCTGGTAGTCACTATAATTCTTATACTTTCCTCTGCCAAAAGGAGCACTTCTTTTTTTTTTTTTTTTTTAATTTTTGAGACAGAGTTTTGCTCTGTCACCAGGCTGGAGTGCAGTGGCATGATCTCAGCTCGTTGCAACCTCCGCCTCCCAGGTTCAAGTGATTCCCCTGCCTCAGCCTCCCGAGTAGCTGGGACTACAAGGCACCCACCACCATGCCCTGCTAATTTTTTTTTCTTGTATTTTAGTAGAGACGGGGTTTCACCATGTTGGCCAGGATGGTCTCGATCTTCTGACCTCGTGATCCGCCCGCCTTGGCCTCCCAAAGTGCTGGGATTACAGGCATGAGCCATCGCGCCTGGCTCCTTTTTGTTTCCTTTAGAGACGGTCTCGCTATGTTGGCCAGGTTGCTCTTGAACTCCTGGCCTCAAGCAGTCCTCCCACCTCAGCCTCCCAAAGTGCTAGGGTTAAAGGCATGAGCCACCATGCCTGGCCTCAAAGACCTTTTCTTACTGGCAGTCTTACTGATTTGTTATGGCCCAGCTCAGATGTCACTGCTCAGAGGAAATTTTCCTTGATATCCACTCACCATTCCCCAAGTGAAATCAGTCTCACTTTGTATACTCAATTGCACTTTGCACCACTATAAAGCACGTGTAATACTGTTGGCTGTGTGCACCATCTTTCCCCCACTGCCCCAAGAGTTCCCAGAGAGTGGGAACAACACCCTTCTTAACTCTAGCACAGGGCCTGGCATGCAGCAGGTACTCAATGTTGGTTGAATTGAATGGAGTCACCACCGTCAGTCTTTCCTGAGCGCCTTGCAGGGAAGAGGCCTGACTGATGAGACAGCTGAACTCTGTGGGTACTTGGTTGCCTGAGGCCCCCCACTCCAGCTCTGTTTTGGGGTATATTGGGATGTATGTGGGAGTGCGAGTAGGTGGAGGAAACTCCTGACCTCTGAGCTCTTTCTTTCCTGTGGGACTTGTCAGCCCTCCAAGAGAGGGAGAGAGGGAAGAGGAGATGAGGAGGTCCAGGTGCTGAGCAGGGGTGGGGTGGGGCTATAGCAGGAGCTGAGGCGTGGGTGGGAGCTGGCAAACTCCAGCTCCTCTAAGACCAGGGCTGGGCCTGGCAGGACGGGGCCTAACAGCCCGAGTCCCCACCTGCAATGCCCCACCTCATCCTGGCACCTGGATTAAGTGACTTTTCAAGTTGTAAAAAAACTATATCTTGATTGCAAAGAAGCAGAATCCAAGCCTGGCCTTGCCTTGTTGCTGAGCTGGGAGAAGGGGGGCGTGTTCCCTTTTATTCTCCTTTTTGTGTAGGCAACACCTTGTAGTCCTGAGCACGTCAAAGAGGGTAATATTAGGTTTTTGCAAACCCTGGTTAAAGTCACATTATCCCTGACCTTTGTTTCCAACCTCTTGGCCCTTCTCTCACTTCACTGTCTCCCTGACTTTGCTTCTTCTGGCCTTTCCTCAGCTCTTCCAACACACCTTTCCCCTTCTCCCCTCTGGGCTTTCACATATACTGTTTTCTCTGTCTTGAATGTTTCCCCCACTGCCTGATAATTTTGTTTTATGGTTAGTGCTTTCAATGCCTCAGAAATCTTTGCTTAGGCCGGGAAGAGTGGCTCACACCTGTAGTCATAGCACTTTGGGAGGCCGAGGCAGGAGGACTGCTTAACCCCAGGAGTCCAAGGCTGCAGTCAACCATGATTATGCCGCTGCACTCCAGTTTGGGCAACAGAGCAAGACTCTTGTCTCTAAAACACGGCAACAACAACAACAACAAAAGAAATCTTTGCCTATCTCCAGGTCATGAAAATATTCCCATATGTTTTCTTTTTTTTTTGAGACAGATCTTGCTCTGTTGCCCAGGCTGGAGTGCAGTGGTGAGATCTTGGCTCACTGCAACCTCCGCCTCCTGGGTTCAAGTGATTCTTGTGCCTCAGCTTCCCAAGCAGCTGAGACTACAGGCACACGCCACCACGCCTGGCTAATTTTTGTATTTTTAGTAGAGACAGGTTTTCACCCTATTGGTCAGGCTGGTCTCGAACTTCTGACCTGAGGTGATCCACCCGCCTCGGCTTCCCAAAATGCTGGGATTACAGGCATGAGCCACTGAGCCCAGCCCTGTATGTTTTCTTCTATAAGATTTAAAGTGTTTGTGTTCGCATTTAGGTGCATGATTCATGTTGAATTAATTTTTGTGCAGTGTGAGGTAGGGGTTGAGAATCATTCCCACCCTGTTAACTCTTATTCTTTACAGTTCAGCTGATACCCCACCTCCTTTGAGAAGTCTTCCTTGACTACTCCTAAACTAGATCAGGTCATCCTACTCCATACGTCATAACACCTTCCACTTGATTGTAGCACTTGTCACAACTGTAATTAAACAATTATTTGTGTAATTCCTTGTTTAATGTCTCATCCTCCCTACTATACTACAGCCCTGTGAGCTCAGTGCTTGTGACTGTCTTTTTAAAAAATCCATTTTAGGCTGGGAGCGGTGGCTCACGCCTATAATCCCAGCACTTTGGGAGGCCAAGGTGGGCGGATCACCTGAGATCAGGAGTTCGAGACCAGCCTGACCAACATGGTGAAGCCATGTCTCTACTAAAAATACAAAATTAGGCAGGCATGGTGGCACGTGTCTGTAATCCCAGCTACTCGGGAGGCTGAGGCAGGAGAATCACTTGAACCCAGGAGGCAGAGGTTGCGGTGAGTGGAGATCATGCCATTGCACTCCAGCCTGGACAACAAGAGCAAAACTCCATCTCAAAATAAAAAAAATCCATTTTAGGCTGGGCGCAGTGGCTCACGCCTGTAATCCCAGCACTTTGGGAGGCCGAGGCAGTTGTATCACCTGAGGTCAGGAGTTCAAGACCAGCCGGGTCCACATGGCAAAACTCCATCTCTACTAAAAATACAAAAATTAGCCAGGTGTGGTGGCAACTGCCTGTAGTCCCAGCTAATTGGGAGGCTGAGGCAGGAGAATCACTTGAACCCAGGAGGCAAAGGTTGCAGTGAGCTGAGATCACGCCACTGCACCCTGGCCTGGGCGACAGAGCAAGACTCTGTCTCAAAAAAACACACAAAAAAATCAGTCCAGGTGTAGTGGGTCACACCTGTAAATCCAAGCACTTTGGGAGGCTGAGGCGGGCAGATCATGAGGTCAAGAGATCGAGACCATCCTGGCCAACATGGAGAAACCCCGTCTCTACTAAAAATACAAAAATTATCTGTGCGTGGTGGCAAGCACCTGTAGTCCTAGCTACTGGGGAGGCTGAGGCAGGAGAATCACTTGAACCCAGGAGGTGGAGGTTGCAGTGAGCCGAGATTGTGCCACTGCACTCCAGCCTGGCGAAAGAGCGAGAGTCCGTCTCAAAAAAATAAAATAAAATAAATAAAATATATAACTGAAATATGCATGCAGAAAAGTACACATATCAAAACATACACTTTGATATGAATTTTCACAAACTGAACACACTCATATAACCAGTCCCCAGATCAAGATGCAGAACATTTCCTGTACCCAGAAGCCCCCTCCTGTTTCTTCCAGCAATGATTCTTTCTTGCTTTCTTTTTTTTTTTTTTAGACAAGAGTCTTGCTCTGTGGCCCAGGCTGGAGTGCAGTCGCGTGATCTCTGCTCACTGCAATCTCCGCCTCCCGGGTTCAAGTGATTCTCCCTGCCTCAGCTTCCTGAGTAGCTGGGATTGCAAGCATGTGCCACCACACCTGGCTAATTTTTATATTTTTAGTGGAGACGGGGTTTTGCCATGTTGACCAGGTTGGTCTCAAACTCCTGACCTCAGGTGATCCACCCACCTCGGCCCCCCAGAGTGCTGGGATTACAGGCATGAGCCACCGCACCTGGCCTTATGATTGTCTTTCTTACCCTTATATTCTCAGCACTTGGAACAGAGCCTGGAATTAGTAGGTTCTCAGACAAATCGTTGTTGAATGAATGAGTTGGGTGGCCATGCTTAATTCTTCCAAGAACTCGACCTGGAATCCTGTCTGAGCTCTAGCCCCAGCTTTGTGTGACCTTGAGGAGGTCCATTCTGCTTGCTTTCTTTCTTTTTTTTTGAGACGGAGTTTTGCTCTTGTTGCCCAGTCTGGAGTGCAATGGCGTGATATCAGCTCACTGCGACCTCTGCCTCCCAGGTTCAAACGATTCTCCTGCCTCAGCCCCCTGAGTAGCAGGCATTACAGGCGCCCACCACCATGTCCGGCTAATTTTTGTATTTTTAGTAGAGACGGGGTTTCACCATGTTGGCCAGGCTGGTCTCGAACTCCTGACCTCGTGATCCGCCCGCCTCGGCCTCCCAAAGTGCTGGGATTACAGGCGTGAGCCACAGCGCCCTGCCCCCTTTTTGTTTTCTTTAGAGACAGTCTGCTTTCAGGTCTTAGTGTGCTTGTCTGTAAGATGGGAGTGGATGGCCAGGCGCGGTGGCTCATGCCTGTAATCCTAAGACTTTGGGAAGCTGAGGCAGGCAGATCACCTGAGGTCAGGAGTTCCAGACCAGCCTGGCCAACATAGTGAAACCTCATCTCTACTAAAAATACAAAAATTAGCCAGGCGTGGTGGCAGATGCCTGTAATCCCAGCTACTCAGGAGTCTGAGGCAGGAGAATCGCTTGAACTCGGGAGGCGGAGGTTGCTGTGAGCCGAGATCTCGCCATTGCACTCCAGCCTGGGCTACAAGTACGAAACTCCGTCTCAAAAAAAAAAAAAAAAAGATGGGAGTGGATGGAGGGTGATTGGGCTAACAATCTCTTTGGGACTTTTCCAGATATGGCCTTTGGGGCAGAATTAACTCCTGAGTTTCTGACAGTACATTCTCAGGTACTATTCTGGTCATCTGTCTGAAAATGAGGAGTACCTGGGAGGGTTGGAAACTTGATCTCACACAGTGTGAGAAGCCTGGGTCTGAGAGTTGGAAGACCTGGATTTGAGTCCTGGCCTGGCCTCTGGGTGACCTTAGGCAAGTCCCTTCCCCTCCCCGGGCCTCTTGGGTTTTCTCATTTAGCAAGTGACAGGGAGGTTGACCTCCAAAGCTTGAAGAATAGTCATGCTGATTCCAGGCCTCTCAGTGCTAAGGTTCAGTTCCTGATGCATGGGCAACCCTCTGGCTGTGGCCTCCTCCCTGCCAGGCACTGCTGGGGGAGAGGGAAGCACAGGAAGTGATACCGCCCAGGGAAAGGGAACTCATAGTTTGGCCAGGCGGACCCGGTGTTCCGCCAGGAACCAAATGGAAAATGGGCTGATGGTCCAAGTGATTATCTGTGTGTGGGGGTGAAAGGACAGGAGCCTGAGTGTTCCGAGTCGGGGTAGGGGACCTGGGGGTAAGACTGGGGCAAAGGCAGAGATGGCTTCCTGGGGGAGAAGCCTTTGGAAATTGGCAGGGCAACCAAGGGGTGCTTCCCAGAGATGGGAGGAGGCAGGAAGAAGAAAATTGGGTCCAGGTGACCACAGAGCAGCAGCAGCTTGGCCGGGGAGTGGGAGAGGCGGGGCTGGTGGGAGCTTGGGCAGGCGCCTCACAGCTGGGCCTTGGAGGGGAAGTGGTGGGGCAGCCTCTGCCTCGGTCCTGGGAAAGTGCCATCTTCTCAAGCCACAGACTGGGAAGGAGGACATAGCGTGAGGCTCAGGCCAGAGGTCCCTCTCTCTGAACGGCCCCCGGGGCCCTGCCCAGCTGTCCTGGCACTGCAGGACAGAGGGTGAGGAGCAGGGTCAAGCCCCAGTCCCTAGCTCCTTCCACATGTTCTGCCCAGGTGCCTTCAGATTGGATTCCATTTCTACCTCTTTCTGGCTTTTCGCCCAGAGCGCACCCAGAGCACCTTCACTGTATTCCTGTCCTCAGGCAGATGTTTGAGGCAGGGGGTTGCTAGCCAAGTTAAGGAACTGAGTTATAACTATGATCATGGTAACAGGCAGCAGAGCCCATGGTTAAGAGCTTGACTCTCAGGGTTCAACTCCCAGTTCTGCCACTCATGAGCTATGCAATCGTAGGCAAGTTTCTTAACCTTTCTGTGCCTCAGTCTCATCATCTGAAAAGTGAGATAATAATATTGCTTACATCATAGGGTCATTGTGAGGATTAAATGAGAAAATATATGTAAAACATTTAGATCTAAAGCCTCCTCAGACGGAGTAAAATGAACAGGCTTTGGAGTCACTCCTCTAGATGGGCCTTAGTTTCTTTATCTTTAAAATGGGGTGCCAGGGCCAAGCGCAGTGGCTCACACCTGTAATCCCAGCACTTTGGGAGGCCAAGGCGGGTGGATCACTTGGGGTCAGGAGTTCGAAACCAGCCTGGCCAACATGGTGAAACCCTGTCTCTATTAAAAATACGAAAATTAGCCAGGCATGGTGGAATGCGCCGATAGTCTCAGCTACTTGGGAGGCTGAAGCAGGAGAATCACTTGAACCTGGGAGGCGGAGGTTGCAGTGAGCCGAGATCATGCCACTGCACTCCAGCCTGGGCAACAGAGAGAGACTCCATCTCAAAAAAAAAATAAATAAAATAAAATAAAATAAAATAGGGCAAGGCAGGGCTCAGTGGCTCATGCCTGTAATTCCAGCACTTTGGGAGGCTAAGGTAGGAGGATCACTTGAGTGCAGGAGTTTGAGACCATCTTGGTCAAAATAGTGAGACCCCGTCAATACAAACAAACAAACAAACAAAACAAAAAACCCTCTACTCAGGAGGCTGAGGTGGGAGGATTGTTTGAGCCCAGGAATTTGAGACTGCAGTGGGCTATGGTCACACCACTACACTCCACCCTGTCCAGCCTGGATGACAGAGCAAGACCCTGTCTCTAAAAAAATAAATAAATGGATAGATAGATAGATAGATAGAAGATAATAGATACAATGGAGCTAATAATTCCTGCCTTTCAGGGCATTTGTGAAGATTAGTGAGGGCAAACTCGTCCCTAATAAGAGTATAGCAGCAGGCCAGGCACAGTGGCTCACGCCTGTAATCACAGCACTTTGGGAGGCTGAGACAGGTGAATCACTTGAGCCCAGGAGTTTGAGACCAGCCTGAGCCACATGGTGAAACCCTGTCTCTACAAAAAATACAAAAATAAGCCAGGCATGTTACTCCAGCCTGGGTGACAGAGCTAGACCTTGTCTCAAAAACAAAAAGAAAAAAAAAGAGTACACCAGAGGCCCTTCTCCTCCCACATTCCCTGCCTGCCCCATTGCCTGCGTGTCAAGCTGTATCCACCCACCCCTGCTGCCCTTGGCCACCCCTCAGGCCTAGGAATCTACCCTGGAAGTGTGGTTTGGATGAGGGAAGGGCCCACCCAGGCCCTGGAAACTAGCTCAGCGAAATTTAGGATCCTGGGTACTCAGAGGTGGTCTAGAAAGAGGTAACGGTGGTCTCTGGGTGGGTATGTCCTCTTGGCCTCTCTGACTCCTCACTCCATGGGGAGGCACCTAGTGGAGGAGGGCCAGGGTGGCCTTCTAAAACACTGGGGCCCCTGTCTCCACGGTTGCCTGGGCCTAAGGTCTGTACTAATTAAGAGTAAATGACAAACCCTGGCACAGCACATAGCTGACACTTGGGAAATAGTAAAAATGGCTGCCATTCATTATCTTCACAACAACCCTGAAAGGCAGGTACTATTGAGCTCATTTTGAAGATGAAGAGCTAAGACTCAGAGAGGTGAAGTCATTTGCTATATCTAAGGGGAGAACTGGGACTCAAAGCTGAATCTGTCTGACTCCAACGGGGCTGCTAGCCAAGGGATGGGAATCCCAAAGCCACCAGCAGATCCTTTTTGGGGCTGTGCCAGAGCTAGGTGCTGGAGTGGGTATGGTATCTGTCCCAGGATAATGACCAGACCCACACAGGATACGGAGGCTCAATTTGCCCTAAGTAACCTTTAAGCCCATCTCAACCTCCGGCAGCATTCTAGCTAAAGTTATTTATTCATTCTACACACATTTGCACACCGTGACTTGTGTGTGGAGCCATGTGCTGGGACCTGGAGACCCTGGATGAGTTAGTCTAGGCCTCTGTCCTCCAAGTGCTGCTAGTCTGGTAGGGGAGGCAAATACATTGCTAGAACACCTTACTGTAGAGCAGTGTGGAATAAGGATTAAGCATATAAATGGTGGCAACAAATTGCCTGGGTTCAAATCCCAGCTCTATCACTGATTATGTTTGTGAAATGAGCTAGTTACTTAACCTTTCTGAGTCTCAGTTTCACATGAGCAAAATGGGAGTGATGACACTTTCTAATAATATAACCATGAAGGTTAAATATGATCACGAACATGGAATGCTTATGTAAAGCCTAGCACATAGAAAGAAGCATTCAGTGAGTATTAGCTATCTGGAATTAAATGTAATGGGGCATAGGCTGGGCACAGTGGCTCACGCCTATAATTCCAGCACTTTGGGAGGCCAAGGCGGGCGGATTACCTGAGGTCAGGAGTTCGAGCCCAGCCTGGGCAACATGACGAAACCTCGTCTCTACTAAAAATGCAAAAATTAGCCAGGCATGGCGGAGTGCACCTGTAATCCCAGCTACTCAGGAGGCCGAGGCAGGAGAATTGCTTGAACCTGGGAGGCAGTGGTTGCAGTGAGCCGAGATCCCACCACTGTACTCCAGCCTGGGCAACAGAGCAAGACTCTGTTTCAAAAAATAAATAAATAAAAATGAATTGTAATGGGGCATAGAAGAGAAACTCATTTTTGTTGGGGAGGTGGGGGTCCAGAGAGGCTTCTTAGAGAAAAGGAACATCTGTGTTGGGCTCTGAAGGATGAAGAGTTCACCCGGAAAAGTGGCAGAGGGCATTCCAGGAGGAATGTATTTTGTGGACAAAGGCCCAGGGATATGGAAGGATATGACCTGTTTGGGTGTGGCTGAACACAGAGTTGGCTGAGAGGAGTGGTAGGAAATGAGGTTCGAAAGGCAGTTTTGAGGGCCTCCAGTGCCTTGCTATTGAGGGCAGACTTTAAAGGACTGGGGAAACAGAGCAGGAGTTTAAGGGCTGGGAAGGGACAGGATTATACCTATTTTATTTTTATTATTTATTTATTTAGAGATGGAGTCTTGCCCTGTTGCCCAGGCTGGAGTGCAGTGGTGCAGTCTGCTCACTGCAACCTCCTCCTCCCAGCTTCAAGCGATTCTCCTGCCTCAGCCTCCCAAGTAGCTGGGATTATAGGCATGCACTACCACGCCCACCTAATTTTTTTGTATCTTTAGTAGAGACGGGGTTTTGCCGTGTGGGGCAGGCTGGGTCTCGATCTCCTGACCTCGTGATCTACCCTCCACGGCCTCTCAAAGTGTTGGGATTACAGGCGTGAGCCACGGTGCCTGGCCTTATTGCGCCTATTTTAGAAAGGTGATTCTAGCCGCAGTGTGGAGCGTGAGCTGTACGAGGAGAGCCTGGCTGTCGGGGAGCAGATCTGAGCACGCTCCTCACCAGCCCTAGCTCAGGCTCGGACCTCTCTGACTTCCTGCCTTCCCACGTGCTCTTGCCTCTGCTTAGAGTATCTTTCCCTTGACTTTGCCTGGCTAACTCCTTGCCCACCTTCAGGTCTCAGTTTAGCCAGCACTTCCACCCGGAAGCTCTACTAGACACCCCTCCCAGTCCAGATTAGATGCTCCTACTTACTCCTCCTCTGTGCTTGCAGACCTGCCCACCTGCCTGCCTCGTCGACTGGACTCTGGCCAAGGGCAGGGACTGTGTGGCACTGCTCACTGCTGTATCCACAAGGCCCTAAGGCATAATGCCTGGAGCCTCAATCCATGATCGGTAGGGAACGAATGAATGGCTAAGCCTGTTGGGGCAGGTGTGATAGTTTGAGTGAAAGTGACAGGGTCTGCGGTGGCAGCGAGGAGAGAAGAGACACGATAGAATTGACGGGACCCAGGAATCATGAGAGGAGAACACAGGGAGAGAAGAAGGAGTTGGTGATGACTCAGAGGTGTTTTTTTTTTCACCTGGGTAAGCCCTGTGCCTCTAACCAAGATAGGAGCCATGGAGGAGGGGGTTGGAGGGAGGGAGGGAGGAGTAGGCCAGGGCAGAGGGGCAGGGCGGAGCCTTACCTTGGTAGGAGACTGGGGCCCTGGCCCAGGCCGTTCCTTGGAGTATTCTTCCCTTCTGGGATGCTGTGCACACTGATGGATCCTCAGCAATGTCTGTGACTGTCCAAATGCTGCCACCTTGACCACTCTAACTCGGCTGCCTCCCCTACAAATTATTCTCTACCAATGCACTCTCTCCACTTCCTCCCAACTCTCATGATTGTAATCGTGTATCCGTTGACTTGTATTTTATTCTCAGTGTGTCTTCCTCACTAGATTGGAAGTTCCATGAAGGCAGGGATCTCGCTGGTTTTATTGACCATGTATACCTGGCAGGCTCCCTGGCACATAGTAGGTGCTCAAAAAATATTTGTTGAATGAATGAGTGATGAATGAATGAATGAATTCTTTGAATGCCATGATAAAGAATTTGACTCTTAGCCTCCAGGAGACGGGGATCCATGGAAAGTTCTAAAGGAAGGCAGTGTCAGGATGCAGCTCGTATTAGAAAGCTCACCCTGGTCGCTGTGTGGAAGATGGATTGGGGAGGGAACGCGGGAGACTAGAGGAGGGGGAATTGAGGAGCCACTGGGGGAGACAAAGACATAGCACTTGGGGCTGGGCCTGGGAGCCCCCCTGCCTGTGAGGGCCCTGAGCCCCCTCCCAGTCCTTCCCCATCCCCCTGCCAGGCCTGTTGTCTCTGAGCCCAGCGGCAGGCGGGCGGTGGGAAGAGCAGGGCTGGCAAAGCTGACACTCACTAATCACGGCCCTCACCCCGGAGCCGCACTAACTGTCTGGTCTCCATGGAGACACGGCAACCTCCGGCCACTTGTTAATGGCAGCTCAACAAGGCTGCAGCGACAGGGACGGGCCTGACCAGCGTGCCCAGCTCCACACTACCTGTCCCAGCCTGGCCCTCTGCAGAAGACCTCAGGGGCACCAGACCTGGGGGACAGGACCGGAGGTCTGGTGGCTGGACGTCTCCCCAACCCCTCCGTGGCCCCGCCTCCCCTGGCACTGCCAAGCAGCGAGAGGGCAGAGGCAGCCTCTGCCCAGGCTGACTCCTCTGCAGGGCTGCTGGGAAGCTGAGCTCATGCAGGTCACCCAGGCAAGGCCAAAGGGCTGGAGGGGGATGGTGAGGAGTGGAGCGGGGACCTGCCCACAGCCCACACACTAGCAGAGTGGAGGAGGGCGTGCTTTGCCTGCCCTGACAACCCTCTGCTCTGCTAGCCTGAGGCAGGGGCCCAGTTGGGAACCATCTGTCCAGAACCTCTTCCCGGTGCACTGTCACTACATCTGAAATGCCACCGTTAGCAACGCACTCCTTCGGGAGGCAGCATGGCATAGCACAAAAAACACTGGTTTTGCCGTCAAGCAGGCTTGGGTGCAAGGCCTGACTCTGTTTCTCTACCTCTAAGCATTGATTTCCCCATCTGTAAAATGGGGGTAATCATTGCACATACAGGCTAACTCTTCCTCTTCCTGGAAACCTGAGCTCATTACCTGTGATGCCTCCCCCAGAATCTTCTTCACCCCCACAAACCAGCAGGGCCTCCTCCACAGTCCCCGGGCTCATCCCACAGCATGCTGCACCTGCCTGTGACTGTCCCACATTTGTCCTTCCCACAGACTGAGCCCTGTGGGGTTGGGCAGAGTGAGCCTCAGGAGAGGGTGGCGAAAGAAACAAAGGAAGGGCATGGGGGCCTCCCTCGGTCTTCTGCCTTTGCACCCTCCTTCAGTGCAGGTTGAAGACTTTCTTTCCTTCTCTCCTTCAGACCTTTGTTCCTCCATCTGTGTGTCTATCCATCCGGCCTGCAAACTCTCTCCAAGCCCTTCCCTTTTGCGGGACCTCAGAGAGGATGCAGATCCCACCCCAAACTAAAGGTGAGGCAGAGACCCAATTCCAGGGCTCTGGACACCTGAGGCACACCCATGGCTGGCTGGGGACCTTGGCACAGCTGCCTCCTCCCTCGGTCACTCCTTAGGCAACACTCCAAGCTGAAAAGGCCCTTGGAGATCATCTCCTCCTTTCCACGACAGCCAGCCAGATGAAGAAACTGAGGCCTGGAGAGCCCAAGATCCCATAGCAGTTCTGTTTTTGAGCTGACAATGTACCAATTATGCGGGCCTGCTGGGGAGGCGGCTTTTGGCTCTCCCGGCCCTGCTGACAGCTGTGTTCCCAGTGGCAGCTGGAATGCTGGTGGGAGGCCTGTCTGGCCTTTGCACCCTGACTCCCCAGGGCAGAGCCAGGTGGCTCTAGTGGGGCCCAGGGCTGGGAGGTGGTGTGGGCAGACAACCCTGAAGGGTGAGTTGGGGCATGGGATGGCTGGAAGAGAAGGGAGGCAGTACTGATTTTGGAGACTAAAGCAGAAGCCCTGAGGTCTTGTTCCAGCTCTGTCACTCTCTTGCTGGGTAACCTTGGGTGGATTGTTTGACCTCTCTGAACCTTAGTTTTCTTATTTATAAAATGGTGCTAATTTTGTAGATTGAAAACCTTTTATCAATAGTTGTAGCCATACAGAGGTGAAGAATTTTTATTGTTGGGCTGAAAGGCTAAGATTCCAGAGGGGAAGGGACTAGCCCGAGGCCACAGAGCACTGAATTGGATGCAAGGATTTGGACCTGGAGGAGTGTCCAGTCCATACTATCCACTTGCTGAAGGGGCAAATAGAGCCAGAGAAGGGGAGCAAGTTCCCCAAGGTCACTCCGTGAGTCTGGGGCCAGTGTGGGCCCAGAGCCAGGCTGTGCACGAGGTCCCCTGCCCAGCTGCCTCGCTTGCTCATCCAGCCCCCTTGGTTTTGTCTCCCCCAGTGAGTGGGCGCAGAACGGGCCCAGCTTCCTTCCTGCCGCCCTGCCTGCCGTCTGCCACGTTGGCATCCACCCTCAGCCTTCTCGCCCCTGCTGCTGCTGCTGCTGATGCGGCATCAGCCGAGACCAACCCGCCGAGAGTTTGCCCAGAGCAGTCAGGGCTGCCGGAGCCGGGGCTGGGCTGGCTGGCTGACTCTGCCAGACAGGAGGGAGCGAGCCAGCCGGTGGAGGGAGGGAACAAGGGCTGAGCCAGCCCCCAGCCTTCCCAGCCCTTCCCCACCCTCGCCGGCCAAGGGAAGGAGGCAGGAAGCTGGGGTTGGGGGCCAGGGGACTGCAGTGTCTGAGAATGAGGTTCCGATAGCTGGGTCTGTCTGTGGGAGCATGCACACATATGTGTGTGCATGGAAGAGCACGTTGGGGTGGTTTGTGAGTCTGTGTTTGCCTCAATGTGCACAGGTGATGATGCTATGTGTGTGGGTTTGTGCCGACATCGGGGGCCACTGTGTGTTTGTGTAAGCACAAGGGAAAGCTGTATGCCCTGAGTTTGAACGCAGGCCTGTGTACAGAGACGTGCGAGATCTAGCAGTGTGTGCACATGGTAGCAGATGGGCACCACGTCAGTGCCAATAAATCTTTGTATGCACAAAAGAGTCGGTACATGTGCCTGAGTTTGTGTATGTCACATCTGGGTGTGTTGGGAGCCCCTGTGATTTTATGGTGTACAAGAGGATAACAGCATAACTGTGGGTTTGAGCTTGTCTGTGTATGTGCAAGGGACAGTGTGTGTGCAGAAGGGAACTCTGCAGGTGGCTGGGATTTTGTGCATGTCTTGTGCCCAGGAAGGCACAGTACTGGTGGTGTGGGCTAGTCCAAATGTCCAGAGGATGGGTATGGGCGCCTCTGTGCCCAACAGACTTTGTCTGTGTGGTTGTTGAGAGTGACTCAGGGGAACACTGTGTGACTGTATATGCTTGGCTGTGTGTACAGGGAACAGGCAGCACAGGCATTGTGTTTCTGTGGTTGCATTTACACAGGGCGGTGGCGGCGGCGGTGGTGGTGATGGTGACGGTGCTGTGCTACAGGTTTGCACTTGTTTCTCTATGTGGCAAGGCCCTGCGTGTGACTGCGTTTGTGCGTGTCTGTGAGCACGGTGCGCTGGAAACTGCGTGCTTGGGTCTGTGGCAGGCTGAATGGAGGAGGGCGGAGGGAGTCCATGGCTATGTTTGTACTTGTCTGTGAGCCCGGGGTCAGATGCGCTCCATGTGCTACCTCCTGTGTGCACAGGTGGCCGCTGTGTCCAACCGTGTCTTTGTGTGTTTCGGGTTGCCTGAATGTGCACAGGCGGAGGACATGGAGGGGGGGATTTGAGTGCGTGCCTGTGCAGGCCCCTTTAACGTGGCAAGTCTAAGAAATGTCGGCCTTCTTGGCAGCGAATCTGGGCTTGGTTCCACTGGGGGCGTCTGCAGAGAGGGGCTCTTAGAAGGGACGTGCTTGAGCGAGAGAGACAGGAAGGGAAGGGGGGGCCAGCCCCAGCTCGGGGTTTCCAGGAGGGAAAGCCAGACATTGGAACTTGTCAACGCTACCTCCTTCCCTGCCCCCACCTTCCACTGCTGCCTCCCCTCCTGGCGCCTGAAGGCTGCTGGCAGACGGACAGACAGACAGACAGTGCACACATAGACTGGCTCATAGGCACAGAGCCCAAACCTGAGCCCCTAAATGCACAAGCCTGGACACTGAGGTCCAGAGAGGGCAAAGGAAGTAGCTGAGTCTCGGAGGAGCACATGTGTTTATGCATGTTGGGGGCAGGGGGTGCTGTTGGCCTCTGGTGCTTCAACCCAGACTGGAGCCCAGGCCTAGGGCGGGGAAGAGGCTGTGGAGAGCCTCTGGGGAGGGGCTTTTATGGCTCTAACCAGGCCCTCAAGGCCCCCAGCTCCTCTCCCTGTTTATACAACTGCTGCAGTGTCTTTGAGAGTCCTGTTGCCTCAAAAAAACACCTACCGCAACTCCCTGTTTGTACAGAGGCAGAAAAGACCCAGAGAGGAGCAGCAGCTGATCCAGGGTCACACAGCAGAACCAGGACTGGAATCCAGGGCTCCTTCTCCTAGCTGTGCATGTTGGCCCATGGGCCACTTAGTCTTATCTTTCCCTTGGTCCATTTATCTTTTCTTCCTCCCAGGTCTTCGGGATATGACAACGACCTCTTTTTTGTGTTGCTTTTGTTGCCCAAGTGATATGTCTGTCTGCCTGTTAGTCCATCTGTTTGTCACAGGGCTTCAATACCCTCTGGCAGAATACGGAAGAGAAGAGGGCTTGGTTTTTGGCCAAGGGCTATTGGAGAGATAGGGGTGGGATGGGGAGACAGAGAAACAGAACGAAAGGAATTTGAGACGAGAGGAAGGAGGAGAGAAGAGCAAGGGGAGGGCACTGGCGGCAGAGCTGAGAAGCCCAGGCTGCCCTTTACCTCCACCTCCAGCCTGGGCACAGGGGCGAGCTCTGAGCTCAGAGACTCTGAGTCCTGCCTCTTGGGGCCTTGGGGAGAGGACCCCAGGGCTCCTGTAGGGTCTGGGCCCAACCCCCAAACCCTGGGGGCAGCTGGGTTGGAGTCCTGGGGTCAGTATTCGGGGTGCAGGTGTGGGGTGCAGTGACCGAACTGCCCTCATGGGAAAAGGAGGGAGGGGATTGCAGGTACCTAGGGGGCATGAACCTGGGCATGCGTTGACTTAGTGTGTGTGGTCTCTTTGCAGCAGGGTTGTTGAGAGTGTGCGTGAGGTTGCGAGTACGCTAGGACTCTGTGTGGACACCTATGAACATACATGACCCAGTGGCAGACAAGCTGGGATTTCAGTGGGGAGGGGAAGGACTGCAGGAATGTGTGTCTATGACCGGCAGGGAGTGGTTGTCTATGTGTGGAAGGATTTGTGTGAACCTGCCTTACATGTTCTTGGGGAGGCTGTATCCTGTGTATGTAGGCAGGTGAACTGTATAGCTCTGTACAATTGTGTGTGGTGTGTGTGTGTGTGTGTGTGTGTGTGTGTGTGTCTGGATGAATATGTACCATGTGTTTGAATTGCTTAAGTATTTACATGTTAAATGTGTAACTGCATATAAGTGTGGATGTGTATACATGTTTGTAATTGTCTTGAGGTATATGTGTGGAGTTACCTGTATGAGTCTTGCCTGTAGGTTGTGTGTGCAGTTGTGTGTATTTGTGGAGCAGTGAATATTAGGAAGCTGTTCACATGTGCGGTTGTGTATTTTGGGGGATTAGGTTATATGTGTCGTTCTTTTTGGATGGAGTTTCACTCTTGTCACCCAGGCTGGAGTGTAGTGTCAGGATCCCGGCTCACTGCAACCTCTGCCTCCTGAGTTCAAGCAATTCTCGTGTCTCAGCCTCCCGAGTAGCTGGGATCACAGGTGTGTGCCACCACGCCTGGCTAATTTTTGTATTTTTAGTAGAGACGGGGTTTTGCCATGTTGCCCAGGCTGGTCTTGAACTCCTGGCCTCAAGTGATCTGTCCACCTCGACCTCCCAAAGGGCTGCGATCACAGGTGCGAGCCACCGTGCCTGGCCTATATTTGTGGTTCTTAAGGCTATACTTTATTTTTTATTTTTTGTTTATTGTCAAACTTCCCCTGTCAGAATGTAAACTCTATTAGGACTGAAATTTTTATCTATTTTGCTAACTATTTTGCTAATCTATTCCTAGTGTCCAGAATAGGGCCCAACACTTAGTAGGCACTGTATACATATTTCTCCAATGAATGATGAATGAAAGTGTGCATGCTTGGCAGGGTGTGGGAAGTGTGTTAGGTGTATGAATCGTGCGTGTGTGTCTGGGTGTGTGAATGGATAAATTTTTTGTGTCTTGAGTGTGTGAGGTTTCTAGCATAAGTGGCCTATGAACCAAGTACGTGCACAGGTGCATGTGTGTCTAGGCGTGTGACTGTGTACCTGAAGCTGGGCCACGTCTGTGAGCATTGCACACAACTGTGTGCATGCACAGTTGTGTGTGCTTGTACATGGGGGTGGGAAGGCGCTGTCGGCTTCTCCCAGCCTTCAGCACTCACTCAGCTTCACCCCAGGTCGCCTGCTGCGAAATGTCAGTGGCAGAGAAGCTAAAAATATCTGCTCTCCTCCTTCTGCTCACTGCTTGGGCTGATGGGACTGTGGGGCCCCAGCCGGCCCCTTGGGCCCTGCGGGGAGGAGGAACTGCTGGATGAGGGGGCGGGGCACAGGGGAAGGAAGGGAGGCCCTCCTTCGTACACACCCTTCCCCCTTTCCTCTTGGGCTCCAAAGCCAGGCTTCAGGCTCACCTCTTTCAGGAAGCCCTCAAGAACCCCCCAGGAGCTGTGTGTGTCTGTGTGTCTGTCTACCTGGCAAGGAGATATGGCCCCCATCAGACTGGAGCTCCACAGAGCAGGTCTGTGCCTCTTCTGCCCATCCAGGGACTCCAGGGGACAGAGCTCTGTCTCCTTCAGGCCAGGGGCTCCCAGGGAAAAGGCTGGTGCTGTCTCCTCCCTAAGCCTGAGGGTTACGGATGCAGCCCAGGCCAGACAGGGCTTCACTGGGCTCTGGTTCTGGGGCCACTAGGGCCCTCTGACCCCAGGGCAGATCTGCTGTGATGATGAGCTTGTGGGTAGGGAGGAGTCTCAGCTCTGCCCACACCACACCCTAGGCAGGCACGTGTTTGTGCTATGGGTACTTGTGTGGGTGCAGGTGGGACATGTCAGGGCCCGTGGTCCTCTGGGGACCTGTGCCTCTCCACATGTCGGGCTCCTGCCTGCATCAGTGGTGTCAGCGACTGCCTGCCTTGGGCACTGTGGTCAATCGGTACAAGTTGAGTGTATTGTATGTTTCTCTGTGTTCTTTTTTTCTTTGGAGGGGGGGACGGAGTCTCGCTCTGACACCTCCCGAGTAGCTGGGACTACAGGCGTGTGCCACCACACCCGGCTAATTTTTTGTATTTTTAGTAGCAAGAGGGTTTCATCATGTTAGCCAGGATGGTCTCGATCTCCTGACCTCAGGTGATCTGCCCGCCTCGGCCTCCCAAAGTGCTGGGATTACAGGCGTGAGCCACCACACCCGACCTTCTCTGTGTTCTTGTGTGTGCACATGGATGACTGTGTATGTGGGTTTCTGCCTTTCATTGTGCAGGCCTGCAGATACTAGCAGGGATGGACTCTGCATTCATGTGGGAGTTGCTGATGTCACCATGGGGGGTTTCTGTTTGTGTGTCAATGTGCTCGGGTGTGTGTCTCTGTCAGAAGGTCAGTGCCTGTTTGTTCTGTGTATGGAGGTGTATGTAGGTGCATCTGTGTGTCAGTGTTTCAATTACCATGTTTCTGTGTGTCTGTGTGTCTGTCTTCCTGGTTGTCATTATGTCTGCGGTACCTCCGTGCCTGTGTTGCGTGCCTAGGTCAGTTTGATTTTGCAGGTCTGTAGGGCCACGTGTCCCTCTGTATGTTGGTGTTTTCCATGTGGGTTGGAATCTGCCTCTGCTTTTCCTAATCTCCCACCATTTCTGTGTGGAAGGCCTCAGGCATTGTGTGTGTGTGTGTGTGTGTGTGTGTGTGTGTGTATGTGTGTGTGTGTTCAGCAACTTTCCCCAGCCCCACAGCCTGCAACCCTGAGATCTGCTCTCCCACTCTTTCTCCGTTGGACTTCAGGTGGGAGCTGAAGCAAAGAGGGCAGGCAGGCAGGGAGCCCACGACAGCCGGGGGCCGGGGCCAGGCTGCCACGAGGGCCCTACCTCAGCTTTCCTCCAAGCAAGCGCTAAGCCAGAGCCTCGGTTACATGTAAACACCAGCTGTGTCAAGACGGCGCAGCTTCTTCTAGGTCAACAGACAGCTGTGGGGTTGCTAGGCAACCGCCTGGCTCCCCCCTCCATTAGGCCCCCTCCCACTGCCTCTACCTGCAAACCCTCTGCTGGCTCCCCCCACGCCAGGATAGGCCTCACCCCTCCGCGCCAATTAACACAGCGGGACTGAGGGGGTAGGGGGTCAGGGCAGCTCCGGGACTGGAATCAAGGTATGAGGACGTATTAACCCTTCACGTGCCACCACCCCCTCCACCTAGTCCTGGGGCACTTCACACACCCCTAACTTCACCAGTCACTTTAGGGCCTGGAGTGATGAGGAGCACGTCCTGAGGGATGGGGACCCTCAGTGCAGCCACAACCAGGACTGGAGAGACGCTGGAGGCAGATGGCGCAGGGCTTGGTCAAGGCCTCTCCCCTCCCCAGCCAAGCCTGGGGGAAGGAAGGGTTAAATTCCCCCTTTATTTCCCCTGTCCCGCCCCCTCCCAGGACAACCACCCCATTTCCAGGGCAGCACCTGCGCTCCCAGCTGCCGTGCCCGCTTGGTGCCTGAGTCCGGGCCAGGCAGCCCCCGCAGCGCCCAGGCCCTCGCCCTCGCCGTCGCCCTCGCCCTCGCCGGCCCCAGCGCCGCCCTTTGCCCGGCCTGGGACTTCTCTGCCGGGAAAGGGGAGGCGAGGGCCCCTAGGCCTTAGGCAAGGGGCTCAGGCCCACCGGGTGGGGTGCGTGGGCCAGGGCCGCCAGCCCCGGGGTGACTTGGCTGGAGCCGGAGGAAGGAGTTGGAGGAGGGAGCCCGGCCGGCAGGGGGGCAGCTGTGGGGGCAGCGCCCGTGGCCGCCCCATTAGTATGCGGCCGCGCTCTGCGCGCCATGGCAACAGCTCCCCCCGCGCAGCGCTAGGCGGGCAGCCCCGGGCGCAGCGCGCACCTCTCCTCCCACAGGTGGCGGCGCGCACGGGCACGCACGCACACTCGGCTCGGGCGCCTAGGGGAACGCCGGGGGCGCCAGGTGCGCTGGGGCGTCCTGCCGCCCGTGCAGCCGCCCATGGGCGTGTCCCCAGGTGCTCCAGAGTGAGGCCCGAGGGAGGAGTGTGTCCTTGAGGACGTTCTGCCCGCGCCTGGGTGTGCCCCTCAGTGGGTCCCTCGGCCGGCCTGCTGTGCTTTTATGTCGGTCTCCGATTGTCCTGGAGGGTCTGTGCCTGTCTGTGCTCATCTGCCTCCTTAGCCCCGAGTGCCTGAGTGACTGCCAGTTAACCGAGCGTACCTGTGCCTCTGTATCTGTGTCTGTACGAGCCCAAGGGGTGTGTGTGTGTCCGTGTGCGCGTCCATGTCTCTGGGTTTTCCCCAGGAGGAACGCCCTGGGTGTGTCGGCGACTCTGGATGTCCGTGTGTGCCAGAATGAGTACCTGTGTGTGCGCCTTTGTGTCTGTGTGTGGCCCGTGGATATCTGTCTGGCATCCCTGAGTGTTTCGGGTGTGGCTGTGTGTGGACTTTTGTACGTCTATGTCCCTGTAAGTGCCCTCAGGAGCCCCTCTCTCCATGCATATCACTGTGTGTTCCTGTGAGTGCCCCACGTCTCCTGGAGTGTGGCTGTGTGTCCAGGGGCTGCTGGCTCTTTGCCCTCCTCGGCTTCACTCCCTGCTGCCTGAGTGAGCCGACACCTGCTCCCTGAGCACTGGGCCCCCTTCCCCCCACCTGGCAAGGACAGGGAAGGACACGGAGGCAGAGGCAGAGGCAGACATGGAGGCAGAGACAGAGACATGGAGGGAGACACAGCCAAGTAGGCTGGAGAGGTGGAGATCCAGTCACGTGATCAGCCTCAAAGCCCAAGACGGAGAAGAGAGGCACAGAGATGCCAAGATCCGGACATTAGAGAGAGGGAGACTCAGAGGCACACAGAGACCCAGAGCACGGCGTCCGGAACTGCAGAAACAGAAGAGATCAAGGATGCGGCTCCTCAGCCTCCCTTCCTCTCTCCCTCCCTCCCACTCTAGAGTTTCCAGCCCCAGCTGTGCCTCCCCCACATACCCAAAGCAGAGTTCTCCTGGCCCTGGGACTGGAAGCCAGCCTCCTCCTCACAGCTGGCTGTGTGTGTGTGGACACGTGTACATGCATGTGCGCATCTGTGTGACGCACTGGGCTAGTGCCTACCTTGTACACAGCCCCCCTCCATTCAAAACCTCCTCTCCCCACCACCACCGTCCACATTTTCACAGGCCCAAATCATGCACACCTTTACACACATGCCACACAGCCAGCCACACTCATTCAAGCCCAGAAACATGCCCTGGGCCTCCCTCTCTCAATCTCATCCACACAGGGCCAGAAGACCCAGCATACACAGCCACACCAGAAAGTCTCTCCCCGTCCTAAGGTGTGAGGGTCAGATGTCCACCCCTCTTTCCCCCTCTCAGCAACCCTCGAGGGGCTCGAACCCCTGCTACTCACAGGGAAAAACGCATGACTAAATTTGTCAATTCCATCAGATTAGACACTCAAAGGCAGGGCCCCTGACTGTCCTGCTCACTGTTGACTCCCCAAGTGCCTTCGACGGTGCCTGGAAGGTGCTTAAGAAATGTTTGAATAAATATGTTCATACCAGGTCTCTGGTGTGGGGGAGAACCCATAGTAACTGACAGCCACTCAGAGTGAAAAACGCTAATGGATATCACAGTGTACACACACCTAGGACAGTACACTAAATACAGGTGTGTGTGACACTCAGCTCAACAGCTCAATTAGAGGTTATCCAGTGGGCTGTGTGTTGGAACCACCCAAGAAGCTTTCAAAAATCCCCATGCCCAGGCCCCACCCCAGACCCATAAAATCGGAATATTTTGGGGTAGGACTTGGGCATCGGCATTTTGAAGCTCTCCAGGCAATTCCTTTCTAGGATCTAGAACCCCTTATGTACATGAATAGACTAACAAGTGTTGACACAGGGGTTATAGCCAGGGATGGGAGTAGAGAGGATTTTCACTTTTTTTGTTGTTTGTTTTTTTGTTTTTGAGATGGAGTCTGGATCTGTCACGCAGGCTGGAGTGCAGTCGCGCGATCTCAGCTCACTGCAACCTATGCCTCCCAGGTCAAGCGATTCTCCTGCCTCGGCCTCCCAAGGAACTGGAACCACAGGCGCGCGCCACTGCGCCCAAGGATTTTCACTTTTAACTGTACAGTGAAGCACAGACTTCTGAGCCAGACTGCTTGGTCTGAACTCTGGTGTCACCACTTAGTAAGTTCTGGTTTGAATGTACTCACTGAGTGGTCTTCATAAATTACCTCTCTGCACTTGAGTCTCCTGTCTGTAAAATGGGGATAATAATCATTACAACGAAGCCTCATAGGATTCTGGTGGAGACCAAATGCATTAATACATATGCAAAGCATTTGGAACAGCTGGCATATATAAGTGCCATATATCTATTATTAAAAATTTTTAAATTATAGAATGGATTAATTTTTGGATTTTATAAGCAGATTCCGCCCCCCGCCCCGCCTTAAAACTGTTATGAAAAAGCAAGAAAGGCCAGGTGCAGTGGCTCACGCCTGTAATCCCAGCACTTTGGGAGGCCAAGGTGGGCGGATCACGAGGTCAGGAGTTCAAGACCAGCCTGGCCAACATGGTGAAACCCTGTCTCTAGTAAAAACACAAAAATTAGCTGGGCGTGCGGGCACCTGTAATCCCAGCTACTTGGGAGGCTGAAGCAGGAGAATTGCTGCCACTGCGGAGGTTGCAGTGAGCCGTGATTGCGCCACTGCACTCCAGCCTGGGAGACAGAGCAAGACTCTGTCTTGGGATAAAAAAAAAAAAAAAAAAAGAAAAAAGAAAAAGAAAAAGAAAAAGGAAAGGGGAAAATTTTTTTTTAGACGAAGTTTCGCTCTGTTGCTCAGGCTGGAGTGCAGTGGCGCCCTCTTGGCTCACTGCAAGCTCCGCCTCCCGGGTTCACACCATTCTCCTGCCTCAGCCTCCTGAGTAGCTGGGACTACAGGCGCCTGCGCCTACGCCCGGCTAATTTTTTGTGTTTTTAGTAGTGACGGGGTTTCACCATGTTAGCCAGGATGGTCTCGATCTCCTGACCTCAGGTGATCTGCCCGCCTCGGCCTCCCAAAGTGCTGGGATTACAGGCGTGAGCCACCGCACCAGGCAGGAAAAAAATTTAACAAAGAAAAAAAGGCTGGGCGTGGTGGCTCGCACCTGTAATCCCAGCACTTTGGGAGGCAAAGGCTGGAGAATTGCTTGAGGTCAGGGGTTTGAGACCAGCCTGGGGAACATGGCAAGACACCATCTCTAAAAAGCAGAAATAGAAGAAAAATACAAAAAGGGGGAAAAAAATAAAGGAAGGGCCTAAAGCCTAGGCCAGCCTACTTCTGCCACTTTCCACGTGAGCTTTGGACCAGTCCCTTACTCTGTGTCTGGGAACCTGTCTTCTCATCTGTAAACCAAGTGAGCATCTTTCTCTACCTCAAAGATTGTTCTGAAGAATAAACGCCTCAGGGAAGTGTTTAATAAATGATGGCGAAACCCACGTATCTGAGAGCCACATTGCCTTGATGCATTCTGGGATCAGGTGTGGCACTGGGGCGGTGGTAGGGCCCTGACCTCTGAAAAGAACGGATCAAAACAGGGTGTGCCCCAAACCTGCACCATACACTGTGCAGGGTCTTTGCTGCCCTTAACTAAGGGCACAGAGAACCTTCCATCCCAGAGGCCCTGGTCCATCTCCCGAGTCTGGTCTCCAAAATACACCACAGCCTGCCTCACCCCTTACTAAGCAGCAGGCCCTAGGCTGAAACCCCTCCCCTTCCTGAGCGCCCATTCTCTTGCTGCCCCTCCGTTCCCATCTCCTGGAGCCCCTGTTCTCACCAAGCCTTCCTACCATCACTTCCCTCTCCCTATGCCCCTCTCTTCATAGTGAACCCCCATCTTCCCTTCGAGTTAAGGGGCCCCTTCACTGTGCCATAATCAACCCGTCAAACTCCCACTTCCTTCCTGGGTCTCCTCTCTCTGCCCCAGTTCCAAAGCCCTGGGGCCCACAACCCTTCACTGCCCTTCCTCCCCTTCTCAAGACCTATCTCATGTTGAGCCCCAGTCCCTTCCACTGAGCAATCCACCACTGTCTCCTCCCCTCCCCGAAACCTCCTCTGGGCCGCCACTCCTCTGAGCCCTCAGCCGGACTCACCAGGCCCCACTCTGATTCCCTTGAAGCCAACTGGGCCCGGCCTGCCCCACCTGGACAGCCTCCCCGAGTCTCTTCTTCTTCCTCAGCAGCCGCTGAACACAGGCATTTTCTCCCTGCGGGTGATTCTTGAGGCTGAACACAGGTTTCTCTGCGGTTGGCCTATCTGAGCCTCATCCACTGCTTTCTCTGATGCTGCCCACCCGCTCCAACCAGCCTCCACCTTACCCAGAGTGACCTTGCCAAAGCCCTCTCCCCTCCCTAAACACAGCGTGTGCCCAACAGAGCTAACTGCTTGTGGCTCCTGCCTCCTGTTACCCTTTCGCATCTCTAGGCCTTTGCACATCCTCTTCCTCCTCCAGGAACTCCCTCACTTTTCTGCCCAGCACCTTAGGCTTGGCTCTGTAGAAGCTTTCTCCTCAGAGAAGCCCTCCTCCCTAACTCTCAGGGGGTCTCACTGCTTCTTGCCCCCACTTCCAGCTCATATTGCATCGTTAGCTTGAGTGTAGTGTTGTCTTCCCCGTCAGCAGTCAGGAAGCGTGGGGTAATGTCTTCATCTCTGAGTCTGGGGGATGTAGGGAGGGGGCTTGGTGGGTGGATGAGCTTTTTGCATCTAGCACAGAGGCAACAGTTTCAGGGGACTGTGACCTGAGTCCTCCTGCCTCTTCCAGACAGGTGTGCCCAGAAGGTGTGTTTCCTCCTCAGACCACGGGCTCCTCTGACTCTCCTGAGGCCAGGGCCTAGCTGGCTGGGTCAGGGAGGGCAGGCCCCGTGGCACGATCCCTTGGCATCTCCCTGAGCTTCACTGAGGAGGGACGTGAAGCCACACTCAGCAGAACTTAAACATAAAATGGGTCTATGGGAAAAACTGCTTCCCAAAGACCAGGGAGGCCAAAGTGGGCATCATTTGGGCAAGGACACCCAAGAGGTCCCCAAAGTCAGGGATCAGGAAACAGCTCAGCTCTTCCAGGCCCACCAGACGCAGGCACAGGGTTAGGAGTTTTCTTTTTCCAAAGTTTACCAAAGCAGGGAGGAAACATTTGGAGTTCAGGGTAGACAGAAAGGGGAGGGCAGAGCAACACTGGGGTGACTGGCCTCGTCATATCCCAGGTTCTGCATAAGCAGATGTGGGGGTGTTGGGGTAAAATGAGGGGCCTGGAAGCAGAGAAGACTGATGACCTGGGGCAAATGGGAGATACATAGACGGGGGGCACTCCAATCCTAGTGGGAAAGGGAGGCC
Organism: Homo sapiens; assembly: GCF_000001405.40. Lineage (NCBI taxonomy): Eukaryota > Metazoa > Chordata > Mammalia > Primates > Hominidae > Homo > Homo sapiens. The sequence goes on from NC_000001.11 coordinate 27,533,692, forward strand.
CCATGAGGGTTCCGGGACTTAGGACGGAATGAGTGTCGCCAAGAGAGATGTCCCTGAACCAGAGTAGAACTGTGAGGCCCAAAGGCCATGAATACACAGGACACACAAAGGGACTCGAGGCAGAGACCTGGGACCTTGGATGGAATAAGGGGGTCCAGAAGCAGGAGCCCCATGATGGAGGTTCCTCAGGGAGAGGAAACCCAGCATTTGGGGAGACCTTGGACTTGGGATAGAATATAGGGAGAGTCAGAGGAGACCCAGGACCTAGGACAAAATGGAGGTCCAAGAGGCAGAATCCCTGGACCTGGGACTGAACGCATGATCAAGGGCCAGGATGTCCTCGGCAGCAGAGTGGGGAGCTCAGAGGCAGGGGAGACGCAGGGCCTGGAGTGAAATGAGGGGGAACCCAGATCTCAGGCAGAAGGGAAAACTCAGTGGCCAGGAACACGTGTAGGTATTTCAACTCCTCTGGAGAACCAGTAGCTGGTGACAAAACCCAGCGGTGTCCCTTCCATTCCCTCCACCCTCACTCCCCCTTTCACAAGACACAAGGTTGGTTTTTTTTTTTTGTTTTTTTTTTGTTTTTTTTTTGCTTTTTTTCATTTCTTTTTAATACAAACTTGGATCTTTGGGTGTGTCCTGCCAACAGAAAACAACAACAACAACAACAGAAGAGAAAACCCAAAAGAGTGAAAAATAAGAAAGAAAAAAAAAGCTCCCGCAAGAGGTTCTTCTCCCTCCCCCCCACCATGCGAATTTGCACACCACGGGACCACAGCAGGTTTACAGAATGCAATATACAATCCACGATTTATAATAAAACAGTATATACAATAAATAGGATATTGTTCATTTTTGTCAAACGACCTGTAGATAAATTTCTCAGTGCATACTTGCAGGGGCTCTGGACACCTCGGGGCCCCGCTCGCAACCTCTTGCACACGCTCGCTCTCTCGCTCTCTCTCTCTCTTTTTTTTTTTTGTCTTTTTCTAAAACTGTGTTTTGTTTTTAAGTTTTGTACATTTTTAAAAAGTATTTACAATTGCTGGTTTTGTGCAGAAAGGGCTCACCTTCGGCTTCTGCGTGGAGGAGATGGGTGGGAGGGGGTGGAGGGAGATGGGTCTGCAGGGGGTGTAGGGGGCAGGGTGGGAGGCAGAGGGGCAGGAGCTCCTGCCAGAGGACGATGTGGACGCTGGGAGGGATCTTGGCGTTGGTTTTCTGAAAGCTGCAAAGAAACACAAGAGAAGAGGCAGGAGTGAGCGGCACGCATCGACTGTGCTCTGAGATCAGGGAAGTGAAGAGGGAGACCCCCACCCAGCTCCTCCCAGGATTCAGCAGGGTGAGGGGGAAAGCTAACCACTGTTCTTTCTCACAAAAACTCAGACCTGCCTTCTCTGAGCCCAGTTTCCCCATCTGTAAAATATGCGTGTCCAAGCCCCAAAACACAGGGTGAAGCAGGTGCTGGGTGAGGAGGTGGGGTTCCAGGCAGTGGAATTTGTTAAGAGCTTGGGCTCTGGAATCAGACACAGCTGAGTTCAAATACCAGTGCCACCCTTTAGTAGTGCTATGACCTTGGGCATGTTGTTGAACTTCTGTGAGCCTCAGTTTGCCCATCTGTAAAAAGAAGATAACTGAACTACCCCATTGGTTTGCTGGGAGGATTCAGCGGTATAGGACAGATGAAGCCTGGTCCTTAAGTGCATAATAAATTATACTGATTATTATTCATTATTATTTTTCTGGGGCAGTTAGGCTCTCCAAACCTGCCTCCTCATGTCATGATGAGTTTAGTAATTCCTCCAACTTAGGCTGTTCTGAGGAATGACATCATGGGGAGGGCAGGGCCTCAGCACACAGCACAGGTGTGAACAACTGCTTTTATTTCTTCTAAATCCAATCCTCTTCTTACCAATGCCATTCTGTTCCTTAGAGAGGTGAGGTGAGGAGGAAGTCTTTCTCAGTGAAAGAACAGAGAAACTGCCCAACACAATGCCATCTGTGTTTGGCTTAACCCTGCCTTCCTGAAGCTCAGACACTCCCAAGTTCCCAGTTCCTCCCATCGCCAGACACTCGAGATTGGAAGTACCCCTTTTTCCCAGACAGTTCTCATTATGCTTGCGGGGCCCTGGGGATCTGACTTCCCTACCCAGACCCCCAGCTTGGCTAGACCCCCTGGATTCACAGCTCTGCTAGGGTGAGTGAGAAGGTCCCCTGAAGGACAGGGATGGGCTCGGGACTTCCTAAGAGCTCCAGTCATTATTAGCCTGGTCCTTTCAGACTTCTGTCCTCCTCTCAGAGCCCCGAGACACACATCTCCCACCCTCAGTGTGCGACCATCTCCATCCGAATTAAAGGGCGAGGTGAGGATGCTGAAAGGGCCTCCTCAGGTTCCTTAGGAGCCCATCCGTCCTCCCCCACACCAGCAGGAATCAGGCGGCGGCAGAAAGCCTCTCCTCCCTTGTACTTTCTTGGCTTCCCTTTCTACCAGAGCCACATTTAAATTCTGCTCAGCCTCGGCTGCTGTCTGCTGGGCAGTCAGCCCCGGGGACGACTTTTGTCCTGAGGCTGGACTTGCCAGGACTCCCCCAAGGTCCAGGGGAACCAGGTGGGCTCCTGCAGAGGCAGGGCAGCACCTCATCCTGGTGGACCAGACCAGGTGGCAGGCAGAGGCATAGGAGAGGAGAAGAGCTGCATCTTTGTTAAGCTGTCAGGTTGCCTGCAGTTGCAGGAGGATGGAATACTAGCCGTAGGGGCGAGCGGTGTGCCTGGGAGGGTGACAGCTGTGCTGCAATGGGGTGATAGGTAGAAAAGCAGCTCTTGGGGCAAGGGCTGCTGCTGGGATGAATGCAAGCTCTCCACAGTCAGGCGGTAAACAGGCTGCAGAGACAAGAGGGGTGTCTATTAGGGAGCAGAATGATTTTATCTGGGGTAACTGCTTGAGCCAGAGCGCTGGGGGCATCTATCCAGAGGACTGCTCTATTGCGGTTGAAGAACAGTTGCCAAGCTAAAGAACCTCTGTTGGGGTGTTGGGGGTGACAAGGGAAGGGGACTTTAGGATGGGCTGCTCCAAACCACTGGCAAACTGATATTGTCCAACGCCAGCCTCCCCTGCTCCCTCCAAGGGCCCCGGGGCAGGCTGGGAGCCTCTGCACAAATCCCTGCACCCCCACCCCCACCCCAGGCCCTTAGCCACTGCCAGTGACCCTCTCTAAGCCAGGTCTCCATGGTGATCTCAGCCCAGCAGGCGGCTCCTGCCAGAACCATTCCCGCGGTGCCTGCGGCCAGGCAGCAGGAGGCTTTCTCACCCTCTGCTAAGCCGCCCATCGCGTCTCACCTTCCTCCTCCCACTACCCTCCCCAGCTTTCAGGACTTGGCCAGCCAGAGACTTTGGCAGAATCTTCGGGATGGGAAGGAGCGGGGGAGGGGGGAAATCAAAGCCCAAAAGCCCCAGGGTTCTCTCATGGAGGTGGGGGAGAATGCTGTGGCTGTGTGGAACCCTGACCTCACCAGGTTCAGCTCTCCACAAAGCAGGACCAGACACTAACGTGCCAGGCAGCCCAGTGCTAGGCACTGGGGACAAAGCAGAGACCAAGACCGATCTGGTTCCTGTCTTTGAGAGGCTCACAGATAGAGGGGAAAGCAAAGCAGACCCCAAACCAGGGTAATTACCACGCAGGGAGACAGGGGCTGTGCCACGGAAGGTCCTGGGGAGGCAGCTAACCTGGTCGTGGCAGGAGAGACTGTGGCTCTTCAACCACTGCTGAACACTACCCAGCACATGCTGGGGCCAAGACGTACGCTGACTGAGTGACAGAGCGGGGACTGACCTGAGTCTGGTCAGCATGTCAAGGTCCAGCTCCGGCCTTGCACACCTTCAGAACACCTCCTTAGACCACCCTGTTACCATAGCTACGGTACCCTTGTCATCCCGACCTGGCTCCTCCAGGGCAGGAACCTATATGTGGTACTGCTGCACACCCAGGGCTAGCACGCACCGGCCCCCAGCACACCAACCACTGTTCTGCAGACTTCACCTTTTAGTGCCTCCGTGACACACAACTGCAGAGCCACATTCCTCTGAGTCCTCATGCTCCGGTGGTTTCACCATCTGAGGTGCCAGGGCATTAAGTGGTCTCTGCCTGTCAAGGGGGGGACTGGCACTGGCAGCAGTGAGGGACAGCTGAGCAGAGATTCAAAGTGCTGCAGAGCACATATAAATCAGGTTGTCCAGAGGGGGCTGCTCTCCTCCAAAAAGGAAAAGGAATATATATTTGTGCTTTCATTTAAGTGAACAGCAAACATGTATTCATGCCCACTGGCTGCCAGGGCATGAGTTAAGGTCTAACCTCTACTCTCTAGTCTCTACTCTCTTGAAAGGGTCCAATGTCAAACAAGGCAGTAGAGCAGAAGGCAAAAAAGAGTGCATGAGGCCGGGCAGGGTGACTCACGCCTGTAATCCCAGCACTTTGGGAGGCCGAGGTGGGTGGATCTCTTGAGCTCAGGAGCTCAAGACCAGTCTGGCCAACATGGAGAAACCCCGTCTCTACAAAAAATACAAAAACTAGCCAGGTGTGGTGGCACACACCCTGTAACCCCAGCTACTCGGGAGGCCGAGGCATGAGAATTGCTTGAACCCAGGAAGCGGAGGTTGCAGTGAGCTGAGATCGTGCCACTCCACTCCAGCCTGGGTGACAGAGCAAGACTGTCTCAAAAAAAAAAAAAAAAAACCAGAAAAGAAAAAGTGCATTAGAATTTGAGAGGCTGATTTCCTGTGTGACCCAGAGTAAGTCCCTTCCCTCTCTGGGCTTCAGGTTTTTTTGGTTGTTTTTTGTTTTTTTTTTGAGACAGGTTCTCACTCTATCACCCAGGCTAGAGTGCAGTGGCACAATCACGGCTCACTGCAACCTCCACCTTCCAGGCCCATGAGATCCTCCCATCTCAGCACCTTGAGTAGCTGGTACTACAGGCGCACATCACCACACCTGGCTAATTATTTTATTTTTTGAAAAGACAAGGTTCCATCATGTTGCCCAGGCTAGACTCGACCTCCTGAACTCAAGCAAACCACCTGCCTTGGCCTCCCAAAGTGCTGGGATTACAGGTGTGAGCCACTGCAGCAGCCTGAGTTTCTATTCTATAAAATAAGGGAGCTGAACAGGTGATGGGAGAGATCTTCCGGCACTGGGATGGTGCCCCAAAGACAAAGGGTCACAGGCAAACCACAGAGGCCCAAAGCCTGATCCATCCCTGTAACATTTTTAGGCAGCCAGGCCTGTGAGTCATCTCCATGTGGAGAGGATACTGCTTCCTGGGGGCTCAGCCCACAACTGGTATGCAGAAGTACCGTTGGACCTGGAATTCACTGAATTATCGATGAGGCTCCCAATCAGGGATGGGGAGGCTGTGTTTGTGTCTCCCTCTACTCCAGAGAAGCTTTTTTTCTTTTCTTTTTTTTTTTTTTTTTTGGAGATAGGGTCTCACTCTGTCACCCAGGCTGCAGTGCAGTGTCATGATCGAGGGTCACCGCAGCCTCAAACTCCTGGGCTCAAGCGATCTTCCCACCTCAGCCTCCTGAGTAGCTGGGACTACATGTGCATGCTACCACATCTGTCTAGTTTGTATTTTTGTAGAGATGGGGTCTTACTATGTTGCCCAGGCTGGTCTCAAACTCCTGGGCTCAAGCGATCCTCCCACCTCGGCACCCCAAAGTGCTGGATTGCAGGCGTGGTGAGCCACCATGCCAGGCCTGGAGAATTTTTTTTTTGTTTGTTTGAGATGGAGTCTTGCTCTGTTGCCCAGGCTGGAGTACAGCAGTGCAATCTTGGCTTACTGCAACCTCTGCCTACTGGGTTCAAGCAATTTTCCTGCCTCAGCCTCCCGAGTAGCTGGGATTACAGGTGTGCGCCACCATGCCTGGCTAATTTTTGTATTTTTAGTAGAGACAGGGTTTCACCATGTTGGTCAGGCTGGTCTCGAACTCCTGACCTCGTGATCCACCCACCTCGGCCTCCCAAAGTGCTGGGATTACAGGCGTGAGCCACCGCACCCGGCCTGAGAATTTTTTCAAATGTGAGTCCACTACTGACCAGAGGTGCTCCTTAAACTCTAGCTCTGCCAGCCATTCCCTCCTTAAGGTTCTTCTCATCTCCCCAGCTGTGAGGCAGTAGGACCAAATGGGGTTCCCCAGCCTTGTGTGACCCTGTGTCTCTACCACCTCTCAGAGCCTCACATTCCTTACCTGTCCTGGGAGGAGGCTAGCCTCACCTCCTCCATCTCTCTCTCTCTCTCTCTCCCCCACTCTCCACCCTCCAGCTGGAGATGCCATATGTAAAGACAGGCATTCCTGATGGGTTTGTGTCGGACATGCAACTGAAGTGGAGGCTGAGGAAAGAGCAAGAACCATGGAACCAGGCAATCCCCAGGGGCCCTTCCTGGCTCTACCTTCTGTGCTTCAATGACCAGGTGGCTCTGAGTCCTCAGGCGAGGACCTTTCCCTCTTTGTAAACTGGATGGATTGTGCTTGGAGAGGTCCACAGGCCCAGTGAGCTCTGAGAATTTGAACTGGTTTATTTACACACCCTGTCCCTGCCCTTCTATTAGGAGCACTTCCTGATGACAGGGTGAAATTGTCCCATCCCGTTCCCCAGGGCTTAACCTTTCCTCTTAGAATTCTCCCTATTCTACATGCTTTTCTTCAACTCAAGTTAAAAAAAAAAAAACAAAAAAACCTGAAATGTCCCAGGCATGATGAGACACTGGGTGGGGGAGGGGAGGACGGTGCCCAGAGATGAGTAATTGCCCTAAAGGAGTTGGTGGCGTGGCAAGGAGGGCATTCCCAGGAAGGGCTGTCACGGATGCAGAGAGGGTGAGAGATTAATTGGACCTGAGAAGGACCCTGGAATGCTTCTTGGAGGAAGTGATGTCTGAGTGAAAGATAGGAACTGACAGGTGGGAGATGGGGTAGGAAAGGGCCACCCAGGCCAGGAACAGCAAAAGCACGGGGCACCTTTGGGAGCCAGCCCTCCCAGAGCTCCCTCCTGTTTCCACACATGCTCCTGGCTGTTAAGGGAGGGTGTGTGTGAGGAAGATCGGGGCTGAAAAAAAGGTTGGGTGCCAGGACGGAAGCCTGGAATACCTTGAATACCATGCTGGGAAGCTGGGCCTTGATTTTATAGGCAAGGAAGGAGGCTGGAGAGGGAAGGAAGCAATCAGAAGGTGTAGAGCAATGGAGTCACAGGAGCAGATGTGTTTTAATCAATTCATCCAATAAATATTTTAGGGACTCCAGACACTGTGCATCTAAAAATGCTAAAAAAAAAAAAAAAAAAAAAAAAACAACAACAAAACCCAAGCACTTTGGTGGCCATAATGGGGAGAATGAACTGGGGGGCTGGGGGTGGGGTGCGTGCTTGGAGCAGGGAGGGAGTGGGGCCAGAAACCCAGGTGGCTGAGCTAGAGCTAAAGCCTCTGAAGTCTCAAATTTGTCAAGACCCATTTCCTGCCTCCAGGAATCTCCTGCTGCCTGCCCTGCTCACAACGGTTTTAGAGGGTGGTCCCTGTTCCTTCTCATGGGAGTGTCCCAGGCCCTGTTCTAGAGAGTGATGCTCATGTGGAGGATTTTTATTTTTTATTTTTTATTTTTTTTGAGACGGAGTCTTGCTCTGTCGCCCAGGCTGGAGTGCAGTGGTACGATCGTAGTTCACTGCAACCTCCGGCTCCAGGGTTCAAGCAATTCTCCTGCCTCAGCCTCCCACGTAGCTGGGACTACAGGCACACACCACCACAACTGGCTAACTTTTGTGTTTTTAGTAGAGACAGGGTTTCACCATGTTGGCCAGGCTGGTCTCAAACTCCTGGCCTCAAGTGATCTGCCCGCCTCGGCCTCTGAAAGTGCTGGAATTACAGGCATCAGCCACTGTGCCCGGCCCATGTGGAGGTTTTTTTTTTTTTTTTTGAGACAGAGTTTTTGCTCTTGTCACCCAGGCTGGAGTGCAGTGGTGTGATCTTGGCTCACTGCAACCTCCGCCTCCCGGGATCAAGCAGTTCTCCTGCCTCAGCTTCCCGAGTAGCTGGCACTACAGGCACCTGCCATCATGCCCGGCTAATTTTCGTATTTTTAGTAGAGACAGGGTTTCACCACGTTAGCCAGGCTGGTCTCGAACTCCCAACCTCAGGTGATCCTCTTCCCTCGGCCTCCCAAAGTGCTGGGATTACAGGCGTGAGCCACCGCGCCTGGCAAGGAGGTTTTAAACAAACACCTGTAAAAGGCTGCAAGCCCTGTGGGGGCAGGGCACTGTGTGTCTTGCTCAGTGATACCTGCAGCACTGGATACAATGCCTGGCCCCAAGCAGGTCACTAGCTCATGTGTGTGAACACAGAATTTATCTACTTCCCCCAGCCTTCCAGCACAAACGCAGTGCACTATGGCAGCAAAGGTTATGCTGACAAAGATGGCACAACTGCCAGGGGAAAAATCATGACATATTACAGTCACAAGAAAATATTTTTCATATTTGCAGTGGGGGAGAGGACTGGTGTGCATAACTGTGATGACAGCATTTCTAGCTGAGCCGGGTCATTTTGTCCTTGGGTCCTCCAGGGAGGACTCGGCCCAATTGCTAACGCAAAGAACTAGGTGCTATCACAAAGCCTCCCCCAAGGCCCCAAATCCACACTAGAATACAACCTCCTTCCTAGGAGGAGCACAGGCGAGGGAGGGCCGGCTCTATGGTCCTGCATGAAGGTACAAGAGGCGAGGGTTGGAGGTGTGTGACTCACACAGGCTGGTCAGAGGCCCCGGAGTTCAGCCTCTGTCGGGTATTTACCTACCCATCACCAGCCGCTGACTACGTGCTCACTGTGTACCAGGGACCTGGCCAAGGGCTTCACGTGTAATCTCATTTAATTCTCACAAGAGATGCAGAGAGGTGACGTGACTCATCAGGTGACATGACTCACCAGGTCACCTAGCTGGTAAGGGATGGAACTGGGTTGTGCATAGAGGCCTATCTGTGTCCACAGGCAGGCTCCCAGCCACCACCCTCCAGTTCCGTGGCCCTGCTCTGGGACGTGGGAAGATAAGAAAGAAGAAGGGTGAGTCGGTATGGTCGTGGAGAGATTACATTTTCAGGAAATGAGGGCTCAGAACAAGGCCTGGCCTAAACATGGCTGCAGGAGTGGCAAGAGATAGGATCAGAGGGAGGATGGCCTCAGAGAGTGTGGGGAAGAACTTGTGCCCAGAAGAGTCAGGGCAGGACTGGCTGGGCCCTGACGTAAGGCCTCTTGCTCAGAGTCACAGGCAAGATCAAGTGACCTCTCGAGGTTTCAAGACACGAAGAGACAAAGCCCAGAGCAGCTGCGGCCTGGTCCAGGCCCGGGCATGCCTGCTGACCCCGGCTGGATGGTGGCCTTGGAAACTGCTTCCTGCTTCAGTCAGGCCCTAGCCGCGTAACCTTGGAGGACCTGTGACATTTCTCTTGGCCTCAGGTCAGGCCTGAGAGGGAGTAGGGAGGGGAGAGGGACTCGAGAATCCTGAACACCTTGGAGGGCCCTTCATACCCTCCCACCCCTGTCCCCAGGGTCTGATAGGGTCGATCTTTAGCCCACAGGGCCCAACGTGGAGCCAGTCTGTCTGGCTCTACTTTCCATCTAGAGGCCCAGAGAAGATGTCTGCACAGGGCCAAGGCCCCCTCCTTGCTTGACCCGTTCTGTTCCCCGTCCCATCAGCCACAGCTCTCAGATCAGTCAGGCTCCACATTCCCCATTCTGTCTCCTCTGAGCTTTTATCTTCTAATCCACATTGGGATGTGACCTGCCTTTGCCCACAGTTCCCTCTGCCCAGAATGCCCTTCCCCCGGTCTCCATGTGTGCAAACCTTGCCTATTCTTGAAGGTTGAGCTCCAGTGCAGCTTCTTCCACAGAACCTCAAAATCCATTTAAGATGTCAGACCCAGCAAGAGTTGTGGGGACTGGGGCGGGTGCGGTGGCTCACACCTGTAATCCCAGCACTTTGGGAGGCTGAGGCAGGTGATTCACAAGGTCAGGAGTTCGAGAACAGCCTGACCAATGTGGTGAAACCCCATCTCTACTAAAAATACAAAAAAGTTAGCTGGGCACAGTGGTGCGCCCCTGTAATCCCAGCTACAGGAAGCTGAGGCAGGAGAATCGCTTGAACCCAGGAGGCAGAGGCTGCAGTGAGCCGAGATCGTGCCACTGCACTCCAGCCTCGGCGACACAGTGAGGCTCCATCTCAAAAAGAAAAAAAAAAAAAAGTGTAGGGATTGTCCAATCCAACCTATCCTTTTGCAGATGGGGAATCAGGCGTGGGGAGATGAGAGGCAGCCATATGGCAGAGCACCCAGGCTCAGGAGGGACAGTACTGGGTTCTAATCCTGGCTCCACTATCTGCCAATGGATCCCCTGGGCAAGGTTCAGAGCTGCACCCATTTCCTCAACTCTAATGTGGGATAGGGCGGGAGGCAGGGGGTTGTGGTGGGGAGACACACCCCACCTCATAGTCTGCTGTGAAGGGTCAGTGAGGCAGCGTTACATAAAGGGCCCAGCACAAATGTCCCTTTTCTCATCAAGGGGGCAGAGGGCTGACTTCTGACCACAACACCCAGCTGTCCAGCAAATCTTTGTTTCTCACTGCCTCTGGGCACCTGCCACTCTCTGCCAGGTGTTTTCAGGTTTTTTGTGTACTTGTTTTAGTTTCCTGGGGTGGAGGCTGAACTGGAGGACAGGGGTCATGCCTGCTTTGTCTCCCCAGTACCCAGCACTGGATGGACACACAGGGGCTCAGGTTGGGAAACTAAGCTCAACTGCTGCTTCTCCAGTGCCTGGCGTCAAAACTGCTCACTGCTATTGGTGAATGAGCGTGTCCTTGTCCTCTCTGCTTAAGCCCTCTGTTGAGAGTGGCAACTCCCTCTATGAACTTTTTCCTTGCCACTCTCCTTCTCTGTATCTCCAACTCTTTCTCATTCCCGTGGTGATTTTGATCATCCCCTGGCACTGGGGGGTTGCCCTAGAGCCTGTGGGTCATCTTAGATAGAGAGAGGGGGCAGCCGTCCCACCACCTTGGCCTGGGCCATCATCACTGCATGTGTGGACTACTGCAGCTGGTCTCCCTGCTTCAACACTAGCCCTGCTCCACGGTGGCCTGGGGAATTCCAGCAGGGAACTCTTCAGTGGATCCCCACGTGTCTGGGAATGAAATTCAGACTCCTTCTAATGCCCCGCATGATCTGGCCTCGCTTGCCTCATCCCCTCACTTAGCTTTACTGCCTTCCCATAGGCAGTTTCTTAAAGCTGAGTCCCTTCCTGCCTCCAGGCTTTCCACACTGCTGTTCCCTCTGCCCAGAATGTTCTTCCCCCTCCCCGCCAGCTGTTCAGCCCCATCATTCCTCAGGCCTCAGCTTCAAGGTCCGGTCAGCATGCTGTGTGCGCTCACAAGCTTCTAGCTTTTTTCTCTTGTACAGTGCTTCCCACAGCTGGAATCAACACATGCTTAATGCCACTGTTTGCTGTCTTTCCCTCTAAATGGGAAGCCCCCTGAGGACCAGTACCTCATTTGTGGTGTTCACTGTGGTGCCCCCAATGCCTGGCTTCTAGTGGGTGCTGGACAGATGTCTCTAGAACAATGGAATGCATTGGTTTGAGGACAGCGCAGTTAACTCACAGCCCTGAGTGGGGAGCAGGGCCAGAATGTGGGGCTGGATGGCATCCCAGTTCCTCCTGCGTTCAGGCCTCACTGGGTGGTTCCATTATGTACTTCACTGAGCTGTGACCTGCCCAAACACCCAGCCCCCACACCCGTCCATTTTCCCACCCAGAGCCTGGGAGGAACGGTTTTTGGATTATTTCACATTTCTGGATTATCCATGAGACATCTCCCCGCCAGTGAGAAGGATCAAGAGTTTGACATTTTAAACCCTAAGCAGTTTCTCCCTGGCCTGCTTCAGATCTGAGGCTCTGCTGGTTGCAATGAGACGCATGGGGAATGGAAGGCCATTTTAATCTTGGCCTGGCTTCATCAGGAAGGAAAAGATGCTGCCAAAAAAAAAAAAAAAGTTTGCTTCATTGTCTCTGCCATGCAGAGCTGCGAGAGCCTAAGGGATTATCAAAGTAAATTTCCTTGAAAAGATGGGGAAACTGAGGCCCAGAGAGGGGCAAAAGCTTGGTCAAGGGCATGTGGGAAGTTGGTGGCCAATCTGGGAATGGTCCTCCCGGAGGCCTCCGGACTCCTGCATGCTGCCCTTTGTCACCTTCAGGCACCAGGGGAGCTGGGGTCTGGCAGAGAGGGGGCAACAAGTTTCCACTGACATGACTTCAGGACCCTGAGTCACCCTGGCCTTGAATGGCCTCCCAGAGCACGGATGGGACTTTCCAGGAGCCCAGCTACTCCTCCAGGAAGAGAAACTCCCAGGAAGCTTCAGTGGCAGCAGAGGTGAAGGGTGAGGGACGCAGGCATGCCCCCAGTCTGCCCCATCACCAACCACCACATCTGGGCCAATTTTGTGACAGATCTGTTGTCCAAAAGTGGGGCCAGTGGCGGCTGTATTTCGGGAGCAGGCTGTTCTTCAAGAAGATGGCTCCTTCAACCTTGTTCCCTTTGATCATTTTGGGGGCATTTTCTGTCTTTTATTTTCCTTTTTTAAAACACCAAATCTTGAGAATACTAAAACTGACTCCAACTAATGAGGTCACAGTACCTGATAAAAACAGTATCAAAACATTTAACACTCTTTAACTGAACTCTCAGAAAAGTCTTTGGCTTCAGGAAAGGGACTGGCTTTTCTAGGGTCAAAATACCTTTGCCTGAAGATAGCCTCACTGGCTGCAGGTTTGCAGGGACAGTGGGACCCCAGCACCCCTTCTCCACTTCTGGGTCCCTACCCCACATGCTCCTGGCCACACCTAGCCTATCTCAGACCAAAGATGTTGGAAAATAGCCTTTGGGGGTACCTTGGGAGGCCAAGAGAGGACATTTTGGACCATCCTGTGAAGCCCTTGCAGAGTGTGTGACCACGCCACACTGGCCACTCTTGGCCTGGCCCTCACCAGGCTGCCTCTTAGAATCAGTGAAGCTCCCAGGGAAATGGGGGTGCCAGCAGGGCTGGTCCTCTGGATAGGCCCTGGGTAGACGACCGTCCAACCTGCTTCTCCCTTCACCTGTCTCACACAGGGCGATACAAATGCCCACCCTTATCAGCGTATTTCCTGGGAAATACTCACTTCCTGCCCAAGACATAGCATGAACAAATAATTGAAAGCTTAATAAACCAAACTACAGGGCCCCATCCAGTGTGTAGTCCTCTGGCCATTTCAATTCACAAGACCCCCCCGAACGTTCAAGCCCCCTGCTGAGTTCCCAGCCCAAGCACCCCATCTCCTCCTGAGACTGTCCGCAACAGCGAATCCTGAATCCCTACACCCTGCTCTCAGTCCCCAGCCTTGCCCTTAAATCCTGCATTTGCTTCCTGCACTCCATACCTCTGTCCTTGCCTAAGCTCTGATGTCCTCTTCCCACCCCCAGGCCTCTGCCCACTGCGCCCACATCCCCAGACTCACCCAGGAACAAAACCTCGCGGTCCAGTCGGCACTTCAGTTGGCACTACAGGGATGTGACGGTGAATGTGTCCTCGGGGTGAGGTTCCGCCATGGGCCCCAGGAAGCCGCTCTTGGGGCCCCCACCCAGGCCAGGATGCGCCTGGGGCATAAAGCCTGGGTACCTGTAGGCGGTGTCCTGCAGGGGCAGCAGCGAGTCCCTCGGCACGGGGGACAGGGTCAAGTCACTAAGGAGTGGGCAGCCATAGCCAGCAGCGGCTGCAGCAGGGCCACGGGGTGGGCCAGGGGGCCGGGCCATTTCCAGTGGCTCCTTGTCGGCCTTGGGCGTGGCTGGTGGGCTAGCCAGGTGAGGGGCACTGAGGCACGCGGCCTCCGTCCTGCCCAGGAAGTCAGCCAGCAGCCCTGTACCCACCTTGCCTTCATAGGGCGGGCTGCGGGCAGCTGAGCCTGGAGGGTACCAATAGGCTGTGCCCTTGCAGCTGGGGGAATCGTAGTGGGGCTGGCCCAGCGGCAGGTCCCGGCAGCTCAGGTGGGCCTGGGCTGCAGCTGCGTGGCCCAGGCTGGCCCCCTGGAGTCCATGCTTGAGGGGCTCGCAGGCAGCCAGCTTTGTGGGCGGTGGCCGCAGCTCTTCCTTGAAGCCCAGTGTAGGCGAGCAGGTGGGCGAGTATGCCTTCTGCAGGCCGGCGTCAAACACCGTGGGTGGGTGGGCCAGCGGTGGGAAATGCTTGCCATCAAGCTCGGGAGCACCCAGGCTGGGCGAGTCGCAGTGGAAGCCTTGGCCAAAGGTGCCATCGGAAGGCGTGGACGGGTTCATGGAGTAGGGTCCTATGAAGTCACAGGGGTCTCGCTCTCCCACGCCGAAGGCCCTCGACTGTGAGGGCAGTGGTGACATGCTGCTGTCCCCGCTATAGTAGTCCAGGCCGAGGTCAGGACTGTCCTGGAACAGTGGGTTGACTGGCTGTGGCTTGGGGATGAACTTGGCTTTGGCCGCTGCGCCACCCCGCTCCTTCTTGGCTGAGCAGGCCCCACCGCCCCGTCCACCTCGCGGCTGCCGGGGCCCAGTGCTCCGTTTGGATGGGTAGCCTGAGGCAGCGGCAGAGGCGGATGTCGGGAAGCCCAGATGTGAGGCCTCGAACAGGTCCACCTTCTTCCGCCGTCCACGGCCCGGCTTGGAGCTACTCTGAAAGAGGACACTCTGGTTCCAGTTGTAGCCGGGGGCAGATGATGCCTCGTTCCAGTCCATCATCAGTTTCTCCAGGCTGGACAGGCTCGACTGGCCCTCACTACTTGAGGCCTCGCTGTTGGCACGCCGAAACCCCCCGCCACCAACCGGCTGATTGAACTGGGTGCTGTCGGAGGATGACTCAGAGAAGGTCTCCGACACAGCCGTCTGCTGCTTCACCTTCTGCGGTGTGTAGTTGGAGATGTCCAGGATCACGTTGGGCTCGCTGACGTGGCAGTCAAAACTGGGATTGTAGAGCTGACTAAAGGCCTCTGAGGCCCAGTCCAGGCCTCCATAGCCCTGCCGGAAAGGCCACTGAGAAGCCCCCGCAAACTGCCGACAGTTCTCGGGCGAGGGCTGGAAGGAGGAGGAGGAGGAGGAGGCGGCAGAGGCTGCAGAGGTGGCAGAGGCTGTGGTGCCCTTGGGTACCATGTAGCCACCGGGCGAGACTGTGCTGGCCCGGCTGTCACAGCGCAGGGGCGTGGGGGCTGAACCAGAGAAGGGGGCCCCCTCAGAGCTGCTGAAGAAGGAGGCCTTGCTTGGTGGCAGGCAGGGGCCCCCGGTAGGCGGTGGGGCATAGCCGGCGCTGTGGGCGCTGCTGGGTGAGGCAGGGAGGCTGTTGCCACTGCCATAGGCGAAGCTGCAGTCCTTGCTGTTAGCGCAGTCCTGGCCTGTAAAGGGCTTAGTTGGGGCGAATACGCTTTGTCCGGCCCCATAGCCGCCGTACTGGGGCAGGTAGGTGTTGGCAGGCGGGTGGGTGGTAGGTGAGCGGGCCATGGCTGAGGGCGGGGGCACCAGCTTGGGGAAGGTCTCGGCTGCCCGGCAGTCTGAAGCGGCTGGAGTTAGCCCATAGCTTGCTGCTCGTCCTGGTGGGAAGGTCTGGCGCGCGGACAGGACAGGCTGAAAGGAGGGGTCCGCCCCAGCCCCGCTGCTACCCACTGCCACTGGGCTGGCCTTGGCTCCCCGGCTAGGGAAGGTGGCCAGGCCCCGCTGGGCAGGCAGGGCACTGGTGGGTGGCCCTGCATAGGTGCCCGATGCCTTCCGGGACTCTGGGCGAGAGGCTGAGAGGGCAAAGTCCAAGAGATCGGAGGAGTCATCCGAATCGAGCAGCGAGCGAAAGTAGCCGGTGAAGAGGTTTTGGCGCTCCTGGCTGAGCTCGGTCTGGCCTGAGGGTGCACCCGTGCTGTAGTAGCTGCCACGGCCTGAGGCTCCACTCTCCAGCCCAGTGGAGGCAAAGGCCCGGGCCTCGGTCCCCTGAAACCCACAGTTTCGGCCAGCTTGTCCGCCTGGGTGCCCATGGTGAGGGGCCCAGCCACCACCCTTATCCCCGGCCCACTCAGCACCTGCCTCCCCAAAGCCTGGGCCACTGGGCACCTGCTCTGGGAACAGAGTCCCATTCTTCCGGGACCGTCTCTTGCGCTTTGGCTTCCCAGTCACAGCGTCTACCTCCCCCCGGCCCCGTTTGCGTGGGTGCCCCAACTCAGTAAGGCCCGGGCCCCCGACCCCAGCGGCTGCCACGGCCACCACCTTCTTTTTCTTGCCGATGCCCTCAAAGAAGTCACTGAAGGAGCATCGGGCTGACTTGGCCGCATGGCCCCCACCCCGGCCACCAAAACCGCCTGCTTTGCCCCCACGCCGCCGGAAGCCCTGCACACGATGCAGGAAGTGGGAGATGCTCTGGGTGTCGGGGGCCTGGTGCACCGACTCCGGCTCACTGGGTGTCCAGCAGCGGGGCGGTGAGCACCGTCCAGCGCACTGGCTCTGGCGGTTCAGGAAGGCCAGCTTGGCCAGGACGTCTGAGTACTCGGCCTTGCTGTCGTTGGCGTCTGCTGCATAGGATGGCTGGGGAGATGCCAGCTTCTGCTTCCGCCGCCGTCGTTTTTTTACCTCTGGCATGGCCATGGTGGCCGCTGCCACAGTGGCTGCCTCGGCCGCCACCACAGCTGGCTCCTTGGGCTTGCCGGGACCCAGCAGCAGGTTCTTAGGAGGGCGGCCGCGCTTACGTTTGAGAATAATGGGCATCTCACCGGGTGGGAAGACCACTACCACGTTCCGCCCATTGTTCTTCATCTTCAGCAGCGGGGTGGGCTCAGCCGACACGCGCAGGCCCAGCTCCTTGCCCTCCACGCTCAGGCTGCTGCTCAAGGAAGACACTTTGTATGTGGTCTTGTTCCGCCGCCCCAGCGATACGGGGATCTTGGCCATCTTCACCACCATGCGCCGCACGCCCCGGCACTTGCCTTTGCGGGTAGAGACCACTGGGGTCTGGGAAGATTCCGGCTTCAACTCTGGGACTGAGACCGGGCCTGGGCCTGGCAGGGCAGGGGGTGGAGGAGGCGGTGGTGGTGGGGGTTCGGCCAGGGCAGCCACCAGCCCCGTGGGCATAGGCAGGGGCAGTAGGCGGCCCTCGGGTCCGGCGTCTGCCTTGCGTCCCCGTCCGGCTTTCCGCCGGCGACACAGGATCTTTGGCCTATCAGTGCGCCGCAAGGCGTACTTGGGGTGACCCTCAGGCCCGGGGGGGCCGTGCGGTGAGCACAAGTCCAGGCGCAAGGGCTCGGCCAGTGGGCAGTGCCCCAGGGGCTGCTGGGGCTCCAGACGGCGACCTGGGACGTCAAGCAGCTTGGGCAGGGGGTCGAGTGCCTGGGGGTCAAGCAGCTGCGACTCCAAGGAGTCAGGCAGGGTGTCCAGGGCCTGGAGAGCCAGGCCCGGCAGCCCCAGAGGATCAGCAAGAGGTTGCAGGGGTGGCAGCTCCAGAGCTTCCCCGAGCGGCTCTAGTGCCTGCGGGTCCAGGAAGCGGGGCTGGGGGTCCAGGAGCTGAGGCTCCGGCTCGGGCGATGGTGGCTCGAGGGCCTGGGCCTCTAGCAGCTGGGCCTCTGGGCAAGTGAGGGAGGCCAGCTCACTAAGGATGTCGGCGTCAGCAAGTTCTGAGTAATCAGTGCTGTCTGGCTCAGGCTCTGGGGGCAGACCCGTGGCCGCAGCCGTGGCTCCGGGACTATGGCCTTGGCCAGGCTGGGGACTGTCCCTAGGCTCAGGCTCAGGCTCGTAGAGGGGATGGCTGGGCCGCTCCGACTTGGCGTGTGGGGTGGCCCGCTCCTCAGGGCTACGGATGCTGTTGGCCAAACTGGGTGAGGAGAAGAAGCTGTACTGTAGGTCGCCGGGTGGCGGTGCAGGCGGGCGGCTCAGTCGGAGCCCACCACAGTCCAGGTGTACACCACTGTGCTGCAGGTCCTGGGAGAGGCGTGTCAGGTCCTTCATGATGTCAATCAGCTGCACCACTGGTCGCAGGTTCACCCGCCCGTTGTCCCAGCAGCGTCGGGAGCTGCTGCCGTCTCCGACCGGTGTGGGGCAGCGGGCCTGTGAGACAGGACGGGCTGCCCGTGGGGGCAGCGGGTCGTCCCCCTTGGCAAGGACTGGTGGGCGCCGGGTGCTGGGGTCCCGGCGTGGGGGTGGGCGTGGGTTCTCGGAGAAGGCGTGGGTGGAGAAGGCCTTGTCAGGTGGGCTGGCAGGGGGCCGGGTGGGAAGCAGGGGCCGGGGGGTGGGGGGGCCGCCGGGGTAGTACTTGGGTTCCCGGAGGTAGTCAGGAGAGCTGCACACGGCACTGGAAGTCACCACCAGGCCCTGGGGCTTCACACGCATCCTGACCTTGTCCTCCGCAGGCCGCCGGGCGGGGCCGGGGCTGACATGAGGGTGCGAGAAGCCGGGACCAGGACCTGCCAGGCAGGAAGAGCAGGAGGTCCCTTACTGAACACCTACATCCTCATCAGCTTCCCATATCCTTGATGAGCTCCTGGACCCCTCCCTCCTGAGGTCTCATCTCCTTACCAAGCTCCCCTCCCCACCCCAAGCCCCATCCCCTTGCTGACTCCCAGCCTTTCTCAAACCACCATGTGTATAGTGAGCCCCTCATGGGCCCAGTTTCACTTTTTTTTTTTTTTTTGGAAGAGAGTCTCACTCTGTCGCCCAGGCTAGAGTGAAGCAGCGTGATCTCAGCTCACTGCAACCTCCGCCTCCTAGTGCAAGCGATTCTCAGGTGTCAGCCTCCCAAGCACCTGGGATTACAGGCATGCGCCACCACACCTGGCTAATTTTTGTATTTTAGTAGAGACGGGGTTTCACCAAGTTGGCCAGGCTGGTCTGGAGCTCCTGACCTCAGATGATCCACTTGCCTCAGCCTCCCAAAATACTGGGATTACAGGCGTGAGCCACCATGCCCGGCCCAGTTTCACTTATTGACAGCTCATCCCCTTTGGGAATCTGGCTATGCACTCAGGAAGAACAGGACCCCTGCCTTTGAGAGGGAAGCACATCAGCAGGGTGATCAAACTTAAGGAGAAGGCCAGGAAGTTCTAACAAGGGCACGGCCTCCCTCCTTCTTACCCCGAAAGGGCTCCAGGAGAACCCCCACCACTCACCCTCGGCTCTGCCGCCTGGGCTGTCACACTGGAGATCTCTGTGGGCAACAAGACGGGCAATAGATCTGAATTCCCCAAATGGTCTGGTGGCCACAGCTCAACCCCTGCCCACCGGCCCAGCCTCCTCCAGGTACCACCCCCGGCTCCCTCAGCGCTCTGTCCAGCGCAGACACCCGGCTGACCTGGAAGAGAGAGGGCCCCCGTGCCTGGGGGCTCTGCCAGTCGCTGGCTGTCAGCTGGGGGTGCTGTGGAGCAACTTCGGCCTGAGCCCAGGCCTCGGGGCGTGGACAGCGCCTGGAAAGGACCATCGCAGCTCAGGTTTAGTGAGCACCTACTGCGCGCCAGGTACTGGGCTGGAAGCTGTCCAGGCATCGTTTCATTTAATTCTTCATACCAATCCTGTGAGGTAGGGGCTATTAATAACCCCATTTTGCAGATGAAGAAATGGAGGCTCAGAGATAAAAGTAACATCATTCATTCATACACTCATTAGTTATAAAGTACCTACTTTGGACAAGGACTGGACAGACAGACACTGATCAGATCATTATAAATGACTTAATTACTAGTGGGATAAGAGCTGCAAAGAAAAAGTGAAGATGCCTGAGGTCAGAGCAATCACACCGGGAGTCAACAATAAAAGCCCATAGTTTGGGGACATTTTCTGTTGCCAAACACTGGGCCAAGCACTTTATATAGATTATCTCATCAAATTCCCCAGACAAACATGAGATCAATATGATTATCCTCCCCAGTCTTACAGAAACTACCCCCTGGAAGATGGTAAACACCATAAAAGCAAGGATATCTGTCCTATTCACCACTATATGTATTTCCCAACACTCAGAACAGCACATGGCCTACAGCAGCGCTTAAAAAAAAACAGCTGTTTGGCCAGGCGCAGGGGCTCACACCTGTAATCCCAGCACTTTGGGAGGCTGAGGCAGGAGGATCGCTTGAGTCCAGGAGTTCGAGACCAGCCTGGGTAACATAGCGTGACCTCGTCCCTACAAAAATTTAAAAATTAGCTGGGCATGGTGGTGCACACCTGTAGTCCCAGCTACTCAAGAGGCTGAGGTGGGAGGATCACTTGAGCCCAGGAGGTTGAGGCTGGCTGCTCTGAGCTATGATCGTGCCATTGTTCTCCAGCCTGGGCAGCAGAGTGAGATCCTTTCTCCAAAACATTAAATTAAAAAAGTTTGTTGCATGAATGAACGCACACAAATGAGGTACGCAAAGCAATCAACCCTGCCTTTTCCCTTGAGGCTCTTTCTTCTTCTCCAGACCCAAGAAGGATGCTGAGAGAGGGACCTAAGAATGTGAAAAGGGACATTCTCTGATCCTTCTTCCACCTTCATCGGAAAAACTCTGCTGCTCCATCCTACCTCTGGCCTTGTCCTGGCCCCTGCTACATCCTCTCAGAGCCCTATGTATTTCACCTTCATAGTATTCATTGCAACTATAATCAATTACTTGCGTGACTGGCTGTTTAGTGTGTCCCCCACAAGAGTGTGGGCTCTTCAGGAGCAGGGATCACATCTGTCTTGTTTATCGCTGTATCACCTGACCCTGGGGCCTGGGCTATGAATGCTACATAAATATTTACCGACTGACTCCCTGAGCTGGTCAGGGCAGAGCTGGGATTTAGATCCAGGCATGTCTGACTCCCAAAGAAGCCTGAGGACTCAGGGCCATGGCTGATCCCAGGAGCCGGGATCTCAGGGAGCAGGGAGCTGAATGGACCCCAACACTGTGAGGGTCTTAAAGACTGACCTTGTTCACTGCCTAATGTTTGGCTCTGACCTAGTACTGGATCCCTGGGACCTATGTGCCACAGACCCATGTAGATTCTCCCCACCTACCCATGCTGTCACCCCACAGGAAGACTGCAGAGCTGACTCGGGGACAGGATAAAGTAGAAAGAGACACTTCTCTACTCCCCTTTGGGGGACAGCGATTTGCAATCTACAAAGCACCTACACATCTGTGACCCACTGAATCCTCACAGCAGCCTGGGAGGCATGATTTATTATCCCCATGTTACAGGGGAAACTGGCTCAGAGTGTATGTGTAACTTGCCTGAAGTCACATAGCTGCTAAGAGGCAGGATTTCTAATTCTGCCTTAAGTCCAAAGCCTCCTTCCACTCCCAGCTCCTGTAACAATCCTTCAGCCACTTCTGAAAATGCTCCTTCTAGCGCCGTGGTCTAATTTAAGGCTGGGAGGAACCTTAAAATTATCTAACCCATTGGCTTCCAAAGCCTGGGCCTGGGGGAGCTGTGTAACATTCCAGATACCCAGGCCCTAGTCCAGGGGAATGTGACTCATAGATGTGAAGGGACATCTGGGAATCTGTATTTTTAACCAGCTACCCCAGTGGGGACACTTTCTAGTGCCATCTCATGCCCCTCCCATTTTACAGATGAGGAAACTGAGACTTGAAGAGGGAAAGAGACTTTGTCCGAGGTCACAAAATGGCACAGGAAGGGGCCCTTTGGTTGCCCACCCAGGTGGAACATCCCTCTATCCACTGTTCCTTCTCTCTCTGCAGGCTCCAGGACTCAGCTGCTCCTCGTTGTCCCACCTACTGGTCCCACCTACTTTGCTCTCTCCCAGGCCTGGCTGTGGACCTGGCCCCTCCCAGGTCAGGATCTCTCTAGTCCAAGAACTTGGAGCACTGTTGCCCTCACAGGGAGGACAGTGGGTGACACCCTCACAAACGAGAAAAGGGGCTCAGACTCTGGAACCTCCAAGTCCAATTTCCAACAGTGTGGTTGGGCCGTGGCTCCTGGCACCCACTTGGAGATGCCCACCAGAAGCCCCCTCCCTCCCTCCCTTACTGAGGGTCAGGCTAGCCGAGCCTTCCCCGCCCTGGAGACCTCCCAGCTGGGGCCTGAGGGTGTGATCTTGGCAGAAGAGAAAAACCTCCTCTCCGGTGGTGGCTTCTGTTCAACCCACCCGTGAAGACCTCTGGGCACGTCCTCCTGCCAGGCCTCCTGAGGCTGGCCACTGCTCTCTTTTGCAGCCTCCAGGATCTGAGGGAAACAGCTGGCTCCCCTCCTCACCACACCCCGGCGGCCATTCTCTTGGACCCCTCCCAAGGGTACCACCTAGCCCTGGTCTGTGGACAAAGTCAAAGGGGTACTTCTGTCTGCCTGTCTGCTGTTGGGTCAGTGTGTCTGAGCTTGCCCATAGGGACACCAGCTGGTTGGGAGGGGGCTGGGGGCCCCAACCTGCTGTGCACAGTGCCGGGAAGCGCCAGCCCACATCCTTGAGTCCCCAGCCCCACCCTCCCCGGCTGTGGCTGTGACCACCCCACCCCTTCCCCAGCCCTCCTTCCCCTCCCCCACCCACTGCCTCCCCAGGGGAGCCAGGCTGCCAGCCCCAGCTCTCACTTCCGGCCTCATGACCCTCTCTCCAGCTTGCACACTCCTCCTCCCCCACCATTTCCCTCCCAGCCTGGTTCGAAGGCCCTGGGATGTCCTCAAATGGAAAACACTGCATCAAAGGGGCCATTACTGCTGCTCTGAGACCTTCCCATCACCTCCCTTTTCCTCCAGGGGCCTTATCTCTCAGGATCTGTCCCTCAGGGACTAGTCATCACCTCTGTCCACCTCCTTCCCTTCAGCCGCCTACCTGCCCACACAGTAACACCTGAATATCTTCTTTCAACCTGATCCCAGGCACAATATCATAATACAAATAACAATGATGGCAATAATAATGGCAGCTGTCACTCATTTGGCATCATTTAAATAGAGGCACAGAGAGGTTAAGTTATGCCCTTAAGAACAAACAGCCATCTCATTCAATTAAGCTGGTGTCTGAATTTAGGTTGGGCTTCTGTAAATCAAACTTCTTTGGTGTCCAGAGATTCAGCGCCCTCCCCTGCAGCCTCCTACAACGGTCCTAGTCCCAACCATCAGTTCTAATTTTTGACTTCTAATCTATCCTCCTCTCAGCTTCTAGTCACCACCTCCCACCAACAGCCATCCAACTAGATGCACTACTCTCCCTCGCCACTAGGTGTCCCCTTGGAGCCACTGATGCCCCCAAGGGGAGCTGGCC
This sequence comes from Homo sapiens, assembly GCF_000001405.40. Classification (NCBI taxonomy): domain Eukaryota; kingdom Metazoa; phylum Chordata; class Mammalia; order Primates; family Hominidae; genus Homo; species Homo sapiens. The sequence continues at coordinate 27,556,959 of NC_000001.11, forward strand.
CTGCCCCGCCCCCTGGGGCCATCAGGGCCCCCCCACAGCACAGCACAGCAGTGCACACCCCACCCCACCCTACCCCCAGCCACACAGAGCTCCTTTGTGCAACCCTCGCCCACCCCCTTCCTCCCTGGAACAGGGCACCTGGCAAGCAGGTCTGCCCCAGAACCGCCCCCTGCCAGCCCCCTGCCCTGGGTGCCAGGTGTGTGGGCGCCACCGCCAGCTCTGGCTGGACCCGAGGGTCACCCTGCCGGCGGCCCTCCCTTCCTCCCTCCGAGGTCACCCAGGGACTAAGCTTCCCGCCCTGCTCCGCCCCCCTCCCCTCCTGCCCTTGGCCCTTCCAGACTCCCGTCCTTGTCTTTCCTTCTGTCTCCCGGAGGACTCCCCTCCTCCAGCCCCACTAGGCCTTCCCTGCAGCCTCTCACCCCCGCCCACCTCCTTCCCCAGAGAGCTCCTTGTTCCACGCCCCCCCGCTCCCCGCCCAGGTCTGAAGAACTCCTCCTCCTGGAAAGTTGCTGCTGGAAAGGAAGTGACTTCAGCAATTTGGCCACAAGGCTGGGCACTGCTGAGCCCAGCTCAGCTCAAGGCTTGCCCAACCCACCTCCAAAGCACAAATGGAGCCACATGTGCACATCACTCCCACTGTGCACCCAGAACCCTGAGCACACACTTAGCCAGTGTACACACAGATCCCCGTGTGCATACACCGTACCATCGCAGTGTATTCAGATCTTGTCTATACACACATCTCTCCAGTGTACACTAGCACCCTTGCACACATGACATCCAGTGTGGCACACACAGTATCCCCACACCTGCCCAGTACACACCCAGAATCCTGCATATTCATACTTCCGGGTACCACATACACAGCCCTTGAACGCTCCCCAGCCCAGTCCACTTACACAACTCTTGTATATTACCCCATGTGCACGGAAGGACAGAGCCTTCCACACACACCTGCTTGCACACAAGCTTGAGTGCCCTGTACATTTACATTCGGATACACACAGCCTCGCATCCTCCCACAGCTGTACCTCCCCACCCTTACAATCCCAGGAGACTCCACCCCCAGACCTCAGGCCCCAGGAATGCTCCTTTGGAAGTAGGGTGGGGTCCCCAGGCAGGCTCAGCTCTAGGGAGCTTCCTGGAGCCGCAGGCTTCATGTGTCAGTTCAGGGAGTTGCCTCTGCAGGGCAGGGCAGCTTCACCTGGCTCTGCAGCTCCTGAGCCTGGGTGGGCTAACCTGGGCCAGGAGTAGGGAGGTGGGTCCTGCCACTGCCCCCGCCCCCTCCCTGTCCTGCAAGGGCACCTTAGCATACCTGGGCTACCCAGGCCCTCCCAGCACCTCACCTTGGCCTCCCAGTTCTCTGCTTCCACAGACTCCGGTAGAGAGGTGTCCTGGGGGGGTCAGCAGCTGCACACATCAGGCACTCTGGTTTCCACCTCTGCCCTGAGTCCTGGTCATTGTCACAACCCCTTTCTCCTCCCAGTTCTCTCAGGTCATCAAGGCGCAGGGAAGAGTCCTCAGGCTAGGAGGTAGGACTCACTGTATATCCATGAGCCTCAGTTCCCCTTTCTGGATAATGGGGAGTTTGAGTAAATGTTGGGTTAATATGTTTTGATTCTGTAAAGAAGCTCTTTTTGACCTAAGCTGGGAGGGGATCCCTGTTGGGACTGGGAGGCAAGTTCCCCTGATCCCCACTTCCTGGGGGTGGCCCAGGCCCAAGCCTGACTTCCCTGCACACTGTTACCTGAGCAGGCTGCGAAGATAGGCTGGGCTCAGCAGGAAAGGCCTGTCTTCATCAGCATCTCCAGGGTGGTCTCTGCAACGGCCTGAGCGTCGCCCCGCACTCGGGGCCCTCTGCACACGCTCAACTGGGTGGGCTCTGGGGTCCAGGCCGATGGGTTGACAATCAGGCAAGCTCCCATCTGTGGAAGCAAACACAGCACCACAGAGATAAGCATGGACACAGGGTAAGCCAGCCAGACAGCAGGGTGCAGGCGGACACTGAGCCAGGAAGCTCTCCTACATGGAGTCCCATCCACCTCCAACCTCATCGCATTATCCCACCTGGGAACTGTGAGACTCTTTTTAAAAAAAAAAATAAGAGAGACAGGGCCTCATCTCGTTTTGTGGCCCAGGTTGGAGTGCAGTGGCATGATCATAGCTCACTGCCTCCTTGAATTCCTGGGCTCAAGTGATCCTCCCACCTCAGCCTCCCGAGTAGCTGGGGCTACAGGTATGCACCACCATGCCTGGCTATTTTTTTTTTAAATTTTTTGTAGGGACAGGGTCTCACCATCTTGCCCAGGCTGGTCTCGAACTCCTGGGCTCAAGCAATCCTCCAGCCTCAGCCTCCCAAAGTGCTGGGATTGCAGGTATGAGCCACTGCACCAGCCAAACCTGTTTCTTGAAACCCCAGGCTCCTACTGAGAAGCAATGTTTTTGCACATCTATGTACACACATGCATATACATGCACATATACTATAGTGGAAGGAACCTGGCCTTTGGGAGTCTGACAGTCCTTGGCTCAACCTTCATAACTGTGTGACTCTGGGCAAGTCAGTTAACTTTTCTGGCTCTCAGTTTTCTCATGTATAAAATAGGAAAAGTGAGATCTTATGAATGGGGAGGAACATCTGGGGAAACTATAATGCAAACAGGTTACTGACAATGCAGATGTGAGAGGTGCTGTTCAGAGTGATGGTGGATGCGAATTTCCACAAGGGTGTATATGCAGCTGGCGTTTACCCATTTCCATCAGTAACTAGTTATGTCTCTTGTTTTCTTTAATAACCATGGCCCTCCTCACCACCCCCCTGCTTCCTGCCCATTTGTCTGCCTCCTCGAGGTCTGTACTGGAGCCCAGAGGGGGTCTGGGAACCAGGCCTCACGGATTGCTTATAGGTTCTGGTTGCCTGGGAGTTTGTATGCGTGTGATCGAGATTCTGCCTGTGCAAATGCATATCTGTCAAGGCTCAGCTGTCTGGGTAAATATACCTGTATGTGGGTTCCTGGGTCTATTTAGCCTGTTCGTGTGCTTCTCTGTATTTCTGTACGTCTGTGTGGGTACATGTGGGCTTAAGCGTGTCCATGTGTGGGATCACGCGTTTGCTCAGTTGTGGCTGCTGTGGTCAGCTGTGTGTGTGTATGTGTGATGCCAGCTTAAGTGTGTGCCTGGATTTGGTGTCTTCAGTCATACATGTGGGTATGTGCACTTTTCACGTTTATTTCTATTCGTTTTGTGTGTGTGTGTGTGTGTGTGTGAGTCTAGCTAAGCCTGTTTGTGTGTGAGGACACAGGGGTGCATGTGTGCCTGTGTGTAGCCAGGTGAGCCCAGCTGTGGCTGGGTGTGAGCATGCCTGGGTGTGCACACGCTTTGCCTGGCTCTCTGCATCTCGCTGTGTCAGGAGCCAAACCGGCTCCTGCCTGTCTCAGAGCTCTCTGGATGTGTGTTTGGCAGGGGGTGGGGGCGTGAGGCTGATCCTCTGCTGTCCCTGCAGGTTTCCAATCTCGAGGCCTGTGACTGCAGGCACTGGTGTCACTGTGGATCAGTGTTGCCTCCCTCCCACCTCTGCCTTTCTCTGGGTTTTCAGGGTCATGGTGTGGCAGTGTGACTGGCCACAGTGTCCCTGTGGGTCTCTTTCACCATGGGTCAGTATGTGCTCGTGTGTGTGTCCATGCATGTGTGGATTTGTGTGACCTTATTGTGTGTCTGTGTACCACAGCGTGTCTCTGTGTATGTCAGTGGGTCCTTGTGCTATGTCACTGTATGATTGTGCCAGTATGGCCGTGTGTCAGCGTCAACATGTGTGAGCAGGTCTGTGTGCCATGGTGTGTCAGCACAACGGTGCCCCAGGGTTTGTGTGGTACCTTTGTGAAGGGCTCAGTGTGTGAGTGCGTGTGTGCATGCATGTGAGATACCCTTTGTGAGACGGTGTGTGTGTGTCTGTGTCACTGTGTTTGTGTGTGCCTGCTTCCCTCTTCCCTCCCTCTCCCTCCCTTCCTCTCTCTCTCTCTCTGTAGGAGCCAGACAACTCCCCAAGCCTGGATTAGGGACAATTTATCCACAGGCAGAGAAGGAGAATTCCAACCTGCCAGAGCCTCCCTCCTCTGATCTGTCCCCCCTTTCCCTGTGGTTGGGTGGGCACAGAAACACAGCCCGGCAGCTCCCAAGCCCTTGGGGAGCCCCCACCTTTGCAGCTCCCCAGAGGCCCAGGAGGAAGGAAAAGATGGAAATCTGGGTGGCCCTAGAGCCCTCCAGTGGGGGTAGATTGGCTGCCCCCCATTCAGGCCCCCACAGCTCGGCTCATCTTGGCCCTGTTCTCCTACATATGGTGGTGGTGGGTGGGAGGAGTCTGCATGGGGTCTGCCTGGCCCTGAGTGTTGGGGGGGAACTTCAGGAGCAAAGCTGCCCTTAGCCCCTCCACAACCTGATACTCCCCAGCAGATAAACGTCAGGCCCCCACCCAGTGTAAATGAACTTCCAACAGTGCCCACACAGGCTGGGGGAGCTGCTGGGAGGCAGAGGACAGTGTGGTGGGGGGAACACAGCAAGGAGGGGTGCAGGGGCTGGGCTGGGACTAAGGCTCCCTTCACGGTGCTCCAGGCGCAAGGCAGAATCACATGTTTCCCATTAGCTGCTCTGGCCTCCTTGTTCAGGGGGTGTTGGCTGGGGGAGATTTGTTCTGGTTGCAGACACCAGCCGAGACCACACAAGAGAGAGAGAGGAAAAGACAGAGAGAGAGAGCGTGCCAGAGGGAGAGAGGAAAAGACAGAGAGGAAGAGGGAGAAAGATACACAGGGAGACACAGAGACATGGGGAGAGAAACAGAGACAGAGAGACAGAGAAAGACAGAAACTGGAAGACGGGCACGCACAAACACAAAAGCAGAGACGGACTGGTGATGAGGGGCTCATGGAAGAAGGGAGATGGAGAGGAAGGTAGAGAGAGGCGGGTGAGACCTTGTCAGAGGCTGAGGGGAGGGGGTAGCTCAGGCCCAGAGTGAGTCTGAGGCCAGTAAGGACCAAGGAAGAGCCCCAGAGGGGAGAGAGGCACGGGGGAAGCGAGCCAGGCAGAGATGGGAAAGGCAGGAGAGAGCAGGGACCAGGGGTTTCTGCAGGAGCCTGAGAAAGAGGCAGCGAAGCAGAGGCAGGGTGGGCCGGGGAGAAGGGCCGAGGGGAGGCCTGTGTGGGCAGTAGACAGGCCAGAGCTGGGATGTGTGGGCAGGGGGAGTGGACGCGCCCAAGCTGGCTCGGCGGGGGCGGCCAGTGCGCCAAGCCTCCCGCCTCCTGACCCCCGAGCCTGGGAGAGATAACAGGCCCGAATAGTGCTGACTTGCGGTTCAGAAATCCAATATCCTCCCCGGTGCACTGATCGACTGACTACCTGAGCTCCCGGCCCGCGCAGAGCTGCCCCGATTAATCCTGTGGCTCCAGAGCCTTAATTAGTTTAACAGTTTCAGGGGCAGGAGAGGCAGGAAATAGGGTCCCCAGGCCCTCAGGGACACAGCCCCCTGCCTCCCATGCAAACCCTGCCTTGGTGCCCCACCTCACAGACACACACCTGCCCTGGCCCTAAAGGCCCTTCTCCACACCATCTGAAGAATGCTGGGTCCCTCCCCCTGGGGAACAGTCCCACGGGCTGACATATGGGTGAGAGGGTAGATCATGCGGGACTGAGCACCCCCCAGCTCCCACTTGTCCCTCTGCTCAGGGCCCTAAGCATTTCCTCTGGCCAGCCCTTTGGGGCTCTGTGGTCTGCATGGGAAGGCCCCACCAGCTGCCAGCCCCGTATCACCAGAAAACATGTCGTCTCTTTAGAGTGAGACACGAGCTCCCAAGTTACTGACAACTTCCCAACAGCATGAGAGAATCACACATGCCACTCCCCACAACAGCCTGCGACGGGCACATGGTGACATCTCACACACACAACAGCCAGAGACAGGCGCACAAGTTGGTGACAACCCTCCTAACGGGATGAACTAAGCACATAACCTGTCGCTTCCTCCAAACATGAGATGGGCACACCTGACACACCCTCGACAGCATGGGGCAGGCGTCTGTTACCCCTCACAGTGGCATAACTGACACGCAACCAGGCACCCCCACACCCACTAATGCACAGAGAACCTGTTACACAGCTGACCAAGACACACACACACGCACGCACGCATGCATGCACACACCCACACAAAGAACCTGTCACATAGTTGACCAAGACACACACACATGCACACACACACAGAACCTGTCACACAGCTGACCAAGACACACACACACGCACGCATGCATGCACACACCCACACAAAGAACCTGTCACATAGTTGACCAAGACACACACACATGCACACACACACAGAACCTGTCACACAGCTGACCAAGACACACACACACACACACACACACGTGGGACAAGTCCCATCTTCCAGGTGTGAGGAAGGCATGGACCCCTCCACCCACCACACAGCATGAGGCAGGGACATAACCTCGCCCCTGCCTGGGAATCCTCCCTGCAGACTGTGGGATGGGTACACAACATGTCACCTCCCCGGCTGCCTTGGACAGGTGACAGCCCACCTCACCCCTCCCCCATCACTGTCACCAGCCTGGGTGGTGCCGTCCCTCTGCCTGCAGAGGCGTCACAGCTCACACGGCATGAATGTCACCCCAGCACTGCCAGAGCCGGGCACAGCCACACATTGCCCCAGTGACAAACACCACTGGCCCCAGAGGAGGTGAAGGCACACAGGGCTCTGGTGTGACCTTGGCCTCTGGACACCAGGAGGGGAGGTGCTGTGGCTTCCCGCCCAGTGGCGGGTGCTGGGGGAGAGGAGTGCTGGGGAGGAAGCTGCCTGGACACACTGACTACCTGGAAATGCCACCTCCCCCAGCCCTCACTCCACTCCATTTCTTATTCACTGTAGTTGTGTATCTAGGGAGGGGGCTGAATGAGTGGTGGAGGGAGGGCTGTCCTGAGGCGCTGTTACTATGAGACTGCTTAGAGATCAGTGGGGAGTAGGGCGGTTAGGGGTTGCTATCACCATGTGCTCAGTGGGAAGAGTATGGGATAATGGCTTGAGACCCCCATAGCTTCCAGGGGAGCCCTTCTTCCTTACAAAGGCCCCCTCTCCAAACTTCAGGCCACAGAGCTGGGGACAAGGAGGCCAAAGTCCAGGAACATGACTCACCCAGGGAACAGGCCCAGCCTGCTGGCCATAGTGGTGAGGGAGGCCAAGAGCCAAGAGGCCTGGGTTCCAGTCTGAGCTCCTCCAGGGCCAAGCTGGGTGACCTTGGAGCAGCAGCTCAGCCTCTTTGGCTTCGGGGAGGGGGGAAGGGGCCGCAGTGAGAGAAGTGCCAGGGTCAGAAAGAAGAAGCTGAAGCTGGAGACCAGCAGGCAGAACTTCAGGCCACAGAGGGCTCCAGCCCGCCTCCCCTGCTCCCCTGCTTCCTCACAAGGAACCTCATCTTCCTCATCTGTACAAAAGGGACAAGAGTGCCAGCCTCATGAGACAAGGTAGCATAAAGTGGGCCGCTCCTCAAGAAATGGGAAGCTTCTGATTGAAGAGAGGGAGAAATAGACTAAGAGACTTGCCCAAGCCACAGAGCAAATTAGGATCAGCTGAACTCAGCCTCCATCTCCTGGCTCCCCACCTGGAGCTGTTTCTTTAAGACTGCTTGGAGGTCAAGTGTGGAGGGGGACAGGGGAGATGTTGGGGTGTTGTTGGATGCAGTGCCTCCCTGCCGCCCGATGAAGACCAATGAATCTGATAGGAGTCCACCATGCCCTACCTTTACCCTAAACCCCACTTGGCCCAAAGCTTGGACAAGAGGAGTGGCTCTAAGGGGAGGGAGGCACCCCACCTCCCACCCCATCATGACCAGCAGCAGCACCTGGTGCTTGGAAGGACTAGAGGACCTGAGATGTCAGTGTCTAGGGCCCCTCGTTTTACAGGAGCCCAGAGAGGGAAAGGCCTAGCCTGAGGTCACACAGCACGACAGCACAAGAGCCTAGAGTCCTGGCCACGGACAGCCTCAGAGCAGAGTCCCCCTAGCCCCTGGGGGTGGCTGGAGCTGGGGGGCCCTGGGGGACTGAGTAAAGCGTGGCGACAGATGGCCTGCCGAGGCAGCGGCGATCTGGGCGGCTGGCAGGCATGCTCGCTCCCGCGCAGGGAAGCGGCTAATTTTAGCTGAGGCCTCGATGCCAGCTTTGTTCCCCCCACCCACCCGCCGAGGGGGCCCAGCATGCCTTGCGTGCAACCTGCCTCCCCCAGGCACCCCTACTCCCCCGCCTGGCCCCTTGGTGAGTAGTGCCCAGACCCCAGGATCCTAGAACGGTCTGCCTGACCAGGCCTCACCACACCCAGAGGTGAGGCCTGACTCCCCTACCCCAGGGCCTGTTTGCCCACGACTCCAAGCTCATTCCATGAAGAGGGGCGAGAGAGGAAGGACAGAGGCCACTGCCCAGACTGGGAGGGCGGGCCAGACAGCAGGGGCTGCCAGTCTTGAAGGGAGGCGAGGCACTGTCCTCCACCCAACCCTTAAGGAGACAGGACCCTGATTCCACCCATGCCCTGGACAAACATTCTGTCTGGTGTCCCCCGGCGCTGGTGAGCAAGGGGCGGGAGTCACTCTAGTCTTTCCTTGTTCCTCATAACTTTGAGTTTGTTCCAGGAACTCAAAGCACTTTAAAGAAGTCAGACATGAAGCAAGGATAGTATCCCTATACCATCTGGGGAAACTGAGGCACAGTCTGAACTTGCCATCATTTTAGCAAGGGAAGGGACAAATCCCAAGAATCAGTGAGGCCTGTTCTCTAGAGAGCTTCTTGGGCCAGTTTAGCTCCTGGAACTATCTTCTGTTCCTACCCTGGGCTAGTGGAAGGTAGACTAGATGGATGGAGCCCATCCCCTAAAACCCTGGAAAGGCAGACTCACACTCTTGTTTCCTGGTGCCACACTCTCTGTAGGCTCTTCAACCTTGCACCCTCCATTTCAGGTTCAACCACATAAGCCCAGTGGGGCTTCCAGGACATCTGGCCCCTACTAAAAAGAGGGATCCTTTGGGGTGACTCTGGAGCCCTGCCCCCTGCACCAGCTCCCCAATCTTCATAGGCCTGGGAAGGAAACAACCTGGTAGGAAATAGAGTAAGGAGAACTGAAAGGCCCAGCTCTGAAAGAAAGATATGTATTTAGAAGGACAAAGTCAGAAGAAAGACAGGGGGCGGGAGAAATCAAGGCAGAGATTCAGATCCAGGAAGAGAGACAGAAAGATGAAGGACACTGAGGCAAGAGAAACAGGGCAGAAAGAGGCAGAAGGAGAAAAAGATCTGGAGGGAGGGGGCGAGAGCCAGAGAGGGAGAGAGAGGGCGACCATGCCAGAGGAAGGAAAACAGCAAGAAAGAGACTCAGGAAGAGAGAGAGACAAGGAGAAAGAAAAAGACAAAAGAGAGAGACAGGCAGGATGATGCAGAGACAAAGACACACGCACAGGGGGGAAGAGATGGAGAAGGAACCTGAGGAGTCTGCACAGACAGGCGGAGGCACAGAGCACCAGCGACCCGGGAGCTGGAGACAGACAGAGGGACTGACACACCCAGAGCCCCACAGCGACAGTCGGAGGGTGAGACACACTCAGATGGGGTGGGAAGAGGGGGTGACACTACTAAGTGTTAGAGTGTGGGGGGAACAGCAGTAGGCAGAGGTGAGGAGGGAGGGGGGTGGAGGAGGAGGAGGAGGAGGGATGTCATTGCCAGAACTGGGGGGGGACAGAGGACAGAAATGGAATGTGGGTCTGGGCATGAGGCTCACAGATGCATCGGCTCTGGTTTCAGCTGGGGCAGTTGGCTGCTAGGGTGGGGGGAAGAAGGAGCAGAGCTGTCGAGGGAGGGGGGCCTGTTGCCATGGAGGCGGGCACGGCAGGGGCACAGTCTGCTGGCACTTGGAGCTCTGGGCATGGTAGGGGGCTGAGGCAGAAAGGCAGGGTAAGGAAGAAGCCTCGCCCCTGCCCTCGGGGCTCTACCAGGAAGAAAGTTTCCAGAGAGCCACAGAGATGCTGGGAGTGGAGCATGGCTCTAGGCCCTGACCAATCCTAGGGAGGCTGTGGAGGGTGCACTGCTCTCCAGGCCGTCTGTGGGCATCCCAGCTTCCTGCATGCGCCTCAGGCTGGCCCTGGGGACCCTCCTCCTCTCTGTCCCCTCCAGTCTAGCTGAAGATCCTGCATGCTGCTGCTTGCTGCCACTGCTGCTTGCAGGGAAGCAGCAAGATTGTGAATTCAGGATCTGTAATCCTAACGCAGAGCCCAGGCCTACCGGGCTCCAGTTGCCAAGGCGACGGTGGGTCAGAGGGCAGCGCGGGGCGCCCGCTCCTCCAAGTCAGAATCCCAATTGTTAAAGCCCAAGAATAAACAGCTGAAGCGGCCGTCGGGGGGCCGGGAGGGGGGCTGAGGTCTGCATCGGCTCAGTGTGGTGTTGTCAAGCGAGATGTCACTAATTGTCTGAAGGAACAGGCTGAGGCAGCTCTTAACTGCTTCTGTGCCACCGGAGACACCTTGGCTGCCTGGCCCCATCCCTGGGGCCTCCCAGCATTCCACCAGGCCAGGCTATTGGTGGGGGCAGTGCTGGCCCAGCATAATCCCTGCCTCCCTTGCACTGCACTGAACCCCACATACTTGTGGCTCCTAACCCTCCTCTTTGCTCAACTTGGAACCTCCCACCTGCAAGCTAAATCATTATGTCCCCAACACAAGCACCCCCAAATCACTGGGCCCACAATACTCCTTGTAGCCCAGAACTGCCCCTTTGGCTTGCAAAAGCCCTCCCAGCTCCCCCAACATCTCTCCCTCTTCACAGAAGTTGGGGTTCTCGTCCAGATTTGTGGATTGCAGAGGAAGGTAGGCCTAGGGCTCTTCCAGTTTGTGGGGAGGGACAGGGAAGGGCAGAGGCCTCCTATGGGGAAAGGTGAGGCCTAAAGCAAGTCTCCGTGCAACTCCCTGCTCTTAATCACACACCTGAACCAAAGGCCTGAAGGAAGCTGGGAAACCTGGTTTCCAGCTTTGATGCTCCTACCTCCTTGCTCTGTGTGACTCTGGATGCAGTGGTGGCTATTCTGAGGCGGGCCGGTGTCTGTAACGCCTGACCAGAGGCACACCCAACCCTGTGGGTGAGAAGGGCCCGATAGTACAAGGTGGACAGCCCGCAGAAATGCAGCCGGTAAGCCATTCCATGGAGCAGTGTGGGGGTACACTGAGCAAACTGCTCAGTGGATGGCAGCTAGCGCTGGCAGTAGTGCTGGTACTGCCCTTAACTACAGAGGGTCCTAGAGGGTGCGGGTAATCAGAAAAGATCGCAGGGTAGGTTCTAGGAAGGCTTCCTGCAGAAAGTGGTACTTGGCAAGATCTTGGGGCAGGTGGGCTGGAAGGTGGAGCACTCCAGGAGAGAGGTCTTGTGAGGAGCTTCACGGGAGCAGAGCAGCTCGGTCTCAGGTCGCTCGCGTGTTCAGCCTCTCCCAGACTTGGAAGGGCGAGGCCTTCAACGGTCTCCCCGCCCCTTAGGCCGGCCCTGCCTTTTCCTCCACCTCCCGCCGACTCCACCCACGGCGCGTCCCGAACACCAGGAGCGGTGCCCGCGAGGGGGCGGGCCGCGCGGGCCGGGCTCCCGGAGATTGGTAGCACCTGGAGTGATGTCGCTAGGGGCGGGGTCGGGGCTTCGGACACGCCCTCTTCCCCGGACCCTTTCCCCCGGCCGCGGCGCGGGTGCCCGGGAGGGGGCGCTCCGCTCGCTGCGCCCCTCAGGTGGGAGCCTGCGGCGGGCCGGGCCGGGCCGGGGCGCTCTTCGTGGGCGGGGAGCTGGGCGCGGAAACAGGGGATCCCCCAGAGAGCGCCCAGCCCAGCCTGGGGCTGGACGCGTACAAAAGGCGACTTGTTCTTTCTCGGGATGCCTGCGCCTTCTCAAACATACCTACAGCCGCACTCCAGGGACAGCTACACCCACACACCCGCACAAAGCCTGCCAGGGTGGGGCGCGGGGGGCTGGCGAAAGCCCCAGAAATCGGCCGTAAGAAGAGCCCTGCCCTGAACCCCCCCGCCCACTTGCCACATACTCAAAGCCCCCTCACCCCATCCCACCCCAAATCATCTGGATACTACCCCCCATCGCCCAGTGCACAGCCCTGGGGACACTGACGCAGTCACATTCTGGAAACTGTCTTCTCCCTCATATGGTCTATAGCTCACCAACCCCTGCTCTGGAGTCAGACTGCCAGCTGCAATCCTGGCTCCACACTGTGTGTGACCTTGGCATCCAATAAGGCTTGTTAAGGTTACTTTTTACTGAGCACTTACTCTGTGCCAATCCTCATCATCACCCTACATGGTGAGTACTATTAGTCTTATTTTGTAGATGGGGGAACTGAGGCTTGGGTAAAATAGCCTGCCTAAGACAGGCAAGGATTTGAACCCCATGTTCTTCCATGTCGCATCATCTCAGCCTCCCATCACACCACCTTACACCCTAGCACCCCACCACACACACAACTGCAGACAGCAAAGCCATCTATCTCAGAGTTGAGGTGTAATTCTCCACCCCAAACATACCTCGCTGTCACAGTCTAGTACCAGGCGGGTTCTCTCACTACTCAGTGTGTTTGGAGAAGGGAAGAACATCTCCTACCTCTAAGCTTCCCCAGCCCTGATGCTGGCCGTCAGGAGTCATAAATGGGGCAGCGTGACAGCAGGGCCAGAACAGGCTACCTCTAACCTTTCCAGCAGGCTCACCTCCACCTCCCCTGACCCCCGGATGACAAAGCACTGCCATATTGGTTGGGGCGCCTGGCCTGTAGCTCTCTCCCTGACCCGACAGGCCTGGACCCTCCCCTAGCCCCAACCCCTGCTGAGAACAAGTAGAAACAAACTCCTTCCTGGGGATGTCAAAGCACCTTTCCTGGGGGAGGCGGCACTGTGATGCCCTGAGTCTGGCTAGGGAGAAGGATCGGGTTACTCTTTCCCCAGCTGTGCCTAGACTCCCTGGAGCTGACCTTTCACCTCAGCCAGGCCAGGACCCAAAGGGGGCTGGAGTCCAGCCTTCACCTCCTGTTAACCCTCTGCATTCCTCATCTTTCCATTCCTGGGCCCCCAGCGGGTCTCAGGAAGCCCAGCTGGGCATGCCAACCTTTCCCTACCCTCCCATCCTAGGGTCTGGTTTCCCAGAGAGCTTTACAGAATGCTCCTCCCTGCCCCCTGCCCAAGCTGCCCTGCCGGGATCAGATACCTCCGCCCAAGCAGCTGAAAATGACCTGGGCTATTTTCGCTCTGGGATCACGTTGCAAACTCCCCCTTGAGCTGGCAGCTTCCCACACCCCTCCAGACCATCGCCCCCCACCCCTCATCCCTCACCCAGGGCTACTGACTAACAGGACAGGAGGGCTTTTAGAGACCACTGGCCTAAACCCTTCAAATGGGGATACTGAGGCCATGAGGAGTCAGGCACAGGGCTGGGCAAAGAACCAAGTTTCCTGGGTCCCCGCCCAGGTCTCTTTCTACTGTCTAGCACAGCTTGATCCGTACCCTAGATCTCAAATCCTCTGACCCAGCCAAAAACCTAGCCAACCTCCCCTAAGCACCAGAAAGTCACACTGCAGGCTACCAACAAGTCCCTGAGCTGCCCTGCATGTCAGAAACTGCCTTGGCCACACTCTTCTCTTTGTTTAGAACTGGGACCAGGTCTGTACCTGTGTCACAGGCATGTGCACCACTGGAAGGTTTTAGGGGGTGCAAACTGGGAGGAAAGATAGGGAGATTGAGGCCTAGAGGAATGAGGAGATGGACTCAAGCTTTATGTATCTTAATACTGCCCAGCAGCCCCTTGCCCCAGCTTCTTGGCTCCCCCTTTCCATTCCTGCAAACCAGCCCCCTCCAGGCCCCTGCCCCTGCCCCTCTGCCTCAAGCCCCAGCCCTCCTGGGCAGGAATGTGACTGGTCAGGTCTGAGCTGACCACATGAGTGGCTATAAGGTGACAGACCCCCCCACTCTCCCATCCCCCCAGCCTGGGGGAGCTCACATACCAACGCAAGGGGTGGGAGAGCTCCTTTAACCCTTTGCAGCCTGACTTTCAGGAAGAAAAGGCAGGGTACTCTACTTCCTGTGGCCAGACCCAGTGTGGGCTGCCAGGTGGAGGGAGTGTAGGAAGAATCTCCTTTAGCGAGCGGTGGTGGAATGAGGGTATCCAGAAAGTCCCCACTAGTATTCTCTGCCACCCCAAATGTCCCATCTCATCTCCCATGCCATTTGGAAAAATAGTCATGAGCTAGTGCTGAGGGTGGAGAAGGAAAGGAGGCATTATGAACCCCAACCTCAGGAACCCCTAGTCCAACAGGAGAAATACAACCCTGCCCTGGGGAGTCTGATGGGGGAGACCAGGCACAGAGGCAGGCTGGGACAAAGAGCCTGGAGCGGAGCAGAACCCTGAGCTGCAGCAGGAGGAGGAAGAAGCCAGGGCAGGAGCAGAACAAGTCAGGTGGGGTCAGACCGGACAGGCTTCCTGGAGGCCCCCTCGGCCCACAGCCCTCCCCCCAGGCTCTGGAATCTCGGGGGTCAGGGCTGAGGGACAGCCCCACCCCCTGCTCCCCTCAGGCTCAGGAATTCCACCAGCCAAGGAGGGGGGGGTGGCTGCTTCGGCCTCAGTCCAAGTTGGCTCCCACTGGACCGGGAACAGCAGCTCCTCCTCGGCCCCCTACTTCACCCAAGCCCTGGGGCTGGCCCCCAGCCCCCTCCCCTCCCCCTCCCAGGCTGGCATGGTGTGTGCCAGGCGCTGGCAGAAAACAAACCCGCCGGGGTGGGTTTGCAGGGAGCGGGGTAACCTTGACACAGTTGCGGCAGTCGCTAATGGCAGACACACACTCCGCCTGTTCTGGGGGGACTGTTGCCGTTGCTAGGAAACCAGCAGCCGCGTGAATGGAAATGGGTCAGTAAACCTGGGGAGAGATAGTGTGACACTCGAACCACTGCAGCTGCTCCAGCCCACACCGAAATCCCTCCTCTTCAATATTTATCACTCCCACCTGGGCCCTCAGCTCCTGCCAGACCCTGCACCAGCCTGGCCTTCAGCCCCCCAACTCAAGGCCTGACAGGGGTGGGGGAGAAAAGAAATGGAGGGGGTTGCTTATCCATTTTGGGGGGTGGTCCAGACGGGGTGGAATTGGTTCTGGAGGAGATTGAACAGGAAACAGAGTCTAATCCCGTGGTGGGGAAGGGGTTAAAAGGTCAATTCACGCCTGTTCCTGACTTAGGCACCGTGGTAAAATTACTGAGAGTGAGGGGGCTTGAGGCTGCCTGCCTGCTTACCTGTGGAGGGACTGATTAAGACAGGAGACCTCCCTCCAGGTGTCCTGGGGCCCCCCTCTGTACAAAGATAGAAGGGAAGAGGCACCCAAAACATGGCCAGGATTCACTCACAGCCTGAAAACACCACCGGATGGTCCCAGTACAACCTGACATCTGATAGCAGCCCAAACGGCCAGGAGCTGCCTACTGCCTTACAACACTGTTCTGGACAGCTACACGTCCGTACCCTAGCCAGCCACACATGCACTGTTCAGAGGCCCTGACAACACCCCTACAGATACCCCCACAACAGTACATGACAACTCCAATTCCAAACAGTGCCACTCAGCTCAACATCCATAAACAACTGACAAACCCAGGTGCAGGCAAAACCACGCAGTGTGGGACTGTGCTGACTCCAGCCGCTTCCCCAGGAGGCTGGAGCCTCTCTGAGGAGCCTGTCCTGACCCAAAGCCCGGCTCTCTGCTTCATGGATGTTTCTTCCTCCCTCCCACTGCCAGCCTCCTTGTCCTGCACACACCTCAACACACCGCCCCTGCGATCGCTCTTCTGGAGACACCAACCCATGAGCTAGCTGTCTTGTGCGCCATGCCCCAATTCCCTGGAGGCCGACTGGTCACTGACACACACATTCCCTTCCCCTAGAAGCACACAGTCTCACAGCCCCGCCTGACACAAGCTCTTATTCCTATGCACAGGCCTCTCCACAGACAACAGAGACCTAGGGAAGCAGCGGTGCCACTGGCTTGGGTGATAAGCCCCCTCCATCCACCACAACCTCCACCAGTATCCCTGAAGGGTGTGTCTCAGGAAGGGAGGCACTCCAGCCTTCTGGGGGTGGGGTGGGGATACCTTGACAGGAATCTCCGAGCTGACTTGGTTCTCTGTGTGCGCCTATCTCCTAGGACACATCAGTCAACACAGGCTTGGAGCCTGTCAGAGCTAGAAGGTGCCTTAGGGAGCCACTAATCCAACCTCCTTCGCTATGCAGGAGGAAGGAAACCAAGGCCCAGAGAGGGGAAGCAGCCTGCCTAACGTCACACAGCCGAACTCCTGGTTGCCCTTTTCTTTCATAGTTCCCCAGTGGGAGCCCTCTATGTGTGGTAAAGACACTGGGGAGTAGGGTACAGTTAGCCCAGAAAGGCTTTTCTGAGGCAGAGGGAGGTGGAACCGACTAGTTGGGAGGGGAATCTGTAGTCCTAGAGAGTTTATGAGAACTGCCCAACAGTGCATCCAAAGACATGAGCACCTCGCAGCCCTGGAATCTGGGCCACATAAATTTGGTGGGATCCAGGCTTTGCCAAAAAGAGCTGGTGGATGCTCATTCCTGCTCCACTTCCTATCCCAGCGCCCCAGAGAGCTGTCTCCCCAAACCAAAGGCAAGGGAAGGTTACAAAGTTCCCTATACCTGGCCTTGAATGCAAGTTCCCTCTGTGGTCCAGGGCATCCCTGCCTTTTATTATTTACGTAGATCTCTGCCAGGAAGCCTCTGCGATGCATGAGTAAAGAGGTGTTCTGCCAGGTAGTTTTTATTTCAACTCCATTTTGCAGAAAAGCAAACTGAGGCTCACAAGAGGTAGGGTAATTTGCTCAAGTTCACACAGACAACAAATGGGGCCTTGAGCTCCTTCCAGTACACCAGGGTCTTTCCCAGTGGACATGGAAGGCCAATCAAACAGGAAACAGGGAGAACTGGGGATAGGAGAGGTTGGGAGTTGACACAGGCCCAGGCCCAACATCCTGGGCTAAGGAGGAACCCCGAGGCATCTGAATTTGAATCTGGGTATCTGGCAGTGATGGAGTGAAAGGTCAGCAAGGAGATGAGAGGAAGAGGAAAGCAGAATTCCACCAGCCTCACAGCCTGCCTGGACCATCCCCTGGGGAGCCAGCCTGGAGCTCTCTGCCAGCCCCCGCCCCACCCCCAGTGGAAGGCAAAAGGAGCACTGTGAGGAGACTAGTGTGACAGAGACCTTGGGAAGTGAAATCTCACAGGCTTGGTGCAGGGGAAGGGAATTCAAATGTTTTGGGGGCTACCTCTATTCCTCAGGATGGGGCTGGATGTCACACGGGTGCCCTTCATTTCCCACCCTTACTATGTGCAGATGCTATGCTAACTGATTGAAATGTTGTGTAACTTTGAGCCCCACCACAAGGCCATGGCCTATCTAGTGTTATCTAGTTTTTCACGTGAGGAAAGGGAAACTCAGGAGTAAAAGGACTTGTTCAAGGTCACACAGCCAGCGAGTGGCAACTGTGGCATAGGTGAAGCGTGCCTATCCCGACTGCTTTTGTTTACCATGGTGAGAGTATGCTAGGTGGGGGCAGGAAACAGAACTGAACAAGGGCCACTGGCAGGGGGAGAAGGGTCCACCATCAGATGGGGAAGATGCCTGCTGAGTTGCCAAAAGGTTCATCAGTTTACAGAGCACCAAATGGTGCTGGAAGGGAACAAAGTTGTGGGAAAGCGTCCCTTCCCCTGCCCAACAAAGGGCAGGGTAGACCTCTTTCCTTCCCCAAGCCATAGTGCCAAGAGTGAGCCCTGAGAGGTCACATACCTACTCCTGGATTCTCAGGGCTCTTGTAAAATGAAGCCCCTCCCATCCCGGGGCCCTTCTCTGGACTCTGGGGCCTGCAAGGTGCAGAAATGCTCTCAAAGAAAGCTACTGTCGCCGTCGGGAAAATTATCCAGGATTTTCCCAGCACATCTGCCCCCACATCGGCTCCGCAGTTGGGAGGCGGGGCGGGGGTGCTGCATGCTGGGAGAAGACTGCCTTGCCTCCCTCCTAGCAGCCCTCAGATTCCTCTGGCTGGAGCAAGAAGCTCCAGTCCGCAGGCCCAGCACTTCTCAGGGCCCGAAGAGCCCGCCTCCGAGTTTTCCCGCCGCCGCCGCCGCCTCTGGGGCTACCTGGCAGGCTAAGCTGCCCACTGATCCCTGCCACCTCCGCCCCCCTCCCAGATGAGGCCACAGAGTTTCTGGCTCCTGGAGGAGGTGACGGGCGGAGAGGGAAACCAGGCGGCTGGGGGAGGGGCGTTGCCTGCACCTGGCCCTTCTCCGCCGCGCAAGCCGGGAGGGGCGGGACTGGACCCCCGCCAGACCCGAAAAGAGAGGCCGAGGAGGCGAGGGGTGCTCTCTCCACTCCCGCAGTCTGGGGCCGGGCGGCGAGGTCTCCCCCCACCACCCTCGCCGCGGAGGCGCCCCCTAGGGTCGGGCGCCAGGCGCCCCTGCCCGAGCTGCGCGCTTAGCTCGCTCCCCCGGCCGGCCGCGCTCTCCAGCTGCAGGAAATTCCAGAAGCTCTCCATCATCCCCGCGCAGCGCGCAGCCCGGGCTGCCAAGGCTCCCCGAAGGAGAGCCACATGCCGGCCGGCCGCGCGGCCCGCCCTCGGCCCCCACCCGGTCCAACCCGGCCGGGTAGCCACGTCTGGCCGGGCGGGGGCCAAGCCGGCCGCCCCTTCCCGCGCCCCGGGCCCGGCGGAATGCGTGGCAGCCCCGACCGGGGGCTATTTTGAGCGGGAGGGGAGCGGCCCGGCCTCGGTGTTTTCGGCTTTTTCCTGGCCCCCGGCCCGCCAGGCCGGGCCCTCTGCTGCCCGCTGAATGGGAGGGGGGGCGGGGTCACGTGGCGGGGGGAGGGGAGGGCCGTCGCGATCCGGGTCGGGCTCGGGCTCTGCCCCGGCCCGGGGACTGGAGGCGCCCGGCAGCGGTCCGGACCTGCGCTCTCGGACGCGGCTGAGTGGCGGGGTTATTAATAGCGTGCCTGGCTCGGGCAGTGGCTCCAGGGCGCCCGCTACCTGCACGCCCCTCCTGCAGAGAGCACTGGCGGCCCGGCGCTCCCTCCGCAGCGGCGGACTGAGGCCTAACTGGATAGCGCCACCGTGAACCGGCGGCCAATCACAGGCCTCGATTTCCTTACCTGTAAATTGGGGTTGAGCTACCCGGCTTTATAGGGTAGGTGCCATATAAAGGTTTTGTTTGCTGTGTGCCTCTCCTTGGGCAAAACGCTGTCACAATTGGGGGCCTCCGTTTTCCTTATTAAAACGAAGGGGTCTGAAAAGGCCCTCTGCAGGGAAAGCGTCCGGACATCTGAACAATGCGTTTTCACTGACCACCTATTTGTGCCTAGCGACTACCCAATGGTCACTGCTAACACAGGGCACCTGCCCTGCATTATTAGCATGCGCTAACTCAATTATAAGGCCTCCATAAAGTAGGTAATATTATCCCCTTTTTGTTAATGAGAAAGCTGAAGTTCACGAAGGTTAAGTGACCCACCAAAGGTCACACAATGTCAGAGCCTAAAGTCAGAAAAACTCTGGTTCCAGAACCCGTTAACCACTGAACACAGTGTTCACCCTGACACAGGCAGGACAAGCATTGCTGCTTCCCTCCTCCCTTTCAGGCAGTCCCTGGGGACCCCTTCTGCTCTGGTCCCAGTTCCAGGCATGAGGGGCTGTTCTCAACAGCTCCACTGGGGCCATTCCCACCTCCATCTACCCGTAGGGACATGGGGGGATCACACCAGTGTCACCCTTACAACAGTGGAGGCTGCTTTTGGGCATGTGGTGACCCGTGACCCTGGCCCTGTCTAGGCACTGGCCATCCTGAGTCTAGCACCTCACACACACACATATATACAGTGCATCCCAGTGCTCACCGCCTGCCCACACCCCCCAACGCCAGCACCCACCGTCATGACATGAACACAGAGACCAGTACCCTACCTTGCACTGGTGACAGCGCCCCTGTCACAAAGCCAGCAGCTTCAGACAGCATCCCTCAACATTCTTCCTGGCTACTCTGTCCCTGTCCCTCACTCCCTCTCCAGTAGCTCACAGTCCAAATCCCACAACGGATGGGGAAGCTTAGGCCCAAGAGGAAGGGATGGGAGGACACAGTCATCCCTCCTGAGACCCGGGGATAGGATCATAAATGAGGAAAGAAAATTGCCTTTGGCCAGTGAATGACAGACGTGGGCATCCAATACAAATCATTCAGCTCCTGGTCGGTTGCCCCACTGCAGCCCTCTGAATCTGTTCAGCTCCTGCCGTGCGGCAGCTAGAGGGGCCCCCAGGACAGGATTCTAGAAATGGGCACCAAGCTGGGACCAGAGTCCTAAGGACCACTCTCTGCTCCCAAGTGTCAGTCCCAGACTATGGGCCCCTAGGTTTCACTAATCCATCAAATTCTAGACTCAGCCTAGCCTCAGAGCCATGGGGGCAGGGGCATCTGGGGGTGAGGGGAGATGGCATACAGGGGGAACAGCCTAGGACAGGGCTTGGAGCTGCTTCCTGCTCCCCCCACTCCCAAGCAAGGAAGCACAAAGACTGGCAGGCCCCCCACTCCGCCCCGGAAACCTGGCAGTTTATTTCTGTCTCTGGGCCCCCTGTTTCCACAGAGTCAGTCCAGGAAGGCTGGCAGCAGCTGGCTCGGAGGGGTGGAGCTCCTGCTCTCTCAAGGGTCCAGCTGCCACCCTGCTCCCCTCCCCCTGACCTGCCAGGCCAGACAAGACTGAGGTGACACTGGGATAAGGGACAGGAACTGGGGGCCAGTGCTCAGAGGTGATACTGAATACCCTGAGAGGCCAGAGCCCCAACAGAGATTCCACCTGAGGCCAGGGAGTTAAGACTCCAGGGGAGGGAACCCCTGACTCCCCAGCCCACAGCCCAGATGTTCTCCCAGGCAGTCAGACTACACCCAGTTCAAGTCTGCTAAGGGTGTAACCTCTGGCGAGTACAACCCTACTTGTTCCAGATTATTCTGGCTCATAACTCCTCTGGACCCTGGTCCCAAAGAAAAGCCTGTTTCTAAATCTGTGCTGTCCAACATGGTAGCCACTAGCCACATGTGAGTGTGGCTAGTCAGAACTGGAATGTGCTGTAAGTACAAAATATACACCAGATTCTGAAGTCTTAATGTATTTTTTAAATATAAAATACCTCATTAATAATTTTTATAAGGCTTATACATTAAAATGCTAGTACTTTGGATATATTGGGTTATATAAGATAAATTGTTGGGCCAGGCACAGTGGCTCATGCCTGTAATCCCACACTTTGGGAGGCCGAGGTGGGTGGATCACCTGAGGTCAGGAGTTCGAGACCAGCCTGGCCAACACGGTGACACCCCATCTCTACAAAAAATACAAAAATTAGCTGGGTGTGGTGGTGGGCACCTGTAATCCCAGCTACTTGGGGGGCTGAGGCAGGAGAATCGCTTCAACTCGGGAGGTGGAGGTTGCAGTGAGCTGAGATTGTGCCACTGCACTCCAGTGAGGGCAACAGAGCAAGACTCCCTCTCAAAAAAAAAAAGAAAGATAAATTGTTAAAATTAATTCCACTTACTTCCTTTTATGTCTTTTTACTTTGTTTAATGTGGCTACTTGAAAATTTTAAATTACATATGTGGCTTCTCTTTTTTTTTTTTGACACGGAGTCTTACACTGTCGCACAGGCTGGAGTGAAATGGCGCTATCTCGGCTCACTGCAACCTCCACCTCCCAGGTTCAAGAGATTCTCCTGCCTCAGACTCCCGAGTAGCTGGGATTATAGGTGCCTGCCACCATGCCCAGCTAATTTTTTGTATTTTTAGTAGAGACGGGGTTTTACTATGTTGGCCAGGCTGGTCTTGAACTCCTGACCTTGTGATTCACCTGCCTCGGCCTCCCAAAGTGCTGGGATTACAGGCGTGAGCCACCACACCCGGACACATATATGGCTTCTATTATGTGTCTACTGGATAGTCCTGTTCTAAATCTTTTTTTTTTTTTTTTTTAAGACAGTGTCTGGCTTTGTCACTCAGGCTAGAGTGCAGCGGTATAATCACAGCTCACTGCAGCCTCAATCTTCTGGGCTCAATCTTCCCACCTCAGCCTCTTGCATAGCTGGGACTACATGCTACCATGCCCAACTAACTTTTTAACGTTTTTGTAGAGACAGGGCCTCACTACGTTGCCCAGGCTGGTGTTCTAGGTCTTGTGGGTTCTGGCTTTGGACTAAAGCTTTGCCTTCTCTGGATCCGTATCTGTGTGACTTTAGCTCACTCACTTTCTCATATCTAGACCACAGCCTTATGTGTTAGTCTAAATCTCACCACCCCACACCACCCCACCCCAGTTTTCCGTGAATCTAGGTTCAGCCAGAGATGATGGCTTAGTCTGCTTTATACACACTATTTAGTGCATTTCTTGTTCATCAATCCCCAATATCTAGATCCCAGCAAGAGTGTGACTATAGATCACCTTTCATGTTAACTTGCCATGGATCTAGGTTCCAGCCTGACATGTCAACATTGTTTGCTTAGATCACTGTCTAATTAGGTTTAAAATCTACACACCCCTCAGGAGGAATAAGGTTCTAGATCAGAGGTTGGCAAACTATGGTCCATGGCCTGTTGTCTGTTTTTATAATTCAAGTTTGATTGGAACACAGCCATGCTCATTCGCTTATGCACTGTCTATGACTGCTTTCAAGGTGCAATGGCAGAGTTAAGTACTACTCATGACAGAGACTGAATGCTTACAAAGTCTAAAATTTTTACTTTCCAGAATGACCATTTTAGATGAGCAACAAATCCAACCCACTATAAATTTAGATTCCAGCCCAAGACCATGGCCTAGTCTAATCTAGATCACCTCCTGCTGTGGTTCTAGACAGTGCTGCCCGCCAGGATCTAAAACCAGAGCCTAACATTGGTTCCCTGGTGCTTGGGTTCCAAATCCTACTCTGATCTCGGCAGATGGGCCCCAGGACTCCTCTCTGGGATGGAAAGGGTGTCTCTACTTCTTAACTCCCCTAGAGAGATCAAGGCCCATGGGCCCTTCTTGATGGCCTTGGGATGTGGGAGGGAGGGTAGATTCCAGAGACAGCACTGGAGGCTGAGTCAAAGAGTTAGGGGTAAGCCCTTCCAGAACAAGGGGGCAAAATATAATGAGGCCAAGAGATAGAGTGGCCCCACCTCCACCCCTTCCCAGCAGGCTCCAGAGCAGGTCACTTAGCTGGGGGTCATGTGGGACAGATACCAAGCCCTCTGGAAGCCAGGCCAGGGGGCTCTAAATGAAATCCGCATCTCCAGCCCCTTACCTCCAACTACCTGATGCGTCGTCTCTCCTCAGAGCTGAGCTGGCACCACTACCCCTCTTCCCTTTTCTCCTGCTCTGCTATCTCCACGGCTTTCTTTGAAAACCCTCCCATACCTGTCCCCTTCCCTGCCATTTCTTCTTCCTGAATCCTAGAATCCTTGGCTAACCTTTGTGGTTAAGATCTCAGGGTCTGGATCTGACAAGCCCAGGCTTAACTTCCAACCCTGACTGGGCAAGCCACTTCATCTCTCTAGGCCTCCTCAGTTTTCTCGTCTGTAAAATGGTAACTATTTCACAGGTTGTTGTATAGCTTTAACAAGATCATGAGGTATATTGCTCTGCCCAGTGCCTGGCACATAATAAGCATTTAATGCTAGCTGCTATTTTTATTACTATTGATCATCTAGCTTAGTTCCATAGATGGACTTCACAGGTTTATAAACCTCACAACATTTTAACCAACCAAAAACTTGGGTTTTTTTTTTGAGATGGAGTCTCGCTCTGTCGCCAGGCTGGAGTGCAGTGGTGCCATCTCAGCTCATTGCAACCTCCGCCTCCCGGGTTCAAGCGATTCTCCTGCCTCAGACTCCCGAGTAGCTAGGATTACAGGTGCATGCCACCATGCCCAGCTAATTTTTGTATTTTTAGTAGAGACGAGGTTTCACCATGTTGGCCAGGCTGATCTCGAGCTCCTGACCTCAGGTGATCTGTCCACCTCAGCCTCCCAAAATGCTGGGATTACAGGTGTAAGCCACCACGTCCCGCCTGTTTTTGTTTTTGAGACAGGGTCTCGCTCTGTATCCCAGGGTGGAGTGTAGTGGCGTGATCATAGCTCACTGCAGCTTCAACCTCCTGGGCCCAAGCAATCCTCCCACCTCAGCCTCCCAAGTAGCTGGGACCATAGGCATGTGCCATCACACCTGGCTACTTAATTTTTTATGTTGCCCAGGCTCAAAACTTTAAAAAAATATATTTTTAAAAAAAATTTTTCTGGAGAGAAAGCCCCTAGGTCTCATCATCTTCTCAAAATGGGTCCTTAGCCAAAATGGTAACCAAGAGAAAAAAAAAAAAAGGCAGGCACGCCTTTAGTTCAATCCAAATGGGAAAATAGAGGTGTGTAATAAAGAAGGGACCCTCAGAAAATCTGGGCAGATCCAAGGCCAGAACCCAGGGGTATCCTCTCCCAGGCCCTACTCCTTCCTCCAGTCCAAGTGGTCTCTCTGATCTGACCTCATCATGTCTCACCTACTTGGCCATGACAGCTTCCTGGTGGGCTCCCCCACCTCCAGTCACCTCCTCTGAATCTCTTCCACCTCGAGCTAGCTACATCTTCCTCAAATCCCATTCTCATGACTCTGCGTGTCTGCCCTGAAACCTTTAACAGCTCCCTACTGCTGACGACAACATCAAGGCCAAGGTCTTTAGCCTGACATTCAGGGGCCTTCAGAGCCAGCTTTGGCCCCACCAACCTCCTGGCTGTTCTCTCTCATCTGGTCAGCGGGGCTGACTTCTTCCTCTCCTCTCTTCCCCTCCCCTGAGTCTCAACACCACCCACACACTCACTCCGTTCTGGACAGATTCTGCCCCTTTGCTCAATCACACAGTGTCTCAGGCCTCCCCTGCTATGCCCTTGGGATTGCCTCTGGGTCCAGCCAACCTCTGAACTCACCCTGATTCCGCCAGACCAGCAGAAGCTGGCCAGGCTTGGCTCCAGGAAACAGGCCTCTGCCCCTGCTCTCCAGCGCAGCTCCATCCCTGGACATTGACCCACCTCGGCACTGCCCACACCCCTCCAATTCCCATCATCTCTTTTCATCTATCCTCTAGACTTTCAGGAACAGAACAGCGAATCCCACAGGGAGTTAGCAGGTATAGCACTGTCCTCAAAGTCATGACTCTTGACTCAGTCAGATTGTTGTCTTCAAGCCACACTGTCCTTATCTATAAAATTGGGATGGCAATACCTGTATCTCACTTGATTCTCACAAGGAATAACTGCCTTGTAAACTGGAAGGTGCTTTTTCTACTAAAACCTGCTATACAAATAAGAGTAACAACAGCCTCCATCTGTACATTGATTTAAAACTGCAGTAACCCTGTAATGTGGGCATGCCCAATGCCCCTTCTCTGATTCATTTTCCTCCTTGGTACATATCACCATCTAACGACCATTTATTTCACTTGTTTTTACATTAACTGTCTGTTTTACCCTCTAAATGTAAGCTCCTTGAGGGCAGGGATTTGTGTCTGTTTTGTTCACTGCTGTGTGTCCTAGAAAAGTGCCTGACATCAAGTGTGCACTTGATGGTTAAGGAATGAATGCATGAGTCAAGTGCTTACTGCATGGCAGGCACTGTGCTAAGCACTCCTCACAGAGCATCTCATCGGAGGGGTCAGGTACTTTGATGACCCTGTGTTTTGGAGATGCGATGTTCAGTTGACTTGCCCTGTTCACATGGTGGGACACAACTTAGCTAGGATTGGACTGCAGAGCCTGCCTTCTTGATCACTATACTGTAGTTTCTGTCCAGATGGGGGTTTATTTCTATTTCTCTTTTTTTTGAGACGGAGTCTTCCTCTGTCACCCAGGCTGCAGTGCAATAGCGCACTCTCGGCTCACTGCAACCTCCGCCTCCTGGGTTCAAGTGACTGACGAGTAGCTGGGATTACAGGTGCCTGCCACCACATGGGGTTTCACCATGTTGGCCAGGCTGGTTTCGAACTCCTGACCTCAGGTAATCCGCCCACCTCAACCTCCCAAAGTGCTGGGATTACAGGCGTGAGCCACCATGCCTGGCCGTTTATTTCTATTTCTACATTAGCTAAGCCTCTCGAATCTGTCACCCTCCCTATGTCCTTGAGGCCACCAGCCCTCCCAATCCTCATCCTGATCTCACTCAGCAATTTCCTCCCACTTCTGAGCCCTAAGCCGCGTTCATTCTCACCTCAGGGCCTTTGCTGGTGCCCGGCACCCTGCCTGGCATGCTCTGGCTCCCCCATCTCTTTCAACTACCCATTTCTCAAGATTCACCTCTTCTGGGAAGCCCTCCCTCCAGACTTCACTTGTTCCCTTCCCTGAGCTCATGTCTTGTTGTTTATTGCTGAGAAAACCCACTCGGGGAGTGTATGTTGATTTGGTTCATTCTCTAATTGTTTCCTGAAGTTGAAGGCCTTGCCCACCTCTGTCCTTCCTTTCTATTCCCCCTGTCCCTCTCCTGGCCAGGTCTCTCCCTCCTTCCTCTGCTGGATCAATGCCCTCACCCCTAACCCGTCTCTTAATCAGGTTTAAAGCTTTGTGACTAATAGTGTGGCTTTTGAGTCTCTCACACTGCAGCTCCACCCTCTCCCTATTAGCTGTGTTTCCTTGGGCATGTCACTGTACCTCTTTGAACCCGATTCCTATCTGTGAAATAAGGATAATATGAGCCCCTGCTTCATGAGCAAATGTGCCTGGCACATAGTAACCACTAAGTATCAGCTCTTTATTATTTCTATAGCATCTTATCATTTCACTTATCTCCATTCTGAAGGCTTCAGCCTCCTCTCTGCCTCCTTCCCAAGCAGTTGTCCCCTCTTTCCAGATTATGGTGGTAACAATAAGATTGCTAACATGACCCCTTATGATCTGCAGTGACTGGAAACATGTCTGGCACCCAGCAGGTGCTTCATATTAGTTGTTGAATAAATTAATTAGCTAATTTAATCCTCACAACACCCTATGGAGGAGAGGAGAACTAGTATTATACTCATTTTACAGACAAGGAAATCAAGGCCCAGAGAGGGAAAGCAGCTCCCAGGGGCTGGGATTTAAACCCAAGCCGTCTGACTCCAAAGTCGGGACGCTCACTGCCCATTCCATCCTCACCATTCCCATCCTTATCTGCTCTGATGCCAACCCCAGGGAGGGACCCTTTCTTTCTCCAGGTATTGGATCTTAGCATCTAGATGGATGCTCACTGAGCCCCTGCTCCAAAGCTAAACCTTCATGTTTTATCTCATTTGAGCCTCACAAAACCCTATAGCATCAATGCCATTATTATTTCCCCTCAACAGGTGAGGAAACTGAGGCTCAGAGAGGAGTCAAGTAACTAAGGACACACAGGATTCAAAGCCCAAATTCTTTAAATGACATGATTTTTTTGCAATGTTTTTCTCTTATTGTTTTATCCCACTGTTGAGAATTGACCACACCTATCAGCCTTGTTTTTCCAGTTAGTTGGGCAGCAAGCTCTCTGAGGCCAACCCTTCCACCTCTCCCATTGGTGGCCAGCACTGTAGCGGGGTGAGCTGTGCTCTATAGAGGCTTCTGAACCACTGATCTGCACACTCCTAGCGAGGCACAGCCTGACACTCTGCCTGTTTCCCCCACAGCACTCTGCCTTATCACCCCATCAAACTTAGTGTTGGGAAGGGCAGGGCTAGGTCTCCCCTTCGGCCTAGACTAGAGGCTCCCCAGAGATGCCTTATCCCCCAGGAATTCAGGGCTCCCATCTCCTACTTAGGGCATCAAGGGGGCAGGACAGGACAGGCGTGGTGGCTCACACCTGTAATCTCAGCACTTTGGGAGGCCGAGGTGGGCAGATCACCTGAGGTCAGGAGTTCGAGACCAGCCCGGCCAACATGGTAAAACCCTGTCTCTACTAAAAATACAAAAATTAGCCGGGTGTGGTGGCAGGCGCCTGTAATCCCAGCTACTTGGTCTGGGCGACATGGCAAAACCTCGTCTCTACTAAAAACACAAAAAATTAGGCAGGTGTGGTGGTGCACACCTGTAGTCCCAGCTACTTGAGAAGAGAATCACCTGACCCTGGGAAGTCGAGGCTGCAGTGAGCCGTGACTGCTCCACTGCACTCCAACCCGGGCAACAGGAGTAAGACCCTGTCTCAAAAAAAAAAAAAAAAAAAAAAGAAGGAACAAATGAACAAACAAGGACTCTGGATCCTAGCCTTCCAAGTTCAAAGGGCGGCTCCACCACATACTGACTGTGTGACCTTGGGCAAGTCACTTTACCTTTTTATGCCTCAGTTTTCTGATATATGAAACAAAGACACTAATAAAAGGGCTGCAATAATAATTAAGTGAAGATCTGTTTATAAAGTTGGAATAGTATCTGGAACATAGTAAACACTATATACATGTTTGTTAAATAAATAAAAGTTGAGCTCCACCTAGCTCTAGAAAGGTTCCTGTGGTAGGGTACAGAGCTAGTGACAAAGCCCCTGTTCCAAACAGATAACTGAAGACACACAAGGAAACGGGAAGAGGTAGCAGAGACTGCACACCTTCGAGAAGCCCCTTGTGGCAGGGACCCCCTCCTCCTCCCCACATCCTCCAGAGGCAGAGGACCCCATTTCCCGGCCTAATCAGTCTTCTGACCTAATCCCCCCACCCTAGTCCTCAAGCCACTTCCCCTCCCCTTCCTCCAACTGTTAACTCTTTCCATGCAATCAGACTGTGGCCAGAATTCAGGCCCTGCTGCTTAGTTGCTATGTGACCCTGGGCAAGTTACTTAGCCTCTCTGAGCCTCAGCCATCTCCTCTATACAAGGGGTTAATCCCCCTGGAGGTCTGTCCTAGGGATTAATGAATAACTGAAATCATACCCCCGGATATGTCCATAGATACTAAGACATGCTGGTGTCCCACAGGCCCGACAATGTGGATGGGCATGCTGTCTGGGCACTGGGGTGGGGGAGAGGGGAAAGGAGCTGCTGTTAAAAACTGACCCCCAACTTCAAAAGTTTCCCCAAGGGTGCCTAAGCGCCATCCAAGGCAAGCTCCCCATCCTTCCAACTACCATCCTATGACATCAAAATACTGTTTCTTGAGAGACAGGCAGGGGCCTCAGGTCAGGCCCCTCATTGCCACAGTCACTACTTCCAAGGCCCTGAAGCAGACCTGGGCGAGAAGAGGGAGGGAAAGGAGGAGCCACAGGTGAGATGGGAGGAGAGGACCCCTGGTGGAGAGGACCCCTGGGATGAGACAGGCAGAAGGGGAGAGGGACAGGCCTCCAAGGACCTCCCTCTCCCCCACAGCTAACCCGGCAATCACCTGGCCCAGCCTTCCACCCATTTGAAAAGGAAGAGGAGCCAGCGGCAGTAGGTTATGATAGGCGATTACCCGTCATTAATTAATTAAAATAAACAGCAGATTAAATACAGCAAAATTAAAATAGCACAGGAAATTAATTCTCTCCTAGCCCTACCTCACAGGTGAGATGCTTAAAGGGGCCCTTGAAGCCAGGATCCAGGGCAGCTTGGGCTGGAGGCGTGTGTCACCAAAACCTGCCTTACACCACAACTCCCGGCAACCCCAAATATCAAAGGCAGAGCCCAGCTACCCATAGGCACCCACCTGGCTCTGCCACCCCAGATTGGCCTCCTGGCTCCTTATCCCCAGGGCACTCCAAGCCCTGCTCCCCAGTCAGTGGGCAGGAAGGGTCCTGACACCCTCTAGGTCGGGGGGTTGGACACTGGGCCACATCTACCACCACACAGGTCAGAGCAGAAGAAAAGAGGCACCCTGGTCCTCTCTTCTGGGTCCCCTCTGGGGCTTGGAGTCAGGTCTCGGCAAGACCCCCCTCTTCTGTGCTGAGGCCCTGGCCCCTCATTTGGAGTGCCCCAAAATCCATCTCTGAGGACCCCTCACTTTCCTCCACTTTTGGCTTAGGATGCTCTGGAAGAAAGTACTGCTGAGGCCCAGAATCCCAAGCCAGAAAAATGCCTGACCCAGTTGGCTAGACCAACCAACCCCTAGGACGTGATGCCAGAATTCCCTCCTACACAAGACTAATCGGCTCATTGCACAGATGGGGAAACTGAGGCCGGGGAAGACAAGGCATTTTGTTTGTGGTCACCCAGTGACCTAGTAGGAGAGCCTGAAGCTGACTCTCTAAGGGGTACATTCCATGTCACACTACAACACTGGATTTTCAGAGGGCGGCTCAGTTCCATGCTGCCCTCTCCCAGCCTAGCCTCTGAGGCCTCGCCTCCATAGGCCCGTTCCACAACTTTCCCTTCTGTCCTACGCAGCAACTGGTTAGACCTCAACCAACCTCAGTTCCTGCCCTCGGCCTTGCTGTTCACCTAGCTTGCTTGGAAGCTCCTTCCCCAACTTCTCCCTGCCCAAATTCTACCAGCCAGCTCAATACCAGTTCCTCCATGAGCCACCCAGAACCCTGACAATTTCCTTTAAGCTTCTGGGGTGGAGGTGAAGGTGAAGACTCACTCTCTGCTGTCTGTGTGATATGGTTATCAGGTGAGCTTTCTGTAGACTAAGAAAAGAGTCTGGGCCCCAGCAGCTGGCACAGTACCCAGCCCTCAGAAGATGCTCAGTAAATCTCTTCATCTGATGTCCCCCCATGTCCAAGTGATAACTGACAATAATGGCTATTATTTATTGAGCAGCTACTACAAGCCCAACACCTGTACTACCCCATCCTTGCACGACGAACCTTGCTCATAGAGGTTGTATGACTTGCCTAAGGTCACTCAGCTCAGGAACTGGAACCCCACTGATCCTTAACCCTAATTGAATCTCCTCTCCATCCTACTCACCACTTCTAGGTTAGACCATCATCTCCCACTTGCACTTCCAAAGCCCCTCAACTAGCCTTCCTGCCTCCAGTCTCTCCCTCCCCTGGTCCTGCCAGCAAAGATTTCCCATAACCCCTTGAAGCCCACTGGATAAAACTGAAGCCCCAGAGCATGGCATCTGCACGCCGTGACATCTGCCTTCTGGCCTCTTTGCAGTGTCTCCTCTGGTCTGTGAACGTCCCTCCGTTTTCTCAGCATAACACACTTGATTCACTTTCAGGCTTTGCATATGCTATTCCCACTGCCTGGAACACCCTTCCACGCTTCCTCTTATGAATTCCTACACATCTCTCAACATCCAAGATCAAGGGTTACTTTACAATGGAGTTGGAAGAGACAGGCAACAAATAGGCTGGTCACAAAACTGAGAGCCTGTGAGGGAAGGGCTCATGTCCATCTTGGTCACCACAGTATCCCCAGGGCTTAACTCATCATCAATGCTCAATCAATATTTGTTGAATGAATCAATGAATGCTCTGTATAGACCTGCTGACTAAACAGAGGAATGACAAAAGAATACAAGGCCACAGCAGGCAGGGCCGGAGATAGACGGGGAGAGACTGAGGCCAGGAAGGGCAAGGACATGGTGAAGAGCAGTAACAAATACCGTCAGGGCTAATCTGCAGCAGGCCACACTCTTGGCAGAGAGAGTGTTTATGAGAGACAGAGGAAGGAAAATGATGGTGTGAGGGAGGCTCTCAGTGTGTGTGTGTGCACATGGGCAAGAAGAGGTGAGGACGCATGTGTGTGCTGCATTTGTGAATTGGCCTGTGTGAGAAGGCAGGGAAGTATGCAAACATGTACGTGTGTGTTTGTAGGGGGGCTGTGTACGCATGCCATGACGGCTTGGGTATGTATGGGTGTGTGTGAGGAAGGCTGTGTGTGCACAGGATGCCGTGTGTGTACATGATGGAGGTTGTGCACTTCTGCTAGGAGGGAGTGATTGAGAAAGACAAGAGGGAACACATGAAGGAAGGGTGAGTGAGTGAGAAACTATGTATGGGGGGGCTGTTGTTGTGAACATGTGCATGAGGAGATGGTGTCCCTGTGAGTGTGACCAGTGGGGAAGGTAGGTAAGAGGTTTCAGGGCTCTGCTGAGGGTGCAGCTGCCATGGCCTCGACCACAGGCCTGGTGCCAGAGGTGGGGGCTGGCCCTGGGCCCAGGGTGGGGGGTTCTGACAGAGCAGAAGATTCCTCAGAGTCCTCCCTGGAGCCACAGGCGCCAGATTACCATGTCCCTAGGCAGGGAGGTCGAGGACGAGGCCCAGATGTGCGTGTGCCTCTACATCTGTCCACAGTAAAACCTCTGGGCATTTCTTTGTCTTTGTCTGTGTCCGGGTGTGCACGCCTGTGCTCGTGTGAGTACCACTGGCTGTGTGTCTGTGCCTGTCTTTGTCTCTATATGTTTCTGGGCCTTTGTCTCAGTGTGTGTGGCTGGTGATCTATGCCTGTCTGCATGGCAGTGTCTGGTTTTGTGGGTGTCTATGTGTGTCCTAGACTCCATGCATGTCTAAGTACAGAGTGCCAGCATCCTGCTGGACTACTGTTTGCATTTGTGGGTCCATGCGGCCTTGGTGTGAGTGAGGGCACATTGTGCTTTTGAGACTGTGGGTCTAGGCTTCGGTGTATCTAAGCGTGTGCTTGTGTTTCTGTATGGGAGACTATGCCATGTGTTGTAGTATGGAGATGCTTATCTAGGTCTGTGTGATGTTTGTGAGACCAAGGATATGTGTGTGTCTGTATCTGTGTGTTGGGTGTGAGGGGTTTGTCACAGACTGGTGAGCAAGTTAATCTCAGACTCTGTGACACGTGGAATAAAATCACGCTCCCATAATGGGATCATTCGTCTTCCTGTCCAAGGAGAGAACCAACCCTTCACCCTCCGCCCTGGGGGAGCCAGTGGGGCCAGGGCCAGGCACCGGCCCCCACCCAGGCCGCCTTCTGCCCTCAGCACCCCCACCCCCTCCTCTGCTGCACCAGGCTCATTCTGCCTCCAGAGTGCCCTAGTGCCCACTGTGGGCTGGGCAGGGCTCCAGGACATGTGACTGGGCCTTAGAGGCCTGTCCTGGGCCCCCTGCCCCACCCACTGCTGAGGAGAGCCCTGCCCTGAGATGAGAGCTGGGGGTACAGGAAGGACTCTTCGGGCCCCTCCTTCTCCTGGAGGGGAGGGATGAGCTGCAGGCCCCGGCCGGGATTTTCCATCTCTCAGCAACAAGATTCCTGGTGAGCAGGCTGCGGGGTTTGGCAGCGCGCCTGCTGGAGACCCGCCCTCACCCGCCAGGATGCCTGGGTCCCTGGGGCCAGGCAGCAGCGAGTTCCCTGGGGAGCTGGGCGGGGAGGCCCACAACTCCAACCTACTGTTTGCCTGGGCCTGTGGGAAGGCCAGACCCTTCCAGGCCCACACCTCCCAACCAAAGATGGCTTCCCAGCACCCCCAGGCAAACTATTACCCTTCCTCTGGCCTCCCCTAAGCCCCAGCCTTAGCTTAAGAAAGTATTCCCAGGCCAGCCACCCAGCACCACCCACCCCCACCACCCCTCAGCACACACCCAGCCTGGGTTCTGCACCTCACCTCCAAGTCCGAGGGCTCTCAAGGTGAGTGTTTTGCTTCTCTCAGACTTGGGGGGTCTGAGGACAAGGCTGTGTGTCCTGCATCTGTTAAATCCCTCTTGGTCTTAGCTCTCCTTCCTGGCTGGGCTGAGAGGCATCAGGAGAGGATTTAAGGTCCAAAGTTGGGGAAACTGAGGCAGTGAAGCCCTCCGCCCTACTCATCACAATGAGTCAGAGGCAAAATCCAGTCATCTGGACTTGTCTTAATGCTGCCTAGCAATAGTGGCTGCAGCTCTTTCTTTCTCGTGGGAGGGTGCAATTTCCGGAGGGGATGAGCATCAGCTGGAGGGAGTGGGGAACAGGCAGGTGGGCTCCCTCAACCCCCAGCACCTTGGATGAGCAGTTGGAGAGCAGGTTTGCTAAGAGACTAAGGTTGAGGAGGAGAAACGAGATGCTCCATGATTTATGAGCCTAATTCTTTTCCCTTAAATTCCCCTCCAACCCCCACCTCCCAGCCCCAGCCTGGTCCCTCCAGGGCCATGCTGTGGCCCCAGGCCAATGTCAAAGCCCTAACCCATCCATCAGCTGTTGCCAGGGAGTTTCCACCCCAATGGGTTCCAAAGGGAGCGGCACAACTGACACTAGGGGCTCAGATTGATGGGGAGGGAGCATGGCCCTAAGGAGTCTGCCAACAGACCCCTGCACCCTCCTAGAAGCTGGGTGCTCACAACATCCAGGGAGGAAACTAGGCTGGTGGGTGGGGCCCAGGAGGAGGTAGCCTCCCCGCTCTGGCACCACACCCAGCCCTGCCCTTTCAAGAGGCCAGGAGACCTGGGATCCCACGGGGCCCTGCAGCTCACAGGGTGTGTGACCTTGGGTGGTGACTGCTCCTCTCTGGGCCTCAGCCTTCCCACTGCACAATGCAGAAAGTGGCTCAGATATCCCAGGTGACCACCTTTCGGCTCACCCCCCTTAGCATTAGGCCCTGCCCTCTGTCCAGAATCTGGCCCAGATGGGGTAAGGTCACAGCAGCTACCTGGAGGAGTCCTCACAGCCACCCAAGTCAGAGCTGAAGAGTTTATGGTGATCACCCCTCCACCACATGCCCATTTTCCAGTCCCTGAGAGAGGATCTGGAGTCTGCACCAAGACCTGAGTTTTACTGGTGGGGTGGTTAAGAGCACATGTTCTAGGGACATACAGACCCGGATTAATGCCCTAGCTGCACCAGTAACTTGTTATATGAAGTCCTGTGCCTTTTCTCAGCCTCAGATTCCCCATCTGTAAAATGGGGTAATAGTGCCTCTCTCCTAGGACTGTTGAGTTGAAATGAGAAAATGCATGCAAAGGCCTTGGCACAGTGCCTGACACATAATAAGTGCTTGAACAATGGTAGCGATCATAATTGTGGTTAGTATTAACATAAATCCAGTGGCCAGGGAGAAGGGGGAAGAGGGATCCCCGACCTGGCTGGAGGCGATCCAGCTTCATCCTTGAGCCAGGTCAGGACCCCCAGGGTCTCAGCCCAGAAGGGCCAGCCGAATTCCTCGAAGCCCCCTAGCTGTCTCCCCTATTTGTTAAAGGCCTCTCATTAGTGAGCCTAGGCACCTGCCCCTCCACAAGTAATAAGCCTCATTAGTATCTTAGCCCCAAGCTCTGAGCCCAGAGTCTATGTGTGTGCACACGCATGAGGGTAGGGGGCTGCAACAGGCCACCAGCCAGGAGACAGCATCCTCGCCAACCACACCCCCTGCCTGTCATCCACAGAGCCCGTCACCACCCAGCTTGTCACCTGCCTGCCTCGCACCCGCACCACCTGTCACCCACCCAGCTCGTCACCCACCCAGCCCATCACCTGCACCACCTGTCACCCACCCAGCCTGTCACCGGAGCCGCCTGACAGACATCTGGGTGGGGGACAGGAGATGGGGAGGAGAAGACCACA
The DNA here is from genome assembly GCF_000001405.40 of Homo sapiens. Classification (NCBI taxonomy): domain Eukaryota; kingdom Metazoa; phylum Chordata; class Mammalia; order Primates; family Hominidae; genus Homo; species Homo sapiens. The sequence continues at coordinate 27,592,457 of NC_000001.11, forward strand.
GGGGTGCGGAGCTGGGGGCCCCAGAGACCCTGTGGGACCCCCACTTCAGCTCGGCATCCTGCAGCATCGCCATGGCAACCTCTCAGCCGCAACCACTTTCCCAAACATCCCCCGCCCTCCCCCCCCCAGGCCCTGCTCTTAGCTGAGCTGAGGCTGAGAAGAGCCTGAGTGACAGCAGAATGGGGCAGGAAGGAGGGGGCTCCCCAGCTGGCTGGCCTTGACCACCCTTGCACCCCTCTGGACTCGGTTGCTCCATCTGCAAAATGGAGGGGCCGGAACGCAGGAGGCCCCTGTAGACAGGTCATCCCTCTCTAGCCTGGATTGGCTGAGCCGGCTGCCGGTTAACCTGTGAGGGCTGGGGGTGGGACGAAAGGACCCAGGGTTTCTGGGTTCTTCCGCACTCCTCTACCTCGGGCCCAGCTCAGAGAGGCTTGGGCCCCTGGCCCAAGCTCACACAGCAGACGAGGAGGCGCAGGCTGGACGGGAGAGGGGCTCTGCCAAAGGCCTGCCAGCTGGAGGTTCCATACTGGGTGACCCAAGGTGACCAGGGGCAGAGTTGGCCCCACCTCCGAGCTGCATTATTTATAAAACCCAGAGCAAGGAGCTGAGCAACAGCTGCGGTGCTGCCCCTCCAGGGGACACAGGCCTCGGTGGAACGGAGTAGACACGGTGTCTCCTCAGGGAAGGCCCCTAGGGTCCCGGGCTCCCTCCAGGGCTGGCTGGGGCAGGGGCTGAGGTGGGGAAGGGGGAGCAGCTCCGTCCCTCCCCTCCCCCTCCACTCCTCCAGGCAGGCAGCGATAGGATTACTTCTGCATGACTGCCCGCTCCACAGGGTTCCAGAGACCCTCCTGCCTGCAGCAATCTTTAAAATTCCTCCAGCCCAACCTCTCTCCCTCTCTCCCTGCAGTGAATGCCCCAGAGTCTACCGCAGTGTGCCCACTGCTGCCGCCACCACTACCCCCAGGCAGGCTGGGACCCAGGTCCCTGGTGTCCATGGGCAAAGATGGACCCATTCTCAGGGCGTAGCCGTGTGTCCCTCAGAACCCTAAGACCCAGGCCCTGGCCCATTCCCTCTGGCCCTTGGTGCTGCCCCAGTCCCACAGCCACGGCTCCAGCTGGGGTCAGGCATGCCAGCTGTGCCAGGGCGGATGGGCACATATGTGCAAACACCCCCGGTGGGTCTTGGCATGCCTGCCCATGGGCTTTGCTGCCAGAACCTGGCTGCCCCACCTCTGCTCTGAACCCCTCCCTATCTCACCAATCCCTGCTATCCCCCCAGGGTGGGCAGACAGCTGGGCTAAGCCAGTGCCTGCGGCTCCCCAGGGCACAAGAGGCAGGCAGGAGATCGATTCACTGAATTTTTTAAGGCCCTAATGGAGCCTGCATCCCAGGACTTGCTGGGCTGGGACACAGGCGATGTCTTGGGGACCCTTCCCACAGCACTGCAGTTGCTTCTTCTTTAGGGTCTTGGGGATCAGTGGAGCCCTTCTGTGAGCCTTCCCTCAGCAAGAGAGGAGGCACGAGGGACCTCTAGGAAAGAGAAGGGATTTGGGGGCTGTGAGCAATACCCAGAGCCCCCCTATCTCCCCAGTCCTAATGCAGGCAGAAGCAGCTCAGCCTCTAAATCACTCCCCTCATGCTGCCCTCTGAGGCGGATTCTGTGCATCTGTAATTAGGGGGTGGAACAGATGGTGGAGATTCCGTTTAAAATCATGCATCTAGTAAAGTAACCTTCACTGTCGGAACTGACTCCCAGGGAGACCAAGCCCCGCAGCCTGGATTTGGGGGTGGGGGGTAGTATGTCAATCCAGCACCTTCCCCATCCCTCTCCCTGAAGCCCCAGGCCCCATGTCCCTCTCAGGTGAGCCAAGGGGTTGGGGGAGGGAGGCAGTGATTTGGCAAGCACTTGAAAAAGTGTGGGCTGGGGGCAACTCCCCCTGTCCCTCTCTCCCACATACATGCCAGAGCCAGGGCAGGGCTGGGTACTGAGAGTTCCTGGCTGAAAGACCAGGATGACCAGGTGCCAAGGGGCTCTGCCCCCACCCCAAAGAGGCCCCAAACCTTTAAGCCCAGGCCAGGGTGCCCAGAGCACAGGGTCTTGGGTGGGGCAGCTTTGAACCAGATGTCCAGCCTCACTGTCCAGGAATGAAAGGCCTGGGGCGGTGAAGGGGTGGAGATGCCTCCCCAGGCAGAGGAGGCTCTGGGAAGAGCGGGAGGCCTGGGCAGCAGAGAGAGAGAGAGCGAGAGCACACAAGAGTGAGCAATGTGTGTGACAGGCTGAGGCTGTCTAGGGGAACAAGGTGGGGGAGAGGGTGTGCTGGAATGTGCCAACGGTGGGAGTGAGGGCTGCAGAAGGATTAGGCGGGGTATGTGACAGGGTGCCGTGGGGTGCAGGCGGAGCACAGAATGGGTGCAGGGTTGTGACTAGCTGAGGCTGTCTTTGTGTACAGGTGTGGTATCGGGGTGTTTGGAGAGGTGTAGGGGTGTCCCTGGGCCCTTAGGTGGCTGAGGAAAAGTACCGGAGCTGAGACTGTCTGGGAAGCGGTGGGGCCGGGCCATTAGGACTGCCTGTCGAGGAGGTGCCGGGATCCAGGAGGCAGTGTGCACAAGTTTCAGGAGGTATTAGAAGCTTCGGGGCCTGATCTGTTAGAGATATACTAGAACCGAAGCCATGTCTGTGTGTTTGAGGCAAATGTTGTGGCTACAGAGGGTGTTCTTGTTTGAGTGGGTGTTTGAAGCAGTGAGTGTATGTGTGTTGTAGGGGGAGGCTGTATGTTTGGAAAGGTATAGGGGATGATACCGGTGTTTGGGGAAGTGCTGAGCTATAGCTGGGAGAAACGTTGGGGGCTGTGGGCAGAGTGTGTGTGTCTGGGGAGGTGTCAGGGCTTTGAGGGTATGAGTCAGTGGGAAGGTAGCAGGGCTGTAGCTGGGTCCTGGGTGTATCTGGCAGTGTTGGGGTTGGATAGGGGGTTGATATGCTGAGGGTGTGATAGCTGTGTGTGTGTGTGTGTGTGATTGTGTGTGTGTTGGGGTGTTTAGGGATGTATTGGGGGGTCATAAAAATGTGGGTTTTGGTTAAGTACTAGGGCTGTGAACATGTGCCTGGAAAGGTGTTGTGGTTGGTGGAGGATGCACTGTGGTTTTGGGGAGGAGCTGGGGAGTGTCTCTGGAAAGGTTATTGGGATTTTAATTGGGTACCTGCAAGGGTCTGGGGAGGCGTTAGAGACCTGAGGTCCCTCCATACGTGGGAAGGGAAGAATGGGTCTCTGATATCAGAGATGTGCCACAGGCTATCGTCCGTGCATGCACAGGTATGAGGGCTGTAACCAGGTTCCTGGTGTCAGGGAGGTGTTGCAGGTTGTGGGTAAGCATGTGGTGGTTGTGTGTTTGGGGGTATGTGCATGTGAGGTAGCTGGATGTCGGGGGGTATCTGTATGTAGAGTGTGTGTGTGGAAGTGTGTGGGCTGGGTGTTGTAGGTGGAGCAGTTGTGTTTTAGAGGTGTTAGAGCTGTGAGTGTGTATGTGGGGCAGTTGTCTATTTAGAAGGTGTTGGGAGCTGTAACTGAGTCCCTGGACCCCAGAGAGGTGATGGGGCTGCAGGGTTTGTGTGTGTTAGGGGGGATGCCCCTCTGGGAGAATGAAGGGCAGCATCCTGGCCTTTGCTCCGGGGCCTAACTGGGGGCTACCCGCTAGAACCCCTATGGTATGGGGTGCCTGTGCGGGGGTGTTGAGACAGGCAGTCCATCTGTCTCAGCCTGTGCCCAGGCCCAAGGAGCAGAGCTGCCTCCTCGCTCCCTGGGGGGCAGCAGCGGATCCAAGCCCACCCATCTGCCTTCAGATGGTCGAGGCAGGAGCCTCCACAAAGCTGCCTGGAGGGCAGCACTGCGTTTGAAGAGACACAGGCTGGGGGTGGGGGAACTGCACAGCAAACAGTCCTCACGGAGGCTCCTTTAAAAACCACTGACGCCAGAAGAGAGGAAGAGGGAGGACAGGGGCGGGTATGTCTGTCCTTGTGCATCTGTGTGGGTCAGTGCCCAACTTCCAGGCCGGGGGCCCCTTCCCACGTGCTTGTGCTGGATGTTCCTGTTCAGGTAGCACTCAGGCCTTGGAAAACACTGCTCCAATCCAGGCAACAGGCTCCCAGCCTCACACCTGAACTACACCCTCATATCTGCATAGTCCCTACACTCACACGCACTCATACACCTTCCCACATGCATGCCTGCCACTGCACGCTCACACATGCAGTTTGCCCCATGCCCTTAAACCTTCATATATGTACCCCCATCACACATACCCCACCCTGCAAAACCCACAGTTACACACACCCATCTTACACACACACCTATCACATAAACGTGCATCCACACATACATACCTGACAAGTCACTCTCACACACACACCCACACACTCCACACACCTTGGAGCTCCCTGTCACACCCGTACCCTATCTCACATACACCCAGTCTCTCTCACACTCCATGAGGACACTCGCCATCCCTTCTACCTGCACATGCAAGCACATGTTTATACACATATGCCTCACCACCTTTGAGACAGCTCCCCACTACCCAAGCCACTGGGCATTTCTCTGTGTCCAGGTCAGGCCCTGAAGCTTTCCAGAAGGGCTCTCACCGACTGAGAGGACCTTCTGCCTCCCCACCTTGCCAGCCGGGTTAGAGTATGGGGGTGGGGGGCAGGTGGCAGGGGGAGGTTCTGTGTGCTCTGGTGTGACTGCCACTGTATGTAGGAGGGTGTCCCATGACAGGGCCTGTGAGTCAACACCTGTACAGGGAAGGAAGCACAGGTGCGTGTTCACCAGCTATGTTCGTGAGATGCAGAATGAGTGTGAGGGTGGAGATTTACATGTCACAAATTTGTGTGTGTGTGTGTGTGTGACAGTGTGAGAGTGTGTGTGTGAGAGAGAGAGAGAGAGAGACGCAGGGCCTGTGTAGACAGGTGTGACCGTGGGGGCTGCGTTTATACGAGGGGCATCCCCCGGGTGAATGTGAGGGGGTGTTTCCCAAGACAAGAGAGGTGCACATGTGCATCTGGTGCAGGGGTCAGGGCTGCAGGCCTCTCAGCAACCCCCTCCCCCTATGAAAAGAGGAGCAGGGAGCAAGGGGCTCTGGGCGGCTTCTCTCTCTTGCTCTTTCTCCCTGACCTCTTTAGCAGCTGGAAACTGAGCCGGGGGTGGAAGGAATGGAGACTTGGCTGGCCTGGGGGTTTGGGGAGGGAAGAGGGAGAAAACACCTTCCAGATTCTCATCAAATCCCTGTTTGTGGTTTGCAGCCTGCAGTCTTCTCCCTCCCTCTCCCTCCCTCTCTCTGTCTGTCTGGGTTTCCCCCTTTCTTTATCTCTTCCTGTCTCTCAGCCTCCCCATCTCTCTCCTTCTCCATCTCAGTCACTCTGTCTCCTTTCTTTTCTCTAAGTCTCTGTCTTCCATTTTTCTGCCTCCTCCTCTCTCTGCCAGCACCTCTGTCTGTCCGTCTCTCCCTGTCCCAGTCCATCTGTCCGTCTCTCTCCGTCTGTCTGTGTGTGGGTGTCTCTGTCCATCTGTTTCACCACCCATCTGTCTGGCTGTCTGTGTTAGTCCTTCCAAGGGTGCCCACTCGCTCCCCAAGGCACCCTCCCCCAGGTCAGCAAGGCCTCTCCTGGCTCAGGGGGTGGGGAGGGGGTGCAGAGCTGCAGCTTCTGGAAGCTTCAGTGGCAGCTGGGCTGAATTGGGAGTTCGGGGCCAGCCAGCTGCAGAAGCAGCCCCTCCCCTGGGCTCCCAGGCCAAGGACCCCAGAGCAGAAGAGGAGAGAAAACAGGGCCTCATTGCAGTTGGGTTTGTGTGTGTGGTGGAGGGGGCTGGAAGGGGGCTGGAGGGAGGCAGGGCCTCACTTTACTCTCACTTCACCATTGCCCCCGGAGCCAGGCCCTGCAGGAGAGGGATCCTTGATGCCCACCTTCCTCATCCCCTGGCCAATGGAAGAGATGCTGGGATCCAGGAGGGAGGGGCCAGGAGAGGCCAGGCCTTGGGCGAAGGAGGGGCTGGGAGCCAGGGCTTCCTGTCAGCTGGGCTGGAGGGGGGCTCCTTCCCTCCTCCTTTCCAGGCAGTCCCTGGGGACCCCTCCTGCTCTGGTCCCAGTTCCAGGCATGAGGGGTTGTTCTTGCCAACTGCACTGGGGCCATTCCCACCTCCATCTACCCATAGGGACGTGGGGGGATCACACCAGTGTCACCCCCACAACAGTGGAGGCTGGTTTTGGCCATGTAGTGACCCTGGCCCTGTCTAGGCACTGGCCATCCTGAATCTAGCACCTCACACACAAATATATACAGTGCATCCCAGTGCTCACCGCCTGCCCAAGCCCCCCAACACCAGCATCCACCGTCATGACATGAACGCAGAGACCAGCACCCTACCTTGCACTGGTGACAGCGCCCCCGTCACAAAGCCAGCAGCTTCAGACAGCATCCCTTAACATTCTCCCTGGCTACTCTGTCCCTGTCCCCCACTCCCTCTCCAATAGCTCACAGTCCAAATCCCACAATGGATGGGGAAACTGAGGCCCAAGAGGAAGGGATGGGAGGACACAGTCATCCCTCCTGAGACCCTGGGGTAGGATCATAAATGAGGAAAGAAGAAAGAGATGCTGCAGGGGCAGAATCAGGCTCCTTCCTGACCTACCATGGGTAAAGTCCATATTGGCTACACCCTCCACACAGCCCTACCACAGGGCCAGGGCCAGGGCCAGGGCCAGGGGCTGGCTCCCTCCCTCTCGAGCTCTCCTTGCCCCTGGTTGGGCCCCCTCCCTCTCCTCCCTTCTGAGCAGCCCTCCCTGCCCTCTCCCTCCCAGCTCTGGCTCTCTCATCCTCAGCTCTTGGAAGCCTGACTCACTGTTTCCCCTCCTCTCTCGCCTCCCTCCCTCTCTCTCCCGGCAGCAGCGGCGCCTCCCCCTCCCCTGGGGGGGCTCTGGCCACAAGGGTGCCTGCCTGCTTCTCTCCCCAGGCTCCGGCCCCCTCCACTCCCAGGAGGCCCCCTGCAGCTGTTCCAATTCTCTAACTACAGTGAGGTGGAGTGCAAACAGCCCAGGTCCCAGCCTGGTCTTGCCAAAGGTATCTGTGACCCTGAGCAAGTGGCTCCTCTCCCTAGACTTGGCTTTCTCTCGTCAAACAAGTGGGGGGCGTCCAACTGGATGATGCTCCTGGCACCTCTGGGACCCTAATGTTTCCCGCTTTTATAACCTGGGTGTCTTTTGGCACAGAGCACCTGACAACCTGTAGGGTGCAGTACCTGCCACAGGCCACGCCCCCCCGGGTCCCAAGAAAAGCTCAGCTCTGTTCCAGGCATTTGGGGAGGGCAGAAGGGAGATGCTACCCTGGGACCTGAAACATTTGTTGAAAACCCTGGAATCTGTCTCCCCATTCTCCCTCCTCCTGTGAGAGTCTCTCTCTCTCTCCCACCTGTCCTCCTCCCTCTTCCCAAACATCTGCTTGTCTCTCCTCCAAAAACAACCCCAGAATCTGATCTTGGGTGAGAGGACCTCAGGGCTGCCTCCTCTCTGGCTCCAGGGAGGGGAGTGGTATATTCCTAGGCCTTCTTGGTCCCCGGCCCCCACCTCCAGGGGCTGTAATTCCAGATTTTCTTGCCTGTTTTCTCTTTCACTCTCATCACTGGCTTTGGTCTCCATCTTTCTCTCTCTTCACCATGCATGTGGTTGTGGGTCGCTCCCCCGCCCCCCTCCCTGGGGGGGGCCCATCTGCAGGCATTAGCAACAATGTTACCCTTGCTTCCTCCCATAGTCCCCAGCTCCACTCCATCCTGGCTTCCGCCTCCCCACTCTGTCCCAAGAGACCCAGGGGACCCAGAGACAGAGCTGGGCTCCATCCCATAATAGTGAGTCTGCTTGACCTCACCAAGCCAGACCAGAAGGGCCTGGGCATCTGGTACACAGGCATGGCACCCCCTGGTCTTGGGTGGCTGGCATGAGACACAGAGCTCTGTGTTCTACAAACCAAAAAAAAAAAACAAAAAAAATTGAAATTGACCTGGGGGTGGGACAGAAGAGGGGAAGGGGGAAATGAGGGAGATCAGGTTTGCCTGGAGGAAGCCCCTGTCCAATGGGGAACAGAAGCATAGAGGTGGGAGTGGTTCAAAGTCAGTGCTCCAGGCTGATTGGAGAACAACAATGTCCCTCTGGGGCTCTGCCAGTCCAGAACAGCTCCCCCTACCCAAATGTCTTCTGCCAGGGGCAGTCTGCCCCTCAAGCCTCCAGCACAACCACAGCAATCAGGTGGAGACCCCATCTTTTAACCTTTTGAATCCAAGTCCAACTTCCCTACTGTACACCTCCACTTAGCTCAGCAGGGGGTTCCAGAAGCCTCCCAGCCCAGATCTAAGCCCATGCAGTGGGGGTAACAAAGTCCCCCAGCTCCCAAACCCCTTCCCCAAAGGCCCCATCAAGGGCTGGGGAGCAATGCAAAATAACCCCAGAACCCTCACGCATTGAAACTGAGAAGCTATGCTGTCCCACAGCGCCTGAGGGTGGTAGGGGCTCCCTGCCCCCACGACCCTGTTCCAGACCCCCCAGCCCAGCAACAATAATAAACAGCAAGCTCTTTTTCTTTATGACACCAAATTTCTCCAAGCCCAACAGCTCCTTCCATCACTACCTCAGCCATAGATCACATTAAAAACTCACAGAGGGCAACTTAAACACATCACATTTGTTTCTCTCTATATTATTTCAAAAGTAACGGCATTAAAAATGGATTTTACTACAGAAAATAAATATCGGCACGTGGGCTGGGAGCCCAGGCGGAGGAGAGCGCCCACCAGGGGAACGTTCCTGAGGGCTTGGGCACAGTTAGGCACTGACCAGACTAGAAAGGCCAGACTACACCTTGGGCTTGTGGGTGATTCCTGGGGAGGGGGCAATGCCTGCCCACCTGGGCATCTGCCCCAAAGCCAGATGAAGAAGGACAACTCACTGGTTTGGGCTGGTAGCCACTGGTCCCCCAAAGCTTATGCCCTTACTGGTCTTTGCAACCCCTGAAGAGTGGGAGCTCTGGGGCCAGAAGTTCACCAGTCTCTGGGGATTACTCCAACTATTGACACAGCAGGAGAAAAAAATGAATTCAACTTACTATCCAGTTTGATTTTCCATTACTATAAAAATAAATATACATCTGCTCAAAGGAGGGAGATGGCAAGCAGCATGCACATGCCACCTGGGGGGTCCCCCCACAACCCAGCCTTCCTACCCCCCCACCCCAGGTTGGGGGACAGACTGGTAATCTTTCACTTACAGCCCCAGCTCACACAGCCACACAGAACAGGAACAAGCCAACAATAGAAACACCCCAAATGCCCCTGGCAGGACTCTGCCCAGGCCCGGGCACATGCCCCCGCCCAGCCGGCGGCGACAGCAGCAGCGGACAAAATGTGGCCACCCTGACCCGGAGGCAAAGCTTGTCCTCACACCCTGAGCTCTGCCCAGGGAGCTGGGGCCAAGTCCCGCCTGACACCAACTGGTCCGGCGGGAAACGCCTGCCCAGCCAGACAGGCACAGGCCCCCCAAGGGTCCCTCCTTGTGCTCAGGGACCAGGCTGGTACAGTCCGGCCCTGCCTCCCAGGGTGACGCCTGGGCCCAAATTCAGCTGGCCCTGCCAGTCAGGCACTGGTGCAGAACCGAGGGCACCAGGCTCAGCCCCTCCCAGCCCAGCCCCAGGGCCCCCAAGCTGGGAGGGAGGGGAGACTCCCCACCCCTCCACATCTGGCCCTGGCCCCCAGGGTCTGCGGTAGAGAATTCCCGCCCCCGCTTCTCTCCCTCCTCCCGCTCTGTGCCCGCTGCCCGCCTCAGGGACAGCCCCAGCTCCCGCCTCCGGCCAGCAAGGCCCACATCCTTCCTCCCTCAGCTGGCCCCTTCGCCTGGCAGGAGGCTGGGGGGTCAGGCTGCTGGGGAACCCCCCCAAGCTCCCATCAGTCCTCATCCCCAGCCCCCAAACTCTGGGTTGCTGTCCCTTTTCCTGTAGAACAGGAAACAAGGTTATTTCCTAGACTCAGAGCCAGCCCCCTGCCCCTCTGGCTCTGCCCGGGGACCCAGACCCAGCAGGGGAAGGCGCCCTCAAGCAGCGAGCAGAGATTCAGCAATTCACCCCAGCTCCCTGCCTAGGGGGCTGACAGCTGTCACTCAGCACCCCACCCCCTGGGGAAGAGGGGGCCGATTCAATCAGAGCCCCAGAGGAAACGCATTGATAGGCGATTATTTATTTATTTATGCAAAAGTGAGCCGACTTTGTTCGCCAGGTAACCGGGCACGCGGCCCAACCCCTCCAGCCCTAGCCGCCCCCAAATCCCTCCTCCGCCCCACACCCCCTCCGGGTCATTAGGTCCCCGCCCCTCAACTCCCCGAGAGCCAGTGGATCCTAGGGATTTGGGGGTTGGAGGGGAGGGGCTCCTCCCTCCGCAGTCTCCCCTTTTCCCAGCGCCGATCCTAAAATCCAGCCTTGTTCTCCGCTCCCACGGTCCCCCCTTCATTCCCCCCCCCCCCACATTCTCAGCAAGCTGGAGAGCAAATTGCAGTTTTAAATCCAAAGGCGGAGGGAGGGGGAAGGAGGAGGGGGCGCGCGGCAGCGCTGGGCGCGCACCTCGCCCCCGAGCCGGGGGAGCCGCGGGGCGGCCAGGAAACCCGAGAACCCCCCCTCCCCGCCCCCCCTCCCCGTCCACCTCCCCCTCCCCCTTCCCGGCGCTGCCTGCCAGGCTTCGAGCCGAGCCCAGCCGAGCCGCGGGCCCCGGTGGAAACAAAGACCGATCGCACCGCGGGCACCGCAGCCACCGGGTCCAGCGGACCGGACCGGGGGACGCAGGCCCCCCCCGTGCGCTGCACAAAAGAGCCTGGCCGGCCGGTCCCCAGCGGGGGTCTGGGGCTGGGGAGGAGGCGCCACTCACCGGAGTGCTGGGCTGCCGGCTCCGTGGGTCCGAGCCAGGCGAGGGGTTTTGGGGGACGTCTGTCTTCCGGCGGTGGCAGCGACGCGGGCGCCCGGCTGCTGAGGAGAGGAGTCGTGGAGGAGCCCTGAGCCGCCCGCCGTCGCTGACAGCATGGCTCGCGCCTCGGCTCACATTCTCCGCCGCTAACTCCGCTGGACACGGCCCCCCGCTCCCGCGGCGCCCCCCCACCTCGATCACTCCTTCGCTCTCTCTGCGCCCCCCTCGCCCTCCCGCCGCGCACACACTCTCCCAGCCCTGGACACCCCCGCCCCCACCCCCCCCAATAGCAAACCTGGGAGGGAACGCGCCCCGCGTAGTCCTCCTGCTCCTCCTCCTCCGCCCTCCTCCCTCCCGCTCTCTCTGGCTGTCTGTCTGTCTCTCAGACTGTCTCTATTTCTCGCTCTCTCTGCCTTTCTCTGCTCTCCAAGCTGGGTGGGAAAAGGAAATGAGGACAGAAAGCAGACGCTGGCTTTGGGTGGTGGTAGCTGGATTCCCTCTCTCCCTCCCTCCCCCTCCTCCCCTCCCTCCTCCTGCCTTCTGCTCTCTCCGCTGCGAGCGGGGCTGAGCGCAGCCTGGCGGGTGGCTCGCTCTGCCCGCCCGCCCGCCTGTCTGTCTGTCTGGTCCGCCTCGCTCGCTCCCTCCCTCCGTCTCTCGCCCTCGCCCTGCCTGCCTGCCTCTCTCCGTCTCCGCCGCCGCCGCCGCTGCCTCTGCGAGCTCGCCTTACCTTCGCCGCTCACCATCCGGAACCCCAGGGGGGAGCGCGCGCGCGGCACGCCGGGACTTGTAGTCCCCGCCCCGGCCGCTCCGCGCGCGGGGAGGGCGGGGCCGCGCCGGCTGCTCCGACGGCGCGGCCAGGAGCCCCGGGGACCCCGCGCCTGGGGCTCGTCTGGCTGGAGCGCGTCCTCGTTTACCAACGGGCGAAGATCCTCCCCAAGGGTTAAGAATGGTCCCTGTGTTCCTTGTCTCCACCGGGGGGCTCTGGATCGAGCGGAGGTTGCGGGTGGGAGTGAAGGGGCGGGGTCTGAGAGTGGAATGGGAGTGGAATAGGGAACCAGGGGATTAGCCAAAGGGGCTGCGACTTTCTGGGGCGTCCCAATTAAATGGGAGGGGGAGAGGGCAGAGGAGAGGACCGGCTCTCTCAATCTGGGGACGTTATCCTTTTCTGAAAAGGTTTCTTATTGAGTAAAGCTCAAGTATATATGGCGGGAGGGCTGCTGGGGCGGGGGAGCGGGGGAGACCCAGCCAGCGCTGCTTCCTCACTCAGTGACCCCTCCTCTCAAACTCCGACCTCGGTTTCGCCCTTGCAACTCCCAGCTTTCCTATATGTCCAAGGGCGGCGAGGGCTCAAAAGTCCTGGATAATCCGCAGATAGAACACACACACCCTTTTCCGAATTCTGCTGAGCATTTGCGTTGTGTCAGGAAGCAGGATTCAGATTGAACGGTGCTGACCTCCTGCCGCGGCCGGGGGCTGGGCTCAGCACTTTCACCTACCTCCTCTTCAGGTCACATGTGTTCTCCAGCCCCTGCCTAGCCTATCCCACAGATGGGAATGTGCGCTGCTTGGGGGCCTTGTTACCGCCCCCGGAGATGGCTGAACTGCTGCGGTAAAATAGTGCTGTTATTTCCATTTTAGAGATGGGGGCACTGAGGTCCAGGTTCTCCAGTTAGCAAGTGGCTGAACCCAGCTGGATTTGAACCAGGGTCTGACTAACTCCAAACCCCACAAGCTTAACCCCTGGGCTATGACAAGGAGTTGTGACTCCCTCCATTTCTGTAACTGACCTTCTCTCCCTGTGTCTGTGTGTCCTTTCTTGGCACTTCAACAAATGTTAACTGAGGTATGCAGGGCTTGCAAGGGACACGGAGATGAATAATGCATAGTGGCTGTCGTGTCCTGTGTCCTAGGTGTCTACCAACGCCGGCCCTGACTGGCCCTGCGGCGGTCCCACCTCACTGGACCACCTCATCTGTGTGTCTGATGTTCCACACCCTGTGTCTGCTGGCCTTGTCTATCTTGCTCCAGGTCTGAAGTTCCTAGAGCAGTGCCTTTGTCTCTGGCCTACCTGTTTCTGACTCTTCCTTTGGCCTTGCAGGGTGTTGGCCAGTGTGTGACAAAGGCAGCTGGTGACATTTTGCCAACCGCAACTCCCTGGTCACTATCTTCCCCACACCTTCACTCCTTCCAAGCTCCTTCTCTATGGCAGTCCAGTACCCCCAGAGGACAAGAGAGGGGATCTGGGGAACACTCTCTATTGGCCCTTGGCAGAGGGTGTGTGCAGCAGTAATAGGAGAGGTCTAGGGCTCTAAACGGGACACTATTGATTTGGCATCATGGGGCTGCCATGACCGACTGGAGAGGCCCTCATCTTGGAGCAGCTTCTCCTTGCAGACAAGTTAGGACTTGGGTTCAAAGATTTATTCATTGAATGGGAAATATAAGGTCAGATGCTCATAAAAGTAGTGGCTAAAGTCATTAGAGATTCTGCAGCTCCAAAGCCTGGGCCTGAAGTGATCCCAAATAGATGAGGCTTTGGCACCTTGCCCTAGCTGGCCCCCTATAGGACAGACAGACTTCGGCGTTGGGGAGGGTGAAAGAGACCCAGGTTCCTCCTCCTTTCTCTCCCTTCCCCCATTACCCATTAGATTCTGCCTGTAGTCATGAAGACTCTACTCAGTTTGAATCAAGTTTTAGGAGGGAGTTGGGTGGGATAATATAGGATGGTTTCTGGGGTGTGGAGAGCCCCAGTAGGTTGAGATGAAGGGGAGTTTGGGAAAAGCATGGGAGGGGGAGGTTAAGTAATGAGATGCAGAGGGCAAGATTAGTAGGGCCCATGGCTCTATGAGTTAGAGGGAAATAGAAGTTAGGTAGGGTTTCTCGAGCATGCCCCTCCCACCCCAGGCTACTTCAGCGGTCCCCTTCCCCTGTGAGGGTGAATTCCATTGGCCCTTAAAGTGTTGATCATCACTGGAAACCAAGCATTGCAGAGTCTCCCTGTTATTTGGGGGCTGGTCTTTTTCGTGGAGCCTCTCCAAATTGTGTTGAGTTTGGCGGGGGGTGGTCTCCCCAAACTCAAGTTGTCTTCCCGTGGGCTGCTGCTGCCACCTAGTGTCTAATCTTCGTTTCTGCTTCAGCAGTTGTCAGCGAGCAGGAGGGAAAGAAGGCTTGAGGCAGAGGACACAGGTTCTGGAAGAGCCTGCATCATCCCTCTCTGGGCTCAGCTCCCTCCAGCCGCTTTTGTTTCGGTGTAAGCAGAAGGTGGTGTAGCTAGACCCTGGAAAATAAAGATGAGAGTCTGGAATGGGGCCTTGGGTTTGAGAGGCCATGTGGAGCAGGAGCTAGACAGGCCTGGTCCTGATCTTGATTTTACTTGTGTGTCCTCAATCTGTGTGAGTCTCAGTTTTCCCATGTGTAAAATAGAAGCAGAGCTGTTGAGAAGATTAACTGAGCATATAGATGTAAAAGCACTGTGAAAACTGGCAAGGGCATGGTGAGAGAGATGATGAGTCACACTAATAATGACAATAACTGACAGGTCCCAGCAGCCTGGAGCCAGGCCCCCAGACCTCATGGAAAGGGCAGGATGAAGTGAGTCTTGGGTAGGGACTAGCACGGCCCTCCCTGAATATGGAAGTTCTGGGGGTGGCCCTACTCCTGGGGCTGCTCAGGAGAGGTGTGGACTGCTAGAGGGTGGTTCAGCCCAGTATGCAGAAGGGGAGACGGAGGCTTAGAGAGGTTGCGGGCCTATCCTAAGCTATTGAGCTGCAGATCCAGGAACAAGAGGCCCATTGGACTGGAGCCATTATGGCCCTGGTTTTCCCCTTCTTTGGATGGGAACAGCTCAAAGCTGGAGCCCAAGAGACCACGCAAGCAGGAAGCCTCCCTCATTGTGGTACAGTGGGGACTAAGGCCCCCAGGCTCTGTTAGCCCTCCTCCTGGGCCAGCCCCTTTCCCCTCCCCCGTGCAAGTCCTCCCACATTCCTCTAGGCCACAGGAAACCCCAGCTGCAGCCCAGACTTCAAACAGCTCCTCCCTCTGGGGCAGGGGGTGTGGGAGGAGAGGCCAGAGGCCAGAGGGCAAAGGTCAGCTTTGTTCCTGCCGGAGGTGGTGAGGGACCTGGGGGAGACAGAGGGGGAGCAGGGTCGGGCCCTTGACAGCCACACTGAGTGTGTGTGAATTCCTGTGGCCGTCAGGGTTGTGTGATTCCCGCTGTGCGCCTGTGTCTGGGGGGTAACCCTGTGTCCTCGGTTTGCTTTCGCTTGCAGGCCTGACTTCTGTGTCTGAGTGTGAAGCAGTGCATGTTTGTCTGTGGGTGCTCAGCCTGGGATCCCACTGACACGTCTGTAGGTGCCATTACTTGTATCGCTATGTCTGGTTCATAGGCGCGGTCAAAGCTGTGTGTCCTATGAGTGTGACCTGGTATGGTTCTTTGTGTCCCAGAGGGGTGTCCGTCTCCTGCCTCTTCGCCTCCTATCTTTCCTCTCCATTGTCACCAAAGAGTTCCTTCTGAAAGTGAATCTGGCTGGGCGCAGTGGCTCATGCCTGTAATCCCAGCAGTTTGGGAGGCCGAGGCGGGCGGATCACTTGAGGTCAGGAGTTCGAGATAACCCTGGCCAATATGGCAAAACCCCGTGTCTACTAAAAATACAAAAATAAGCCAGGCGTGGTGGCTCCCGCCTGTAGTCCCAGCTACTTGGGAGGCTGAGGCAGGAGAATCACTTGAACCCGGGAGGCAGAGGTTGCAGTGAGCTGAGATGGCACCACTGCACTCCAGCCTGGGCAACAGTGAGACTCCGTCTAAAAAAAAAAAAAAAAGTGAATCTGACCTGCTCAAAACCCTTCAGTGGCTCCCCATTGTCCAAGGCTTAGGATCCCAGCTTGAGTGCATGGTAGACAAGACCCATGCCTGCCTTTGCCATCTTCATCTTTAGCCACTAACCCCTCTGAAATTTCACATTCCTAGCACACCTACCTAATTGTAACTCCCTGAGCAGTCTCATTTCTTGCCTTTGAGCTCACTTAATTCTGTCCAGTCTGGAATGTCCTTCTGTTGCTTCTTTCTTTACCAAGCAAACTCTTACTCTTGTTTCTGATGAATCAACACCTCCTCTGAGAAGCCTCCCAGACTTCCCCCTGCCCAGTTGAGTTAGGACTCTCCCCTGTTCTCCCACATAGCTTTATTGTCATTTTCTGCCCGCATCTGTCCTGTTAGCACCCATCACCATTAAACTGTGACCTCTTTGAGAGCAGGAACTGTGCCATATCTCCTGTCCTGTGGTGGGAAGTTTCTGAAGAGACCTGGTTCTCCCATCCCGGGAGGGGGGAAAGTTTCTTGCAGTTTTGGATGTAGTACTCAGAGTCACCACTAGAGAGAGTGTGAACATCACTGCAGGACCATCCAGGCTCGTGTGTGTGTGTGTGTGTGTGTGTGTGTGTGTGTGTGTGTGTCTTCGATACTGTACCTGGGGTGTGTGTGTGTGTGTGTGTGTGTGTCTTCAATACTGTACCTGGGGTATGTGTGTGTGTGTGTGTCTTCGATACTGTACCTGGGGTGTGTGTGTGTGTGTGTGTGTGTGTGTGTGTGTGTGTGTGTCTTCGATACTGTACCTGGTGGAGTGGAGAGAGGATCCACTCAGCTCAGTCCCGGAGCAGTGGGATCCAGAGTAGACTCCATTCCCCACAATAAGTCCTGGGTCCCCCAGATTTCTTCTTTCTTTTCCCCACAACTCAGAGCCCATACCCCTTGGCTTTCCCCCTCCTACTTCTTGCCTCTGACTCTCCATCCCTCGTCTTCCATGCCTCATCTGCACCCTCAGCCCTCCCATGCCTAATTATTGGCACTTGCCTGGCCTGAATGGGCCTTACTCTACCATACGTCTGGGCCTTTGCACATGCTGTTCCCTCTGCTGGAGATGACCTCACCCTCTGGCTGCTTCATCAGGCAGACTTTTATTTCACAGACTCCAAGAAATCCCCCAGACTTGGCTCCCAGACTGACCTTGCCCCTAAGTGTTGTCATTGTTTACTGTTTTGCCTCCTAGACAGGACCAGCCTACAGGAGACATCAGTAGATGTGTGTGAAATTAATAAATGACTTAGTTCTTTTACGAGTACAATCCTCAGCATGTAGGGAGCTACCCCTGAGCCCTACGTGCACCAGGCCCTTCCTGGACCTGACTCTGGGTCAATATGACACTTTCCCATGCTGCTCCTTCAAATAAAGAAATGTGACCCGGGGAACACATGAGACTTTGAGTTCAAATCCTGGCTGTACCATCCACCTGTATGACCTTGAGCCAGTGTTGTAGCCTCTCAGAGTCTTGTTTCCTCTTTTGTAAAATGGGGATAATCACACATCTGCGCTGCCTTGTGGTGAAGATCAAATTAGATGATGCATGCAAAATACCCGCATTAGTCAATTAGGTGTCCTCCTCCCCCACCATGAACTTGGAAATAAAATTGCCCTCTGAGTCTTAAACCAGTAAAATCCACGCATCACGGAGGAGAAGAGCCAGGTGGGGGAGTGAATGAGGCGAGAGATGGTTTTGTAAACGACTGAAGAGTTTTGTGAACGGTGCAAACCGCAATCAAGGTGACCCGCCTGTAATCTCAGGGAGGCAGGGCGAGGATGTGATTGAAATTGAGAAAGCAGAAGCCTAATCAATTGCATTGTGCTCTATCTGAAGGGAACAGAAGGCTGCACAGAAAACGGGGTGCAAGGGAGAATTCATCTAGCTGTTTCAGAGGGAGAGACAAGGAAGGCACCAGTAGACACAGGGATTCCAGGCTCAGGAGGCTCTGGTCTCTACTGAGGAGCAGCGAGGGCCCTGGTGAACTCCAGGTGGTTCACTGCCCTGCTGGGCTTTCATTGAAACCAAACGGGCATCCTGGTACCAGACAGAGCCCTGTAGGGCAGACAAGAATATTCTGGTCCCAGAAAAAGGCTGTGGAGACTGAGAGCACTGATTTTGGAGTCAGAAGACTTGGTGTAAGCCCCTGCTCTGCCACTTCTGTCCTGCTGATTCACTTCACTGTGCCTCAGTTTCCTCATTAGCAACATGAAGATACAACAAACTCCTCCTCATAGGGATCTGCGAGGATAAAATCGCAGCATGCATGCACTTAGCAGGATGCCTGGCACACAGTCAACAATTTGCAAATGGTAGTGACAGAGAGAGCTCACATGTATTGATCATTTGATTACTATTTCACAGATGAGGAAATTGAGGCTTCGAGAGGTGAAAAACTTGCACTAAACCACACAGCTAGTGAGTGGTGGAGGCAGGATTCACACCAGGCACTACAGCTCCAGAGCCGTGCTCTTCTCTGCTTATTTCATGGCAGGCAGAATCACTGGCCTCTGGCTTATACATCAGGCTCTTGTGAGTTTGGTCAGCCAGAAACTGTGGCCCTTGGGAAGCCTTGGCCCCTGAGACTTTTTCTGTGGAGCTAAGGCTCCCACCCCTATGACAACCCCTCTGAGCAGCCATTTGGCTTCTCTCCATCTTACTGCTCTCATTCAGCAACCCCCAGCACAGGGCAGGACACAGGGAATTCTCAATCTGCATTGATTGCCTTATCTTTCTTTCCTTTAGGTCACCCAGCATAGGAGGATTTCCAGGGAATCTTTCTACCAATAACTAGAGGAGGAAGGATCACACACACACACACACACACACACACACGCACACACACACACTCCACAGAGGCTCTCTTCCCAAAGCCTAGAGGCAATGAAGTCTAGTGAAAAGACCATGAGCTTTGGTGTAAGATCTAGGTTCAAATCCTAGCTCTGTCACATACACTGCATGCTCTTGGTACATCATGTAACCCCTGAGCCTCAGTTTTCTCACCTACAAATGGGGCTAATCACAGAACCAGGCTCAGTACTGGATTAAATTGAAAAGATGGCTGTAAATACATCTGACATTCAGAAGACACTTAATAAGTGAGTTATTATTATTATAATTTTCCTCCTCTGCTTGACTATGAACTCCTCCTCCAGGGCAGGGACAGGTCTTATTCATGTTTGTGTTCCCAGGGTCCTCCTTAGCAAAGAGTCAATGCTTTGCAGAGTCAATGCTCAGTAATGATTTGCCAATTGCTGCAGTGATTCCCAGCTCCCAGATTCCTTCTCTGTCCATTCCCTTAGTAAGTCAGATGGTCAACAAACATTTTCTGATGGGAGAGGTGGGAATCTTTATTCCCTGCTCCCCTTGTTTCCACACGGAGGCATGTCAGCTTCCAGAGTTTCTCTCAGGGGAACGAGGGAGTGGGAAGATTCATCATCGCGCAGGTGCACTGCAGATTGTTCAGCATCCCTGAACCCTACCTGTAGGATCCAAACAAATCAAACTGCCTTCAAACCTCTCCAAAAGCTCCCCTGGGGGCAAAACTCCCCTAATGAGATCCAGTGAGTTAGACTAACCCTCAGGCCTCTTCTCTCTCCTCCCCTCTCTTCTGTCCTCTTTTGGAGAGTCTGACAGCTCCAGAGGGTCCACTGTGGTCTTCCTCCCTGCCCTGGCAAAGGAGGCCTAAGGTTGTCCCATTGCGCCTGTGATGAATGGCAAATCTGATGAACTCAGATAAAGAATTAGCAAACCTATTATACACAGATTGAAGGCCATATCAGCAACGAAGGGGACATTTTAATGTATCTTCAGCTGCTTGTCTTCTAAACTCACGTGCAGATGAGCAGTGGGACTCTGGGTGTTCTAAAACTCCACACCTTGGATGCCCCGTGCTTGGTAGGCATTAGGGCCCTCTCCAGCTTCCCCTGCTGCTGCCTGTAGCCATATCTGTCCGTTCACCCCCTATTGACCACCCCCGCTCCCAAAGGAAGGTTCAAGGGTATTTCATGGTTTGAGGATTCATATTGTCATTTTACTTATTTACAGAATCAATAAACCAACACATACACACTATTCAGAGAGGTGGGAAGTGCTCTGCAACCTTCTCCCTCAAACCTGGGCCCAGACCCCAGTCCTGGACCACTGCATCCACCCAGCAGGAAAGGGGTCCAGCCAAGACTTTTCCTGACTTTGTAACTTACAGACACAAGAGAATAGAGGGTAGAAGGGAAATTCTTGGCACCTGGACTAGAGTGAGATAAAAGGAGAGTAGGAAAGCAGTGATAGGAGAGAAGTGAGGGAGGTACATACAGTTTTATAAATAACTAGACAAGGTCTGAGCACTTTGGGTGGGGATGGAGTGAGAAAGGCTACAGGCATGTAGGGGCCTAAGTGGAAAAGGAAGAAATAGTGCTTGGGGCCAGAGCGGATGAGAGATCAGCTCTGGGCCTCCTTTTGCCCCATCTGTAAAACAAGTAGGTTGCCCTAGGTGGTGTCAGAGCAGCCACGTCCTCGGTGATGCTAGGACTCTATGGGGTTCTAAGCCAGCCTGGGGGCTTTGGAAGAACAGCTCTGGGGATTGGCAAGGACTGGTGGCCACCGCCAGAGAGGGTTGATGCCCGGACAGGCTATGTCTGATCCCCGGGCTGGTACTGTGGTTCAGCGGAGGTGAAGTAGTCCTCCAGGAAGGACTGCAGGTACTCGAAGGTAGGCCTCTCCTCCGGGTCCAGACGCCAGGTCTGTTCCATGGCCTCGTACAGGGATGCTGGGCAGCCTGGAGGGCACGGCATGTGGTAGCCCTGCTCCACCTGTTCCAACACTTCCCGTTTATTCATGCCTGAAGGATGGGTCTCTGTCAGTCAAAGGGACAGCCAGGTGGAAGCCCTTCCCCGTGACCATCCCCCACCCCAGCCCTACCCCTGGCGAGGCAAACCTGGGTAGGGGATTCGGCCCTTGGTGATGAGCTCAGTGAGCAGGATCCCAAAGGACCACACGTCTGACTTGATGGTGAATCTGCCAAAGAGGGCAGCTTCTGGGGCTGTCCACTTGATGGGGAACTTGGAACCTGGAGAAGATGGGGGAGCAGGGAAAGTTAGTGAGGGGGTCCCTGGAAACAGCTGGATTAAGAGAATGGGGTCTGGGCGCAGTGGCTCACGTCTGTAATCCCAGCACTTTGGGAGGCCAAGGCAGGCGGATCACTTGAGGTCAGGAGTTTGAGACCAGCCTGGCCAACATGGCGAAACCCTGTCTCTACTAAAAATACAAAAATTAGCCGGGCATGGTGGCGGGTGCCTGTAATCCCAGCTACTAGGGAGGCTGCGGCAGGAGAATTGCTTGAACCTGGGAGGCTTCAATAACCTGAGATCGCACCACTGCACTTCAGCCTGGGTGACAGTGAGACTCCATCTCAAAAAAAAAAAAAAAAAAAAAAAAGAGACAGAGAGAGAATGGGGACTCTAGGGATGAGGATTTCGGGGATCCTGAGCACAAGGGTCTCTGGGCATAGTAGAAAGGACATGGTATCTAGTCAACACCTACTATGTGTCTAGTATAGTGATGGGCACTTTCCAAAAATCGCAATAATTCTTATCCTAATAACGGCCAATACTTGGCTAGCCTTTCCTGTGTGCCAGACACTGTTTTAAGTGATATGCATGCATTAACTCATTTAACCCTCCCAAAACCCCCATGAGATAGAGACTCATTTTACAGACGAGGAAACGGAGACACTGAGTAGTTAGGTAACTTGCCCAGATCACAGAGTTAATACCTGGCTGGGATTCATACTCAGGCATTCTGGCTACAGAATTCCCACTGTTACACGCCATTGTCTTTCATTCAAGAATTATAGCTGTGCCTGTCACATAGCAGGTGCCTGGTAAACATCTGCTGACTTCCTGTTATCTGAATATTGTCACTTTACAGAAGAGAAACGGCAGCTCCCAGAGGTTAGGTGACTTGCCCAAGGCCACATGGCTGGTAAGTGGCCGACCTGGGATTTGAGCCCAGAATTGCCTCTCATACTACATCAGGATGGGGCGACTCGGGCGACCTGGAGTGAGGAAGGGTTCCTGAGTGCGTGGGGCCCCATGGAAGTCCCTTGTTGCATGGGGAGCTCTTGGAAGGTGGGGTGAAGCAGGGCACCTTGGCAGGGGTTGTACTCATCGTCCTTGATGAGACGCGCCAAGCCAAAGTCTGCGATCTTGCACGCCAGCCGCTCCCCAACCAGGATGTTGGCTGCCCTCAGGTCGCGGTGAATGTAGTTCATGCGTTCCATGTAGGCCATGCCCTCAGCTACCTGGGGGACCATAGTGTGGAGAGATGGGAGCTCATGTGGACTCACAACACCGTGGCCTGTTTGAGGGGTGAGGGACCATTTGAAAAACCCACTTTCCAGAGGGGGAGACTGAGGCCCAGAAAGAGAGGCAGTACCTCTCAGGCACAGCTGGAGGCACAGCTGATGCAGGGGGCGGGGCCGCCCTCCCAGGCGTTTGAAGGGACAGAGAATTTGTGAACAGTTAATAGGTGGGAGGTCCGGGAGGTAAAGGCTGCTGGCCCAGTTACCTGGGCTGCCATGTCCACCAATTGGGGCAGCCTCAAATCCTGGCCCTCTGGGTTCTTGAGAAAATCCAGCAAGCTGCCTGGGAAGAAGCCAGAAAGTCAGCGGCAAAGCCCTACCCCGGGCCCCAGCCCCTCCTCCTCTCGCTTGACCCCGCCCCT
Source organism: Homo sapiens (assembly GCF_000001405.40). NCBI lineage: Eukaryota > Metazoa > Chordata > Mammalia > Primates > Hominidae > Homo > Homo sapiens. Next base: position 27,615,006 of record NC_000001.11, read on the forward strand.
CAGCCCCTCCCACCTGGACCCGCCCCTCACTTAGGACCCCGCGGGTGCCTCAACCCCTCACTTGTCTCGTCCTGGCCCTGCTGCCAGACACGGACTCTGCCCACATCTCGTTTCTTCTGTTCCTTGGTGTTCCGGACACGACCCACCCAGACTCCGCCCCAGACCCTCCCTCATTCCCGATTCTGCCTTCGTTAGCCCAAGCCCTACCCGCCTAACACCGGAGGCACCGCCCCCCTCCCCAGCTCCCTAGTGGTCTCACTCGGCCCGGCTCCCACCTCAGCCCTCCAGTCGTTTTACACACCTGGTCCCTTAGTGGGACTCTGCCCATTGTCCCTTGTCCCTCACAGATCGCGTCCCAGGTCCCACGCCTGAAAACTCCCCTCTTAACTTCACCCCGAATCCCGCCCGACCAGGCTCCGCCTCCTGACCGTGACACATGAACTCGGTCACGATGTAGATGGGCTCCTCCGACACCACGGCGTACAGCTGCACCAGCTTGTCGTGCCGCAGCAGCTTCATGACCTGCGCCTCCTCCAGGAAGGCCTTCGGGGACATGGTGCCCGGCTTCAGCGTCTTCACCGCCACCTTAGTGCTGCCGTTCCACGTGCCTGCTCGGAGGCTGTCTTGTCAGGACCCTCTCCCCCGAGCCCAGGCCCTCGTCCCGGCCCCCGGGAGCTCCGTACCCAGCCACACATCCCCGAAGCAGCCGGTGCCCAGCCGGCGCTCCAGCGTGATGGAGCTGCGGCTGATCTCCCAGGCGTCCTTGGCCAGGCCCAGCGTCTGCGGCTTCATGATGGTGCAGGGCGCGATGAGCAGGTTGCACAGCCCGTCATTCACCTCTAGGGGAGGGGTCATGAAGTAGAGTCACAGGTGGGCCAGGACACCCCCCTCCACTCCTTATCCTATCCCAGCCTGGTGCCAGACCCTAAGATCAGTTATAAGGAACTAGGCCCCAAGTGAGGTCACAGGCCAGGAAGAAAGGCAACCCGATCCACTAAATAGGGGAACATGTTGGTGCCCAAGGAAGGGGGTGGCACCCAGAGGGAGAGATGATCCCTGTAAGCCTTCTGTAAGGACTGGGGGCCTCCCATAGGAGGTAGCCTCCAGCTGGGCCTTGAAGGATAAGGTGGGATTCTCACAGGTGGAAATGGGGTTGGGATTCCAGGCAAAGGTGTGGACATGAGGCCCACGGTCTTCCGTGGACCTCATCCTTGGCATAACCAATCAAGGCAGAAACGTGGGCATTGACTCCTGCCTTCCCTTCACCCCCACAGCCAATTCTCCACCAAGTCAGGCCTATTCTGCCTCCTACCCAGCTTCAGAATCGTCTGCTTCATCTTTACTCCACTGCCACCGATTTAGTCTGGCCTCCACCACCTCTCACCTGGACAACAGCCACTGCCTTCTAATGGACCCCTCACTCTGCCTTGGCCCCTGGCATCCAAGCTCCACCAGCAGCCAGAGTTTCTCACAAAAGTGAGACCAGCCTCTGTCACCCCCTGCTCAGGGCCCTGTGATGATGGCTCCCTGTCTGCCCACAGGGCAGTCCTGGTGCCTTGGTGGGGCATTCAGGCGGCACAAACACTCCATCAAGTTTCCACAAATTGAGGCCTTGAGGCAAGAAACTGGCCAATGCCTTGCTCAGTCATTAGGGGGTGCTGCTTGGTGAAGGACTGCTTTCCTCCAGAAGCTCACAGAGCTGGATCCTGGGCTGGCAGACCCCATCCTTGGGTTCTGGTTTCCGTCTGGCCAATACTGCTTGGTAGTCCCTTCCCTTCTCTGGGCCTCAGTTCCCCCATCTGGACAATGCTTCAGTTGGTTGGTTCAGGGATCTGAGGCCCCTGCCCTCACCCATGTAGTGCTGCACCAGCTCCTGCACCGAGTTGAACTGAACCCGTGTGGTGATGTAGTAGCCGCCCATGTCCAGTTTGCGGATCTTGTAATGCTTCACATGATCGCCTCTGGTCTGATCCCAGTCCCGGATGGACAGGGAGTAGGCACCTGTGGAGAGGATCACTTTTGATCTGCTGTTCTCCTCTGCCCTAGTCTGGGAGCTGGGAGAGGCCCGACAGCAGCATCCCTAGGACCTGGTCCCAGTCTTGGCCTTAACCCAAGCAGCCTACCGCTCCTAGCCCTACCCCAATGGCTGGGCCTCCCAGTCGCCTTGGGGCGTGGCACCACCCCTACCTTTGGTGGTCTCGCTTTCCCGAATGAGAAAGGCCCCCTGGGGGTTGCCTGGTGAAAGCAGCTGCCTCTCTGCATCCTTTCTCCCAATCTTTCCAAAGTACCACCTGTTGGGAAAGGCAGGCAAGAGTCAGGTACGCTCTGCTCAAACCTCACCTCAGCCTCCTGCACAGTCACCTCACAAGCCAAGACTCCATTTTCCCCATGTGTAAAATGGGGCTGGTACACCTGCTTCACATCCTGGCTGGGAGGGTTACAGAGAAGGGGAGTGTAAAATGCCTGGCACACAGTAGGTGCCCTGCAAAGGTTAGCATCTCTTCTCGTTAGGTTTCTCTTGAATTAAAATTGCTACAATCACAGTCATCAGGGTGCCATGGAGCCTCAGTTCATCTCACTGTAGCCCTTCTGTGCACTCATTTTACAGATGAGGAAGTTGAGGCTCAGAGAGGGAAAGTGACCTGTCCACAGGCTGGCTAATGAGCTCCACCTAAAATCCTCTGCCGCTCTCCCTAGTTCTTTTTTCACCACTCCAGTAATCAGATCACTCAGATCCTTCTCCCACCTCCACCTCCAAACTCTTTCCTCCTTTGGCCTCCAGAGCAGCACAGTCTCCTGCTTCTCTTCTCTCTGGCTGCTCCCGCCCCGGCTACTGCTCTTCCTGCACTCTCTTAGACTTGGATGTTGTCCTAAGTCTAAACTTCAACCTCAGGCCTCAATCACTCCTCTCCCTTGGGGATTCTTTCTGGGATTGAACCGTAGCCCTAAACCAACTGTGCAGGTACAATGGGGGAGCTGAAGTGACCACAGGTGCCATAGAAGACTCAGATGATCATGAAACTGGCCTGTGGCCATCTTGGGTTGAATTAAAGGAGCCTCGTGTTTTCAAACCAAGGGTGGTGGAAGTCTCAGTGGACCCTGGGAAGGTCAGTCCGCCCCTGGGTACTAGGCACAGTTCAGGAAACAGGGGAAGGCATTGGCAAGTGGTGTGTCCAGGAGGGCAGGCAGGAGGGGGACGGAGGAAGTGTTGAGGGACTGTATAGACAGGACACATTGTCAAGTTTTTTCAAAGCCCTCCCCGCTCCCACACGCATGACATTAGCTACCTCCTTAATAATCACTATAATAATAACACACATATTTCGTGTTAGGGTCTGCCTTAATACACGTATGTATTCACTTAATTCTCCTAACAATGTTGTGAGATAGCTACTATTGTTAAACCCCATTAGACAGTCAGGGCAGCAGTTGCTAGAACAGGAACCCAGGCTGTCTGCTTTAGGGCCTGTGCTCCTAACCACACTACCCGTAACCACAACACTGCACTGAGCACCTCTCAGTGCTTGGTGACACTGGCTCCAAGATGTGGACACAAGCATGAAGCTCCCCACAAACCTCCTGTCCTCTGCATAATTGTCCGTCCTCTTCTTCACGCCTCCTACCACCTCCCCAGACTTGGGCCTCACCGCACTTGACCTCTGAACCTCGCCTACCCGCTCCTGCTCAGTGATACCCACTTCCTGCCAGCAGCCTCCACCTGCATGCAGCCTCTCTATTCCAACAACCTCCAAACATGCCCACATTTCTCCCTTCCCCAAAGGAAACTATTCTAAGTTCCATCTTGCCGTCAACATTCTGCTGTATCTTCTCGCCTTCCCTTCACTTGAAAAAGTGCTTCACACTTGGGTCTCCACTTCCTCACCTCCCACTCCCTCCCAGGCTCTGCTGTCTGGCCTCCGCCTCCCACCCTCACACAGAGAAATCTCTCACCAAGGTCACCCCCACTGCCAAATCCAGCGGTAGCCTCTGACACGCCCTCTCTTGTTTCCTGAAGCTTCTCCGCTCTCTCGGTTGTTCTGACTTGGCCTGGTCTGGATTTCCTCTCTTCTCCAATGGCTCCTTCTCCTTCGAGGGCAGCTTTCCCCAAAGTGGGGTCCTAGGGCCAACCTTTTGCACTCTCCACTCTCTTCCTTAACCGTCTATATAGCTTTTTTAAAAATTTTTAATTAATTAATTTTTTTTGAGACGGAGTCTTGCTCTGTCACCCAGGCTGGAGTGCAGTGGCTCGATCTCAGCTCACTGCAACCTCCACCTCCCAGGTTCAAGTGATTCTCTTGCCTCAGCCTTCTGAGTAGCTGGAACTACAGGTGCCTGCCACTACACCCGGCTAATTTTTGTATTTTTAGTAGAGATAAGGTTTCACCACATTGGCCAGGCTGGTCTTGAACTCCTGACCTCATGTGATCCGCCCGCCTCGGCCTCCCAAAGTGCTGGGATTACATGCATGTGTCACCGCCCCCAGCCCCCTCCTATATAGCCTTAATGATCATCTTTACTCTCATGAGTCCCAAATTTCTGCCCTAGCCCGTTGTGCCCTCTGCAAGGGCCACAGCAAACAAACTGAGGAGTTTTAGTGGCAATTAAGAAAAGGTGTCCCTTCCTCTGGGCTGATTCAGGGGCATGGATTAGCATGGGCTGGTTGCCTGCCATACAAAGCACAACCTAATCGAATTGCTGGCAGCTTCGTCCACCTGGATGTTCCTCTCCACAAACCACAATCCAACAAGTACCCCCTAGAACTCATGAACTTATACCTGCTCCTGTGTTTCCCGCCTTAGCAAATGGTGCCATCATCCACCCAGCTCCTTAAGGAGACTTTGAGCCACCCTTGATTCCTCCCACTCCCCATAACCCAAATCAGTCACAGAGTCCTGGATTCTCACTCTGCAAAGTCTCTTCAATCCCTTCTTTTCTCATATATGTATGACATTTGTGAGGATAGATTTTTAAAAGCTTTTTGAGCCTCAGTTTCCTCATCTGTAAAATGGGAACAATAATAATATCAAGGGGCCGGACACGGTGGCTCATGCCTGTAATCTCAGCACTTTGGGAGTCTGAGGCAGGAAGATCACTTGAGGTCAGGAGTTTGAGACCAGCCTGGCCAACATCGTGAAACCCCGTCTCTACTAAAATTATAAAAATTAGCCAGGTGTGGTGGCGTGCACCTGTAGTCCCAGGTACTTGGAAGGCTGAGGCAGGAGAATTGCTTGAACTCAGGAGGTGGAGGTTGCAGTGAGCCAAGATTACGCCACTGCCCTCCAACCTGGGCAACAGAGCAAGACTCTGTCTAAAATAATAATATCAAGGCCAGGCATGGTGACTCATGCCTGAAATCCCAGCACTTTGGGAAGCCAAGGTGAGAGGACTGCTTGAGCTCAGAAGTTTGAGACCAGCCTGAGCAACATAGCAAGATTCTGCTTCTATAAAAAAATATACAAAAATTAGCCAGGCATGGTGGCACACACCGGTAGTATCAGCTACTCAGGAGGCTGAGGTGGGAGGATCACTTGAGCTCAGGAGTTTGAGGCTGTAGTAAGCTAAAATCATGTCACTGTACCCCAGCCTGGGCATCAGAGCACGCCCCTGTCTCTTAAAAAACTAATAATATAACGGTGTTATTGTGAGAATTAAGTGAACCAAGGAGATAAATACTTGCTGTAGTATACTTGCTCAAGTATATAAAGGTATTCAATGAATGATAAATTCCTGCCTCTTGGGCCAGGTCTCGGTGGCTCATGGCTGTAATCCCTGAACTTTGGGAGGCCAAGATGGGCGGATGGCTTGAGCTCAGGAGTTCAAGACCAGCCTGGGCAATATGGCGAAACACCATCTCTACTTAAAAAAAAAAATATTAGCCAGGCATGGTGAAAGAATCATCTGAGCCAGGGAGGTCAAAGCTGCGGTGAGCCGAGATTGTGCCACTACACTACACTCTAGCCTAGGCAACAGAGTAGGACCCTGTCTCAAAAAAAAAAAAAAAAAAAAAAAAAAAAGAAAGAAAGAAAGAAAAGAAAAGAAAAACAAAAAGAAAAAGAAAAAGAAAAATTCTTGCCTCCTTAATAGAATTAATTCCTAGTAATGCTCCCTTGCACTTTTTCAGCACTTTACAATTTTTTAAAGCTCATACACTGTTGTTTTTACTGGGAGGCAATATGTGTAATGCTTAGCAAATGCAGCCCAACTATCTGGGTTCATACATCAGCTCCACCACTCACTAGCCATGTGAACTTGCACAGGATATTTACTTTCTCTGTGCCTCAACTTCCTCATTTGTGAAATAGGATAGTAGTAATTTCTAACCCCGTTAATACACAGACAGTACTTTGAATAGTGCCCAGAACATAGTACATGCTCTATTATCTACTATTATTATTATCAGTACAATCTTCTTTTGTTCTCACAATGACCTTACAAAATTATTAGATAAGGAGACAGGCTCGGACTGGAGCAATGACTTGTCCAAGAGGTGGCCTTGGAGTCTGGACTCCAGGGTCCTGTCCATAGGGCTGGTCTTGCCCCAATCCCTACTTACTCTTCAGCTTGGATTGAGTCAACAGGGGCCACGTAGTTGCTGGGAATGCAGCCAGTTTTTCCGGAGCTGAGAGACCGAGCCTCCCACCAGTCACCTTCACTGTAGGCACAGAACAGGGCATGGTCAGCAGCACCTCCAGCCCCCAAGGCACCCTGAGGCCAGGTGGAGCCACACAGGTCTGCAGAGATGAATCCTGCCAAACCCTCATCTTGGACACCCCCCACCACTGGGGCTTTTGTCCGCTCTGCCCCAGCCACTGCAGCTTCCCTGGGAGGGCTTGTCCCTGCAGAAGGAATAAGCTCGGGGGCACTTAGGGCTCTTAGCTTCTTCCTTGGGCTCCCCAGCTGGGTTGGGCTGGGGATTGGGAATTCAGAGGACAGCTGACTAGGTCACTTCCCCACAGAAAATGGCTACTGATTTCCTTCTGGATAAAATCTAGACTTCTCAATGTGGCTTAAAAAGCCTGACAGAGACCAGGTGTGGTGGCTCATGCCTGTAATTCCAGCAGTTTGGGAGGCCCAGGCAGGCAGATCTCCTGAGGTCAGGAGTTCGAGACCATCCTGGCCAACATGGTGAAACCCTATCTTTACTGAAAATACAAAAAATTAGCCAGGCTTGGTGGCTCTTGCCTGTAGTCCCAGGATCACTGGAACCCAGGAGGCGGGGGTTACAGTGAGCCAAGATTGCACCACTGCACTCCAGCCCGGGAGACAGAGCGAGACTCCAACTCAAAAAAAAAAAAAAAAAAAAGCCTGGCAGAATCTGCCTCTGCCTACCTCTCTAGCCTCTGTTCTCTCCCATTCTGCATCCCATATTTTATGAACCACCTAAGGTGAACCACTTTGTGGTTTCCAGAAGTCATCATTTATTCTCATTCTCTCTCACTCTCTTCCTCTTTTCTTACCTCTTCCTTCACTGTCTATTCATTTTTATTTTTTATTTTTTAATTATTTATTTATTTTTTTGAAATGGAGTCTCCCTCTGTTGCCTAGGCTGGAGTGCAGTGGTGCAATCTCAGCTCACTGCAACCTCTGCCTCCCGGGTTCAAGTGATTCTTCTGCCTCAGCCTCTCAAGTAGCTGGGATTACAGGCATGCGCCACCATGCCCTGCTAATTTTTGTATTTTTAATAGAGACAGGGTTTCACCATGTTGGCCAGGCTGGTCTCGAACTCCTGACCTCAGGTGATCCACCCGCCTTGGCCTCCCAAAGTGCTGGGATTACAGGCATGAGCCACTGCACCCGGCCGTCTATTTCATTTTTATAGCCTCAGCTTAAAAATCATCTCCTCCAGGCCGGGTGCAGTGGCCCAACACCACCCCCCTCAACCAGCACACAGTTGCAGTCACCCAGGGTTTTTATTGTTATGTATATGTGTTCCCAACTAGGCTGGAGCATTCTGAGGCTAGGGACCAGGTGGGATTCCTGTCTGTGTCCTGCTCCCAGCCCAGGCAATGTTCTGACTAGGTGGCCTGGTCACTTACGTATTGTTCAGGATGTGGAACTTCTCGCCCTTGGTGAAGGTGAGGTCATCCTCAGTTCGAGCCTCATAGTCATACAGGGCAATGAACAGGGTCACCCCAATCCCTGCAGAGTCAGGGCTACTCAGCAGGGTAGGGCATGGGGCAGAAGCACCAAGGGGGCTGCACCCCAAATTCCTGTTCCCCAGCCAGGTGCTGCACCTCCCCACTCCTTTAGTGCTCTGGTTCCCAAAGGCCTTTGGGGTCCAAGGAATTTCTGATTTGGTCTCCACAGCTTAGGACACACAACTTCAAGCCCATTCCTCCCACCATGGAGGATCCCCTTGTTGCCCACTCCTCCTCTTCCCCACCAAGAAGACTTCCCATCTGGGAAGTGGCACCTAAAAGGGCAAGAAGTTTCTCTTTGTCACTTGCATCTGTCACAGGATCCTGCCCCTCTCAGACTGGGAGTAGAGCTTCTTGACCCTCCCCTGCAGACTGTGGTTTCTGATGGGAGGGCTGTACAGACTCCCTCAGCCCATGTGATCTTGAAAGCGGGGTTGTATCTGCCACATCCTCCTGGAGGCTCCTAAGGGCAAGTTCGCATCTCTTCTTCTTCCCTCAGTTTCTCCCAGGATCCAGGCAGCTCCTGCCTCCGACCCCTTGGACTCACCTGACACACCCCTGATGGTGCCACTATCAAGGAAGCCAGGGTTGATGGCCTGAGAGGAGAAGTTGCTGTAGTTGGGGATGTGGGCAAATGAGGATGCAGGCCGGGCCTTAGTGGGGTCAGGCCCATAGTGGTCTGCTGCCCCGTAGCTTCTGAAGTCCCCTTCCAGGCCAGCATCCTCCTTGGCCGTGGCCACCGGCTCCAATTTCTTGCAGAACACACAGCCCATTCCAGGTTCCCTGCTACAGAATGGGGCATGCCTCACTCAAGGACCCCTGCCAGGTGCACCACCCTGTGCACACACGCGCATGCACATGCTCATACGCTCATACAGGCACGTGGCTTTCCCTCTTGGGCCTAGATTGGGGTCCTCCCTGTAAGGGATAAAGGCGGAACTGGGCCACCTACTGTACCGTTCAGTCTGCCTCACAGTATGTCCCCCCTCAGTGCTTCTCTTCCCATTGGCTCATGTCTATATCTCTGGGGCTGGCTTTCTACATTGGGATATTGCTATGCTTATTTGCATATTTTTGCCTCCTATTGCTTTGCTTTTTTTGTTTTGTTTTGAGACAAGATCTCACTCTGTTGCCCAGGCTGGAGTGCAGTGGCACAATCATAGCTTGCTGCAGCCTTGATCTCCTGGGCTCAAGTGATCCTCTGGTCTCAGCCTCCCAAGAACTGGGACTATACAGGTGCGTGCCAGTACCCCTGGCTAATTTGTTTGATTTTTAGTAGAGACAAGGTCTTGCTATATTGCTCAGGTTGGGTCCTATTGCTTTGATATGTTGTGTTTCTGTGACTCTTTCAGTGTGCTTGTACATGTGCGTCTTTGTGTGTCTCTAAGTATGGGTGAGTTTGCCTGTGTGGGTATGCATGTGTGTGCAGCTCTTTGTGGATGTCTGTCTGTGTGTGCAGGTTTGTGTGTATACGAGAGTGTATAAAAGTCTCTGTGTATGTGTTTGGCTGCATGTGTATATGTCTGTAAGACCGTGTTTGTGTGCATGTGTTTCTGTGTGAGTATGTGTGTGCCTGTCTGTGTGAGTGGGTGTCTCTGTGTCTGTGTGTCTATGAATGTGCACCTATCTCTGTGTGGGAGCAGTGTGCCTGTCTCTGGATGTGTGTATCTCTGCATGTATGTCTATATATCTGCGCATGTTTGTGTGTGAGTGTGTGTGAGGCTGTGTGTCTGCACCTGGAGAGTCACTGCAGAGGGGGATCAAGGCCATTTCCTGTCGTGGGTCCAGCCTTCAGCCTCTCAAGCTGCCTCATTCTGGCTCCCCCATCCGTTACCTAGCAACAGGGTCCTTGTAGGAGGAGGAGGCTGTGAGGAGTTGTGGGGTTCAGGAAGGCCACCCCCACCCTGTTTCCTGACCCTGAAAGCCCTCAGTCTACCCCACTCACCCCTTAGGCCCCTACTCCTGGGTCAGTGGGGCTGCGGCATGATCCTTGGGAGGGGTCAGAGACCTGAGGGTGAGACAGAAGGACAAGGAAGATGAAGTCTCTGCCAATGTTTCTGTCAGCAGCTGCCCAGCTCCTGCCCTCTTCAGGAAGCCAGAAGGCCTGGGCTCTGCCCCAGCATGACTTCTGCCTTCACTTTCCTTCCTATCACCCCTGGCACACTTACACAACCCCCGTCACATAGGGCAAACCACCCACACCAGCTCTCTTTCACACTCATACTCACCTGACCCACCAGCACAGTCACACAATAACACTCACAGCATATATTTGCATGAGTGTGCGTGCCAACCCCATCACACGCCAATACAGGCTCTAACAAGCCCAAGCTCACAATAGCACACACACATACACATGCACATATACATGGGGTGCCTGCCAGGTTAACAGACGAACACACTCAGACACACATGATTTTGAACATTATAATCATCTCTCTAACAGGATTTCTATCAAGCCATGCTCAGCTCCCTCACAGTCCCCAGTCACCATCTCCTAAAAACCAGTTCTTCCGGCCAGGCGCAGTGGCTCACGCCTATAATCCCAGCACTTTGGGAGACCGAGGTGAGTGGATCACAAGGTCAGGAGTTCGAGACCAGCCTGGCCAATATGGTGAAACCCCGTCTCTACTAAAAATACAAAAATTAGCCAGACGTGGAGGTGGGCGCCTGTAGTCCCAGCTACTTGGGAGGCCGAGGCAGCAGAATCACTTGAACCTGGGAGGTGGAGCTTGCAGTGAGCCGAGATCGCACCACTGCACTCCAGCCCGGGTGACAGAGCAAGACTCCATCTCAAAAACAAACAAACAAACAAACAAAAAACAGTCCTTCCTCTGAACCCTGCTGTGCTCCCAGCCACCCTAGGGTTCCATGTGGTGGCTGAGTGAGAGTGGATACCTACCTCCGGAGCTCTCCTCCTATCCCCATACCAGAGAAAGGACCAGGTCAGAAGCTGGGGCTACCAGAGTACCTTGGGAAGCCCCACAATGAGCCAACCCTTTTCTGGCAGCGGTATCCTCTGAGCAACAGGGCAGGAGGTCATTGAGCAAGGGTCCCCCACACCCTGCCAGAAACATTGCCATTGCAACACTCAGAGAGGAACCGACTGGTGAGAGGGCTTGGTTTCCTAAGATGTGAGAATGGAGAGTTTAGGGTGGGGCCAACCTTGTGAACCCTGATTTGCCCCAGAGGGGCCCCAAGGTCCTAGAAGAAAGGGCCCCCAGCTTCTCTCTCTCGATCCCCAGTCCAGTCATCCTTACAGATATTCTCTTCCTCTTCTCTCTGGGTCCTATCCTTTCTACCTAGCACCACTCACCTCTTCCAGAAAGTCTTCCTGGATCCACCAGGTCCAGTTGCCTGGCTGATGGTTCCGTCACATCAGTGCTTTGGTCTCCACCCTAGCCCCACCTGCCCCTCTCACCCTTTGCTCTAAGTGATCTCTCATGTGTGTATTGGGTGGGGGTGGGGGCATCACACCCATGTGGTGAACTGTGGGGCGGGCTGTGGTGAGAAGCCTGCCCTAAAATAGCCCCTGTTCACTGGGCCCTGCCTGAGACCTTTGCCCCGGGACCCCTCCCTGGGATGAAACCACTGTGTCTAAAACGCCCCAGGATGCTACAGGGCTAGTTAGAGCCAGGGCAGAAAATAGAGGTGGAGGACTGGAAGCCATCCAGGGCCCAGCGGGAGGGATTTCAGGAACTGGTGAAAAGAGAGATGGGGCTGATACAAAAACAAGGGTGAGGCCGGGCACAGTGGTTCACACCTGCTATCCCAGGACTTTGGTAGGCCGAGGCAGGATGATTGCTTGAGCCCAGGAGCTTGAGACCAGCCTGAGCAACATAGGGACACCCCGTCTCTATAAAAAAAAATCTTTTTTTAATTAGCCAGTCCTGATGGCACCCACCTGTAGTCCCAGCTACTCGGGAGGCTGAGGTGGGAGGATTGCTTAAGCCTGGGAGTTCGAGGCTGCAGGAGCTGTGATTGCACCGCTGCACTCCAGCCTGGGAGACAGAGTAAGACCCTGTCTCTATTTTAAAAAGAAAACAGAAAAACCAAGGGTGAGAATAAAGCCTTCTCACAGGAAGACACACATACACACCTCAAATGGCGCACCATGCTGATACCCAGATCCACACAGCCCTTCAGACCCCTTCTCAGTTGGCACATTACCTCAGCTGCCTCATGCACAGGCTCCAGGCTCCTCTGCACAGATTCCTAGCACAAACATCTTCTAGTGTACACACACCCCATATACACACACCTCCAGCCCTCATCCGTCTGCACATAGATGTGCATGCACATGAACACACACACACACACACACACACACACACATCCTCTATAAAAGAATAGCAAATACAAAATTTATAGCGCTTACTATATGCGCTGGCCACTGCATTAAGCACTTTACCTATATTATCTCATTTTATCCACACAACCCTATGATTTAAGTAGTATTATTATTATTAATTTATTTATTTTGAGAGGGAGTTTCACTCTTGTCACCCAGGCTGGAGTGCAATGGCATGATCTCAGCTCACTGCAACCTCCGCCTCCTGGGTTCAAGCCATTCTCTTGCCTCAGCCTCCTGAGTAGCTGGGATTACAGGCACCCAACACCATGCCAGGCTAATTTCTGTATTTTTAGTAGCGATGGGTTTTCACTATGTTGGCCAGGCTGGTCTTGAATTCCTGACCTCAAGTGATCCACCTGCCTTGGCCTCCCAAAGTGTTGGGATTACAGGGGTGAGCCACTGCACCTGGCCTAAGTATTATTATTACTGATGAGGCAACTGAAGCACAGAGAGGTTTGGAAACCTGCCCAGGGTTGGCCAGTCACAGTGGCTCATATCTGTAATCCCAGAACTTTGGGAAGCCAAGGCAAGAGGATTGCTTGGGTCCAGGAATTCGAGACCAACCTGGGCAATATGGCAAATCCCATCTCTACAAAAAATACAAAAATTGGCCAGGCACGGTGGCTTACGCCTGTCACTGCACTCCAGCCTGAGTGACAGTGAAGCTCTGTCTCAAAAAAAAAAAAAACAAAAAAAAACCAAAAAAACTCCAAAAATTAGCTTGGCATGGTGGCACGTGCCTCGAGAGGCTGAGGCAGGAGGACCACTCAAGACCAGGAGATAGAGGCTGCAGTGAGCTATGATCATGCCACTGTACTCCAGCCTGGGCAGCATAGTGAAACTCTGTCTCAAAAAAGAAGGCCACAGACATGATGTATCCTGGTGTTTGGCTCCAGAATCTGAGCTTTCAAGCATTTCTCTCCATTGCCTATCACAGATACAGACAGATGCAGCCATTCCTGCTAGCATGCACAAATGCGGATGCCCCCACACTGTCCCCCCACCCCCCATGTAGGGATACACACACACACACACACACACACACACACACACACACACAGATATACACAGCCCTCTCCGGTGACATGGACCCACATAGAGCTCTCCTCTATAGGAGAACATAGACTTATACAATCTCTCATGTTCACACACAGATACAATATTGCCACTTCCAATAATACCCACGTATATATTGCCACAACATATCTATATCAGATGGAGGGGATCCCTGAATTCTGCATGCCCAGTATGGCTGGAAGGGAGAGACTATCAGCATCTGAGAAGGAAGCTCTGTGGGCTCAGGAAGAGCCCTGGCAGGACTGACCGTGTCGTCAGCAGGCAGAGGTAGGCAGCTCTTGGGTCTTATCACTTCCAAACTTGATGCAGACCAAAGCCCTGGCCAGGCCTGGCTCTCTGGGGACCAGTATGCTGAGGCGTCAGGGGATGTAGGGCACAGGGTATGACATCTGCATGGCCCAAGGCAGGGAGGGGCCACACTGCATGTAGCCATGTTCATGCTGTTTTGTCAGAGGAAAGAAAGAGATGGGGAAAGACAGAAAAAGGAGAGGCAGAAAGAAAGAGAGAGAGAGGCAGAGTTTGAGAGATACAGGGAGATAAAGAGAAAGAGCCAGAGAGACAGAAAGACAGAGAGATAGAAGGAAGAGACAGAGACAGAGAAACACAGCGTGGTATGCTGGTAAACTGACTCTCAAAAAAAGAAAAGAAAAGAAAAGAAAAAGCCCTGATTTGTCACATTTTCTGATTTCCATGGTGTAAATATTCCCACAATGGCTGATTTAAAGCTACCAAAGTGACTTCCTGAAAGCTGGGGTGGAAGAGACACACAGAATGAACTCCCCTGAGCCAGTAAGTAGCTGGCTCCAGCACACACTGCCAGAAAGAAACAGAGACAAAGAGACAGAGGCAGAAATGAGAATTAAGGAGAAAGAGTAATCAAGAGACAGAAAGAGATAGAAACAGAGAGAGGCAGAGATGAAGAGAAAGAGAGAGAGAGAGCTAAAGAGACAAGGAGGGAAAAAGACGGAGGGAGAGCAGATTGGGTTCACTCTGCTCAGACATCTGCATGAAAATAGCCCTAGGACTCTTCATCCTCCTCTTGCTCTGATCTCTATGTGCCACCAATTCTTTGGAGAGTAATTTGACTTCCTAGAAATCCAGGTGGCAGTAAAAATGAGCTAATTTATTAAACAGTTACACAGTGACTAGCATCTTGCCAAGTAACTCCCAGTCATGGTCTTATTTGGTGAACCTATGAGGTGGGTTTATGACTACCCTTATTTTACAGATGAAGAAACTGAGGCACAGAGATGTTAAGTAACTTGCCCAAGATTACATTGTGAGTAAAGGATGCTAAAATGCAATGCTGATCAACTTGTTGCCAAAAACCACTGTAACCACTAGTCCATTCTGTAATCCTAGTAGAAGCAATAATGCAAGCTTGTCCATCCCATGGTCCATGGGCCATATGCAGCCCAGGACAGCTTTGAATGTGGCCCAACACATATTAGTAAACTTTCTGAAAACATTATGAGATTTTTTTTGTGATTTTTTTTGAGACGGGGTCTCACTCTGTTGCCCAGGCTGGAGTAAAGTGGCACAATCTTGGCTCACTGCAACCTCCGCCTCCTGGGTTCAAGTGATTCTTCTGCCTCAGCCTCCTGAGTAGCTGGGACTACAGGCGCGCTGCCAACACGCCTGGCTAATTTTTTGTATTTTGAGTAGAGACGGGGTTTCACCGTGTTAGCCCGGATGGTCTCGATCTCCTGACCTCGTGATCTGCCCGCCTCGGCCTCCCAAAGTGCTGGGATTACAGGCATGAGCCACTGCACCCGGCCTTTTTTGCAATTTTTTAAAGCTCATCAGCTATCATTAGTGTTAGTGTATTTTATGTGTGGCTCAAGACAATTTTTCTTCTTCCAATGCGGCCCAGGGAAGCCAAAAGATTGGACACCCCTGCAATAACGTGTGTCTCTTAAGGAGCACCTAGTGTTCTCAGCCCTGTGCCTCATGCTCTAAATCCTTGATACAGCAGGCAGGGCGCAGGTGGGGGGAGGGAGGGGCGCAGGAGAGAGAGAGAGAGAGCCATATCTGCCCAGATTTTCTCAGGCAGTCGCTGAATCTGAAGAAGCCAGGTCTCTCTTTTCTCAGCACTGAACTTCGCTGCCTGCTAATACCAGAAAGGGGGCAGCTCAGAGAGTAGCCACAGCATCATTCTGGGCACTTGGTTCTGTTTATAAATATGTCTCTTGAACATCTGGTTTACAGGAGTCGCCTCCGAGATCCCCATCAGGGTCAAAATCAGGTTACAAGTATCAAACTGAGGTCCAACCCTGGACCGCAGTGCTCCTCACTTCAACATCTGCCCTGTGGCCCTCCCCAGCTCCATTCTTCAGTAGCTCTATGACCTTGGATCTTTGACATAAGCCTCTGAGCCTTAGTTGTTGCATCTGCACCTTCTGAGTAGTTGTTGTGAGGGCTTCATGACATGTGGCTCTTGCCCGATGTGCAGTGGCCAAGTGTGACCAATAACCAAAACCAGAATGGCCCCCAGGGACCATTTACCACTCCACCTTCTCTTTTGCATAGGGGGAAGTTACTTTCCCAGGATCACACAGCCAGACAAGGGATTCAAAGTCAGGACTATTAATTCAAGTCCAGAGTTCTGTTCCCTCCCCCACTGCTGTGTTCTCCAAAGCCTGAGCAGGAGATCATGCTGTTCCTAACTAGTGAATGTCATACTTCCGGTCGAACACACCACCCCTGTCATATGGCAGCTGGTCACCCAGCAGGGAGGGACCCTGCCTCCCACTCACCCCTACTGCTGGACATAGGAACCCCAGGTCCACCCATCCTTTTTCGAGGCCCACACTTCCCAAAGCTATGCCAGTTCTTTGATGTAGACACAGGATGTCCTGCCCCCGCAACCCTCACCAAGTATCTGTGGGATCTAGAGGCAGATTTAGGCTCAAATTCTAGCCTGCCTGACAACTAGCTTAAGGCATTGGGCAAGTCAGTTCATCTCCCTGAGCGGCAGCATCTTTGCCTATAAAATAAGAATACAAATGTCCACCTCCTGGGGTTGCTTCTCAGCATCAAATGGGGTCACATCACTGAAAGCATCAGACATACAGTAAGTGCCCAGTGAACTTTCACTTCCCTCCTTTCCCTTGAGGAAGGTCCTCCGTGGCAGTGACGGTGTGGGACCAGAGGGTACAGAACTGGGCAGGGCTGAGAAGAAAGAGAAGTTCCCAGGGTGAGGTGAGAGGGCTGAGCTGGCCCAGCCGCCTGGGGGATTTCATCAAAAGGGAACCGGGACTTTGGGCAGGGGCAGGAAACCACCATCCTGCAAGAGTTCCGGCTTCTCCTCCAGGCTCTGGGCTGGCCGGGGGCAGGCCAGGGCTGGAGGGTCAGGGAGCAAGGCTGAGGTCTGCAGGTGACTCCCATCCCACTGTGCCGCATCTCTCACTAGGCCCTATCCCTCAGACCGGGCGGGCTTCCATCCCTCACCCTCAGTCCTCTCACCGAGACCCTCCACCTGGCTGAATGCCAGTGCCTTTGCTGAGGCCCCCACTGCTCATTAACTCCCTTTCTTTCTTTCTTTGTTCTTCTTCTTCTTCTTCTTCTTTTTTTTTTTTTTGAAACAGTGTCTCATTCTGTCGCCAAGGCTGGAATGCGATGGTTCGATCTCGGCTCACTGCAACCTCTGCCTCCCGGGTTCAAGCAATTCTCCTGCCTCAGCCTCCTGAGTAGCTGGGATTACAGGCGTCTGCCACCATGCCCAGCTAAATTTTTGTATTTTTAGTAGAGATGGGGTTTAGTCATGTTGGCCAGGCTGTTCTTGAACTTCTGACCTCAGGTGATCCACCCACCTCGGCCTCCTAAAGTGCTGGGATTACAGGCGTGAGCCACCGTGCCCTGCCTTCATTAACCCCCTTTCATCTCACACCATCCTTTCTTGAGGCCTCGAAACTGCCTCCTGAAGAAGACATACCCACCCAACCCTGTCTGACTCCACCACCACCGTGGTGAGGCCAGGTGTGTGCAGGATCGGGGGTGGCCTTTACCCTCCATGTGGTCCCGAGGCCATTAGCAGTTTTTTCCACTTCTTGTGGGTAAAAGTGGTTTTCCACCTGTTGCTGAAAACCACCCACCAGCCTCTAAAACACAGCTCTTTAGATGCCATCTGGCCTGGGACTCAGGATTTTCAGGAGATGGAAGCCATGGCGGCGGGGGGCGGGGGTCCAGGGGCAGCCAAGGGATGGGAGTCTAGATTTCACAGTGTGGCCAGACAGGAAGCCCCCTCCCTGGTCCCTCAGGGGAGTGGGGCGGTGAGGGGGACATCCTGCCTTTTCCCACCTTAGGTCAGCCCAGTCTGCTCTGCGTGGGAAGAGCCCTGGCCCCTACTTCCCCAGCTCTGGGGTTCCCTACCCAGCCTCCTGAGGTCTGGCCACTTCCTTTGCCACATCAGCCCCAGGTGGCTGCAGAGATCACCCAAACATCCACTCATATGCTCAAGGGTTCATGCTCATTCACTCAGAGCCCAAAACATACAAACACTCACACCCTCACTGGAGGAGGGTGTGAGAGCACCTACTCACTGGAACAGGAAGTAGTCATGAAGCCCCTAAACCCCACACCCTCCTCCCCGGAGGGTACATGAAACTTGGTAGGGATGAGGTAAGGATTCAGGCCTCAGCTCAGGCTACATCAGAGACGAGATGTCCTGGAATTCTGGTCCCTACTGTTGGCCCTGCAGGTTGCCAACTCCCAAACCTCCATCTTCCCATCTGTGAAGTGGGAACAGGGTCCTGCTCTCCCATCATCACCACAGTCGGAAGGATGCCAAGGACATCAGGGCCCCTGAGAGTACACACCCGAGGGGCGGCCAACTGGATGCAGCACCAGAGAGGGTGTGAGACAGATTTTAACTCTGCTGACCTCCCCAGTATGGGCTCTCATCAGAGCCATAAACTATTTAGACGCCAACTGTGTGCTGGTCCCTGGAGGCCCTGTCAGTGAGAGCCGGGCAGTCTGGTCCCCCTCCATGCTTTTTGTTGTTGTTGTTGTTTACAGACAAAATCTCACTCTCTCATCCAGGAGCTCTCACTGCAGCCTTGAACTCGTGGGCTCCAGCGATCCTCCGGCCTCAGCCTCTGGAGTAGCTGGGACTACAGCAGGTGCCACCACTTCCAGCCTTCTGGCTAACTATATTTTTTTGTAGAGACAGGACGGGGGTCTCCCTGTGCTGCCCAGGCTGGCCTCCTCTGCATGTTTTTGAGAAGGTGAAGGGGAGGCTCGCTGAGTCAGGGATAGCCCTTAACCCTTCAGGACACTCAGCAAAAACTGCTTTCTGCACCTGATTCTCGTGGGGGAAGAGTGGACACAAGGATCATTTCTCACCATAGTTCAGATGAGGAAAGTGAGGCCCAGAGAAGCCCTGTAACTTGCCCACAGTCACACAGCAATTAAGGGCCCAGTCTTGCTAAGAACCCAGGTCTCTCAAACAGCAGATCCTCCACCCCAGGATCCCTGAACACAGCGGCATCGCCTCCTACCTCGGTCGGGAAGCCCACCCCCCACCCACCAGACCGAGGATTCCAAAAGGGGGCGAAGGCGGAGAGCAAAGGGGGCTGCGCCCACCCGGAGCCCCGCGGCGGCCCAGCGCGGCCCGCCCTCTCGTTGCCTTGGAGGCAGCCCCTGCGGGCACTCGCGGTCAAAGGCAGGATTTCCGTCGGGGCGGCAGCAATTCCCGGATCCAGCGGGGAGCGCGGGCCGAGACCGCCGCGGGCGCGGAGGGGGCGCCCGGAGAGGCCTGTCCCTGCCGAGGGCGGGGACTTCCCCAGGAAGCGGGGACCCACGCCTCGCGCGCCCGGCAGGAGTCCCCTGCAGCCCGGAACCTACCGCAAGGGCGGGCCGAGAGGGTCGCGGGGCCGCGGTCGCGGCCGCTAACGTTACCCTGCGGGCTGTGGGCTTCACCCCGACTTCGGCCGGCTCGGAAGAGGGGAACTTCCTGGACCCGCAATTGCACCCCAGGTTCTCCGTCCTCCAGAAGTCGTTCTCCTCAACCCCCTTCCCGCCAGCTCCCTCTCCTGTTCCCTCCAGCACCCCCACCCATTTCCCCTCTCCTGGACCCATCAGACCCGTCGGCTTCTCCCCAAAGTCCCACTCTCACGATCCCTTCAGTTTCTCCCCCAGACCGTCCTGGGGATTCCCCTTAATCCTTCTCCCCCACCTCAGCCCCCTTCCTAAACTCTTATCAGTCCCCTCCATTTTACCCACTAGACCTTTTTGGGGGTCCCTTTGGTCGGCTTCCCCCGTGCTCCCCTCCGCCCTCTCCTCCAGGTTTATCAGCCTTGCTTTTCAGGTCGCCCGTTTTCCTCCTTAGGCCTTTTCGGGCTGGGGTCCCTTTGGCTGTCACCTTGCTCATGTGTCCCCCGACCCCCAGGTTCAGGCTTCTCTTCCCGTGTACCCCCAGTCCTCTCTCCAGAGCCTCGAGGGGGAGGGCACTGCTTGACCTGCCCAGTCCCCACCCGACGCTGTCGCTTACCTGGAGCCCAATTCTGCCCGGCCCCGGGGTGAGCCAGCCGGGGCTCCAGCAGCCGCGAGTGCCGGCGTGCGGGGAGAACTGGGGTGCTGCCCGCCTCTGACCGCCGCCCCTGCTGGGCAGGGAGGAGGAAGCCGCCTCGGACTTCTCTTATTGCAGTCACGGCCGGCGGGCGGTGATGGTGGCAGGGAGACAGTCACGCCCTAGCCCCAAGCCAGCTCCCCGCAGCGAGGAGGCGCCCCCAGATCCTAGGCCCACCCGCCCCCACCTTCCTCCTCCCTGGTTTACGGGAGGTCGGCTCTGTCACCCTCCAGACCTGAGTCCCCAGCCCGGCCTTCCCAAAAGCCCCCTCCAAAAGCGCAGTTTCAGCACCCCCGAAGCACCTGCTCTTTTAGGATCATTGAATTGGAGGTTAAGAGGGGCTTTTCTCCATCACTGAGGACCAGATCGGGACTGGCCTTACTCGAGTTCTCACAGCCAGTTGACTTCAGACTGCTGTCACCAGAGCCACTGGACATGGATCACATGGACCCTGTCAGCACGCCTTCCCTTCCTCAGGGGCTGAGCACTGGGGACACAGGGCTGTTAAGGGTGGTGAGCAGCAGAAGACCCTTCCCTTAGGAAACTGCCTTTCAGAGGAGTGGGAAGGGTGTCAGCCTCCCCCAGGCACCCAAGTTTTAGAAAAACTGAGTAACTGGCTGGGGGCAGTGGCTCAGCCTGTAATCCCAGCACTTTGGGAGGTTGGGTGGGAGGATTGCTTGAGCCCAGGAATTCCAGACCAGCCTAGGCAGCATAGGGAGACACCATCTCTACCAAAAAAAATTTTTCTTAAGTTAGCTCGGTGTGGTGGTGTGCACCTGTGGTCCCAGCTACTGCAGAGGCAGAGGTGGAAGGATCCCTCGAGTCAGGCAGGTCGAGGCTGCAGTGAGCTGTGATTGAGCTACTGCACTCTACCTTGGGTGACAGAGCAAGACCCTGCCTTAAAAAAAAAAAACACAAAAAAAGAATGTGGGTTTTGTTGCAGAAAATGACTTTTTTTAAAAAAAAGAAAGAAAAGGCCGGGTGCAGCGGCTCACGCCTGTA
Source organism: Homo sapiens (assembly GCF_000001405.40). NCBI lineage: Eukaryota > Metazoa > Chordata > Mammalia > Primates > Hominidae > Homo > Homo sapiens. The sequence continues at coordinate 27,636,145 of NC_000001.11, forward strand.
ATCCCAGCACTTTGGGAGGCCGAGGCGGGTGGATCACGATGTTAGGAGATCAAGACCGTCCTGGCTAACACAGTGAAAGCCCATCTCTACTAAAAATCAAAAAATTAGCCGGGCGTGGTGGCGGGCGCCTGTAGTCTCAGCTACTCAGGAGGCTGAGGCAGGAGAATGGTGTGAACCCGGGAGGCGGAGCTTGCAGTGAGCCGAGATGGCGCCACTGCACTCCAGCCTGGGCGACAGAGCGAGACTCCGTCTCAAGAAAAAAAAAAAAAAAAAAAAAAAGGAAGAAAAACTGAGTATCTTAGAACATGTGGAAAAAGATTTTTAAAAACAAAAAGAGAAACGGTAGCATCCTCTATCAGTTCCAGTCTCTCTGTCTGATAGGGATCCCTGACCCCTCCTCAATCTGGGGTTCAGTCCCCACTCCCACCACTGTTACTTCAGCCTTAAAGCAAGAACCCGGAATATCCCTCCTGTCCAGGAGAGGAAGAGGTGTGGTGGGGAGGGCTGTTTGGTGGAGAAGGATGTGTCTGTTGGGATGTGGTGAGAGGCAGGGAGAGTGTGCGTAAACACAGAAGTGTGTGTGTGTGTGTGTGTGTGTGAGAGAGAGAGAGAGAGAGAAAGCAATGACATGATGACTTTGCTTTTGGAATCAACAACTAGGCCATGGTGTGCAGGCAAGTGTGTTTCTTTGTATGGGCAGGGGCATGTGGGGATGTGTGTGTGCATGCGTACACATGCTCAAGTGTGGCCCAATGTGCCTGGGGTAACAGAGTGGTGGGATGGAGATAAGAATGCTTTTCTCTTAGGAAATGGGAGGAGGGATGAGGAGGAAGACAGAGGAGCCAGTGGCAGTGCAGGGTCTCTGGAAGAGTGGCTTCACCCTAGCCGGGCAGCATCACCTCCGCCATCAAATGCTCCCTGCCTGGCCATCGGCCCACATGTTCAATTAGCAAACAAGCAAACGTTTATAATTGTGTCTTAGGTGCCAGCCTTAGGGAACACAGAGATGAGAGACTGGTCCCTGCTCTTGGGGGATCCCCCCAATCTATCATGCTCGCTCTGTCATCCTTCAAGGTCTGACTCACAAGCATCTGCTCTAGAGGCCTTCCCTGATTGCTGCCTCTACCCACTCCACACCCCCAGCAGAACCTCAGCATCTTCTGCCTGGGGCACCACTGGTTCCTGGGGGATGGGTGTGTGGGATATGTTTTCCTCAAGGGCAGGGGTCTGGCTCTTGTAGATGCCTCCAGTACCCACACAAGGCCCAGCACACAGTAGCAGGCTTTCTGTGTATAGGAACACGTGAATCAACCAAAGGACAAAGGAATTAACAGATGAACAAAGGAAAGCCCAGTGAAAAACTAAATAATGGAAGGTAAGAAAGAATGAATGAAGAAATTCAAGAATTGATGACTGAATAAGCAAATGAATGGAAGAACAAAATGACAACATTGCTTCTCAGGCCGGGCTCGGTGGCTGACGCCTGTAATCCCATTGTTTTGGGAGGCTGAGGCGGGCGAATCACTTGAGGTCAGGAGATCGAGACCAGCCTGGCCAATTTGGTGAAGCCCCGCCTCTACTAAAAATACCAAAATTAGCTGGGTGTGGTGCCGGTGCCTGTAATCCCAGCTACTCAGGAGGCTGAGGCAGGAGAATCGTTTGAACCCAGGAGGCGGAGGTTGCAGTGAGCGGAGATCACGGCACTGGACTTCAGCCTGGGCGACAAAGCAAGACTCCGTCTCAAAAAAAAAAATTGCTTCTACTTTTTAAAATATGTGTTGGGCCACATTAGTCCCTTGCTTAAAATCTCCCAGTGCCTTACCTTTCATTTTGCTTGGAAAAATAAAAATACAATACATACGATACCATAATAATAAAGAATAATAAAATCCAGCAGCTTTGTCTTGTCCTCTGAGGCCCTGTGTGCTTGGCCCCTGCCTCCTCTCCAGTCCCAGCTTTAGCCATCTTTCCCTTTACCCACATTTGGATCTTTTTCAGTTCCTAGAATACACTGAATTTTTGTCTCACAGTCTTTTTACATGGTGTTCCCTCTTCCTAGGATGCTCTTCTTCTTGCTCTTCACAGTACTGCTTCCTTTTTATTCTTCAATTGAAGTGCCGTCTCCTCAGGGAAGCCTCCCCTGACTGCCACATCTAAGAAGGTCTCCTTATTCTCGGTCTCAGCATCCAGTTTGTCTCCTCTATGGCTATCACAATCTGGAATTATATATTTCTGTGTTCATTGTTTTTTGTCTCTGGACCTCTCTAAACCAGATTAGGGCTCTGACCCAATCTGAGGTCAGGAGACAGCTGGCACTTCTTAGGACGAGCAAAGTGGATTCTATGCCCTCATTCATCCTTTCAGAATAACCTTGATTAGGAACACAGACTCTGGGCCCAGGCTGCCTGGTTTGCAGACCAACTCTGACCTTGGACAAGTTATTTCACCTTTTTTTTTTTTTTTTTTTTTTAGACAGAGTCTTGCTCTGTCTCCCAGGCTGGAGTGCAGTGATGTGATCTTGGCTCACTGTAACTCCCAGGTTCAAGCGATTCTCCTGCCTCAGCCTCTTGAGTGTCTGGGATTACAGGCGTGAGCCACCACACCCAGCTAATTTTTGTATTTTTAGTAGAGACAGGGTTTCGCTCTGTTGGCCAGGCTGGTCTCAAACTCCTGACCTCAACTGATCCACCTGCCTTGGCCTCCCAAAGTGCTGGGATTATAGGTGTGGGCCACCGCGCCCTGCCCAAGTTATTTCACCTTTCTGTACCTCAGTTTCCTCATATGTAAAATGGAAATTTAGTAGACCTCACCTCACAGAAGTCTTGAGAGAAATCAGTGAGCTGTTAGAGGAGTGTTTGGCACATAGTAAATACCACATAAGTGTTCACTATCATTCATTCATTCATTCATTCATTCAATTAAACCTCAACTCTCTGACCACAGTTTCCTATCCTTTCAGCCCATGTATTCACAAGCTCCTTGAAAACAATTCTAAGTCAGGTATGGTGGCTCACACCTGTAATCCCAGAACTTTGGGAGGCTGAGACAGGAGGATCACTTGAAGCCAGGAGTTCGAGACCAGCCTGGGCAGCCCAGGAGTTCGAGGCTGCAGTGAGCCATGGTTGTACCACTGCACTCTAGGCTGGGTGACAGAGCAAGACCCTGTCTCTAAATAAATAAATAAAACAATTCTAAAAACTGATACCAAAATCAAAAATCAAAGCCCAGCAAGCCCAATGAGACCTCTCTCATCCATTTCCCAGCTAGCCATCACTCTCCTCCTCTTCTCACTCCTGCTTTCAACCAGCCTAGATTCTGCTGTCAGTCCTTATGGTCATTCGTTGCAAAGACCTGGCACTGTCCGGCCTCCCTCTCCCTCCCTCTCCCTCCAGTGTACCTGCCTGGAAAACCCAGGCCTGCAGGAATCTAACCATTACCTTCTTTTTTTTTTTTTTTTTTTTTTGAGACAGAGTTTCGCTCTTGTTGCCTAGGCTGGAGTGCAATGGCACGATCTCAGCTCACCGCAATCTCCTCCTCCCAGATTCAAGCGATTCTCCTGCCTCAGCCTCCCGAGTAGCTGGGATTACAGGCATGCGCCACCACGCCTGCCTAATTTTGTATTTTTTTTTTTTTTGAGATGGAGTCTCACTCTGTCGCCCAGGCTGGAGTGCAGTAATTTTGTATTTTTAGTAGAGACAGGGTTTCTCCATGTTGGTCAGGCTGGTCTCGAAGTCCCAACCTTAGGTGATCCACCTGCCTCGGCCTCCCAAAGTGTTGGGATTATAGGCGTGAGCCACTGCGCCCGACCTCCCTTACCTTCTAAATGTGGAGGAGAAAACTGCTTGCTATGCAGACAGGGTCGCAACTCCCAGCCTCAATAGGACACTAACCAGGCCCAGCAATCCTCTGGTGCATTTCTCACTAAGCAGGCCCTATCACTCTGCCCAGATGAGCAGCTCACACTTTTTCTTTTGTCTTCCAACATCCTACCCCTTCTCCTCCTTCCCCACCTGAATTCTAAATCCTCTCACCTTCTGGGGATGTTACACCTCTGTAACTCCATCTCTCGTACCATCCAGCTTTTCCTTCCACAGAGTTATCCTCTTAGCATACAAACACATTCTAGAATCTCTTGTTTAAAAAGAAAAAACAAAACCCTTTCCTTAGAGAATTAAGCATTTATCCTGCCTTTTTAAGGAGAAACTGTGGTTCATTTCTAGTTGAAGATCCTCTTTGTAGAAAAATGCCAGCTAAAGCTGGGTGTGGTGGCTCATGCCTGTAATCCCAGCACTCTGGGAGGCTGAGGCGGGTGGATCACCTGAAGTCAGGAGTTCAAGATCAGCCTGGCCAACATGGTGAAACCCTGTCTCTACTAAAAATACAAAAAATTAGCCGGGAATGGTGGCAGGTGCCTGTAATCCCAGCTACTCCAGAGGCTGAGGCAGAAGAATTGCTTGAATCTGGGAGGCAGAGGTTGCAGTGAGCCGAGATTGAGGAACTGCACTCCAGTCTGGGCAACAAGAGCAAAACTCCATCTCAAAAAAAAAAAAAAAAAACCGGGCGTGGTGGTTTATGCCTGTAATCCCTGCACTTTGGGAGGTTGCGGTGGGCAGATCAACCAGAAGTCAGGAGTTCGAGACCAGCCTGGCCAACATGGCGAAACCACGTCTCTACTAAAAGTACAAAAATTAGCCAGGTGTGGTGGTGGGCGCCCATAATCCCAGCTACTCAGGAGGCTGAGGTAGGAGAATCACTTGAACCTGGAAGGCAGAGGTTGCTGTGAGTCGAGATTGTACCACTGCACTCCAGCCTGGGCAACAAGAACAAAACTCTGTCTCATAAAGAAAAAGAAAACAAGAAAAATGCCAGCTAGATGTGAGCACACAGCAAGATGGTGGCTGCCTACAGGACAAGAGAAGAGGCCTCAAAATAAAACCTACCTTGCCAGCACCTTGATCTTGGACTTCCCAGGCTCCAGAACTATAAGAAAAAGAAAGAAAGAAAGAAAATGCCCACTAATAAATATAGAGGGAATGTGAGAACTGGAAAAACTCCATTTAAAAAATTTTTATTTTTATTTTTTGAGATGGAGTCTCACTCTTTCACCCAGGCTGGAGCGCAGTGGTGCGATCTTAGCTAACTGCAACCTCCACGCCCCTCCCCCAACCCCAGGTTTAAGTGATTCTCATGCTTCAGCCTCCTAAGTAGCTGGGACTACAGGTGCCCGCCACTATGCCTGGCTAATTTTTGTATTTTTAGTAGAGATGGGTTTCACCATGTTGGCCAGGTTAGTCTCATACTGCTGGTCTCAAGTGATCCACCTGCCTCAGCCTCCCAAAGGGCTGGGATTGCAGGCATGAGCCACCGTGCCCAGCCAGGAAAAACTCCATTTTGTAATCCCAATTACATCACTGATTTAAGGAATCATCAATGGTTGATTGATGGTGGTGTCTCACCACCTGTAGTCCCAGCACTTTGGGAGGCCAAGGCAGGCGGATCACTTGAGGTCAGGAGTTCAAGACCGGCCTGGCCAATGTGGCAAAACCCTGTCTCTACTAAAAATACAAAAATTAGTGGGACGTTGTAGCATGCACCTGTAGTCCCAGCTACTCAGGAGGTTGGGGCTGGAGAATTGCTTGAACCCGGGAGGTGAAGGTTGCAGTGAGCCAAGATCATGCCACCGCACTTCAGCCTGAGTGACAGAACAAGACTCTGTCTCAAAAAATAAATAAATAAATAAAAATAAAGAATCATCAGTGATGTCCAGCAGGGTCAGTTCCTGGTGAGGGCTGTCTCCCTGACTTGCAATGGCCACCTTCTCACTGTGTCCTCGCATGGCAGAGAGAGAGCAAGCTCTTTGATGTCTCTTAATTTTTTTAAATTTAAGACTGTGTCTCGCTCTGTCACCCAGGCTGGAGTACAGTGATATGATCACAGCTCACTGCAGCCTTGACCTCTTGGGCTATAGCGATCCTCCCACCTCAGCCTCCCGAGTAGCTAGAACCATAGGAATGTACAACTACACCCGGCTAACTGTTCATTTTTTTGTAGAGACAGAGTCTCAGCATGTTGCCCAGGCTGGTCTGGAACTCCTGGGCTCAAGTGAACCTCCTGCCTCCCAAAGTGCTGGGATAACAGGGGTGAGACACCATGCCAAGCCTGGTGTCCCTTTTTATAAGGACACTAACCCTATCAGATCGGGGTCCTACCCGTATGATTTCATTTAACCTTAATTACTTCCAGAAAGGCCTCGTCTCCAAGTATAGTCACATTAGGGGTTAGGAATCCAACATATGAATTTGGGAAAGACAAAATTCAATCCATCACAGATGCTAAAACCCCTAGGTGAAAAGTTTTAAAGAAGACCATGTTCTCGGCCGGGCGCGGTGGCTCACGCTTGTAATCCCAGCACTTTGGGAGGCCGAGGCGGGCGGATCACGAGGTCAGGAGATCGAGACCATCCTGGCTAACACGGTGAAACCCCGTCTCTACTAAAAATACAAAAAAAATTAGCCGGGCGTGATGGTGGGCGCCTGTAGTCCCAGCTACTCGGGAGGCTGAGGCAGGAGAATGGCGTGAACCCTGGAGGCGGAGCTTGCAGTGAGCCGAGATTGCGCCACTGCACTCCTGCCTGGGCCACAGAGCGAGACTCCGTCTCAAAAAAAAAAAAAAAAAAAAAAAAAAAAAGAAGACCATGTTCTCACAGTGTGAAAGGAGCCCCACACAGATGATTTGGTATTTGCAAAGAGGATCACTCTTTTTCAATGAAGAGATCTGGTGGACGCCCCATAACCGTGCTTCCTATGTATGTATATACCATCACTATGAATAATTCTTTTTTTTTGGCCGGGTGTGGTGGTTCATGTCTGTAATCCTAGCACTTTGGGAGGTGGAGGCAGGTGGATCACAGAGGTCAGGAGTTTGAGACCAGCCTGGCCAACATGGTGAAACCCCATCTCTACTAAAAATACAAAAGATTAGCCAGGCATGGTGGCGGGTACCTGTAATCCCAGCTACTCGGGAGGCTGAGGCAGGAAAATCGCTTGAACCCGGGAGGCGGATGTTGCAGTGAGCCGAAATCACTGCACTCCAGCCTGGGCGACAGAGCAAGACTCTGTCTCAAAAATAAATAAATAAATAAATAAATAAATATTGCCATAAGAAAGTCAGTAGTAGAGGGTGACTGTTTTGTATTATAAGGGACTTCAAAGAGACATCACCACCAAATGTAATGCATAAACCTTGGTTGATTTCTTTGGTAAAAAGACCCAACTATCATTGTGCATATTAGTTGATGTGTTTTTCTCTCTCCTTCCTTGACTTTGGGCTCCACTAGGTTTCGTCGCTTTAACTTAGCATAGTTCAACCAGCATCTTGCAGCGTCTGGCACCCACTAGGTGCTTAATAAAGACCGACTGAGAAAACAGGAATGAAGGAAGGACAAAACTTTGCCTAGTGGAGAGGGATGACGTCTCAGAGGATTCTGAAGGACAAACAGGTTGCCCACAGGTGAAATCTCTGATTCAGCCTCCCACTCAGTGGCTCTAGTGCCAGACATGACACTCATTTTTGGGGAACCCAAACAGCAGAACTCTGACCAGCGGGTGGAGACTCGAGCAGGGAGGATTTCAGCTCAGGAGCAGGAAGAACTACAGCCGTGGGAATAGCTCAGCAGCAGAATAGCTGGTCTCGGGAGGTACCAAGGTGAGCATGCAGAGGGGACTCACACGGACTGACCTCATGCACAGGCAGGGAATGCACCTGCATGGTGACCCCGACCACAAGTCCCACCACCAAGCCTTTGCCCAAAGGTCCTCCCACCTGGCAGCCTCTCTGTCCCCTTTTTTGCCCAGGCTTAGCCTCCGAGAGAGCGGTATTTTCTCCCTTCTCTAAGCCCTGAGCACTTCTTCTCTGCACCACCAGGGGTCCTGTGGCACGATGTGCCTTTTTCGGGCAGGCATCTCTGCCTGGATAAGAAGCAAGGCCTCTGACAGGTTGTGCGAACTTGACCAAGTGTCTGCCTCTCTCTGGGCCCCTGTTTCCTTTTTTGTACAAGGATAAGGTGGGACAAGATGCCCCAAGAAGCCTGTTTAACCTTCAAATGTCTTTCTTGGAGTCTGGTCCTCTAGTCCTCTATGGCATTGGGGACTCCTAGGGGACAGGGACGATACTGGCTGAGGCCCCTGCCAGGACCCCCCAGGAACAGACCCAGCTTATCACCCCACAGTGTGGACATGCTGTGGTGATACTCTCACCTCCATTCTTGCTAAAGGCAGCGTGGCTCAAATTTAGGACCCACAAGTTACTGGCTGTGTGATCTTAGGCAAATGTCTTAACAACTCTGGGCTTTAGTTTCCACACCGATAAAACTAGAACAGTAATATCTGATTATCAGGATGAGGAGTAAAGGAAATGATGGCTTCGAAAGTATCTTGTACATAGCGGGTATACAAAAAGCTGTCAGGAGCCAGGGAGGGAGGTCTGATGAGGAGTTTTGGAATCTCTCCCATCACCACCCCAGATTCTAGTCTCTTCATCATCACAAGCTGCTTTATGCAGAGAGAGATACTAAATACCACATGTCTAGATCTAGAGTAGGCCTGGCACATAGTAGGTGCTCAATACATATTTGTCAAATGACAGATAAATCCTATAACCAATATCTTACTTGAGCCTTGAAGCAAACTGGTAAGGGGCAAGACAAGGGTACAGTTATTATCTCTGCTTCAAAGGTGAAGCCACTGTAGCTCAGAGAGGGAAAGTGACTTACCTAAGGTAACACAGCAGAGTTGGGCTTGGAACCCAGTTCCCTTCAGCTGTAGAACCCATAATAATGTCCCTCATCCATGCAGCCACTTTATAGACAGATTGCTAGGCTCTGCCTACGCTCACTCTCACATAAGGGAGTATCCCAGGGGGTGGTGCTTTGCCAAACACAAAGCAGGGCAGGCAGGCCAACTGGCCTGTCCCAGGGGCCCCACTCTGCTCCCTGATGACCCAGAGCCTGTGCTGGGTCACTGTGCTCCTTGGCTGGAGGCAGCTTGGCCTTGGCCTAGCAGACCCATGGAGCCACAGGACAGGTATCTTAGTGCAGCACGATGGGGAACCTGGGCCAAGTACGGCGGCTGAGCCTGTGGGACTACCTCTTGGGGCTGACCCACCCCAGGGGGCTCACAACAAGTCAACCTGGCAGGTCAGGAGTGTGCCATCCCCCAGGGCCTGGGTGCCCCCAACTTTCAGTGACTGCTGCCATATTTACGGTCAGTGAGACTCTTATTCTGGGGGTGGGAGGAGGGTTTCTAGAGTGGGTGGACTCTACCTGCCTGGAGTGCAGTGAGGAAGCCAGTGGGGTCATCACACAGCCCCCTCCCACCAGGAGTGCTGACGCATCCCTACACTGACGTCCAGGAGCCATCTGAGGCCTACGAGGACATGAGAACAAGCAGGGACCAGAGTGAGGACCACCGTAGTGCACTCTGGGGAGGCCGTGGAGTCCATCCTTCCCTCAGGGCAGGACAGAGCATTATAGAGGGGCTGGAGGTGATGGAATGGCGATTTTCACTGGGGGTGGGAGTGAGGGCTGGGGTATTAAAGTGGAGTGCAGAGTATTCGAATGGGTGCTGGAATATTTCAAGGGGATTGGAATATTTAAAGTTGGAGCAAAAATTTCAAGTTGAGGCTGGACTTTAAGAGTGGAGTGGAGGTTTGCCATAGGGGCTGGAGAACTTCCGCGACGATCAGAGTATTGCACAGTGGGGGCTAAAGAGTTTCACAAAGGCTGGGTTATTTCAGGCATATTATGGGGAGTGGGAGAGGACCTAGAGTATTTCAGTGAGACGCTGGAATCTTCCAGGGTAGGCTGGTATATTTCAGAGGTGAGTGAGAAAGGTGTATGCCCTTGGAGGCTGCCCAGGGAGCCCCCTTCAGCCCTGAGTCTGCAGGTCAAGGATCCTGGGGGTCCCTGGGAGTCTAGTCTTCTGCTTTCTCCTGTCCACCAGGGCAGGTCAGGACTGAGCCCTCCAGCTCCGCCACAGCAGTCCTTCTGCATGTGCCAAAATGTGACACCAGGGATCATGGCCTTGGGGATGTCTGCTGTTTATTTCCAAGTCAGTGGCACTAAGGAGCAGCCAGTCCCAGGGCACCCAATGCAGAGCATCCTGCTTGAGCTTTGGGGCTTCCAGGTAAGGACCAGGTCAACCTGGCCATCCCTCTGCCTGCAGGGAAGTCTCCCTTCCCTCCCCCGGAGCTCTCTCCCAAGAGTGGGACTCCCAGATGAAGTAGGGAGCATTCCTGGGCACAGAACCTTCTGCTTCCAGGGGTGTCTTTGCAGTCTACTTCCATCTCTCCTGCTTTGATGGGAGGCTTGTTAATTTCCTGAGTATGGGCGCTCTGTTGGGCTTTGTCTCAGTGGCTCCTGGACCTCCCGTAACTTGTGAGATCTGAGGACCTTGGGGGCCAGGAGTGCTTGATACTAGAAAGGGTGTCAGTGGGTGATGGAGGGAAGAGATTAGTGCCAGTTCTGGGTGACATCAACCCCCCAGGGGACAATTCCTATCCATTACACCAGGCACTGCTTTAGCTACTTACTGGGCTCTCGCTTTGACAAGCACCAGCGGAACTATGCCAACTTCACCAGCTGCTGTTCACACCACAACACATTCCACCTTCCCTAGAGTGAGTGGCCCCAGGGGCTAACTTGACATAGGCTAGAACCCCTGACACGCTCCCTTCCAGAGCACCAACTCTGTGCCTCCTGTATCCACACGCCCCAGCCACGCCCCAGCTGCGCAATGAGGTGGCACAATGCTGTGGTTCCTCAGTCAGTGTCAGGTGTGGGGCCAGGACCTCCCCCCGAATTGGGCTGTGTCCCCATCAGCCTGGAGACTGTCCCCTCACCGGCCAGGTGACTCAAGCTCCCTGGGAGTCAAGGCAATCTGGGAGTGGGGGCTCTCAGTGGTCCCCTAAGCCTTATCAGTATGAGAGGAGGGAACACAAAATTGTCCCTCTGAGACAGGAGGCCAGTTTGGCTTGGCATATGCTCAGGCCTGGAGTTCCTACCAGAGGAGCAAAAGAAGGAAGGGAGAAGGAAACACCACTTATTGAGCACTTACTGTGTGCCATATCCTGTCTAGACATTTACACACATTCTCTCCCTGTGGTAGAATCACTCTGTTATATGGATAGAGAAACTGAGGCCAGAGAATTTCAGAGGCTTTCCCAAGGTTACGCAGCTAGTGCATGAGTGAAACAGCTGGGGCGTGGCCCAGGGTCTGTCTGAATTGACTAACATTGCCTCCTCTCCATAACCCTGAAATGGGCCTCTGGACAAATCCTGACTCCTCCATCTACTGTCTGGATGACCTTGAACAAGCTGCATAAACTCTTTAAGTCTCAGTCTCCTCATCTGTAATATGGGTATATTAGTAAAAACCCATGTGATGTGATGAATTGGGCTGACACATGTGAAGTGCCTGACATGTAAGTACACCGTCACTGTTAGACAATACTACCTTTGGAGCTCTCACGGAAGAGACATAGCCCTGCCCCCTGTTTGAGGAAAGATATAAAGCTGTGTTTTCGGGAACCCCCAGTCCGAAGGAGAGACCCCCTTGCTTAACATCACCAGGGCCGGGAGAAGGAGGAGGGCAGGATGGAGTGGACCACAAGCTAGAGAAAGGTGGTCTCTAGCACCAGGTTAATTTTGAAAGACTCTCCCGTACGGTCAATTTCATTGTCTACACACACACACACACACACACACACACACACACACACACACACACGTATTTTTAAGACAGAGTCTCACTCTGTCTCCCAGGATGGAGTACAGTGGCGGGCACAATCTTGGCTCACTGCAACCTCCACCTCCCGGATTCAAGTGATTCTCCTGCCTCAGCCTCCCGAGCAGCTGGGATTACAGGTGCCGGCCACCACACCCAGGTAATTTTTGTATTTTTAGTAGATATGGGGTTTCACCATGTTGGCCAGGCTGGTCTCAAGCTCCTGACCTCAAGTGATCTGCCTGCCTCAGCCTCCCAAAGTGCTGGGATTACAGGCGTGAGCCACTGCTCCCGGCCCATTATCCCGATTCTACAAATGGGGAAACTGAGGTCCAGAGAAGTCCAAGAATATAGTGACTCAATGAGCAGGCCAAGGCCCCACACCAGGCACTCAGCCCCTCTGGCTCAGGGTGGGAGCAGATGTAATATGCTGGGTGCCCCTGTGCCCCCACCCCAAGATGTGTTCTGCATGAAACTGAAACTCTTCAGCCTAGGTACACCACTGCGTGCCAGGGAACCCCAGGCCAGACTTCATGGAACACAGCAAGGACCTGACCCTCAGCCTCTTGGATCACTCCTGCCACTGGCATGGGAGGAGCCATAGCAGCAAGGAGTACCTGGAGCTGCACAGGGAGAACTTCCTCCTCATCCTCAGGTGGGCCAGGGCTGGCTCCCACACAGGGCATAGCACCTTTGACTTTGCCATCTGCCCTCTTCTGCATCCTCACGGCCACCCTGCCACCTGATGAGATCATCCCCAACCCCACTATTCAGAGGAGGAAACTGAGTTTCAGAGTGGCAGGAGGCTTGCCCAAGGTCATACCGGGAGAATTCAGCAGAGGCAAGATTGGAAAGCAGGCTAGCTGGCTCAACTCCAAGTCTTTAGTCCTGCCCTGCCTTATTTTTAGGCCTGAGTCCCCATCTCAACTCCTGCATTCTCCCTGGCAGAACTAAAGAGGGTGTGCCTTCCCTAAGGTCACCCAGCCGAGCAGCAGGCAGGTGGGCTCCCAGCCCCACCTTGTCCCCCAAATACTCTGTTGTTTGGACTTTTTTTTTTTAAGAGACAAGGTCTTACTCTGTCGCCCAAGCTGGAGCGTAATGGCATGATCCTAGCTCACTGCAGCCTCAAACCTCTGAGTTCAGATGATCTTCCTGCCTCAGTCTCCTGAGTAGCTAAGACTACAGCTGTGCACAACCATATGCGGCTAATTTTTAATTTTTTTGTACAGACAGGGTCTTGCTGTGCTGCCCAGGCTGGCCTTGAACTCCTGGCTTCAAGCAATCCTCCCACCTTGGCCTCTCAATGTATTAGGATTACAGGTGTGAGCTTGGCCTGCACTTTATTCATAAATATATGTTTCCAGATCTGCCTTTCCCACTGGACTCTTGAGGGCCTGGCCCAGAGATGGCATCTCTCAGTATTTGCTGGTTGAATTGAAAAATAACATGTTTAGGTTTCTGGTGGCAGGGTCTGCGGAAGGGGCGGCAGGTGCCATGTCCGGCCACGAAGGTGGCAAGAAGAAGCCACCGAAACAGCCCAAGAAGCAGGCCAAGGAGATGGACGAGGAAGACAAGGCTTTCAAGCAGAAACAAAAAGAGGAGCAGAAGAAACTCGAGGAGCTAAAAGCGAAGGCCGCGGGGAAGGGGCCCTTGGCCACAGGTGGAATTAAGAAATCTGGCGAAAAGCAAGCTGTTCCTTGTGCCTGAGGAGATGGTGACCCTTTATTTCATCCGTATTTAAACTTCTCTATTCCCTGCCATAACATCTTTTGCCCCGTATAGCTGGAATAAAGTGTTATCTTGGAGCTGTTGTACATTTAAGAATAAACTTTTGTAAAAAAAAAAAAAAAATCTTACAGTGGCTCATCATCTCTTTAGTTGTTTTCACTAAGTCATTCCTACCATAACTGTGAATTTAAAAGTAAAACCAGCTCAGAATCTTGCCAGAGTCTGCTCTTTGGTCCTTGTTCTACCCTAAACTTTGTATCACCTGAAATTAAATCAACTCCTTTGAAAAAAAAAAATAACATGTTTATTGAATATTTTTAATGAGCCAAGGATATGCTAAGGGTTTTATATACATGAGCTCATTTAATCTTCACAATGACCATGTAAGTACTATTATCTCATTTTATAGACAGAGAAAGCAAGACTTAGAGAAGATAAGAGCTGGGTGCCTAGCACATAGTTGGTGCTTCTGATTCTTATTCTGAGCTGACTGACTAAATGGATGGATAAATTAAGAAGGGAGAGGTGGGAGTGAGGTGGTCAAGGTTAAGGTGCCAACCTCACCTCTCATCTGGGTTCAGTCATGCCCACAACCATGTCCACCATCTTGTCCCTGGCTCCCAACCACCTGATGGGCCACAGTCCTGGGGAGCTGGCTGCCCTGCAGGGTGTGCTGAAATCCTCTAAGATGAATAAAGAGAAACCTTTCCTGCCAAGCAGCTGACAAGAGTTGCTCTGCCTGAGAATTGAGACTGCAGACTCCGTGGGGAGGGTTCACCTCCAAACCCTTAACAACTACCAAAATATTACAGGAAAAAATTAGCCCAGCTGCTTTCTCAGAAGCCCTAGGGAAATAAAGGAAACTCATTCTTTATTGCAGCAAGAATGATTTCGGTTAGACTGCAGAAGGAACTGACAGAGAAACAGAACAAACCAGAGGGGGAATTCCTTATCAGAGTCAGGAAATGATACGTGTGGGCCCTGTAGGCAGCTTCATAGGGTGAGCCTTGGAAAAGGAGGGAGGCTGAGTGAGTAGGAACCATGGTTCCCATAGTTCCTGCACAGGGGAACCATTGTGTAATGGAGAAGTCATGTCATATCCCCCCCGCCCGTCAACAGCCAAATGAAAAGGCCACGTGGAAAGAAGAGAGGGAGGGCACCCTGAGACAAGGAGCCCATGTGGTCACATGGGAGGTATTCCTGGAGGGGCAGGGGTGAGAGGAGTGTGAAGGTGTCCCAGGGAAGGAGAAGGAAGTCACATTTATCAAACCCCTGCTGTGAGCCAGGACCATGCTAAGCACTTTACATCTGGTGTCACATTTCATCCATTCATTCAACAAATATTTACTGAATGTGCCAGGCCCTGTGCTAGGGCCTGAGGAGAGGGCTGTGAACAAGGCAGCTCCAGTCCCCTCCCCTCTTGGAACTTAGAAGTGGAGGAGACAATCAACAGATGTGTGACATCACTGGTGAGACTCGCTTTGAAGAGAAGCAAAGAAAGGAAGGGGCTAGAACGTCTTGGCAATCAGGGGTCAGGGCTGTGTAAAAGAATTTTTTTTTATTTTTGTATTTTTTAGGTGAAAGAAGGCCTCTTTGCAGAGGTGACATTTAGCAGTGACCTGAATAAAGTGAGGGAACTGTGAGTGCAAAGGTCCCAAGGCGAGAGTCTGCCTGGGGGCCGGTGTGGCTGGAAGACAGTGAGCGAGGGGAGATGAACTGAGAGCTGTTCAGCAAGGATGTGCTCACGCTGGTGGGCCTTCTCCGCTACAGGAAGGATATTTGGTTTTATTATCAATGTGATGGGAAACCACTGGAAGGTTTCTGAGCAGGAGAGTAATATGGTTTATTTATTTATTTATTATTTATTTGTTTATTTATTTATTTTTGAGAAGTAGTCTCGCTCTGTCACCAGGCTGGAGTGCAGTGGCACGATCTCAGCTCACTGCAAACTCTGCCTCCCAGGTTCAAGCAATTCTCCCAAGTAGCTGGGACTACAGACGTGCACACCACCACACCTGGCTAATTTTTGTATTTTTAGTAGAGAAGGGTTTCACCATTTTGGACAGGCTGGTCTTGAACTCCTGGTCTTGAACTCCTGGCCTCAAGTGATCCACCCGCCTCGGCCTCCCAAAGTGCTGGGATTTCAGGTGTGAGCCACCGTGCATGGCCAAACTTAGTATCCTTTATTTTATTTCATTTTGAGATGGAGTTTCACTCTTGTTGCCCAGGCTGGAGTGCAATGGTGCAACCTTGGCTCACTGCAACCTCCACCTCCTGGGTTCAAGCGATTCTTCTGCCTCAGCCTCCTGAGTAGCTGGGATTACAGGCATGCACCACTACACCTGGCTAAATTTGTATTTTTAGTAGAGATGGGGTTTCTCCCTGTTGGTCACGCTGGTCTCAAACTCCCGACCTCAGGTGATCCGCCTGCCTCAGCCTCCCAAAGTGCTAGGATTACAGGCATGAACCACTGCACCCGGCCCTCAGTATCCTTTATAAAGCTTTCCCTACTAGAACACACAGATCTCCCTGATTCTTTTTCGTAGCCATATAGTATTCCATTTTGTGGATGGACTGTGCTCTACCTAGTCTAGCCCCTTACTAATCGACAGTTGGGTTGTTTCCAGTCTTTGGCTATGGAAACAGTGCTGCAGAGAATAACTTTATACATACATCATTTATTACTCATGCAAGTCTATCCGAAGATGAATTCCCAGAAATAGGTTATCTGAAGGTATTTTGATAGATTTTGCCAAAATGCCCTTTTACCAATTTATATTCACACATGTGAGAGTCATGTGTGAGAACATGTGTGAGAGTAGTACTATTTCCTCATAGAAATGCTCACAGAATATGTTATTCAGCTTTTGGGGTTTTTTTGGCCAGACTGATAAGACATCGTATCTTAGTCCATTTTGTGCTGCTATAATAAAATCCCACAGAATGGATAATTAATCATAAACAGAAGTGTATTGGCTCACAGTTTTGGAGGCTGGGAATTCCAGGATCATGGGGCCCACATCTGGCTTGGGCCCTCTTGCTGTGTCATCCCATGGTGGAAGAGCAAAGAGAGGGTGACAGAGAAGAAAAGGGAACTGAACTTGCCCTTTTATAATGAATCTGTTCCCAGAATAATAATCCCACTCCTGCTATAACAGCACCACCAATCCATTCATGAGGGTGAAACCCTCATGACCTAAACACCTCTCCTTAGGCCCAACCTCCCAACACTGTTGTATGGGGTTAAGTTCCCAGCACCTGCTTTTCGCGGCGTAATGTTCAAACTGTAGCAATATTCTAGTCTAGTTTTTCTGGTTTGCATTTCTTTTGAGTTTGAGCTTCTTTTTATGTGTTTAAGAATCACTTATATTTACTTTTCTGGGAACCGTCAGTTCATATGCTAGGCCTCTATTTCTTTCTTTTTTTCTTTTTTCTTTTTTTTTGAGATGGAGTTTCGCTCTTGTTGCCCAGGCTGGAGTGCAATGGCGTGATCTCGGCTCACTGCAACCTCCGCCTCCCAGGTTCAAGCGATTCTCCTGCCTCAGCCTCCTGAGTAACTCGGATTACAGGCAGGCGCCACCATGCCCAGCTAATTTTTTTGTATTTTTAGTAGAGACGGGGTTTCTCCATGTTGGTCAGGCTGGTCTTGAACTCCCGACCTCAGGTGATCTGCCCACCTTGGCCTCCCAAATTGCTGGGATTACAGGCGTGAGCCACCGCGCCCGGCCTAGGCCTCTATTTCTATAAGATTAATCAATTTCCTGGAATTCTTTCTAAATAAGCGAGATGTTCCCTTGTCTGTGATTAGAGTTGTAAATATTTCCCCCAGATTGTCATTTGTCTTATGCGTTGATTTATAGTGTTTTTCCATGCAGAAGTTTTTGATTTTTATATAGTTGACTTTATCAATCTTTTCTTTTTACAGCTTTTTGATTTTTGAGTCATGGTTAAACTTTCTCCACTATGAGATTATACATTCTCCCATGTTTTCCTCTAGTGCCTTTACGGTTTTATTTTGATTTTTCAAACATTTAAATATTTTATCCCTTGGGAGCTCATCCTGGTGCTCAGTGTGAGGCACGGATCTAATTTTTTTTTTCCTAGTTGGCTACCTAGGTGTCCCAACACCATTTATTAAAGAGTCCATTTTCCACTTTGAGAGGACACCTTTATCAAATACTAAATTCTCGCGTGCAATTAGGTCTATTTCTGGACTTTCTATTCTAGTCCATTGGTCTGTTTGTCTCTTCCTGAACCAAACCAAGTGGTTTTAATTATTATTTTTTGTTTTGTTTTGTTTTGAGACCGAGTCTCGCTCTGTCGCCCAGGCTGGAGTGCAGTGGTTTGATCTCGGCTCACTGCAACCTCTGCCTCCTGGGTTCAAGCAATCCTCCTGCCTCAGCCTCCCAAGTGGCTAGGATTATAGGCACCCACCATCACGTCTGGCTAATTTTTATATTTTTAGTAGAGAAGGGGTTTCACCATGTTGGCCAGGCTTGTCTCGAACTCCTGACCTCAAGTGATCCACTCGCCTCGGCCTCCCAAAGTGCAGGGATTACAGGCATGAGCCAGCATGCCCAGACTTAATTATTTATTTATTCTTATTTTATTTTTTTGAGATGGAATCTCTTTTCATCGTCTAGGACGCTGGAGTGCAGTGGCATGATCTCGGCTCACTGCAACCTCTGCCTCCTGGGTTCAAGTGATTCTCCTGCCTCAACCTCCTGAGTAGCTGGGACTATAGGCGCCTGCCACCAGGCCAGGCTAATTTGGCTAATTTTTGTATTTTTTTTTTTTTTAAGATGGAGTCTCACTCTGTTGCCCAGGCTGGAGTGCAGTGGCATGATCTTGGGTCACTGCAACCTCCAACTCCCGGGTTCAAGCAGTTCTCTGCCTCCGTCTACCAAGTAGCTGGGACTATAGGCATGCACCACCACACCCAGGTAATTTTTGTATTTTTAGTAGAGACAGGGTTTCACCACATTGGCCAGGCTGGTCTCGAACTCCTGACCTCAGGTGATCCGCCTGCCTCGGCCTCCCAAAGTGCTGGGATTACAGGCGTGAGCCACCATGCCCGGCTCTTAATTTTTGTATTTTTAGTAGAGATGGGGTTTCACCATGTTGGCCAGTCTGGTCTTGAACTCCTGACCGCAAGTGATCCACTCGCCTTGGCCTCCGAAAGTGCTGGGATTACAGGCGTGAGCCACCCCATCAAGCCCCAAGTTGTTTTAATTTTTGAGGCTTTAAATATTGTTATCTAACAGTAGTCAGTGAGTGTTGCCTTTTTTTTTTTCCAGAATTTTTCTGGCATTCTTTTTCTTTCTCTCTCTTCTGTCCTTTTTTTGTTTGTTTTTGGGGGTGGGGAACCTCAGGAGACCTCATGGGATTTATGCCTTTGCAGGAAAAAGAAAATCAATAATTACATGTTATTTGGTAGTGGCTAAGAAAAAAAATAAAGCAGGTAAAAGAGCAGAAGGCAACTAAGGGGTAATATTTAGATAGGCAGCCAGGGAAGTCCCCTGGATGAGGGGGAGATACCTGAGTGAAGGATGGGAGACCACGTGGCTACCTGGGGGAAGACATGCCTGGCAGGGCCAAGGGCAAATGCAGAGGCCTGAGGCAGGAGCACGCCTGGCATGCTGAAAAACAGCAAGGCGGCCAGTGCAGCTGGAAGGGAGTGATCAGAGCAGAGAGTGGGAGGCAGTGAGGTAGATCACGCAGGGCCTTGTAGGTCACAGCAAGGACATTGGCTTTTCCTCTGACACCAGGAGCCATGGGGGGGGCGAGGGGGTTGAGCAGAAGAGTGACATGTTCTGACCTCCGTTTTAACAGGATCACTCAGGCTACTGCGTGGAGTGCAGACTGCAGGGGTGAGGGTAGCGGCAGGGAGGGCAATAGGATTTGGGATGGGTGAATAAATTGTAACTTGGTTTCCTTGTCCATTTTCCCCCATCAAACTGTGAGCTTTGCAAGGACAGGCCCTGAGCTTATTCAGCTCTATGAGCCAAGTGCCAGGCCCAGAGTAGGCGCGGATAAACACTGTGTGAGGAAGAAGGGTGGGAAGACAGAGGAGGAGACAGGAGGCAGGAGAGGCAGAGCCCCCTGGGAAATGGCTCTGCAAAGGCCACAGAAAGAAGAGGAAGCAGACATGATGACAGAGCCTGTTCCCCAGCAGGAACCAAGGCCAGGAAGGGCTGAAGCTGGGGAGCTGGGCCCCCAACCCCGGATCTGTGGCCCCCATTAACAATCAGGTTATGTGCAGTTTATGCTGGAGTTCTGCCAACAAAAGGACCCTGGCCGGGGGGGGTGGGGTGGGGATCTGTTCCTCAAGGTGAAGGTGCAAAGGTGAGGTGGCCTGGCAGAGAGGAGAGCAGCTTTCCTGAATCCTTGCACACAGAGGCCCTGAGAAAGGATAATTCACCCCCTTTATAGATGGTAAGTTGAGGCTCCATGAAAGAAACAGACCTAAGTGATACAGCAAATAGGTGGCCTGGCCTAGTTTCAGGGGCTTGGCCTCTCCAAAACACCTCCTTGGCCACTACCTAATTTGGTCGGGGTCCCCTGCAGTTTTAGGGAGTGACTAAATACAGAAGGAAGGGATGACTCCTGTTATTCAGCCAGCTCTTAGCTGCTGCCAAAGCACAGCTGGTGAGTCCTCACTGTGGGCGGGACCCAGCTTGGGGAACAAAAGCCACAGGACACTTCAGGACCTCATGAGGCTTAGGAAAGAATTGGCCTGGAAGTAGGGCAGATAGACAAGAGGCACCAAGCTGAGGGGCAGAGGAAAGAGGTCAGGCTTTGAAGTTAGGCCTGGCTTTGCCACTATCTTGCTGTGTTATCTTAGGTAACTAGCACCTCAGTTTGCGCATCTGTAAAATGGGAACGACAAGTCCTGCTTTATAGGGCTGGCATGGGGGTTGAAAGGGGCAACAGAAGTCCAGTGCTACCTGAAAGTGCTTCCTTCTTAGCTTCCCCGCTCCCAGACTGGGGACCTGCTATCCCTGTCTTCAGCAGATGCTGGTTGGCTGCTCCTGAGCAAAGGGGAAATGGGCTGCGATGGCGGCTCAAGTCCCAGGCCTACAAATGGGTACAGGCTGTGGGGGATCTGGCCAGTGCTGACACCTAGGGGCTCTTTCAGGATTAGGTGAGCTTGCACATGCCCTCAGGACAGTTGAGTAGGTCTTGGCTCTGCACCAACTACCTCAGGCAAGGTAATCACTCTCTCTGGGCCTCAGCTCCAGGGAATCTCTTCGGCAATGGTTGGGGGTGGGCAGGAATTAGAGGTCTTCTAATTGCAAACGGAGTGGGCTGCTTCAAGAGTAGTGAGCTCCCTGCCTCTGGAGGTATGTAAGCAGGGACTGGACAAGCACTGGGTAGAGATTCACTCACTCATTAATTCAATAAACTCCTACTGAGATTCCATTTTGGGCCAGGGCCTGTGGCCATCATTGTCATTAGGAGATATAGTGACAAGGCATCTTTACTCTCCTGTAACTTACATCTTTTTTTTTTTTTTTTTTTTTTTTTGAGACGGAGTTTCCCTCTTGTTGCCCAGGCTGAAGTGCAATGGCGCGATCTCGGCTCACTGCAACCTCCGTCTCCCAGGTTCAAATGATTCTCCTGCCTCAGCCTCCCAAGTAGCTGGGATTACAGGCGCCCACCACCACGACTGGCTAAGTTTTGTATTTTTTTAGTAAAGATGGGGTTTTGCCATGTTGGCCAGGCTGGTCTTGAACTCCTGACCTCAGGTGATCCACCCGCCTCGGCCTCCCAAAGTGTTGGGATTACAGGTGTGAGCCACCACACTCGGTCTCCTCTCCGCCCCCTCCCCTTCCCTCCCTTCTCTTCTCTTCTCTTTTTTTTTTTAGACAGGGTCTTGCTCTGTTGCCCAGGCTGGAGTGCAATGGCTTGATCTTAAGCTTAACTGCAGCCTCAACCTCCTATGCAGAAGTGATGCTCATGCCTCAGCCTCCCGATTAGCTGGAACTACAGGTACATGCCAGGTATGCTCAGCTAATTTTAAAAAATTTTTAGTAGAGGCCAGGCATGGTGGCTCATGCCTGTAGTCCCAGCACTTCAGGAGGCTGAGGCGGGTGGATCACCTGAGGTCAGGAGTTCGAGACCAGCCTGACCAACATGGAGAAACCCCATCTCTACTAAAAAAAATACAAAATTAGCCAGGCATGGTGGTGCATGCCTGTAATCCCAGCTACTTGGGAGGCTGAGGCAGAAGAATTGCTTGAACCCGGGAGGTGGAGGTTGCAGTGAGATGAGACCACGCCATTGCACTCCAGCCTGGGCAACAAGAGTGAAACTCCATCTCAAAAAAAAAAAATTTTTTTTTAGTAGAAATGGGGTCTTGCTATGTTGCTCGGGGTGGTCTTGAACTCCTAGCCTCAAGCAATCATCTCACCTTGGCCTCCCAAAGTGCTGGGATTACAGGTGTGAGCCACCACCACTGCCAACCGATAACTTACATTCTAATGGGGAGACATTAAATACTGCCAAGACAGTATGTGTTCTATATTGCAGAGGCTGGTCATGAACTCCAGCCTCCAACCCATAGAGAAACTGACTTCTAAACTGATTTTTTTTTTTTTTTTTTTTTTTTTTTTTTTTTGAGACGGAGTCTCGCTCTGTCGCCCAGGCTGGAGTGCAGTAGTGCAATCTCGGCTCACTGCAACCTCTGCCTCCTGGGTTCCAGCGATTCTCCTGCCTCAGCCTCCTGAGTAGCTGGGACTACAGGTGCATGCCACCATGCTCGGCTAATTTTTGCTATTTTTAGTACAGATGGGGTTTTGCCATGTTGGCCAGGCTGGTCTTGAACTCCTGACCTCAGGTGATCCGCCCACTTTGGCTTCCCAAAATGCTGGGATTACAGGCATGAGCCACCACACCTGGCCCTAAACTGAGATTTTTTTTTTTTGAAGGATAAATACAAGTTAAATAGGGAAGGGAAGAGTGTTTAGGTCTGAGAGAAAAACAGGTGCAAAGGCTCAGAGGCGAGAGAGACATGTATTTTCAAGCAGCTGAAAGTTCAACGTGGGCAGAGGGAAGGAGGCAAGGAGGGGAGTGGCTGCGCTGAGTGAGGTCAGCAGTCACTCACCAGTCCTCAGCTGAACTGAGACCCACCTTAGGGGTCAGGATCCATCCTCTTCCATGATGATCAGGGATGAGGAGTTAGCCAGGTAAAAGGTGTGAGGGGATGGCTCAGGGAAGAAGTGATCCCAGCAGAGGTTTGTGTCACTGGGAGAGAGGAAAGACAGCTGAAAGTTGAGTCTGGCTATAGCCTGCCTGGGGGCTTGGCTGAGAAGAGAGACCTTGGTATTGTGGCCTGTGGGTCTTGCCAAGTGGCCTGAGGGCCATACGGAGCCTCTGAATGGTTTTGTGCAGGGGAGTGACTCAACCTTGGTAGGAACATGCAGGAAGGTTGTCCTGGGATGCCCTTTAAGGTCTCAGCAGACTGAAACCTCAAAGAGCCTCTGGGGAGCCCAGCCATCTTAGGCACAACCTCATTCGAGCCATCAGGGAGGATGAGAAAACTCACTTGTCAGAGGAACCTTAGAGAAGTCAAGAGACAAGGCTGGAGGGCCCTGAGCTGGGGGGTGGGGAGCATGGGGAAAGAAGAGGGTGAGGGCTCAGAAAGGCAAGAGCCCCGACACCAGGAGGCGGTGCCTGCTCTTAGCTTGCCACGGACTCCATGATTCAAGAAGGC
Organism: Homo sapiens; assembly: GCF_000001405.40. Classification (NCBI taxonomy): domain Eukaryota; kingdom Metazoa; phylum Chordata; class Mammalia; order Primates; family Hominidae; genus Homo; species Homo sapiens. The sequence continues at coordinate 27,659,368 of NC_000001.11, forward strand.
CTGGCCCCCAGGACCCTGGGACTAGAAAGGCAATTGACTCATCCTAGGATGGGGGAAGCCTGGCCCCGGAGGTTAAGTGAAATTGCTCTAAGACACAGAGCACATCAGCGGCAGGATCAGGAAGAAACTAGTAACCCTGGAGCACCTAGCACCAGCACCCCTAGTGCAGGGTACTTCATACCTCGCATCATCTAACGCAGGTGTCGCTTCATTTTACAGATAAGCGGACTAACGTCCACAAGTCATGGACTCCTGTTCTGGGTCACACAGAGTTAGGGCTAAGAAACCAGGTCTGCAGGCGCCTAGTTTCCCGCAGTTCTTCTGGGTCTGAGTTTGGGGTGGTGGGGAAGAGGCGAGCGTGTCAAGGAGGGTGAGAGGGAGGGTGGGGCTGTGTTTCTGGGACTTTCCTCGCTGAGGTCAGAGGCACCGAAATAGACGCGCTGCAGCGAGCGCCCGGAGGCCCGGTCACACCCTGTGCCCGGCCCGCCGCGGGGAGCGGTCCAGCCGCAGCGCACGAGCCCTCCGCCGTCCCACTGCCCCCCGGAACCGCGCGAGCCTCGCAAACCGCTCGGCGCCCAGTCTCCACCTCGCCGGCTTCATGAACGTGCCCCGGGAGACCCCGACGCCCTGAAGCCGGCGCGGCCGCCCCACCGCCCCACCGCCCCACCGCCCCACCGCCGTCTGCGCGAACGCCGGGCCTCCCCCTCCGCCCATCGCTGCCACCATCTCTACTCCGACGGCTGCGGCGGTGGGTGTGGCCACCGCGCTTGCCAATCAGGAAGTGAGGGCCGGCTCCGGACGCGCCCCGCTGTTACGTCACTCCGACGGCCCCGGATGCCCCGCCCAGTGGCCTTGCCTGGGAAAGGCGACTGGGGCACCGGTGGGTGCGGACCCTCAAAGGGTGAAAATAATTCCCGTGTGAATTGCGCGCATTATAACTGCTCTAAGAAATGCAGCCAGGGCATTTTAAAATGTATTTTTTCAATCACTCCTCTTCCAGCCATTTATCCGTCCGTCTGTATGTATGTCTATCCAGTCAGCCAAAGTAATTGGGTGCCTCCTGAGTGCCAGGCGCTGTGCTGGGTTCTAGCTATAAAGAGAGATGAACCCTCTGCTTGTCCTCAGGGAGCTCATAATCTAGGGCGGAAGCCTGATGGTAACAAATGCTCATGCCATCGTTTTCATTGCAGTCATGATTCATTCTGGGACGGTGAGATACAGGCTGCTGCAATAACCAGGTGTCTAACTTGGATTGGGGCTCAGGTCCCTGTAGAAGTTACATCGAGCCGACTCCTGAAGCAACAAGTGTTCCAGGCAGAGGGAAGAGCTTGTGCAAAGGCAATGAGGCTAGCAGGCTGGAAAATAAGGGAAAGGAAACTGAGTGAGATGAGGCTCTGGAGGTTTACGGGAGCGAATTATTTAAGACCTTGGAGGCCATAGTAAGGAAATAGAATTTTCTTCTAAGTGCTGTGGGCAGTCACTGGGTACTTAGTGTTTTAAAATCTCCCTACCTCTGTGTGGAGAATAGACAGGAGTGGATACGGGAGTAAGAGTGGACACAGGGACACCTAGGAGGTGCCCTCCAGCATGGAAGGTAGTAAGCTAGATGAGAGGGAGGCTACTGTGGGTGGGACATGAACAGATTCAATAAATAATTAGAAGATACAATCCTCAGGCAGGTGGGTTGATGGATTGAATATGGGGGTGGGTGAGGCAGAGGGAGTTAAGATTAAGTCATTCATTCATTGGACAATTATTTATTGAGCCCCTCTAGATGCCAGGCACTGTTCTACAGAGGCAGACTCTCTGGGTTCAAATCCTTGTCCTGTCACTTGCTAGCTGCTTGCCTTAGGGAAATTATTTAACCTCTCTGTACCTTGATCTCTTCATCTGTAAAATGCGGATCCTAAGAACACCCGAGAGAATTATTGTAAGGATGAAAAGAGTTAATATATGTAAAACTTTGGACCTGGGTGTTTGGAGCTGGGCTCTGAGGCTGAGGACTGGGACTTGGGTACTTGGGGTTGGGTACCCGGGCCTACTTCTTGGAGTCACCAAGACTCTATGTCTTTACTGGCTTTATACAGAAAATTAAAAGAGTGACATGGAGAGCAAGCTGTTCCCACACCGTGAGTGAGACACAGGTATCCATACAATTTTAAGCTCTCAGATGATTCCAAGGGGCAGACAAGTTGGCAATTACTATGGTAGAGAGAAACAAGGAGGCAATTTTAAAGTAGGTGGTCAGGGAGGGCTTCTCTGAGGAGGTGACATTTGAGTGAAGACCAAAGAGTGCAGAAGGAGCCATCACTGAAAAGTTAGGGGGAAAAGCCTTTGGGAAGGTGTCTGGCCTAGGCACCGGCATGCCTGGAGGTGTCTTTGGCCCAAGTGTGAAAGACTGAAGGAGAAATGGGCTTAGTTTGGTGGGTTCCAAGGATAGTGATCATGGCTGAGTGAAGACCCCTACCCCTTCTGCAGATCAGAACCTGGAGCAGTTAAACCACGCTGTGCCCTGGTAGCTGTGGGTGCTGGGAGGCAAGCTCTACTGGTTCATCAAGAATTTGTGGTCAGGCTGAGGCAGGCAGATCACCTAAAGTCAGGAGTTCAAGACCAGCCTGGCCAACATGGCGAAACCCCGTAGCTACTAAACATACAAATATTAGCCGGGCATGGTGGCACGCACCAGTAATCCCAGCTACTCGGGAGGCTGAGGCAGGAGACTCGCTTGAACCCGGGAGGTGGAGGTTGCAGTGAGCCGAGATCGCACCATTGCACCATTGCCCTCCAGCCTGGGTGACAGAGCGAAACTCCATCTAAAAAAAAAAAAAAAAAAAAAAAACTAGCTGGATGTGGTGGTCCATGCCTGTGGTCCCAATTGGGAGGCTAAGGTGGGAGGATCACTTGAGCCCAGGAGGTCAAGGCTGCAGTGAGCCGTGATTGTGCTACTGCACTCCAGCCTGGGCGACAGAGCAAGACCCTGTCTCAAAAAAAAAAAAAAATCTCTCCTGTGGGCCCATGCCATTTGTTCACACAGATAATGAACCAGTGGGCCTCTGCCAGCTTCTGACTTGGCACTGGACGTTTCTCTGGGAACTGGTGCTTGGAGCGGGGAAATGGGGGCTGGATTTCTGGGACTGGGTTCTGAGGCTGGGGACTGGGACTTGGATACTGGGGGGTAGGTGCTTGGACTTGCTTTTTGGAATAACCAAGGCTCCATTTCTTTACTGGCCTCTACAGATGAGCCTGTTCCCTAACCTGACTATCCTTTCTGTGGCTTCACGGCACAGAACTTCACAAGTGTGACCTTACCTTGTCTCAGCTGTCTGTTCCATGGAGACCCAGAAAGAGGGAAAGAGAAGGCTGCTCTGGACCTGTTCATGGGGCCTTCCTGGGACCCCTTTTCCGCCCGCTAAGCCAGGAAGCCTATGCTCCCTCATCTTCCACCCCTCCCCCAGCCATCTGCTTAAAGGAAGTGGCTCCTCTGTTCTTCACAGGAAGCCACAGGCCTCCCCTGCCTCGGCAGCCTCCAGCTACTGTTGCCCCAGACCCTCGGCTGGCCCAGACCCCCCTTTCCAGGCAGAATCTAGTGATGCCCAGTTCCCAGCATCCCCCTCTGCTGCCCAGCCAAGAAGTGCGTGTGGTGTGCTCCTCTCGTTAACTTTCATCCTTGTGACTTGGGTCTGGGAGCGCAGGCAGTGAGCCTGGAGGTGAGACCTGACTACAGGAGTTTGGAGATCCCCAAGTTGTAGGACTGAGGACTTGAAGGGAAGAGGAGGTGGGCCCTGGAGGGATTCTCTGATGGACCACTCTTGTGAGCTTCAGTAGCTCCTGCTGCTGAGCAGGGGCGAGGTCTATTCATTTCCGTCTCTATTTAACCCTGGTTGCCTGCCCCAGAGAGGGCTGTTGGTAATCGTGGAGCTGCTAAAGGCTGATGAGGGCTGATGGAGTCCAAGATAGGACTGTACTGCCACCTGGTGGTCAGATCCGCACATAGCACCATGAAATTGTGAGAGCCCCTGCCGGGAGAGTGGTGATTCAAGGGTATGGGGGACCTGGAAGGCCCTTAAAGAACAAGGAAATCCCTAAAGTATTTTATTTAAGAGCAAGACGCTCCTAACTTGAGCACTGGAGAAAGACATTCTAGGTCTGGACGAGAGTTCAACTCCTTCCCTTCCCCATTTTACAATCTGGGAAACAGGTCCAGAGAAAAGTGATGAGGACAGAGAACCTCTACATTGGCAGTCAGAGATGGGATCTATTTTTGGACTCTTTTTTTTTTTTTTTTTGGAGACGGAGTCTCACTCTGTCGCCCAGGCTGGAGTGCAATGGGGTGATCTTGGCTCACTGCAACCTCCACCTCCTGGGTTCAAGCGATTCTCCTGCCTCAGCCTCCCGAGTAACTGGGACTACAGGCGCCCGCCACCACACCCGGCTAATTTTTGTATTTTTAGTAGAGACAAGCCCTGCTAGTTTCTAGTTACCCTCATTTGTGACCAAACATGGTATCGCCCCGCACCGTCACCCACTTTAGTCACCAAAGTTGGCACTACAGAGTGGCTTTTGGCTGCTTCCAAAAATAAAATTCATCCTCAGAAAGCCAGGATCTGACAAGGCTGAGGGGACTCAGAAGCATGCGCTTCAGGCTCAGCAGATGTTTTAGAGGAGGAAGCCCTGGAGACCACAATATGTAACACCCCCAGCCCTAGTTTTGAAAACAAAGAAGGCCGAGTGCAGTGGATCACGCCTGTAATCCCTGCACTTTTGGAGGTCGAGGTGGGCAGATCACTTGAGGTCAGGAGTTCGAGACCAGCCTAGCCAACATGGTGAAACCCCGTCTCTACTAAAAATACAAAAATTAGCCGGGCGTGGTGGCACACACCTATAATCCCAGCTACTTGAGAGGCCGAGGCACAAGAATTGCTTGAACCCAGGAGGTGGAGGTTGCAGTGAGCTGAGATCTCACCACTGCACTCCAGCCTGGGCGACAGAGCAAGATTCTTCGTCTCAAACAACAACAACAAAAACAAGGAAGCTGGGACCCCAAGAGAGTACTTAACTTGTCTGAGGTGACTCAGCCCTGGAGCTGGGCGGGGACACAGCCATGTGTCTCTCTGAAGGTTGCTGCCAGGGAGGCATCTAAAAGTGCATTGAGGCCAGGTGCGGTGGCTCACGCCTGTAATCCAAGCACTTTGGGAGTGATCCTCAGGCGGATCACCTGAGGTCAGGAGTTCAAAACTAACTTGGCCAATGTGGCGAAACCCCTTCTGTACTAAAACTACAAAAATTAGCTGGGGGCGGTGGCAGGTGTCTGTAATCCCAGCTACTTGGGAGACTGAGGCAGGAGAATCGCTTGAACCTGGGAGGCAGAAGCTGCAGTGAGCCAAGATCACGCCACTGCACTCCAGCCTGCGCAGCAGAGTGAGACTCTGTCTCAAGAAAAATAATTAATTAAAAGTGTGTTGAGCATCTCTCGACTCGCGATGGTGAATTCTGGTGTGTGTTCACCCTTCTGCCACAGGCTTTGCAGATAGGATGATTGTGGTCCCTGGCAAGGATTGTGGTCCCTGGCAAGGGTGAGGGTGGGTGAAAGGAGATGGGGGCGGGGAGGTGGTGACAGGGAAGGAAAAGGTGGGGTCCTCATTTGTGCATCGTGAGCCTCAAGTAGGTAGGAACTGGGTCCCATCCGCTGTGGTGTCCTTTGCCCCTGCCATCACTTACAGAATGAAGGCAAGGAGTTATCCTGCGCAGGCCGGTCCCAAGGGATCCTGGGGAAGGTGGAGTCTCCCATAAAGAACTGGTCATTTCCAGTGTCATTCAGCCTGAGGACTGCTGAGGCCTCAGATCTAAAATCCTGGGGCAGGGCTGCCCATCTCTCTGGCCTTGATGTTGTCCAAGGGAATAAGTGGAGGGGGCTTCTTCTAAGGGCAGAGACCCTAGTTTGGTGCCAACTTTGGAAGAAAGGAAGAATATGGTCTGTGAGCCCCAGAGAGTAAACCCTGACTCCAAAGTCAGATGAGCTAATTCCTGGTTGTCACTTGGCTGTTCCCTCTTTGTTTTATGCAAGTCCTTCATCAATCATAACTGACATTTACGGAATGCTTCCTATGTGCTTGGGTTGTCTTCTCCTTCCTATTCAGAAGGGCTGTGAATTCCATATGCAAACTGTTCTCCCTATCCCCAGAGTCCTATGAGGAAAGGGGGACCTTGCCGAGCCCTCGAAAAGCTGCTGTTACGCCCTTTCCCCAGAGCGAAGGGCTGGCCTTTATTCTCCATCTGAGGGTGATCACTAGCGCTTCTTGAGAGAACGGAGACCTGGCTTCTCCATCTCTGCCTAATCAGAGAAGTACCTGGAAGCTTCTCTCAGTGAGAACAAACTGAGTTCTGCCTCCCCAAGCACCCTGTGGAATCAAGCCTGTCCATTTATACAGGAGGACCTGCTAGGCAGGAGTCCAGAGGAGGGGATGTCTGAACTGAGTCTGGAAGGATGGAAGGGAGTTTTTCAGGCAGATGAGCTTCTGAAGGCATCCAGGTAGAGACCAACATGTGCTAAGGCCCAGAAACAAAATCAACTGGTTGTGTTCCAGGAGCTGTGGTTGACTCGAGGGGAAAATGGGAATGGGGGTGTGTGGATGGTGCAGGCCAGAGCCAGATTGTTTTGGGCTTCTCACTGCAAACATGATTGACAGCAGGACAAAGTGTTTTCTGGGTGAAGTTTATTCTGTTTTCACATCTAGGTTGTTGGGGAGAGTGATAGACAAAGTTCTGGATTCTGGGCATCGTCGGCGCATGCTTGTAATCCTACTTGGGAGGTTGAGACAGGAGGATCACTTGAGGCTAGGAGTTGGAGGCTGCAGTGTACTATGTTCGCATCTGTGAATAGCCACTGCACTCTAGCCTGGACAATATAGTGAGAACCCATCTCAAAAAAAAAAAAAAAAAAAAAAAGGCAAAGTTCTAGATCCTAACTGGAAGAGTTAGGCCAAGAAGGAAGAAGAGGTTCTGGGAGCTGCTGGCTACTCCTCATCCTCCTCACTATCGAGATACTTGTGGGTGGCGTAGCCCATCAGGGCACCAATATTACCTATGACGACGCTGCTGCCACCAGCCCCTGTAAAGCAAACACAGATGAGTCACTGGGGCCCAAGTGCCAGGCCTGGGAATCCAAATGTCTGGAAACCATTGGTTGAGTCCAACCCCTTATGTCTAGATGGAGAAACAGAGGCCCTGAGAGGGGATGGCACTACTACAAAGTGAGTCCCATTGCCTTGACATCCCAAATCAGAGATGTGTTTCAGTGATGAAAAAGGCAAAAATAATGGCTCCTTCACCTGATGTCTGCCATGGAAACGCCATGTTATTAATCATGCTAACAGCCACCTTCGTGGAGCCCTGTGTGGGTGTGGGGGGTTCACAAGCCAGGGATCATTTCATCTTGTCACAGCTATGTGCCATGTGAGAGGACAACTAGCTGATAGCCCAGAGGTGTCCCTGGGCTCGCCCACACTCTTCCCCTCCCATTGCAGGGGTGTGGCCCCGTCTGAGCAGGGCTCTCTTCTTTTGGGCTGGTTCTTTGGGCTTTTGCCATTCAGAATTGAGAGAAGAGAAGATGCGAGGTTCAGAAAGGCAGAGAGGGAAGTTTGTCAGGGGCAGGTTTTCTCCAGGATTTTGGAGGCCTCAGAGCGCGAGAGAGAGGTGGGGGTGGGTGGGGAGAGAGGAGAGAGAGGGAAGTAAGGCCATTTTTTATGAGTCACTCTGGGCCAGCACAGTGGCTCATGCTTGCAGTCTCAACACTTTGGGAGGCCAAAGTGGGAGGATTGCTTGAGCCCAGGAATTCAAGACCATCCTGGGCAACACAATGAGACCCCGTCTCTACAAAAAAAAAAAAAAAAAAAAAAAAAAAAGCCAGTGTGTGGCGGTATGCGCCTATAGTCCCAGCTACTTGGGAATCTGAGGTAGGAAGATAGCTTAAACCTGGGAGTTCGAGGCTGCTGTGAGCTGTGATCATGCACTGCATTCCAACCTGGCAGTGTGAGACCTTGTTTTGACCTTTATCTATAATAAATAGATCAATAGATTGATCAATCGATAGAAGAGTCACTGTGAGCTCTGTTATCTGTTCCCTCCATGGTGTTCAAAAAGTGCAAGTCAAGACCAGTTTGGTGTGAGATTGATTTGAGTTACTCTACTATGTTTCTTTGCTACTGTGGTCTCTGAGATTGAGCAGATTCAAAAAATGTTAAACTGAGGATGATCATCCCCACGCACCGCTGAGGGAACTGAGGCTTGTGATTTGGCCAAAGCATCAGTGAGGCACCCAGCCTTTGAGGCTGAGAATGGGGCTTCTCGCATTGTACTGACTGGGTCAGAATCTAGGCTCTGGTCTAAACTAGCAGGGAGACTTGAGTAAGTTACTTAATTTCTGGCCGGACGCGGTGACTCACGCCTGTAATCCTAGCACTATGGGACGCCGAGGCGGGCGGATCAGCTGAGGTCAGGAGTTTGAGGCCAGCCTGGCCAACATGGTGAAACCCCATCTCTACTAAAAATACAAAAATTAGCCGGGCGTGGTGGCGTGTGCCTGTAATCCCAGCTACTTGGGAGGCTGTGGCAGGAAAATCGCTTGAGCCAGGGAGGCAGAGGTTGCAGTGAGCCAAGATCACACCACTGCACTTCAGCCTGCCTGGGTGACACAGCCAGACTCTGTCTCAAAATAAATAAATAAAGAATCACTTAATTCCTGGTAAACTACTTAATTACTTGAGTAAATTACTTAATTCCTGAGTGCCTCAGTTTCCCCAGATGTATGATGAAAATAATAGTAAAGAACGTCCCACCAGGGGCCCAGGCCCCGCACTCACCGAGGCTCTGCAGCGTGGCCACTAGCCCCCCGGCGGGCACGCCGCCCCCATTCAGGATCGCAGACCAGCTCATCAGCGAGGCAGCCACCGAGTTGGCCGCGATGCCGGCGCCGGTGAAGCCCAGCGCGGGCAGCCCGGCGACTGCGAGTCCTGGAGGAACAGGAGCAGGTGAGGGAGCGTCCGCGGCAGAGGCCCGCCCCGCCTGCCCGAGATCCTCGCCCTCCAGACCCACCTCCTCCGACGGCCATGAAGGTCAGGGCCTTCCAGAACCCGGAGCCGCTGTCCGAGCTCTCCGAGCACTTTTTCTTACCTGCAGGAGAGCAGACAAAGCGTAGTGGGGGTGTTGGGGTGGGACACAGGGGTCCCCTACTCTGTGTCTGATGCTCAGGACCACTCCTGGAGGCGGGGGCCACCACTCTCCTACTCAGAGAGCCTCACAGAGGGGAAGGGACTTTCCCCTAGGCGCCGAGCCTGGCACAGAACTAGCATCGAGTAAATTTCGGTAGGATGGAGGAATGAACAGAGTAGTGGGATTTGAATCTGGGACTCTGGCGACACCAACCCTGCGCTGTCCATTGGAATGGACGCCAGGGTCTCTACAGAAGCACGCCAGACCCTCTACACCCCGGACCCTGAAACTCTCTCCTTTATCCCACACTCCTCCCATCCCCCAGCACCCTTATATGCCTCCTTACTTGTCCCCTTACCTGCACCCTTATCTGTTCCCTTACCTGCACCCTTACCTGCATCCTTACCCACATCCTTACCTGCATCCTTACCCGCATCCTTACCCGCACCCTTACCTGCATCCTTACCTGCATCCTTACCCGCATCCTTACCTGCATCCTTACCCGCATCCTTACCTGCACCCTTACCTGCATCCTTACCCGCATCCTTACCTGCATCCTTACCCGCATCTTTACCTGCATCCTTACCCGCATCCTTACCTGCACCCTTACTTGCATCCTTACCTGCACCCTTACCTGTCCCCTTACCTGCATCCTTACCCGCATTCTCACCTGCCTCCACCCCACTGCAAGTGAAGAGCAGCAGGTAGCACAAGAAAAGCGATACCGCCTTCTGCCGCATGGTGGCGCCGCGCGCGGGCTCCGTCACTAGACCTGCGAACGGGCGAGAGGGAGATGGTCCCCGGAGCATTTTTGGAGCTCATCAGCTCCGTTGTTTTCCCTTCCAGTTCCAACTGAATCAGTAAAAAGCAGCGAGGTGTGGTGAATGGAACCCAGGATCCCTCTCAGGAGCCTCGGGAATCCGTTTCCTCTCCGCATCAGTGGCAGAGATGTCCCTGCCCCAACCGGTGGGTGTGCGGATTCTGTGCGGATTCGCACGGTGTTTGGCACGTGGTAAGCTCCGCAGATGTCAATATCATGACTGTGGTTGTTCCTGGCCTTGTACCCAAGTGACCTTGGGCAGGATACTAGGGTACTTTGCTTCTCTGGGCTTCAGTTTGTTTATTTCTAAAATTGGGGTATTAATAGAGTCTATTTCAGAGGGTACTTGTTAATTTAATAACTGTTCCACGCTGTATCCCCGGCACTTTGAACAGTGCCTGACGCATAGAATTTGCTTTAAAAAAATTTTTAAGACAAACTCATTCTTACAATGCATTGAATATCTACTGGCACCAAACGTTGGCCTCACATCAACTTAATTTTTTTTTCAGAAAGAAAGCACAGAAGGGTGTGTGGAAAAAGAAACTCAGTTTCCCTCACCGTACGAGAGGCTTCTGACAGCAGAAGTGTGGGGGTTTCTCCCCACCAGCAAGCAAACAATCAGTCCTCTGGTGAACACCAGCTGAGGGTCCCCAAATTCAATTCTGACACCACTATGGGTAGATAGTGGCCGATCCCACATGTTGAGGGTTCAGTCCCCCAGACTGCCAATCGAAAGCCCTAGGTTGTTTTACCTGTGTTTCTGACTGACTATAAACTGGGGTTCCCACAATTCCCTCCTGCAGTTTTACTAATTTGCTAGAGCAGCTCACAGAACTCAGGGAAACACTTTACTTACATATACTGGTTTCTTTCTTTAAAAAAAAAAAATTGATCTTGTTGTTGTTTTGAGACAGGGTCTCACTCTATTGCTCAGGCTGGAGTGCAGTGGCCCCATCTCAGCTCACTGAGACCTTCGCCTCCCAGGCTCAAGTGATCCTCCCACCTCAGCCTCCAGCATAGCTGGGACTACAGGTATGCACCACCACGCCCAACTAATTTTTTTTTTTTTTTTTGAGATGGGGTTTCACCATGTTGCCCAGGCTGATCTTGAACTCCTGAACTCACGCAATCTGCCTGCCTCAGCCTCCCAAAGTGCTGAGATTACAGGCATCAGCCACCATACCCAGCTACATTTACTGGTTCCTTATGGATATTACAAATGCTCCGGATGAAGAGATGCATAGGGCAAGGTATGGGAGAAAGGGCATGGAGTTTCCATTCCTCTCCAGAAGCACCACCCACTGGAGACCTCCTTGTATTCGGCTATCTGGAAGCTTGTCAAACCCTGTCCTTTTGTGTTTTTATGGAGGCTTCATTACATAGGCATGACTGATTAAATCACTGCCCATTGGTAATCAGCTTAACCTTCAGCCCCTCTCCCCTCCCCAGAGGAAATGCCAGCCATCAGTCAACTTATTAGACAGTTATCACTCAAAAGATATTTATCACTTTGAAGATTCCAAGGATTTTAGGAGTTGTATGCCAGGAACTGGGGGATGAAAAAATATATTTTACAATATCACAAGGGATAAAGGTCACACAGCAAATTGTGCAACATGGGTACACATTCAAGACAGTCAGAATTCATGAACCTATGCTCTTTCCTTTATACCACAAAACTGGAAAATGCATATGCCCTCAGACTCACCTCTAATATGATCTTTGTCAGATCAATGCTATTTTCTTAAGTTAAAAAGAAAAACAAGAAACTCCTCTCATGTATTGAGTACTTAGCACTTTATGGCACGCAGTCCACTTGTACCTATAACAACACCACGAAGTAGGTACCATTGTTATCAACCACATGTTATAGATAAGGAAACTGAAGCTCAGAGAGGTTAAGTAATATTCCCAAGGCTGCCTAGCCAGGTCATGGCAAAGTCAGGGTTTAAACCCACAATTGGCTAATACCCAAGCCCACATTTTTTTTTTTTTTTTTTTGAGATGGAGTCTTTCTCTGTCGCCCAGGCTGGAGTGCAGTGGCGCAATCTCATCTCACTGCAAGCTCCACCTCCCAGGTTCATGCCATTCTCCTGCCTGCCTCAGCCTCCCGAGTAGCTGAGACTACAGGCGCCCACCACCAAGCCCGGCTAATTTTTTTTGTATTTTTAGTAGAGACAGGGTTTCACTGTGTTAGCCAGGATGGTCTCGATCTCCTGACCTCGTGATCCGTGGGTCTCGGCCTCCCAAAGTGCTGGGATTACAGGCGTGAACCACCACGCCCGGCCACCAAGCCCACATTTTTAACAACCACTCCAGATGGCTTCATCTATCCTTAAAGATGAACTCACTGTCACATTGGATCCTATAATAAAGGGGATTCTAAAATCATCCAGTCCTTTGAGCAGCAAAGGCAACTTAACTTTCCTTTTACAGAGGAAGTAATTAAGGCTCCAAGAGGTGACAGTGTTAAGGCCACAGATCGCTGATATTGCACCTGTAAGCTGGGTCTCATGCCACTTGGGGTTTTGCATCCCATCTCCCTAAAAATCTCCAACCCATCCTCTTAGACAAGTCCCAGCCCAGAGCACTAAAAGGGACCCAGGAGTGCTGCCTCCCAGGAGAAGGGGCCTCCTGGCTCTCAGAACATGAGATTTACAGGCAGACAGGCAGCCTGGCAGAGGGTGGCAGCTTGATGCCCACACTTCATAGCTCCTGAGTTTACCTTGGAGGAGAGAAGAGAAGCAATCTTCAGCCCGGAGCCTGCTGATAGATGGGCACAGCAGCGAGTAAACGGTTCTCCGGCTGAAGGCTGGCTTTTTATCATCACTTGTGGATCCTCCCACGTCTCACCCTAGGCAGCCAATCCCTGTCGGAGTTTCTATTTCTGCACTCTGCAGTTTCATTTTCCCCTCTCTCCCAGCTCCTGCACTCTGCAGAGTTTCATTTTCCCCTCTCTCCCAGCTCCGCCCAGCGGGAACATTTGTGTGCTGCCTGCTGGCAGAAAAATGCACTTCAAGCTGAGGACTTTTGGAGCCGCTAAGGGTATTCAAAGCATGTCACACTATGATGAGAGCCACGGCCATACTGGGCTTAGTGAAGCCTGATCACCAGCTCCCCCTGGGGCACACAGGCCTTTCACCATTCAGTCCAATTAGTAAACAACACCTATCATTTATTGAGCACTTGCTGCATGCCAGGGTCTGTGCAAAGTGCTCTATTTACATGATCTTTTTCCAATCCCACAGTAGTCATGTGACATACCATATGCTGTTTATAAACCCCCAGAACTTTGGAAATTAAGTCACTTTGTTCCATTGTTCTCTCAGGCTGGCTGCTTCTGGGTCATGGGCATATGGTAAGACCAGTGAAGCCTGTGTTCATGTGGCCATCATGATAGATCTTGAGTTTCAAGATGGGTCCCCTGGCCCTAGGTAATGAACTGAGCATTCTTTAAAGCCTTTGGATGGTGATGCTTGAAGTGCTATGGGTCAGAAATGCAACCTCTATTTGGAGAACATAGAAATTCCAGTAAGGATGAATCATTGCCTTCTCCCAAGTGGAAGGGGTCTGAAATAATTGACCTGCCACCAGATGGCTGGCTATTCTCATTGAGAAATTTTGCCATATTGCTACCTGCTGCTGGCAGATTGGCTATATTTTGGCAATTGCCAGATCAGTTTTGGTGAGAGGGAGCCCAAGTTGTTGGACTCATTTCTAACCCCCATCCTTACCACCTTGGACACTCATAGGTCTATTGCAAGGCAATAGTGAGGCTAAGTTTAGAGGCTGGCTGACATCCACAGGATGGGACATCCTGGCCATTGGGCTGTAGAGCCTCCTCTGCAGCAGATGATCTCTGGTCAGCATTAACATGAGACATAGAGATCCAGGTGCTTTATGCCCATTCAGAGTTCATTCTTATGCCCCTAACCCACACCTGCTTATTCCCAATCTTCCAATCTTGTTCCATCCATGCCTTTGACCAACCAGCCAAGCCATTTGCCTCTTATTAGGAATTGGTGTATGTCTGTACTTCAGTCCATCTCTCTCTCTCTCTCTCTGCATACAGAGGGAACAACACGGTATACTGCTCCTAGTTCTGCCCCCTGGGAGGATTCACTATTATTCAGTGCCACCCCCAAATGGGGCTGTAATAGAGTGGTCCGTTTCCAGCTGATACCAAAATATTATACTGACTTATCTGTGAATTGAGTTTGACTCCTTTCCTCCATTATCTGTTGGTTGCTGGGAACACTCCATGAGGCCATATATATGGGTCAAAGAGAAAACCCAGAGAAACAGAGTTGGGCGCCACAGGACTCTGAGCTCCCTGTTTATTTAATTTACTCAAGCCTTTTAGACCCCTTTGCTCAGCCTTGAATATACCATTTCCATCATATATTTTTTGTTTTGTTTTGTTCTTTGTTTTTTGTTGTTTTTGTTTTTGTTTTTGAGACAGTCTTGCACTGTTCCCCAGGCTGGAGTGCAGTGGTGTGATCTTGGTTTACTGCAACCTCTGCCTCCTGGGTTCAAGCGATTCTCCTGCCTCAGCCTCCCAAGTAGCTGGGATTACAGGTGCGCGCCACCATGCCCGGCTAATGTTTTTTGTATTTTTAGTAGAGATGGGGTTTTGCCATGTTGGCCAGGCTGGTCTTGAACTCCTGACCTCAGGTGATCCACCCACCTCTACCTCCCAAAGTGCTGAGATTACAGGTGTGAGCTGCTGTGCCTGGCCTCTTTGTTGTTTTGTCGGTTGGTTGGTTGGTTTGTTAGAGACAGGGTCTCACTCTGTTGCCGGGGCTGGAGTGCAGTGGTACAATCATAGCTTACCGCAGCCTTGACTTCCTAGGCTCAAGAAATCCTCCCAACTCACCCTCCCAAGTATCTGGGACTATAGGCATGTGCCACCACACCCAGCTAATTTTTATATTTCTTTTAGAGATGGAGGTCTCACTACATTGCCCATGCTAGTCTCCAACTCCTGGCTCCAAGTGATCCTTCTGCCTCGAGGTCTTAAAGTGCTGGGATTACAGGCATGAGCCAATGCGCCCAGCTTCCATCACATATGGAACTGCTGCTCTACCTTTCTGATAATACCCAACTTAAGATATATAGCTACCTGGCACCCAGTGGTGAGATGTGTAGTCACTACTGGGGCCCAGTGACACATCAGGGCCTCTTTTCCCAAAGGGACCACAGTAAGCATAGCCTTACTGCAGAATCCTAAGAATCCTAACCGTAATTCTCCTATGTGGGCTTTCAGAAACTTTCTACAGAATCTTTTTTCTCCCTCCCTACAGAATTGTTATCCACCTTCACACAGATACATCCAGCAACATTGTAGGATCATATAATCAGAAGTGGCAGCATAGCTTGTTTTGTGGCCTGAACCTGCTACACAGTTAAGAGGAAAGAAAAAAACCAAAATGACCTAATGTGCTTTTTCTTTTCTTTTCTTTTCTTTTCTTTTGAGACAGAGTCTCGGTCTGTCGCCCAGGCTGGAGTGCAGTGGCGCGATCTTGGCTCACTGCAAGCTCCACCTCCCGGGTTCACGCCATTCTCCTGCCTCAGCCTCCCGAGTAGCGGGGACTACAGCCGCCCGTCCCCACGCCTGGCTAATTTTTTGTATTTTTAGTAGAGACAGGGTTTCACTGTGTTAGCCAGGATAGTCTCGATCTCTTGACCTCGCGATCCCCCCACCTCGGCCTCCCAAAGTGCTGGGATTATAGGCGGGAGCCACCGCGCCCGGCCTGCGTTTTCTATTCTCTCACTGAACACAACAATCGCCACAGACCAGATGTGTGGGTGGGTTTTTTTTCTCACGCCCCAAGCAGCAGACACCAGCTGGGTGTCCTCCGATTCAATTTTTTTTTTCTTTTTTTTTTTTTTTGAGATGGAGTTTCACTCTTGTCGCCCAGGCTGGAGTGCAGTGGTACTATCTCGGCTCACCGCAACCTCCGCCTCCCGGCTTCAAGCGATTCTCCTGACTCAGCCTCCCATGTAGCTGGGATTACAGGCATGCACCACCACACCCGGCTAATTTTGTATTTTTAGTAGAGACGGGGTTTCTCCATGTTGGTCAGGCTGGTCTCGAACTCCCAACCTCAGGTGATCTGCCTACCTCGGCCTCCCAGAGTGCTGGGATTATAGGCGTGAGCCACCTTGCCTGGCCTCAATTCTTTTTTTTTTTAATTATTAAAATAAAAATATGGAACGCTTCATGAATTTGTGTATCATCCTTGCACAGGGGCCATGCTAATCTTCCCTGTATCATTCCAATTTTAGTATATGTGCTGCTGAAGTGAGCACTTTTTTTCTTTTCTTCAGACAGGGTCTCACTGTGTCACCAAGGCTGGCTCAATCACGGCTCACTGCAGCCTCGACCTCCTGTGTTCAAGCGATCCTCCTGCCTCAGCCTCCCGAGTAGCTGGGACTATAGGGGTGCACCACCATGCCCAGGTAATTTTTGTATTTTTTGTAAAGATGGGGTTTTGCCATGTTGGCCAGGTGGTCTCGAACTCCTGGGCTCAAGGGATCTGCCCGCCTCAGCCTCTCAAAGTGCTGGGATTACAGGCATAGGCCACTGTGCCCAGCCTCCAATTCAATTCTGACACTGTCTACCTGGAGAGAGCATCGATCCTACAGGTTGAGGGACTCCTCAACTCTCACCCTCAAGACACAAATCAGGGCTTCTGGAACTTCCGACTGGTTACAAGTTGGGATTCCCATAATCCCTTCTTTGGGTTTAATTCATGTGCTAGAGAGGCTCCTAGAGCACAGGGAAACACAGTTAGCAGTTTACTACACAGGAAATTAGAAAGGCTACATGAAGAGATGTGTTGGGTGAGGTATGGGGGAATGGGCACAGCGTCCTCCAGGAACATCCATGTGTTCAGCTATTGGGAAGCTCTCGGAACTCTGTCTTTTTGCTTTTTTATGGAGGCTTCATTACATAGGAATGATTGATTAAACCATTGGCCACTGGTGATCAACTTGACTTTCAGTCCCTCTCCCCTTCAGTGGGTGGAGCTGAAAGTCCCAACCCTCTAACCTTGCCTTGGTCTTCCCAGTGACCAGCCCCATCCTGAAGCTACCTAGAGACTGCTGGCCATCAGTCAATCATTAGTATACAAAGCATGGTGGCATACACCTATAGTCCAAGCTATTTGAGAGGCTGAGGTGGGAAGATTGCTTGAGCCTAGAAATTCAAGTCTAGCCTGGGCAACACAGTGAGATCCCATCTCTAAAAAATAAACAAATAAGAAATCATTAGCACACAAAAGGCATCACTTTGGAGATACCAAGGATTTTAGGAATTGTATGCCAGGAAATGAGGTATGGGGGAATGGGCACAGCATCCTCCAGGAACATCCATGTGTTCAGCTATTGGGAAGCTCTCGGAACCTTGTCTTTTTGGTTTTTTATGGAGGCTTCGTTATCTATTTCAAATATCTATTTCACAATATCACTGTCCACCTCTGGTCTTCAAACCCCATTTTTTTTTTTTTTTTTGAGATGGTGGTTCTGTTGCCCAGGCTGGAGTGCAGTGGCATGATCTTGGCTCACTGCAGTCTCCACCTCCCAGGTTCAAGTGATCCTCCTGCCTCAGCCTCCCAAGTAGCTGGGATTACAAGCATGTGCCACCATACCTGCCTAATTTTTGTATTTTTGGTAGAAACAGGGTTTCACCATGTTGGCCAGGCTGGTCTTGAACTCCTGACCTCAAGTGATCCACCTGTCTCAGCCTCCCAAAGTGCTGGGATTACTGGCATGAGCCACTGCACCAGGCCTTCAAACCCAAATTTCTTTCTTTTTCTTTTTTTTTTTAATTTTAATTTAGGTTCTGGGATACACGTGCAAAACGTGCAGGTTTGTTACATAGGTATATGTGTGCCATGGTGGTTTGCTGCACCTATTAACCCGTCCTCTAAAAACCAAAATTTCTTACATCAAAAGTACATACAAGGCCGGGTGCAGTGGCTCATGCCTATAATCCCAGCACTTTGGGAGGCTGAGGTGGGTTGAGGTCAGGAGATCGAGATCATCCTGGCTAACAGGGTGAAACCCCATCTCTACTAAAAATAAAAAAAAAATTAGCCGGGTGTGGTGGCGGGCGCCTGTAGTACTCAGGAGGCTGAGGCAGGAGAATGGCGTGAGCCTGAGAGGCGGAGCTTGCAGTGAGCCGAGATCCCGCCACTGCACTCAGCCTGGGCGACTGAGCGAGACTCTGTCTCAAAAAAAACAAAACAAAACAAAAAACAAAAACAAAAAGTACATACAACTCCCCAGCTACTCGGGAGGCTGAGGCAGGAGGATTGCTTGAACCGGGAGGCGGAGGTTGCAGTGAACCGAGATCACACCATTGCACTCCATGCACTCCAAGACAGAGCAAGACCCTGTCTAAAAAAAAAGGACATAAAATTCAAAAGATACTGCCATAATTAGCCAAGCATGGTGGTGCCCACCTGTAGTCCCAGCTACTTTGGAGGCTGAAATGGGAGGATCGCTTGAGCCTGGGAGGTCGAGGCTGCAGTGAGCTGTGATTGCACCACTGCACTCCAACCTGGGTGACAGAGCAAGACCCTGTCTCAAAAAAAAAAAAAAAAAAAGGAATTAAAATAAAATAATAATAATGGGCAGAGAGATATCCTCCTCAAAGTAATAGTTTGATAGAGAAGTGGAGTGGGTAATTGAAACATTTGTTGTCTAAAATAGGGGGAGATGAAAGCATGAAGGGCTGGCTTACATGTTGCTCACACACAACACAAGTGGAGACTAAAGGAGTGGCCCCACTAGATTTTCCTCATTTTTTCCAATAGATCAGGAAAAAAGGGAGCAAGGAGGATGCTGGTATGATTATTCAATTCTTGCCAAGGGAGGAGTACACTGGTACAATGGCCATAACTGTTTTTCTTTCTTCCCCAAATCACTTCAAAAAAATTTTTTTTCCTCCTCTTCCTGATGTAGTCCTAGGATCAGGGCTGCAGCTATAATATCACAGTCCCCACTTGTAGTATCCCTTATAATAAACTAGTAAATATAAGTGTTTCCCTGAGTTCTGGAAAGTGCTGGCAGCAGGGATGATTCCTAAGCAAAAAACTAGAACTACGTTTTTAAACTTTATGTCACAATTCCTAAAGGCCTGATGGAGGTGGGTTGTGCAAAATTGGAGTTAACAATGAATGCAGCCCTACTGCCTGGTGGTAAAAATCACCCGCCAAGTTCTGCACCTTTGCTACCTTATCCTATTCAAATTGGAGTGAACTAAGGAGTACTTACTAGACTAGTATTGCTGGCTGCAATCTAGACCAGCACAGTGGCAATCTTAATGTCCCTTCCAAAGGTAAAATCTTTGGATATTAATGGAGAGAAAGAGGGATAGTAGCTGAGGGTAAAGAATTTAATAAATGGATTATGAATTGAGGGAAACCCAATATTACATTAACACCTCAAAAGGAGCTCAGAGCAAGAGATGACATTGTCTGTGGTCAGTTATCCCAGATGTCAGAAAGAGTGATATATATTTGGTGAGATCACTCCTGCTTTTGGAACCTGACAAGATTGAATGGAAGCCTGCAAACCTGAATGACATCACCCTGGGAGACATTCATACAATATGATGGATGGGACTAACTATTAATGATTGAATAGGATTTTAGTAAAGTGGCAGTATCTTTTTTGCAGGGGCAGGGGACAGGGTCTTGCTCTGTCACCCAGGCTGGAGTTCAGTGTTGTGATCACAGCTCACTGTAGCCTCAACCTCCCGGGCTCAAGTGATCCTCCCACCTCAGCCTCCCAAGTAGCTGGGACTACAGGTGGGCACCACCATGCTCAGCTAATTATGGCAATATCTTTTGAGTTGTATGTCTTTTTTTTTTTTTTTTTTTTTTTTTTTGAGACAAGTTCTCACTTTGTTGCCCAGGCTGGAGTGCAGTGGCACAATTTCAGCTCAGTACAATCACCACCTCCCGGTTCAAGCGATTCTCCTGCCTCAGCCCCCCGAGTAGCTGGGATTACAGGCCCATGCCACTACACCTGGCTAATTTTTGTATTTTTAGTAGAGATGGGGTTTCACCATGTTGGCCAGGCTGATCTCGAACTCCTGACATCAGGTGATCTGCCCGCCTTAGCCTCCCAAAGTGCTGGGATTACAGGCGTACATCATGCCTGGCTGAAACTCCCATTTTTAAAACCATCAGATCTTGTGAGAGCCATTCACTATCACAAGAAAAGCAGGGGAAAGACCTTACCCCATGATTCAGTCGTCTCCCACACTGTCCCTCCTGCAACATGTGGGAATTATGGGAGCTACAAGATGAGATTTGGGTGGGGACACAGAGCCAAACCATATCATTCTGCCCCAGCCCCTCCCAAATATCATATCTTTACATTTCAAAACCAATCATGCCTTCCCAACAGTCCCCCAAGTCTCAATTCATTTCAGCATTAACTCAAAAGTCCACAGTCCAAAGTCTCATCCTAGACAAGGCAAGTCCCTTCCACCTATGAGCCTGTAAAATCAAAAGCAAGTTGGTTAATTCCTAGATACAATGGGGGTACAGGCATTGGGTAAATACAGCCATTCCAAGTGGGAGAAATTGGCCAAAACAAAGGGGCTACAGGCCCCATGCAACTCTGAAATCCAGGGGGGGGCAGTCAAATATTAAAGCTCCAAAATGAGCTCCTGTGACTCCATGTCTCACATACAGGTCATGCTGATATAAGAGGTATGTCCCCATAGTCTTGTGCAGCTCCAGTCCTGTGGCCTTGCAGGGTACAGCCTCCCTCACGGCTGCTTTCATGGGCTGGTGTTGAGTGTTTGCGGCTTTTCCAGGTGCACGGTGCAAGCTGTCAGTGGATCTATAATTCTGGGGTCTGGAGGATGGTGGCCCTCTTCTCACAGCTCCACTAGATGGTGCCCCAGTAAGGACTCTGTGTGGGGGCTCTGACCCCACATTTCCCTTCCGCACTGCCCTAGCAGAGATTCTCCAGGAGGGCCCCACCCCTGCAGTAAACTTCTGCCTGGGCATCTAGGCATTTCCATACATCTTCTGAAATCTAGGTGGAGGTTCCCAAACCTCAGTTCTTGACTTCTGCACACTTGTAGGCTCACCACCACATGGAAGCTGCCAAGGCTTGAGGTTTGCACCCTCTGAAGCCACAGCTGGAGTGGCTGGGACACAGGGCACCAAGTCCCTAGGCTGCATACAACTTGGGGACCCTGGGCCCAGCTGATGAAACCACTTTTTCCTCCTAGGCCTCCAGGCCTGTGATGGGAGGGGCTGCCACAAATGTCTCTGACATGCCCTGGAGACATTTTTCCCATTGTCTTGGTGATTAACACTCAGTTCCTTGTTACTTATGCAAATTTCTGCAGCCAGCTTTAATTTCTCCTCAGAAAATGGGATTTTCTTTTCTTTTCTTTTTTCTTTTTCTTTTTCTTTCTTTCTTTCTTTCTTTTTTTTTTTTTTTTTTTTTTTTTTTGAGATGGAGTTTCACTCTTGTTGTCCAGGCTAGAGTGCAATGGCATGATCTCAGCTCACTGCAACCTCTGCCTTCTGGGTTCAAGCGATTCTCCTGACTCAGCCTCCTGAGTAGCTGGGATTACAGGCATGCGCCACCACGCCTGGCTAATTTTGTATTTTTAGTAGAGTCGGGGTTTCTCCATGTTGGTCAGGCTTGTCTTGAACTTCCAACCTAATGTGATCCGCTTGCCTCGGCCTCCCAAAGTGCTGGGATTACAGGTGTGAGTCACCGTGCCTGGCCTGGATTTTCTTTTCTATTGCATTGCCAGGTTGCAAATTTTCCAAACTTTAATGCACTCCTCAAATTTTGTTTACAGTATTTCCCTTTTGAAACTGAATGCCTTTAACAGCACCCAAGTCACCTCAGAAAATGGGATTTTCTTTTCTATTGCATTGTCAGGCTGCAAATTTTCCAAACTTTAATGCACCCCTCAAATTTTGTTATAGTGTTTCCCTTTTGAAACTGAATGCCTTTAACAGCACCCAAGTCACCTGTTGAATGCTTTGCTGCTTAGAAATTTCTTCCACCAGATACCCTAAATCATCTCTCTCAAGTTCAAAGTTTCACAAATCTCTAAGGCAGGGGCAAAATGCCGCCAGTCTCTTTAACATAACAAGAGTCACCTTTACTTCAGTTCTCAACAAGTTCCTCATCTCCATTTGAGAACACATCAGCCTGGACCTTATTGTTCATATCACTATCAGCATTTTAGTCAAAGCCATTCAACAAGTCTCTAGGAAGTTCTAAATTTCCCACATTTTCCTGTCTTCTTCTGAGCCCTCCAAACTGTTCCAACCTCTGCCTGTTACCCAGTTCCAAAGTAGCTTCCACATTTTCGGGTATCTTTTCAGCAACGCCCCACTCCTGGTACCAATTTACTGTATTAGTCCATTTTCATGCTGCTGATAAAGACATACCCAAGACTGGGCAATTTACAAAAGAAAGAGGTTTAATGGACTTACAGTTCCGTATGACTGGGGAGGCCTCACAATCATGGCGGAAGGCAAGGAGAAGCAAGTCATATCTTATGTGGATGGTGGCAGGCAAATAGAGAGCTTGTGTAGAGAAACTCCCATTTTAAAAACCATCAGATCTTGTGAGACCCATTCACTATCATGAGACCAGCATGGGAAAGACCTGCCCCCATGATTCAATCATCTCACACTAGGTCCCTCCCACAACATGTGGGAATTATGGGAGCTATAAGATAAGATTTGAGTGGGGACACAGAGCCAAACCATATCACCTGGCTAATTAATTTTTTTTACTTTTTGTAGAGACAGGGTCTCGCTTTGTTTCCCAGGCTGATCTCAAACTCCTGGCCTCAAGCAATCCTCCCACCTTGGCCTCCCAAAGTGCTGGGATTACAAGTGTGAGCCACCATGCCTGGCCTTACATTTTTCACACACAATTGGTGCATAGGTACAGCAATTTGATTGGTTTATGCAGTGTTTCTTTTTGGAATGGGTGCATTTAAAATTTTTTACAGAGGGTGTAATAGTCATGGGTTTTCTGTTATCTGGTCTAGGCAAAGCAGGACAACAATGGGGAAGTTAATCTACACAAAGGGTCATTCATTAGGAAGAAGGGTGGTTTTTATTCCTGACATCATGTAACTCTCTTAGTCATTGTACAGAATAAGACAAACAAGAAAGCGAGTTAATCTATAATCTGAGAAACGGAAGTAGTAACCATATGAGACTCAGATTAAAGGAGGAGACCACCCCTCATATTGTCTAATTTCTACCTCCAAAGAGAGAAGTAAAAACTCAAAGGCAGAAATGAAATCCACAGGCAGACAGCCCAGCGCCATGCCCTGGGCCTGGTTAAAGATTGACCCCTGACCTAACAGGTTATGTTATCTATAGATTCCAGATATTGTATGGAAAAGCACTGTGAAAATCCCTGTCCTGTTCTGTTCCGATCTGATTACCAGTGCCTGCCACCCCCAGTCACATACCCCCTGCTTGCTCAATCGATCATGACCCTCTCACATGGACCTCCTAAGAGTTGTAAGCCCTTAAAAGGGACAGGAATTGCTCACTTGGGGAGCTCGGTTTTTGGAGATGTGAGTCTTGCCGAAGCTCCCAGCCGAATAAAGCCCTTCCTTCTTTAACTCAGTGTCTGAGGGGTTTTGTCCGTGGCTTGTCCTGCTACAAGATCACAGTCACATCTCTCTCAAAGCTTAAGGTGTTTGTGGGGTTCCAACAAGGTTTACATTTTATTTATTTTCACACTTCTTTGATCAACAGAGCAGCCTTCCAAACAGAATGTTGTCCATTCACCTTGGAACTGCCATCCACAAACCAAGCTGTTTGCTGGCCAGTTGAGAGCCGTTATGGGACACTGTAGAAGCCAGCAGCTCCTCACGCAAACCAGTCCTAGCAGAAAAGAGGCTCCTTTCTTTTATCTCCTCCTGGCACTCCCCAGGTAGCATGCTTCTGTATAAGCCATTTCCATTTTGTTATGGAACTCTTCTGGACACTGCTGTCTCTATTTGAGTGTTTCTGTGACATCACCTGAGATCGCATGGGTATTTCAGGTGTCAAGATCATTTTATGTCCTTCAGTCACAGGGGTAGCTTCAGTTAATGTCCCGTAACAAGTTAGTAAGTGCCCCTCAAGTGGAAATTGTCTAGTCCAAAATCTCAGTAGTCTTTGCTTGCAGGTGCTCACAGCCTTTTCTCTTCTTCTTCTTCTTTTTTTTTTTTTTCTGAGACAGAGTCTTGCTGTGTTGCTCAGGCTGGAGTGCAGTGGCACCATCTCTGCTCACTGCAACCTCTGCCTCACCTCTCGGGCTCAAGCAATTCTCCTGCCTTAGCCTCCCGAGTAGCTGGGATTACAGGCACCCACCACCACTCCTGGATAATTTTCAAATTTTTAGTGGAGATGCGGTTTCCCCATGTTGGCCAGGCTGGTTTTGAACTCCTGACCTCAGATGATCCTCTTGCCTTGTCCTCCCAAATTGCTGGGATTACAGGTATGAGCCACCATGCCCAGCCACTCATAGGCTTTTGTCATAGCCCCAGCAAATGCTCCACAAAGAGCTATCGAATGGAGAACTTGTCCCTATCAGCACTCCAGCTTCTACTCTACAGTGTGGGCTTGGGTTTCCATTTAGCATGTCCAACTAAAATTTCCAGAAGGGTGGATTTACATGCCTTCTGTTTTACAGTTCTAGGTAGAGGGAACAACCCTGTCATATACAATGCCCATTTCCATAAAACATTAGGTAAAGGAGACACAACCACTTTACATTAAGCCTTTACGTAAAGCCTGTTTAGACATTCCCACTTTCAGAATCCTGTTGACCAAGTATATTTTTATGTCCCGGGAACTTCTCTTCTCCACCCCCTCCCCAGACCATTTTATTCTCTCTTGGGCAATAAGTGTTTAGGTCCTTAGCCAGAGGCCAGGCCAGGAGACTCTGGCCTCTCTGTCAATCTTCCCTTGATTAACCAGTCTGACCATCACCCCAGGCAATTCCAGGTAGGGTTTCTTATTGTAAATCTTTACCTTCCTGCTTTTAAAATTCCACCAAACTGGAGGAAATAGAGCAAACTGGTTTGGGGCCTTTAATGTTGAAGACCATCAGAGACTCTCTTTGGTCCACCCAACCTTCAATAGTGTTGTATTAAGACATTTATTTTGGCCACGCGCAGTGGCTCATGACTGTAATCCCAGCACTTTGGGAGGCCGAGGCTGGCAGATCACCTGAAGTCAGGAGTTCAAGACTACCCTGGCCAACATGCCAAAACCCCATCTCTACTAAAAATACAAAAATTAGCCAGGCGTGGTGGCAGGTCCCTGTAATCCCAGTTACTTGGGAAGCTGAGGCAGGAGAATTGCTTGAACCCAGGAGGCAGAGGTTACAGTGAGCTGAGATCATGCCACTGCACTCCAGCCTGGGTGACAGAGCGAGACTCTGTCTCAAAAAAAAAAAAAAAAAAAAAAAAAAGACATTTGTTTTCACTGCATTAATTTCCTTTTTTAAAACCTCATTAATTTTTATTTTACTCATCCTATTTCTTAATAACCATCTAAGGATTTCCATCCTGCTCAGACGAGTCTCATGACTCTCCCCTTTCTTTTTCCTCTTAGTTTCACCCTTATCAGTGTTCTCTTCTTTCTCTCCCTCCCTCTCTCTCCTTTCTTCTTTCCTTCTCCTTCCTTCCTTCCTTCCTTCCTTCCTTTGCTTCCTTGCTTGCTGGGGGACCTGTTTATTTACAGCAG
Organism: Homo sapiens; assembly: GCF_000001405.40. NCBI lineage: Eukaryota > Metazoa > Chordata > Mammalia > Primates > Hominidae > Homo > Homo sapiens. Next base: position 27,685,159 of record NC_000001.11, read on the forward strand.
CATTTTAGGAAAAGGGCAAACATGGCTCTCTCCTTCAACAAATCCCTGCTTTGGTGCCCAAGGAGACAGGGCTGAGGTAGCCCCTGCCTGGCCCTTGGCTCTGTGGAGCCCTGCACCCTTGGGAGGACAAGGTAGCTCCCCAAAGCTGTTAATTCCAAAGCTGTTATTTGCAAGGGATAGAGGGACCTTGTTTCAACACCCAGCATGTGGGTCAATTTCTGGGGAGGCTGGAGAGGACCATGGCCAGATGGTGCCTTGACCTCCGCATGTCCAGACCCACCAATGGGATCTCCTCCCAGGGGCTCTGAAATCCTGAAAAGAAAACCAAACGCACTGAGTGAGGGTCTTATGCTTCCCTTCATAAGAGCCATGACACCGCGGCAGCCCTGGTGCAGAGGAGGGGCTGGGACTCACCCTCCCCGCCTGCCACCTGTCCTTTCTACTTTGGCAAACAACAACAAAACCCTGGAAGCTTCAAGAAAATGAAGTAAACTTTAGGGAACAGAAAAAACAAAACAGCAGGCTGTGCCCAAAGCCCTCTCTCTGCCGTCCCCCTCTCCGAGTCCTCCTGATGAGCTGCAGCTGGTGGTGCCCGCGTGGCCACAGCACAGGTTTTCCTCACAGAGCCACTGGCCCAGCTGAAGGTGACTCTCCTAAGCTCCCTTCACCAGCCACTCTGGCTTCCACGCTGGGAAGGTAGGATGGGGTGCAGTCGGGGGAGGCACCCAGTTATTTAGAGAGACAGAAGAGATTGGCACACAGGCAGCATCACCGAGGAGGCCCCACGCACATGCTCAATTCTGGCCAGTGCATGGACAGACCCCCTGCTGAGGGGACACAACAGCACAGCCCATGTAGCCCAAGGCACCTCCAGAGGTGGCAGATGAGCAAGGATGAGGACCCCAGGGTGGAAACTCCTGGATTTGGAGCTGGGCAAGTTTCTGTCCCCATGGACTGGGCAGCTTTAAGAACCAGGGGAGCTGAGGGCAGGAGGCCCAGGGAGGCTCAGCCAGCTGTCAGGAGCAGCCCAGACCCCACCCCTAGAATGACAGAGGAGGAAGAGGGGGAGGGTCATCATCTGTAAATGCCACCAAGACAGTGTTGGGTGGCACCTGACGTTCCCCAGCACACACGAGCCACTGGTGCCTCTTCAGGCTGTGTCCGTTCACATGGTGGGACCTCCTGCCCATTGGTGGTAGGGGCAGGGTGCGTGGAGAGGCCTTCTCCAGGAGCTGCCTGGAAAACAGGGCAGCCCTGACCCCCACTGGCTGACAGTGAGCAGCATGTCTCCTATCACGGAGTCTGAAGGTCCCCGCAGTGTTGAGCAAAAGTTTACATGGCACCCACTGGCCAGACCCCATCGACTCCACAGAGAGCAAAAGAGAGCCTGCTGACCTCCCAGCTGTTGGCCCCAGAGTCACAGAAGTCACCCCTACTCAACACCAGGACACAGATCCACCGCCCAACCTAAGAAAACAGGAACAACTCCAGGGCCACCTAGGCCAGGCAGGTGAGAGGAGCTGGGCGACAGTAGCTGCCAGCTGCAGCTCTGCAGGATCAACAAAAAGGCAAGATGCCGGGGGGAGGGGAGGAGGCCAGGAGCCTTGCGGCACATCACAGAGCAGAGGCGGTGCCCACGGCAGGGTGCGGCTAATTCCTCAGGGCGGCTAACGCCCTTGACAGCTGTTCCTCCTGGCTTCACACGGAGCTCTCGCCCGGCAGAGGCACCCTTGGGCAACTGGCTGAGCTGGTCTAGGACCTCCAGGCCATTCTCCTTGGCGCTCTGCACAATGGGTCTGTCCACCTGCTCCTGAGGCATGGTCAGTGTGGCGGCCGAGCTCATGGAATCCTCCATCACTAATGTGTGCATGGCCAGGTTTTGCACTTGCTACTCAAACCTGTCCATCGCTGCAGAGGCCTTCTGCAGGTCCGTGGTGTTCAGGCCTTGTCTGGGGCTTTGGTCACCTACACCATGTTCTTGGTTACCACCTTCATGGTCACAGCTGTCTGCACCTCGGGGGCCACTGTGTCCAGGCGGATGCCATGTAGAGCCAGTTCACGCTGCTGTTCTCCTTGCAGATGGTGTTCTTGGTGTACACACGGGTGCACTCTACATTTTTCTGCTGAAGGGACTTCTTCACTTTGGCCTGGTTGGCGTAGGAGTGCTTTTCTGCCTTCTTGTCTGGTTTCTCCAGCTGCTTCACCATAAATTTCAACTGGAACAGGGTATTGTCCCCTGGCCAGTCTGACAGAAGCACCCCTTGGAAAGGCAGAAGGGACATGAACTCCGGGAGGCATCAGGTGCCAGTGGCTCTTGCCTTATTTCTTAATAACCATTTAAAAATGTTTGCCTTCGTGGGAGAAATCCTTTGATTCTCCCCTCTCCCATTACCTATTCTCTTGTTAGTTGCCTTAATGTTTTCATTACCATCCGTAAGACCCAGGAGGGGAAGCTGAGGTAGCAAATTTGATAAGGCTTCTCTGACTATAGCTCAGTTTTGCAGTAGTAAGGTTACATGAGGTGCCCATGCAAAAGAGGCTGCCTGAACCACAGCATTTATCATGACCCGGGTAATAGGCATTGTCATGCAGGACTCCTGTTGACTCCAATAGGGATGGCACTGTGTCCTAGAGGCCGGAACCAGTGAATGAGACTTAGGGTTTACTGAGGGGAACTTACACACAGGGATGGTCCAGTGGTGGTGGGCTGGACAGGAGCATGCATTTATGAAACAGGGCATGCGTTTTATGAAACGCATGCAGTTGATACAGCATTTTCACTTAGCACCTTCCACCTAGCAACCTCTACCCAGCAACCTCCAGTTAATCCACAAAAAGGGACTCCATCCCCTGTATGGCCTGTGTTCCAAGGAATGAGCCAGGGGCTCAGATGTCCTTCATAGATAAGGAGTGAAACTCTGGGTTGGCCACTCCCGGATTCCTTAGCTCAGGACTCCGAACACACATTCTTCTTAGACCCTAGGATCATTCTCAGGGTACGCTTCAGTTAAGTTATGGCTGTCAGCTGCATCTGCCATATACAGGCATCCTTAGCGGGTGAATGCCTGGTCATTGTAAAGCCAGCTCCACATGGCTTGCATATGAAACCTATCAACTGCTTCATCTGGGGTGTTCCATTTGACATTTATAGGGAATGTAGGGGCCAAGGGAAAAACTTCTCCTTTGCCCTCTCAAGGATCACTGTACATTCAACCCACAAAATGCAGATTAATAGAGAAATGTCATACAAATTTATTAATGTGTACATGAGGGAAAAATCACAGAGTGCTTACCCAACATCCCAATGAGGCCCAAATACTTCTATAGCTTTATTTCAGAGGGGATGGGGGAGATAGGGAATATAGGTAATTCTGTTGAGGGACAATAAATGATTACTAGGGAGAATGAATGGGTGGGGGCGGAGGAATAGAGATTAATTTATAAACGGGCTGGGCATAGTGGCTCACACCTGTAATTTTGACACTTTGGGAAGTCAAAGCAGGAGGACTGCTTGAGGCTAGGAGTTCAAGACCAGCCTGGGCAACACAGTGAGACCCTATCTGTACAAAAACTTTTAAAATTTGCTGGGCTTGGTGGTGCATACCCGTAGTCAGGAGGCTCCCCTTAAATCCGGGAGTTTGAGGTTACAGTGAGCTATGAATGCACCACTGCACTCCAGCCTGCACAACAGAGAGACACCCTATCTCAAAAACAACAACGACCACGACAACAACAAACTTGTAAATGGTTCTCTTGGAAGTAAATAAGCCTGAAAGAGATATTATCTTGTGAATGGGTCTGTTTAAGAATGTGCTTACATTCTCGGTCTTCTTTTCTGTAATAGATAATGAAATAACAGGGAGCGGAAGGAAAAACAATTGTTCTTGGAGAGTCCATCCAGTCTTTATATAGATAGTGGGAGAAGTCTCTTCTAGTGGCTGTGGATCTCGAAAGGCCTTTAATTAAAAATTTAAAATACTCATTATACCAAAGGGAGCCATATTTTTGGGTGAAGTTCTTTGAGCTCCTTCAGGAGAGTCTCCCTTCTCAGGGTAAACAAATTTTACAGTGGCTTTTATCCAATCTACTGGGCTGGCTGTTCCCTCAGGAATAACCTCCTGTTTGTGTGTGGGTCATGTATAGCTACCTGCAATTGTTCTGTAGTGTGCTGTGGATCCTGCATCAACCTCAACATGCTCTTCCATTCTGCAGCACTTGAAATCTAGTTACTCTTGCAATCCATCTTAGTAATGATTCCTCAGGAAGCTGAAGATAGTAATCTACAAAATGGAATAATTCCTTCACATCGTACCCTCTAGTCTATAGTGACTTGGTTTTGCCCTTCCCCTACATTGACTGTCCTCTTGGTAACCCAGTTCTCAGTTATTTTCTGTTTCCCTGCGTAAGTTTTCCCTTGGGGATCAGTTTGGAGGCTAGTGGCTGAAGCTCAGACTCACTGAAATCTGAACTTGGTTTAGCACCAAGGTCTGACACAGCACTCTCTTTCAATTTCATTTTAGCTATTATAGTTAACAGTAAACAAGAATGTTTTTCTTTTTGCTTATTAGTTTGCATTTCCTTATGCATCCAGTGAATCAACTCTCCAGGAGTTGGTTCTGTCTCTAAATTCCATTCATAACTTTTATCTTCAGTAACTGAGCACAGCACAGCTGCGGCTCTAAACCATGGGTGACCACATGGCTACTCAGGGATCAAAAGTTCCTCACCCAGCACTCTTTCATCCTTTCTCTTCCCAAACCACAACTTTCCATCAGCCCAGGCCATTCTAGCAAATCTCACTTCCGTGACACCAACTCTGCCAGGGTGGGGGGAAACAACACTCAGTGTGCCTGTTCTATTATCTCACTTAACAACAACAATCAACACAGAAGACTTTTGTGACCAAATTTGTATGTGAGGATTTCCCCACACACCAAGCAGCAGTCACCAGTTGAGTGTCCTCTGATTCAATTCAGACACTACCTACTCTGAGATAGTGTTATCAGAAAGGGGTCCCGATCCAGACCCTGAGAGGGTTCTTGTTGGATCTTATGCAAGAAAGAATTTGGGGCAAGTCCACAGAGTAAAGTGAAAGCAAGTTTGTTAAGAAGAAACAAAAGAATGGCTACTCCCTGAGGGCCACTGGGTGGCTATTTTTATGGTTATTTCTTGATGATATGCTAAACAAGGGGTGAGGTATTCATTCGTTTTCTGGGAAAGGGGTGGGGATTTCCCAGAACTAAGGGTTCCTCTTCCTTTTAGACCATAGAGGGTAACTTCCAGATGCTGACAAGGCATTTGTAAACTGTTATGGCACTGGTGGGAGTGTCTTTTAGCATGCTAATGCATTATAATTAACATATAATGAACAGTGAGGACAACCAGAGGTCACTTTCGTTGCCATCTTGGTTTTGGCAGGTTTTGGCCAGCTTCTTTACTGCATCCTGTTTTACCAGTGGGATCAGTGGGGTCTTTGTGACCCGTATCTTGTATTGACCTCCTCTCTCATCCTGTGACTAAGAATGCCAAACCTCGTGGGAAAGCAGCCCAGCAGGTCCCACCCTTATTTCATCTAGCCCCTGTTCAAGATGGAATTGCTCTTCTTGGAACACCTCTGACATATTTCCCCCCTCCCTTTTACGAGGGGACTCTTAAGCCTAAGGGTTGTAGAGGGTTGTAGATCTATCCTCTGTAACGTCTTCAGGCTGAATAGGGGAGATAATATTTTTGCCTAATTATTAGGGTCTTTTGTATTCAGGGTAGAGAAGAGCTCAGTCAGTTATGGTGAAGGCCATTCATAACTCTTCCAGATATCACCTTCTGTTCTGACAAAAGGTGCTATGTGAAAGATAATAAATGTTCAATTTAAGAAAATGTTGAGTAGCCTTATTTTGCGTTTCTACAAAATAGTACAACAGCAATATATTCCACAGTGGTAAAGGAAATAAGTAAAATTATCCCAGTAGACTGAATAAGAAGGCTTTTCATGAACTTGACTATTGTTGGAACCAAGTTGTTAGGGGATCACTAGCTGATTCCAATACATGACCAGAATTAGAATACTGATCTAGATTTTTACATTACCTATTTCCCTCTTTTCTTTTGAGCAGCAGCCAGAGATCACTGGTTGATTTACAGGAATAAGTAGAGTCAGTCTAAATTTCAAAAAAAACCCGCAAAAACAAAGATGAGATTAGAATCTAATAACAGATGTACAAAAGTTTTTGAAACATAATTTTTTTCTCTCCAGTCCCCATTTTCATTGAAGACAAGTCAAGGTAGGACTGATTTGTTTGCAAAATAAGCTTTAGTCTTATTATACTTGTCCTGATTATTTATATAAAGTGCAGTAAGATTAATTATTTGCCATGCAGGCTCCTTTTAAAATTGGCTTTGATGGAACTTTATTCCATAAGTAATCTTAGATTAGACTTTTTAAAGCCTTGAGCCCAGCCAAGAATTTATCTGTCTATTCCTGAAAATACCTGTATGAGTTGGGTGAATTCCTTTCCAGTTCTCAAGATAATTTGGGGTTCCTGGGCTTGTCAGAAAGTGACATTCTTTACTTACTACAGATCAGGAACCCTGTACAGGGATTGCATAGACAGGGTATAAGGCTAGTTTTCTCAAGGGGCATTTTTTTTTTTTGACTCTGTTAGTCGGCTTTCATTCTTTAAAGCTGTCTGTATCTGAAAGCACACCATCCCAGTCAAAGCCTTGGTAAAATAATCAGTGTCTCCAACTGTGTCCTGTTATAAAACAAAACAGATTCTTATTGCACTTATGCAAATAACTTAACTATAGTGCCATAAGTTAAGAATACTCACAAATAGTTTCCAAATTCTGGTAAAATCAAGTAGTGAGAAAGAAATATGCTGAAAATTTTGCTCATAGGGGTATGCTTTATTCAATTGTTAAAAACTGTTGATAGCTCAAAAGAAAAGTTTTCTTGACTCTGAAAAACCAAACAGAAAGGATGAGCAACATTTTAAGTAAAACATCAGAAAAAGATTATTTTGGTGTTCTATTAGTTTAGTCTATGCAATTGATTCCTGTTTTGCTTGATATTTATAATTACATTAGTTTTCCAAGAAAGTCTTATAAGTTCCTTCTCTTTATTTTAATGGCACACTTTCCAAAGTTATCAGAGAGCTGCATTTAAGAGTACTTGTCAGTCCTATAGCTGATTATAAACCACCCTTTAAAGAGGATCAAAACAAGACAACAATTGTCTGTGGATGACAAAGTCTTAGGGCAGCCACAGTTAGACACAATTAACTAGGAATTTGGGTTACTTCTGTGGCATACAACAATTTTATATAACAATTATAATTATTACTGATAGTGTAGAATATGTCTTATCAGAATCAGAGGGGTTTCCCATAATTTTGGAACACATACCAATAATATATTTCTACAAATACAGCCCAAAGAAAGCCAAACACCATTTCACATTTGACAATGCTTCCTGTATAATTTTAGTGTACCAAATAAGGCAAATATGTCATTTTTGAGCTTTAGGGGGACCTAATATCTAAAGGATTAATCTGATCATAAAAATATATAATTTATAATTTGATTTTGGAGTTTGTCAAATATCAAAAGTTTAAAATACTGATAAAATAGAATTTCAGGTCACCATAGGCCATTCATTTAGCCAATATGATAACTCAAAGATTTTAAAAAATTGAAAACTTTTACTCATTGATAGAGGAAAGACTTAGCTTTCCAAATAATCTATTTTCTCTCCTTTTTCTTGTAGTTTGTTTAAAAGGCAAACAAAAATCTTTCACTTTTTCAATATTCCATAAAGATCCTGTTCAAGAGAGAAAGCCAAATTTCACCTTTGCATTAGTATACAATTAATATCAAACCCAATTTTAAACAAGACCTTATACACAAATCTACCCAATCTTGATCAGTTTGACCATAAGGTAAGAGTCTCATAAACCTGTTATAATCTTTTATAATTTTCTGTTAAAAAGCAGATCAACAGTGTAAGAAAACCCTGTTGTGCTTTTATTTCAATGTTTGATTTATAGAAAAGCTGAATAATTAAATAATATCCCTTTAATTTTGACCAATAAGTTCACACACAGAATTTTTACAAGATTAATCTTTCACAAACCTTCCATAACTTGGCCAAAACTTCAGCTTTATTCTACCTAACATAAAGCCATCCTTTAATCCTCTAAACCGGAACAAAAAACCCCACATTCCCATGCCTTCTTATAATTTTTTACCGGAAACATATTCTACTTTCCTTACACACCTTGCATGTAAAACCGTTTCTTCAGTAGTCTTGATTACATGTGTTAGAATGTTATCTCTTAGCAACTTTTATTTTTGGTGAAAAACCTGGTAAGTAAGCAATTTTAATTATGTAGCAGATGTGGAACCTAGGATACCAGACAGAAGTGAAGATAAGGTCCAACTCTTCCCAGCATAGCTAGGGAGCATGGCTAACTCCATATGTCCCCAAGTCTTCCCTAAAATCTAATGGCTCCAAAGCAGGTAAGTTGAACAATTTTCAAAGTCAAAGAAGCAATTTATGACCTTAAAGCATTTAGCAGTACTTGCTTTGGCAGCACAATACTAAAATTGGAAAGATACAGAGAAGATTACCAGGCCCCTGTGGAAGGATGACACACAAATTCATGAAGTATTTTATATTAAAAAATAAAGCATTTAGCAAACCTAATATCTTACTCGCCTTTTTTAGACCAAATGTCTTCATCTTGAAGATATTTTAATTTACCAATAATCTTTAAAACTGTCTTTTTTCCAAAATTACTAAACTCATGTGAACTAAAGGGCATTAAAATTGTTATTTTTCTGACAGAATATTTATTTATGCATTTATTATTTTTAAGCCGATTAATCAGAGCTCTTTAATGTATTTTGGTAGTGAAACATCGCACACAACACATAAATACAGCTGAACAGACAGAAGAAGATCCAGTAGTTTTAAGAGTTTTTCATTTGCCAGTTTTTAAGTGTCTTAATTGTTTTACTGGCTTTAGAGTGGAGCCCTTTGAGAATAGGGCCAGGAAAGCATGCAGTTTTTAGGGCTTAAGAAGCAGCACAGTTGGAAGGCAAAATAGACCCCCAAAATTAAGAGTCTCTCTTTTTTTTTTTTTTGAGATGAAGTTTCCCTTTTGTCCCCCAGGCTAGAGTGCAATGGCGCGATCTTGGGTCACTGCAACCTCGGCCTCCCGGGTTCAAGCGATTCTCCTGCCTCAGCCTCCCAAGTAGCTGGGATTACAGGTGCCTGCCACCATGCCCAGCTAATTTTTATATTTTTAGTAGAGACGGGCTTTCACCATGTTGGCCAGGATGGTCTCCAACTCCTGACCTCAGGTGATCCGCCTGCCTCAGCCTCCCAAAGTGCTGGGATTACAGGTGTGAGCCACTGCGCCCCAGCTGTTTTTTTTTTTTTTTTTTTTTTTTTGAGAGAGTCTCGCTCTGTCACCAGGCTGGAGTGCAGTGGCGCAATCTCGGCTCACTGCAACCTCTGCCTCCCACGTTCAAGTGATTCTTCTGCCTCAGCCTCCCAAGTAGCTGGGACTACAGGCGCGCACCAGCATGCCCAGCTAATTTTTGTATTTTTAGTAGAGACGGGGTTTCACCATGTTGGCCAGGATGGTCTCCATCTCTTGACCTCATGATGTGCCCACCTCGGCCTCCCAAAGTGCTGAGATTACAGGTGTGAGCCACCGCACCCAGCAAGAGTCTCATTTTTATACTGAAAGCAAGTTTGTTAGAGAAGTAAAGAAACAAAAGAATGGCTACTCCATAGGCGGAGCAGCCCTGAAGGCTGCTGCTTGGCTATTTTTATGGTTATTTCTTGATCATATGCTAAACAAGGGGTGGATTATTCATTAGTTTTCCAGGAAGGGGGTGGAGATTTCCTAGAACTGAGAGTTCCTTTTACTTTTATTATTTTTTTGAGAGGGAGTCTTGCTCTGTCGCTCAGTTTGGAGTGCAATGGCACAGTCTAGGCTCACTGCAACCTCCGCCTCCCGGGTTCAAGTGATTCTCCTGCCTCAACCTCCCAAGTAGCTGGGACTACAGGCGCCCACCACCACACCCGGCTAATTTTTGTATTTTTAGTAGAGATGGGGTTTCACCATGTTGGCCAGGCTGGTCTCAAACTCCTAACCTCGTGATCCACCCGCCTCAGCCTCCCAAAGTGCTGGGATTACAGGCATGAGCCACTGCACCTGGCCTATTTTATTTTACTTTATTTTATTTTTTGGGACTGAGTCTCACTCTGTCACCCAGGCTGGAGTGCAGTGGCACAGTCTCTGCTCACTGCAACCTCTGCCTCCCAGGTTCAAGTGACTCTCCTGTCTCAGCCTTCTGTGTAGCTGGGATTACAGGCACACACCACCACAGCCAGCTAATTTTGTATTTTTAGTAGAGATGGGGTTTCACCATGTTGGCCAGGCTAGTCTCGAACTCCTGACCTCAGGTGACCCACCTGCCTCGGCCTCCCAAAGTGCTGAGATTACAGGCATGAGCCACCACACCCCTCTTCCTTTTAGACCACGTAGGATAACTTCTAGACATTGCCATGGCATTTGTAAACTGTCATGGTGCTGGTGGGAGTGTCTTTTAGCATGCTAATGCATTATAATTAACATATAATGAGCAATGAGGATGATCAGGGCTTACTCTCGTCACCATCTTGGTTTTGGCAAGTTTTGGCTGGCTTCTTTACTGCATCCTGTTTTATCAGCGGGGTCTTTGTGATCTGTATCTCGTGCTGGCCTCTTGTCTCAACCTGTGACTAAGTATGCCTAACCTTCTGGGAATGTACCCCAGCAGGTCTCAGCCTCATTTTACCCAGCTCCTATTCAAGAGGGAGTCACTCTGGTTCAAACACCTCTGAATATAGCATCAGATATCACAGGTTTAGGGCTCATTCCTCAAGCTCCCTGAGCCAGGCACAAGTCCAGCCTCCAGAACTTCTAATGGACTGGCTTCCAGTTTGGGTCTCCATGATCCCCTCTTTGGGTTCAATTAACTTGCTGGAGCAGCTCACAGAACTCAGAAAAACACTTACTTATGTTTATCAATTTTTTATAAAGGATATTACAAAAGATACAGATGAAATGAGGATGAGAAATGAGGGAAGGGGTACAGAGCTCCTAGGCCCTTCCTGGGCACACACCTTCCATGAACCTCCATGTGTTCAGCTATCCAGAAGCTCTCCAAACCCTGTTTTTTTAGGTTTATTTGTTTGTTTGTTTTGTTTTTGAGACTGGGTCTTGCTCTGTCACCCAGGATGGAGTACAGTGGCATGATCTTGGCTCACTACAGCCTTTACCTCCCAGGCTAAAGTGATTCTCCCACCTCAGCCTTTCAAGTAGCTGGGACTATAGATACATCACACTCAGCTAATTTATTTTATTTTATTTTTTTGTAGAAAGGAGGTCTCCCTATGTTGCCCAGGCTGGTCTTGAACTCCTGGGCTCAAGTGATCCTCCCACCTCAGCATCCCAAAGTGCTGGATTACAGGCATGAACCACGACACCTCGCCTCCTTTTGTTTTTTTTTATGAAGGCCTCATGATGTAGGCATGATTGATTAAACCATTGGCCACTGGTGATCAACTTAACCTTCAGCCCCTCTGCCCTCCCCATTGGGTAGGGGGGTGATGCTGAAAGTCTCAACTCTGTAATCCTGCCTAGGTATTTCTGGTCACCAGCCTCCATCCTGAAGCTACCTAGCAGCTGCTAGCCACCAGTCAATTATTAGCATATAAAAAGACATCACTCTGGAAATTCCAAGGATTTGGGGAGTTGTATGCCAGGAAACAGGAATGAAGACTAAAAACATATTTCACAATATAACAACAGCCCTCTGTTGCTCTGGACACAACTCACCATTGACAGCCTTCCAATAGAGAGCTGGAGAAGTATTTACGGCTGGGCGCGGTGGCTCATGCCTATAATCCCAGCACTTTGGGAGGCTGAGGCGGGCGGATCACGAGGTCAGGAGATGGAGACCATCCTGGCTAACACGGTGAAACACCGTCTCTACTAAAAATACTAAAAAATTAGCTGGGCGTGGTGGCAGGCACTTGTAGTTCCAGCTACTCAGGAGGCTGAGGCAGGAGAATGGCATGAACCTGGGAGGCAGAGCTTGCAGTGAGCCAAGATCATGCTACTGCACTCCAGCCTGGGTTACAGAGCGAGACTCCATCTCAAAAAAAAAAAAAAAAAAAAAAAACTCTCTCTATATATATACCGTCATGTGTCACAGAGCAACAGGAATATGTCCTAAGAAATGTGTCATTAGGTGATTTTGTCATTGTGCGAACATCAGAGATTGTACTTACACAAACCTAGATGGTAGAGCCTACTACACACCTAGGCTATATGGTATGGCCTATTGCTCATAGAGTACAAACCTGTACAGCATGTAACTGTACTGAATACTGTAGGCAGTTGTAACACAATGTTAAGTATTTGTGTATCTAAACATATCTAAACATATAAAAGGTACAGTAAAAATACGGTATTATAATCTTATGGGACCACTGCCATATATGCAGTCTGTCATTGACTGAAACATCATTATGTGGCATATTACTGTATATATACACATATACATATGTATACACACACACACACATAAATATACGCATTCTATTGGCACTGTCTTTGGAGAACACTGACTAATACAGATAGTTTCAGGAGATCCCACTTGACTCTTCCTATCATAATAGCTTCTAATCCACAGGTCACGACATTGTAAGAGGATTCTGTTAATTTCTGTGAGACTCATTGGACTTTAGGTCAATTCCATCTATCACCTGGCCTCCCTTAGCTCCTATTCTAATCAGGAAGTGATGATGGTATTTTGTTTTCTAGTTTCTGTGACAGCACAGATTCTATAATGCTCTTTGAAAATTCTAGATAGTCTTCTTTTTCAGTGAACAGTTACCCTGGTAAATGGCAGCAGATCAGCCCTCTGGGGAAGGACTGGAAGGATATTTACTATATATAATGATGGTATGATTACAGAGTCATTCCTTAAGGGGGTATGGTCACCCTATATTTAAGTGGTTCTAGTCCTGTGAATTTTGGTCAGGAATCTAGCTGGGTGCAGTGGATGAGGAGAGAGGATTGCTTGAGCCCAGGAGTTTGAGGCTGCAGTGAGCTATAATGGTGCCAGTGCACTCCAGCCTGGGTGTCAGAGCAAGAAAAAAAAAATGAAAAAAATTTTAAAATCTAGATGAGGGACCAGAATTTTCCAGTGTAGCAGCAGCTAATTCAGTCTTCTGGTTGCCAGAACTTTATTTAAAAAAATAAAAATAAAAATCAAGGACCATCCAGTTAGCTGTATCCCATTCCCATAATCAGCGTATAGATCCTCGAAGGTCAAGGCACACTCATTGCCACTTTGGGACTGCTGCCTTTAACAGTAATTATATTCACCTGGTCTTGGATGTCACCTCTGCCATTCTGAAATCTGAACATTAGGATTGATAATTAGGATCTCAGTTCCATGGTAGTGCTTCTTACTTTTAATCCGAGAGTACTGAAGACGGACATCACTGAGCTACTCAAAGATGCTGGTGTTCCCTTATCAGTGAACTTATTGTCTTAGTGAAAAGAATATCCTCTGGGCCTTCCTAAAGAACATAGTCTGGTGCTGAGTTCTTGGGTGTTATAGTCCTACCTTCCTGAACTTTCTTACCTCTTATTAAACACTCTACCATGGTTGGGAGGCCGAGGTGGGCAGATCACAAGGTCAGGAGTTCGAGACCAGCCTGGCCGACAAGGTGAAACCCCGTCTCTACTGAAAAAATACAAAAATTAGCCAGGCATGGTGGCAGGCACCTGTAATCCCAGCTACTTGGGAGGCTGAGGCAGGAGAATTGCTTGAACCCAGGAGGCAGAGGTTGCAGTGAGCCAAGATCACGTCACTGCACTCCAGCCTGGGCAACGGAGCAAGACTGCGTCTCAAAAAAAAAAAAAAAAAAAAAAAAAAAAAACCCTAACCATGGGAATTCTAGTATATTGAGATCATTTATTGTAGGTCATCATCCAGCCCAAGCTCTAAGAAACATCCTTGCAAACTATTAAGACTATATTTCAATTATCTATTGCAAATTAACAAACCACCCAAGTTTAAGGACTTAAAACAACAGCAATTTATTACTTCTCACAACTCTGCTGTCTGGTTTAGGCTTAATTAAGTGTTTGCAGATTTAAGGATGGGGGAAAATAGACTCCATCTCTTGATGTGGGGAGTGGCATGTACACAGAGGGAGGGAAGAATTTGATAGTGACCATCTTTGGAAACTATCTACCAGAGACCAGCTCCAGGCATTCTTGCAAGAATATTGAAGCCTGAGTTACTGAAGAGTGGTTTATGTCAATATATTCCCCATTAGCCAATCTTATATTCTGCCTGCTTCCCTACCCTCACCACCATGCCTAAAAATCCTGAAATTATTTCCATATATATTCACTAGTCTTTCACGTCCTTTGAGGTGTAGCTTATTTATCCTGAGACCAATAAGCAAATTTCCACACTCAGGATTTCCTAGGAATTGACCTCAGTTATTTGAGGGTGTGATGGAAACAAGTCTTAAGGAGAACAGATGCCATCTTATGAAGCACCTGGTTCACATGAAATCATTTCCTCACATGAGTCAAGAGAAAATTGTTCTTCCCTGGCAAGAGGGAAGGGGCTGCTTCTGCCACCCAGAACTCAGGAGAATTTGTAAGATAAAGATTCTTAGGTTTCTCCACCATAATGCTCCTATCCTCGGTCTCAGGGTCCTACTTTTTCCCTATCAGTGCCTTGACTTTGACATAGGAGACCTACCGAATCTGTTCATTTAGAATCTTTTGCAACTCTGCACTCTGCACTTTTTACCTGATCCTAGATCTGATTTTCTTTTCTTTTCTTTCTTTCTTTTTTTTTTTTTTTTTTTTTTGAGACAGTGTCTCGCTCTGTTGCCCAAGCTGGAGTGCAGTGGCACGATCTCAACTCACTGCAAACTCTGCCTCCCGGGTTCAAGCAATTCTCCTGCCTCAGCCTCCCAAGTAGCTGGGATAACAGGTGCACACCACCATGCCCAGCTAATTTTTGTATTTTTAGTAGAGACAGGGTTTCACCATGTTGGCCAGGTTGGTCTCGAACTCCTGACCTCAGGTGATCTGCCCACCTCAGCCTCCCAAAGTGCTGGGACTACAGGTGTGAGCCACCACGCCCAGCCCTGGATCTGATTTTCCACGTAGTCTTTCCTTTACTACAAGTAAAAGGTCTTATAACTGTAATGCCAAATGAAGGGAAGGGTTATTATCATTCCACTAACTACCAGCAATGAGGTCCTAATTGCATTCACGTAGGTGAGGAATCAAGCCCTGAAATCATACCCTGAAGATCTCTTTTGGTACTAAATGTCAGCCTATGTTCCCTAGAAAACAGAGCATGAATCAAAGGTTGTATGCTAATGCTTTCTTCGGGGTTGCAATCCTAAAGAAGTAAAAGCCTGACTTTGGGATTGTGTTAACTGCTTCCACTGGGCAGTTGCTGGGGAAATCAGAACCTTTATATCCTTAGTTGGGTCAGACACAAGTGTTTAAGTTGCTGTGGTCTCATTATAGCAGGTTTAATCAAGTTCATGCTAAACACTAGCACTTGTCTCCCCATGAGGCTGAGGCAGCCAATAATATCTGGAGATGAGACAACGATGTTGGCTGCTGGGACCTTCCATTGGGAGACATCTAAGCTGAGTCTGGCACAGTCAGAGTAAGTAAGGACTTTGGCATTTACTTAGAAGCTATTGGAGGTATTTGAGCAGAGAAGTAACACATCTATCTGCCCAGTGGAGCAAGGTTAGAAGTAGGGAGATCAGTTAGGAGTCAATTGCAATAAACCAGGTGTATTAGGGTTCTATCAGCGAAGCAGAACCATTAGAAGTTATATAGAATAAGGGATTTATTATAGGGATTTGATCTGATGCAGTTGTGGATGCTGGTTAAACAGTTTACGCACAGCTGTTTCTTATGGATCTGGTATTGGACTAGAAGTCATCAGGGCAGGTAACTGGAAAGGAAAAATGGACATGAAAAGGGGGAGGACAAGGTCAAAATGGAACCCATGAAAACAAACTAGATCTCCTATTGGTTTCTCCCTACCCCTAAGCCTCCAAGTTTGATGATGACCTACAGGAGAAGCTGATGACCTTCATCAACATATATCTAGCCCAGGAGTTTGGGAAGCTGAAGGTAGAAGTCTAGGGGGAGATGGAGTGGCTTTGCGCCCAGCTGCTGCCTCACACCAACAAGGGGAGCCAGCAGATTAATGAAACCACACGTAAACTGCAGTAGCATCTGACTCTATGTTGGCTTTCCAATTGCAAGCATGGCTACATCTGAACGTCTTCTTTCTAAATTGTGTCCACATCTTCTTCTGGTGGCAAATTCTCACCCAAAACTACACAGGAAAGGGATTTCTAAGAAACATAGTTCCATCTTAGCTAAATTGACTACCAAGCCCACTATGCCAGGTGAGAAATTAAGATGGCTTGGACCAGAGTATCAGCAACAGGGGTGTGAGAAGTTTTTTGTGAAAGTTGTCAGAATCAAAATAGAATCACCCATTTTGATTAAAAAACCCTGACAAATGGAGATTGGGAAGGCCAAAAAGGGAGTTTTCTTATGCACAAATGCCTGATAATAAGAAATATAACAGAAAACTCTGCAAAAACCACATGCTTGCCCAAAGGCCACCACAAACTTATATACACACAAAAATATATCCACGAGGACATCTGTCAACTGCTGTCCAATCTCAGACTAGCATCACCCTTGTTATTAATATTTGATCATTGTAATCAAGGATAATTATCTCGGCCGGGCACGGTGGCTCACACCTGTAATCCTAGCACTTTGGGAGGCCGAGGCAGGCGGATCACGAGGTCAGGAGATCGAGACCATCTTGGCTAACATGGTGAAACCCCGTCTCTACTAAAAATACAAAAAATTAGCCGGGTGCCGTGGCGGGCACCTGTAATCCCAGCTACTCAGGAGGCTGAGGCAGGAGAATGGCATGAACCTGGGAGGCGGAGCTTGCAGTAAGCCGAGATAGCACCACTGCAGTCTGGCCTGGGCGAAAGAGTGAGACTCCATCTCAGAAAAAAAAAAAAGATAATCAAAAAGGATAATTATCTCAAAACAATTATGCAATTCTCATTTTTCCTTTAAAAACCTTTGTCTCTTTGGGAGGCCGAGGCAGGCGGATCACGAGGTCAGGAGATCGAGACCATCCTGGCTAACACAGTAAAACCCCGTCTCAACTAAAAATACAAAAAATTAGCCGGGCATGGTGGTGGGTGCCTGTAGTCCCAGCTACTCAGGAGGCTGAGGCAGGAGAATGGCGTGAACCCGGGAGGCGGAGCTTGCAGTGAGCCGAGATTGTGCCATTGCACTCCAGCCTGGGCGACAGAGCCAGACTCCGTCTCAAAAAACAAACAAACAAACAAACAAAAACCTTTGTCTTCCTTTACCTCTCTGAATATAGACACAGTTTAATATGGCATATGTATTCCCGTTGCAAATTTCATTCTCAAGTAAAAATAATTTTCTTTTAGAGAGCCTCTCTCTGTCTTTTAGGTTGACAAACATGGTGTCAGAAGTGGGATCTGAAGCATAATCATTTTCAGAATAAACTGGTGATTCTTGGAACCAGGGTGCAGTACTCCCTTGAGGCCTTTCAGCTCTCTACTTCCACGGCTCTCCTTTTTCTGCCCTGGTGAGTCTTCTCTCAAGCCAAGCCTCCCTCTTTTTGGCAGATGCTCTTTAACTTTGTTTGGGATGTGATTTGAGTAACATCACCTTAATAAAGAGTGTTGCATCCCTTCTGGGATGATAAAAGACTCTTTGTCTTTTCTGATGAGCTCTTTCCAATGTAAAGACATTTTGTCTTTCTGGTGAGTATACTCTCTTACAGAGTTTATGTTCTGTCTGTGAGGACCTCGTATATTTTCTGGTTAATTCACCTGTAGTTCTGGAAGCCTGGTTTGATATTTTGTTTGGTCTGCATACCTGGCTTAAACCTTTTGTGAACATTCTTATTTTGGTTTCATTTTGGTTTGGTTATGCACATCTGTAAACAATTTGGCTCTTTTACTGGCCTCCCCCTAAGCCCTGCTTATTTCTAAACATCTTTCAAGAGCAAAAACAAATATTCTAAATATGGGCATAGGATGGCCAATTAAAACCACTGGAGCAGTCACCATCATCTAAAACACCAGTCCAAACCCCTGACATTTCTCTGAAAGGGCTTATGGAATTGTCTTTGCTCTTAAGAAATTAATAAGTAATTTAGGTGTAATTAAAAAAATTAATCAATTAAGGTAAATGTAAATAGGATAAATGTTTACAAATAAACTTTCATGTAATTTGACATCTTAAAGTTATGATATATTAAATTAAGCAGTAGATATTGATAAAGTATCTGGATCATTTCCAAATAAGATAAAATGCTACACATTAATTGCTAAACATAGATTCAAGTATATTTACTTTTGGCTTCCTAAATTTTACAAAAAGCGAAAAGATATTTGTAGTTGTTAATAAATACATCCTGCTCCACATTAAAAAATTATGTTATAAAAAATTTCTAAAAAATTATGTATTCATAAAATGTTAAGATACAATTCAAAATTTGCTTACTTTCTAGGTTTTCACTAAAAATAAAGGTTTACAAGAGTTTAAAATTCTAATTAATGTATATAATTCTGTATACACAGGTACCAAACAAGTAAAATGTGTTCTTGAAAGTCAGGTGTGGTGGCTCAGGCCTGCAATCCCAGCACTTTGGGAGGCTGAGGCAGGTGGATCACTTGAGGTCAAGAGTTTGAGACCAGCCTGGCCAACGTGACAAAACCCCGTCTCTACTAAAAATACAAAAATTAGCCAGCCATGGTGGCGGGAGCCTGTAATCCTAGCTACTTGGGAGGCAGAGGCAAGAGAATCACTTGAACCTGGGAGGCGGAGGTTGCAGTGAGCTGAGATCGTGCCATTGCACTCCAGCCTGGGCAACAAGGGTGAAACTCTGTCTCAAAAAAAAAAAAAAGAAAAAAGAAAAGAAGAAAGAAAAAAAATGTTCTAGATAAAAAATTATTTAAAAGACATAAAAATGTGTTCTTTATTCAAAAAATCATTTTGATCACTTGGTGAAACGCTGTCTCTACTAAAAATACAAAAAAATTAGCTGGGTGTGGTGGTGGGTGCCTGTAATCCCAGCTACTCGGGAGGCTGAGGCAGGAGAATTGCTCAGGAGGTGGAAGTTACAGCCAGCCAAGGTCGCGCCACTGCACTCCAGCCTGGGCGGCAGAGCGAGACTCTGTCTCAAAAATAAATAAATAAATAAATAATTTTGTCCAAACACAAGATTATTTAAGGTTGTTTCAAAAAGTAAATAAATTTTTTTAAAAATGGCCAGGCGTGGTGGCTCACGCCTGTAATCCCAGCACTTTGGGAGGCTGAGGCAGGCAGATCACCTTAGGTCAGGAGTTCGAGACCAACTCAAGGTCAGGAGTTCAAAACCAGCCTAGCCAACATGGTGAAACCCTGTCTCTACTAAAAATACAAAAAAATTAGCCGGGCATGGTGGTGGGCACCTGTAATCCCAGCTATTCAGGAGGCTGAGACAGGAGGACCACCACCCAGGAGGCTGAGGCTGCAGTGAGCTGAGATCACACCATTGCACTCCAGCCTGCTGGGTGACAGAGTGAGACCCTGTCTCAAACAAACAAACAAACAAACAAAAAAAGAGGTTTAATTGGCTCCCGGTTCTACAGGCTATACAGGAAGCACAGCAGCATCTGCTTCTGGGAAGGCCTCAGAGAGTTTTTACTCATAGCAGAAAGTGAAGCGGGAGCAGGCACATCACACATTCAAAGCAGGAGCAAGAGAGAGAGCCAAGGGGAGGTACACACACTTTTAAATGACCAGATCTCGTGAGAACTCACTATCATGAAGCCAGCACCAAGGCATGAGGGATCCACCCCAGCGATCCAAATACCTTCCACTAGGCCCCACCTCCAGCACTGGGGATTACAATTCAACATGAGATTTGGGCAAGAACAAAAATCTGAACTATATCAACAGCAAAAGGTGAAATTCCAAGAGATGTACCTGAGAAGCTTCAAGAGGAAAACTCTACCTTGAGAAATGAAATAATCATTCTAAATGAAGAAGACTCTATTTCTAACTGGAAACTAGGAAAATTAAATGGAATCTGTAAAAAAAAAAAAAGCTGTAGTTTGGAAGATGGTTGAAAATTTACAGAAACAGATTTTAGAATTAAAAGTCAAAACCTTTTGCAATTTTACTGAAAGCAGATGAATACTTCAAGAAAAACTTATTGTTCATCATATGGGAACAAAATTTTAGTTTTGTATAATTATATTTTTAATATTAAAGCTTATTCATTTTTTAATGTTTTAATTTTAAATTTAAATTTTTTTTGGAAACAGGGTCTCACACTGTTGCCCAGGCTAGAGTGCAGTGGCAATATTGTAGCTCACTGCATCCTTAAATTCTGGACTCAAGTGATCCTCCCTCCTCACCCTCCCAAGTGGCTGGGACTACAGGCACATGCCATCATGCCTCCGTAATTTTTTTTATTTTTTGTAGAGACCTGGTCTCACTATGTTGCCCAGGCTAGTCTCAAACTCCCAGGCTCAAGCAATTCTCCTGCCTCAGCCTCCTAAAGTGCTAGGATTAGAGGGGTGAGCCGCTGGACCTGGCTTAAACCACAATCTTTAGAAAGACCTACAAATAATCCTCTTTTAAGTATATTCAACTTGATAATACATAAAATTTCTTTTATAAATTTATCCTTTATAAACCTTTTATGACTTAGTCTGACCTTCCACAACCTGCTCAGACCTTTTGTTTGTTTTATATTTTTTCTTTCTTAAATAACCAGTCATTTGACTTTAGGACAAAATTTACTTTTTAAAAAAATCATTTTGAATAATTCTTTTTTTCTCTCTTTTTTCTTTCCTTTTGTTCTACTGGAGTCTTCTCAGACACTTTTCTTTTTTTTAACCTTTCATAAGATAACTACATCTTTATTCTTTTTTTTTTTTTTTCTGAGACAGGATCCCACTCTGTCACCCAAGCTGGAGTGCGGTGGTGCATTTGCAGCTCACAGCAACCTCAAAATCCTGGGCTCAAACAGTCCTCCCACCTCAGCCTCCACAGTAGCTAGGACTACAGATGTGTGCCACAGTGCCTGGCTAATTTTTTAAAAATTATTTTTTGTAGAGATCAGGTTTACCATATTGCCCAGGCTATTCTCTTTTTTTTTTTTTTTTTTTTTTTGAGACAAGAGTCTTGCTCTTTTGCTCAGGCTGGAGTGCAGCGGCGTGATCTCAGCTCACTGCCAACTTCCGCCTCCCGAGTTTAAGCAATTCTTCTGCCTCAGCCTCCCGAGTAGCTGGGATTACAGGTGCCCGCCACCACGCCCGGCTAACCCAGGCTATTCTCAAACTCCTGGCCTCAAGTGATCCTCCTGCCTCAGCCTCCCACAGTGTTGGGGTCAGACATGAGCCACCGTGCCCAGCGATATCTTTTACATCTTTTTCTCCTACTTTCTGGTTTTTAAAAATCTTACTGTTTTTGCTTTTGTTGTTGTTTGAGAAAAGGTCTTGCTCTGTCACCCAGGCTGGAGTCACTGCACAATCATAGGTCACTGCAACCTTGAATTCCTGGGTTCAAAGGATCTTTGCATCTCAGCCTCCTAAGTAGCTGGGAATACAGGCACACACCACCACACCTGGCTAATTTTTAACTTTTTGTAGAGATAGAGTCTCACTTGGTCGCCCAGGCTGGTCTCAACCTCCTAGCCTCAAGTGATCCTCCCATCTCAGCCTCCCAAAATTCTGGAATTACAGGCATGAGCCACCATGCTCAGGCTTGTTTTTTTTTTCACTGATTTTATTTTGTTTTATTTTATTTTATTTTATTTTATTTTTTCTTGAGATGGAGTCTCGCTCTGTTACCCAGTCTGGAGTACAGTGGCTTGATCTCAGCTCACTGCAACCTCTGCCTCCCCGGTTCAAGCAATTCTCCTGCCTCAGTCTCCCGGGTAGCTGGGTCCACAGGTGCACACCACCATGAAGATGAACTGGAATCTATGAAAACAAACTAGATCTCCTATTGGTCTATGCCACCACACTTGGCTAATTTTTGTATTGTTTGTAGAGATGGCATTCTGCCATGTTACCCAGGCTGGTCTCGAACTCCTGAGCTCAAGTGATCCACCTGCCTCAGCCTCATAAAGTGCTGGGATTAGAGGCAAAAGCCACCATGCCCAGCTAAACCTCTTTTCTTACAAATTACTCAACCTCAGATATTCTCACTCTGTCACCAGGCTGGAGTGTAGTGGTGCGATCTCTGCTCACTGCAACCTTCGCCTGCCAGGTTCAAGCAATTATCCTGCCTCAGCCTCCTGAGTAGCTGGGACTACAGGTGTGCACCACCATGCCCAGCTAATTTTTGTATTTTTAGTAGAGATGGGGTTTCACCATGTTGGCCAGGTCACCATGATCTCCTGACCTCGTGATCCACCCACCTTGGCCTCCCAAAGTGCTGGGATTATAGGCATGAGCCACTGCACCCGGCCAGGTATTTCTATTTTTTCTTTTTTCTTTTTTTTAAGACGGAGTATCACTCTGTTGCCAGGCTGGAGTGCATTAGCGCAATCTTGGCTCACTGCAACCTCCGACTCCCTGGTTCAACTGATTCTCCTGCCTCAGCCTCTCGAGTAGCTAGAATTACAGGCACGCGCCACCAGGCCCAGCTAATTTTTGTATTTTTAGTAGAGATGGGGTTTCACCATGTTGGCCAGGATGGTCTTGATCTCCTGACCTAGTGATCCACCCGCCTCGGCCTCCCAAAGTGCTGGGATTACAGGTGTGAGCCACCGTGCCCAGCCCTGGCCAGGTATTTCTTTATAGCAAGGCAATAATGGCCTAATACAGAAAATTGGTACCAAGGAGTCGGGTATTGCAATAAAGGTACCTGAAAATGTGGAAGCAGCTTTGAAACTGGGTAATGCACAGAGGTTGGAAGACTTTGGAGAGGTCAGAAGAAGATAGGAAGATGAGGGAAACTTTGGAACTTCTCAGAAGCTGGTTAAATGATTGTGACCAAAATGTTGATAGTGATATGGACAGTGAGGTCCAGGCTGCTGAGGTCTCAGATGGAAATGAGAAATGTATTGGGAACTGGACCAAAGGTCACTCATGTTATGCCTTAGCAAAGAGGTTGGCTGGATTTAATTCATGCCCTAGGTATCTGTAGACGTTTGAACTTCATCGTGATGACTTAGGGTATCTGGTGGAAGAAATTCCTAAGCAGCAAAATATTAAAGATGTGGTCTGACTGCTTCAAATAGCCTATGTTCAGATGCAGGAGCAAAGGAATGACTTAAAGTTGGAACTTATATTTAAAGGGAAATGGAGCATAAGTGTTTGGAAAATTTGTAGCGTAGACATGTGGCAGAGAAAGGAAAAGGTTTTTCTTTTTTTATTTCAATCATTTTTGGGAAACAGGTGGTTTTTGGTTACAAGGATAAGTTCTTTCGTGGTGATTTCTGAGATTTTGGTACACCTATCACCTGAGTAGTGTACACTGTACCCAATGTATAGTTTTTTATCCCTCGCCTCTCCTACTCTTCCCCGTAAGTCCCTCAAGTCCATTATATCATTCTTATGCCTTTGCATCCTCATAGCTTAGCTCCCACTTATAAATGAGAACATTCAATATTTGATTTTCCATTCCTGAGTTACTTCACTTAGAATAATGGTCCCCAACTCCATCCAGGTTGCTGTAAATGCCATTATTTCATTCCTTTTTATGGCTGAGTAGTATTCCATGGTGTATACATACCACATTTTCTTTCTTTCTTTCTTTTTTTTCTTTTTTTTTTTGAGAAGGAGTCTTGCCCTGTCACCCAGGCTGGAGTGCAAAGGTGCAATCTTGGCTCACTGCAACCTCCACCTCCTGGGTTCAAACAATTCTCTGCCTCAGCCTCCCGAGTAGCTAGGATGACAGGCACCCACCACCATGCCTGGCTAATTTTTGTATTTTTAGTAGAGATGGGGTTTCACCATCTTGGCCAGGCTGGTCTTGAACTCCTGACCTCATGGTACACCTGCCTCAGCCTCCCAAAGTGCTAGGATTACAGGGGTGAGCCACCACAGCTGGCCCATACCACATTTTTTTTATCCACTAACTGGTGCTGGGCATTTAGGCCGCTTCCATATTTTTGAGATTATGAATTGTGGTGCTATAAATATGTGTGTGCAAGTATCCTTTTCTTTTCTTTTTTTTTTTTTTTTGAGATGGAGTCTTGCTCTGTTGCTCAGGCTGGAGTGCAGTGGCGTGATCTCGGCTCACTGCAACCTCTGCCTCCTGGGTTCAAGTGATTCTCCTGCCTCAGCCTCCCAAGTAGCTGGGACTACAGGCATGTGCCACCACACCCGGCTATTTTTTTGTATTTTTAGTAGAGACAGGGTTTCACCATGTTAGCCAGGGCAGTCTCGATCTCTTGACTTCGTGATCCACCTGCCTTGGCCTCCCAAAGTGCTGGGATTACAGGCATGAGCTACCACGCCCAGCCCATTTATTTATTTTTGAAATGGAGTCTTGCTCTGTTACCCAGGCTGGAGTGCAGTGGTGCCATCTCGGCTCACTGCAACCTCTGCCTCCAAGGTTCAAGCGATTCTCCGGTCTCAGCCTCCCAAGTAGCTGGGACTACAGGCATGTGCCATCATGCCTGGCTAATTTTTGTGCTTTTAATGGAGATGGAGTTTTCGCCATTTTGGCCAGGCTGGTCTCAAACTCCTGACCTCAGGTGATCCACCTGCCTCGGCCTCCCAAAGTGCTGGGATTATAGGTGTGAGCCACCACACTCAGCCTTGACAGTAACAATCTAGTCATTAACAAACTAGAGCCTGTGGGTCAAATCAGGCTTCGCTGCCTGTTTTTGTAAATGAAGTTTTACTGGAACACAGCCACACTTATTCACTTATGTGTTGTCCATGGCTACCTTTGTCCTACAATGGCTGAGTAGTTGTGACAAAGACCATAATGGCCCTCAAAGTCTAAAATATTTACTATCTGGCCCTTTACAGAAAAGTTTACTAGCCCCTGATCTAAAGAATTTAAACTAAAGGCTGGACACAGTGGCTCATGCCTGTAATCCCAGCACTTTGGGAGGCTGAGGCAGGTGGGTCATCTGAAGTCAGGAGTTCGAGACCAGCCTGGCCAACATGGTAAAACCCCATCTCTACTGAAAATACAAAAATTAGCCAGGCATGGTGGTACACACCTGTAATCCCAGCTACTCAGGAGGCTGAGGCGGGAGAATCTCTTGAACCGGGGAGGCAGAGGTTGCAGTGAGCTGAGATTGCGCCACTGCACTCCAGCCTGGGCAAAAGGGTGAAACTCTATCTCAAAAAAAAAAAAAAAAAAAATTTAAACTAAAATGTAACTGTTTTAAAGTATATAAAATTTGAATATATTTTGATCAAAAAATAAATAAAAATAAATGTGAAAATTAAAACTTAAAATGTTTTATATATTTTTTAAATTTTTTTATTTTTTTATAGCAACAGGGTCTTTCTAAGTTGCCCAGGCTGTTTTCCAACTCCTGGCCTCAAGCAATCCTTCCACCTCAGCCTCCCAAAGTGCTGGGATTATGGGAGAGAGCCACTTTGGCTGGCCTATATTTTAAAAATTACTCCAAAATATTTTACATAATTTATTAAAAATTAAAAAGCAGATAGATGTGGTGTCTTGCGCCTGTGGTTCCAGCTACTCTGGAGGGTGAAGCAAGAGGATCATTTGAGCCCAGGAGTTCCAGGTTGCAGTGAGCTATGATTGTGCCACTGTATTCCAGTCTAGGTGACAGAATGAGACACTGTCTCTAAAATAAATACATAAATAGGCCAGGTGTGGTGTCTCACACCTGTAATCCAGCACTTTGGGAGGCCGAGGCGGGTGGATCACAAGGTCAGGAGATCGAGACCATCCTGGCTAACACGGTGAAACCCCATCTCTACTAAAAATACAAAAAATTAGCCAGGCATGGTGGCGGGCGCCTGTAGTCCCAGCTACTCGGGAAGCTGAGGCAGGAGAATGGCATGAATTCAGGAGGCAGAGCTTGCAGTGAGCCGAGACTGGGCCACTGCACTCCAGCCTGGGCGACAGAGCAAGACTCCACCTCAAAAAAATAATAATAAAATTAAAAAATAAAAATAATAAATAGGCCAGGTGCAGTGACTCTCGCCTGTAATCTCAACACTTTGGGAAGCTGAGGCGGGTGAACTGTTTGAGCCTAGGGATTCGAGACCAGCCTGGGCAACGTGGCAAAACCCAGTATTTACAAAAAAATACAAAAATTAGCTGGACTTGGTAGTACACGCCTGTAGTCCCATCTACTTAAGAAGCTGAGGTGGGAGGATCAATTGAGTCCAGGAGGTCGAGGCTGCAGTGAGCTGTGATCGTACCACTGCACTCCAGCCTAGAGACAGAGCGAGACTCAGTCTCAAAAAATAAAATAAAATACAAACACAAATTATAGGCATTAAAAAGTTTTAAATCAATATTATTTAAAGCTGTTATTTTTTGAAAATTTAATCAAATCTTATTAATTAAAAAAAACCTTGCCATTTTAGTGTTCAAGAGCCATCTAAATGCCAATGGGAAGAATTTGTACCATGCTCTGCCCTTATTACATGTAGATCTATCCATACACAGATGAGAAAAGATTTGTTCCATTGGAAAACATTCCATGCTGCCATGTCTAACTGTTGTTGTGAATACCAAAGTAATCTGCAAACACCTCCAGTTTGGAAAAGTAATTGAAATTGAAAAAGAAGCAAGAAGATTGACACTGGGTACCTCTGGGAAATGATACTCCATTATGCAATAATTAATTGCATTCATGCTATCAGAAAGGATTTGGTGAATCAATTAATTTGTCTTCTCTCTTTTTTTTTTGAGATGGAGTTTCACTCTTGTTGCCCAGGCTGTAGTGCAATGGTGTGATCTCGGTTCAATGCAACCTCTGCCTCCCAGGTTCAAGCGATTCTCCTGCCTCAGCCTCCCTAGCAGCTGGGATTACAGGCCTGTGCCACCACGCCCGGCTAATTTTGTATTTTTAGTAGAGACGGGGTTTCTCCATGTTGGTCAGGCTGGTCTCGAACTTCTGACCTCAGGTGATACACCTGCCTTGGCCTCCCAAAGTGCTGGGATTACAGGCATGAGCCACTGTGCCTGGCCTGTCTTTTCTCTTACCTAAGCGTTTCTACCTCTCTGCCCTTCCCAGACTCCAAAGCGGTGTCTGTCTCTGATGTTGGCAGTGATAACAACCTGTAAACCTTTATAGCAATCAACACAGTCCATTTTTGTTTCTAGAACATAGGGCAAGACATTTTAGAAGCATTCCCCGGGGCCTGAATGGTGCAAGTCCTGGAGCAGATGTGTATGATAACGGGTTGTGCTAAATCAGCCCTGAGTTTCAGATCCCAGTGATAGAGGCACTCATGTGATCCTTATTTTTTGTGTGTTTGTGATATGCAGTGTCCTCTAAAACACAGGGCCTAGGTCTAAGGATAATAGCAGTAGTAAGGGCTCAGATACTGAGGGATATTTGAAACATTTTGTCTGCATCTCTTTGGTTTCTGAGTTTGGATAACAGGAGTTCAACTAGAGAAAGATACCAGTATTTTGACAATGGAGCCAAAAGCATTTACTGACAGGCCAGATCTGGGATATGAGAGAAAAAGAGGAGTCAAAAATGACATCAAGCTTTTCTGCCTGAACAACTGGAAAAATGGAACTGTCATTCACTGAAAGAGGGAGGACAACAGAAGGAACTGGCCATTTTTAGACATAATCAAGTTTGAGATGGCTATGGACCTCCAAATGGGGATGTCAAGTTCAGAGGCGAGGCCAGATTAAAGATAAATTTCAAAATCATCAGTGATAGAAAAGCCAAGAACTAGATGAGATCACCTAGGATCTCATCCTAGGAGATCACCTAGGAGTCAAAAGAGAGAAGAGGTCCAAGGACTTTGACTGTTCCTCCTAGCTGAACCCCACATGACCTAGCTCAACCACGCAGACAGTGGAAGGAATGTGGGTATTGACAGAGGAGGAGTACCATCATCTTGGACAAACGCTGCCCCTTTAAGTTCCAACTCCCTTTCTAGCCTCATGCATTTCAAGGAAATCACTTCTCTTCTAACTACAAGCAGCCAGAAAGAGCAGACAGTAAACCACAGATAAAACAGCTTGGGCACAGAGGCAGGTGGGGGAAAAGTCTCTTGGGTAACTGCCAAACTTCACCCTCACACAATGGGCCCCAGTAAAACAGTGGGCCTTAATAAGCACATTCCTTTCCCTTCAGGTGCACTAAGGGAAGCTAAAAGCAGACTCAGGGGATATGTCTGCAGCTGCAGAAAGATGTATGGAAACAAGACACACAACTCTCCCTCCCAGATAAGAACAAAGAGATACAGAAGCAGTCCAAGCCTCTGATAAACTCTCCTACCCCGAATCCTTAAAAACTCACAGTCTGTAAAAGAGTGTGTCTCTGACCTAACTCGGCCAGAAGGCGCCTCTCAGGTTTGTTTTCTCTAAAATAAATCTGTCTTGACTGGAAAGCCACCTTTTTGTGTTTCTTTCCTCTTTCTTTAATTCTTACAGCTACCTGGATGACAACATGGACCACAGCCACCAGCAGACCTGGAACGTTAGCCCTTAGACAATGATAGAAGGCAAAAGTAAACTTCTAACTTGTTCCAGCCAGTAAATGATTGTTCATTTTCTTTGTTACAGCAGCCCAACCTTACACTGGGTGACAAACCTTATGGAGTTCCCACACCCAAGATAGTCCAGGAGAAGAAGAGAAGGAACAGTTGAAGAGTATGACTCTTGCTTAAGGGTGGCAAAGGGAGCAGCAAAACATTTTCCCCAATGGCCTTGAGCAGAATAGGTGTGGCATATATTGCTGACAGATATGAAGAGGTCTTGAGGTCCAGATGAGGCAGACACAACAGCAAACCACATGGACAGATGACCTTACACAAGATGGGAAGGAGGATGTCGGTGTGGACACGTGATAAAAACTAGATACTCCTGGGTGAGGCATGGTGGCTCATGCTGTAATTCCAGCACTTTGGGAGGCTGAGATGGGAGGATCACTTGAGGCAAGGAGTTCAAGACCATCTTGGACAATCTAGTAAGACCCTATTGCTACCAAAAAATTTTAAATTAGCCTTGCATGGTGGCATGTGCCTGTACTCCCAGCTACTCAGGAAGCTGAGGTGGGACGATCACCTGAGTCCAGGAATTGGAGGCTACAGTGAGCCATGATTGCACCACTGCACTCCAGCCTGCACAACAGAGCAAGACCCTGTCTCAAAATAAAACAAGCTGGGCACAGTGGCTCACACCTGTAATCCCAGCACTTTGGCAGTCTGAAGTGGGCAGATTGCTTGAGCTCAGGAGTTTGAGACCAGCCTAGGCAACATGGCAAAACCCCATCTCTACCAAAAATACAAAAATTAGCTGGACATGGTGGTGTGTGCTTATGGTCCCAGCTACTCAGGAGGCTGAGGTGGGAGGATCACTGGAGCCCAGGAAGTTGAGGCTGCAGTGAGCCATGATTGTGCACTGCACTCCAGCCTGGATGACAGAACAAGACTCGGCCTCAAAAAAAAAAGTAAAAAGGACTTATATACTCCTAACCCACTCCATTTCACCTCCTACACACATTCCCTGGGACTGTGGGACAACCTAAATTATCCCTGTTTAAGACCAAATTTTCACTTATACACTGGATCCTATCCCCACTCACCTATCAAAGATTTTGCTCCCACAAGTTTTTCCTCTTTCTCTTGCACAATTTCCCCCTTTACTGTAATAGCCCCCACTTAATAAAAACAAACAGGTCGGGAGTGGTGGCTCAAGCCTGTAATCTCAGCACTTTGGAAAGCTGAGGCAGGCGGATCACTTGAGGTCAGGAATTCGAGACCAGCCTGGCCAACATGGTGAAACCCTGTCTCTACTAAAAATACAAAAAAAAGGCCAGGTACGGTGGCTCACACCTGTAATCCCAGCACTTTGGGAGCCGAGGCGGGCGGATCACCTGAGGTCGGAAGTTCGAGACCAGCCTGACCAACATGGAGAAACCCCATCTCTACTAAAAATACAAAATTAGCTGGGCATGGTGGCGCATGCCTGTAATCCCAGCTAACTTGGGAGGCTGAGGCAGGAGAATCGCTTGAACCCGGGAGGCAGAGGTTGCGGTGAGCCAAGATCGCGCCATTGTACTCCAGCCTGGGCAACAAGAACGAAACTCTGTCTCAAAAACAAAACAAACAACAACAACAACAACAAACAAAAACAATCAGTCAGGCATGGTAGCGCACACCTGTAATCCCAGCTACTCATGAGGCTGAGGCAGGAGAATTGATTGAACCCAGGGTGCAGAGGTTGCAGTGAGCCAAGATCATGCCACTGCACTTCATCCTGGGCAACAGAGCGAGACTGTCTCAAAACAAACAAACCAGCCTTCCCCTGACCCTCACAGCCCCCCTCAACTATTGCCTCATTTTTCTGTTTTCCTTTGTAGCAAAATTCCTCTAAAACTTTCTCTATACTCAATGGCTCCACTTCCACACTTCTCATTCTCTCTTTCTCATCCCCACAACCCCCATTCTATCTAAAGACAAAAATTAAAACCTATTCCAATCATGCTTTTCTTTCTGCCAAGTCAGTGAAACCACTCTTATCAAGGTCAGCAAACACATCTATTCTACCAAAGCTCTAAGCAACCTTTAACACAGCCAATTATTTATTTCCTTCACCTGGCTTCTCAGACGCAAAACTCCCCTAGTTTTCTTCCTACCTCACTGATTATACCTTCTATCTCATTTGTCAGATTACCAGCCCTCCTTCTGCCACCCCATCCTTGGTTCCCAATCTCCTAATGTTTGGAGTTTCAAGTCTCTCTTAGGAACTTACTCAAACTTACTCTGGTTTGAATGTCCCCTCCAAAACTCGGGTTGAAATTTAACAACAATTGTGATGATATTAAGGTGTGGGTCATTTAAGAGGTGATTAGGTCATCATGGTTTCACCCTCATTAATTGCTTACTGCCATTGTCACAGCAGTTTGGCCCCGTTTTTCTCTCTCTCTTGTCCTCTCTTACTATATCATGGCATCTTCTGCCATGGGATGACCCTCACCAGAGGCTAGTGTCATGCTCTTGGACTTCCCAGCCTCTATAACCATGAGCCAAATAAGCCTCTATTGTTTATAAATTACTCAGTCTGTGTTATTCTGTAATAGCAGCAGAAAACAGACTAAGAAAAACTCTTCTCTCCCTTCACTCACTCTCCAGGTGATCTCATGGCTTGTAAAACAATCTAAAATATTCATGACTTCCAAATTACACCTCCAGCTTTGACTGCTGCTCTGCACCCCAGGCTTGTATCTCTAACTGCCTACTCATCTCACAGTCATTTCAAAAGTTTCATGGCCAAAACAGAAGCCTTGCTTTTCCCTTCCAAATCTGTCCCTCTACTGCTCTTCCCATCTCAGTAAATTCTATTAGTTTACCCAGTTGCTTATGCCAAAAACCTAGGATGCATCCATGATTCCTCTTCACTGCTCATACCAGATCCAATCCCTCACCAGCCATGTAAGTTCTAGTCTTAAAATGATCCCATCTTCATAATCTTGGATTTGGCAATGGGTTTTTTTCTGTTTGTTTTTTTTTTTGATGGTGTCTCTGTCACCCAGGCTGGAAGTACAGTGGCATGATCTCTGCTCACTGCAACCTCCACCTCCTGGGTTCAAGCAATTCGCCTGTCTCAGCCTCCTGAGTAGCTGGGTTTACAGGCTTCCGCCACCATAATTAGCTAATTTTTGTAATTTTAATAAAGACGGGGTTTCACCACGTTGGCTAGGCTGGTCTTGAACTCCTGACCTCAGGTGATCTGCCTGCCTCAGCTTCCCAAAGTGCTGGGATTACAGGCATGAGCCACTGCGCCCAGCCATGGTTTCTTAATTATAACACGAAAGTACAAGCAAAAAAAAAATTAAATTAGACTAAATTAAAATTTAAAATGTTTATGCATCAAAGGACATTATCAAGAGCATGAAAAGACAACTCACAAAATGGGGGAATATATTTGCAAATCATTTATCTGACAAAGGATTAATATTCAGAATATATAAAGAACTTCTATAACTCAACAACAAAAAACAAACAATTTAATTCAAAAATCAACAAGGCACACACTTGTAGTCCTAGCTACTCAGGAGGCTGAGGCAGGAAGATAGATCATTTGAGCCCAGGAGTTTGAGGCTTCAGTGAGCTATGATTGAACCACTGCACTGCAGCGCAGGTGACAGAATGAGACCCAGTCTAAAAAAAAAAAAAAAATTAAAGTTGCCCTGAACCCTGATTGCCAATATTTTCTAGCCCCTTCCCTGCTTTGCAGCCCTCACCAGACAATCCAACCTGCTGGCACCATGATCTTGGACTTCTCAGCCTCCAGAACTTTGAGAAATAAATGTCTGTTCTTTATAATTTAGCCAGTCTCAAGTATTTAACCAGTCTCAAGTATTTTGTTATAGCAACACAAAACAGACTAAGACAGGTGGGACCAATCCAAATGTCCATCAGCAGATTAAAAGATAAACAAACTGTTTATATATACAATGGAATATTATCCAGCTGTAAAAAGGAATGAAGTTCTGATACATGCTTCAACATGGATAAAGCTTGAAAACATGCCGAGTGAAGTAACCCAGACACAAAGAGACAAACATTATGATTTCAGTCACCTAGGAAGGCAAATTCATAGAGAAAGTAGAATAAAGGTTACCAGGGGCTGGAGGCTGGACATAGAGGGGAAAGGAGAGTTATTGCTAAATGGGTACAGAGTTTTTTGGGTTTTTTTGAGACAGGGTCTTGCTCTATCACCCACAGGCTGGTCTTGCTCTGTCACCCACAAGGCAGTGGTGTGATCTTGGTTCACTGCAGTTTTGACCTCCTGTGCTCAAGCCGTCCTTCCGCCTCAGCCTCCTGAGTAGCTGGGACTACAGGCAAACATGCCACCATGCCCAGCTAATTTTCTGTATTATTGGTTGAGATGGGGTTTCGTCATGTTGCCCAGGCTGGTCTCAAACTCCTGAGCTCAAGCAAGTTGCCTGCCTCAGCCTCCCAAAGTGCTGGGATTACAGGGGAATGACGGCTAAAAATCTTCCTATTGGGTACTGTGTTCACTACATGGGTGACAGGACAATAGAAGCCCATACCTCAGCATCATGCAATATACCCTTGTAACAAACTGCACATGTACCCTGTGAATCTAAAAAAATAAACAAATAAAACAGAGCCACTCCCATCATCCCATGTTCCTTTTCCCTGCTTTATTTTTTCAGAACTTAGCATCACCTGAAATTGCATTATTCAATTTCAAATAAACATATTTATTTATATGTAAATATTTATATTTATTTAAATAAATAAATATATGTATTTGCTCATATATAATCTGTCTCCTTCATCCAGGAATGGAAGCTCTAGGAGGACAAGGTCTTGGTCATTTCATCGTTGTGCTTCCAGGACCTAGCACTGTGCCTGATACTTAGTAGATGTTCAGTGCATGTTTATTGAATAAATAAATTAGAAATTAAATCTAGTTTTTTAAAAAGTTTTATTTCGGCTGGGTGCGGTGGCTCATGCCTGTAATCCCAGCACTTTGGGAGGTCGAGGCGGGAGGATCATGGTCAGGAGTTCGAGACCAGCCTGACCAATGTGATGAATCCCTGTCTACTAAAAATACAACAAAATTGGCCGGGCGTGGTGGTGCACGCCTGTAGTCCCAGCTACTTGAGAGGTTGAGGCAGGAGAATCGCTTGAACCCAGGAGGCGGAGGTTGCAGTGAGCCGAGATCATGCCATTGCATTCCATCCTGGCCAATAAAGTGAGACTCCGTCTCAAAAAAAAAAAAAAAAAGAAAGAAAGAAAAGAAGAAGAAGAGGCATTGTCTCTTCTCTCTCTAGGCTTCCAAGATACTATTATCCGGTCCCAGGGATTTAAATACCACATACCTGCTGACATTCCCCACAAAACTGTATCTTCATCCTAGAACTCACCTCTAAGAGATACACAGAATAGAGCCTGCTGCCTACATGATGTCTCCCCCAGATGCCCCACAGGCATCTAGAAATTAACATGTCAGAACAAAATTCTTGGTTTTGTCTCTGAAACCTGTCCTTCTAGTCTTCCCTTTTGCTGGAAATACTACCACCACACACATAGCTGAGCACATTGACCATAATTTCTTCCTTTCCCTCACCACCTCCCAAATTCAATCCATCCCTAAGTCCTATTGATTTTACCTCCAAAATATATGTTGAATCTGTCCACTTCTTTCCACTGCAAACTTTTAACCATCACCTCTCATCTAGATGCCTGCAATAATCCTCCTAAATGATCTCTCTGCCTTTACTCTGGCCCCCTGCTGTCTTTTCTCCTCCTAGCAGCCAAAGAAATCTTAAAAATATAAATCCAGACTGGGCATGGTAGCTCACACCTGTACATCTCAGCACTTTGGGAGGCTGAGGTGGGAGGATCACTTGAGCCCAGAAGTTCAAGAGCAGCCTGGACAACAGGGAGAAACCCCATCTCTAAAACAAAAAAAAAGCTTAAAAAAAACCCATAAACCAATCATGTTATTTGCCTGCTTAAAAACTGTCACTGGCTTCTTTCCCATTGTACTTTGAGCAAACTCCATATCCATGGCAGGGTTTACAGCTCTGCACATTTGGCCCTGGTGTCCTGGCGGCATCTTCACTCACCCTCAGCTATACTGGCCTCTTCTCCATTTCTTGAACATGCGACGTTCTATTTCATCTCAAAGTCTTCCCCTTCTCTTCTGCCCAGAACATTCTTGGTTAAGTCACATGGCTAAGTCCTTCTTGACCTTCAGGTCTTGGCATCTTCTCCGAGAGTTTTTTCCCTGACCGGCTCTATCTAAATGAGTCCCCCTGCCTTCTCCTCATTGTCTGTCCCTGTGGTGTATCTTTTAATTCACAGTCCTTGCTTCTTAGCTATCTTTGCCATTACATTGTTGGCTTCACAAGGGCTGGGATCATGCCTTTTCTTTTCTTTCTTTCTTTCTTTTTTTTAAAGAGGCAGGGTCTCATTCTGTTGCTGAGGCTGGAGTGCAGTGGTGCAATCATAGCCCACTGCAGCCTCTAACTCCTGGGCTCAAGTGATTCTCCCGCCTCAGCCTCTTCAGTAGCTAAGACTACAGGTGCGCACCAAGTTGTAGAGACAAGGTCTCACTATGTTGCCCAGGCAGGTCTCAAACTCCTGGCCTCAGCAATCCTTCAACTTCGGCCTCCCAAAGCACTGGATTACAGGTGAGCCACCATGCCTGGCCATATCATGCCTTTTTTTTTTTTTTTAGACCGGGTCTGTCTCTGTAGTTCAAGCTGGAGTACAGTGGCGTGATCTCAGCTCACTGTAACCACCTCCCTGGTTCAAGCCATTCTCCCATCTCAGCTTTCTGAGTAGCTGGGACTACAGTCCCACGCCAACACAACCACCTAATTTTTTTTTTCTTTGTAGAGACAGGGTTTTCCCGTGTTGTCCAGGCTGCTCTCAAACTCCTGGGCTCAAGCGATCCTTCTGCCTCAGCCTCCCAAAGTGTCAGTATTACAGGCTTGAGCCACTGTGCCCAGCCCTCATGTCTTTTTTATACACCAGTGTATCCCCAGTGCCTAAGCCAGAGCCTGGCACAAATGCTCTATAAAGATTTGTTGATTGAACGGACTGGGCACACTCCAGCCTGAACGATAGAGCCAGACCCTGTCTTTTTGGGAAAAAAAAAAAAAAAAAGGAGGCATGATATGGCCAGGCATATTGGCTCACCTGTAATCCCAGTGCTTTGGGAGGCCAAGGCTGGAGGATGCTTGAGGCCTGTAATCCCAGCACTTTGGGAAGCTGACAGGGGCAGATCACTTGAGCTCAGGAGTTCGAGACCAGCCTGGCCAACATGGCCAAGCCATGTTTCTACTAAAAATACAAAAATTAGCCAGGTGTGGTGGTGCAGGTCTATAATCCCAGTTACTTGGGAGACTGAGGCATGAGAATCGCTTGAACCCAGGAGGTGAAGGTTGCAGTGAGCCAGAGATTGCACCACTGCACTCCAGCCTGGGGAACAGAGGGAGATTCTGTCTCAAAAAAATAAATAGGCTGAGCACAATGGCTCATGCCTGTAATCCCAGCACTTTGGGAGGCTGAGGTAGGCGGATCACCTGAGGTCAGGAGTTCGAGACCAGCCCGGCCAACATAGTGAAACCCCAGTCTCTACAAAAATCCAAACCATATTTCTATGAAAAATACAAAAATTAGCTGGGCGTGGTGGCACAGGTCTGTAATCCCAGCTACTTGGGAGGCTGAGGCAGGAGAATCCCTTGAACCCAGGAGGCAGAGGTTGCAGTGAGCTGAGATTGCACCATTGCACTTCAGCCTGGACAACAAGAGCAAAACTCCCTCTCAAAAAAATGAATTAATTAATTAATTAAATAAAAAATAAATATTTATCGAATGAATGGTTCAATTAGCTTTGTGAAGGGGTTATAGAGATGGCCTTGATATGATGGCCCACAGTCTGATGAAAACCAATAGGTAATTGTAAAACTGGTAATAGAGTGGAACTCAAAACTGAAGACAGTGGGAACAAAGAGAGGCTCTTACCCCACTGTAGGGTTTGTGTGTGAAAAGGGAGGCTGTGTTTACACGATTCAGTGCACCAGCATCTCTCTAGAAGAAATGCAGTTTTTTCTTCCAATACTAACATATATTAGTGTGCCAAGTTACATGTACTGTTTCTTGTTTGTTTTGTTTTTAATGTGCTCAGAATTATACAGCTTCTAAGTAGTAGAGCTGGGATTCAGTCACACAGTCTGGCTCTGAGCTTGCATTTTTCTTTTTTCTTTTCTTTTTGTTTGAGACGGAGTCTGGCTCTGTCGCCCAGGCTGGAGTGCAGTGTGGCGCAATATCAGCTCACTGCAACTTCTGCCTCCCGGGTTCAAGCAATTCTCCTGCCTCAGTCTACTGAGTAGCTGGGATAACGAGCACTCACCAGATGCCCAGCTATTTTCTGTATTTTTAGTAGAGATAGGGTTTCACCATGTTGGCCAGGCTGGTCTCGAACTCCTGACCTCAAGTGATCTGTCCCCCTCGGCCTCTCAAAGTGTTGGGATTACAGGCGTGAGCCACCACGCCCAGCCACTTACATTCTTTTTTTTAAAAAAAAAACATAATTTGAGGCCAGATGCAGTGGTTCACAACTGTAATCCTAGCACTTTGGGAGGCTGAGGTGGAAGGATCACTTGAGCCTAGGAGTTGGAGAGCAGCCTGGACAATACAGTGAAACTCCGCCTCTATAAAAAATACAAAAATTGGCCAGGCGCAGTGGCTCACGCCTGTAATCCCAGCACTTCGGGAGGCCGAGGCAGGCAGATCACGAGGTCAGGAGTTCAAGACCAGCCTGGTCAATATGGTGAAGCCCCATCTCTACTAAAAATACAAAAATTAGCTGGGCATGGTCACGCATGCCTGTAATCCCAGCTACTCGGGAGGCTGAGGCAGGTGAATTGCTTGAACCTGCGAGGCGGAGGTTGCAGTGAGCCGAGATCACGCCACTGTACTCCAGCCTGGGCAACAGAGTGAGACTACGTCTCAAACAAACAAACAAAAAAATTAGCCTGCCGTGAAGAACTTGGTAGTGTGTGCCTGTAGTCTCAGCTTCTCAGGAAGCTGAGGTTGGAGTATCACCTGAGCCCAGGGATGTTGAGGCTGCAGGGAGCCAAGATTGAGCCTTTGCACTCCATCCTGGGGGAGAGTGAGACCCTCTCTCAAAAAGTAATAATAATAATAATTTGAAATGAAATTCACATAACATAAAATTAAGCATTTTAAAGTGAACAATTCAGTGGTATTTAGTATATTCACCATGTTGAGGCTGGGCGTGGTGGCTCACACCTGTAATCCCAGATTTTGGGAGGCTGAGGCGGGCAGATTACTTGAGGTCGGGAGCTCGAGACCAGCCTGGCCAACATGGCAAAAACCATCTCTACTAAGAATACAAAAATTAGCCGGCCACGGTGGTGCATGCCTGTAATTCCAGCTACTCAGGAGGCTGAGGCAGGAGAATCGCTTGAACCCGGGAGGTGGAGGTTGCAGTGAGCTGAGATCGCACCACTGCACTCCAGCCTGGGTGACAGAGTAAGACTCCGTCACAAGAAAAAAAAAAAAAAAGCCGGGCACAGTGGCTCACGCCTGTAGTCCCAGCACTTTAGGAGGCCGAGGCAGGCGGATCAACTGATCCAGGAACTCCTGAGGTCAGGAGTTCAAGACCAGCCTGGTCAACATGGTGAACTCCATCTCTACTAAAAATACAAAAGTTATCCAGGGGTGGTGGCACGCGCCTGTAATCCCAGCTACTCAGGAGGCTGAGGCAGGAGAATCACCTGAACCCCTGGGAGGTGGAGGTTGCAGTGAGCCAAGATTGCGCCACTGCACTCCAGTCTGGGAGACAGAGCCAGACTCTGTCTCAAAAAAAAAAAAAAAAAAAAAGTATATTCACCATGTTGAACAACCGTTACCTCTATCTAGTTCCAAAACATTTTCATCACTCCAAAAGCCCCTTACCCATTAAACAATTTCCCCACATTTTCCTCCACGTACTGTTTTTATTTGTATTTGCATATATATTTTGAGACAGGGTCTCACTCTGTCACCTAGGCTGGAGTGCAGTGGCATAATCATGGCTCAGGGCAGCCTCGACTGTCCAGGCTCAAGGGATCCTCCCGCCTCAGCCGCCTGAGTAGCTGGAACCACAGGCTCGTGCCACCACACCCGGCTAATTTTTAAAAAAGTTTTTTTGTAGAAATGGGGTCCCACTGTGTTGCACAGGCTGGTCTTTTTTTTTTTTTTTTTGAGACGGAGTCTTGCCCCGTAGTCCAGGCTGGAATTCAGTGGCATGATCTTGGCTCACTGCAACCTCTGCCTCCCAGGTTCAAGCAATTCTCTTGTCTCAGCCTCCCGAGTA
This sequence comes from Homo sapiens, assembly GCF_000001405.40. Taxonomy (NCBI): domain Eukaryota; kingdom Metazoa; phylum Chordata; class Mammalia; order Primates; family Hominidae; genus Homo; species Homo sapiens. The sequence goes on from NC_000001.11 coordinate 27,724,362, forward strand.
GCTGGGACTACAGGCGCCTGCCACCACGCCCGGGTAATTTTTGTATTTTAGTAGAGACAGGGTTTGACCTTGTTGGTCAGGCTGGTCTGGAACTCCTGACCTCAGGTGATCCTCGGGTGATTCACCCGCCTCGGCCTCCCAAAGTGCTGGGATTACAGGCGTGAGCCACCGCGTCCGGCCGACCCAGGCTGGTCTTAAATCCCAAGGCTCAAGTGATCCTCTGGCCTCAGCCTCCCAAAGTGCTGGGATTACAGTTGTGAGCCATCCCGCCCCGACTCATGTACTGGTTTTGATTCTCACAATGACCTCATTGTACAATTGAGAAAAACGAGGCCGTGAGAAGTTCAGTGATAGATCCAAGGTCATGTAGTTAGTTGTGGAACAGTGATTTGGAAACTTTGCTTTCTGATCCTAATGATTAATGCACATCTTTGGGGGATCCTACAAGGAAGCAGCCAGATTTGGGTTCAGAGAGAGTAAATTTTTTTTGTTGAGGCAGGGAAATAGAAGCCATTAAGTCAGTTTTTAATTGTAAAAAGCGCACGTTGAGGTAAAACTGCAATTAGTCCTGTACGGGTGGTTGGCAGAGCCAAGAGTAACCTATGCCCAAGAGCAGCTACAAGGCAGGACTTGGATAGGTCAGCAGTGCAGGAAGCTTTGCCAACACCTCAAGAACAAGAAGTCTGTCATTCCTTGGGCAGCTCCTATACATGCCAAGCTGGAGCCAAAGAGAGGCAGGGGAGCCCGGAGGGCGTGGCTTGCCTTCCGGAAGTCAGGCCTCGTCAGGAATCACCAGGTGGTTGCTTGCGAGAGAAGCTGGGGGTGAAACCGGAGAAAACAAAGTAGGAAGCAGGTCTGGGCCAATTGCAGCCCACTCTGATGGGGGCCTGCAGGCCACCGGACGCCTGAATATCTGTCCAATCCCTCCTGGAAGGACTGCCATCTCTTTAGTCCCTCTTCCGCAGCATAGGGGTGCTCTCTCTGGGGCTCTCCTTTTCTCTCCTAAGGCCCACAGCCCCACAGTTCCCTATTTAGGTGTCTTAAATTGAGGACACACTTCTAAATTGTCCCTCAGAGTCTCGTCTCCTCCTTTGAGCGAGGCTGGGCGGGCTCCTCCTGCTCCGATTATGAGGAACTTCTTTCCCAAGCTCCCCACCTTCTTTGGGCTTGGACGGCTGCAGAGTTCCAGTTAACTGTGCGCCGCCTTCGTTCCAATTGTACCCCTCGTGCTCCCAGAGGGCAGCTCCATGGAAACCAAAACATCACAAATCCCCGAAGGTATCGCGAGAAGCGCAGATGCGCCTGAGGCCGTGGAGAGGCGGAGCGAGGGCGGGAACGCTGAGCAAGTAGGGCGGAGCCTAAGCTCTTCCGAGGTCCCGGCCGGGAGCCTGTCCCCTCCAGGTGGCGCCCCCGCGTGACTGCGCTTTACATAATCGCGGCCTGGAGCGTCACAGTGGCGTACTCCAGGCCAGACCGAATCAGAGTGGGCGAAAGCTCCGTGTTCCGCCCCTTCCCACTTGATCGACGTCAAAGCCCACCAGTGAGCGGGCGTCTAGAGTCGCCGTGCCCGCCCCAGCCCGCCCGGGTCCGCCCCGACCCGCCTGCGCCCGCCCGCCTGCCGCAGCCAGCAGCCTGCAGCCGCCGCCGGGTTGTGCCTCAGACTGTCAGATAAATCGGCGGGCCGGGCCGGCGGGTCGGTGAGCGCGGCCCGGGCCGGACATGGCGGCGCTCTACGCCTGCACCAAGTGCCACCAGCGCTTCCCCTTCGAGGCGCTGTCTCAGGGGCAGCAGCTGTGCAAGGTGCGCGGGCTGGGGCGGCGGCCGGGAACTGGGGACGCAGGAGGCGCGGCCCGGAGCTCCAGATTCTGTGGGGACGCCCGGCGGGGTCCCCGGAGCAGGGTGTGGCAGGCCCGCCAGGCTGAGGAGCCGCACCCACCCCGCTGGGGGCCGGCGGGGCACGTGCGGGAGCCGGGACCCGGTCCAGGCTCCCGCGGCCGGCGTGTCCGGGTGCTTAGCAACCGTGGGGATTGTTCTCGGACCCCGTGAGGTCGGGGGAGGGACAGCGGGTCCCCTGCTTGCCCTGACTGGTCGCCTTCGGGATCCCTTTGCGCTGCCTCCCCCGCCGCCGCGGTCTCCCTGGTGGGGACCTCCTGCCCCTCCTGGGACTGAACTCCAAAGTTGGGTGCTGCCTTGGAGGAATGTGTCGAACTCGGGCTCCTCACGGGCACTTTTCGACCAGTTTCAGAATCGGAGGTAGCAAGGCTTGATTTTTTTTTTTTTTTTAAGCATCTCACTTTTCGGCCAGTCTCAGAATCGGAGGCAGCAAGGCTTTATGTTTTAAAAAAGCCCCACAGTCAGGCTCACAGATCCGAGGGATCACTTCTCAGCATCCAGTTGGTGGTCTTCGGTCTTCCCTGACTAGCTGCTGATCAGTTTTTGCTCCTGAAGGTCCAACTTCTCTTTTTCTTTTAAGTTGCTTTATCCCACTTTTACTTTTTAAGTGACTAGAGGTGCTGTGAGGCAACAGTTAAAAAGTCACCAAACTGGCTGAAGAATAATGTTGAGGTTATCCAATAATCCAGTTTGTGTCTCTGATTTGGATAACTCATAATTGTCACTTTTGCCTCAGATGGTCATGACTTTCCATTTGCCAGTTTTTATATACCAGGTCTGGGGGAATGCAAGTGCTTGAGTGCCCTTTTTGGCCTCAAAATATGTATATATGATTTTAAGGAAGTTATGTATATATAAATAATAATTTTAATCCAGCACTTTCATTTCACAAGTAAACCGCAAAATCACACAGTGGCAGAAGAACCAGGCCTGGAATTCAGGGCTTCTGATTCCCAGTCTGGGACTTGTTCATATATATGTTTGTTTTACAATTTATGGCTAGTTCCATATAATCCATATAAGTTCTTACTTAACTCCCACATCAACAGTAGGGAAGTGATGCCAGTATTACAGAGGAGAAAAATAAGGCCCAGAAAGTTTAAGTGACTCACTCAAGCATAGTAGCTATGCTAGAAATAGTACCCAGGTCGGCTTCCTACTGAAGGCTGTTTCCATTTGTGACTGCCTTTTAAAATTATATCCTCATTTCATTTCAGGAATGTCGGATTGCACACCCTGTTGTGAAGTGCACCTACTGCAGGACTGAGTACCAGCAGGAGAGGTAGAGTTTTGTTGACCATGAAAGATATTAATAGGCTTTTTTCCTCTTAAAATCTGTAATTGATTGCATTTCATGTACAGATGCTATAATCAGTTGCATTGTAAAATACAGATCTGTAATCAATCACATTATATACAGACTATAATTGCTAAATATTTAGGTCTATGATCCATCTTGAGTTAATTCATGTGTGGGGTGAGATATACAATGAAGGGTATATAATACATGTATTGTTTCCTAGTTATTATCCATTGATTGCTTAAATTTTTTTTTTTTTTTTTTTTTTTTTGAGATGGAGTCTCACTCTGTCACCCAGGCTGGAATGAAGTGGTATGATCTCAGCTCACTGCAACCCTTCCCTCCCAGGTTCAAGCGATTCTTATGCCTCAGCCTCCCAAGTAGCTGAGATTACAGGTGCCTGCCACCATGTCCGGCTAGTTTTTTTGTATTTTTAGTAGACGGGGTTTCACCATCTTGGCCAGGTTGGTCTTGAACTCCTGACCTCGTGATCCACCCGCCTCAGCCTCACAAAGTGCTGGGATTACAGGCGTGAGCCACCACGCCCAGCCTGCTTAAATTTTTAAAGTTCTTTTTAAGACCCTTGATCATTTTATATTGTGATTATAATCTTTTTGTCAAGAAGAAACCAATCCCACAACAGTAAAACATGAGCCTCATGTTTCAATATGTACATACACAGAGATTGAAGAATTTATAAGCCCAAAGAAGATACTTTTGGAAATGTGACAATCCTGATAAGAGTTTGCTAGCTCTAGTCACATTTGAAACTCACTTGCCATTACACTTTCCTTGGGCAAATCTCTTTTTTTGTTTGAAACAGAGTCTCTCTCTCCCAGTCAGGTTGGGGTGCAGTGGAGCCGTCATGGCTCACTGCAGCCTGGACCTCCCGGGCCCAAGTGATCCTCCCACCTCAGCCTACCAAGTAACTGGGACCACAGGTGTGTGCCACCACGCCCAGCTAATTTTTTTATTTTTGTAGAGATAAGATTTTGCCATGTTACCCAGGCTGGTCTCTTACTCATGGGCCCAAGTGATTCCTTCCTCGTTAGCCTCTCAAGATGTTGGAATTACAGGCGTGAGCCACCACGCCTGGGCAAATCTCATTTTTAAAAGTGTGAAATGGGCTGGGTACGGTGGCTCATGCCTGTAAACCCAACACTTTGGGAGGCTGAGGCAGGTGTATCACCTGAGGTCAGAAGTTCGAGACCAGCCTGGCTAACATGACGAAACCCAGTCTCTACTAAAAATACAAAAAAATTACCTGGGTGTGGTGGCACACACCTGTAGTCCCAGCTACTTGGGGGGCTGAGGCAGGAGAATTGCTTGAACCCAGGAGGTGGAGGTTGCGGTGAGCTGAGATTGCGCCACTGCACTCCAGCCTGGGTGACGGGGGGAAACTCTGTCTCAAAAAAAAAAAAAAGTGTGAAATGCAGGTATGAGTGGTCAGACATCTTTAGGGGGCATTTCCATAGCAACAAAGTGATTTTTTTTTGGTACCAAGTTTGATTCTTGTGGAACTTCTGTGAGTGTAGGTGATCCTGCCTTGAGGAGAGTGGGATCTATTTGTTAATTCATCCATTAGACCTAGAAGCCTATTTTTAATTATTCATTTCAATTCTTAGAATATCTTCTCCAAGATTTTATCATGGATTTTTTTTTTTCTTTTATGAGACAGGGTCTCTCTCTGTCACCCAAGCTGGAGTGCAGTGAGATGATCTCAGCTCACTGCAACCTCCCCTCTCCGGGCTCAAATGATCCTCCCACCTCAGCCTCCCATATAGCTGGGACCAGGGGTGCACACCACCACACCCAGCTTTTTTTTTGTATCTTTAGTAGAGACAGGGGTCTTGCCATGTTGCCCAGGCTGGTCTAGAACTCTTGAGCTCAACCAGTCTGCCTGCCTCGGCCTCCCAAAGTGCTGGAATTACAGGCGTGACCGACCACACCCAGCCTATCATGGATGTTTTCAAACAAAAAAAAAAGGTTAAAAGAATTAGTGAACACCCATATGCCCTCTACTTAAATTCTATCATATACACTTTACTATATATTCACCTATCCATCTGTTCATCTCTCTCTCCATCACTATATCAATTCATTTTATTTCTGATGTATTTAAAGTTGCAGACATCAGTATACATGACCCTTAAACACTTCAGCATGCACAGCATTATTTAGAGTTAAATATTTGTTTGCAGCTCTTTTTGTGTGTGTGTGGCAAAATTGGCTTACACTAACATGCTTGAATCTTAAATGCATCAAGTTTTACAAACATAGACATCTGTGTAGCCCCAAACCCTATCAAAATACAGAATGTTACTGTCACCCCATAGAGTCCTCTCATGCCCCATCCTAGACAATCCCCACACCCTTGCTTCCTCCAGGCAACCCCTGTTCTACTTTTCATTTCCACCATAAATTAGTTTTGCCTATTCTGGGACTTCATGTTAGTGGAATCATACTCTAGAAGCTTTATATGTTAGCTCTTAAATTTAGGTCTATGGTCCATCTTGAGTTAATTCATATGTGGGGTGAGATAGGAACTATGACCCTTTATTTACACTATACATACAAATTAATTCAAGATGGATCATAGAGTTAGTTTTTCTTTTCTTTTTCTTTTCTTTTTTTTTTGTTGTTGTTGTTGAGACAGAGTTTCGCTCTTGTTGCCCAGGCTAGAGTGCAATGGCACGATCTCGGCTCACTGCAACCTCCACCTCCCAGGTTCAAGCGATTCTCCTGCCTCATCCTCCCGAGTAGCTGGGATTACAGGCATGTACCACCGCGCCCAACTAATTTTGTATTTTTAGTAGAGATGGGGTTTCTCCTTGTTAATCAGGCTGGTCTCAAACTCCGGACCTCCGGTGGTCTGCCTGCCTCGGCCTCCCAAAGTGCTGGGATTACAGGCATGAGCCACCGCGCCCAGCCTAGAGTTAGTTTTTCTTTGCATGTTTTTTAACATGTTAGGAACATATGTATATATTGACATCTACCCCATTCCTTCAGTAGTAAATCTAGGCGTAAATCAAAATGCTATTCTACATCACAGAATCATTGATGGTAATCCTCTTTCTAGAGATTTCTTTGAATGTCCTTCACTTATTTTACTGTCTTTTAAAAGTAACAGAAAATTGCCCTGAAAAATAATTTATAATTTAAATATTTTCTACTCTGAGGTTTTTCTTTTGTCTATTTTAACTTTATAGTCACTTTCACAGGAATTATATGGGAAAATGATCACAAAGCAGAGAATAGACTAGTTTTTTGTGTGTGTGTGTGACAGGGTCTCACTCTGTCACTCAGGCTGGAGTGCGGTGGCACAATTGTAGCCCACTGAAACCTTGAACTCCCAGGCTGAGCCTCCTAAAGTGCTGGGATTACAGGCATGAGCCACTGTGCCTGGCCTTAAGATTTTTATGTGATTTATTAGTTTTTAGCCCCAAAGTACTGTTTAAATTGTTCTTACACATAAGACATTCATTTTTACCTCCTCATGTGAAGAGTTAGACTTTTATTTGAAGATGATTTTTCCCCCGGGCAGCTTTATTAATTCACACATTTAGGTAATAGGACCTCTGGATCTTCACAAGGCAAAGGATGTTTTTATTTTTGTCAGTGCTTAACTCTTAGAGAAATCAGAATTTTTTTTTTTTTTTTTTTTTTTTCGAGACACAGTTTTGCTGTTGCCCAGGCTGGAGTGCAATGGCGCAATCTTGGCTCACTGCAACTTCCATCTCCCAGGTTCAAGCGATTCTTCTGCCTCAGCCCCCTGAGTAGCTGGGATTACAGGCACACACCACCACGCCTGGCTAATTTTTTTGAATTTTTAGTAAAGACATGGTTTCACCATGTTGGCCAGGCTGGTCTCAAACTCCTGACCTCAGGTGATCTGCCTGCCTTGGCCTCCCAAAGTGCTGGGATTACAGGCATGAGCTACCGTGCCCGGCCTAAATATTGACAAAATATTTGATCATAGTGTCTTTTTCCCCACCTCTGGTGTTTTCATATGCCTTTACTTATGAAGGAGAGCACAGAGTAAGGTTAGCAAAGATAGAATCTCTGAGTTTATATTCCAGACACACATACTTTATTTGTCACCTCAAATTTCCCAACTATTCATCCGAATTAAGGAGAATTTATTTTTTTTTCCTGCTAGTCCATTTTAGTATAATATTTTGAGGGTGTTTTCTGTATCTGATAATTTTATTTAGTGATACTTGGGGATGTCATAATCAGAAATAACTCACTCTCCATTTTAGCCAAAGCCTCACTTGTTTTTTTGAGACGGAGTTTTGCTTTTGTTGCCCAGGCTGGAGTGCAGTGGTGAGGTCTCGGCTTACTGCAACCTCCGCCTCCCGGGTTCAAGTGATTCTCTTGTCTCAGCCTCCCAAGTAGCTGAGATTACAGGCACGCGCCACCACGCCTGGCTAATTTTTGTATTTTTAGTAGAGATGGAGTTTCACCATGTTGGCTGGGCTGGTCTCGGACTCCTGACCTCAGGTGATCCACCTCCCTCAGCCTCCCAAAGTGCTGGGATTATAGGCGTGAGCCACCACGCCCAGCCACATAATAATTAAAAGAGTTATTAGAGGCTAGGTGTAGTGTCTCACATCTGTAATCCCATCAGTTTGGGAGGCCAAGGCAGATGGATCGCTTGAGGTCAGGAGTTTGAGACCAGCCTGGCCAACATGGCGAAACCTTGTCTCTATCAAAAATATAAAAATTAGTTGGGTGTGGTGGTGCGCGCCTATGATTCCAGCTACTTGGGAGGCTGAGGCATGAGAATCGCTTGAACTTGGGAGGCAGAGGTTATAGTGAGCAGATTGCACCACTGCACTCCAGCCTGGGGAACAGAGTGAGACTCTGTCTCAAAAATATTGAATAAAAATAAAAGAGTTATTAGAAAGGTACTCAAGCTAGTGTTAACCAAGCATCCAGACCATATCTCACTTTGGCCCTTAGCAATGAGCAAATTCCTTGGGCTTAAGGAGGTATCAGTTTTCAGATATTCTAAGAAAAGCCTGTGTCTCTTTCTTCCTTAACAGTAAAACCAATACAATATGCAAGAAATGTGCTCAGAACGTGCAGTTGTATGGAACGGTAAGTAGGATATTTTCAAACCTAACAGTGAGTACTAGGGTCTTGTGGAACCTTACCTTCTGTGGCCTACTAATGCCATTACAATATTTTTATTAGAATAAATGGTTATGTGTAATATATCTGATACTGATTTCAGCTTTCACATTTAGCTAATGCTTATTGTTAAGGAACTCTGTGTTTATGGTCACACTGCCAGGATTATGATTATAATTTTCATTGAGAGGCTTCAGTGACCAGTATGGAAAGAGAAAGGGAAAGATGAAATTTTTTGTTTTTGTTTTTGTTTTTTTTTTTTTGTGACTGAGTCTTGGTCTGTCACCCAGGCTGGAGTGGAATGGCAGTCAAGTTCACTGCAACCTCCACCTCCTGGGTTCAAGTGATTCTCCTGCCTCAGCCTCCCGAGTAGCTGGGACTACAGGCACATGCCACCACACCTGGCTGATTTTTGTATTTTAGTAGAGATGGGGTTTCACCATGTTGGTCAGGCTGGTCTCGGACTCCTGAACTCAAGTGATCTGCCCACCTCAGCCTCCCAAAGTGCTGGGATCACAGGCGTGAGCCACTGCACCCGGCAAGATGAATTTTTATAACTTTGACCCCTTTGTTTGGTAACAGTTGACTAGTCATTTTGATGAATGATTCTCTTTTTCTCTTAGTGTTACAGTTCAGGATGTTATGTGCTTGTAAGCATTCTCCCAACATGTTTATGTACTGATAATAGCAAAGAGGCCTTTTCAGAAATTTGGAAGCCCTTGCTGGTTTCTCCAAAGAGCTGGTTCTGTTGCATGTCTCATAGAAGTCTCTGCATACATACTAATGGGTTTTTGTTATTTGTTTATTTATTTATTTAAAAATCAATAGTCCTGTGCAGAAAAACACTTCACATAGTATTAAGAATTGGGCTTCATGGCCGGGCGTGGTGGCTCACACCTATAATCCCAGCACATTGGGAGGCTGAGGCAGGCGGATCACCTGAGGTCAGGAGTTCTAGACCAGCCTGGCCAACATGGTGAAACCCCATCTCTAGGAAATAATACAAAAATTAGCTGGGCATAGTGGCAGGCACCTGTAATCCCAGCTACTCCGGAGGCTGAGGCAGGAAGAATTGCTTTAACCCGGGAGGTGGAGGTTGCATTGAGCTGAGATTGCGCCACTGCACTCCAGCCTGGGCAACAGAGCGAGACTCAAAAAACAAAAACAACAACAATAAAAAAGAATTGGGCTTCATTTGGTCAATATAAAAGCAGATTTATGAAGTCGGCAATACATTTGTACCATGACTAATGAACTACAAAGTAGGAATTATTGCTTTTTTAAATGCAGTGGTATTTTATGAAAGTAATACTTACTTGACTCTTTTTTCCCCTTTTAAGCCCAAACCTTGTCAGTATTGCAACATAATTGCAGCATTTATTGGGAATAAATGCCAGCGCTGCACAAATTCAGAAAAGAAGTATGGACCACCCTATTCTTGTGAACAGTGCAAGCAGCAGTGTGCATTTGACAGGAAAGATGATAGAAAGAAGGTAAATCTCTGTTTTTCTTGATTTCTTTTTTTCCTTTCAGAGAAATTAAGGTGGACTAACTGTGTTAAAAACACATTTAATAGGCCGGGCGTGGTGGCTCATGCCTGTAATCCCAGCACTTTGGGAGGCCGAGGCTAGTGGATCATGAGGTCAGGAGATCAAGACTATCGTGGCTAACATGGTGAAACCGCGTCTCTACTAAAAATACAAAAAATTAGCCAGGCGTGGTGGCATGCGCCTGTAGTCCCAGCTACTCAGGAGGCTGGGGCAGAAGAATCACTTGAACCCGGGAGGCAGAGGTTGCAGTGAGCTGAGATCATGCCACTGCACTCCAGCCTGAGTGACAGAGCAAGACTCTATCTCAAAACAAAAAAACAAAAAAACACACATTTAACAAAGAAAGATTTCTCAGTTTCTTTCCTGGTTCTATTATTGACCTTAAAGAAGATATTCATATTTTGTTTTCTTCATTCATAAAATGTGGACCATTATATTCTAACATTTCACGAGAATTGAATTACAGTGATCACGTAAGTGAAATGGTGATTGGCAGAATTCTATGGAATTCTGTAAAGGAGAGATTGTAACTTAAGCAAGATGGAGTGGCATTACCAGTTTTACTATCTGGCTCTTTAAATGTTTCTATCTGTTGGCTCTTTAAATGTTTTTATCTGTTGAAATTCAAGATTACAAGATTACATTAGAGGGAAGCTCTATGTGGAAGGGTGTACCTTGAGAGAATCAAAATGATTTAGAGTTTGGTCATATTACTCTCTTGCTTAAAATCCTCCACGGGTTTCCAGTTGTGCTTAGAATAAAACTCAAATCCCTTCTATGGCCTGCAAGGCCCATGCGCAGCTCTCAGTCTCATCTTGCATCATACTTTCTACCTCTCACCTTGCTCCAGCCATCCTGGCCACCCTGTAGTCTGTCTGACATGCGGATCTCACTCCGACCTTTGCACTGTCTGTCCTTGTGCCTAATGCATCCTTCTCTAGAGTCTCATAACTGGCTCCTCATGTCAGGTTTCAGCTCAGGTACCACCTGCTCACAGTGACCTTTTACTGACTCCCTTAGTCATTATTTATCATACCATTTTATTGTCTTCATAGCATCTCACATATCGAAAACTAGTCTTGCTTATTTGGTTGCATGTTTGTCCACCCCGACTAGAATGTGAGCTCTTTGTCCATCTCGTTCTCTGCTTTATTTCCAGTGGCCTGGCACATAGTAGCTGCTCAATAAGTATTTGTTGAATAAAAGATGGCAGTTGAGAAACTCTTTTTCAGTGGCCAGAGGTGCTTTTAAGAGGTGCTTGGGCTCAAGGGCTGACTCTTGCTTACCAAATTCATTAACTTACAATGGAAGGATATAACTTTCTATTGACCAGGATACTCCTGCCTGCCAACCAGGACATCTCTTCCCTGTATCAAGATCCTGAAGAATCTGAATTAGTAATCAGGAGGTAGCACAAGCAGCAGTCCCCCAAACCTGGGTCCCATCCGACTCCTGGGGCTAGCTGAATGACCCTGGCTACTTACCCGCATTATGCATCACTTTCTTCATCTTTCTCCATGGGAATAACAGTAGTTACTTCACAAACACATGGGGAAATGTAATTCAGATAGGTATATAAAACAATATTGAACCTGGCACATAATATAACTGAGTAAATGGCTCCTGTATTATTACTGATAGGAATAGTTCATTTTTACTAATCTGGTTATACTAGAATTCATTACCTTTCTGCTTTATAAATTACAATCCTGTCTCAAGTATTTAGATATTTTTAGACATCTACATGTTCATAAACTTTAGGAGAGAGCTAAATTTAGGGATTAAGAGTAGGGGATCTGGGCCAACCCTGGTGGCTTGTGCCTGTAATCCCAACACTTTGGGAGGCTGAAGTGGATGGATCACGAGGTCAGGAGTTTGAGACCAGCCTGGCTAACATGATGAAACCCCGTCTCTACCAAAAATATAAAAAAATTAACCGGGCGTGGTGGCGCACACCTGTAATCCCAGCTACTTGGGAGGCTGAAGCAGGAGAATCACTTGAACCTGAGAGGCAGAGGTTGCAGTGAGCCAAGATTACACCACTGCACTCTAGCCTGGGCAACAGAGCAAGACTTCATCTCAAAAAAAAGGAAAGCGGGGAGGGTATCTGGACTCAGAATGTGTGGATTGAAATCTTAGTTCTGTCACTTATTAACTGTGTGACTTTGGGCATGTTAATCTATCAATGCCTCAGTTTCCACATCTGTAAAAGGGGATGATCAGATCTTAGTGCTGTTACAAAGGTCAAGATACTAGTAAAACTCTTAGAACGGAATCTGGTACATGAAAAATACTCAGTGTTATCTATGATGATTTGTTTTTGATAGTTTAAATCTCAGAGGATGCTATTTTATTTTATTTTTTTGAGATGGAGTCTCAGTCTATCACCCAGGCTGGAGTGCAGTGGCACGACCTCAGCTCACCACAACCTCTGCCTCCCAGGTTCAAGTGATTCTCCTACCTCAGCCTCCAGAGCAGCTGGGATTACAGGTGCACGCCACCACGCCTGGCTAATTTTTTTATTTTTTTATTTTTTAAATTTTTGTATTTTTAGTAGAGATGGGGTTTCACCATGTTGGCCAGGCTGGTCTCGAACTCCTGACCTCAAACTACTGACCTCAAGTGATCAGCCCACCTCGGCCTCCCAAAATGCTGGGAGTACAGATGTGAGCCACCACGTCTGGCCAGTGCTCTTTTATTTCTTTTTGTTGTTGTTGTTGTTTGAGACGGAGTTTCGCTGTTGTTGTTGCCCAGGCTAGAGTGCAATGGCACGATCTCGGCTCACCACAACCTCCACCTCCTAGGTTCAAGCAATTCTCCTGCCTCAGCCTCCCGAGTAGCTGGGATTACAGGCATGCGCCACCATGCCCAGCTAATTTTGTATTTTTAGTAGAGGCAGGGTTTCTCCATGTTAGTCAGGCTGCTCTCGAATTGCTGATCTCAGGTGATCTACCCGCCTCAGCCTCCCAAAGTGCTAGGATTACAAGCATGAGCCACCGTGCCCGGCCTGCTCTTTTATTTCTAAAGTTTATTTTTAAGAGACAGATCTGAAAAAAATGTCTTGTGGATCTATGTGCAATTTTTATATTCATTGTTTGTTCTCTTTTAGTAGAGTTGTATTGTTTTAAACCCTTTAATGAAAGCTCTTACCTGGGGAAGGTCTTACAGGGTGTTTTAAAATTATGCCTTAAATGCCAGGTGCAGTAGCTCATGCCTGTATTCCCAGCACTTTGGGAGGCTGAAGTGGGCGGATCGCTTGAGGCCAGGAGTTCAAGACCAGCCTGGGCAACATGGCAAAACCCTGTCACTATTAAAAATACAAAAATCTCGGCCGGGCACGTTGGCTCACGGCTGTAATCCCAGCACTTTGGGAGGCCAAGGCAGGCAGATCACTTGAGGTCAGGAGATTAAGACCAGCCTGGCCAACATGGTGAAACACTGTTTCTACAAAAAATACAAAAATTAGCCGGGCATGGTGACATGTGCCTATAATCCCAGCTACTCAGCAGGCTGAGGTGGGAGAATCGCTTGAACCTGGGAGGCAGAGGTTGCAGTGAGCTGAGATCGTGCCTCTGCACTCCAGGCTGGGTAACAGAGTGAGACTCCATCTCAAAACAACAACAACAACAAAAAAAAAAAAAAAAAAAAAAAACAGAAAAAAAAAATTAGCCAGGCGTGGTGGTGCATGTGTGGTTCCAGCTACCTGGGAGGCTGAGGTGGGAAGATCTCTTGAGCCTAGGAGTACGAGGCTCCAGTGAGCTGTAATTATACCACTGCACTGCAATGTGGGTGAGAGAATGAGACCCTATCTATAAAATAAATAAAATTAGGTCTTCAAGCCAGGCCTGATGGCATCCTGTGGTAGTTCCAGCTACCCTAGAGGCTGAGGTGGGAGGATCACTTGAGCCCAGGAGTTCGAGTCCAGCCTGAGTAACATAGTGAGACTTTGTCTCTAAAAAAATAATAATAGGCCAGGCGTAGTGGCTCACGCCTGTAATCCCAGCACTTTAGAAGGCTGAGGAGGGTGGATCACGAGGTCAGGAGTTCGAGATCAGCCTGGCCAACATGGTGAAACCCCGTCTCTACTAAAAATACAAAAATAAGCCGGGCATGGTGGCATATGCCTGTAATCCCAGCTACTCAGGAGACTGAGGCAGGAGAATAGCTTGAATCCTGCAGTGAGCCAAGATCACGCCCCTGCACTCCAGCCTGGGTGGCAGAGCAAGACTCTGTCTCAAAAAAAAAATAATAATAATAATATTAATAATAATAAACAGACTTTCAGGTCGTATCCCATAACCGTGAAATGAACCAGATTGAAGTTTGGTTTCAAAGTTCATTGTTACGTTTCTTAACAAAAAATTAAATGCCTATCATGTACCAGACACTGTTCCAGGTATTAGAAATAAACTAATGAACTGAACAGACAAGACCTTACTCTCACAGAGCTTACATTTATGTGTGTGAAAGAGAAAAGGGTGAGGAGAAAAATAAATTAACATAAATTTTAGATATTAGTGCTATAAAGAAATAAAGTACATGACAGAGAGTGACTGGGAAGTCAGCCTATATTGGGCAATCAGGAGAACCTCTGAGGAAGTAACATTTGAGTGGAAACTAGGATGATGAAAAGGTGGTAGCCATGGGAAGCTCTGGAGGACAAAAATTCCAGGAAGAAGGACCAGCTGTGGAAAATCCTTAAGGCAGGAATGAGCTTGGCACATGATTAGAACAGAAAGAAGATGGAGTGAACCTGGGGAAAAGGAAGGAAACAAGGTTATAGAGGCAGGTAAGGGGCTATATTTAAGTCAACATAGGCCATGAGGCACACTGCAGATAGCCCACTACACTACAAGGAGGTGTGTGTGAAGCTTTGAGGAGTTCACCTGGGCTGTGGAACGCCACAATGACAAGACCATTTTCACCTACTTTATCAGTTCTAAGGATGCTGGAGGAAAAGCTGGTGCCCCTATTGTATGCATGCTGAACCAGGGGCTGAAGCATGTTAGTGAAGGATGTGTGTTCGCCTACTGCCAAGTAGAAGAAAAGCCTTATTGGAAAGATCCAAATAATGACTTCAGAAAAAACTTGGAAGTAACCACAGTGCCTACACTACTTAAATATGGAACACCTCAAAAACTGGTAGAATCTTAGTGTCTTCAGGCCAACCTCGTGGAAATGTTTTTCTCTAAGGATTAAGATTTGATGATGGCAATTATGTCTCGATTTTCTGATTTGTTCTAGTATAAAAAAAAACTGCATATGGCAGGGTGTGGTGGCTCACACCTGTAATCGTAGCACTTTGGGAGGCCGAGGCAGGTGGATCACTTGAGCCCAGGAGTTGGAGACCAGCCTGGACAACATGGCAAAAGCCCGTCTCTATAAAAAATACAAAAAATTAGCAGGATGTGGTGGTGCACGCCTGTAGTCTCGGCTACTTGGGAGGCTGAGGTAGGAGGCTCACCTGAGCCTGGGAAGTCGAGGCTGCAGTGAGCCAAGATTGCACCAGTGCACTCCAGCCTGGGCGAGATTGTGAGACCCTGTCACAAAAATGCATACTTGCTTTGAATTCATGTTAGCAATAAATAAATGATAATGTTAAAAAAAATAGGCTATGGTACAGAGTTTGAATTTTAAGCTATGATGAGAAACCATTGGGTTTTAAGGAGAGAAGATGGACTCATAGGGTAACTTACCCTTGGGAGCCAGTGCTATGGCTTTAGGCTGCAAGATTGGCTCGCCCATCCTCAACAGCAACCTGGCCAGTTTAGGGGTCAAGTGCCTCCGTATTCTAGACTCTGGGTCCACCTGGATGTCATGGATGGGCACTTTGTTCCCAACGTCACCTTTGGTTATCCTGTGGTAGAAAGCTTTCAAAAGCAGCTAGTCCAGGACCTTTTCTTTGACATACATGTGATGGTGTCCAAGCTGGAACAGTGGGTAAAATCAATAGCTATAGCAGAAGCCAGTCAGTACACCTTTCATCTTGAGGCTACTAAGTACTCAGAGGCTTTGATTGAAGACATTTGGGAGAATGGGATGAAGGTTGGCCTTACCATCAAACCAGGAACTACAGTTGAGTATTTGGCACCATGGACTAATCAAATAGATACGGCCTTGGTTATCACAGTGGAACCTGGGTTTGGAAGGCAGAAATTCATGGATGATATGGTGCCAAACATTCACTGGTTGAGGACCCAGTTCCCATCTTTGGATAAGAGGTCGATGGTGGAGTAGGTCCTGACACTGTCCACAAGTGTGCAGAGGCAGGAGCTAACATGATTATGTCTGGAAGCGTTGTTATGAGGAGTGAGGACCCCAGATCTGTGATTGACTTGTTAAGAAATATATGTTCAGAAGCCACTCAAAAACATTCTCTTGATCAGTGAGACCACAAGGAGCCCAATGTTGCTGCTCGTGAGATCTCCTTTTTACCAGAAAACAGGAATATTGACTACCAAATCATATTGCAGCTGAGGCAATACTGCTTTTCTGAGCAATTATTCATTCTAATGATTAAAATTGATTGTGCAGAATATTCTAAGAGGTTACAAATTGGCATGTCTAACTACATTTTTAGTGAAGCAATTTAACAATTCATGTGGGGCCCGGGTGTGGTGGCTCACACCTGTAATCCCAGCACTTTGGGAGGCCGAGGAGGGAGGATCACCTGAGGTCAGGAGCTCGAGACCAGCCTCAACATGGAGAAACCCCATCTCTACTAAAATACAAAATTAGCCGGGCGTGGTGGTGCATGCCTATAATCCTATAATCCCAGCTACTCGTGAGGCTGAGGCAGGAGAATTGCTTGAACCTGGGAGGCGGAGGTTGCAGTGAGCCGAGATCACGCCATTGCACTCCAGCCTGGGCAACAAGAGCGAAACTCCGTCTCAAAAAAAAAAAACAACAACAATTCATGTGGTGAAATACCCAGTTTTTATTGGGAGATTTGATTTTTTTTTTTTTTTTTTTTTTGAGGCAGAGTCTCACTCTGTCATCCAGGCTGGAGTACAAGTAGTACAATCTAGACTCACTACAGCCGCAGCCTCCCAGGCTCAGGCGATCCTTCCAAGTAGCTAGGACTACAGGCATGTGCCACCACGCCCAGCTAATCTTTGTACTTTTTGTCGAGACAAGGTTTCACCATGGTCTCAAGCAATCTGCCTACCTCAGCCTTCCAAAGTGCTGGGATTACAGGTGTGAGCCACTGCGCCCACTTGATTTTTCATAAAGAGTAAAAATATGGCTGCATTAAGGTTACAAACAGAAATGTGTCTTAATGCCTAAGGAGGGCATATTAGCTACACTATAAAAAAAATTTTTTTTCCATTTTACAGTAGAGAGAAATAGAAAAACAGGCCAGGCAACGGTGGCTTACACCTGTAATCCCAGCACTTTGAAAGGCCAAGGTGGGTGGATCACCTGAGGTCAGGAGTTTGAGACCAGCCTGGCCAACGTGGTGAAACCCCATCTCTACTAAAAATATAAAAAAATTAGCCAGGCGTGGTGGTGGGCGCCTGTAATCCCAGCTACTTGGGAGGCTGAGGCAGGAGAATTGCTTGAACCCAGGAGACGAAGGTTGCAGTGAGTCAACACAGTGTCTCTGTGCTCCAGCCTGGGTGACAAAGTGAGACTCTATCTCAAAAAAAAAAAAAAGAGAGAGGATGTAATCATTTACATTTAAGAAACCCTTTGGCGGCTATGGGGAAATAGCTTATTGGAGGTAGGGTGATCATTTGGGCAGCTCTCACAGCAGTGAGAGATGAGTATGTCTTTAGTAAAATGGAAGCAGTGGAGTTAGAAAGAAGTGAGTAGATTCAGACTGATGGACTTACTGATGGGTTGGGGGATGGGGAGCAAAGAGGCTTTTGCCAATGAAATAAAACACTTCAGGTAAATGATGACGTGGCCTACCCATGTTCAAGATGAGGCACAAGATCTAATTTCAGAAATAAGAAATGAAAACTGTAAAATTCCATAATGTATCAGCATACTCCCTGTCTAACCTGAGAAATTCCAACCAGCCCTGCTGCCCTGTCACCTGTCCTAGTGTGTCCTCCAGTGGTTTTTCAGTCTGAATGCTGCACAGAGACACCACAGCTTCAGAGGGTGGCAGAAGCCATGTTATGCTTTCCTAGCTTTGGGCCCTGCTCCATGGTGCAGAGTTACTTTTGCTCAAAGGAGTCAACTTTTTCTAATTCAAACAGTGCCATGGCAGGCCACCACGAGGGACTGGGCCCTGGAAGCTGTTCACTCATTGTTCTTTCTCTGGGGACCATCTTTCCATCTGAGAGATGGTATCCAGCATACCACTTTGTGAACCATTTATAAAGTATTAAAACTGAGGTATAGGAGGGTGGGTTTGGGGAGATGTTGGCCAAAGGATTTCAGTTACATAGGAGGAATAAGTTGAAGAGATCCATTGTACAACATGGTGATTATAGTTAATAAAATTATAGTTGAAATTATAGTTGAAAATTGTTAAGAGAGTAGATTTTAAATGTTCTCACCACAAAAAAACAAACAAAAACACAACTGGGCGAGGTGCAGTGGCTCACGCCTGTAATCCCAGCGCTTTGGGAGGCCGAGGCGGGCAGATCACGAGGTCAGGAGTTCGAGACCAGCCTGGCCATCGTGGTGAAACTCCGTCTCTACTAAAAATACAAAAAAAAATTAGCTGGGTGTGATGGCAGGCGCTTGTAATCCCAGCTACTTGGGAGGCTGAGGTAGGAGAATTGCTTGAACCCAGGAGATGGAGGTTGCAGTGAGCTGAGACTGTGCCACTGCAACTCCAGCCTGGGCAACACAGCAAGACTCTGTCTCAAAAACAAACAAACAAAAATTATATGAGGTAATGCGTGTTAATTAGCTTGATTTAGCCATTCCACAATGTATACATTTTTAAAAAATATCTATTTATTCATTTTTGAGAAAGGGTCTCGCTCTGTCACCAAGACTGTAGTACAGTGGCATGCTTACAGCTCATGGCAGCCTTGACCTCCCAGGCTCAAGTGATTCTCCCACCTCAGCCTCCCTAGTAGCTGGGACTACAGGCATGCACCACCACACCTGGCTAATTTTTGTTGTGTTTCTTTTTGTAGGTGGGTTTTGCCACATTGCCCCGAGTAGTTTCGAACTCTTGGGCTCACGCAGTCCACCTGCCTCAGCTTCCTGAAGTGTACATATCTCAAAACATGTTTTACACAATAAATATATACAAATTTTGTCATTTTTTAAAAAATGGCCAGGTGCAGTGGCTCACGCCTGTAAGTTCAGCACTTTGGGAGGCCAAGACAGGAGATCACTTGAGCTCAGGAGTTCAAGACCAGCCTGGGCAACATGGTGAAACCCTGTCTCTACAAAAAAATACAAAAATTAGCCACACATGGTGGTGCACACCTGTAGTTCCAGCTATTCAGTAGGCTGAGGTGGGAGGATTGCCTGAGTCCAGGAGGTGGAGGTTGCAGTGAGCTGAGATCATACCACTGCTCTCCAGTCTGGGCAACAGAGCAAGACCCTGTTTGGGGAAAAAAAAAAAAACGAACACCTGATTAGGTGAGCATGGTGGCATGTACCTGTAGTCCTGGCTACTCAGGATGCTGAGGCAGGAGGATTGCTTGAGCCCAGAAGTTTAAGGTTGTAGTGTACTACAATCACACCACTGCATTCTAGTCTGGGTGAGTGAGATCCTATCACTAAAAAAAAAAAAATCCAAAAAACTGTAAATGTGAATTTTATAATTCATCTTCTGTCTTCTCTTCTCCCTGCTGAGTTTTCCTTAATGAGAACCGTGGTCTTGTGAGAATTTTACTCGTCTGTGTTTGCTAACTTGAAGAGAAACAAAACAAAAATACATAAAATTAGCAGCTGAAATTTATTTATTTAATTTAATTTATTTATTTATTTTGAGATGGAGTCACGCTCTGTTGCCAGGCTAGAGTGCCATGGCGCGATCTCGGCTCACCACAACCTCCGCCTCCTGGGTTCAAGCGATTCTTCTGCCTCAGCCTCCTGAGTAGCTGGGACTACAGGTGCACGACACTATGCCTGGCTAATTTTTGTATTTTTAGTAGAGACGGGGTTTCACCACGTTGGCCAGGATGGTCTCAATCTCCTGACCTCGTGATCTACCCACCTTGGCCTCCCAAAGTGCTGGGATTACAGGTATGAGCCACCGCGCCCGGCCCGGCAGCTGAAATTTATTAAGCAACTTTTATGTGCCTGGCACTATGTTAAGTGCTTTACCTACATTATGTCACTAGATCCTTGTAGCAGCCCCCTGTGACATGCCCAAAGTCACAGCACATAAGTTTCAGAACTGGGACTGAACCCAAAGATTCTAGCTCCCAATACCACGTTTGCAGCCACTGCGCTAAATTCCCTCTTCTTTATCTTTGTCTCCTTGTCTTTCAGGTAGATGGGAAATTGCTGTGCTGGCTGTGCACACTTTCATACAAACGGGTCCTTCAGAAGACCAAAGAGCAGAGGAAACACCTGAGTAGCTCTTCTCGTGCTGGCCACCAGGAGAAGGAGCAGTATAGTCGCCTGAGTGGTGGTGGCCATTATAACAGGTAACCTCAAGACACATGAGATGGGACTAGAAGTGCTGGTAGGTCAGATGTAATGCTCACATAACCATCATGGTACATACTACCATCTCATATACATTTTCTATATTCTCTGTAGGTACTAGTCTGTAGGAGGAAGCTCATTTGTCATATTTTATAGTTCATATATCTTCCAAGGACCAGAGAGATTTCCATAAAGTGTCAGGATTTCCTGACTTTGTATTGTGTCTGAAATGTTTGTGGAACTTCGTTTGTAGTGTTCTCACCCTTAGAGTGGATTCTCTCTCCAGAAAATTGGACATTTCACTTTCTGAGAGATACAGCTTTTTCAATGCATATTTAGCCAGGAGGCTGATAGATGTCCTAGGTTTGTCCTGGTGGCACCTAGTCAAAAAGATGTCTTTTCATTGTTGTTTTAAGCGTCCTTTCAGAGTATCTAGTATTGTTAACGGTTCTGGCTCTGGATGGAATGCTGGCTCTGCCAGGTTCTCTGCGGGGATCTTGGGCAAGTTTTCTCATCTGTAAAATGAGGGAAGTGATAGTATTACCTCAAGGGGTTGTTGTGAAGATAAATTAGATAGTACATGCACAGTGATTGTTTTTATAACTGGCATATAGAAAATATTCAATACATTTCAGGTTTTTTTGTTTGTTTGTTTTGTTATTACCATTATGACTTTGTTTAATCAGCAAGCATTAAGTATTCTCACGGGTCAGGGATGCTGGTGGGAATGAAGAGCTGAATACAAGTCATGCTGCTCTCCAAGAGTATGCAGTCTGGTAGGAAAGACAGACTTATAAACAGATGATCTTAGTATAATGTAACGGGTACCACAGTGGAAACGTGTCAAGAATGCAGACATGAGGGTAGTAATTAACTGCCTTGAGAAGTCAGGCAAGCAGGCTTGGAGAAGAGCTGGCATTAGAGCTAGATCTTAGGACGAGTTGGAATCCTCAGGGAAGGAATGGGCAGAGGCATTCTAGGCTGAGAGAATAGCATTTGCAAAGGCATGGAGGGCATGAGACCAAATGGAACCCTGGAAAATTGTAAGTCCTTTTATATTGCTGGAGCTTTTGGCTGGGAGCTGGGGAATGGAAGGAAAAAGGGGTCCTGCATCCTGGTAAGGAATGGAAACTTGATCCTGAGGTCAGGGTGTTAGTGGGAAGCTATTGAAGGGATCTATGCAGAGGAGAGACCAAATCTTCATTTAAAAAATTAACCCTGACTACTAGTGTGGAAAATGCATTGGAGGAAAAAGGGACTGGGGGCTAATTAAAGGCTTTTTTCTAAGAGTTTGGGTAAGAGATGTTAAAACAAGAACCTCACCTGAGGCAGTGGCAGTGGAAGATTGAAAAGGTTGATTCAGGAAGATGTTTTGGATGGAGAATTATGAGAAACAGATAATCTGATGAACAGACACATGGGCAAGAGCTGAGTAAGTAAAGGATAATTCCCGGGTTTCTTATTTGGGTGAATAGATAGAGCCTTAACTGAGAGAGAATGTAGGAAGGGGAGAAATGGGTCTAGTTTTGGAAAGTTGAGTTTGAAGCATGAAGAATTACTTTTAGGAGCTTAGCCTAGAACTTAGAAGAGAGGTTTGGACATGGGCCATAGGTAGCACATAAGAATCTAGCTGGGCGCGGTGGCTCACACCCGTAATCCCAGCACTTTGGGAGGCCAAGGCGGGCGCATCACAAGGTCAGGAGTTCGAGACCAGCCTGACCAACATGGTGAAACCCTGTTTCTACTAAAACAAAAAATACAAAAAGTGGCCAGGTGTGGTGTTGCATGCCTGTAATCCCAGCTACTCAGGAGGCTGAGGCAGGAGAATCGCTTGAACCCAGGAGGCGGAGGTTGCAGTAAGTTGAGATTGTGCCACCGCACTCCATGCTCGGTGACAGAGCGAGACTCTATCTCAAAAAGAAACAGCAACAATAAAAAGAATCACTGGGGGTAGGGATTATTTGAAAATGCAGATTCCGGCCAGATACATTGGCTGGCTTACACCCGTAAACCCAACGCTCTGGGAGGCCGAGGTGGGAGGGTTGCTTGATGCCAGGAGTTTGAAACTAGCAGGAACAACATAATGAGACCCCATCTCTACAAAAAACAATATTAGCCAGGTGTAGTGGCACACACCTGTAGTCCCAGCTACTTGGGTGGCTGAGATAGGAGGATCGCTTTAAGCCTTGGAGTTTGAGGCTTGCTGTGAGCCATGATTATGCCATTGCTCTCCAGCCTGGGCAACAGAGCAAGGCACTCTCTCTAAAATTAAAAAAAATTAAAAAGCAGATTCCTGCAGCAGTCCCACCCCAGAATTTAATTCAGTAGGACCTAGGATAGAGGCCAGGAATCTACATTATTTTATAAACATCCCAGATGATTCTAATGCAGGTGATATAGTTAACACCATTTCCAACCACTTATGATAGGTAGTTGTTAAAATCATGCTCTTAAATGATGTAATTCAGATTCAGGGCTGAGAATGGAACTCTACAAGCATTCAGTATTTAAGTTTTAGGAACTAAGAAGCAGCTGTCACAAAAGTGGGATGACCAAACGAGGAGAACATTTGAAGAAGGATGCAGTATCAGTGGTATCAAATGCTGAAGAGAGGTCAAGTAAGAAAAGGTCTGAGGAATCCTTTGAACTTGGCTGTTGAACACCCATCAAAGTGAAAGGATTGCATAGCAGAGACAGAGTTCCAGCTTTTGTTTCAAGACCAGTTTTGAGTGAACTTATTGGGGCTAAAACTGATTTTTAGTCTTGTAGTTTGACTGAGATACCAGTAGGTTAACACAAATATAGTGAAGAAGAACTAGACTGGCCGGGTGTGGTGGCTCACACCTGTAATCCCAGCACTTTGGGAGGCCGAGGCAGGTGGATCACTTGAGGTCAGGAGTTCGAGACTAGCTTGGCTCACATGGTGAAACCCGTCTCTACCAAAAAATACAAAATTAACTGGGTGTGGTGGCTGGCGCGCACCTGTAGTCCCAGCTATTCGGGAGGCTGAGGTGGAAGGATCACTTGAAGCCAGGAGGCGGAGGTTGCAGTGAACCAGGATCGTGCCACTGCACTCCAGCTTGGGTGACAGAGTGAGACTCCATCTCAAAAAAATAAAAATAAAAATAAAACTAGACTAGGAGTTCAAATATATTGACCTGGTTTCTAGTCCCAGCTTTACTTCTAACTAGCTATATGTGTCTTGGTAGATAAGTTGATCTTGAGCTATTTCTGTACAGTAGAAATAATAACTTATCTATACCTCACAGAATTATAAGATGCATGTGAGACAGTAAATGTAAAAGAAGTTTTTTTTTTTTTTTTTTTTTTTGAGACGGAGTCTTGCTCTGTCGCCCAGGCTGGAGTGCAGTGGCACAATCTCGGCTCACTGCAAGCTCTGCCTCCCGGGTTCACGCCATTCTCCTGCCTCAGCCTCCCAAGTAGCTGGGACTACAGGTGCCCGCTACCACACCCGGCTGATTTTTATATTTTTAGTAGAGACGGGGTTTTACAGTGTTAGCCAGGATGGTGTCGATCTCCTGACCTCGTGATCCATCCACCTCGGCCTCCCAAAGTGCTGGGATTACAGGCGTGAGCCACCGCGCCCAGCCAAAAGAACTTTTTAAACTAGAAGACAGATTATACTTCTTATTGAAGTTTTTTTTTTTTTTTTTTTTGAGGCGGAGTCTCGCCAGGCTGGAGTGCAGTGGATTGCTGGGAGTGCAGTGGATTGATCTCGGCTCACTGCAGGCTCCGCCCCCGGGGTTCAAGCCATTCTGCTGCCTCAGCCTCCTGCGTAGCTGGGACTACAGGCGCCCGCCACCTCGCCTGGCTAATTTTTTGTATTTTTAGTGGAGATGGGGTTTCACCGTGTTAGCCAGGATGGTCTCAATCTCCTGACCTCGTGATCCGCCTGCCTCAGCCTCCCAAAGTGCCGGGATTACAGGCGTGAGCCACCGCACCCGGCCTCTTATTGAAGTTTTATTGATATTTGTTCTCATGGTTATTAATAAAGCAGGTAATATTTAATTAATTAAGGCCAAGAATTTTTTTTTTTGATCCTGTGGAAACTAGCTACCCATCCATCCAGGCCTACAAAATCATCACCTTGGTAGATTCTTTATTAATCAAGAATTATTAGCTCTTGCATAGAAGAGCTGCTGTCTTAACATTGGTCTATTTGACAGACTTTCATTGTGATGTTTTGTTAATCTTTGATTTCTAATGTGTGTCTCTCTATTTTTGCCATTAAAAGCCAGAAAACACTTTCTACATCTTCAATTCAAAATGAAATCCCAAAGAAAAAGTCCAAGTTTGAGTCAATCACAACTAATGGAGACAGGTGAGCCAGTTGGAGTATGTGTGCGCACACATTTGAAATGCATACACAGTTCCTGAAACAGGAATACATTTAGGGTCTGCCTTGGAATTAGTCTGTGGCTGTCAGTGAATCTTATAAGTAAGCAGTACTGATATTTGTTTATAAATCTAATCTTGTCATTAAAAGATAAGAACTCATAACTTGATTTAATAGCAATTGAATTCTGCAGTCCACTAAATTATAATTTTTTTTAAGAGACAGTCTCACTCTGTCACTCAGGCTGGAGTGCAGTGGCGCGATTTTGGCTCACTGCAACTTCTGTCTCCTGGGTTCGAGCAATTCTCATGCCTCAGTCTCCCAAGTAGTTGGAATTACAGGGGCACCACCATGTCCAGCTAATTTTTGTACATTTAGTAGAGACAGGGTTTCACCATGTTGACTTGAACTCCTGGCCTCAAGTGACCTGCCCACCTCGGCCTCCCAAAGTGCGGGGATTACAGGCATGAGCCACCTTGCCCAGCTTCCCCTACACTAATTCTAAGAAGTCCAGAGCTGGATGCTTTTCTTTGTGATCTCTGCCCATATCTTCCTGCAGGCAGGAGAGGAGTTGATCTTGAGAGGTAAAGACAGGTTGGGATTAAGGCAATGTTGCCAAATTTGTGAGGATCCACACTTCCTTAACATTCAGAAAGCCAGCCCAGTGCAGATTCTGGATCAGGAGAGAATGAGATGCATTTGCATGTTTTTGTTTCATTTCAAGCCAGTCTAAATGCATACTTTTAGTCCTCACTTTCCTCTCCCCTCCTCAGTGGTACTTCCTCTTGTGAGCTGCTTGGGTCCTAATATCCAGAGTGTCCCATCTGTGTTGGTACAGTGGGCTGCTTCTCAACAAAGTGTTGGGACCAACCATTTTTCTGTTCCTCCAGGCCTGGGCATCCTGAAGTGAAACCACCTGACACACTTCCTGCGATCTTTGAAATCATCTCCATCCTGAAAACTCCTCCCATTCACAGTTCTCCTTCCCAGCCAGTAGTGGATATAGGAGCAGACCAGCATATAGGCTTACCAGGACTGATTTTGTTTATTTAGAGGGATACAAAACATTCTTTCCCATTGCCTTTTTTGTTAACTTGCTTTCAGACTCTACAAGGTTTTTAGAACTAGTTTCACTGATTTTTAAACTTCTTGAATTGAACCTTCTGGAATGCTTAATTTAGGTAGTCAGATTACATGGGGGGAGGAACCATAAAGATCATCTTTCTGGCCAGCTTTACTGTTCTCTCATAAGCTAGTCTGGCCATTGTGAAGAAAGGGATGTGGCACAGGTTGTCCATCACCTCTGCCAGGGCATGTGACCCTGCAAAAACTACTTCAAGGAATGAACTTTTTGAACACCCTGCTTTATAAAGGCCTAAGCCAAGACCTATGGCTTTAGATTCATTTCTGTTTTGTGCTCATTTATGATCCAGGCTGTGTTTGAATGACCTGGAAAAAGCTCGTTCGTATCTTCCAGTTTAACCAACCAGTCCTTAATGTTCACTTTCTATTAGCTTATTTTGTTCTTGAGATACTGCCACTATTCTTGCTGTCCATTGCTATGGATACACCAAGCTAAAAACTCAAGTTTTCTGTTCAGTGTTTTATTGCATCCAGTCATCAGCAATGCTGTTTTCCTCAAGTAGAAAGCTGATCCTTGACATAGGTACATGGTCTTTCATGGTGTCCTCCAGAAAAGATATTAAATGATCATTTTGACCAGGCACAGTCGTTCACACATGTAATCCCAGCACTTTGGGAGGCCAAGGCTGGTGAATCACCCAGGAGTTTGAGACCAGCCTGGGCAATATGATGAAACACCATCTCTAAAGATTAGCTGGGCATGGTGGCGTGTGCCTGTAATTCCAGCTACTCAGGAGGCTGTGGTGGGAGGATCACCTGAGCCTGGGGAAGTTGAGGCTGCAGTGAGCCATGATTGCGCCACTGCAGTTGAGCCTAGGCAGTGAGACTCTGTCTCAAAAAAAAAGGTAGGGGAGATAACTTTTTCCTTAAAATGACATGCTAATTTATTTTTCTAAGTAATTTATAATTTGAAAATTTGGAAATGTTTTCTGCTGTCACAAAAACTATTTTCATACCCATTTAAAATGTTCCTGCATTAGCATTTTTAACATTCTATTCTACTTGTTTGCATTTCTTTTTTTTAAATGTTCATAGCACAAGATAAATTCCACTTTGCTGTCCTCTTTACTTGTTGTGGGTTTTTTTTCCCTGCATTTACTTTGCTTTGAAAAAAGCATTCTGACATTTTTTTTGACAGTCCTTTTTTAATGTCATCCAAACCAAAATTTCACTGGCTACCCATTTCTTTTTTTTTTTTTTTCTTTTTTTTGAGACAGGGTCTCACCCTGTTGCCCAGGCTGGAATGCAGTGTCACGATCTTGGCTCACTGCAGCCTCGACCTCCTGGGCTCAGGTGATCCTTCCACCTAAGCCTCCCAAGTAGCTGGGACTATAGACATGCACCACCATGCCTGCCTAATTTTTGTATTTGTAGAAATAGGGTTTCACTATGTTACTCAGGCCAGTCCTGAACTCCTGGGTTCAAGTGATCCTCCTATGTTGGCCTCCCAAAGTGCTGGGATTACAGGAATGAGCCACTATGCCTGGCTTTTTTTGTTTTTTTTCTTTTGAGACAAGGTCTCACTGTGTCACCCAGGCTGGAGTGCAGTGGCGCAATTATGGCTCACTGCAGCCTCGACCTCCTGGACTCAAACGATCCTCCCACCCCAGCCTCCCAAGTAGCTGGGACTACAGGCACATGCCTCCACACTCGGCTAATTTTTTTGTGTAGATGGGGTCTCGAACTCCTGGCCTCAAGTGATCCTCCTGCTTTGGCCTCCCAACATGCTGGGATTATAGGCATGAGCCACCAGACCCAGCCCCTAAAATATTCATATACTTTTAAATTTATGCTCTTATTCTTTTATTTTTATTCCCCATGTTTTCTGCAAGTTGCTGCCTAATGGTTTTTCACTGACCTTTCTATACTACTACATTCTCTTCTCTTATTTAATATTGAGTTATGTTTGATTATTTTTCCTCCTTTTTGTTTATCCATTAGCCTTCTATTTTTTTTAGACAGAACACATTTTAGCTTTCAAAAATGGCTTTATAAGATGCTTTAGTCTTTTTTTTCTAAGTATCCTACAACATCCACAGTCTCTGTCTCAATATGTCCTAATTTGTTTGTTGAAATTATAACAAAAACTTTTCAATTTTAGGAAAATATAAGTTAATTTCTAGTTTTCCTTCCTCTAGAAAATACACTGGCTACTTTTTAATCATGTGTGTTTATTTTTCCATAGGCAATCAAAAAAGCAGCCACAACAGCTGGTGGCACTCAGGCACAGCTTGTGGTTTATTGTTTCTAAAGGACATTCTTTTTTTTAACTCGTAGTTTCATTTTATTCTCCGTCTGAAATGTGCCTGAAAGATTAATCTGTATAGCCTTTGAGGACTGACTCAGGACCAATATGTAGGGTTATAGAGAGGCAGGTTTTGGCTCAACCCAAGAAAATTGTTCTTACAGTACGAGCTTTTGTAAAAGACAATTTTTCTGGAGAAGTAGTAGTTCCCTGTCATTGGAGCCATTAGGAAAGAGACTGGTTTTTCTGCCTTGTTACCCTAGCCATCTTTTTTCATTTCTAGTAGTTCTTACTGAACCAGGAATTAGAGAGTTAGTGAGGGCTGGGCACGGTGGCTCACGCCTGTAATCCCAGCACTTTGGGAGGCCAAGGTGGGTGGATCACCTGAGGTCGGGAGTTCGAGACCAGCCTGACCAACATGGAGAAACCCCGTCTCTACTAAAAACACAAAAATTAGCCAGGCATGGTGGCGCACGCCTGTAATCCCAGCTACTTGAGAGGCTAAGGCGGGAGAATCACTTGAACCCAGGAGGCAGAGGTTGTGGTGAGCTGGAGGTTGTGGTGAGCCGAGATCATGCCATTGCACTCCAGCCTAGGCAACAAGAGTGAAACTCTGTCTCAAAAAGAAAAAAAGAGAAAAGAGAGAGTTAGTGAGGTCAGTCCCTAACACAGGATAGAAAGGATGGGTGTTGTCAACTATTTATTGGTATGGGGGGAATCCTCTCACAAGAAGCAGGAAGGGTAGGGCATTAAGAGGTTTGGGGACAACAAAAAGTTACTTACATTAGCTCATTACTCTAGTTATGGGTTTAAATAGACTCTATTCAGTTGAAGAAAGACAGGTCCTTAGCAGGTATTGAAACAGATGTGAGACTGCAGCTCTAAGGGTGCTTCCAGATCTGAAACTAGTGGAGACTGTAATAGGTCCTTTCAGTACTTTCTCCTGCACACCTTGTTTTATGATTTTGCATTTATTTTTGTTATGCAGTAATTCCATCCATTCATTAGTTATGAGAGCATTGATTCATTCTTCCTCTGACAGTCTTCTCATATGCTTCATGTAAACTGAGAGGAGGGTAGGAATATTCTTGTCGATTATTTATGTCTTCCAGTCCTAGCCATAGAAATGTTTGACTTGGTAACTGTGAGGTAGTTTGTCCACTGGTTAGGCTTGCTATTTGGAGTTTCTTCCTGTGTAGAGAAATGTTGGCTATTAGATGTGGTTTAGGATATAAGAACAGTGAGTCGTTACTATATATAGGGAGTTGAGAATGAGTATTCCAGTGTCTGCTTAGGAAAAACAGGTTTGTGTTTTACTTTAAAGATTGTCCTGGGAAAAGTAAAGAGCGTTCTTTGAGAACTCTCTAGAGAACAGGATTTGACCCTCTTGGCAGTGATTCCTTAACTTGCTTTGAGTCTGAGGCACTTCTGACTGGCCATTGAAAGCTATGGATCCTCACTCTAAAAACCACCCATTATATGTGTAGACAAGATTGTACATATAATTTTGGGGTTTTGCAGATTTCCTGAAACTATCCCTTCTTTTTTTTTTTTTTTTTTTTTTTTGAGACGGAGTTTCGCTCTTGTTGCCCAGGCTGGAGTGCAATGGCGCAATCTTGGCTCACTGCAACCTCCGCCTCCCAGGTTCAAGCAATTGTCCTGTCTCAGCCTCCCAAGTAGCTGGGATTACAGGCATGCACCACCACGGCCAGCTAATTTTTTATTTTTAGTAGAGATGAGGTTTCTCCATGTTGGTCAGGCTGGTCTTGAACTCCTGACCTCAGGTGATCCGCCTGCCTTGGCCTCCCAAAGTGCTGGGATTATAGGCGTGAGCCACCGCGCCCGGCCTAAAACTGCCCCTTCTTAAGAGGCTCTGCTAAAAGGACATGGAGTCCATCTGGCACTTTGACAAAATAGAGTGCTCTAATGCTGTTATTGGGAGGAATCTGTTAAAAGCCCAAGTTGTTGTGTGACTCTGGAGTTTGCCACCTCTTTGTTCCGTTACTAAAGCAATGTTACAGAATTCCTGATATTGGAAATGACAATCTGCAGGCCATTTGTAGTGTAGGGGAAGCTGGCTTCATTCCTGTTTCATCTTTTTTGAAAAAGAACTGACTGCTCCTGGGTGGGAATCCAGCAGCTTCTCGGCAGATACACTGACTGCATTGCGGTGCTTTGGGACAGAAGACAAGGACCTGAAAGATGAGCTCTGAGGGAAGCATTAAAGAAAAATGCATGAGCTCACAGTTTATAATTTATCTGGAATTCTAAGGAATTTATCTAATCACAAAAATTAGGATGGTTTTTCTAGTACATCACTGGGGATCTTTAAGGAACCTGAAACAGTATCCTTAGCTCTTGGGATGTGGCATTTATTTCCGTCCTAAATGTGAGAGAAGATGCTGCAGGGATGCTGCCAGGTTGTGGCTTTGGTTCGTAGAGTTATCTGATGGCCACCTTACCTCTGCAGTTCAGCTCAGCAAGTGCCGTTGAGCCCAGCATGTGTGGTGCAATGTGCTTGATGCTAGGATTCCTGCCCTTTAGGAGCTTGCAGACAAGTGGTCTAGGATGCATCCTCAGGTAGAGAAAAGTTTATCCATCCAAGTTAAAATATTTTCCCCTGATTTTTAAATTTAGCTTCTCCCCAGACCTGGCTCTGGACTCACCAGGCACTGACCACTTTGTCATCATTGCCCAACTGAAGGAAGAAGTGGCTACCCTGAAGAAGATGTTGCATCAAAAGGATCAAATGATTTTAGAGAAAGAGAAGAAGGTATGGTTTAGTTAATTCCTCTCTGACCAGAATGATGCGAGGGTGAGATATGTGGTATGGGACATGATAATAACCCTTTTTAACTGATGTTTGTTGAGAGCCTATGTCAAGGTTGGGATATCCTGGGGAGAGGCTGGCTGTCTGCCAAGATGACTTTTGGGATGGCATTACTCCAGTCAGTTGGGCTCAAAAAACTGATTTTTCTCAGCACTTGCAGCTTCCACTTCTCAAAGAGGACATTTTGTTTTTTGTTTTGTTTTTGAGACAGGGTCTCAGCTGTGTCACCCTGGCTGGAGTGCAGTGGCACAATCATGGCTACTGCAGCCTCTAACTTCCAGTCTCAGGCAATCCTCCCATCTCAGCCCACTTAGTAGCTTGGACTACAGGCATGTGCCACTGTACCCGGCCAATTTTTAAAATTTTTTGTAGAGACATGGTCTTATTATGTTGCCCAGACTGGTCTTGAACTCCTGGTCTTAAGTGATCCTTCCATTTTAGCCTCCCAAAGTGCTAGGATTACAAATGTGAGCCATTGCCCCTGGCCTCAGAGAGGACATTTGTTAACTGAGCTTACAGAGACAATGTATAAAAAAACCAGTGTTCACATCTCAGTTCACAGCGGAGCATGTAACAAACAGTACACAGTTCTTGGCATGAGCTACCTGGAGAGGCTGTAATCAGAAGGTGCTGAATAAGCATAGAGTTGGGACACGAGGAGGTAGTTATGTAACTGGAATGTTCAGTGCTGTCCGGCTAAAAGAACCTAATGTCTCTTTCTCTTCTCATGGGGATGGCCATGTCTGTGGGACAATAATACTCAAAGTTCATGGGACATTTCTTCCTCTTCCCTGAACAGCGTTCATGTGGGCCTTCTGCCATGACTCTTATGTCACTGTGCTTCCACTGCTGACAACTCTTACTAAGTGACCCATCTTTAATATGTTAATATTTTAATATCTTAGTTTATCTTCAGTATTAATACTCTTTTTTTTCTTTTTTTGTTTTTTGAGACAGAGTCTCTGTCGCCCAGGCTCACTGCAACCTCTGCCTCCTGAGTTCAAGCGATTCTCCTACCTCAACCTCTCAAGTAGCTGGGATTACAGGTGCCTGCCACCATGCCTGGCTAATTTTTCTATTTTCAGTAGAGATGGGGTTTCGCCATGTTGGACAGGCTGGTCTCGAACTCCTCATCTGAAGTGATCTGCCTGCCTCATCTTCCCAAAGTGTTGGGATTACAGGTGTGAGCCACTGTGCCCGGCCTCAGTGTTAATATTTTATTTTCACATCAGAATATCTTCTATCTTATATTTCTAATATCTTCACATTAATATCTTCAGAATAAGACCAGTCTTATTATGGTCTGAAGTTGTCTTCCATTTTTACATTCTTACTCTGATTCATGTCTGTTATCTTGTTTTCAGGTTTTCTAAATAGTATCTCATTTTTAGGCTGGGCACACTGGCTCACACCTGTAATCCCAACACTTTGGGAGGCTGAAGCAGGCAGATTGCTTGAGCCCAGGAATTCAAGACCAGCCTGGGCCATTGGTGAAACCTCATCTCTGCAAAAAATACAAAAATTAGCAGGGCTTGATGGTGTGCACCTATGGTCCCAGCTACTTGGGAGGCTAAGGTGGGAGGATCACCTTAGCCTGGGAGGTCAAGGCTGTGGTGAGCAGTGATCATACCACTGCACTCCAGCCTGTGGGTGACAGAGCCAGACCCTGTCTCCAAAAACAAACAAAAAAGAATATCTCATTTTGCCTTAATATTATAATAATAATAGCTAACTTTTATTGGATGCTAACTTCGTGCCTAGCTCTGTTTTAAGTGCTTTATATGTATTAACTCATTTATTCTTTTTTTTTTTTTTTTTTTTTTTTTGAGACAGAGTCTTGCTCTGTCACCCAGGCTGGAGTGCAGTGGTGCAATAGTTCACTGCAACCTCTGACTCCTGGGTTTAAGTGATTCTTGTGCCTCAGCCTCCTGAATAGCTAGCTGGGACTACAGGCGTGCACCACCACACCTGGCTGATTTTTGTTTTTGTTTTTGATTGAGACAGGGTCTTGCTCTGTCACCCAAGCTGGAGTGCAGTGGTGCAATCTCTGCTCACTGCAACCTCTGCCTCCCTGGGTTCAAGTGATTCTCCTGCCTCAGCCTCCCGAGTAGCTCGGATTACAGGCATGTGGCACCACAGCCAGCTAATTTTTGTATTTTTCATAGAGATGGGGGTCTCACCATGTTGGCCGGGCTGGTCTTGAACTCCTGACCTCAAGTGACCCGCCCACCTCGGCCTCCCAAAGTGCTGGGATTACAGGCATGAGCTACCATGCCTGGCCCATTTATTCTTATAAAAAGCCTTTGAGGCCGGGCTTGGTGGCTCATGCCTGTAATCCCACCATTTTGGGAGGCCAAGGCGGGTGGATCACGAGGGCAGGAGATCAAGACCATCCTGGCTAACACGGTGAAACCCTGTCTCTACTAAAAATACAAAAAAATTAGCTGGGCGTGGTGGTGGGCGCCTGTAGTCCCAGCTACTCGGGAGGCTGAGGCAGGAGAATGGCGTGAACCGGTGAGGCGGAGCTTGCTGTGAGCCAAGATCGTGCCACTGCACTCCAGCCTGGGCTACAGAGCAAGACTCCATCTCAAAAAAAAAAAAAAGCCTTTGAGGTGGGAATTGTTACAATCATTTCATAGATGAAGAATGCCTCCAGTATTTTTCTTCTTAGGGGTTTCTGATCTCCCCTGGCTCTTTATGTTGTTTTCTGCCAAGTTCAGAATGCTGTGATTCATTCTGAATAGCTAAGACATTGATGTAAATTCCTTACTTGCATTCATCTAATTTCTACCTCATTTTACAGATGAGGAAACAGACCCGAAGAGGTTAATATGTCCAAACCACACAGCTAGTAAATGGCGGAACAAGGGACTGGAAGTCTTTCTGACTCTACTGTTCTTTCTACTGTGCTATGCTTTCTCCTGCTAGGAAGGTGGAAATTCATGGGAAGAGATCTGTGTTCTATCCACATAACTACATGACTGTCAAGTGAAAATGGCCCAAGTATATTCTCTCCATGGACTAGATCAGAATGGCACATAAAAGGATTTTTGTAAAACAGGGACAAGATGAACACTTGTTTCTACTGCTTTGCAGAGATAGTTTTTATTTATTTATTATTTTTATTTTTTTGAGACAGGGTCTTGCTCTGTTGCCCAGGCTGTTGGGCAGTGGTGCAGTCTCAGCTCACTGTAAACTCAACCTCCCTGGCTCAAGCGATCCTCCCACCTCCGTCCTCTAAATAGCTGGGACTGCAGGCGCACACCACCACACCCAGCTATTTTAATTTTCGTTTTTTTTTTTTTTTTTTTTGTAGACATGGGGTTTCACCATGTTGCCCATGTTGGTCTCAAACTCCTGAGCTCAAGTATTCCGCCCTTTTGGCCTCCCAAAGTGCTGGGATTACAGGCATGAGCCACCACTCCTGGCCCAGAGTTAGGGTTTTTAAAGGAGCAAAAGCAGATTGTTTCCCAAAGCTTTCAGGAAGCTTGGAATACAGGCTCTTTAGCATAATGCCTGCCCATCTCTCCAACCTCATCAGCCATTCAAATAATCTCTGTTATCTCACATTTATCTGCCTGTGCCTATACTGTTCTCTGCTTGGTTGCCCTCCTGCTCACCTTATGTGCCTATTGTTAATACATCTCAAAGCTCAGCTCACACATCACCTCTGATTTAGAATTTCCTTGAAGAGCAGTCAACAGAAGGGGGTCTGGGGTTTGAAATCTAGCTCTGCCCCTTGCTAACTCTGTATATGATCTTGGCCACATTCCTTAACCCTTTCTAAAGATCAGTTTTCTCCTCTATAAAATGGGACTACTACTCTCACAATGTTATCATAAAGATCTACTGAAGTAATATAATCATATAATCAGTTTTTCTGCAACATAGTAAAAGTTCAGTAATTGGTAGCAACTATTATTCTCAAATATTCAGAAATGTTAGTTCAGGACTTTGTGTAATTTTCAGGAAAGCTTTAGAGAAAAAGAGGGTGTGGAATTCCCTGGTTTTGATTTAGATACGGATCTGCAGGAGAGCCCTGGATTTCATTAATTTGGGTGACCATTTAGCTCTCTGAAAGCAATTTTTTTTTATTGCACAGAAATTTCTTCTGGTTATTCTGCCTTGTTTCCCTCAGATTACAGAGTTGAAGGCTGATTTTCAGTACCAGGAATCGCAGATGAGAGCCAAAATGAACCAGATGGAGAAAACCCACAAAGAAGTCACAGAACAACTGCAGGTGACTGACTCTGCTTATTTTATGTGCTAAAATTGTGTACCTACCTGGTATACCTAGCTGATTGTATTTTAAGTGATCATCTCTTAGATTTCTTTTTTTTCTCAAAGTATTAACAAATCATGTTAATCCCCCTTTTAGGTTTTTTTTTTTTGTTTTTTTTTTGAGACAGGTTCTCTGTCGCCTAGGCTGGAGGGCAGTGGCACGATCATGGCTTACTGCAGCCTCAACCTCCCAGGCTCAGGTGATCCTCCCACCTCACCCTTCCAAGTAGCGAAGACCACAGCCATATACCACCATACCCCACTAATTTATTTTTTAATTTTTTTGTAGAGATGGGCTCTCGCTATATTGCCTGGGCTAGTCTTGAACTCCTGGCTTCAAGCAATCCTCCCACCTCAACCTCACAAAGTGCTAGGATTACAGGCGTGAGCCACCATGCCCAGCCTGTAGATACTTTGTATTGTTTCACTCTTGGATGTGTTCTGATCTTTTCCCCTCAAAAACAGTAGAATTATTAAGTATGTTCTTTGATTTTTGAATAAACCAGATGTGATTCCAGATGTCTGAATTATAGATTCTGTTTATCCAGCTCATGAAGTCACTTCACAGTTTGTATTGCATAAAGCATCCCTTTGTAACAGTGGGTCCCAAGAGATTGAGGTACACTGATTAACCTCTGGCAAATACTTTTTTCTCCTGAACCAAGTTTCAAGCCCTAGAGCTTCCTGTTGTTTTCCACCTCTAGAATTGTTCATCTCTTTCTGACCCTCCACATTGTCTGCCTTAGCATCTGCACTTACTCTGCATGAAAAATAGCTTATATCCTGTTTGAAACATCCTTCTTGCACTGATTTTTTTTTTCTTTAGGCCAAAAACCGAGAGCTCCTGAAGCAGGCAGCTGCTTTGTCCAAGAGCAAGAAGTCAGAGAAGTCAGGAGCTATAACCTCTCCATGACAGACCTCAAGGAGGCTCCCTAGCAACAGCAAATGGAGTTGTCCAGGGTTAGGGTTGGAGACCTGGCTGTTCTGTGGGAATTGCAAGCTTTCTTAAGAAATCTCTATTTTATTACAGTTATCCTTCTTTGTGCGATTGCAGTGGGCTGAATGGAAACACCTGGTTTGTGCTGTGTTAGACTGCATGCTTGAGTGTTTGGGATTTCAAGCTCGCTCTCTTTCTCTCACTATTAGGACTTTTCTTTTTCTTCTTCCTCTTCTCTCTATTTTGGTTCTATTCTTTTTTTTTCTTTTTTCTTTTTTTTTTTTTTTTTTTTTTTGTGGTGGTCACTGCTCAGTGTAATGTGCAGAATGATTTGTTTTTTGTTTTTTTTTTTTTTTTTGGTCCTTCATTGCATCCTGCCATACCCATGAGCAAACAGTTTGGCATTAATTATATATCACTGCCACCCTCTGAACTTTGAAAACTGCCATCTTCAGACTTGGTATAATGGAAGAGGCTTTCTCTCTCCAATAAACCTTTTGCTTCAGGGTATACTCTTCGGTTTTTTTCCAGATGTATTATGTATGAACTTTGTACTATGTATAGCCAGAGTTTTATTTATTTTTTAAAAAAGAAACTTTTTCTTGATAAAGGAATAATGGTGGTCTAGCTAGTTCTTGTAAAAGTGATGCCTCTTGAAAAAAAAACAGTCCTATTCACTAGCTTTTAGTAAAAGAATCAGATCTTTTCTTTCTTGTTACCTTGGAGTCTTAAAAACTGATTGCTAAGGTGAAACAATTCAATGCATAAGTATGGAGCTAAGTGCCTTTTGGAGGATTTCTTGGAAGAGCATTTATGGAGATACTTAAGGGAGGTAGCAAAGATTTGAACCGTCTGTCTTTTTAAGTAAGGGCAGAAAGCAAGGTTGTCCAGGTTGTACTGGACACTTCTCTCCCCACCCCTTTCCTGATTGTTTTATGTGATTGATTTTAAATTCTCACACTGCCACTTCTTTAAAAAATAAAATCCTTTATTTGCTTATATCAGTTGTCATACTGGGCTGCTGTCAGAGAATGTTTTTTTACATGAATGAACAGATTAAAAATGGAATAATATGGTCGGGTGCGGTGGCTCACGCCTGTAATACCAGCAATTTGGGAGGCCAAGGCGGGTGGATCATTTGAGGTTAGGAGTTTGAGACCATCCTGGCCAACATGGTAAAACCCCATCTGTACTAAAAAAATACAAAAATTAGCCGGGCCTGGTGGCATGCACCTGTAATCCCAGCTACCCAGGAGGCTGAGGCAGGAGAACTGCTCGAATCCCGGGAGGCAGAGGTTGCAATGAGCTGAAATCGCAACACTGCACTGCAGCCTGGGCAATGGAGTGAGACTCCGTCTCAAAAAAAAAAAAAAAAGGAATAATATTTGAACTACAGAGCATTTTTGGGGTCAGCATGAGCTGCTCTAGTAAGGACTCTTGAGTCTGGGAAAAGTGGTATCACTATACCTTCTCCCCACTCCTCACCCACCCGAGCCCATACACTCCCTGCTTTTCATGGATATGTATTGAAAACAGGTGCTTCTCAGAAGCACTTTGCCTCAACCAGAGTTATGTATGCCCTGCCTATCTTCCCTTCTTAACCCTGTAGGAATATGGATTTACTTTTCCAGGAAAGGGGATAGATTTACATTTCTAGGCATACTCTCAGGTCCTCTATGTGATGTTTGTGAAAGGAATTAGGGTGTGTCATGTGTGCCATGAAACAACAAAACCAACTACCCTAGAATCATTTATGCAGGGGGTACTAGAGTTAGAAATAATAATGAGGGCAGATAACATTTGTACCTCAGTCTACCAAAAAATTATAGTACTAAATTTAACTTCTAGGCGTTTCCTGGAAGCAGATGCTCTATAATTTGTGATAGCATTCTCATAAATGGAGTCCTACACATAATTGGACAGAGATGTGGAAATGGTGGTTTCCTTCTGATAAGGGATACAGTGGACCATGTCGCTTATATATCACCCTACTAGGGGATATAATTTTCCCTTCTAAGCAAGGGAAATGGCAGTGCTAAATAGTTTTGTAAAGTTTTTGAATGAGAAGCTTTTAGGTAAAGATAAACTGTCATAATATTTTTCAGATGCATTTGCATTGACTATGGGAGAAAAATTAGGGGGAAATGACAGTCATGGTGTTTTTTTTTAATTTTAAGGACTGAAATTCTGTTACATGATGTATGACAATATAAAAACATACTTAGTTTTATACTAAATCTTTTTTTAAGGTCTTGGCATTTAATATAAAGCAAATTCACACGTTTTCTAACTTTCCATAAGTTCCAAAAAGGGAAAGAAGAAACCTCAGTCTTGAAATTTTGATTTTTAAAAATCATGACACTGTTTTACCATGAAATTGAGTAGCTAACTTTTGGTAACACCTTTTGTTTCTTTGTATGTTTGTAATAATGGACATTTTAAAACACAGGAATGTTTTGGTTTGTACAGACTTTGACAAATGTGTGTTAATAAAAATTCATATTGACTCAAGTGTAATTGTTGGATTTTGTTTTTATTTCTTGCTGTTTACCAGTAGACATACCCCGTTATCCCCTTCAGCCCTTCAGCCTAGAAAAGTTTGTCTTGCTTATAGACTTAAAAAATTAAAAGCCTAACTGCTAATTGGGAATTTCCTGTCCATTAGAGAATAAACTCTTTCTTTCTCTCTTCTATGACTGTTTTGAGACAGAGTCTCACTCAGTCATCCAGGCTGGAGTACAGTGGCAAGTAGATCACTGCAGCCCCGACTTCCTGGGGATTCTCCCACCTCAGCCTCCCAAGTAGCTGGGACTACAGATGCACGCCACCATACCCAGCTAATTTTTGTATTTTTTGTGAAGATAGGGTTTTGCCATCCAGGCTGGTCTCCAACTCCTGGACTCAAGCCATCCACCCACCTCATCAGCCTCCCAAAGTGCTAGGATTACAGGCATGAGCTACCACACCCAGCCTCTTGGTGATTCTGTTTACCCAGTGTAAGTGCTCATGTTGTGATAGGCACTGTGCTAGGCAGCGCGGTTACAGCAGTGACAAAACCAAGTTATTGTACTTATGGGGCTTCCATTTAGTGGAATATTGGACACCACCACACCACCATTGTTCCTTGATTTAAAAAAAACTTTTTTTTTTTTTAATGGAGTCATGCTCTGTCACCCAGGCTGGAGTGCAGTGGCATGATCTCGGCTCACTGCAACCTCTGCCTTCTGGGATCAAGTGATTCTCCAGCCTCAGCCTCCCAAGTAGCTGGAACTACAGGTGGCGCACCAACACATTCAGCTAATTTTTTTGTATTTTTAGTAGAGACGGGATTTCACCATGGTGGCCAGGCTGGTGTCGAACTCCTGACCTCAGGTAATACGCCCGCCTCAGCCTCCCAAAGTGCTGGGATTACAGGTGTGAGCCACTGTGCCTGGCCAAAAAAAATTTTTTGAGACAGTCTCTGTCACTTAGGCCAGAGTACAGTGGTGCGATCTCAGCTCACTGCCCCTTTGACCTCCCAGGCTCAATTGATCCTTCCACCTCAGCCTTCCAAGTAGTTTGGACTACAGGCATGTACCACCATTCCTGGCTAATTTTGTTTATTTTTTGTAGAGATGAGGTTTCAGTATGTTGCCCAGACTGGTCTTGAACTCCTGGACTCAAGTGATCCTCTCGCCTTGGCCTCCCAAAGAGCTGGGATTACCCAAGTGTGAGCCACCTCACTCAGCCAAATGTTCCTTGATTTTTATTATTATTATTCAAAATATAATACAGAATGAATCTGCATGAAGTATGAGTGAAAGCTTTTTGAAATGTCATCTCAGAAGGGGAGGAATGCATCCCTTTGAAACCCTAGAGCCAGCAGGTTTTAAAATGAGAAGTGCCTTTCAGACACTCACTGTTACATCCTGGTCATTCTATAAACTCAAAGCTAATTTTCTCAGAATAAGTTGAAGATACTTTTATTTTGTAGGCTATGGTTGTTTTTGTTTTGTTTTTTTTCTTTGTTTTTTTTTTTTTTTTTTTTGAGACAGACTCTCACTCTGTCACCCAGGCTCAAGTGCAGTGGTGCGATCTCGGCTCACTGCAACCTCTGCCTGCTGGGTTCAAGGGATTATCGTGCCTCACCCTCCTGAGTAGCTGGGATTATAGGCATGCGCCGCCATGCTCAGCTAATTTTTGTATTTTTAGTAGAGACAGGGTTATGCCATGTTGGCCAGGCTGGTCTTGAACTTCTGACCTCAGGTGATCCACCTGCCTTGGCCTCCCAAAGTGCTAGGATTTCAGCCATGAGCCACTGTGCCAGGCCTGTTTTTGTTTTTTTGTTTTTTGTTTTTTTGGTTTTTTGAGATGGAGTCTCGCTCTGTCACCCAGGCTGGAGGGCAGTGGTGCAATCTCAGCTCACTGCAACTTCCGCCTCCCAGATTCAAGTGATTCTCCTGCCTTAGCTTCTCGAGTAGCTGGGACTACAGGCACCCGCCACCACAGCTGGCTAATTTTTCTATTTTTAGTAGAGACAGGGTTTCACCATGTTGGCCAGGCTGGTCTCGAACTCCTGGCCTCAAGCAATCCACCTACCTCGGCCTCCCAAAGTACTGGGATTACAGGCGTGAGCCACCGTGCCCCGCCTATTTTGTAGGCTATATTTATGACTACAATTATTGTGTGAATTATCTTAATTGACTCATTTACTCAGCCTTTAAAACCACTGTAGGGTAAGAAAATAGTATAAACAGGCCAGGAGCGGTGGCTCATGCCTGTAATCCCAGTACTTTGGGAGGCCGAGGTGGGCAGATCACGAGGTCAGGAGTTCAAGACCAGCCTGGCCAACACGGCGAAACCCCATCTCTACTAAAAATACAAAAATTAGCTGGTTGCTATTTTATTTACTGTCCCTGGTGTAAGAACATGT
The DNA here is from genome assembly GCF_000001405.40 of Homo sapiens. Lineage (NCBI taxonomy): Eukaryota > Metazoa > Chordata > Mammalia > Primates > Hominidae > Homo > Homo sapiens. Next base: position 27,765,518 of record NC_000001.11, read on the forward strand.
CAGCCTTGATGTTAATTGCACAAATTATAGTCTATGATGCACATGGCACTTTTGCCTGTCCTGGAGGATTGCCTTTAATTAACTGGCTTCCTAGAACATGTATACCTATTCACTATGGTATATAAGCTTTGGGTCTGGGGAGTAACAGCACAGAAATCTACCTGTCTTGTGGCTGCCCAAGACTATGCTTCTGTGTGTAAGTTCCCTCAGTCAATCAACCAATACTGACAAATTGGATTTGTCTGCCTCCTCCTTTGGCTCCTCAGCTCCTTCGGCATTTGGAGTTCACTTTGCATATACAGCCGTTTCACTGGACAGAGGACAACAAAGTAGAAGAGCATATGAGGTGGAGGCTATTGTGCTGACCATCTTATAAAATACAACCTGCCACAGAGGGAATGGGTTTTGGAACTAAACCAGATCGGAGAGAGCAAGCTGTAATGTCCTTTATGTCCTACCTTCAGACATCACACTCCATCATTTCTGCAATATCCTATTGGTTACAGGGGTCAAGTTACTGACACTTCAATGTGGGAAGAGACTGTCCAGGTGCATTAATACCAGAAGATGATATTGAGGGTCCACCTTGGAGGCTAGCTACCACATTGACTTTTGGCCAATAGGATCAAGTAACGACTGTGTGAACCTCTGGATTTTGAAGATAGCAATAAAAATTACCTTTTGGGGGAAAGTAGTTCATACTTCTTAGCTATTACTGGAATCCATGACTTCTCCAACTACCAGGGCTTGCCAGGCTGTACTTCCAGCAAATTATCAACCCTATTTGAAAAGTGAGACTGTGTGGTGCTATGATGTCAGGCTGCCTGAAGTAGAGACTTCCTGTCTCTACTTACCTTAGAGTTGTTGTGAGGATTAAATAACACATATAGAAGTCTTTTTTTTTTTTTTTTTTTTCAGAATCAGATCTCAGCCAGGCACGGCGTTTCACGCCTGTAATCCCAGCACTTTAGGAGGCTGAGGCAGGCGGATCACGAGGTCAGGAGATTGAGACCATCCTGGCCAACATGGTGAAACCCCATCTCTACTAAAAATACAAAAATTAGCTGGACGTGGTGGCATGTGCCTGTGATCCCAGCTACTCAGGAACCTGAGGCAGGAGAATCGCTTGAACCAGAGAGTCGGAGGTTGCAGTGAGCCCAGATCGCACCACTGCACTCCAGCCTGGTGACAGAGGGAGACTCTGTCTCAAAAAAAAAAAAAAAAAAAGACTCAGATCTCACCCTGTTGCTCAAACTAGAGAGCAGTGGCGTGATCACAGTTCACTGCAGCCTCGAACTCTTAGACTCAAGCAATCTTCCTACCTCAGCTTCTCGAGAAGCTGGGACTACAGGCTCAAGCCACTATGCCCAGCTACATGTAGAAGTCTTTAGAACAGTGCTTGGTACATAGTATGCACTCAATTTTGTAAGCTATTATCATCTATGACTTCTACAGAATCAACATTTTATGTTTCCTAAGAAGGAAGGTGATAGAGGCATAAATTAGAATGAACATGTATGTTTACTTGTTTTTTTGCTTCCGAAGTCACTTTAGTCCTATGTCACTTCTAGGCCGTCAGACCATTATTGCAACCCACAACTTTTATACCTCTTTTTCAACTCCACATTACCCACCTCATATATGCCACTTTATTGCGTTGATTTCTAGAGTGTCATTTAAGTATGTGTGTCTCTGTGTGTGTGTATAAAATTGGCATACACAAAAATAACCCTCAGTGCACAATGAGTTTTGACAAGTATATGCAGCTGTGTAATCACCACCATAATCAAGACATGGAACATATTCATCAACCCCAAAAGTTCCCTTGAGTCCTTTGGTGCCCTTCCCTCCACACCAGCCTTTATGCAACCACTAATCTGATTTATATTCCTATAGCTTTGCCTTTTCAAGAATGTCATGTAGCCAGGTGCGGTGGCTCACGCCTATAATCCCAGCACTTTGGGAGGCCAAGGTGGGCGGATCACGTGAGGCCAGGAGTTGAAGACCAGCCTGACCAACATGGCGAAACCCCATCTCTACTAAAAATACAAAATGAGCCAGGCATGGTGGCACATGCCTGTAATCCCAGCTACTCGGGAGGCTGAGGCAGGAGAATCGCTTGAGCTTGGGAGGCAGAGGTTGCCGTGAGCCGAGATTATGCCATTGCACTCCAGCCTGGGCGACAAGAGTGAAACTCCATCTCAAAAAAAAAAGAGAATGTCATATAAATAAAATCATATAGGATATGGCCTTTTACGTCTGACTTTTTTCACTTAGCGTATGTGTTTGAGATTCATCCGTGTTTTTGCATGTCTCAGTAATTTATTCCATGTCTCAGTAGTTTCTTTTTATAGCTGAATAGTTTTCCACTGTATGGATGTACCACAGTTTATCTCTTCAGCAGTTGATGGACACTTGAGCTGCTTCCAGTTTTTGGTTATTACGAATAAAGCTGCCGTAAACATTTGCATACAGGTCTTTTAATAGAAATGTGTTTTTATTATTCTTGGGTAAATATATAGCAGTGGAGCTGCTGAATTGCTGGGTTGTATGGTAAATTTATTCTTAACTGTATACGAGACTGTAAAACTATTTTCCAAAGTGACTGTACCATTTTGCATCCCCACCAGCAATATATGATGAGTGCTAATTTTAATACAGTATTATTTGCAACCTAAGTGAATTTCCCCATTAACTCCTCCCTACCAGTCCCCAGGAAGCTCACCATACTGATAGTAATAGTGATACTTCATGATCTTGGCTTATTGCAACCTCTGCCTCCCGGGTGCAAGCCATCCTCCCACCTCAGCCTCCCGAGTAGCTGGGATTACAGGCCTGTGCCACCATGCCCAGCTAATTTTTGTATTTTTTGTAGAGACAGGGTTTCACCATGTTGTCCAGGGTAGTCTTGATCTCCTGAGCTCAAGTGATCCATCCTTTTGGCCTCCCAAAGTGCTGGGATTGCAGACATGAGCCACTGCACTTGGCCCTATTCTGACTTTTAATAACATAGATTTAATTTGGCCAGTTTTGAACTTAATAAAGATGAAATGATACAGATTGTACTCATTTTATGTCTAGCTTCCTCTTCTCCTTTTTTTTTTTTTTTTTTTTTTTTTTTTTAAGAGACAGGGTCTCGCTGTGTCGCCCAGGCTGGAGTGCAGTGGTGCAATCATAGCTCACTGCAGCCTTGACCTCCTGGCCTCAAGGATCCTCTCACCTTGATCTCTCAGGTAGCTAGGACTACAGGTGTGCACCACTGTGCCTAGCTAATTTGTGTCTGGCTTCTTTAGCTATGCATTGTTGGGAAGAGGTCACCTATGTTGTTCACACAGCAGTAGGCCATTTATTTTTGTGCTTTATAATATCTGTTTATACAAACCTCTGTTGATGGATATTCGAGTTGTTTACAGTTTGGAACTAGTAAAAATAAATACTGCTATGAACTTCATAATAACACCAAATTGGAAACAATGCAAACATCCATCAATAAGAGAATGGATAATCAAACTGTAAGTATATTTATATGAGGAAATACTAATGAGTAATAAAAAAAGACCAAACTACTGATATATGTGACATCATGGATAAATCTCAAAAACATTGTGTTAATTGAAAAAAGCCAAACACTAAAGAATATATAAAGTATGAAGTCCAAGAGCAGACAAAGCTAATCTGTAGTGACAAAAATCAGAAAGTAAAGTCCAGGTGCAGTGTGGCTCATGCCTGTAATCCCAGCACTTTGAGAGGCTGAGCCAGGCGGATCATTTGAGAGGCCGAGGCGGGTGGATCATTCGAGACCAGCCTGACTAACATGGTGAAACCCTGTCTCCACTAAAAATACAAAACAAATTAGCTGGACATGGTGGCGCATGCCCATATTCACAGCTACTTGGGAGGATGAGGCAGGAGAATTGCTTGAATCACGAGGTGGAGGTTGCAGTGAGCCAAGATCGTGCCACTGCACTCCAGCCTGGGCGACAGAGTGAGACTCCATCTCAAAAAAAAAAAAAAATCAGTAAGTAACTTCCAGTGATGAGGGAAATGGATTAAAAAGGAGCATAAGTCAAGGAAACTTTCTGGGGTGATGATAAAAATGTTTTATCTCTTGATTTGGGTGTGGCAGTTACATGGATGTGTACAAGTGTCAAAATCCATTGAGCTGAACACTTACTATCTGTGCATTCGATTGTATATCAATTATAACTCAATAAAAATTAAATGTAAGGGCTGGGTGTCATAGCTCACTCCTGTAATCCCAGCACTTTGGGAGGCCGAGGTGGGTGAATTGCTTGAGCCCAGGAGTTTGAGACCAGCCTGGGCAACATGGCAAGACCACATCTCAACAAAAAAATACAAAAATTAGCCAGGTGTGGTGGTGCGTGCCTGTAGTCCCAGCTACTTGGAGGCCTGAGGTAGGAAGATGGCTTGAGCCAGGGAGATTGAGGCTGCAGTGAGTCGAGATCACGCCACTGCACTCCAGCCTGTCTCCGAAAAAAAAAAACAAAAAGTAAATAAGTATAGAAAAATGCTGCTTGGTCCTAAAAATGCTCCTATGAACTATACCTGATTTTTGGAACACGCATAGTTGGGTATATAGTTAGGAGTAGAATTGCTGGGTCAGAAGGTGCATGGGAATCCTGGCTCTGTCACTTAACAGCTGTATGACATTAGGCAAGTACCCAGAATCTCTAGTTTCTTTATCCGTACCAAGGAGCTAATATCGCCTTGATGGGTGCAAACCCATGAAGACTACTTTCGTTAATTAACAAAAGTATGTAGAGCTGAGAGACATTTTCTCTAAAGCCATAGATTTTTAGAAAATTTGTTGCTCAAATTATCAGTAAGAATGGAATATATCACTCTTACCTGGAGGATCAGTTACTTTGATGCAGAAGAGCAGCCTCAATTTCTAACGCAGGTGCAGAGCTTCAGATAAGGGGTTTCCAGACACAACATTCCACATTTATCTTGGCATCATGGTTTCCAAGGAAACAGGATCTTGTTAGCTGGGGCCTGATGATAATCCCTTTACACATAGCCTGGTGTGTTTGGGGGCTATCAAAACACTGCTTCTTTAAAAATTTATCTACATTTCTTTCCCCCAAATCCTGGAATAACTCACTGTCTTCCTGTGTTTTGTGACATGCTCCATGATTCTTTTGGTGTGCAGTTTCCCTTGCAGCAGCAAGTTAATAAACTTAACTTTGTCTGACTACAGGTGGTCTTTATCAGATGGGCTTTATCTTGGAGATTACTGATAACGTACACAAAATGTGTTCATACTGCCTGGCACCTAACAGGCATTTAAGCAATGATAAAATTATTATTTTTATTATTCATGTGTTAATTCAATAAATGTTTGTTTGACATCCAGTATTTGCAAGGCACAGATTTACTGCTATGAGAGATGCTCACTGCAACCTCTGCCTCCCTGGCTTAAGCTACACTCCTGCCTCAGCCTCCCGAGTAGCTGGGACTACAGGCTCAGGCCACTATGCCCAGCTAATTTTTGTATTTTTGGTAGAGATAGGGTTTTGCCATTTTGCCCAGGCTGGTCTCGAACTCCTGAGCTCAAGCAATGATCAGCCTGCCTCAGCCTCCCAAAGTGCTGGAATTCCAGTTGTGAGCCACCGCGCCCAGCCTAAAAACCACTTTTATTTTACATGGAGAAAGAAAACAATATTTTTAATTCCTAAAAGAAAAATATCTTTACTGAACTTCACTTTAAATAGTGTCAAATGTAAATGAAAAAAATCATCAGTACTATTATATAGGTAAAAAAGTGCAATTTACATGACTTGCTTAAGATTTGACATAAAACTACAGATTCTAAGAAACGGTAAGGTTTTATAATAATAACCAAAACAGGCTGGGTGCGGTGGCTCACGCCTGTAATCCCAACACTTTGGGAAGCCGAGGCGGGTGGATCACCTGAGGTCAGGAGTTCGAGACCAGCCTGGCCAACATGGTCAAACCCCATCTCTACTAAAAATACAAAAAGTACCCGGGCGTGGTGGTACACGCCTGTAATCCCAGCTACTCGGGAGGCTGAGGCAGGAGAATCGCTTGAACCCAGGAGGCGGAGGTTGCATTGAGCCGAGATTGCGCCATTGCACTCCAGCCTGGGCAACAGAGCAAGATTCTGTCTCAAAAATAAAATAAAATAAAATAACCAAAATAAGAGTCCCCAAATGTCATCCGTCTCTTTCTAGAGACAGGGAAAAAAAATGCTCTCATAAATTCTCCAACGAAAAATAGAGATAGTCACCCTTAAAAAATCCTAAGGCTGGTGGGTGGATTGCTTGAGCCCAGGAGTTTGAGACCAGCCTGGACAACATGGCCAAACCCCAACACTACAAAAAATATAAAAATTAGCTGGGCGTGGTGGCGCACGCCTGTAATCCTAGCTACTCAGAGGTTAGGTGGTAGGACCTCCTGAGCCCAGGAGAAGGAGGATGCAGTGAGCAGAGATCGCGCCACTGCACTCCAACCTGCGTGACAGAGCGGGACCCTGTCTCAAAAAAAATAAAATAAAGAAAAAATCCTAAGGCCATATACAGGCTCATTCACTTTGGGTCTCCTTTCATCCAGGCAAGCAGCTTTCTGTCTTTGCATTTTCCAAAGACTACAAAGCAGGCTGGGGTGGGGTGGGGTGGGGTGTAGAACACAGGAAACGCAGCCAGTTCCCCTTCACTTCTCACTATCTTGATCTCCTCCCAAACCAAAATCCTATGTCTTTCCTTTTAACATAGGCTTACAAAAATGCAGTTTTCTGTGGGAACATTGAGGTCATGCATTCCAAATTACTTAAGGGAACGATTTTTAAATTTTAGGAATCTAGTTCTCCAAGATATCCCGGCTTGGGATATAGATGAACGAGCTATTTGGGAGAGATTTAGACGAGAATGAATTTTAGAGAAGTAGCGAGGTGAGGAGAGAGTCAGCTTAGCGTTTGGGTTTTGCAGTCAAATTTCAGCAAGGCGAACTAACCTCGCTGGTCTTAATTTTCTCATCGGTAAGAGGGAAAATAATAATGCTTACTTTGATGAATTACTTTACTTCAACATTTAAAAAACCGACTCTCCGTTATCTATTCTAATGATAAAAATATAGATAGAGCATCGTCCCCTGCTGTGAAAAATCTTATGAACAAGTGAATTGCGGTGAGGATTCACATAGTATGTGCTCAATAAACATTATTTTATTGTTTAGATTAGAAGAGGGGTGGAGGGAGAAATGAAAGTGGTTTGGAAACCCCAAACACTACCAAAGCCCTGGGGATGGAAGTAGAGAGGAATTTCGGGTTACGATTTGGTTCCGGGTCTGAGTTTCAACGTTGAATTCTCCCATATTTGGGCCTGAATTCTCAGAACAGAATAGGATGTAAGGGCTGAGATCATCTGGTACAGTTTTATGCAAATCGAAAATTCTTGCCTCTTGTCACTGTGCCCTGGCGAGAAACAACACCTCCACCCAAGCTCATCCAATCTCAGCCCCAACTAGGTGACGTCATCTCCCCGCCCTGCATCCCCAAGCCTCGGGGAGTCCTGTCTCTAAGCTACAGTCCCAGCTCCAGTCCCAGCTCCAGTCCCAGCGGCGCCTGCGCACTTTGGACCGGGGCGGGGAGGACGCGTGCGCGCCGCGTGAGGGCGGGGCTAGTGCGCACGCAGCCTTAGCTCCTTCCCCGCCCTTGCTCTTCCCAGTTTCTCCGTCAGCCTGCGGGTCCCGGCTGGCGGCTGCTTCCGGTAGGAGAGCGGTGTAGAGCGAGCAGGTCTCAGCTCCTCGTCATGTCATACGGTCCCTTAGACATGTACCGGAACCCGGGGCCCTCGGGGCCCCAGCTCCGGGACTTCAGCAGCATCATCCAGACGTGCAGCGGCAACATCCAGCGGATCAGCCAAGCCAGTGAGCCGGGGTACCGAGCTGGGGGGCGGGAGCTGTCCCGGGGACAGGCCTGGGTGAGGCTGCCGGGACGCAGGGCCCGGCTGGGGCTACGGCCGAGGCCACACCTGGGGCTGTCTCGGGCTGTCCACCCTGGGGGCGGTGGGCTGCCATCCCCCAATCTGTCAGGCCCGGGTTGCCCGAGGGTCCCCGGCCCCAGCTGAAGCTTGAGCTGCTTCTCTGGAGTTCTGCCCCCACGGTGCTGGGACCAAAACAGCCGACTTGACAGCCCGAGGGTGGGAAGGGGAGTGTGTGTCACCTCGAGAGCTGTGAGTGCGTTGACTTGGCGCAGTGGTCAGCCGAGTTTCTCCTGTCACCCACCTTCCTCCCCACCCACCTCGCTTTCCTCTTAGACCAGTTTGGATGGGGTTGTTTACTGATTTAGCCTTTAGGTTTACATTCTGCTCAGCCCCTGGCTCCTCGGAAATCAGCAACTTTCAATTAAGGGAAGTGGAGAGTGCATGTGTTTGGGTGACTTCATACACAGTTCTTCCTGTAATGAATTCGGAAATCAGACACAATGACTGGTATTTGAAAGGTGGGATGACTTCATTTTAATAAAGAGAATTCACCAACAGCATTTCAATTTACATTATTTTGTCTTTTGTAACAAATAATTGGGGTGTATTTTTGGATTTCAGGCAGATGAGGCTTTTGTTTTCCTTCCCTACTTAGCTGCTCTTGAACAAATCTGGTACACAGGGAAGCTAAGACACTTAGCCACAACCACATAGCAAGTAAGGCATGGTAGAGTTGTTGGTGGAATTCAGAATGCTATTGCTTGTCTTAAAACTCCCTCCTCCCCATTAGGGTCTGAGTGAAACTGTAGCTGAATGAGTCAAATACAGGGTGTTTCTTGTGCTTGAAAATCATCTTGGAGCCTTATAAACAGGAGATCAGCAGCAGCTTTACTTGGAAAGAATGGTGGTCATCATCCTTGTTGTTTATTATTGTTTTGTGAGCTTGGCGTACTCTGTTAATAGGTAGAACTAGTTAGTCCTGAATTACAATTATATTCTATATTTTAAAGAGTGTCACTTTGCTTTCGTTTTTAAACTTTTAAAAATTTTTCTTTTTTGTAGAGATGAAGTCTTGCTATGTTGGCCAGGCTGGTCTCAAACCCCTGGGCACAAGCACTTCTCCCACTTTAGCCTCCCAAAGTGCTGGGATTACAGGCGTGAGCCACTGTGCCTAGCCTAATTTTTTTGATTTAAAATATTTTTAATTTATTTTTTCGAGACAGAGTCTACTTCTGTCACCCAGGCAGAATGCAGTGATCTGAGTGAAGTGGTACAATCCTAGCTCACTATAACCTTGAATTCCTGATCAGCTTGCTGAGTAGCAAGGACTACAAGGATGCATCTACCGTGCCAGGCTAATTTTTAAATTTTTTGTAGGGATGGGGTCTCACTATGTTGCCCAGGCTCACTTTGCTTTTAAATCTAAATGTATATTGTAGAATTTGAGAAGTAGAAAGTTTCTGATCAAAAGGGATTGAGACTCTGGAAGTGAAAGGAAGAATATGTGGCCTGTTAAAATCCAGAAGTAAAAAAAATTAATATGACCACTGGTTAGAAAGTATAGTACTGTTTGTTCCAGTTTCCTTTTGTGAAGGAGCTGTAATACAGGTTAGATCAGAAAATTCTAGTTCAAGGCTGAAATTTTCTTGTTGAAGCTAAATCTAATTTTAATATCTATTTGCGAAATATTCATTCAACATGTATCCATCTATCCATCTTCGTGTGTATTTTATATATATATAAAACCAGAATACTCCCAAAGGTAGATCCGACATACAGTTTTAAATTTAAATTTAAATTTTTATTTTGAGACAGGGTCTCACTCTGTCACCCAGGCTGGTATGCAGTGGCATGATCTCAGCTCACTGCAGCCTCAACCTCCCTGGCTCAAGCAGTCCTCCTGCCTCAGCCCTACAAGTAGCTGGGACTACAGGTGTGCACCACCACGCCCGGCTAATTTTTATATTTTTTGTAGAGATGGAGTTTCACCATGTTGTCCAGTCTGGTCTTGAACTCCTGTGCTCAAGTGATCCACCCACCTTGGCCTCCGAATAGGCCAGGATTACAGGCATGAATCATCATGCCTGGCCTTCAACATATATTTATTTGAGTATGTAGTAAGTATAAGAACTGGCATGGATCTTTCAACAGGGAACCTGCAGAGTTCATAACCAAAATATAAAGTTGAAAGGGATTGGTGCTATAGAAGACATATAAATAACATGCAGGTATTCTGGGAAGAGAGAGATTGTTTTTAATTGAGAAGGCATTATGGCATTTGAGTTATGTCTGGAAAGAGGATGGAAAGATTTGGACCTTCGAAGGTAAAGAGGAGAAGAGCATTCCAGGAGGGAATAAAATGAACAGGCATCATAGTGGGGAAGCATAGAGTATATCTAGAAGAGTAATTTAATTTGGCTAGAGTGGTGGATTCCAGAAAGTAGTGGGAAAAAAGGATTGAAAGGTAAATTGTGGCCCAAACATGAAGGATGTTAAATGCTAAGCTAAGGGGCTTGGATTTAGTTATTTAGGAAAGTGCGAATTGAATTCAAAGGGAGAGACTGGAATCAGAGATACCAGTTAGGGCTGTGAAAATGAAAAGAAAGGAAAGGATAGGAGAGGTTTCCTTGGTGATAGAATTGGTAAGATTTAGCTATTGATTGGGCATTGGGCCTCAGGGGATCATTTAAGTCAACTGTTAGTAATATTAATAGCTAACATTTGAGTACATACTGTGTTCCAGGCAGTATGAAAAGTGCTTTACATACATTATCTTATTTTATAACAACTCTGAAGCACCAGTATCATTTCCATGTTATGTATTAGGAAACAAACTAAGAAAGGTTAAATAGTTGCCCTGCTAACAAATGACAATATCTGAATTTGAAACTAGGTCTCTTATGACCAGCAATTTGTCTTTTTATTACTTTTTATTAATATTACAGTTCTGGGCTGTGCTCAGTGGCTCACACCTGTAATCCCAGCACTTTAGGAGGCCAAAGAGGGAGGATTACTTGAGGCCAGGAGTTTGACACTAGCCTGGACAACATAGTGAGACCCCATCTCTACAAAAAAAAAGTTAAAAATTAGCCAGACATGGTAGCATGTGCCTGTAGTCCTAGCTACTCAGGAGGCTGAGGCTGGAGAATCTCTTGAGCCCAGGAGTTGGAGGCTGCAGTGAGCTGTGATTATGCCACTGTACTGCAGCCTGGGTGGCAGATCAATACTTTGTCTCTAAATAAATAAATTAAAAATAAATAAATCAATAACAGTGCTATAGCAGTTAACACTTCAGGTTTACAAGTATGCAAATAACTTGTTTTTTCACTCTCCAGAGGACACTCTGTGGGGGAAATACCTGAAGCCGTGGTGCTTTCTCTTCTCGTGGTGTGTTCATCTCCTCTGCCAGATTGTTAGCTCCTTTGAGTCAAGGGACATGACTTATTCATCTTTATATTTCCAGTACTTATCTCAGTCCCAAACATATGAAAGATTCATTGATCCACTATGCAACAAATATTCCTGGAGCACCTGCTGTGTGCTGGGGTGAAGCAGAACAAGAGATAAAATCCCTCCCCTGATTGTGTGTATATGTGTGTTTCTGTGTGCGGGGGGAGTATGTATACACACATACGTACATACACATATAAATAATGTCAAGTAATAATAAATGCTATGAAGAAAAAGCAGGGTAAGTGGGTAGAGAGTCAGGGAAGAGGGAGGGTGGGTGCATTATTTTAGTTGATCAAGGAAGGCATCTCTGAGGAGCTGACATTTGAGTGAGTAGACATGTGAATGAAATGAGCAAGAGCTGTGTGAGTAGCTGGGAAAGGCATTCTAGGTAGAGGGCAAGAGCAAGGACTTTGATGTGTTCAAAGAAGAGCAAGGAGGCTAGTTTGGCTGGAGTACCGTTAGAAAAGGGAGGCAGAATAGGAAAAGAGGCCAGAGAGGTAACCAGGGATCACATTATATAGGATCTTGATGCATAATAAATTGTATCAAATTGATTTGAATGAATGAGGCATTTCTACCATTTTGGAACTCTTCCTGCCTCTTTCCCCTTGTACTGTGTAGTACATACCATATCCTATGACCCTAGGCAGTGTGAGTTGAGATTCTTCCAGGCCGGACACGGTGACTCACGCCTGTAATCCCAGCACTTTGGGAGGCTGAGGCAGGCGGATCACAAGGTCAGGAGTTTGAGACCAGCCTGGCCAATATGGTGAAACCCTGTCTTTACTAAAAATACAAAAAAATTAGCCAGGCGTGATGGTGCACGCCTGTAATCCCAGCTACTTGGGAGGCTGAGGCAGGAGAATTGCTTGAATCCGGGAGGCGGAGGTTGCGGTGAGCCGAGATTGCGCCACTGCACTCTGGCCTGGATGACAGAGCGAGACTCAGTCTCAAAAAAAAAAGAAAAAAGAAAGAAATTCTTCCTTTGGAATTGTTTGGTGAGAAATGGGAAATCTGAAATTGATGGGATGACGTTGCATCTACTCAGTTATCAAGCTAGTGCCTATCCCCAAACCTCTCCAAGAGGCCAGCACACCCAAATATACCCTTAGAATATGAGCTCTCAGACATATATATTACCCACACACCCATACAGCCCTGCAAGGACTTGTACCCATTAAAAGTCTGAGAGCATAGTTATTCTTTTTTCTAAACTGTTCAGCCACAGATGTGGGGTTGGAATTGCTGAGCACATCAGCCTGAGATAAGGCAGCTCACTGCGTGGGTTGTTACAGGTACAGCTAAGGTTGACTGCCTGGTACAAGTGGTGATTATCAGTATGTGTTGGGTACAGAAGAAAAATATTTGACTTACTGTGGAACAAAGTGTCTGGGCAAGTATTGCTGAGGCAGATATAGCTGAAAACCTATTAGCCTCAAAGTTAACTCTGAAGGGATTAAAGAACAGCATTTCTGACTGGGCGAGGTGTCTCACGCCTGTAATCCCAGCACTTTGGGAGGCCGAGGCGATCGGATCACCTGAGGTCAGGCATTCGAGACCAGCCTGGCCAACATGGCGAAACCCTGCCTCTACTAAAAATCAAAAAGTAAGCCGGGTGTGATGGCAGGCGACTGTAGTCCTAGCTGCTCGGGAGGCTGAGGTAGGAGAATCGCCTGAACTGGGGAGGTGCAGGTTGCAGTAAACCAAGACCAAGATCGCTCCACTGCACTCCAGCCTGGGCAACAGAGCGAGATTCCATCTCAGGAAAAAAAAAAAAAAAAGAACAGCATTTCTGTTCTTTATGTTGCTAATTGATGTGATCTTGTTTACTAACAAAATAAGAAGAGTGGAGGTCTCACTCTGTCACCCAGGCTGGAATGCAGTGTGCAATCGTAGTCCACTGTAACCTCAAACTCTTGGGCTTTAGCGATCCTCTTACTTGAGTCTCCCAAATAGCTAGGACTACAGGCATATGCCACTGCGCCTGGCAAGTTGTAAAAGTTTTTTAGAGACGGGGGTCTCGCTGTGTTGCCCAGGCTGGTCTTGAATTCCTGACCTCAAACCATCCTCCCACCTCAGTCTCCCAAAGCAAGAAGAGTTGAACATTTAAAATTGATTATTATGAAATCCTTGGGGTTCCACTTTCAAAGTTATTTTCATGTTTGCCCCTTATTTTTTATGTTTCTTTGCTATCCTCTTAAGTATTCATCAGCTCAACATCTGTATTTCAACAGCATATTCATAGTGTCTCTGATTATGGTCTTGCCCCATTCTAGTTTATACTGATGGTGCTATCAGCACTATGTCTAAAGTCCTGTTTTTATTATACTGCTCACTTCCTCAAGAGCCTAAAGTGGCTCTCTGTTGTCTATTGAATCAGATGGTTTTTTTTGTTTTTGTTTTTTTTTGTTTTTTTTTGAGCCAAGTCTCACTCTGTCGCCCAGGCTGGAGTGCCATGGCGCAATCTTGGCTCACTGTAACATCCACCTCCTGGGTTCAAGCAGTTCTCCTGCCTCAGCCTCCCGAGTTGCTGGGATTACAGGACCTGCCACCACGCCCAGCTAATTTTTGTATTTTTATAGAGACAGGGTTTCACCATGTTAGCCAGGCTGGTCTCGAACTCCTGACCTCAGATGATCCACCTGCCTCGGCCTCCGAAAGTGCTGGGATTACAGGCATGAGCCACCGTGCCTGGCCTGAATCAGATCTTAATATTTCACCTTGCTTTCACTCCCTGCGATCTTAACCCAAATTAGCCATATTTTCTACTCTTCCTTACTCTTTGCTAGGAAGGCTATTTTCTTTATGTTTCTCAACTCTATCTTTCAGTTTATATTTTGCTCATTTGGTTCCTCCTTTTTTTTTTTAGAGAAAGAGAGTTTCGCTGTTGTTAACAGCCCAGGCTGCAATGCAGTGGTGCGATCTCGGCTCACCACAACCTCTGCCTCCCAGGTTCAAGCGATCCTCCAGCCTCAGCCTCCCGAGTAGCTGGGATTACAGGCGTGTACCACCACGCCCGGCTAATTTTGTATTTTTAGTAGACACAGGGTTTCTCCATGTTGGTCAGGCTAGTCTTGAACTCCTGACCTCAGGTGATCCGCCCGCCTTGGCCTCCCAAAGTGCTGGGATTACAAGCATGAGTCACTGCGTCCGCCCTTTGGTTCCTCCTTTTTTTAGTATCTTTTCTCTCCCTACCTCATTGGCTATCTAAATTATACAAATCCTCTCAGTTGTGCATAAGTCCTGCTGATAGCAATTAAGTTTTTCTTTGCTTGTTTTTTTTTTTTTTTTTTGAGACGGAGTCTTGCTCTGTTTCCCAGGCTGGAGTGCAGTGGGGCGATCAGGCTCATTGCAACTTCCGCCTCCCAGATTCAAGCAATTCTCCTGCCTCAGCCTCCCCAGTAGCTGGGATTACAGGCGTGCACCACATGCCCGACTAATTTTTGTATTTTTAGTAGAGACAGGGTTTCACCATGTTGGCCAGGCTGGTCTTGAACTCCTGACCTCAGGTGATCTGCCTGCCTTGCCCTCCCAGAGTGCTGGGATTACAGGCGCCCAGCCTTCCTTTGCTTTTGAAAGACAAAGTGAAGTCAGAAAGATCATGGACTCTCCGGGGTCAGCAGATCTGTGACTGAATCCCTCCCCTTCCATGTATTAACCTCGAGCAGGTTATTTTCCCTGCCGTGTGTAACCCCATTTATAAAATGAGTGAAATTATTAAAAGGGGATGTTTGAGGCTGGGCACAGTGGCTCACACCTGTAATCCCAGCACTTGGGGAGGCTGAGGCGAGTGGATCTCTTGAGCTCAGAAATTTGAGACCAGCCTGGGCAACTTGGCGAAACCCTGGCTCTACCAAAAATACAAAAATTAGCTGGGTGTGGTGGCACACACCTGTAGTCCCAGCTACTTGGGAGGCTGAGATGGGCAAATCGCTGATCGCTTGAGCCTGGGAAGCAGAGGTAGCAGTGAGCCGAGATCACGTCACTGCACTCCAGTCTGGGTGACAGAGTGAGACCCTGTCTCAAAAAAAAAAAGGGGGGATGTTTGAAAGTGTCTGGTATACTGCCTGCCTGGCACATAGCAGGCGTTCAATAAATGGTGACATTATTATTATTTTTATTATTTTGAGATGGAGTCTTGCTCTGTCACTCAGGCTGGAGTACAGTGGCGCAATCTCAGCTCACTGCAACCTCTGCCTCCCGGGGTTAAGCAATTCTCATGCCTCAGCCTCCTGAGTAGCTGGGATTACAGGCTCATGCCACCACGCCCAGCTAATTTTTGTATTTTTAGTAGAGACAGGGTTTCACCATGTTGACCAAGCTGGTCTCGAACTCCTGACGTCAGGCGATTTGCCCACTGCAGCCTCCCAAAGTGCTGGGATTATAGGTGTGAGCCACCACGACCAGCCCCAGTGGTGACATTATTAATACTTGTTGAATCCCTTGCCCTGCAATAGTTTAATAGTTAGGTAGGCAGGCTCAGGAGTCATATTGCCAGGATTTGAATCCTAGATCTGCTTCTTACTAGCTGTGTAAACACATTGCTTTACCTATTTCTCAGTTTCCTTATTGTTAAAATGGAGTTAATAATACCTATTTCATAGGGTTGTGATGATTAAATGAGATAATTCATCTACAGTCCCTGCTACATAGTAAGTGCTTAAGAAATGTTAGCTCTCATTTTGGTGTATTTCCTTTGAATTTATAATACAAGCAATTTTCCCTCACAGTTTAGCACGCACTTATATTATATATTCTTTAATTAATTCAAGCTTTTTGATATTGTCACCCCAAGCAGAGAGATCACTGTTAGTTTTGTGGAGACCATGCATTATACATTTGTCTTTAGTCACAGTGCCTGGAACAACAATGCATATATAGTTGGCATTCAATATGTACTTAATTGATTTTATTACTGCTAAGTACATTTTTCTTGGTCTTGAGTTTGATAATAATAGCTATCTTTAATTGAGTGCTTTTATGTGCCATTGTTCTAAATTTAGCTTCGTATCATCTCATTTCATCCTCACAACAACCATATGAAGATTCTCTTATTCTCATTTTTAAGGCAAAGAAACTAAGGCATAGAGGAGTGGAGCCTTTTACTCAAGATCACTTTGCTTGGAAGTAGCGGGACCACGACAAGCATAGGCATAAGCAGTGGTTTTTTGTTTTTTGTTGTTTTGAGAAAGGGTCTTGCTCTGTCACCCAGGATGTGCCAGTAGTACAGTGGTACCGTCATAGGTCACTGCAACCTTGAACTCAAGGGATCCCCCCACCTCCACCTTCCGAGTAGCTAGGACTACAGGCACGCACCACCACGTCCAAGTAATTTTTTAATTTTTTGTAGAGACGGGCTCACTTTGTTGCCCAGGCTGGTGTCAAACTCCTGGGTTCAAGTGATCCTCCCACCTTGGCCTCCCAAAGTGCTGGGGTTACAAACTTGAACCACCATGCCTGGCCATATAGGCGGTCTTAATTCAGAGCTATGCTCTTAACCATTGCATATTCTGAAACTGGTATGGTTAAAGGAAAATTATACCTTTGATATTTAGTATCCATTTTCACTTTAGTCTAGAACTTTACTGTTATGGTACAGTGGCTATTTTTTAAAGTCAGGTTGATGGACACGGTGACTCACACCTGTAATTCCAGCACTTTGGGAGGGCAGGGTGGGCAGATCGCCTCAGGTCAGGAGTTCGAGACCAGCCTCGCTAACATGGTGAAACCCTGTTTACTAAAAATATACAAATTAGCCCGGCATGGTGGTGGGCACCTGTAATCCCAGCTACTTGGGAAGCTGAGACAGGAGAATCACTTGAACCCAGGAGGTGGAGGTTGCAGTGAGCTGAGACCGTGCCATTGCACTCCAACCTGGGCAAAGAGAGCAAAGCTCTGTCTCAAAAAAATGAAACATTTTTTAAAAAAGGTAATTTTCATTGTAGTGATATAAAAACAGAATGTAAACCTAATTTTCAGAGTAAAACACTGAGATGACTTCATTTTCATAATCACCACATAGGCTATCATTTTCTCATTTGGTGTAAATAATGTTTTTTTGTTGTTGAATTTGTTTAAAATACTGACTTAGAGCATTCGATCCTGTCAAATGAAGAGAAATCTTTTTCCCACCTCTGATGATAGTTACTTTCAATATAATTTGACTTTGATTTGACTTTGCTTTGGATGAAGGTTCATTTGGAGATTCAGATTCTGCCGATATCAGCTTAAAGTACAAAAAGAATTTTCAGTTTAGAGTAGTTCCTAGTGTGGATGTTAGCTGTAATGTATAACAAATTGATTTGCTTCATACTCTTTTAAAAGTTTTAGCCAGGATATGCTTTTTTAAAATGAGAGGTCAGCGATAGGAGAAATTGAGTCCTAGTTGTTTGTTTTTTGTTTTTGTTTTTGTTTTTTTGAGATGGAGTCGCGCTCTGTTGCCGAGGCTGGAGTGCAGTGGCACGATCTCAGCTTACTGCAACCTCCGCTCCCGGGTTCAAGCAATTCTTCTGCCTCAGCCTTCTGAGTAGCTGAGACTATAGGCATGTGCCATCATGCCTGGCTAATTTTTGTATTTTTAGTAGAGATGGGGTTTCTCCATGTTGGCCAGCCTTGTCTCAAAACTCCTGACCTCAGGTGATCCACCCACCTTGGCCTACCATAGTGCTGGGATTACAGGTGTGAGCCACCACGCCCAGCTGAGTCCTAGTTTTAAAAAGAACAAAATTGCTTACACAGAACTGAAGGACTTGTCTTTACCTTTGGCCTAGTCATCTGGTTTCTAGGATTATGTAACATTTCATAGGAAATACCCAATTATTTTCCTTCAAAAAGTTGTAGCACATCAGTCTAACATAAAACCTTCATTTAGTAGAATGCTTGGAAAAGGAGTTTTCTCATTAACCAAGTTAGCCAGAAGATTCAACTCATCCTGGTAAAAATATTTCCAAAAAGCATCACTTGGCCAAGCGTGGTGGCTCATGCCTATAATCCCAGCACTTTGGGAGGCTGAGGCAGGCAGATCATCTGAGGTCGGGAGTTTGAGACCAGGCTGACCAACATG
This sequence comes from Homo sapiens, assembly GCF_000001405.40. Taxonomy (NCBI): domain Eukaryota; kingdom Metazoa; phylum Chordata; class Mammalia; order Primates; family Hominidae; genus Homo; species Homo sapiens. The sequence continues at coordinate 27,783,998 of NC_000001.11, forward strand.
GAGAAACCCCATCTCTACTAAAAATAGAAAAAATTAGCCGGGCATGGTGGCACATGCCTATAATCTCAGCTACTCGGGAGGCTGAGGCAGGAGAATCGCTTGAACCTGGGAGGCAGAGGTTGCGGTGAGCTGAGATCACACCATTGCACTCCAGCCTGGGCAACAAGAGCGAAACTCTGTCTCAAAAAAAAAAAAGTGTCACTTTACTTTTTAAATTTTTATTCATTTGTCTATTTATTTTGAGACAGAGTCTTGCTCTGTTGCTTAGGCTGGAGTGCAGTGGCATGATCATAGCTCACTGCAGCCTCAAACTTCTGGGCTTGAGCGATCCTCTTCTCTCAGCCTCTTGAGTAGCCAGGACTACAAGCATGCGCCACCATGCTTGGCTAATTTTTAAATTTTTTGTAGAGGCAGTTTTCACTATGTTGCCCAGGCTGGTCTTGAACCCCTGACCTCAAGTGATCTGCCCACCTTGGCCTCCCAAATTGTTGGGATTGTAGGTGTGAGCCACTGTGCCTGGCCTCACTTTTCTTTTTGATATTTTAAGTATGCTCAAGGGCAAATAAATGTATCTGTAAACACGTTATTCCTTTGTGTGCTTTAGGTTTACTGAAAGATACATCTCTTAGATGTAAAATACATGAGTCATTGAGTTACTAGTTTTGAACAAATCCCTGATGTTGGTGATTATAGAGGGCAATATACAAAAAGTCCTGCTTCTCTGGGTTCCAGTAAACTACGACACTGTTGTCCTTATGATTTGAGTTTTAGGGTATCTGATACCTGAGTCTTGCTGGAAACTTTAAAGAAAATATCTTAATATTTAGGAATTTAGAAAGTGTTAAGGCTTAGATTAATTCTGGTGCTTAGCTAGCAAATGACCCTATAATATTCCCAACACCCCCACTTCCTCAACCCCTCCCTATCTTTCCACCCCCCAAATTTAGGTCATCCCAACAAAGGAAATCAGAAAAGTCTAGATGAAGAAGAGTTCTCCACTGAGAATATGCAGAGAACAGCTGATTATTAATTGATTTTTTCATATTCTATAAAATTCCCATAGCTCTGTAGCTTATTTAATAAATTTTGATAGATGATTAATAACTTGATACTTTGGCATACTTCTAAAGTTTCTAAGGAATGCTCTACTTTTTAAAGACACTCAATAAGAAAAGACCTATTTCCTTGACTTTTTTTGTCAGATCTACGTTTACATGTTATCATATATTCAACCATTTTCTGGATGGGTGTGTGTGTGTTGGGAGGAGTTATACATACACAAAAATGAGTAGAATGCAGTCCCTGCCTTCTAGAGGGATATAGTCAGTCCAGTCCTGTTTGTACCTTGCATTTATGAAGTTAAGAAAGTCACAGGTGGAACCTTTCTAAGCCAAACTTTCGGGTTGCAAAAGTACTCCTTGGTTACACAGCATAATTCTTTGACTGGAGCTATTTCACTGTTATTGAATTTTGGAATTGAGCAGTGGTGGGAGTACTTAGAGATCATTTAGTTCTTACATAGTTGTAAGGATTTAATGAGATAAAATAAAAACCTTACACAAATAGTTTAAGTATTCAGTAAATGTCAGTGAAATCTGAATATCATCTATAATTGGTGAAAAAGAGACCCAGTCAAATGAAATGACTTGCTTAGTGCCCTGCATCTAGTTAGTCGTCAAGTCTGGCTTAGATTTCAGGCCTCATTATTCCTAGCTTATATTCTTCATTCATATCTTCTGCCTCAAAGAGCTTGCCAGAATGGAAAAGGGAGGCTAACTCAATTAATCAGTAATTGATTATGTATCACCTGGGTGCCTGGCACTCTGCTGAACTCTAGTGAGTACAGAGGAGTGTTCCCATAGGTGCCAGGGAGCTGGAGAAGGGAGCAGGTTAGAGGAAGGACATCAGCCTATCTGGAGCAGAGACCTATTAACTTAGGTATCAGATAAGTAGGGTGGGGCTAAGTGGAACACTGGGAAATCTAGGCCTGCCCTGTGTGACTACATTCTTTTTCCTGTAAGAGTCAGCCTTTTGAGAGACTGTAATGTGGCACATTCCACTGCAGTTAGCCCTGGGTTTAAATTCTGGTTGTAATGACACTCTGTTCAAAACCTACCAGTGATTTCCCACTTCATTAAAATTCAAAGTCCTCATAATTGTTTGCAAGGCCCTATACAATCTGGGTCCCTACTACCTCCTTGGCCACCTCTCTGCTGTCTCTTGCTCACTCTGCTCTAGCCACCCTGGCCTCCATCACATCAAGTACCCTTGCTTTGGGGACTTTGTACTGATTACTCTCTTCTCCTAGAATGCTTCTCCCCAAGATAGCTGTGTGGCTTGATCTTTCACTTTGGATCTCAGCTCAGTGTCACCTTATCAGAGAGGTCTCTCTGACCACTCTATATAACTAGTATCCTCTGCCCACCACTGTCACTTCAGCTCTTAACTGAATTTATTTCTTTTTATACTCTGACCACTCTGTATAACTAGTATCCTCTGCCCACCGCTGTCACCTCAGCTTTTACCTGAATTTATTTCTCTTTATACCATTTTTCACTACCTGATATGTTTATTGTCTATCTCTTTTCCTTAGAAGACTCTCGAAGGCAAGTGTCTTCTAGGACATGGAATAGTGTAGAGTAGATACTCTACTCTGAATGAATGAATGAATGAATGAGTTCTGTAACTCTCAGGAGCCTCATTGTGCTCATATGCAACAATGGAATAATAATACTTACTTAAAGGATTGTTGGAGTCAAATAAGTTAATGCTTGTCAAGCCCAGTGTCTAGTACCTCATAGTAGATGCTCAGTAAATGAAAATTCATGCCCTCTTTCATAAATTATTTTTATGGCTGTCCAGTTAATAGCTTTAGTTGTATCCTGATTCCCATTTGACTTAGATAAGAAGGACATACCACATGTTAGTGATGAAGAAAAGTGGTTGTCACACATAATGCTATCTTAGCAGAATGCAGTAATTATAGTGCTTATAATTGGAACCATGGAACCACTGAGCTATAGTGGTTCCTCACTTAGTAGAATAGATATCTTTTAGAGAAGTCTTGTCAAAAGGCAAAATTTGAATTAAGTGAATCCTATATTTCTGTTATAAAACTGGAATCACATTTTTGTTAGGAAAATATGGTCTCAAAATAAGATGAAATCATAATCTGAAGTGCTACCAGCCTATATATACTTGACTCGGGAAATGTTTGCTTTGTATCCCCAACAATGCAGTAATTTTGGCTAGGGAGAAATAACGTGTACTTACTACTAAGGACTGAGTTGTTCCATTTCTGTTTAGGAATAGAAGCACCCAGCAATAAGTTAGAAGATTTTTGCCTAATCGTTGCTTCTTATCAGATTTAGGGACTACTGGCCGGGTGCAGTGGCTCAACCCTGCAATCCCAGCACTTTGGGAGGCCGAGGCGGGTGGATTACCTGAGGTCAGGAGTTTGAGACCAGCCTGACCAACATGGTGAAACCCCATCTCTACTAAAAATACAAAAATTAGCCAGGCGTGGTGGCACACGCCTGTAATCCCAGCTACTCGGGAGGCTGAGGCAGGAGAATTGGTTGAGCCTGGGAGTCGGAGGTTGCAGTGAGCCGAGATCATGCCACTGCACTCCAGCCTGGCCGACAGAGTGAGACTCTGTATCAAAAAAAAAAAAGATTTAGGGACTATTAGCATGTCATTGGTATTGTAAGGTAACTGGTACTCAATACATTTTAGCTTACTTTTTTACTGATCTTGGTGACCAAATTAGGGACAAGATTATGACTGTGTCCCCCAAATATTGTTATTTTAAAGAGTACCATTACCAAAAAGTAAATTTGGAACAATTAATTTTTAAATTTCAAAATTCTAATAAGTGAAGGTTCTTTCTTGTTGGACATGGGAGCATTATATGTATACTGTTTCTATAATATTCACAAATTATACAATATACATTGGTCTCCTCATTTTCTTCCACTGAACTAGTCATTTAGCAGGCTGGTGTTTCACAAGTGAAACTGGCATTAATCCAGAGAGGATAGAAAGGGCTCTCACAAAGAAAGCTGAATGGCTGGAAGAGCCTTATACTTATTGTGTTATGTGATTTCTTGAAGTTCTGTTGAAACTTGATGGTAAGTGTGTTACTTCTGGGCAATGAGTACTCTATTCATATGTTCTGTACTCCAGCTACTTGTAATAGAAGACAGTGAATGCTCTTGGAAAACAAGCAAGCAAACAAGAAATCATATAACTAACTTCCAACCTCTATGAATGAATAAATCTCCCCCACCCTCCCCAGTAACCAGAAAAAGAAAATAGAAAGCAAGGCATAAAATAAATGAAGGGCTCTATTGTTGCAGAAATCAGTAAGGGACAGGAGTGTTCAGAGTCCCAGGCAGGCTGGCGTTAGAGTGTTCCTCCTTATTGATAGATGATCAGTTCCTCTGGACCTCTGCTTTCTTGGTCTAGGATAGGAGTTAAACATCCAGGATTCAAACATGACCATTCCTAGTCTTAGCAAATATCTAGGAAAAGGTAGAGAAGGCTGAACAAAACCATATGTTTGACTGTATTATGGTATAGACAGCACAGTTGAAAGAACATAGCCATTGGAATCTGATGTACTGGGCATTGAATTTTTGCTCTGCTACTTATTAATTGTGTATGCTTGTATAAGATACTTAATCTCTCTAAATACACTTCCTTACCTGCAAAATGGAAGTATATCTACTAAGGCCAGGCGTGGTGGCTCACGACTGTAATCCCAGGACTTTGGGAGGCCGAGGCGAGTGGATCACAAGGTCAGGAAATCCAGACCATCCTGGCTAACATGGTGAAAACCCGTCTCTACTAATAATACAAAAAAATTAATCGGGCGTGGTGGCAGGCGCCTGTAGTCCCAGCTACTCAGGAGGCTGAGGCAGGAGAATGGCATGAACCCAGGAGGCGGAGCTTGCGTGAGCTGAGATCGTGCCACTGCACTCCAGCCTGGGTGACAGAGTGAGACTCCATCTCAAAAAAAAAAAATAAATAAATAAAAAAGTACATCTACTGGAGATTGCTGTTGTGAAAATTAATAACAGAGTGTATACAAAGCTCTTAGTATATAGTGCCTGGCACTTAGAGGTGCTCAATTGGTGGTAACCCATTATTAGTAATAAGTATACATTGTCTTTCCAAAAATGTTTGCTATAGAAAAATTATTGTATTTGACTTGATTTTTTTTTTATTGTTGCAAATTGATATCTGGCCTAGAGGCCCTTCTAAAGGTGTTGAAATTTTTAACCATTGCAATAGGAGATCTAGGAAAACTAGCAAATTTTAGGGGGATGATAAAACTACCACCTTCTACTTTGTGACACAGTTACTCTATAGGAGAAAGGTGAACCTTGTAATTAGTTTTTGGAGGAATGTGTGTGTCAAGGTTTTGATCATAGCATGGTCTCTATTAGTTGCATGTATTAATACTTATTCTGAATGGGAAGAGACCAGGAATCTTAGAAGTAGGGTACTCATGATGAATGTATTTTTCTTTTAAATAAATCTTTTTCTTCCTATCTCCCCAGCTGCTCAGATAAAGAATTTGATGAGCCAGCTAGGAACTAAGCAGGACTCAAGCAAGCTACAGGAAAATCTGTGAGTAACTTCCTGACAAGGTTGGGTTTTGTGAGGGCCATTTGAGGACACAGTGTCCTTGCCAGACAGCAGCTTAGGTTTCAGGTCTGGGAAGTCAGAATGAGAGGCAGTGGGTCATGAGATAAGAGCTGGATCTAAAAGAGGGGCGGGGCAACAAAGTATATTAATGGATTGTAATTTCCGTTGCCTTTCAAAGTCTTTGAACTCTGGTTCTTTCTCCTCTTGGGCAGTTTAGCAGAACAATTTAGGGAAGTAGAAAAGGGAATTCGTACCACTATTAAACTATATTCTGCTCACAACTCTGCCTAAATGAGCTTCCTTGTTGGCGTAGGACTCCTCATGATCTAGTCTAACTGGATTTCCAGCTACAGTCAGCCTTCCATATCCATAGGTTCTGCACCTGTGGGTTCAACCAACCACAGATAGAAAATATTCAGAAAAAAAAAGGAAGGTCTCTACTGAAGATGTACAGACTTTTTTCCTTGTCATTACTGAAACAATATAGTAGAACAATTATTTACATAGTATTTACATTGTATTGTGTCTGGAGTTAGTTCCTTCTGGTGGGTTCTTGGTCTTGCTGACTTCAACAATGAAGCCGTGGACCTTCGTGGTGAGTGTTACAGCTCTTTAAGGTGGTGCGGACCCAAAGAGTGAGCAGCAGCAAGATTTACTGTGAAGAGCAAAACAACAAAGCTTCCACAGCGTGGAAGAGGATCTGAGCAGGTTGCTGCTGCTGGCTGGCGTGGCCAGCTTTTATTCCCTTATTTGTCCCCACCCATGTCCTGCTGATTGGTCCATTTTACAGAGCACTGATTGGTCCATTTTACAAACCTCTAGCTAGCCACAGATTGCTGATTGGTGCATTTTACAATCCTAGCTACAGAGTGCTGATTGGTGCATTTTACAATCCTCCTGTGAGACAGAAAATTTCTCAGAGTCCTCACCCAACCCAGAAGTCCAGCTGGCTTCACCTCTAAGTATTAAGTAATGTAATCTAGAGATGATTTAAAGTATATGGAAGGGGGTGCTGGGTGCAGTGACTCATGCCTGTAATCCCAGCACTTTGGGAGGCTGAGGCGGGCAGATCACCTGAGGTCAGGAGTTCAAGACCAGCCTGGCCAACATGATGAAACCCTGTCTCTACTAATAATACAAAAATCAGCTGGATGTGTGGCAGGCACCTGTAATCCCAGCTACTCAGGAGGCTGAGGCAGGAAAATAGCTTGAACCCAGGAGGCGGAGGTTGCGGTGAGCCAAGATCGCACCATTGCACTCCAGCCTAGGCAACAAGAGTGAAACTCTGTCTCAAAAAAATAAAAATAAAAATAAAAAATAAAGTATATGGGCCGGGTGTGGTGGCTCACACCTGTAATCCCAGCGCTTTGGGAGGCTGAGGTGGGCAGATCACCCGAGGTCGGGAGTTCAAGACCAGCCTGACCAACATGGTGAAACTCCATCTCTACTAAAAATACAAAAATTAGCTGGGCATGGTGGCGCGTGCCTGTAATCCCGGCTACTTGGGAGGCTGAGGTAGGAGAATCACTTGAACCTGGGAGGCGGAGGTTGCAGTGAGCTGAGATTGTGCCATTGCACTCCAGCCTGGGTGACAAGAGCGAAACTCCGTCTCAAAATAAATAAATAAATAAAGTATATGGAAGGATATGCATAGGTTCTAGGCAAATGTTACACAATTTTATATTAAGGACTTGGCAGGAGGCCTGGAACCAATCCCCCGTGGATACTGAGGGACTACTGCATATGTAATCAGAATGGCCCAAGGGGAGCCTGAGGGAGAGAATAGTAGACTGATAGTAGGGACTCCTGATTCTTTTTATCACATCCTTTTCTGCTCCATTTCTGCTTTTAGTGCTATTCTTCATCTTTAAAATGTTCTGAGCAAGCCGGGAGCAGTGGCTCACGCCTGTAATCCCAGCACTCTGGGAGGCCGAGGTGGGTGGGTCACGAGGTCAGGAGATCGAGACCATCCTGGCTAACACGGTGAAACCCTGTCTCTACTAAAAATACAAAAAATTAGCCAGGCGTGGTGGCACGTGCCTGTAGTCCCAGCTACTTGGGAGGCTGAGGCAGGGGAATCGCTTGAACCTGGGAGGCGGAGGTTGCAGTGAGCTGAGATCACATCACTGCACTCCAGCCTAGGTGACAGAGCAAGACTCTGTCTCAAAAAAATAAAATACAAAAATTAGCTGTGCGTGGTGGCTTGCGCCTGTAGTCACAGCTGCTTGGGAGGCTGAGGCAGGAGAATCACTTGAACCCGGGAGGCGAAGGTTGGAGTGAGCCAAGATCGCGCCACAGCACTCCGGCCTGGCGACAGAGCAAGACTCCATCTCAAAAAATATATATATATAATATAAATATAGTATATAAATATATATAAAATATAAATATAGTATATAAATATATCTATAATATATATAAAATATAAATATAGTATATAAATATAAAATATATAGTATATAAATATATAATATATATCTATATATGTATATATCTATATATGTGTATCTATATATGTATATACATATATATGTATCTATATATGTATATACATATATATGTATCTATATATATGTATATACATATATATGTATCTATATATATGTAGATACATATATATGTATCTATATATATGTAGATACATATATATGTATCTATATATATGTAGATACATATATATGTATCTATATATATGTAGATACATATATATGTATATATATATCAAGCAATATTTTTTGTTTCCTACCCTAGACAGTGTGAGGTAAGAGAATGACTATTATTGTGAGCTTTTTCCAGGGAAATGTGAAATATCTCTGGATATTTTCTACTGCCTGGGATGTTCAAGCCACTGATTGGGTACCTCTTGCTTTTGACTCCTTTTTTTTAAATCCTGGAGGCCCATTTGCAGTACAGAAAAACCATTAATAATTAGTGTGGTGTGTTAGCCCATTTGGGCTACTATAACAAAATACCATAAACTGAGTAGTTTATAAACAACAACTTTATTTCCATGATCTAATCACCCTCCAAAGGACCCCATCTCCTAATATTATCACCTCGGGAATTAGGATTTCAACATATGAATTTTGCAGGGACACTAACATTCAGATCATAGCATGTGGTTTCACTGTCGTCTCAGAAAGCCTTTGTAGAAATGGCTGGATAGTAGAGGAAACCACAAATGAAAAGAGTACTTTTTGTATTTCTACTACTTTAAGTTCCACTTAATATACTACATATTCTTTCCTCTTCAATTCCCCTTCCTCCCTACTCCTTTTGTATTTTTAACAGGTAAGGCTTCTTTGTTTTGGAGGGAAGAGCCAGAAACTCAGGTATAAAGAGCAGGTAGGAAGCCAAGGATAAGGCTAGAAAAGAGCCAGCTTTTTAAAGCAAGAGCATGGGATTAGATGTTTGGAGGTTGTTCCCTAGGGTAGGTAGGAAGCTACGCTTTTAATGCACATTTCATCTAACTGTCTGTGCCTAGATTCTAGTCAGTGGACTGTGGCAGTCAACTCCTGGACAATAAGAGAGTTCAGTATGTTTAAACTACTTGATTTAGGTGTGGGCGGCAATTGTTCTTTTTATATTTTTATCAGAACTGCTGATATGCTTTTCTTCTCTTCCCAAAGAGTTAAAATTCCCGATCTGTGCTTTCTTCAGCAGGCTATTGAAGCAGATTCTTTCTGCTCAGTGAAGATACCTTGAAGTGGGTTTGCCTGGGTAATATTTCTGGAATTTTGTTGTGAACCTGGGCATCTAGGGACTCATTTCTTCAAATGGCCCTTCATTCCCTACGTTATGAGACACTCTGAGAACAAAGTGGTTCTGTGTATAACCCTCTCAAGAAGTGACAACATCCTGAAACATATCTTTTCTCTCTTAGGCAACAGTTACAACACTCCACAAATCAGCTCGCCAAGGAAACAAATGAATTGCTGAAAGAATTAGGGTCCTTGCCCCTTCCCTTATCTACTTCAGAACAGGTTGGTATTTTCTGTTTTGTTTATTAATAGGAAAGGACTTTGTGTTAGTAGAAAGGCAGTGTGTAGAACAAAAAAAAAATAAGTTGGCCTTTGGTGCTAGATAGATAGACCTCCTCTGCACCTCAGTTTCTTATCCATCAAGTGGGGGATATGTGACTGTTGGGGCAATAGAAAGAATGTACACACCAGATGTGGCAAAGTGTCTGCGTCTGGTAGGTAATCAATATGTGGTGGCTGCTGCTATTATTAACATTATTAATATATTAATAAAATGGAGTTAACTGAAGAGAAATCTCAACATTTGCATCTCTTTGGGGTTTGGCTAGCAGTTTTATGTTTGTAGGCTTCCTCCTTTCTCCTAGTTTTTTTTTTTTTTAATTATTATTATTTTTATTGTTGTTGTCGTTTTGGAGACAGGGTCTCCCTCTGTCACCTACGGTAGAGCGCAGTGTTGAAATCATAGCTCACTGCAGCCTCCCACTTCTGGGCTCAAGCAGTCCCCTCCCCTCAGCCTCCTGAGTAGCTGCAACTACAGGCATGTGCCACCACACCCAGCTAATTTTAACAATTTTTTTGTACAGACATGGTCTTGCTTTGTTTCCCATGCTGGTATTGAACTTGTGACTTCAAGCAATCCTCCCACCTCAGCCTCCCAAAGTGTTGGGATTACAGGCGTGAGCCCCATGCCCAGGGTTCCTAGTTTGTTTTGTATCCATTATCTTTACATTTTAATGAAACATCTTTCTTTCATGTTTTGCAGTTACCTTCATGTTCTGTCATGAGTTATTCACAGGTCTCACTCAGGTTAAGGAACTGCTCAGGGAAAAAGGGTTCTCTTTTCAAGTCATTTTCTTCAGTGGCCATTTAAATCCTTTAGAAACACACAATTTTTACTGAGATTCATTGTTCCCTTAATATGCCACATTCCTGAAGTCAGATGTGCCCCTCCTTCATTGTGGCTTGACTTGTCATTCATGATCTACCTCAGGTCTCCAGTAAAAAAAACTTTCTCCGTCTACCTTCCTATTATGATCCTGTTTTGCTTTTAGCTTCTATACCATTCGTGGGGGCACTTAACTTGTATTGCTTTTTAAATTTTATTTTATTTTTGAGATAGGGTATTACTCTGTCACCCAGGCTGAGTGCAGTGGCAATCATAGCTCACTGCAACCTTGAACTCCTGGGCTCAAGGGATCCTCCCAACTCAGCCTCCTGAGTAGCTGGAACCACAAGTGCGCACCACCACACGCAGCTAAATTTTTAAATTTTTTGTAGAGATGAGGTCTTGCTATGTTTTCCAGGCTAGTCTCAAACTCCTGGGCTCAAGTGATCCTCCTTTCTTGGCCTTGCAAAGTACTGGGATTATAGACATGAGCCACTGTGCCTGACCTTTATATCGTTTTTTATGATTGAACGTTTTAAATGATAATGTCCTATATCTGATGGCTCTGAAGACAAAGCCTTTCAACTTCCCTGTCGTGGGTTGTTTTTCAAAGTATGGGTTGTGGCTAGTGGAACATGAAGTCATTTTAGTGTATTGAGATCAGCATTTTAAAAAACTTAGAGTAGAAGTATCAGAGTCTATATTATGTAATAATGGTAAATATTGTTATATGGAACTGTTGTTTCATACATACATATGTGTATGTATGGATGGATCATGATGTCAAATTCTTTTTTTTTTTTAATTTGAGACAGAGTCTTGCTCTGTCGCCCAGGCTGGAGTGCAGTGGGATAATCTTGGCTTACTGCAACCTCCGCCTCCCAGGTTCAAGCGATTCTCCTGCCTCAGCTTCCCAAGTTGCTGGGATTGCAGGCACCCACTACCACGCTCGGCTAATTTTTGTATTTTTAGTAGAGATGGGGTTTTGCCATGTTGGCCAGGCTGGTTTCAAACTCCTGACCTCAGGTGATCTGCCCAGCTAGACCTCCCAAAGTGCTGGGATTACAGGCCTGAGCCACCACACCTGGCCCATGTTGTCAAATTCTTATTGTAAATCTCTGTCAAAAAAAAATTGAAAATCACTAGTTTAACCTGATAAACTGTTCCATGTAGCATATCTGGAGTTTTGGCCCCCACTTGCAGAAGAGAGAGGAGGACAAGATGCTTTGTCATCCTGCTACAAAGTAGTTACCCTTTGGTTGTCTATATACGGGCTGTTTATTCTAATTATTACTCATGCTGATGTTTCAGTTATGGGCCATTTCCCCCTTGCCATCCAATATCTCCAAACTGCTGCCAAGTTACCCATTTCTTCCTCCTAACCATGCACTTAGGGAATACACACTTGTAGACAGTTTTCATAGTAACAAAAAAGGAGTTGAAGGGTCTAATGCAGAGTAGTGAAAGTATTTAAGAGTTAAGTAGTAGCCTAAGCAAAATATAAATAGAAAATCAAATCTGCTACCAAAACAAAATTCATCAAACATCTTCTAAAACCAAATAGAAGTTATTTTTGGATTATGCATGCTGTTGTTCCTTTCCATTATCTTGGATCATTAAGAACACGAACTAGATCTACAAACATACTCTCTCTGGTGAAATATAATTCCTTGATTCCCCTCCTCTTGTTATGCTCTGTATCCTTTTGTCTTTCTACTCTTTTCTCATCTAATTAATCTTAGCCCCATCACCCGTCTTTTCATTACTATCTTATACATCAAACCATACTCCTACTTTCAGTTTTTTTCCATACTTATATACTATCATCAATGATCTAGTTACCCAGTCCAGTGGCTTTTGAGGTTTTTTGTTCGTTTGTTTGAGACAGGGTCTCACTCAGTTATCCGGGCTGAGGCGCAGTGGAGTGGCGCAGTCGTGGCTCGCTGTATCACTGTAGCCTCAACCTCCCAGGCTCAAGTGATCCTCCCACCTTAGCTTCTCGAGTAGCTAGGACCACAGGCATGTGCCACCACACCAAGCTACTTTTTAAATGTTTTATAGAGACAGAGTCTTGCTATGTTGCCCAGGCTGGTCTCAAACTCCTGGGCTCAAGCAATCCTCTCTCCTCAGCCTCCCAAAGTGCTGGAATTACAGGCATGAACTGCCATACCAGGCCCTTTGTAAAGAGTTTTTTTTTTTTTTTTGGGACAGAGTTTCGCTCTTGTTGCCCAGGCTGGACTGCGCAAATGGTGCAATCTCGGCTCACCACAACTTCCACCTCCCAGGTTCAAGCAATTCTCCTGCCTCAGCCTCCCGAGTAGCTGGGATTATAGGCATGTGCCACCATGCCCAGCTAATTTTGTATTTTTAGTAGAGATGGGGTTTCTCCATGTTGGTCAGGCTGGTCTTGAACTCCCGACCTCAGGTGATCTGCCAGCCTTGGCCTCCCAAAGTGCTGGGATTACAGGCATGAGCCACCGCACCTGGCCATAAAGAGTTTTTATTCACTTTTTTTTTTTGAGACACAGTTTCACTGTGTCACCCAGGCTGGAGTGCAGTGGCGTGATCTGCACTCCAACCAGATCAGTGGCATGATCTGCACTCCAGTGAGCAAAGGCTCACTGCAACCTTTGTCTCCCAGGTTCGAGCAATTCTCCTGCCTCAGACTCCCAAGTAGCAGGGACTACAGACGCACACCACCACGCTAATTTTTGTATTATTAGCAGAGACAGGGTTTTGCCACGTTGGCCAGGTTGGTCTTGAATTCCTGACCTCAAGTGATCCGCCTGCCTCGGCCTTCCAAAGTTCTGGGATTGCAGGTGTGAGCTACCATGCCTGGCCTATTCACTTTTTTTCTGTTTCCTTTGATCCTCTTGCCTATCCCGTCTGCCCTGAAACTTTCTTCTTGCCATGATTCTCTTTCATTGTGTCCCCCAACTCTGGAGATCCCCAGGTTGAGTCAGCCTCCTTCCCGGACTTCATATCCTCCTAAGAGTGGGCATGCCCCAAGGTTGTGCCATTGATCCTCGAATTATTTCACTGTATGCTTTCTCCTTAGGAGTCACCTGCTTTTATGACCTCCCTTTCACCTTTATGATCATGACCTCAGATCTTTTTCCAATCTAACCCCTTCACCTCTAAGTGCGTGGCCCATATCTTCAATTCATGTTCTGACATCTCCTCCTGAAATAAACTACCTTCATATAAAACTTGTCTTATACTGAGTTTCTCATGTTTCTCCCAAACCCCTTAACTAAGTTCATTGACAATACTTAACATCACAGAAAAGTTTGTGCCTTTTGACCTAATATTCTCACTCATGCTAATTAGCCCTAAGGGGAAAAAAAATTCTGAAGGTAAACACACACACACACACACACACACACACACACAGAGTCTATATACTCTGGAGCCAAATTTCCTGGATTTAAATCCATCTTTGTCACTTACTGTGTGATCCTGGGCAAATTACATAGCCTCTGTGGTGCTTTGGTTTTCTGATGTGTAAAGTTGGGACTATAATAATGCCTAATTTATAGGTCATTGTATAGATAAATGAATTATTATGTAAAGCACTTACAGTAGTACTGGTACAATTTAAGCACTATATAAATATTAGCCATTACATTGGGGCTTACTTTATAATATTTAATAACTGTGAAAAATCTAGAAGGATTATTTACATAAAATTTAGGTCAACTTGATGGAATATATGTAAGCGATTAAAGATCATGGCCGGGCACAGTGGTTCACACCTGTAATCCCAGAACTTTGGGAGGCTGAGGCGGGTGGATTGCTTGAGTACAGGAGTTTGAGACCCAGCCCGGGCAACATCTCTACAAAAATTAGCCAGGCACGGTGGCTCATGCCTATAATCCCAGCACTTTGGGAGGCCGAGGTGGGCGGATCACCTGAGGTCAGGAGTTTGAGACCAGCCTGACCAACATGGCAAAACCCCATCTCTACTAAAAATACAAAAATTAGCCAGGCGTGATGGTGGCCACCTATAATCCCAACTACTCGGGAGACTGAGGCAGGAGAATTGCTTGAACCCAGGAGGCGGAGGTTGCAGTGAGCTGAGATTGTGCCATTGCACTCCAGCCGGGGTGACAGAGCGAGACTCCCTCTCAAAAAAAAAAAAAAAAAAAATCGCGCCACTGCACTGCAGCCTGGGTGACAGAGCGAGACTCCATCTCAAAAAAAGAAAAAAAAAAAAACTCGTGCCACTGCACTCCAGACTGGACGACAGAGCGAGACTCCGTCTCAAAAAAAAAAAAAAAAAAAAAAAATTAGCCAGGCATCGTGGTACACATCTGTAGTCCCAGCTACTCAGGTGGCTGAGGTGAGAGGATCATTTGAGTCTGGGAGGTTGGGGCTGCAGTGAGCTGAGATCACACCACTGCACCCCAGCTTGGGTGACAGAGCAAGACCCTGTCTCAAAAAAAAAAAAAACAAAAACATAATTGTGAAGAGTATGGTAACATGGAAAATGTTTATGATGTATTTAAAAGTTATGATAATATTTTTGCACGGTAAGGTTAGGGAATGATGTCCTCCCCGTTATTGTTATAATTTTGTTTATGCAAAAATAAAAATCTCAGAAGAAAAGGGTTGCTCATCTAAATTTGCTTTTAGTATTACCATCACTCTTCCAGGTTTGAAATTTCAGTCATTCTTGACTTTATCTCTCTTTCCCCACCACCAGTCAAAATGTTTCTTAAATTCATTTCTTTATGATTTTATTACTGATACTGTGTCCTCCTAACCTTAAACCTAGACTATTGAATTAGTGTTCTGTTTGACTTGTTTCTTTTTTCCATTCCACCTTTGTGTAAACGGTGACCCAGGTCTCATCACAGACTAATTTTTCTAAGTTACTATTTTGTACCCATGATGTTTCTTGCTCAAAAATCTTCATTGCTCTTTGTTCTTTAGAGGTTGAACCCCAAACTCATTAGCTTGTTTTTTTTTTTGTTTTTTTTTTTGAGACAGAACCTGGCTCTTTTGCTCAGTCTGGAGTGCAGTGGCGCGATCTCAGCTCACTGCAACCTCCACCTTCCAGGTTTAAGCAGTTCTCCTGCCTCAGCCTCCCAAGTGGCAAAGGACTACAGGCGCACGCCACCACGCCTGGCTAATTTTTTGTATTTTTAGTAGAGACATGGTTTCACCATGTTAGCCAGATGGTCTCCATCTCCTGGCCTCGTGATCTGCCTGCCTCATCCTCCCAATAGCTTGGCGTTTTGTTTTGTTTTTTGAGACGGAGTTTCACATGTGTTGCCCAGGCTGGAGTGCAATGGCACGATCTCAGCTCACTGCAACCTCCACCTCCTGGTTCAAGCAATTCTCCTGCCTCAGCCTCTCAAGTAGCTGGGATTACAGGTGCCTGCCACCATGTCTAGGTAATTTTTTCTATTTTTAGTAGTGATGGGGTTTCACCATGTTGGCCAGGACGGTCTTGAATAATTCCTGCCCTCAAGTGATCCACCCACCTTGCCTTCCAAAGTGCTGGGATTACAGGCATGCGCTACTGCGCCCGGCCTAGCTTGGCATTTAAAACCTGCTGTGGTTGGCCCCTTTCTTAACTTTCCAATTTTGTATTTTAGCTACTCTCATTACTAAACGTGTAGTTCCAACCAAACAGTCTGTCTAGAGATCCTCTTCAAGTTCTGCCACCATGCCTTTGCTCACACTATTCTCTTGCTTGGATTTGCCTTACCCCTTCTTTCTGCTTATTCATGCCTTCCTCTTACTTCACTGTCCACCTTCTCTTGAGGCCTTTCTTGGCCGCTTGAGTTCTTACTGATTATTCCTGCCCTCTGAACTCCTGTAGTACCAATTGGATATAGCAGTTATTTATAATAACTTTGTTACTTGTCTGTCTATATCCTTTATTTACAAATAGACAGCTGTTTGAGGTCAGGGGTGAGTTTTTACTTCTGTGTTCATAGAACAGGACA
Organism: Homo sapiens; assembly: GCF_000001405.40. Lineage (NCBI taxonomy): Eukaryota > Metazoa > Chordata > Mammalia > Primates > Hominidae > Homo > Homo sapiens. The sequence continues at coordinate 27,800,473 of NC_000001.11, forward strand.
ATGCTGTCAGTATGTGGTGTGTGTGTGTGTGTGTGTGTGTGTGTGTGTGTGTGTGTGTGTTTTGTTTTGTTTTTTCAGACAGAGTTTCACTCTATTGCTGAGGCTGGAGTACATGGCATGATTTCAACTCACTGCAGCCTCAACCTTCCAGGGTCAAATGATCCTCCTGCCCCAGCCTCTGAGTAGCTGATGTGTACCACCACGCCCGGCTAATTTTTTTATTTTTTGTAGAGATAGGATTTTGTCATGTTGCTCAGGCTGGTCTTGAACTCCTAGGCTCAAGTGATCCTCCTGCCTCAGCCTCCCAAAATACTAGGACTATAGGCATAAGCCACTGTGCTCAACCTCAGCATATGTTTTTTGAGACATAGAAGTAACAAGCTTAGTAGAGGTAGTCTGTAGATAAATGAAGTACTTACCAAGTCTCAAAGATTTTAAACCACTAAAAGCCTGTGAAATGCTTCTATAGTTTACAGGGAAGCTGTGAATTCAATATAGATGAATAGGGTTTTAACATTTTAGCTAAAACCCATCTCTGTTTGGATTCAACTGGAGTCCAGAGGTATTTATTCTCTTTTATATTCTCCAGGGCACCAAAATTCTGAATTGCAGTTCTTTGGAGATTACTTTAGAAGTTAAATACAGGCTGGGCACAGTGACTCACGCCTGTAATCCCAGCACTTTGGGAGGCCGAGGCGGGCAGATCACCTGAGGTGAGGAGTTCTACAATAGCCCGGCCAACATGGCGAAACCCCATCTGTACTAAAAATACAATAAAAAATTAGCCAGGTATGGTGGTGGGTGCCTGTAATCCCAGCTCCTCAGGAGGCTGAGGCACAAGAATCGCTTGAACACGGGCGGCAGAGGTTGGCAGTGAGCTGAGATCATGCCACTGCGCTCCAGCCTGGGCGACAGAGCAAGACTCCGTCTCAATAAAAAGAAAAAAAAAAAAAGAAGAAGAAGTTAAATGCAACCCAGTTCCAGGTTTGTCAGAATGAAAGAAGAAAAATTCTGACTTGGTCTATAGTATTAACCAGGGACTTGAGCTAGCAAAGAGCAAATTTATTAATTTAAAGAAGAGACTATTTCATAATAATTTTCCTAGTTGGAAATCTTTAAGGGGTATAATTTTACTTTTAAGGGAAATTAAAACCAAATGATTCTGGGTTAATATGAAATCTCAAGTTCTTGCTTGATTTCCTTAGCGCCAGCAGAGACTTCAGAAGGAACGCCTCATGAATGACTTCTCTGCAGCCTTAAACAATTTCCAGGCTGTGCAGAGAAGGGTATCTGAAAAGGAAAAGGAGAGTATTGCCAGAGCAAGAGCTGGATCTCGTCTTTCTGTAAGTTGATTCCCAAAAGAAGACCTTTGCAATATCAGAATGTTCTTTTCCAAGTTTGTGGGTTTTTTTCTTTTTCTCTTTGACCAATAAACATGTAAGTTAGCTGCTGTGAAAATGGCAGGTTGGTGTAACCTATGTAAAAAACATATATGCATGTGATCAAAGCCTAGAAAGGAATCTGAATGAAGGTTAAGAGATATAGGAGGAAGAACTATGTCTAATTTTCTTTTTCATTTTGATATATTGGTTTTAACGTTAAAAACTTGAAAATAAAAATAATGAATCTGTTTCCTGGAATATAACAGGCTAGTTTATTTGGACTAGCCCTCTGTTTTTGAAAAGGATTTTCAAATACTGGATTTTAAAAATCCAACTTCTCAAAAGTATCAAAGATTATGAAAATATTAAGGTAAAGCCTGAGAGGTCAGCAGAATACTGAAACTGCTTTTGCATTGAATGTCTTTACTGAAGGCAAACTTGAACTTCAGTTTTGATATCCTCATGGCATGGGGAGGATAAAAGTCAAAGCCAAAGGTCCATGCAAGAGAGAGAATATAAAAGAAGGTACAACTCAAATTAAACTGGGCCCTAAGAGACTATATCCTTAGAACATTAAGTCAAAAGTAAGCTCTTCTATCCCCCGGCAGATTACAGAAAGATTGCATTAGCACTGAACTGAGCAGATGGAGGAGGAGGGCAGGAGGGAGGAGAAATCTAGACAAGGTTACCACAAAGTAACCTTCTTCAGGCAGATTTTCTGCTCAAATTCATCCTACCTGAATGGTTCAGTGGTCCTGGACTGGGAGAGCCACCTATGTGTGGGATAGAAGCAAACACAAATTCCTTCTGTAGAAAGACACCTTTATCCTAGCCCTGAAATAATACTCTCAAATAATTTTTCTAGGGCAGTAAGTACCAGTCACTAAAAATAACCATGTGTGCAAAGAAACAAATTACTCTGAACAAGAATTAGTAGAAACAACAATGAAGTGAAATATACCTACAAAGACTTTTTATATTAGAATTATAAGACAACTATACTTATTGTGTTTAAAGACATAAAAGGCTGAAAACCTCTGCAGGAAACTACACAAAGATTTGAAAAAGTGTCAAAAGAATTTCTAAAATGGAAAGATATAATATAGAAATTTAAAAACTTAGTGGATGGGTGGTTTAACTAAAAAATTGGTTAGAATATATTATCCAGCATGTAGCATAGGGGGTTAAGAGGTTAAATACGGAAGAAAGATTATGAAAAATGGAGAATGGAGAGAAAAGATCTAACGTAGTTTTAACTGGAGTTATAGAGTGAGAATAGGGCAAACATAGAACAGAGGTGATATTTGAAGAAATAATGAGTGATAATATTCTAGAACTGATTAAAAACACTAGCCTGCAGTTTCAAGAAGCCTAACAAATCCCAAGCAGGATAAATAAAATCTCTAATCTAGATACATCAAAGACAAACTTCAGACCAGAGACAAAGAGAAAAATCATAAAGATAGCTAGAGAAACATTAGAATACCTTCAAAGATACAATAGTTAGATTGACAGTTGACTTCTCAACAACAGTGGAAGCCAGTAGAGTGCTATCTTGAATGTTGATGAAGGACAATAACTGCCTACCTAGGATTCTAAACCCAGTGAAAATATATGTCAGAATGAGGGCTAATTAAAGACATTTTCAATCAAAAGAGAGTTTTCTGTCAGCACATCTTATTGAAGGAAATTCTAAATAATGTATTTCAGATGGAAGGAAAGTGATCTCAGATGGAAAGTCTGAAAAGCAGAAAGAAATGAAGAACAAAAAAAGTGGTAAAGATGTGAAAAGACTAGTCACAGGGAGAAGACATTGCTATATATATTTAATAGCAAAGGACTAGCATTTAGAATATATAAAGAATTCGGCCAGGCGTGGTGGCTCACACCTGTAATCCCAGCACTTTGGGAGGCCAAGGTGGGCAGATCACGAGGTCAGGAGTTCAAGACCAGCCTGGCCAACATGGTGAAACCCTGTCTCTACTAAAAATACAAAATTAGCTGGGCGTGGTAGCGCGTGCCTGTAATCCCAGCTACTCTGGAGGCTGAGGCAGGAGAATCGCTTGAACCAGGGAGACAGAGGTTGCAGTGAGCTGAGATTGTGCCCCTGTGCTCCAGCCTGGGCGACACAACAAGATTGTATCTCAAAAAACAAAAAACAAAACAAAAAAAACCCCAGAATTCCCATGAATCAATATGAAAAAGAAAGATACAACTCAATAGAACAAAAGTTGTCAAACTTTTTAATCTCAGGAACCCATTACACTCTTAAAAATCATTAAATTCTGTGGCCGGGCGCAGTGGCTCATGCCTGTAATCCCAGCACTTTGGGAGGCCGAGGCGGGTGGATCACCTGAGGTCAGGAGTTCAAGACCAGCCTGGCCAACATGGAGAAACCCTGTCTCTATTAAAAAATACAAAATTAGCCGCGCATGGTGGCGCATGCCTGTAATCCCAGCTACTTGGGAGGCTGAGGCAGGAGAATCACTTGAACCTGGGAGGTGGAGGTTGCAGTGAGCCGAGATTGCACCATTGCACTCCAGCCTGGGCAAAAAGAGTGAAATTCCGTCTCAAAAAAAAATATCATTAAGTTATCTTCTTGAATCTTAAAAAAAAAAAAAATTACTAAGGACCTGTATTAGTCTGTTCTCACTCTGCTATAAAGAACTGCCCGAAGCTGGGCGTGGTGGCTCACGCCTGTAATCCCAGCACTTTGGGAGGCTGAGGCGGGCAGATCACAGGGTCAGGAGTTCAAGACCAGCCTGGCCAACATGGTGAAACCCCATCGCTACTAAAAATATAAAAAATTAGCCGGGCATGGTGGCAGGTGCCTATAATCCCAGCTACTCAGGACGCTGAGGCAGGAGACTCGCTTCAACCCGGGAGGCGGAGATTGCCATGAGCTGAGACCGCACCGCTGCACTCCAGCCTGGGCAACAGAGTGAGACTCCATCTCAAAAAAAAAAAAAGGAAGAAAGAACTGCCAGAGACTGGGTAATTTACTTTAATTTATATTGAAGTATTTAATTTATATAGGAAAGGGGTTTTGTTGACTCACATTTCCACATGTCTGGGAGGCCTCAGGAAACTTACAGTCATGGTAGAAGACACCTCTTCACAGGACCGCAGGAGAGAGAATGAGTGCGGAGAGAAGGGGAAAGCCCCTTATAAAACCATCAGATGTTGTGAGAACTCAGTCACTATCACGAGAACAACAAGGGGAAAACTGTCCCCATGCTTCAGTTTTGTCCATCTGGTCTCGCCCTTGACACGTGGGGATTATTACAATTCAAGGTGAGATTTGGGTGGGGACACAGAGCCAAACCATATCAGACCCCAAAGAAGTTTTGTTTATATGAGTCATATCTATTGATGTATACTGTATTAGAAATTAAAACTGAGAAAAATTTTAGATGTTTGTTTATTCATTTACAAATAATACACTTATTACATATTAACATGAATATAAATTAGATTTTTTATGCACATGGGGAAAGAAGGAATTAAATTAGATTTTTCATTTTAAAAAATTGTGTTTCCAAGAAAAAAAATTAGTGGGCAGAGTAGCATTATTTTCATTTTTGCAAATTTTTTTTATTTTAATGTCTGGCTTACCAGAAGGCAGCTAGATTTTCATAGCTGCTTTTGTTTTTTAACCTCCATACTAAAGATGTAAATGATTTATATAACACCATTACAGTATTAGAATATTCTGAATTTGACTATTTACTTACTTTTACCAGTGAATGTTATACTTTCATATGTTTTCATGTTACTAATTATTATGCTTTTCATTCAGCTTGAAGAACTCCCTTTAGCACTTCTTGTGAGGCAGGTGTAGTGGTGATGAACTCTCTCAGCTTTTTTCGTCTAGGATTATATCTGCTTCTGTATTCAGTCTATTATGATAGATTGTTCTGGTTGAAGTATCTGAAGAAAATCCAAGCTAGCAGAAATATACAATTGGAAAAGGAATATTTTTATAACCTTGTTGATACTCTTCTTTGATACTACATCAAAACTTGACAAAAGTTAGTTGCATTGTACAATCTAAAACCATTATAATGACTTCATACTCTGTTACATTAACATCTGTTGGTCTATATTATACTTTGATTGGATCTTTTATCCATGCATGATTTTTATAGCATCATGTATTTATCATTTGGATAGTATTGGTTCCCTGAGTTATGCAGCTCTTCCAAATGTCGATACATTTCATTTTACAATATAAAAAAATACATATTTCCATCAGTTTCACCAGAAAAGTATTTAAATATTGGGAAACTCTTACAATGGTAGATACAAGTCTTCCGAAATTTTATTTTTATTTTTACTTGAAAGCTACATTTTTGTCATTGGCAACAAACACCCTCTGTTGTTTTCCTTGAAGTGACAGGCTCATACTTCTTTTCAACAAGTTGTCTGCCAAATACCCATCTGAAAAGTTTATATGTATACGTTTATGAAAGTTTTAAAGCTTTTAAATAAGTTTTTAGTAAGTTCTTATAAAACTATATTGAATAAGTAAAAATGGTATTCCCTAAAAAAAGTGGCTAGTTCAGCCTGCAGTTCCATTACACAAGTGCTTTTCCTAGAGACAGACATTGTATTTCTTTATGCAGCAGAAGTACTTTATGTGCACTTCCCATTTCACAATACAGAATAGTAGAAAGATATGTATTGAGGGGTCAAGGTTTAATTAATAATTTGTATGGCTTCAAGAATACATTGGCTTTTAAAATACGGTGAGTGTGTGGTGATGAAGAATACAATAATACTAGTGCAATTCGGTGCCACTGCCTTCAGCCATTTTATCTATCTGTATTAGTCCATTTTCACACTGCTATAAAGATACTACCTGAGACTGGATACTTTATAAATAAAAGAGGTTTAATTGACTCACAGTTCTGCGTGGCTGGATAGGCCTCAGGAAACTTACAACCATGGTAGAAAGCTAAGGGGAGGCAAGGCATGTCTTACATGGTGGCAGGAGAAAGAGAAAGAGAGTGCAGGGGAAATACCAGACACTTACCAAACAACCGGATCTCATGAGAACTCCCTCACTAACACGTGAACACTAACACCCCCATGATCCAATCACTTCCCACCAGGTCCCTCCCTTCGCACGTTGGGATTACAATTCGAGACGAGATTTGAGTGGGGACATAGAGCCAAACCATATCACTACCATTGCCTTTTTTTAATTTTTAATTTTTGTGGGCACATGGTAGGTGTATATATTTATGAGGTACATGAGATACTTTCATATAGTCATGTAATGTGTAATAATTACACCATGGTAAATGGGGTGTCTATCCCCTCAAGCATTTATCCTTTATGTTACAGACAATTCAATTATACTCTTTTAGTTATTTTTGAATATATAATTAAATTATTATTGACGATAGTCACCCATTTGTGCTATCAAATACTAGGTCCTATTCATTCTTCCTATTTTTTGTGCCCATTAACCATCCCCACTTCCCCGCCACCAGTCCCCCACCATTGCTTTTGCTCCGTCCTGTTGATATTTACACTCATGGAGCAAATAAACACGTTAGTATTATTTTGAGTAATGGTCAAACAAATGAAAAGGTACTCAGCTTCTTTAGTAATGGTGAAATTACAGATTAAAATAACAATGAAATACTATTTCATGCCCACCAGGAGGGCAGAAGTTTAAAATTCTGTGAACACTGGGAGTTGTCATTATGGATATGATGCAACAGGAACTTTTTTATCTGGCCGGTGGTATAAGTTAGAACAACTACTTTGGAAAACATTTTGGCTGTATCTTCAGAACACATGCAGACCTTGTGATCCAGCAATTCTACCCTAGAGAAACCTGTATGTGTTATACCAGGATGTATGTACAAGAATGTGCATAGCAGCATTGTTTGTAGTAGTCAAAAATTGGAAACATCCAGATGTCTGTCAACTGTAGAATGGATAAATTGTGTTATGTTCATATACTATAATATCATACAGCAAAGAAAATGATTGAACCACAGTTACATTCAGTATCAGAGATGGATCTGGCATAATCTGGAATGATTCAAAAAAAGCACTAAAGAATATAAACAGTATAATTCCATTTATGTAAAGTTCAAAAACAGGCAAAATGATATTGAATAAGAATATAGCTCACTATTCTTAAAATGCAAGAAAATGATTTTCACAAAGTCAAGATAATAGATACTTTAAAAGGGAGGGATGGAGTTGTGATTGGAGAAGGGCACATGAGTAGGCTTTTAGGACTCTGGCAATGTTATTTCTTGATCTGGGGAAAAAGATAAAGTAAAAAGAAAAAAACAAACCAAAAACCCACAGTGTTCCTCTGAGTGGATAGAAATTTGAAATTCTTTTCATTTTGCTTGTCCTGTATTGCTATTATAAAAAGGGTAAGCTTTTTAAAAATGAAAATACATTGATTTTTACCATTTTTGCTTTGTTTTTTATTTATTTATTTATTTATTTATTTATTTATTTATTTATTTATTCTGAGAGGGAGTCTCACTCTGTCACTCAGGCTGTAGTGCAGTGGCACGATCTTGGCTCACTGCAACCTCTGCCTTCTAGGTTCAAGCAATTCTCCTGCCTTAGCCTCTCGAGTAGCTGGGATTACAGGCACCCACCACCATGCCTGGCTAATTTTTGTATTTTAGTAGAGACGGGGTTTCACCATGTTGGCCAGGCTGGTCACAAACTCCTGACCTCAAAGTGATCTGCCCACCTCGGCCTCTCAAAGTGCTGGGATTGGGATTACAGGCATGAGCCACCGCACCCAGCCTGTTTTTAAATTATAAAAGTAATACATCCATTAGACTGATTTTTTAATAATAATGATATTTATTCTTACAGCTTGATTATAAAGCATACTTTTTCCTCATCAAACAGTAACACCTGAAAGATTCGATTGCTAGTCTTTCACCAAATGCCAAAAATCCTGGTGAATTCTCTTTTAAAGTAGCACTATATGCTTGCCTAACTTTCTTAATTCAATAGTATTAGATAAATTACCATTGGAAAGACTATTTTTCAAAAACGTTATTATATGCCAAAGAGGAGACTATGATAAATCAGAGTTATTGTAAGAATTAAACAAAATAATATACAGAATAATAGTTCCCAATAAGTTCTGTTAAATCAAAATCTGCCACGATTTGAAGCAGCCTTCTTGAAAATAAAGGTTAGTGGGCTGGGCGCTGTGGCTCACGCCTGTAATCCCAACACTTTGGGAGGCCGAGGCAGGCGGATCACGAGGTCAGGAGTTTGAGAGCAGCCTGGCCAATATGGTGAAACCCCGTCTCTACTAAAAATACAAAAATTAGCTGGGCGTGGTGGCGTGCACCTGTAGTCCCAGCTACTCAGGAGGCTGAGGCAGAAGAATCGCTTGAACCTGGGAGGCAGAGGTGGTAGTGCAGCCGAGATCGTGCCACTCGATCCAGCCTCGGGACCAGAGTAAGATTCCATCTCAAAAAAAAAAAAAGAAAAGAAAAGAAAGGTTAGTTTATGTGTGTTTATGCCAAATCCCATCTCTCCAGAGTTTAATATATATTGATAATAGATTGATTAGCAACGTTCTCAAAGATCTCATATACTCTTTTTTTTTTTTTTTTTTGAGATGGAGTCTTGCTCTGTTGTCCAGGCTGGAGTGCAGTGGCGCAATCTCAGCTTACTGCAGCCTCCGCCTCCCTGATTCAATTCTCCTACCTTAGCCTCCTGAGTAGCTGGGACTACAGGTGCCCGCCACCACGTCCAGCTAATTTTTTTTGTATTTTTAGTAGAGACGGGGTTTCACCATATTGGCCAGGCTGGTCTTGAACTCCTGACCTTGTGATCTGCCCACCTCAGCCTCCCAAAGTGCTGGGATTACAGGCGTGAGCCACTGCGCCCGGCCAGATCTCATATACTTTTGACCACACATCAGTAAAAATCAAAAAAACCTTAGGAGAAAAAAAGGTAACACCATTTACATTAGACTGATTTTTGAAGTGAATCTGCTTTAGTGCCTACTGTGCTATGTCCATTTAAAAAATTTTTACATGTTCTGAAATTTTGTATTCTTGCAAGTTTATCTACCTCCCCCTAAATTTTAAAATATTTTATTGTTGTTATTTTTATTTTTAGCCCTTTCTCCTACGCATATTATTCTCCACCCTGTTCAGTATGGTTTCTGTTCAGGACTCAAACTGGAATGCAGATTTTCTTCAACCACTTTACACCCACTTCTTAGTTGAGACAGATTGCCAGAGTCCTATGTAATCTTACAGATTCTGTGGGTGTCAAAGGATGTTGCTTCTTTATACTGTGCTAAGGAAGCCCTTGTTTTGTGTGTCTGTGATGTGTTTCTGGATGACAGCAGCAATAATACCATCTACTTTCTAGGCAGAAGAGAGGCAAAGAGAGGAGCAGCTGGTCTCATTTGACAGGTAATAGAATTATTCATACAACCTGCTGGATAGTTGAGATGGGAATCTATCTCGTTATATTTTAATTTTAAAAATCAATGAAAAAATAGAGGGCAAAAATAAGGGGGCACCTGGAGTGGATAACATAATCCACAGAATAAAATTAAAAAGGCAAAACCATGGGCTTTTCCAAGCTCTTTGAGTTATTGGAAGGAGTAATTTCAAGGTGAATAAAAACTTCCAAGAAACCATTGATGTCTATGTGTTAAGCAGAGAGCTTGACTCCCTAGGAATAAGTATGAACCTACATGTCTACAGATTAGGAAGTCTAAGTCATCTTACCTCTAATGCAGATTTAAACCCATCAGAGTTCTTGGGTCTCTACTCATTTATAAAATGGAAGCAACTCATCCTTCTAGGAGTATTAAGAGGGAAACCAGACAATTTGTATCTGAATGATGTTCTTAACTTCTCCAAACTAATCACATGGAAGTGTATTTGTGGTATTAGTTCAGAACTTGATATGTTTTAGCATAGATACACATCCATCCCTCCCCACTACACTATGAGCACCTCAAAGGCTTGGGGACTCTGTCTTACTTAGTTTTGTATCTCTAGCACGAAGAGGACGTTATTTAAACATTGTAGGGGTGAAGTATGATTTATGATACTGATGGGAAAACACATAATAATGGAAAATTTCAAAGTGTTTTATATCTAGTATAATAAGTAATATGTTTTCCTTTTAAATGCTTGAAAATAAAGAGGCGTTGGGGCATGGTGGCTCAAGCCTGTAATCCCAGCACTTTGGGAGGCCGAGGCGGGTGGATCACCTGAGGTCAGGAGTTCGAGACCAGCCTGGCCAACATGGTGAAACCCCATCTCTACTAAAATACAAAAATGAGCTGAGTGTAGAGGCAGGTGCCTATAATCCCCACTACTCTCGAGGCTGAGGCAGGAGAATCTCTTGAACCCGGGGGGCGGAGTGAAGTAAGCGCCACTTCACTCCGGCCTGGATGAAAGAGCGAAACTCCGTCTCAAAAAAAAAAAAAAAAGCCAGGCATGGTGGCTCAAGCCTGTAATCACAGCACTTTGGCAGGTTGAGGCAGGAGGATAGCTTAAAGCCAGGAGTTTGAGACCAGCCTGGGCAACAAAGCAAGACCCCCATTTCTAAAAAGAATTTTTTAAAAAGTGTTATAACATTTCACTAGCTTTCTGTTAAGAGGGTTTTTTATGGATTGTTTTTTAATAGAGATGAGGGTTTTGCTATGTTAGCCAGGTTGGTCTTGAACTCCTGGCCTCAAGCAGTCCTCCTGCCTCGGCCTCCCAAAGTGCTAGGATTACAGGCATGAGCCACCGCGCCTGGCCTGTTAAGAGGTATTTAACCCAAAGCATAACCCCAAGGAAATTTTGGAAAACTAGGAGATGTGATTCTGTTGAACTAACTGGCAAAGCACTGATAGGTCACTTAGCTTGCTCTTCTCCACCCACTTAGTACTGAAGGTACTAATGCAGCTTGCACTTTGAGAGTGCCCTGGAAGATGATGGTGCAACATAATTCAATGAGTTCAAATCTCTGGCTACTTTCCTTGTCTGGCAAGCCCCAGTGAGATTACAGAGTATACCCCTAAATGGAAACAGCCAGGAGTCCCATCCGTCATAATTCTGCCACATGTCAGCTTTGCCCATGGAAGCTGAGTCTTTGTTTTCCTGATATCATCAGCTCTTTGCTTCTGGATATGAAGAATGTGGCCCTCCAAGACTTTATTGATAGCAGAGGACTGGAGCCCTGGTAATGTCTTTGCATAGGTTCTGCTGGCAGTAGAGATGTTGGAGATATGTCTTGTTATGCCTTTGAGAGGAGAAATCACCTAGTGTGCCTGTTTCCCTGCAGCCATGAGGAGTGGAACCAGATGCAGAGCCAGGAGGATGAGGTGGCCATCACTGAGCAGGATTTGGAACTTATTAAAGAAAGAGAAACGGCAATTCGGCAGCTGGAGGTGAGAGCCACGTCATGTTTTTTGTTTGACTCAGTGTGTCTGCAGGTATCTGAACTCCTTAGTTCACTTTAATTCTCTTAGTGATTATGAAAAGGCATAAAATGTGTCATTGTGTGATTTGTATTTTTTCTGTCTCAGTGTAATCATGGTGGGTTTGAACTACCGGTTTTTTTTGTTTTTTTTTTTATCTTGGATGGAATTTCGCTCTTGTTGCCCAGGCTGGAGTGCAGTGGTGTGATCTTGGCTCACTGCAACCTCTGCCTCCTGGGTTCGAGCGATTCTCCTGCCTCAGACTCTCGAGTAGCTGGGATTACAGGCATGTGCCACCACGCCCAGCTAATTTTGTATTTTTAGTAGAGACGGGGTTTCTCCATGTTGGTCAGGCTGGTCTTGAACTCACGACCTCAGGTGATCCACCCTCATCGGCCTCCCAAAGTGCTGGGATTACAGGCGTGAGTCACCGCTCCTGGCATGAACTACTGTTATAATGGCATTGGCCTTGGTGCCCAGGAGTACTCAAATCCTTTCCTCAATCACCACATCTTATACGGATCACCACATCTTATTTCTCCTGGAGAAATGTACATGGAGAACAGAACAAGGCAGACAGATATTTTATTGCTCATTAGAACTTTGACCTCAAATCTCAATGCCAACCTCCGGGTTAGGCAGGACTCCATGGAGAGCCCCTTTGCTTAGTCTGAAGAGCCCAGAATAAAGGCAGGCCAAAAGTCTTGCTCCATTTTTGTATATCCTAAAGTCTAATCCCAAGTTGTACATCTTATCCCTTCAGTGAGTCAGAGAAATAGGAACAGTTTTTGAGGTGGAGGTTGAGGGAGAAGTCTGTAGGCCTTTCTTACCTAACTGAGCTTTCAACTTTAATTTTGCACAGTGACTAATAAAATATCCTTTTTTTTTTTTTTCCGAGACTAAGTCTTGCTCTGTCGCCCAGGCAGGAGTGCAATGACACTATCTCAGCTTACTGCAGCCTCCCTCTCCTGGGTTCAAGTGATTCTCCTGCCTCAGCCTCCTGAATAGCCGAGACTACCAGTACGCACCACCACACTCGGCTAATTTTTGTATTTTTAGTAGAGACAGGGTTTTGCCATTTTGGCCAGGCTGGTCTTGAACTTCTGACCTCAAGTGATCTGCCTGCTTCAGCCTCCCAAAGTGCTGGGATTACTGGCATGAACCACTGTGCCCAGCTAAAATATCCTTAAACCTGAGTTTTCTCCAGTTTAGTTTTCTCCGAAGGTAGAAGGCTGCCATTGCTGGGATCAGGGGAGGAGAAAAGGAGAGAGGGAAATTTTGAGCTCTTCCTTGGCCTCCATCTGTAGCAGTGGTTCTGAACTGTGAGTGCACATGAGGATCACCTGGAGAAGATTTTTTTTTAATGCCCCAGCTCTCATCCACCACTAATTACCTGATGGGATAATGTGAAATTCCTGTTTATTATATGTTAAAAATGGGCAAATATCCATTATTTTATATGGTTCAAACTAATAAATCATAATTTCTGGGCGTGAGGCCCTGGGCATGGGTATTTTTTTAAAAAGTTCCCCCAGGTGATTATAATATGCAGCCAGGGTTGAGACCCACTGCCCTAAAGGCCATCAATGTCTGTTTTTATCTATTTATTATTTATTTTTTGAGTCAGAGTCTTACTCTGTCACCCAGGCAGGAGTGCAGTGGCGCGTTCTTGGCTCACTGCAACCTCCACTTCCTGGGTTCAAGCGATTCTCCTGCCTCAGCCTCCTGAGTAGCAAAGATTATAGGTGCCCGCCACCACTCCTGGCTAATTTTTGTATTTTTAGTAGAGACGAGGTTTTGCCATTTTGGCCAGGCTGGTCTTGTCTGTTTTTAGATGGGATAGTTTATCCTTAAGTTATGATTATTTTATTGCCTTCAAAAATGTCATATCTTTACTCTTTTTCACCTACTGCTACTACTAATTGAATTAATTGTCTAACATTAGAAATATGGCTAAGTGCAATGGCTCATGCCTGTAATCCCGGCAAGTTGGAGGCTGAGGCAGGATGATTGCTTGAGCCCAGGAATTCAAGACAGCCTGGGCAGTGTAGCAAGACCTTACCTCTACAAAAAATAAAAAATTAACCGGGTGCTGTAACATGTACCTGTGGTCCCAGCTACTCAGGAGCCTGAGGCAGAAGATCACTTGAGCCCAGGAGATCAAGGCTGCAGTGAGCCATGATCGTGCCACTGCAATCCAGCCTGGGCAACAGAGCAAGACTCTGTCTCAAATAATAATAATAATCCTTCCTTCAAAGAAAAATTACTAGCCGGGCGCGGTGGCTCATGCCTGTAATCCCAGCACTTTGGGAGGCTGAGGCGAGTGGCTCACCTGAGGTCTGGAGTTCAAGACCAGCCTGACCAACATGGTAAAACCCCGTGTCTACTAAAAACACAAAAAATTAGCCGGGTGTGGTGGTGCATGCCTGTAATTCCAGCTACTGGGGAGGCTGAGGCAGGAGAAGTGCTTGAACCTGGGAGGCGGAGGTTGCAGTGAGCAATTGCACTCCAGCCTGGCAACAGAGCGAGACTCTGTCTCAAAAAAAAAAAAAAAAATACAGTTGGCCCTCGATATATTTAGGTTTCACATCCTCAGACTCAAGCAACCGTGGAGTGAAAATATTTAAAAAAAACTAAAAAATAATACAACAATAAAAAATAATACAAATGTAAAAACCAATACAGTGTAACAGTATTTTATATAACACATTGTATTAGTTCAGTACATTACTAATACAATGTAAGTGCTATGTAAAATAGTAATGTAGTATAAAATAGTAATGTAACATTATATAAGTAATATAGAGATGATTTAGAATATAGGAGAGAATGGGCACAAGTTATATGCAAATACTATGCCATTTTATATCAGTGACTTAGAGGGAGGGAGTCCTGGAACCAATCCCCCACGGATACCAAGGGACGAATGTACCGTTATAGCAAAGTGGAGTGAGACATATGGAGCTAAGGAAAGAAATGTAATGGATGCCAGGGTATAATGGATCATTTCATATTCAACAGAGGAAAGTCCAAATTCCTTAGCCTAGGTTCAATTTTCGTATCTAGTAATTTCCAAACTCTGACATACACATTCTATGTTATGGCAAAGCTAGGTTATTTGCTCTTTAACTGAGTTGCCTTTCTGTTCATATGACCTCTCCTTTGCTTTAAGGCACAACTCATGTCTTACCTCTTCTGCAGAGTCTTCCTTTTCTCCACACCTTTCTATACCATTAATTCAGCCATTTCCTATATAGTACTCTTCCTTCTTATTTATTTTATTGTGCACTTATTCCCCACGTCCACCCCAGTTAGCTGTATTCACAGCAACTAGCAGACTACCCCAACTATGGTAGACTCTTAGCAAGTGATTGAAATGCTGACAAGACTTGCTTTAGCAGATAGTCCACTATAGTAGACTCTTAGCAAGTGATTGAAATGCTTGCCAGGTTATGATTCCAATAACCCTTCAAACCTGGAAGGGAATTGCCCTCAAATTTCCATAGGGTCATGCCCCATATGAGCACCCCTTTAATAAGACAGGTTTCCATTGTCTTTCTTCTGCCTGATCATGAGTCAGAAAAACTCAAATATAGGCCAGACGTGGTGGTTCACACCTGTAATCCCAGCACTTTGGGAGGCCGAGGCAGGCGGATCAGTTGAGGTCAGGAATTCGAGACCAGCCTGGCCAATGTGGTGAAACTCTGTCTCTACTAAAAATACAAAAATTAGGGCCGGGCACAGTACAAGCTCACGCCTGTAATCCCAGCACTTTGGGAGGCCAAAGTGGGTGGATCACCTGAGGTCAGGAGTTCGAGACCAGCCTGACCAACATGGTGAAACCCCATCTCTACTAAATATAAAGAATTAGCCAGGCATGGTGGTACATCCTGTAATCCCAGGTACCTGGGAGGCTGAGGCAGGAGAATTGCTTGAACCCAGGAGGCGGAAGTTGCAGTGAGCCGAGATTGCACCATTGCACTCCAGCCTAGCAACAAGAGTGAAACTCTACCTCAGAAAAAAAAAATAGCCGGGCGTGGTGGTGCACGACTGTAATCCCATCTACTGGGGAGGATGAGGCAGGAGAATCACTCAAACCCAGGGGATGGAGGTTGCAGGGAGTTGAGATTGTGCCACTGCACTCCAGCCTGGATGACAGAGCAAGACTCTGTCTCAAAAAAAACAAGTAATAAATAAAAATAAATAAAAAGAAAGAAGGGACGGAGGCTGGGCGCGGTGGATCATGCCTGTAATCCCAGCATTTTGGGAGGCCGAGGCAGGCGGATCAGGAAGGAAGGGAGGGAGGGAGGGATAGAGAGAGAAGGGAGGGAGGGAGGGAGGCCAGGCACAGTGACTCATGCCTGTAATCCCAGCACTTTGGGAGGCCAAGGCAGTGGATCACGATGTCAGGAGTTCAAGACCAGCCTGGCCAACATGGTGAAACCCCGTCTCTACTAAAAATAAAAAATTATCCGGGCGTGGTGGCATGGGCCTGTAATCCCAGCTACTCAGGAGGCTGAGGCAGGTGAATTGCTTGAATCCGGGAGGTGGAGGTTGCAGTGAGACGAGATTGTGCCACTGCACTCCAGCCTGGGTGACAGAGCAAGACTCTGTCTCAAAAAAAAAAGAAAGAGAAAGGAAGGAAAGAGAGAGGAGAAAGAAGGAAGGGAGGGAGGGAAAAAAGGAAGGAAGGGGAGGGAGGAAGGAAAGGAAAGGGAAGGGAGAGAGAGAGAAGGAAGGAAAGAGAGGGAGGGAGGAAGGAAGGAAGGAAAGAAGGAAGGAAAGAAAAGGAAGAAAAAAGAAAGGGAGGGAGAGAAGGAGGGAGGGAGGGAGAAAGACCCAAATATAGGGGATTTTGCCAATGTTAAATTCTTCCACTGCTGTTAGGAAAACAAGCTGCAGTTCAGCCCACTGAGCTGATTTGTGTTTACCTTCTTTGATCAGAGCAGTAAATAGGTTGTAGTCCATTCACTTTGGAACTGCTATCCACAGACCATCAGCTTTTTGTCAGTCAGTTGGGAGTTACCATAGGGCATTGTCCAGTGATGACAGAATCCAGCAACTCCTCACACAGTTCCAGAGTCAATCCCAGGGGAAAAGAGGCTCCTTACTTGTAGCTCCTCCTTGCATTCCTCAGATAGCATGATCTTGTATAAACATTTAAATTCTGTAGTCCAAAGTCCCAGTGGTTGTCATCGGGAGGCACTCAACAGGCTTTTGTCACAAGGCCTAGCAGTCTCCACATAGGGCTATCACACCAAGAATTTGTCTATATCAGCACTCCAGCCTTCTGCTGTACTGTTTGGACTTGGGCGCTCTTACTGGTTCTCATGTAGCATGTCCCATTAATGTTGCTTGAAGAGTGAGTTTATGTGCCTTCTGTTTTACAATATTGGGTAGGCAGCAATAGATTATTTTCTGTTTATGGAGAAAGCATGCTTTGTAGAGCCTTAAAAACACACGTGTTAATAGCTAAAACTTTAGGTACGTGAGGGAAACAAATCTTCTAACATGTTGCTTAATGTTAGTTAATTGTTTTTTGTCTTCCTTAGGCTGACATTTTGGATGTCAATCAGATATTTAAAGATTTGGCCATGATGATCCATGACCAGGGTGATCTGATTGGTATGTATTATTGATACCTTTAACCTCAAGGTGAGTTGATAGTATTTGGCATGCATCTGTAATCCCAGCTACTCAGAAGGCTGAGGCTGAAGCACCATCTAGGAGTTTGAAGCCAACCTGGGCAACATAATGAGAATTTGTCTCTTAAAAAAGAAAGAAAGAAAGAAAAAGGAGTTAGGCTAGGCGTGGTGGCTCAGGCCTGTAATCCCAGCACTTTGGGAAGCCCAAGCGGGCAGATCATGAGGTCAGGAGATGGAGACCATCCTGGCTCACACGGTGAAACCCGTCTCTACTAAAAATACAAAAAATTAGCTACGCCTGGTGGCATGCACCTGTAGTCCCAGCTACTCGGGAGGCTGAGGCAGGAGAATCCCTTGAACCCAGGAGGTGGAGGTTGCAGTGAGCCGAGATTGCGCCACTGTATTCCAGCCTGGGTGACAGAATGAGACTTCGTCTCAATTAAAAAAAAAAAAAAAATGGAGTTAGTCATATCAGCTATAGAGTTAAAGTATGTTTAGGAATGCCGTTTTAAAAATTACCAAATTTATTTTTCGTAGCAATTTTTTTATGTTATCAAATGTAGAAGTTAAATGAGGCCTCATGAATACTCAGTCCCATTGACTTCTTTGTACATCTTTGTTTAGAGAAATAGCTCTCAGCTTCCCAGCTTTTATCTCAACAAACTTGCAAAATTATGGGGTTAGTAACCCTTTTTTTTTTTTTGAGACGGAGTTTTGCTGTTGTTGCCCAGGCTGGAGTGCGATGGTGCGATCTTGGCTCACCACAACCTCCGCCTCCTGGGTTCAAACAATTCTGCTGCCTCAGCCTCCCGAGTAGCTGGGATTACAAGCATGTGCCACCACGCCCGCTAATTTTGTAGTTTTAGTAGAGACGGGGTTTCTCCATGTTGGTCAGGCTGGTCTTGAACTCTCGACCTCAGGTGATCTGCCCGCCTTGGCCTCCCAGGTGGTGGGATTACAGGCGTGAGCCACCACGCCTGGCCAGTAACTCTTTTTTTTAAAGCTTTCTATGTGGAAATAATTTCGAGTTTATTAAAAGTTGCAAAAATAGGCTGGGCATGGTTGCTCACGCTTGTAATCCCAGCACTTTGGGAGGCTGAGGTGGGAGGATCACTTGAAGCCAGGAGTTCAAGACTAGCCTAGGCAACATAGTAAGACCCTGTCTTTACCAAAAAATTAGCCAGGCATAGTAACATGCACCTGTAGTCCTAGCTACTCAGGAGGCTGAGGTGGGAAGATCACTTGAACCCAGGAGTTGGAGGCTACGGTGAACTATTATTGTACCACTGCACTCCAGTCTAGGTGACAGAGTGAGATCCCGTCTCTTAAAAAAAAAAAAAAAAAAAAGGTAGCAAAAATAAAAATATTATAAGGACCTTCTTTATACCCTTTACCCAGATTTACCTCTTGTTAACATTCTACCCCATTTGCTTTATTATGTATTCTTTCTCTCTTTCTCTATGTGTATCTACATAATTTTTTATGAATCATTTATGGGTAAGTTAAATACTTCATAGCCCCCAAAAATTCATTGTTTTTTCTCCAAAGAAAAGGCTAGTCTCTTACCAAGGTAGTAACTCGATTTCATGGCTGGATAGTTTGGATAGTGGTAGTGAAACCAGGACATGTAACATCAGAAATCTGTTCAATTTGCAGTCTTAAAACATCTGAGTGTGTTAAAACATCCTCTGTCCTTCCTTTTGCAGATAGCATAGAAGCCAATGTGGAAAGCTCAGAGGTGCACGTCGAAAGAGCCACTGAACAGTTACAGCGAGCTGCTTACTATCAGGTAAAAGCGGGTACCAAAGAAAGTCACTCTGTGTTGCAGACTTTTTAGGCCATCAGAGTACATTGACATATTGAGAACAGCTACAGCCTTTGCTTAGGTTTAAGCTAAAGGAAAGTAGTCATAATTGCAGTCCCAGTTCCATTTTTATTATTTTCCTTTGCAGATAGATCTACAAAAAATAATCACACCTTGAATAAACTTATCAGAAGGCTAGTAACTGCAAAGCTAACCCTATACACTAATATGATACCTAAATCTGCTATGAGGCTGTTTTATATCCCGAACAGCTGAATGTATTTCAATTAGGATAGTAAGAAGTACAGTTAAAGTAGAAGACTTCATAGATTCTTTATGTTGAGTGTTGCCATAGAGGATGGACATAGAATCAACTTCGACTGCTATTTATATATGAATAAATAAGGATAATCATTCTGGAACTGTTCCTGTAAAGTGAAATCCTTCTACATGTTAGTTGAAACTCTGGTTTTTTTACTTATCCAAGTCTTTATCTCAGTGTACAAATAATGTGAATGAAGTCTTTCTCACTTCCCTTCAATTTGGTGTTGCATGGCTTTTTAGAAATAAATAGCATTTCATGTCCTTCGCCCACTTTTTGATGGGGTTGTTTGTTTTTTTCTTGTAAATTTGTTTGAGTTCATTGTAGATTCTGGATGTTAGCCCTTTGTCAGATGAGCAGGTTGCGAAAATCTTCTCCCATTTTATAGGTTGCCTGTTCACTCTGATGGTAGTTTCTTTTGCTGTGCAGAAGCTCTTTAGTTTAATTAGATCCCATTTGTCAGTTTTGGCTTTTGTTGCCATTGCTTTTGGTGTTTTAGACATGAAGTCCTTGCCCATCCTATGTCCTGAATGGTAATCAGTGTGGCGATTCCTCAGGGATCTAGAACTAGAAATACCATTTGACCCAGCCATCCCATTACTGGGTATATACCCAAAGGACTATAAATCATGCTGCTATAAAGACACATGCACACGTATGTTTATTGCGGCATTATTCACAATAGCAAAGACTTGGAACCAACCCAAATGTCCAACAGTGATAGACTGGATTAAGAAAATGTGGCACATATACACCATGGAATACTATGCAGCCATAAAAAACGATGAGTTCGTGTCCTTTGTAGGGACATGGATGAAATTGGAAATCATCATTCTCAGTAAACTATTGCAAGAACAAAAAACCAAACACTGCATATTCTCACTCATAGGTGGGAATTGAACAATGAGAACACATGGACACAGGAAGGGGAACATCACACTCTGGGGACTGTTGTGGGGTGGGGGGAGGGATAGCATTGGGAGATATACCTAATGCTAGATGACGAGTTAGTGGGTGCAGCACACCAGCATGGCACATGTATACATATGTAACTAACCTGCACATTGTGCACATGTACCCTAAAACTTAACGTATAATTAAAAAAAAAAAAAAGAAGAAATAGCATTTCAGTTGTTTTCCGTGTTCCTGGGATAGCTGTATTTTACCTGGGAGTGCTCGTAAAGAAATTCGTATTTAATAATAGTGTTTCCTTTAAAAACTAGGTGATTAATTTAGTGTCCAACAGTAAAGGAATAATTAAGTAAATTATATACATCCACTCATTGTTGCATATGGGAATTAAGAGATGTTTCTGAAGAGTTTAAACAGAAAAATGTTTATACTAAACATTAAGTGAGGAAAAACATCAAACATCATACAATGTGATCCAGTTATGTCAAATAATATACATAGATAACAAATCAGAAAGAAATACAAAAATGTTGACGGTATTATCTATGGGTGATTTTTTTTTCTCCCTCCGCTTGCTGTATTTTTTTTTTTACAATGAACATAACAGTTTTATACGTATTATAAAATGTTATTAAAATACACATGCACAAATAACTTATTTTATTGCAAATAATGCCTGGCAGCACAGGTATAGTTCCTTTGCAAAATTGTATGTGGGGACTTGGAATTAAAACTTTGAAACCTATACTACTCGGCTGGGTGCGGTGGCCCACGCCTGTAATCCCAGCCCTTTGGGAAGCCGAGGCAGGTAGATCACTTGAGGTCAGGAGTTCGAGATCAGCCTGGCCAACACTGGTGAAACCCCGTCTCTACTAAAAATACAAAAACTAGCTGGGCATAGTGGCACACGCCTGTAATTCCAGCTGCTCAGGAGGCTGAGACATTAGAATCACTTGAACCTGGAAGGTGGAGGTTTCAGTTAGCCAAGATCGCACCACGGCACTCCAGCCTGGGTGACGGAGTGAGACTCTGTCTCAAGAAAAAAAAAAACACCAAACAAACAAAAAACACTTGCACTACTACCTAGTGCTGCTGACTTAAGATTTCTGGGAAAGTCTGTGCATAATTTTGCATGGATAGAGTTAATCTTTAATTACAAGGAGGCAGATTTATGAAGCATTCTTAGAGTCTTACACATACAAATTTTACTTGTTTCATGAGTATCTTGTTTACATATTTCTTTCCTCAGAAAAAATCTCGCAAGAAGATGTGTATCCTGGTGCTTGTCCTGTCAGTGATTATTCTAATCTTGGGACTTATTATCTGGCTAGTTTATAAAACGAAGTGATTGCCTCCGATCGTTCTCCCGCTGAGCTGTTTTCAAGGGCAAGTGCTTGTTGAAGTCTTGCCAGAACAAACTGATCACAAGAAGACAGCATATATCAGAACGTCCTGTAATCATTTAGTTAGAAACTAACTACTAACTAGTCTTTGGAATTCGTGACCTATGGAGACAGTAATTATCAATTTATTGATTCTATTGATTTCTCAAATTAGGAATTAACTTATGTGGATTTTGCTTCCTCTTGTATTCTGATTGCCCTTCATCCCAAGTGTTTACTGAAAATTCCATTCTAGATATTCTTGTTTTGACAAATGACACTACAGTCTCGTAATATTGTCTTTTATGTATATACAAAATTTACCTTTTTACTAGCATCTGAGATAGAGTTACTTTCTGGTACCCAGTATATTGGAGTCTGTCAGAAACTCTATAATAGGCCACCAGTTTTTATTATTTAACATTTTTATTTGAATTTCTAAGAAGCCTATTCTCTATCTATTTTGAAAGATTTTGGCACTATATTTAATTGGAAGGTAAAATATTGTACATGTGATCCAGAGTAAATGAGAAGTCTCTATCTGAGCTGGTCAGTTACTGGAGTACATGTTACTAATCTGGGTTTAAAGTTTACTTCATTATCTGCTAGTGTCATCCACAGCAGTTCATCCTCATCCACACTAAGCCATCCTGTTAGCTTTTAAAGGAAGTTAATTTAATTAACATTAATATACTCTATGGGCTCCCTCTCCCACCTGTCTGCATAGAAAGGCAGAATTAGACATAGCATGCTTTGGAAAAGCAAATAGGAATTGTTGGGAATGATTTAATCTTGTTGTTGTTGTTGTTGTTGTTCACTTGTGGTTCTACATTCCTGGTGAATGATGAATGTTGCTGTCAAAGGGCTGCCCCCTACCTTATAAGGGTTGCTGGGCATTTGAAGGCAGGAAGATTTTTAAAGATAGATTGAGGTTGGTTTAAAATTATTCCTGTAAACCAACAATAAAGCAAAGAAGAGGTTCATTTTTGTAAATAACACTGGTTTCAAATAGTGATGTTAGACTTAACCTAATTTATAAACAAGAGATTAATATCTCCATGCATAGTTTTAGACAAAAAAAGATGTTTCAATAAAATTACTGTCTTGTAATATAAATGTTGTCCACTTCCCTTTTCCACAGGCCTAGAACAGTTAAAGGGAACATAATTTGTTTAGGCTCCCACATAAATGTGAATCTGGCCAACAACTTTGGTTCATCCTTTAGTGAATTAGAGGATTTGGCTACCCTGAGTATATTTATATTCATTTCTTCTGTTCTCCTTCTGTTATTATACTTAATCTTCTAAACTAAACTAATGTGAACAGTAGGGAAGCAAGGGCCCAAATGCATAAGTTTCTTTGCACTGTTGCACTTACTTAATACAAATAAATGTTTTTTAAAGCTTTTGTAGTATGTTTTTATGAGTTAACATCCTAATGTGGTAGGTATTAGGTAATGTGCTGTCATGAGAAAAATTGAGACTTCCAAGAAAACTGGACACCAGGTGAGGGTTGGTTTGGAGACGGAATAGGTGTAGCTGCCTTTCCTTGAAAAACAGTGTGTAGAGATGGCTGAGTGCAATGGCTCACACTTGTAATCCCAACACTTTGGAAGGCTGAGGCGGGAGGATCAGTATATCGGTACGTCTGAGCCCAAGAGTTCAAGATCAGCCTGGGCAGTATAGCAAGACCCCATCTCCATTTTTTTTTTAATGATTTTTTAATTAAAAAAAAGAACAACAGGATAGAGCTGTTGGGGTGGCACAGTGGCCCAAAGAGCAGCTTCAGAGATAATTCCTTGGTTCTATGATCCCTGTTTAACTCCAAATTACAGTCGGACTTGGATACATCATTTGTAACATTGTAGGAAAGAAAAAAGTCTTGGTTGTGAAAAACGATTTGCATTTGGGTAAAATAAAGTGACCATGCTTTTGTTCTGTAATACTGTGTGACCTGTGGTTGTTGTAATGGTGATCATGGAGAGCAAATATGAACTTGGCCTGGATTTTAAATGGCCTAGAATTTGTGGTAGTTGCCAAAGAGGTTCTCCTAGGTGGTCTTAATAAACCTATTCACAGAATTCTCCTTATCTGTGCCTTGATTATCATTGGGAGCATCACAATCTAGGACAGCAGTTTTTAACATGGCTTCACATTAGAAACTAAAAAAATACAGTGCCCACTTTGGCAGCACGTATATAAAATGGGAACAATAGAGAGAAGATTAGCATGGCCCCTGCACCAGGATGACTTGCAAATTCATGAATTCTCTCTCTCTGTCTCTCTCTCTGTGTGTATGTATATATATACTTTTTTTTTTTTTTTTTTTTTTGAGACAGGGTTTCACGCTGTCGCCCAGGCTGGAGTGCCGTGGCACAATCTCAGCTCACTGCAACCTCCACCTCCTGGGTTCAAGCAATTCTCATGCTTCAGCCTCCCAAGTATCTGGGATTACAGGTGCTCACCACAATGCCTGACTCATTTTTTAAAATATATTTTTAGTAGAGATGGGGTTGTACCATGTTAGCCAGGCTGGTCTGGAACTCCTGACCTCAAGTGATCCGCCCACCTCGGCTTCCCAAAGTGCTGCAATTACAGGCCTGAGCCACTGGCGCCTGGCCGAAGTGCTCTATATTTTTAAAAAAATATTCTCTGTGCTCCTCTTCTTGCTAAAAAATAAAAAATAAATACTGATACCTCAGTCCCACAACTCCAAGATTTTAATTTAGTCTGGAGTATATATAGCTTGGGCATAGGGATTTTTAAAGGCCCCAGGTAATTCTTACCTGTAACTGTGGTTGAGAAGCATTGGTTTGGATGTCAGAAACTAGACTGGGGTACAAAAGACCTTAGCTGTGCCGTTAACTTGCTGAGGGTATTTGAAAAAGTCACTTATGGCTGGGCGCGGTGGCTCATGCCTGTAATCCCAGCACTTTGGGAGGCTGAGGCGGGTGGATCACGAGGTCAGAAGTTAAAGACCAGTCTGGCCAACATGGTGAAACCCCATCTCTACTAAAAATACAAAAATTAGCCAGGCATAGTGGCACACACCTGTAATCCCAGCTACTTGGGAGGCTGAGGCAAGAGAATTGCTTGAACCCAGGAGGTGGAGGTTGCAGTAAGCCAAGATCATGCCACTGCACTCTAGGTCTGGGCAACAGAGCAAGACTCTTGTCTCGGGGGAAAAAAGAAAAAGTAACTTAACCTTTAGGCCCCAAGTTTTCTTGGTAGCTCTTTTCCAGCTACGAAATTTTCTGATTATAAGGACCCACGGCAGTTTAGTGTGAACATACAAATTGTATTTTTACCTCTATCTTCCTTTCATTTTCTCATCTCCTTTTCTTTTTTTTTTTTTTTTTTTTTTTTTTTTTGAGATGGAGTCTCGCTCTGTTGCCCAAGCTGGAGTGCAGTGGCGTGACTCGGCTCACTGCAAGCTCCACCTCCTGGGTTCACGCCATTCTCCTGCCTCAGCCTCCCGAGTAGCTGGGACTACAGGCGTCCGCCACCATGCCCAGCTAATTTTTTGTATTTTTAGTAGAGGCAGGGTTTCACCGTGTTTGTTAGGATGGTCTTGATCTCCTGGCCTCGTGATCCACCTGCCTCGGCTTCCCAAAGTGCTGGGATTACAGGCGTGAGCCATCATCCCCTTTTCTACTTCCTTTATGAAATATCCTAGCAGTACTGGGTAGATCTAGCATTCTCTCTTCCAATGAGTTATTAATAAAACTATGGGCTGGGCGCAGTGGCTCACGGCTATAATCCCAGCACTTTGAGAGGCCGAGGCGGGTGGATCACTTGAGGCCAGGAGTTCAAGACCAGCCTGGACAACATGGTGAAACTCTGCCTCTACTAAAATTATAAAAATTAGCCAGGCATGGTGGCGCACGCCTGTAATCTCAGCTACTCAGGAGGCTGAGGCATGAGCTTTGCTTGAACCCAGGAGGTGGGGGGTTGCATTGAGCCAAGATAGCACCACTGCACTCCAGCCTGGGCAACAGAGGCTCTGTCTCAAAAAAAAAAAAAAAAAAAAAAAGAAAAAAGAAAAATAAAAAACTATGATACTGTATAAGGTATAAGGTAAAGTAGAAATGTTACTGTGGCTACTTAATCTGGGAATGTTCCAGAATAAGAACTTGCTAGATGCTAGACAGATACTCCCAGGGGAGTGTGTGTGTGTGTGTGTGTGTGTGTGTGTGTGTGTGTGTGTTTTGCTAAGGGGTAGGGATGGGAGGGTTCACCCACCGCAGTGCAAAATATCAAAATGAAATTACTGTTCAGTCTATGCAAAGTAAAACATTCTGAGCCACCTCTATTAAGTGTTTTTGTTTTTTTTTTTTCTATTCAGAGACTGTCCTCAGTCATGGGAACTCAGCTTTTGCTTTTGGTCACTAATTGCAGACCAGAGCCCACCTCAGATCTCAGTCCATCCTGTTCCCTAAGTCTGGGAATCACCTGCTGCTTCCCCGCTTTTCAAAGCATAGTTAGGGCCGGGCACAGTGACTCATGCCTGTAATCCTAGCACTTTGGGAGACAGAGGCGGGTGGATCACCTGAGGTCAGGAGTTCGAGACCAGCCTGGCCAAGGTGGTGAAACCCTGTCTCTACTAACAATACAAAAACTAGGCCGGATATGGTGGTTCGTGCCTGTAATCCCAGCATAATCCTAGCACTTTGGGAGGCTGAGGCAGGTGGATCATCTGAGGTCAGGAGTTTGAGACCAGCCTGGCCAACATGATGAAACCCTGTCTCTACTAAAAATAGAAAAATTAGCTGGGCATGGTAGCGGGCACCTGGAATCCGAGTTACTCGGGAGGCTGAGGCAGGAGAATCGCTTAAACCCGAGAGGTGGAGGTTGCAGTGAGACAAGTTTGTGTCATTGCACTCCAGCCTGGGCGACAAGAGCGAAACTCCATCTCAGAAAGAAAAAAATGATAAAATAATAAGAATACAAAAATCAGTCAGGTGTGGTGGTGTGTGCCTGTAATCCCAGCTACTCGGGAGGCTGAGGCAGGAGAATCACTTGAACCTGGCGGGTGGAGGTTGCAGTAAGCTGAAATCACACCATTGCACTCCAGCCTGGGAGACAAAAGCAAGACTTTTTCTGGCAGGGCACAGTGGCTCACACCTGTAATCCCAGCACTTTGGGAAGCTGAGGCAGGCGGATCACCTGAAGTCGGGAGTTCGAGACCAGCCTCACCAACATGGTGCAACCCCGTGTATGGTGGCACATGCCTGTAATCCCAGCTACTTGGGAAGGTGAGACAGGAGAATTGCTTGGACCTGGGAGGTGGAGGCTGCAGTGAGCCGAAATCCTGCCACTGCCCTCCAGCCTAGGTGACAGAATAAGATTCGTCTCAAAACATAATAATTTAAAAACTTTTTAAAGTTTTCTGACCTCAATATTCTTCTAATGTCTTTAGATCTTATTCTAAGGAAATCTATCAAAGGCCAACATACTAATCTCTTTATTGAGATACCAAAATCCAAAGGCAGCTAGTACATCAGTCTATTTTAAAAGGTTAAGGACCTAGATTGCTGCCCTCTAGTTTGCTGGTCTATACTGACATCATTGGTGCCCAAACAAAGAGCATTTTGCTTTATGAGGGCCTAGGTAAGCATAAGGTGCCACGTGTGAATATCTACTGTGCTAGAAACAGAACATGGCCAAGGAGTAAAGAATTAGAAAGGTAAGATGTAGCTTTTAGGTTTCCTGGGTCTATAGTCAGCAATAGAAGGATCACACAAGCTGAGAAGTTGAAATACAAAGTTGCCATAAGATACTATCAGGTCACTGCTAACTGCAAATGGCTTCAACACCATGTTATGCCTAAAAGGAGCATAGAACCTCAAAGGCCCACACAATTTCTGTAGGTAAAAGTATCTTCTTCTTTTCTGTTAGACTCAAAAACTTTTGGGACTAATTCCTTCTAAAAAATCATGCCCTGTATTCAGAAGAGAGGGACATAGGATTATTTCTGTTTTCTTGAAACCAAGTTTAGAATTTGAATTTTTCCAATCAGCCTAGTCTTACTTTGGAATCACAAGGCTGAAAAGGAGGATATTAACAGGCCATTTGATAAGTGATCTGATTAGTCGCCATCCTTGCTGGATAAGTTTATTGTGCTTTAAAGGCCAGAGGAAAAGGTGTTTCTCCAGTCTACCTAAGAGTTGATAATCTTAAAATCCAAGTTAATGTTATATTGCAGTTACTTTTTTGATCTTCTCACTCCTTCTAAGTTATATTGCAGTTAAATCTTGAGGGCTGGAGACTTCATCAAGGGCAAAAATCTTTTGAATAGGCTGATTTTCTACAGAACCAGTAGCATGGAAGCAAGAAAAGAACTACTTTCATCATAGATTCCTCAACTTGCTGAGCAGTGCCTCTTTCTGGATGAACAGGAACTTAGCAATTGATTTATTTAAAAAAGGAAAAACTGGTCAGATAATCCTCCCAACGCGTCTACAAAAGTGAAAAAGAGGGGCATCAGTTGCATGCTAATAATAAATATAATTATACCAACATCAAAGTGTAAGAGAGAATAGTGACTCATGAGCATGGCCTTCGGCATCATATAGGTTTAGGTTTTTGATCCCACTCCACTTGTTCTAGGGTGAAGCTGGGTAACTCAATCTCTCTAAGCCTCTCCTCTGGAATTATAATAATACCTAACTCAAGAGTATTGTCAGGATTAAGTGAGATGATCCATATAAAATACATACTTGCCCAGGTAACTGCTGAACAGACAATGCCATTAAAACCAGAGGCCCTCCCGTCCAGGAGGGAGGTGGGGGGGGGGTCAGCCCCCGCCCGGCCAGCCGCCCCATCCAGGAGGTGAGGGGCGCCTCTGCCCGGCCGCCCCTACTGGGAAGTGAGGAGCCCCTCTGCCCGGCCACCACCCCATCTGGGAGGTGTACCCAACAGCTCATTGAGAACGGGCCATGATGACAATGGCGGTTTTGTGGAATAGAAAAGGGGGAAAGGTGGGGAAAAGATTGAGAAATCGGATGGTTGCTGTGTCTGTGTACAAAGAAGTAGACATGGGAGACTTTTCATTTTGTTCTGTACTAAGAAAAATTCTTCTGCCTTGGGATCCTGTTGATCTATGACCTTACCCCCAACCCTGTGCTCTCTCCACTCAGGGTTAAATGGATAAAGGGCAGTGCAAGATGTGCTTTGTTAAACAGATGCTTGAAGGCAGCATGCTCATTAAGAGTCATCACCACTCCCTAATCTCAAGTACCCAGGGACACAAACACTGCGGAAGGCCACAGGGTCCTCTGCCTAGGAAAACCAGAGACCTTTGTTCACTTGTTTATCTGCTGACCTTCCCTCCACTATTGTCCTATGACCCTGCCAAATCCCCCTCTGCGAGAAACACCCAAGAATGATCAATAAAAAAATAAAAAATAAAAAACCAGAGGCCCTGCTAATGGTCTCTTAAAACCAGCTGGTGATCTAGGGCAAGCGAGCAATCCTTATGCTTCCTTGCCCTATAACCAAAAGCAAAAAATCCTTTTTAAAAAAATTAACCATTTGAGCCAAGCACAGTGATGATTTGGACCCCTGCTTTCTGACTGGACCTGCTCCTGGCTCCTGCTTGTCCAGAGTTTTCATAAACAGACTAGGTGACCCCTAATGCAGATTCCCTGACAATCTACAGGCCTAAACGTGAATTAGAAAAAAGTGAGTAGGGTGCCACTTTTTGGAGAAGGGCTGAAGAGAAACAATAATCACTCCAATCTCCGAGTTTTGCCCTTTAGCTTCTCCGCTTTGAGGGCAAAAGGCTGACGGTCTTAACCTAAACTCTGGAGGAGGATGTAGTCCCCAGATTTTTTCTTTCTTTACTTTTTTTTTTTTTTTTTTTGAGACGGAGTCTCGCTCTGTTGCCCAGGCTGGAGTGCAATGGCGCGATCTCGGCTCACTGCAACCTCTGCCTCCCGAGTGCAAGCGATTCTCCTGCCTTAGCCTCCCAAGTAGCTGGGATTACAGGCATGTGCCACTACACTCGACTAATTTTTGTATTTTTAGTAGAGACGGGGTTTCACCATGTTGGTCAGGCTGGTCTCAAACTCCCGACCTCAAGTGATCCGCCCGCCTCAGCCTCCGAAAGTGCTGGGATTACAGACGTGAGCCATCGCGCACGGCTTAGTCCCAAGATTTTAGAGCCAAGAAGCGTTTGCAGGAGGACGTAGGGAAAGACTGACTCCCCTCCCTACAAAGCCCCTTTTCCTTTGACACCTCCTGGCCAAGGAAAACCCTAACCACTGGAGACTTCCAGAGACGGCCAACTCGCACAAACGCTGAAAAAAAAAAAATCCCAAAAGCTCCTCTGTCCCCACTAGAAGCACCGCCCCCCGTACGGGCGTGCGTGAGCGTGCGTACGCACAGGCTGCTGGGATGCCGCTTTTCCCTTCTCGGTCTTCCAGTTTCCCGGCGTGCTTAGGGCGCGCCAAATGGGAGGGGGAGACGCAAGATGGCGGCAGCCGCGAACTCCGGCTCTAGCCTCCCGCTGTTCGACTGCCCAACCTGGTGAGTGGCGGGGCGGCCAGGGCTAGAGTGGCCCGGCCGGAGCTAGCCTGGGCTGGAAGGGCGGCTCTTTTTTTACTTTTCTGCTGCGAGCCGAACGGCTCAGAAACCCCGGAATGGTTGAGGAAAAACTGTTTGCTGCACCGGGCCGGGCGACGTGTTGAAGAACCGAGAGCCTGGAGCCCAGGCCCAGGAACTGAAGAAACCCGGGGTTGGGGGCTCAAAGGCGCTCACTTAGGCAGCCCCTTTGAGCGATTAGCCAGTCGCCGGAGCGCTTCGAGGCCTTGGCCCGAACTTACGCCCAACTCTTGACTGAGTGCCTGGTGCTCTCGTGGAGCATCGCATCTGGCCCCTTCCTGTACGTCCCGAGCGCGCTCGAGCCAGCCCCGGCCCCAACCCTACCTCCAAGCCCCGCATCCCTCTGTGGTTGCTGCATCCCTCGTGCGGCACTTGTCTGTCTGCCACAGAGAATACGAGGGTAGGTTAGCGCCATCCCTGCCCTCAGGGAGCTCCCAGTCTGTGGCACTAGTAGGCATTAGTAATGGTTGGCATGAACCCTTTTTATCCCTTCGAAAGTTCTTGGGAATAATGAAATAATTTAATTTGGTCTTTGAGTAGGGTACAAGTTGAATAAATATGAATTACCTTACAAGGAAACGCTTCTGAATTAAGAGTTTTTTTCTGCTGTAGCTCATCGCAGTGTATTGTTTGTTGCTTGTCTCTGTCTCCCGTTGTATTGCCATCCTCAAGGGCAAAGACTGCATCTTTGTATTCCCAGCTCCTAGGCCTGAGTCAGGCACATAGTAGGAATTCAGAAAGTATGTTTTGGATGTAACATTCCTCCTTTTTCCTGGACAAAATGGCCTTTTGTCCGGTGCATTGTCCTTTCCATAGAGGAGGGGTTGGGGCAGGATTGTGAGATGACTGTGTTGAATCTTCAGTTAGCTAGACAAGGATACGTTTTTTCATGTGCAAATCTAAAGGTTCTAGTGAGGTGGTTCTTTTTTCTAACTTCAAATTAGCAAACCCAAAAAGCAAGCAAATGTGTGGCTATTTTCTGGATCGCTTTGCACTTTTGTAGTAGTTGCTTCAGTCTACAAATTCTGTATCCATTTTGATCCCTCGCTGTATTGATTTCAAATTTGGGCCGAGATAGCAAACATAGTTAGAAAGCACTGTTTTTGAGATCACCTACCCTTTCCTTAGGATCTGGTAGGTACCAGGCACCGTTAGGTGCTTTGACATATGAGTCTCCCTTGAATGGTATGGCTGTAGGATATAGAGGAAACGTCCCCTAATCATGCTGTTGTAGAAAGACCTGTTTCAAGGGTAACATATTCATTTGGTACCTGGTTTCATGGGGCATGATTTTGAATTGCCCTAGTTCCCTAATTATGCACCTCTGATTTGGTTTCAGAGCTCAGGACAGTACTCTTTGCTTACTCTGTGATGAGACTAATCTTGATGAGCCCCAAACAGCAACTAATTTATTCGGTCTTTATATGATATTGGAGTAGGGGTGGATTTCAGATTCAAACTCCAGGTGACTAGACCACCCCAGCTATCGTACTTGCACTCTCTATGCAGTTCTTTCTCTGAGGTGAAGATCCAGTGTTAAAATATAGGTTTCTTGGTGCTGCTCTAAATACAGATCTACTAAAATCTGTTGCAGAGCAATTGAATCACTAGGGAAGTAAGTGTCAAACGTAGAATGGAGCTGTAATAACAGTGAAGTGGATGACATTTCTGCTTGAACATGAACTAATTATAGGCTGGTAGGAGAGCTGCAATGTTGAATGGGACAATGGTTGTAAATAGCATTTATAAACCCATCCTGAAAATGCTTTTTTCTATTTTTATTTTTCAGGGCAGGTAAGCCCCCTCCCGGTTTACATCTGGATGTAGTCAAAGGAGACAAACTAATTGAGGTATGGAAATACATGTCTTACTTTTTTGGCTGCCACACTAAAGATTTTTGCCAGTGACTCACTTTTCCACCCCCTCTCCTGTGCTTTGTTTTCCAGCAATGCTACTTTCTTTCATCCTGATTTTTTTTTTCTGTTAAAAGCACATGGTGACATCACACATTTAAAGCTTATGTCTACCACAGACACTCAATTTTTTGTGACTTCTCTCAAATGAAGGGTTTTAATAGGTCATGGGTCCTGTGGGCCCCAGTCAAACTGGAAGCCCTGTTAGCTTGGTTAATTCCCTCTCCCTGAGTACATGGAGTTGTGTAAACCGTGCAAGGTATGCAGTAACTGAAGAAAGTGAATGATATATATTGAGTTTAACTTCTAAGTTAATTTTAAGACATTCAGGCCCAACTCCTTATAAGAAGTATGGTAAACTAAGACATTTACTCAAAAAGATAATGGAATTGTGGTGAAATTCATTAATTGATTCTTTCAAAACATGTATTGAGTGTTTACTATGTGCCAGTTACTGTGCTTGGCATACAGATTGCAGCAGTAAGCAAAACCAACATAATTTCTGTCCTCAAGTCATCCAGTGGGAGAGACAGAATCACACCAAAAAATTACATAATTATATTTGAATTAAGTACTATAAAAGTTTAGCAGAATTCCAGCTTTTATACAAGCCTCTAGAGAGAACACCACATAGGAGTTCAAGAGAACATGAGTTTTTATTAGCTATTAGTTTGCGTAAATTTTTTATAATCCTTACGGTATTATTTATTTACCAAGAGATGGATATTAAGCCCACTATGACCATGTAGCTGTGAGTCTCCCATATTAGACCAATTTTATATTTGCTTGCTCAGCTAGAATTTAGGTTCAAGGCCCCATTATTGAATGCAGTTTTTTCATTGTGGTTTTTTGGTATTTAATAAAAATGTTGCAGTTCCACGGTTGCTAGATTGAAAAGCTATCTGAGATCTTTTGAAGGTTACTCTGTAAATATATTGTTGTCACTTTTGAGATGTTGTAGAGATAACCAGGTATTTTGCAAAGTATTAAGGCATGCACGAGTTTTAATGATTTCTCCTGTTATGAATACATCATGGACTCAGCCAGTCACAGAGAGCCCCTTTGTCATGGGTTCTTCTCTCTTAAAGATTTAAAACCTCAAGATTATTCAAAGAAATAATTTAGCTAAAATATCTGTAAAACCTTTTTTGCTATAGATTGTTCCACAGTTACAAAATATTTGTTGCTGAATAGCACAAAGCTTGAAGACATATAGGGATCTGTTTTATTACTAGAATTTAGCAAATCTTTAGTTTGCAACAGGAAGAAACAGACAGGGTTGCCTAGTCTTAATGATAACATCACATTCCTTTGTGGAATAATTGGTATTACATTTTCAAAACACTCTAACTTGCCAGACACTCCTCTGATCATTGGTGTCTATTAGCTGATAACGTTCTCTTTCGATGTTGTTAAGTGTGCTGAGTTGCCACAAAGTTGTCAAGTTACAATCCTTAGACATCACTGTATTCTTGAGAGGCGTAGACCTGAGATGTGCTTATTTTTAGATTTAAACTTGATCAGCACTTGATACTAACCGAGCTGTCTATATCCTAGCCTTGTGTCAAAGGCTTGTGATGTGTTGTGATAGCTGGGTTTAAGAAGTGCAATATTAAAACAAAAGCCATGAGTCTTTTAAGCCCAGTGTGTAAAGATACACTCTGAGTTATAACTCAGAGGCACAACTGGATAGCAGTACTGGCCATAGCTAGTCAAGAAGCTACGGCTTTAGTGACTGTTGAAAGCCAGTGCATTATTTCATTCACTTGGACAGAAGCAGCACATTGTTCAACATCTAACACATTTCCTTGGTTCTAAGACATACTGTTTTCTGTTAAAATTCCATACATTTTGGCCAGGTGCGGTGGCGGCTCACACCTGGCCTCCCAGCACTTTGGGAGGCCGAGGCGGGCAGATCACCTGAGGTCAGGAGTTCAAGACCAGGCTGGCCAGCATGGCAAAACCCCGTCTCTACTAAAAGTAAAAAAATTAGCCAGGTGCAGTGGCACACCCCTATAATCCCAGCTACTTGGGAGGCTGAGGCAGGAGAATCGCTTGAACCCAGGAGGCAGAGTTTGCAGTGAGTGGAGATTGCACCACTGCACTGCAGCCTAGGCAACAAAGCAAGACTCCATCTCAAAAAAAAAATTCATTCATTTTAACATTTCTGTAATTGGGGTGCCTTTAATACTGAATGTGTACATTTAATTTGGAGGCACTCTTTTTTTTTCCTCTCAAAGAAATCCCTAAATCTCTAGTATGTCTTTTGGCACCCTAGATTCATAGAAATTTAGTCATTGTTATTTTAGAACCCAAGAGCTGGTGGTCTTTCATGTTCCTTCAGCACAATCTGTGAGCACTGTGGTTAGCAAATTTAAGTTTGTGACAGCATAATCCATGTGCATATAAATATGAATGAGAAGTGCAATGAGATTCAGCCCAAATAACTATTACCTAGAGAGAACAAGTTGTTGAAATTTCTGGGCTCTCTCTTAATCCTGAAATAATGTCTTATTTTTAACTCAAGTCTTAAAAACCTTGGGTCAAAGCAGACATGAAGGTGACTGACTGAGCTGTCAGGCTGTTGTTGAATCTTGGTTCTCCATAGTAGTGTGGGCCCAGAACAAGCTCTTCCAGCAGCAGATGGGCACTGCCAGATAGGGTTTCCCAGAGGTGACCCACATATCCAAGCTAGCCTGAATTAATTGAACCTTAAGGCTGAGCTTGAAAGAAACTGGCTAAGTGATTGTTTAAGGAAAAGAGTGTGACCCACAGTACTTATTCTCTCCTTAAAATATTCCTTGCCATATGGTGCATTTTTTGATGTAAGTAGAATGAAGAAAATATATAATGTGGTTAAAACAGCTTAGACTCTGAAGCCAGACAAATCTGAATTTCTAACCCGGCCCACAAGTATCTAACTGTGTGAACTTGAGTATGTTAATTTCTTTATGCCTCAATTTTGTCATTTATAAAAATAGGAAGAGAATAGTATTACCCACCTCATAGGGTGGTTGTGAGGATGAAATGATATAATGTAAAACTCATAGCATAGTGTGTGGCATAGAAGCGCCTAGCAGTTGTTACTGTAATCAGTGCTGAAATTGTGCTTGCATGAGGTGTATCTTTTGGTTTTGTAAGGGGATAATAGCAGCCCATTGTGAGTTAAAGGACTTAGCCAGGAATGAAATATAAGCTTCTTGATTCCCAGCCGGGTACTAACTTGACTATACTCTACTCAGCTTTATGCTATATTTTCTCAGGGATTTTAGGACTATAGTGTGAAATGTGAACTAGCGTTTAATGAGACCTCATGTTTAAAGGAAAAACACAACATACCCAAATGAGAGTTATTCCTCAAGTGCTCCCACTGGATTACTAGACCACTAGCACTGGAAGAAGCTTTAGCAATAATTCATCTAGAGTCCTTCATCTATAACAGTCCAGTTTATAACCGATCTGTGGCAAAGGCTTTACTGATCCAGGATTAAAAGAAATATAAGGA
Source organism: Homo sapiens (assembly GCF_000001405.40). Classification (NCBI taxonomy): domain Eukaryota; kingdom Metazoa; phylum Chordata; class Mammalia; order Primates; family Hominidae; genus Homo; species Homo sapiens. The sequence continues at coordinate 27,836,385 of NC_000001.11, forward strand.
CAGGTATAGCAAGTTTTTTATTTTTATTTTTTTGTTTGTTTTTGTTTTCGAGATAGAGTCTTGCTCTGTCGCCCAGGCTGGAGTGCAGTGGCCGATCTCGGCTCACTGCAAGCTCTGCCTCCCGGGCTCATGCCATTCTCCTGCCTCAGCCTCCCGAGTAGCTGGGACTACAGGCACCTGCCACCACGCCCGGCTAATTTTTTTTTTGTATTTTTAGTAGAGACGGGGTTTCACTGTGTTAGCCAGGATGGTTTTGATCTCCTGACCTTGTGATCCGCCTGCCTCGGCCTCCCAAAGTGCTGGGATTACAGGTTTGAGCCACCGCACCCGGCCAGCAAGTTTTTTATAAAGCTAAATTTAGCTCAGGTCTAGCACGGTGGCTAACACCGGTAATCCCAGCACTTTGGGAGGTTGAGGCTGGCCATTCACCTGAGGTGAGGAGTTCGAGACCAGCCTGGGCAACATGGTGAAACTTGTTTGTTTTGAGACTGTCTCAAAAACAAACAAAAATACTTTGGGACTATGGCAGCATGATTAGAATAGAAATAGGTGTTTACACTTCATTCCTTTCCCAAATATACATTTGAATGTTTATTTTCTGAGAAGCAATCTTATTACAATTTTTTTCGGTTTCACTAGGCTAAAAGCAATCTTGTTACCTTATAGACATGCATTGTGCTTCTTGTTTCCTAATTGATCTAAAATTAAGATCCAACAGAACCTTTTTTCAGAAGACAGCCACTCTTCATACAATTGTTGATCTCAGGCCAGGCACGGTGGCTCACCCCTGTAATCCCAGCACTTTGGGAGTCTGAGGCGGGTGGATCATGAGGTCAGGAGATCAAGACCATCCTGGCTAACACGGTGAAACCCTGTCTCTTCTAAAAATACAAAAAATTAGCTGGGCGTGGTGGCACACGCCTGTAGTCCCAGCTACTCGGGAGGCTGAGGCAGGAGAATGGTGTGAACCCGGGAGGCAGAGCTTGTAGTGAGCCGAGATCACGCCACTGCACTCCAGCCTGGGTGACAGAGACTCGTCTCAAAAAAAAAAAAGAGTTGTTACTGTCTTGAGGGCAGGCCACTTATATCTAATAGAATTAAGAAAAGTTGGGCCGGGCGCAGCGGTTGGCTCATGCTTGTAATCCCAGCACTTTGGGAGGCTGAGGAGGGCAGATCACGAGGTCAGGAGAACGAAACCATCCTGGCTAACACGGTGAAACCCCTACTAAAAATACAAAAAATTAGCTGGGCGTGGTGGCGGGCGCCTGTAATCCCAGCTATTTGGGAGGCTGAGACAGGAGAATCTCTTGAACCCGGGAGGCGGAGGTTGCAGTGAGCCGAGATCGCACCACTGCACTCCAGACTGGGCGACAGAGCGAGACTTAGTCTCAAAAAAAAAAAAAAGAAGTTGGCCAGCCATGGTGGCTCACACCTGTAATCCCAGCACTTTAGGAGGCTGAGGTGGGCAGATCATGAGGTCAGGAGTTCAAGACCAACCTGGCCAGTATGATGAAACCCTGTCTTTACTAAAAAATACAAAAAGTAGGCCAGGCTCGGTGGCTCACGCCTGTAATCCCAGCACTTTGGGAGGCCGAGATGGGCGGATCATAAGGTCGGGAGTTCGAGACCAGCCTGGCCAACATGGTAAAACCCCGTCTCTACTAAAGATACAAAAAATTAGCCGGGCATGGTGGCGCGTGCCTGTAATCCCAGCTACTTGGGAGGCTGAGGCAGGAGAATTGCTTGAACGCAGGAGTTGGAGGTTGCAGTGAGCCAAGATTGCACCATTGCACTCCAACCTGGGTGACAGGGTGGGACTCCATCTCAAAAAAAAAAAAAAAAAAAATTAGCTGAACGTGGTGGTGCACGCCTGTAGTCCCAGCTCCTTGGGAGGCTGAGGCAGGAGAATTGTTTGAACCCAGGAGGCAGAGGTTACAGTGAGCCAAGATCATGCAACTGTACTCCAGCCTGGGCAACAGAGTGAGACTCCATCTCAGAAACAAAAAAGAGAAAGAAAAGTTATTTTCATACCAACACTAGACAAACACTACATTGAGGAGATGAATTACCATCCATTCTCCAAAAAATGTTATTTTAGTAAATTATTCTGAGTACTTTATGTTGAAGAATAATGGGAGATATTTTTTTCTCCTTGGAAAGGATTTATTTTTCTTTTTTTGATGCAAGGAGATGGAGTTTTTACTCAATCTAATGGAAAGGAATTTTATCTACTCAAGATTCTCTATTTGGGAGAGTTTTTGGTAAATGCTGTTGAAACAAGATTTAAGTAATATTTAATTTAATATTTATTTAGAAACTGATTATTGATGAGAAGAAGTATTACTTATTTGGGAGAAACCCTGATTTGTGTGACTTTACCATTGACCACCAGTCTTGCTCTCGGGTCCATGCTGCACTTGTCTACCACAAGCATCTGAAGAGAGTTTTCCTGATAGATCTCAACAGTAGTAAGTAACTCCCTCCCAATTCACATGTTACCTTTAGGCAATATGAAAATACTCTTTGGGTTCTTTAGTTTGGAAATTACGTTTTATGGAAAAAGTTAATGTTTGGTTTTTAAATCCACCCTTCTCTATTTCTGTGATTTTTCTATTTTCCTGAGATAATTGCTAACTGACTGTGGAGAGAAGAGGGGTTTGGGGAGCACTGTCCTGGAGGAATCAATAAGCAAACATAAGCTGGATGTGGGGGCTCACATCTGTAGCTACTCAGGAAGCTGAGGCGGGAGGATCACTTGAGCCCAGGAGTTCAAGACTGCAGTGAGCTATGATCACACCACTGCACTCCAGTCCGGGTGACAGAACAAGACCCCATCTCTTAAAAACAAACAACCAAAAAAGAGCTGGGTGCAGTGGCTCACTCCTGTAATCCCAGCACTTTGGGAGGCCGAGGTGGGCGAATCATTTGAGGCCAGGAGTTTGAGACCAGCCTGGCCAATATGGTGAAACCTCGCCTCTACCAAAAATACAAAAATTAGCTGGGTGTGGCGGCGGGTGCCTGTAATTCCAGCTTCTTGGGAGGCTGAGGCAGGAGAACCGCTTGAACCCAGGAGTGGAAGGATTCAGTGAGCTGAGATGGTGCCACTGCACTCTAGCCTGGGCAACACAGCAAGATTCTGTCTCAAAAAAATAAAGAAAAGGAAAAAGGCACCCAGGAACTAGGGACCATGTGTGTTCAAGTGTTTATAGGACCATAATAAATTGTGATTCTGTTTCAGCAGAAGCCATGATTAGCTCCATTGATGTAATAGAGCAGCAACATAGGGCATTTTAAGAATGATTGTCTTGAGGAAAATTTCATTATTCTGGTTCTTTATCCCATCTCTGTTTTGCTTTGACTGTGAATAATACCAGTTTTAATTCCATAAGCAAGGCCAGGCATGGTGACTCACACCTGTAATCCCAGCACTTTGGGAGGCCGATGTCAGTGAATCTCTCAAGCCCAGGAGTTCAAGACCAGCATGAGCAATGTAATGAGACCCGCGTCTCTACAAAAAAATACAAAAAGTAGCCCTGTATTGTGGAGTGCGCTATGGTCTCAGCTGCTTGGGAGGCTTAAGTGGGAGGATCGTTTGAGCCCAGGAGGTGGAGGTTGCAGCGAGCCATTATCGCATGACTGTACTCCAGTCTGGGTGACGAAGCAAGCCCTACCTCAAAAAAATAAAAATAAAATACTCCATAAGTATTAATTAATTGAAGTATCCATAAGCATACACCAATTAATAAGAGTTTAAACTTCGCCTAAGATAATCCACAGAAATGCAATTGAGATTTAACTGCATGGGGCCCTGAAGTTTGTTCATTTTGCCCGTGTGTGAATACAGTGTAAAATGTAAAGGGTCCTGCTTCCTGGGCATATCATGTTGGACTCCACCACTCTCCTACTACCATACGCAGAAACATACACTCACACATCACCCTAATCTGCTTATATAAGGGTCTTGGAGAGCTTTGTCTCGCAAATACTTATCTTTTCTCTCCCATTTTATAACATGCAGAATGCCAACAGGGGAAAATATTCAGAATCTATAGTAGGATTTTGGCTTGCTTTGGCATTGATATTGCACCTGTTTCAGCCAAGCTCTTTCTTGTCCTGGGGAAAACCTAAGCATAACTGCCACCAGGCCAGCAATTTCTATATTCTTTTGACTTGGAGCTGGAGAGGGAAAACTACAGTGATGTCCAGCTCCTGCTTTGGGAGGCGTGGCTTCTGCTGGGTTGGAGCCATTCTTATTTGACCCAGAATGGAGCCAAGCCTGTATGGCAGCAGAGAACGGTCAGTGGTATTTGTTATCTGGGGGAACAACAGGTCTGAGGATATAAGAAACCCACCGAGGAGATTCAAGGCTCAGTGAGGGAGTTTCCTTCTCACTGTAACACATGATGGATGTGGTGGACCCAGTGCCATTTTCATTTTTTAAAAAGCTGGAGTTTCTGACCATGATCCTGACTATGGCATTTTTAAAATAAATTAAAAACAGACAAAAAAGCAAAACTGATGTGCTGGGGGGAAGCTGACCTGATAAGAGAGTTGGCGATCATACTCTTCCTTCTAAAACTCAGGTTGTTTTTGTTTTCCCCCTTACGTTTCTGATTTGGTTATTCCCAGCACACGGCACTTTCTTGGGTCACATTCGGTTGGAACCTCACAAGCCTCAGCAAATTCCCATCGATTCCACGGTCTCATTTGGCGCATCCACAAGGGCATACACTCTGCGCGAGAAGCCTCAGACATTGCCATCGGCTGTGAAAGGAGATGAGAAGATGGGTGGAGAGGATGATGAACTCAAGGGCTTACTGGGGCTTCCAGAGGAGGAAACTGAGCTTGATGTAATTCCCTGTTTATGTCATTGTTTTGTCTTTGGGGACCCTGGTTTTTGGAGTATACAGCTGTTCTATGTAGCTGGAAATGCCAGTGACTTAGCAGCAGGGGGTTCTCTTGAGTCCAGTAATGGGCCTTTGGCAATCTGGTGTGGCCAGCTGTGACAGCTCTCGGAGAGCCACATTGTATGGATTTGGTTGTGTATCACCAGGCCTAACAAGGAGGCTGAGTCCCAGCCACTAGTCTCCTTGAGCTGTTTTGTGCACCTTCACTGGCTGTTAGAAGCTAAGACTGGAAGCTACATTTCTCTGTCCCTTGACTGCTTAGAGCTAATGCTGTCCAATATGGTAGCCACTAACAATATTTCAAGTATTATGTAGTCACATATGGCTAGTGGCTGCTATGTTGGCTAGTGCAAAGAGAGAATGTTTTCATCCTCACAGAAAGTTCTGTCAGACAGCACTGGCTTAGAGAGACTGACATTTTCATTCATTCATGTAGCTTTTTTTGGTGCTATCTGAACAGTCCAGGAATCTTCTGAATAGAGCCAGACTGCTTTTGTTCTTCCATGGGCCTCGCTGTCCTGAGGGCCATGAATTTTATAAGATTTAATTTTAAGGTGCTAGAAGTTTTCCTTTTTTGAAACTGACCCCAGTAGTTTGGTGTGGCTATAGTCCTTTACATAGCTGTCACTGCACTGGTGTGATTGGTCTGTTCAAATAGACCAAATGCAATCATGTCCTTAACCACCCACCTGCATTTACTATTCCTGTACACCAAGGCAGTTTCCTGGCTCTTAGGAAGAAAAGCACGATAGAAATTGTACAACTTAGGCCGGGCACAGTGGCTCATGTTTGTAACCCCAGCACTTCGGGAGGCCGAGGTGGGCGGATCACCTGAGGTCAGGAGTTCGAGACCAGCCTGGCCAACATGGAGAAACCCCATCTCTACTAAAAATACAAAAAATTAGCTGGGTGTGGTGGTGCATGCCTGTAATCCCAGCTACTCAGGAGGCTGAGGCAGGAGAGTCACTTGCACCTGGGAGGTGGAGGTTGTGGTGAGCCAAGATCGCGCAGTTGCACTCCAGCCTGGGCAACAAGAGCGAAACTCCGTCTCAAAAAAAAAAAAAAAAAAGAGAAATTTTACAATTAAGAAGTCGTTTTGTTTTGAAGAAGTGGCTTCATAGCCAGGGACCTTGCTGTTGCCCATTTCCCCTTTAGGCCACCTTATCCAGGCTGCTGCTATACTTCCATGGCTTTTAGTTCAGTATGTTAGGTACTCCCTGGATCTTCATTCTTAAGACATTTAGAATATCTCAAACTTGTGGTTTGTACCAGAAAGGAATAATTTCAGTGGATTGGGAAGAGGCAAGCAACAGAGCTAAGGCCAAGTTAATTATTGAGATAGTTATGAATAGAATTGGGGCCAGACACAGGATGGGGCATGACAAAATATTAACGCCAAAAATTAAGTGCACTAGCAGTGTCCTTAATTTTGAAGGAGAAAGCTACTAGGAAGGAAGCAGCCAGTTGTCCTTTTTCATCTCAATTTTGTTACTTAAAAACAATTCTTGGCGTTCCTTCCAGCCACATTTCCTTTTAATTCTCAGCTTATTGTGGGCATGAAGACATGATAGCCTTTCTTCAGCAACAACAAAAAACACAACTCAAGGATATTTGCACAGATGACCTGTTCTCAGCTCAAGGCCCTTTACCTCTTGAATATCACTGCCCCACTAGTCAATGAGGATGTTCCACATTCTTTCTAATGAGACTTGAGACTTGTTAGTATTCGTAGTCTCGGGACAGTATGAATCTTCTCTAAATGCAGAAGTGTCTCAACTCCCTTTGGAGGTCAAGATTAGCCCCTCATGCCTTCCTCACCTTTATTTAGTATGATTTTCTCCATCAGATTCCCTTTGTACTGACTGCTGTCTTTCCTGTATGAACCCTGGCTTAGAACCTGACAGAGTTCAACACTGCCCACAACAAGCGGATTTCTACCCTTACCATTGAGGAGGGAAATCTGGACATTCAAAGACCAAAGAGGAAGAGGAAGAACTCACGGGTGACATTCAGTGAGGATGATGAGATCATCAACCCAGGTGAGGTATCTTGCTAGTTTATTCTGATGAAAAAGCTGTGGTTGGCCCGGGCGCGGTGGCTCACGCCTGTAGTCCTAGCACTTTGGGAGGCCGAGGAGGGTGGATCACTTAAGGTCAAGAGTTCAAGACTAGCCTGGCCAACAAGGTGAAACCCCATCTCTATTAAAAAAAATACAAAAATTAGCTGGGCATGGTGGTGTTCGCCTGTAGTCCCAGCTACTTGGGAGGTTAAGGCAGGAGAATTGCTTGAACCCAGGAGGCAGAAGCTGCAGTGAGCCGGGATTGTGCCATTGCACTCCTGCCTAGGTGACAAAAAAAAAAGAAAGAAAAAGCTGTGGTTGGTCAGGCATAGTGGCTCATGCCTATAATCCCAGCACTTTGGAAGGTTGAAGTTGGTGGATTGCTTGAGGCCAGGATTTCAAGACCAGGGTGGCCAACATGGCAGAACCCTGTCTCTACAAAAAATAAAAAAATCAGCCAGGCATGGTGGCACACACCTGCAGTCCCAGCTACTCAGGAAGCTGAGGCAGGAGAATCGCTTAAACCTGGGAGGCAGAGGTTGCAGTGAGCCGAGGTTGTGCCACTGCACTCCCACCTGGGTGACAGAGTGAGACTGTCTCCAAAAAAGAGTTTCCAGGGTTGGACCTAGAAATTTATATGTTTTTTAATTTTTCTTTTTTGTGTGTGTGTGAGACACGATCTCATTCTGTCGCCCAGGCTAGAGTGCAGTGGCACAGTCACGGCTCACTACAGCCTTGACCACCCAGGCTCAGGTGATCCTCCCACCTCAACCTCCTGAGTATCTGGGACAACAGGTGCACGTCACCACGCTCAGCTAATTGTCATATGTTTTGTAGAAATGGGGTTTCATCATGTTGCCCAGGCTGGTCTTGACCTCCTGGGCTTAAGCGATCCTCCTGCCTCAGTCTCCCAAAGCACTGGGATTACAGGCATGAGTCCCCATGCCTGGCTGAAATTTTTATTTTTTATTTTTTATTTTTATTTATTTATTTTTTGAGACGGAGTCTCGTTCTGTCACCCAGGCTGGAGTGCAGTGACGCAATCTCGGCTCATGCAACCTCTGCCTCCTGGGTTCAAGTGATTCTCCTGCCTCAGCCTCCCAAGTAGCTGGAATTATAGGCTTCTGCCACCACACCTGGCTAATTTTTTTGTATTTTTAGTAGAGACGGGGTTTCACCATGTTGGCCAGGCTGGTTTTGAACTCCTGACCTCAGGTGATCTGCCCTCAACCTCCCAAAGTGCTAGGATTACAGGCGTGAGCTACCGCGCCCAGCCCAAAATTTATATTTTTTAATGAGCTCCTGTTTGTACAACAGCCAGCAATTTGGGAACCACTGGACTAGACAAATTTCTTTTTTTTTTTTTTTTTTTTTTTTGAGACAGAGTCTCGCTCTGTCACCCAGGCTGGAGTGCTGGAGTGCAGTGGCACGATCTCAGTTCACTGCAACCTCCGCCTCCTGGGTTCACGCCATTTTCCTGCCTCAGCCTCCCGAGTAGCTGGGACTACAGGCGCCCGCCACCATGCCCGACTAATTTTTTTTTTTTTTTTTTTTTTTTTTTTTTAGTAGAGACGGGGTTTCACCGTGTTAGGCAGGATGGTCTCGATCTCCTGACCTCGTGATCCGCCCGCCTCGGCCTCCTAAAGTGCTGGGATTACAGGCGTGAGCCACCATGCCCGGCCTGACAAATTTCTTAAGTCTCTTTCAGGAGTGAGGATCTGATCTGCTCTGTTTTTCTCACTGAAAATTAGTGCCCTCGGCCGGGCACGGTGGCTCACCCCTATAATCCCAGCACTTTGGGAGGCCGAGGTGGGCGGATCACGAGATCAGGAGATCAAGACCATGCTGGCTAACACGGTGAAACCCCATCTCTACTAAAAATATAAAAAATTAGCTGGGTGTGGTGGCGGGCGCCTGTAGTCCCAGCTACTTGGGAGGTTGAGGCAGGAGAATGGCGTGAACCCAGGAGGCGGAGCTTGCAGTGAGCCGAGATGGTGCCACTGCACTCCAGCCTGGGCGACAGAGCAAGACTCCGTTTCAAAAAAAAAAAAGAAAGAAAGAAAATTAGTGCCCTCGAGCTTTCTTAGGGAAATGTGTTCAGGCAGTATAGCATAGTGGTTAAGAGCACAGGCTCTGAAACCGGAGGGGCCATGAGAGAAGTTTGGGATACCTTTTTAGAGACATTGTCTCTTTCTTAATCAGCTTGGATATTTTTGTCCTTTCTCGTCTATATAGAAGCCATTTGTTCATTGAGCATAGATTGATGGTGAATATAATACCAGAGTGTCCTCTTTAAAGGCATGGATCCTAATATGTGAAAAAATCCAGACTTAAAGCAAATAAACCAGGGGCTAATTATAATTACTCAAATTAAATAGTGATTCTTTGTTTTCCAAAGGGATTTCTGGGAGTTTTTCTTTCTTTCTTTCTTTCTTTTTTTTTTTTTTTTTTTTTTTTGAGACGGAGTCTCCTTCTGTCGCCCAGGCTGGAGTGCAGTGGCGTGATCTCGGCTCACTGCAAGCTCCACCTCCCGGGTTCACGCCATTCTCCTGCCTCAGCGTCCCGAGTAGCTGGGACTACAGGTGCACGCCACCACACCCAGCTAATTTTTTGTATTTTTTAGTAGAGACGGAGTTTCACCATGTTAGCCAGGATGGTTTCGACCTCCTGACCTCATGATCTGCCCACCTCGGCCTCCCAAAGTGCTGGGATTACAGGCGTGAGCCACCGCACCCGGCCAGGAGTGTTTCTTTCAATAACAAGCAACCTCATTGAAAATAAGATGACAACATCTATTAGGGAAATGATTCCTTCTCTATCACTATATTAAGTTAACTGGGGCTTGGAGTAGTTTTCTCTAGTAGTGGTACATAAGTTGGTGCCTCTGCATGTTTCCACTCACATTCAACCTTCAGTGAGAAAACTCCACCATCCTTGGTGATCCAGCCCAGTCATCCCCTCTGTGCTCCAGAAACACTGTTGTGCACTTCTCTTGAAGCACCTCTGTGTTGTAGCCTATCTGGCTCTGTGACTGTGAATTCAAGGGTGGGACAGTATCTTGCTCTTCATTTCCCGTGTAGACGGGGGCATCAGAGCCTTTAGTGCAAGTCTTGCTTATATACAGTTCAGGCCGTTCAAGTCAAAAGGCCAGGTTCAGTTTGAAGCCCTGGCTTTGAAACCAAAATCCGTTTTTTTGCTAATAAGCAGGCATTAGCAAGGCATTTGATATGTGACCTCTTGACATGTCATTGTTTTGTCACTGATATGGAACTGATAATGTCTACTCTTCTTTTCTTTCCCCTCAAAAGAGGGAGTTATACAGAATGGGAAAGAACTTGGGGGAGGGCAGCACAGCACAGTGGTGCAGATCACAGGCCTGTTTTGAACTACTTGGACTCAAGTCCTGGCTCCTGTACTCTCCACCAGAGCAACTGGGCCAGTCCCTTTGCTCCTCCAAGCCTCAGTTTGCTTTCTCATCTACTAAATGTTGATTGTGGTAGTACCTACATCACAGGGTCTTTGTGAGGATTTAGCACAATGCCCAGCACCCAGGAAGCACTCTCTGTGTTTTACAATTTTAATATGAGTTGTTGTGATGGTTTGTTTGCAGTGACTCCTGTGCCCTTATTCCTCCCAGTAAAGTACCAACCCAACCCTGCCCTCTTCTCTTTTTGCAGAGGATGTGGATCCCTCAGTTGGTCGATTCAGGAACATGGTGCAAACTGCAGTGGTCCCAGTCAAGGTAGGAAGCACATGAAATGCCATACAGTCTGTGTTTTAAAACCTGCTCTTTAGGCCAGGCGCGTTGGCTTATGCCTGTAATCCAAGCACTTTGGGAGGCTGAGGCAGGCAGATCAAGAGGTCAAGAAATCGAGGCCAGGCACAGTGGCTCACACTTGTAATCCCAGCACTTTGGGAGGCCAAGGCAGGCAGATCACCTGAGGTCAGGAGTTCGAGACCAACCTGGCCAACATGGTGAAACCCTGTCTCTACTAAAAATACAAAAATTAGCCAGGCGTGGTGGTAGGTCTCTGTAATCCCAGCTACTCAGGAGGCTGAGGCAGGAGAATCGCTTGAACCTGGGAGGCGGAGGTTGCAGTGAGCTGAGGTCGCACCATTGCACTCCAGCCTGGGCAACAGAGCAAGACTCTGTCTCAAAAAAAAAAAAAAAAGAGATTGAGACCATCCTGGCCAACATGTTGAAACCCTGTCTCTACTAAAAATACAAAAATTAGCTGGGTGTGGTGGCGCATTCCTGTAGTCTCAGCTAACTGGGAGGTTGAGGTGGGAGAATCGCTGGAACCGGGGAGGTGGAAGTTGCAGTGAGCTGAGATGGTGCCACTGCACTCCAGCCTGGTGACAGAGCGAGACTCCATCTCAAAAAAAAAATAACCTGCTCTTTATGTGCTGTTGAGTGAGTGCTTAATTTTAAAATACATACCATGCTCCTCTCCCATTTCTCATTCTGTGGAAATGAAATCTATGTTTAGGGAATCCTGGAGTACCACAGAAAGGCTGTAGATAACTAGCCAGCTTGATGTTTCATGTAAATAATGTGCAATATGAATCTGTAAATTCATTTTCCAGAGGGGTGCAGAGAGAGGCCCACCTTCTTTTGGCCTTTCTCTTCGGACTCAAAGTAAGCTATTAGGTGGAGGAGATGCATTATTGCAATACCACACAGTTTGCCATGCCTTTATTTTATGAGTGGCAATGGCACAGATAGGAATGTCAGCCCAGATGTGGATTAAATTTAAAGATAAGTATGTTGGCTGGGTGCGGTGGCTCACGCCTGTAATCCCAGCACTTTGGGAGGCCGAGGTGGGCAGATTACAAGGTCAGGAGATCGAGACCATCCTGGCGAACACGGTGAAACCCCGTCGCTACTGAAAATACAAAAAAAAATTAGTTGGGCGTGGTGGTGGGCGCCTATAGTCCCAGCTACTCAGGAGGCTGAGGCAGGAGAATGGCGTGAACCCGGGGGGCAGAGCTTGCAGTGAGCCGAGATCACACCACTGCACTCCAGCCTGGTCGTCAGCGAGACTCCATCTAAATAAAAAAGATTGTATGTTGAAGAACCAAGGGGTAGAAGTTACAGAGATGCTCCGATCGTTCAGCATGTGGAAGAACTATCAGATAGCTAGAACTGTCCAAACAGCAACAAACTTCCCCTTAAGAGTAGTGAGATCCCTGTTAATATTCAGAAGGTGATTAGAAAATGCTGGTTAGAGATGATATAGAAAGTTTTACTTTTTATAAAAAAAAAATCTCTAAAATATATTAGACTAAGTAAGATCTGTCAGAGTTCCTGCTTAGACTTTGTTTAATCCAAAAGGAGTATAGGATTGAGCAGGATGTTTCATGAGCTTTAGTCTAGTATGGAAAAGTAGATGTTTTTCTGTGGGATTCCATAATGCCCCTTGAGCTTTTTTGTTTGTTTGTTATTCCTTTGGAATGTTTTCTTGTCATTAAAGTACAAAATCAACAGGTGTATAGTTTTATGTCAATTTTATTGCAGTATAATTTACATATAATAAAATCTACACATTTACGTATATAGTTTTGGCAAATATATGTGTAACCACCACCATAATCAAGATAGAGAAGATTTCTCTCACTCCAAAAAGTTGCCTCGTAGCCCTTTGCAGCAGCCCACTCCCAGGCCCAGGCAGCCAGTAAATATTTTCTTCACTGTAGATTGGTTTTGCTCTCAGATTAATGTTTAAAAATTGGACACCAGGTCGGGCGTGCTGGGTCACGCCTGTAATCCCAGCACTTTGGGAGGCCGAGGCGGGCTGATCACCTGAGGTCCGGAGTTCAAGACCAGCCTGACCAACATGGAGAAACCCTGTCTCTACTAAAAATACAAAATTAGCCAGGCGTGGTGGCGCATGCCTGTAATCCCAGCTACTCCGGAGGCTGAGGCAGGAGAATGGCTTGAACCCGGGAGGCAGAAGTTGCTGTGAGCTGAGATCGAGCCATTACACTCCAGCCTGGGCAACAAGAGTGAAACTCTGTCTCAAAAAAAAAAAAAAAAAAAAATTGCACACCAAACATGGACATACCACATTTTTTCCCCCTCAAAAAAGGGTAAAATATCTATTGCCATCTTTTATCATTTCCATTTCCTAAAAGGGATTTTTTTAAAAATGTTTTTTATTTTTGAGACAGAGTCTTACTCTGTCACCCAGGCTGCAGTGCAGTGGCACCATCTCAGCTCATTGCAAACTCTGCCTCAAGTGATTCTTGTGCCTCAGCCTCCCGAGTAGCTGTGATTACAGGCACCTGCCACCACGCCTGGCTAATTTTTGTATTTTTAGTAGAGATGGGGTTTTGCCATGTTGGCCAGGCTGGTCTCAAACTCCTGATCTCATGTGTTCCTCCTAAAAGGGCATTTTAATATGAAATAAGAAAGTGAGCTATGTAACTTTAGGATAAATTAAATTGATATGTTTTACTTTATGTAAAACTCACAACACCATCCTTGGCTGATGTAGGATGGTGAAAACTTTGTTATGGAGCAGTGTTTGGGAACCATCGTAGATGACTGGAAAGGTCTCTTCAAACCGTAAGATTTCAACATCATGAAATAGGTTGTCTGGAAAGGAGAACAGGCTAGAAGTTAGGAATCTTTCCCAAAAGCCATTTTTTTAAGGCTGGAATAGAAAAAGCTAACCACTCTTGGGCCTCACCTCTTGTCTTCTCTCTCCAATCTCTCCCCTCTCCTCATCGTGAACTGTAGAAGAAGCGTGTGGAGGGCCCTGGCTCCCTGGGCCTGGAGGAATCAGGGAGCAGGCGCATGCAGAACTTTGCCTTCAGCGGAGGACTCTACGGGGGCCTGCCCCCCACACACAGTGAAGCAGGCTCCCAGCCACATGGCATCCATGGGACAGCACTCATCGGTGGCTTGCCCATGCCATACCCAAACCTTGCCCCTGATGTGGACTTGACTCCTGTTGTGCCGTCAGCAGTGAACATGAACCCTGCACCAAACCCTGCAGTCTATAACCCTGAAGCTGTAAATGAACCCAAGAAGAAGAAATATGCAAAAGAGGCTTGGCCAGGCAAGAAGCCCACACCTTCCTTGCTGATTTGATATTTTTGGTCATGGAGAAGGGTGGGATTGGGTGGGAATGGGGTGGAAGGGTGATGGGGAGCTAATGAACTAGGGAGAAAAACTTTCCATGTGTGCGGTATCGTCTTTCAGAATGTCTCCTGGCATCCTAACCATGTAATATGACAATTGGGGGTGGGGTTGAAATAGCCCATAAAGACCTGTCTTCACAACACTTGCATTGTAGAGAAAGGCTTCTTATATCCTTTTCAATAGACTGCCCTGGCTCTTTCCTAGGCCTTCCACTACCTCCTTTCTTTCTCCCACTTTCTAGGATCATTTTTATGTAAAGTCACATATCCCAGGCCCTCAGGTTGAATCCAGAGCTGTAGAGGTTACAGTAGCATCACCAGCCTTGGGGGTCCAGAGCCTAATTTATATTCACTATCCTTCCAAGTCCCGGGTAGCAGAAGGGTTGCCATAGATCTCAGTTTGATCAAAAAGAAGGCTTAGAATTCTGCAGTTAAGCTGAGGTTTAAACTAAAAAATGTTTCCTTGGGTCAGTGGTTTTGAGGTCCAGTAGCTAGGCTTTTCTCTTTTGTCCTTCCTGTTGGAATGAAAACATTTCGATTTTCCTTCATCTGTGACTGGTGCCATAGACACAGGTTTATAGTTTTAACTTACAGTATTGTTTGAAATTTACCTGTTTTTCTTGTCAAACCTGAGCACTCCTCCTGCTGAAGTTTCTTATTTAATTCCAGAGTACTGTCCTCTACTCTAAGGCATTACTTTTAAGTGTATTATGAAGGCAGTTTTCAAAGGATATGACCAGTTGGGGTAATTCAAATTAAAAAGGAAAAGATTTGTTTGGAAGTAACTGGTGTCTCTAAGAGGAATTTTTAGATGTCAGTTTGGAGGCTCTTTCCCCCCTCAATTGAGAGCTCTTGTTATTCAGAGCTCCAAGACTAGACCTGGCTAACAAACATAGGAGACAAAGTTAGGAAACATTGATACAAGCTTTGTACAGAGATTTGTACATTTGTGTAATAGGCCTTTTCATGCTTTATGTGTAGCTTTTTACCTGTAACCTTTATTACATTGTAAATTAAACGTAACTTTTGTCATTTGGGTGCAGGCTGTGAATTTGTCTCTCAGTCACTGATTGCCACTGCCATCTGGAAATGTTTGCTAAAGGCACAGTCACTGGGCTTGGGAGGCAATGCTCCATCCCCATTATATTACAAATAAAGATGCCCTAAATGAGTGTGGAAATTCTAATGAGAGAATGTAGTCCCCAGACTGAAGCCTCACAAAGCAGCGTTGGTTCGGAAGTGCTTGGTGCCCTTCATCAGGAGACCTCATGACGGGAGACGGGGCTTTAGGGCGTTTGCATAAGCCCTATCACCCACCCTGCAGTTAGAGCTCTGTGCATTTGAGCCATAGCTTGGTGACACAGGAGCAAACGGAAGCTAAAGGTAAGTAAGTTTAGGAGGGATTTCAGCAAGAATTTGAATTGAAGGAATATGCCTGCATACGGAATCTCATTTGCAGTAAGTATACTGTGTTTGTGAGACTTACATGTGGCTTTGAGATGAAGATGCCAGCTAGGTTCCAGATCCTTGGGTCAAGTGCAGACTCGTAGGAGGAGCAACCTTCTGAAGAACAGAAATTCATAACATCAGCTGTGCAAAGAGTTGACTTCCCCACAGGGTCTGTAAAAATGAGTGTCTCCCTCTCCCCCTCCCCCTCCCCCTCCCCCTCTCCCTCTCCCCACGGTCTCCCTCTCATGCGGAGCGGAAGCTGGACTGTACTGCTGCCATCTCGGCTCACTGCAGCCTCCCTGCCTGATTCTCCTGCCTCAGTCTGCCGAATGCCTGCGATTGCAGGCACGCGCCGCCACGCCTGACTGGTTTTGGTGGAGACGGGGTTTCGCTGTGTTGGCCGGGCCGGTCTCCAGCCCCTAACCGCGAGTGATCCGCCAACCTCGGCCTCCCGAGGTGCCGGGATTGCAGACGGAGTCTCGTTCACTCAGTGCTCAATGGTGCCCAGGCTGGAGTGCAGTGGCGTGATCTCGGCTCACTACAACCTACACCTCCCAGCCGCCTGCCTTGGCCTCCCAAAGTGCCGAGATTGCAGCCTCTGCCCGGCCGCCACCCCGTCTGGGAAGTGAGGAGTGTCTCTGCCTGGCCGCCCATCGTCTGGGATGTGAGGAGCCCCTCTGCCTGGCTGCCCAGTCTGGAAAGTGAGGAGCGTCTCTGCCCGGCCGCCATCCCATCTAGGAAGTGAGGAGCGCCTCTTCCCAGCCGCCATCACATCTAGGAAGTGAGGAGCCTCTCTGCCCGGCCGCCTATCGTCTGAGATGTGGGGAGCGCCTCTGCCCGGCCGAGACCCCGTCTGGGAGGTGAGGAGCGTCTCTGCCCGGCCGCCCCGTCTGAGAAGTGAGGAGACCCTCTGCCTGGCAACCACCCCGTCTGAGAAGTGAGGAGCCCCTCCGCCCGGCAGCCACCCCATCTGGGAAGTGAGGAGCGTCTCCGCCCGGCAGCCACCCCGTCTGGGAGGGAGGTGGGGGGGGTCAGCCCCCCGCCCGGCCAGCCGCCTCATCCGGGAGGGAGGTGGGGGGTCAGCCCCCCCGCCCGGCCAGCCGTGCCGTCCAGGAGGGAGGTGGGGGGGTCAGCCCCCCGCCCGGCCAGCCGCCCCGTCCGGGAGGTGAGGGGCGCCTCTGCCCGGCCGCCCCTACTGGGAAGTGAGGAGCCCCTCAGCCCGGCCAGCCACCCCGTCCGGGAGGGAGATGGGGGGGTCAGCCCCCCCACCCGGCCAGCCGCCCCGTCCGGGAGGGAGGTGGGGGGGTCAGCCCCCCGCCTGGCCAGCCGCCCCGTCCAGGAGGGAGGTGGGGGGGTCAGCGCCCCGCCCGGCCAGCCGCCCCGTCTGGGAGGTGAGGGGTGCCTCTGCCCGGCCGCCCCTACTGGGAAGTGAGGAGCCCCTCTGCCCGGCCAGCCGCCCCATCCGGGAGGGAGGTGGGGGGGTCAGCCCCCCCGCCCGGCCAGCCGCCCTGTCCGGGAGGGAGGTGGGGGGGTCAGCCCTCCGCCCGGCCAGCCGCCCCGTCTGGGAGTTGAGGGGCGCCTCTGCCCGGCCGCCCCTACTGGGAAGTGAGGAGCCCCTCTGCCCGGCCAGCCGCCCCGTCCGGGAGGGAGGTGGGGGGGTCGGCCCCCCGCCCGGCCAGCCGCCCCATCCGGGAGGGAGGTGGGGGGGTCAGCCCCCCGCCCGGCCAGCTGCCCTGTCCAGGAGGGAGGTGGGGGTGTCAGCCCCACGCCCGGCCAGCCGCCTCGTCCGGGAGGGAGGTGGGGGGGTCAGCCCCACGCCCGGCCAGCCGCCTCGTCCGGGAGGGAGGTGGGGGGGTCAGCCCCCCCGCCCGGCCAGCCGCCCTGTCCGGGAGGGAGGTGGGGGGGTCAGCCCCACGCCCGGCCAGCCGCCTCGTCCGGGAGGGAGGTGGGGGGGTCAGCCCCCCCGCCCGGCCAGCCGCCTCGTCCGGGAGGGAGGTGGGGGGGTCAGCCCCACGCCCGGCCAGCCGCCTCGTCCGGGAGGGAGGTGGGGGGGTCAGCCCCCCCGCCCGGCCAGCCGCCCTGTCCGGGAGGGAGGTGGGGGGGTCAGCCCTCCGCCCGGCCAGCCGCCCCGTCTGGGAGTTGAGGGGCGCCTCTGCCCGGCCGCCCCTACTGGGAAGTGAGGAGCCCCTCTGCCCGGCCAGCCGCCCCGTCCGGGAGGGAGGTGGGGGGGTCGGCCCCCCGCCCGGCCAGCCGCCCCATCCGGGAGGGAGGTGGGGGGGTCAGCCCCCCGCCCGGCCAGCTGCCCTGTCCAGGAGGGAGGTGGGGGTGTCAGCCCCACGCCCGGCCAGCCGCCTCGTCCGGGAGGGAGGTGGGGGGGTCAGCCCCCCACCCAGCCAGCCGCCCCGTCCGGGAGGGAGGTGGGGGGGGTCAGCCCCCCTGCCCGGCCAGTGGCCCCGTCCGGGAGGTGAGGGGCGCCTCTGCCCGGCCGCCCCTACTGGGAAGTGAGGAGCCCCTCTGCCCGGCCAGCCGCCCCGTCCGGGAGGGAGGTGGGGGTGGTCAGCCCCCCCCGCCCGGCCAGCCGCCCCGTCCGGGAGGTGAGGGGCGCCTCTGCCCAGCCACCACCCCGTCTGGGAGGTGTGCCCAACAGCTCATTGAGAACGGGCCAGGATGACAATGGCGGCTTTGTGGAATAGAAAGGCGGGAAAGGCGGGGAAAAGATTGAGAAATCGGATGGTTGCCGTGTCTGTGTAGAAAGAAGTAGACATGGGAGACTTTTCATTTTGTTCTGCACTAAGAAAAATTCCTCTGTCTTGGGATCCTGTTGATCTGTGACCTTACCCCCAACCCTGTGCTCTCTGAAACATGTGCTGTGTCCACTCAGGGTTAAATGGATTAAGGGCGGTGCAAGATGTGCTTTGTTAAACAGATGCTTGAAGGCAGCATGCTCGTTAAGAGTCATCACCAATCCCTAATCTCAAGTAATCAGGGACACAAACACTGCGGAAGGCCGCAGGGTCCTCTGCCTAGGAAAACCAGAGACCTTTGTTCACTTGTTTATCTGCTGACCTTCCCTCCACTATTGTCCCATGACCCTGCCAAATCCCCCTCTGTGAGAAACACCCAAGAATTATCAATAAAAAAATAAATTAAAAAAAAAAAAAAAAAAATGAGTGTCCTCATCAGGACAATACCTTCCTCTCGTTTTAGTGAAGATGGTACTGTTGGTAGTGGTGAACAATCACTAAGCACCTGCCTACCTACCTACCATGTATCCATTTACAGCACGTCATCTAATTCTCATAGCCCCAAGAGGAATTCTGTTTTTATCCCCATTTTATAGATGAGAAAACTGAGACTGAGACTAAACAAACTTCCCTATGAGCCCCCTGTACTGAAGACAGGATTGAAACTCTAGTCTGAATCCAGAGTTTAAGGTGGGGATATGCTTGGTCCATAGGTGGCACACCCTTTAGTTTTTGTATTTTTAGTGGAGACGGGGTTTCACCATGTTGGCCGGGCTGGTCTCGAACTTCGGCCCTCAGGTGATCCAACTGCCTTGGCCTCCCAGAGTGCTGGGATTACAGGCGTGAGCCACCGAGTCTGGCCTGTTTTGTAGTTCTTTAAAAGATGTCCAAACTGAACAACTTACTGGAAGTGTGTTAAAGTATGTTAGATATAGCTGAGATGAAGTCCTTCCTGATGAGAAGGTTATGCCATGCATTTTTTTTCTTTTTCTTTTTTTTTTTTTTTGAGACAGAGTCTTGCTCTGTCACCCAGGCTGGAGCACAGTGGCACGGTCTCGACTCACTGCAACCTCCGCCTCCCAGGTTCAAGCAATTCTCCTGCCTCAGCCTCCTAAGTACCTGGGATTACAGGTACGCACCACCACGTCTGGCTAATTTTTGTATTTTTAGTAGAGATGGGGTTTCACTGTATTGGCCAGGCTGGTCTTAAACTCCTGACCTCGTGATCCGCCTGCGTCGGCCTCCCAAAGTGCTGGGATTACAGGCGTGAGCCACTGAGCCACCATGCATTCTTGCTTTCAGAATCTGAGTTGCAGAGTGAAACTTGGATTGGCATTTCAAAGAAGGCACAACAGAATATACATACCTGCAAGGATTTTTTTTTTTTTTTTTTTTTTTTTTTTGAGACAAAAGTCTCACTCTGTCCCCCAGGCTGAAGTGCAGTGGTGCGATCTCGGCTCACTGCAACCTCCGCTTCCTGGTTCAAGCGACTCTCCTGCCTCAACCTCCCGAGTAGCTGGGACTACAGGCACCAGCCACCATGCCCAGCTAATTTTTGTGTTTTTAGTAGAGGTGGGGTTTTGCCATGTTGGCCAGGCTGGTCTCAAACTCCTGACCTCAGGTGATCTGCCTGCCTCAGCCTCCCAAAGTGCTGGGATTACAGGCGTGAGCCATGGCCCCCGGCTGATATTTCATGTACTTTAAGGGCCCGGTTAAGCGGAAGCAGAACTGGGGAGGCATGTATGTGTGGAAACCTGGCTTAGCTGGCGCCATACTTCTGATTCCAATTATGTTTTAGGTGCCCTCAGAGATGAGCACTCCAAGATGGGGCTCAACTGCCTGTTACCCTAATTAGCTCTGGATGACAATACAGATGGATGAGCCCCTTCTGTTCACTCCCAGGATCAGCAGTGGCCTCATACTCATGTGAGCACAGTGCTGCTGAGGGACACAGCCTGTCCCTATCTTGGGACACAGGCCCACCCCGGATGAGAATTGACTGCTGGTTTCCCCGAAATCCTGTGCCTACTGGTGGGCCACCTGCTGAGAAGGGAAGGGAGACCCATGTTCCCCTCCCCGGGGGGGAGACGGTGGCAAATCCTGTGGAGAAAGACATCTACTGACTGAACGGCCCGTTCCCCAGGGGATCCTGGCCCAGGATCAGCTGTTTGATGACCGTTTGCCTAAAATATGCCCACTACTAAATATAGGTCAGAATTTCAGAGTCAAAAGAGACCTGGGAGGTTCTGTCTAGACCCTTCATTTTGCAAATGAGCAAACTATGGCAGTGAGGACTTGCTTCATTCAACTTGGATGGATCAGACGTCTATGACTTGGGCCTATGGAAGTGCACCACCCCTGCTACCCCAGCTACTACAAGAGGCTCACCTAGAGGGAGACAGCCAGGCACTCAGATGCTGTCTAGACCCTTGACAGCTCGAGTGGAAGGATGGAGCCGGCGAGAATAGCAATAGGAATTTATTACCTGAGGCATGTGGACCATGGTTTTCCCAGCAGAGGGGCCACCATGAGAGGGGTGTGGAAAGAGGACATGGGATGGGGGTGGCTGGTGAGTGGGAGCGGGGAGGAGAGCCTACCCTATAAGCTTTGCTAGGGAATTACCAGGAAGGCACTGAAGGATATTTTTCTTAAAAAAAAAAAAAAAAAAAAAAAAAGACATGCTCAGGTAGATGTTTTGGAAAATGCAGAGAAACTGACATCACACACACCCTCACCTAGAGCAGGGGAGGCTTCCTTGGGAAGGTCTCAGCACGGGCAGTGAATGGTCAGGTTCAGATGATAGAAAATCCATGGGGTAGCAGGTGAATAAGGGGTCCCTGGCCTCTCATGAATCTCTCCACGCAGGGAGACAAGCAGGTGTTCTAGTGCTCTCTTTCTCACAGCTTAGCAGATCTAGAGAAAAGTCCAGGTGTTTCAAGAAGACTGAAGACGGCTGGGCTCAGTGGCTCACACCTGTAATGCCAGCACTTTGGGAGGCCAAGGCGGGCGGATCACCTGAGGTTAGGAGTTCGAGACTAGCCTGGCCAACATGGCGAAACCCCCATCTCTACTAAAAATACAAAAATTACCCGGGCATGGTGGCGCACACCTGTAATGCCAGCTACTCGGGAGGCAGAGGTTGCAGTGAGCAAGATCGTGCCACTGCACTCCAGCCTGGGTGACACTGCGAGACTCTATCACACACACACACAAAAAAGACTGAAGAGAGAGTTCTCCGTTAGTTCTGCCTGTGGGAGGGGAGGGGGGGCTTCAAAGAGCATGACATTGGATGTCTCCACGTGGTGGAGGGGAGGGTGCTCCACGCAGGGGCTACTGTGGGAGCACAGATGGGGCAGAGTGGACTAAAGTCTGGCATATGCCGGGGTGGAGGGAAGGTCCTTGAATGCCTGTGGAGTTTGGATGTTCTCTGTGGAGAGGGAATAAAACCATTGCCTGTTCCCTGGAGGGAATTGGATGCTGAAGCTTCTACCTTTAACAGGGGCATGGGTGCAGTTCCAGCCTCTGCCAGCAGGCTGGGCCCTGTGCCCACTTTTGAAAGACCTTCAGGGCTGTGGGGCATGAGATGAGAGAGGGAGGGAAGATAATCTGGCTCACTGCCGGGCACTTTATGTGACTTACCTCCTTAATTCCCCCGGGCACAGCCCTGAGAGGAGGTTGGCAGTGTCTGCATTTTACAGATGGGGAACTTGAGGCTCAGGGTACACAGACCCAGGTCACAGCCCTGGCAAGCCATGCAGTGGGGATTCTAGCCCGGCCCTGAGGTTTTGGAGCAGGGACGGTGCAGGGGAGTCTCCAGCCCAGGCTCCTCCCCTGCTCTTTCCACATCTGTGACAGGCTCTGGATTTTGTTCCCTGAGTTTTTTTCCTTCTCGAGTTCCTGTCCCCTCTGTCTCTATCTCTGTCCCCTTTGTGGTATGTGGGGCTTCAAGTACTACTGAGTCTCCACAGCTGTGCCAGGTTGGGCCTGGGCAGCTCCCCATAGAGGCTGGCGCCCATAGCCAGGGGCAGGGTTACCAGCAGGAAGTGCACCCCTGAGCCCCTCACCGCGGCTCCCAGCCTGCCTGCCTCGGTGGCCCCCACATCCCCGCCTCCCCAATCAAGGCATCTGCTCCCACTGTGCCCCATCCTGTTGGCAGCAGTCCTCCCTCTCCTTTGGGTCACTGGCAGCAGCATCCAGACTCACCATTACTGTCCTCTCCTTCATGGAAAATTAAGCAAACCCTCTTGATTCCACTCCCCGCCAGCTGCCCCAGCCGCCCTCCCATTTCTCTGCTCCACTTTCTGTCCCTAGTTCCTCTCCTCCATTTGCTGTTGAACCTACTCCAGGCAGGCTCTTCCCCCAACACTCGCTCCCTCCACAGTTGGTCATGTTTGCTTCTCTGCGGCCCCTCATTTCCCTCTGAGTGAGAGCCAGCCTCACCCTGCCCTGCACGCCGTCACCCTCCCGTCACCTCTCTGCTTCCCCTTGCTCGCTCCCCTATAGCCCATGGGCTTCTGGCTGCTCCTTCCACCCTCAGGGCACATGCCTGCCCTGCCCCTGTGGCTGGGCCTCTCTCCCAGGCATCAGCAGGGCTCCCTCGCTCCCTGTCCCTACGTTGAGAAAGAGAAAAGCAGGCCCTGACCTCCTGGAGCCCGCCTGGAGCCCAGCGGGGCTTCGGTATTCTCCAGCTGAACCTAAATGACTTCACAGGACATCAGCAACAGACAAACCACCTGGGACCACGATGGATCACGACACAAACAGGGCCACTCCACAGTCATGTCTGAGCACAAATAAAACATGAACAATGTCCAAGCCACAAAAAGGACCAATCATCCCTGCAGTGGGTGTTGACCTGTAGGCCCTAAAACATTCATCCAGGACCTCAGAATGTCACAGTTGAAGTAGGATCTTTGCAAGTGTAATTAAGGTAAGGATCTTCAGATGAGATCGTCCTGCATTAGGATGGGCCCTAATCCAGGAATGACCTAATAGGAGACAGAAAAGGAGGCCGGGAGTGGTGGCTCACGCCTGTAATCCCAGCACTTTGGGAGGCCTAGGCGGGTGGATCACGAGGTCAGGAGTTTGAGACCAGCCTGGCCAACATGGTGAAACCCTGTCTCTACTAAAGATACAAAACAATTAGCCGGGCATGGTGGTGTGCGCCTGTAATCCCAACTACTTGGGACGCTGACGCAAGAGAATTGCTTGAACCCAGGAGGCAGAGGTTGTAGTGAGCCAAGATCACACCACTGCATTCCAGCCTGGGCGACAGGGAAGACTCCATCTCAAAAAAAAAACAAAAAAAACAAACAAACAAAAAAAAAAACTGGAAAAGGAGAAGACGGGGACACAGAAGGAAAGGCCATGGGAAGATGTGGAGGTTAGAATGATCTGTCTACAAGCCAAGGAGCACGAGGATTGCCTCAGAGCTTTCAGAAGGAACCAACCCTACAACACTTTGATTTCTGGCCTCCAGAACTGTGAGAGGATACATTTATGTTGCTTTAACCTGCCAAGTTTGTAGTCATTTGTTACAGCGGACCCAGAAACGAATACAATCCCCCTGTCCTGGCTCATAGGAGACGCTGTTGCTTCTTACTGATCACAGCTCTAGCTTTGGTCTAGTCTTGCCTCCCTCTAGATAAAATGTATTAATGTCCTCAGCCATAGAAATACCCTTGCTTCTGCACAGCATCCAATCCAGAGTGAAGCCCTGCTTTCTTTTTTCTTTCTTTGAGATGGAGTCTCACTGTCACCCAGGCTGAAGTACAGTGGCATGATCTCAGCCCACTGCAACCTCCACCTCTCAGGTTCTAGTAGTTCTCTTGCCTCAGCCTCTAGAGTAGCTGGGATTACAGGCACGCACCCCCATGCCTAGCTACTTTTTGTATTTTTATTAGAGACGGTGTTTTACCATGTTGGCCAGGCTGGTCTTGAACTTCTGACCTCAAGTGATCCACCCTCCTCAACGTCCCAAAGTGCTGGGATTACAGGCGTGAGCCACCATGCCCAGCCCGAAGCCCTGCTTTCTTAAGCACTCAAAAGTCATCTAACCCAAATCCTGTAAGTCCTTTCTAACACAGCTTACTGAGTTGCCCCACAGTTTCCCATGGCATGTGCTATCCCTATGATAGCACATAGTCACGAACCCAACTTACTCAGATGCCCCTCTGTTCCTGGGAGTCTGTGGCTGGAGGGCATTGACAACGTCTTGG
Organism: Homo sapiens; assembly: GCF_000001405.40. Lineage (NCBI taxonomy): Eukaryota > Metazoa > Chordata > Mammalia > Primates > Hominidae > Homo > Homo sapiens. The sequence continues at coordinate 27,860,908 of NC_000001.11, forward strand.
CCCCAAGGCTAACATCTCAATGAGGCCAACCCTCCTCACTCCCAACCCCTTATCCCCGACCTCCCACTTGCTCCACTGTTCCCACAGCACCATCCCCTCTACCACACACCACCCTACGGTGGTATCGTTTACTTATTGACTGCATATTGTTTATGGTCTGCCTTTCCCCTCCCCTCACTTGAGTGTAAGCTCCACTAGGGGCAGGGGCTGTTGTCTGTTTTGATTCCCAGTGTATTCAAAATGGCTGGAACAGCCTAGCACATCGCTGGCACGCCATAAAAATTTGTTGAATGAATGAATCGATGTTGGGACAGGAGCAAACCAAGGAAGCGCCTAACCAGCCTGGCCACCAGAAGGCTTCGCTGGAAAAGGGCTGTCAGGGCTGGGATCTGAGGGATAAATAAAGGTTATCCAAGCACAAGAGTTGGGAGGAGAGGCCGGGCGCAGTGGCTCACACCTGTATCCCAGCACTTTGGGAGGCCGAGGTGGGTGGATCACTTGAGGTCAGAAATTCAAGACCAGCCTGGCCAACATGGTGAAACCCCGCCTCTACTAAAAATACAAAAAATAAATAAGAAAGAGTGGGAGGAGTATTCCAGCCATGTGCAAAAGGCTGGGGAAGCGAGGAGGTGTTTCAGGATTGAGGAAATGCAAGTGCTTTGATGTGGCCGGAGAGAATGTTCTGGAAAAGGAAGGCAAGCGATGAGGCTGGAATGTTGTCAGAGGCCAGGACACGAAAGACCACGTCATCAGGAGCTCAGACTTCACCTGAGGGCCATGGGGAGTCCTGGAAGTGTTGAAGCAGGAGGTGATATGTCAGAGCTGCATTTAGGAAGAGCAGAGGGGCCGGACATTGTGGCTCACACCTGTATCCCAGCACTTTGGGAGGTCGAGGCAGGAGGATCGCTTGAATCCAGGAGTTCGAGACCAGCCTGGGCAACCTGGCAAAACCCATCTCTACCAAAAATACAAAAATTAACCAGTCTAATAACCCAGTCTCTAAATAAATAAATATACAAATAAATAAATATATAGGTATTTTTTGTTTTAATAATAATTGTAATTTCCAATATGTTGTGCAAGGAGATCAGAGAGGAAAATCATATTAATTTGATATTTGTGGAAGAATTTGTGCAAATTGTATTTAGTGCCACCACAATGTGAGGATGAAATTTTTTTTTTAAGGAAGAGCAGATGGGAGGGAGGGGACAGTCCCGGGGAGGTGAGGCTGGAGGTGGGAAGACTAGCAGTGAGATGGTCTCAGGGCAAGACAATGTGGCCTGGACCACGCTGGAGAGTCTAGGGAGAAGGAAGAAGACCCAAGGTGCCTCTGGGGACTCTGGCTGGGCATCCAGGGTTTAGAGGTGTCATTCACTGTGGAGGGGAACACAGGAGAGGGGCAGGTTATGGGGAAGGTGCTGAGATTGAGGCCCTTTATGCCGTAGAAATCAGGGCAGATGTGTGCACACCTGGAGCTCAAGACTGGCCTGGACACAGGCTTGGAAGCGGGACAGGGTGAGGCCACATCCCCCACATCGGGGAGGATGATTCTGAGGACTTCTACTTACAAAACTGTAAGAAGAGGGGGCTCAGGTGGCAGGGTTTCAGGGAAGGGCAGAGGGTGGCCCACTCCCCACCTCTCCTCCTCTCTCTGTCCTCTGGGCGGTCTCTAGGTCTCCACTGGCCCCTGCAGCCCCCAGTGGCTGGAATCACTCCCTTGGAGAGAGACCTCTAAACTGACTGCTCCAGGCTTCCTTAGAAAGCAGGGAGGAGGCCCCCCGCACAGATGGCTGCAGCAGTAGCCCCTCTGGAACCCAGCACCCACCTGGAGGGGATGACAGCATGGACCTGGGACTCAGGCCCTAGTTATTCTGGTAAGGCTCAGGACTGGGCCTGAGGCATGTCGCAGTTCACATGGTCCCAGCAGGGCTGCAAGCAAGTCCAGCATAGCCTGCTGGGCTCCTTTCCCCGCACATGGCCCCTCAACAACCCCCACCTTGGACCCTGAGCAGAGCGAGAAGCACCTTGCCCAGACAGGAGAGATGAGCCCCTTCACCTAGACCCCACGGGCTTCGCCCCTCACTCCATTCTGCCTCCTACCTGCCTCTCTTCTCAGCCTTCCAGGCTGGGTTTCCATCCTCTCCTCTGAGCAACCTCACCAGCCTCCTAACTGCCCCTCCCTGCCCTGCCAAGCCATCTTCACACCTAATGCAGTTCACACCACATCACTCATTTGAATCAATCAAGAACTCTTCCCCAAAGAGCAAACTCCTTACTGAGGCCTCTGGGGTCCCGCATGCCTGGCTGCTCTCTGCCTCCTACTCGAAATCTCTTTCAGTTCCCCAGTATGCTCTCCTCTGTTCTTCCCTCTCGCTCTGTGTCCCACTCACCCTTGACTCACCCATGACTTCCTCTGGGCATGCTTCCCTAGTCCTCAAGCTGTGGAAAGAAGATCTGCTTGAGCAATCCTCACACCCTATGTCCTGCCTGTGTGAGTGCTGGGAGGACACTCACCACTGTTTCCTGGCAACCCCACAATGTGCCCTAAACAGCAGGCCAGCAGCATGGACAGAGTTGAATTGAAATGCATTAAGAAGCTCCTTCTTCCTTTCCTCTCCAGGTCCTTGGATCCTGCCCCATTAGGTGGGCAGGTATTATTACCCTCTGCTGTGGTTTGAATGTGTCCTCCAAATTTCAGGTGTTGGAAACTTAATCCCCAAATTCTTATGTTGATGGCATTTGGAAGTGGAGCCTTTGGGAGGTATTTAGGATTAGATCAGGTCATCAGGGTGGGGCCCCCATGGTCACCCTGGTGGCTTTACAAGAAGAGGAAGAGACGCCTGAGTTGACAGGCTCTTCCCTCTCACCATGTGATGCCCTCTGCCATGTTATGATGCAGTGAGAAGGTCCTCACAAGCTGCAGCCCCTCAGCCTTGGACTTCCCAGCCTCCAAAACTGTAAGAAATAATTTTTTTTTTTTTTTTTGGAGACAGAGTTTCACTCTTGTTGCCCAGGCTGGAGTGCAATGGCACAATCTCAGCTCACTACAACCTCTGCCTCCTGGGTTCAAGCGATTCTCCTGCCTCAGCCTTCCGAGTAGCTGGGATTACAGGCATAAGCCATCACACCCAGCTAATTTGTGTATTTTTGGTAGCGACGGGGTTTCACCATGTTGGCCAGGCTGGTCTCGAACTCCTGACCTCAGGTGATCCACCCGCCTTGGCCTCTTAAAGTGCTGGGATTACAGGCATGAGCCACCGTGCCTGGCCAGAAATAAATTTATTTTCTTTGTAAATTATCCAGTCAGCAGCATTCTATTACAGTAACAGGAAACAGACTAAGACACCCTCCTCTTCCTCCCAGCTAGAAGGAGCAACCAAAATCCAGAGGCTGTCCCTTCATCTGTGCTACCCACATGGCCTCAACCTTGAACCCAGTGACACAGTGGGGCCACCAAACTGAAGTCATGTTTCAACAAAATTCTCAAACCCTTAGGGCAAGTAAGAGCAGCAAGGAGATACAAGCAGGGAGTTCGTATGGGGAGGGCTCCAGAGGCCCCATGAGAAAGGGAACTTCCCCAGGCCTTCCTCTTCTGAGGAGCACTGTGGGTGTGGGGTTCCACCCTGACTAAACCCTGGTTCAGTCTTTTCCTGGCTGGGGGACTTCGGGCACACAGTTTAACCTCTCTAGGTGCAGTTTTTTCCTATATATAAAATGGAAAGAACCAGATAAACCCGCATTTCAGGGTTGCTGTGAACTTAATGAGCCAGCCAGTTACAGCTCCCCTTCCCAGAGTCCCAGGCCTTCCCATTGCCTCTGCATGTGTGAAGATTCAACTCTGGGCCGGGCGTGGTGGCTCATACCTGTAATCTCAGCATTTTCGGAGACTGAGGCAAGCGGATCACCTGAGGTCAGGAGTTCAAGACCAGCCTGACCAACATGGAGAAACCCCGTCTCTACTAGAAATACAAAATTAGCCAGGTGTGGTGGTGCATGCCTGTAATCCCAGCTACTCGGGAGGCTGAGGCAGTAGAATTGCTTGAATCCGGGAGGCGGAGGTGGTGGTGAGCGGAGATAGTACCACTGCACTCCAGCCTGGGCAACAACAGTAAAACTCCGTCTCCAAAAAAAAAAAAAAGGACTGCAAAACCATGGAACCAATGCTTCCAAATTTGCGGGGAACATTGTTTCAACCGGGAACTCAATACCAGCCAGACCACTGCTGAAGAATAAACAATGCTACACTTTGGGTTTAGGGTTAGAAGCAGTCTTTAAAAAAAAATGTGGTAAAATACACGTAACATAAAATTAACCATCTTGGCCGGGTGTGGTGGTTCACCCCTGTAATCCCAGCACTTTGGGAGGCCGAGGCAGGCAGATCACCTGAGGTTAGGAATTCAAGACCAGCCTGGCCAACATGGCAAGACCCCGTCTCTACTAGAAATACACAAAGTAGCTGGGCATAGTGGCGGGTACCTGTAATCCCAGCTACTCAGGTGGCTGAGGCAGGAGGATTGCTTGAACACGGGAGGCAGAGGTAGCAGTGAGCCGAGATCGCATCACTGCACTCCAGCCTGGGTGACAGAGCAAGACTGTCTCAAAAAAAAAAAAATTGCCATCTTAACAGTTAAAAAAAAATTCATGACACAGTCCTCAGGAGACCTTGAGAAATGTGCCCTTAATCTTTTTTTTTTTTTTTTTTTTTTGAGACGGAGTCTCGCTCTGTTGCCCAGACTGGAGTGCAGTGGCTTGATCTTGGCTCACTGCAAGCTCCGCCCCCCGGGCTCATGCCGTTCTCCTGCCTCAGCCTCCCGAGTAGCTGGGACTACAGGCGCCCGCCACCATGCCCAGCTAATTTTTTTGTATTTTTAGTAGAGATGGGGTTTCATGTGTTAGCCAGGATGGTCTCGATCTCCTGACCTCGTGATCCCCCTGCCTCGGCCTCCCAAAGTGCTGGGATTACAGGTTTGAGCCACCGCGCCTGGCCCTTAATCATTTTTAAGTGTATAATTCAGTCGTGTTAAGTATGTTCACATTGTGCAAACAACCAATCTCTAGGACATTTGCATCTTGCAAAACTGAAACTCTTCACCCATTAAACAACAACTCCCAAATTCCCCGTTCCCCCAGTGGCTGGGGAAAAGCCACCCTTTGACTTTCTTCTTTTTTTGTTTTGCTGAGACGGAGTTTTGCTCTGTCGCCTGGGCTGGAGTGAAGTGGCTTGATCTCAGCCCACTGCGACCTCTGCCTCCCAGGTTCAAGAGATTCTCCTGCCTCAGCCTCCCAAGTAGCTGAGATTACAGGCACCCGCTACCATGCCCAGCTAATTTTTGTATTTTTAGTAGAGACCGGGTTTCACCATGTTGACCAGGCTGGTCTTGAACCCCTGACCTCAGGTGATCCACCCGCCTCAGCCTCCCAAAGTGTTGAGATTACAGGCGTGAGCCACTGCACCAGGCCTCCCTTTGACTTTCTATGAATTTCACGACTCTAGGTTCCTCATCTGAGTGGAATCATACAGTGTTTGTCGTTTCGTGATGGGCCTATTTCACTGAGCGTAATGTCCAGAAGTTTCCTCCATATTGTGGCGTGTGTCATAGTTTTATACCTTTTTAAGGCTGAATAATATTCATTGTATGGGCCGGGCATGGTGGTTCATGCCTGTAATCCCAGCACTTTGGGAGGTTGAGGCTGGAGGATTGTTGGAGCCCAGGAGTTCAAGACCAGCCTGGGCAACATAGCAAAATTCCTTCTCTATAAAAAAAGGTTTAAAAATTAGCTGGGCATGGGCCGGGCATGGTGGCTCATGCCTGTAATCCCAGCACTTTGGGAGGCCGCAGTGGGTGGATCACGAGGTCAGGAGATCGAGACCATCCTGGCTAACACGGTGAAACCCCATCTCTACTAAAAAACACAAAAAATTAGCCGGGCGTGGTGACAGGCGCCTGTAGTCCCAGCTACTCAGGAGGCTGAGGCAGGAGAATGGCGTGAACCCAGGAGGCAGAGCTTGCAGTGAGCCGAGATCGCGCCACTGCACTCCAGCCTGGGCGACAGAGTGAGACTCTGTCTCAAATTAAAAAAAAAAAAAAAAAAAATTAGCTGGGCATGGTGGCATGCACCAGGCTTAGGTGGGAGGATTGCTTAAGCCTGGGAGGTTGAGGCTGCAGTGAGCCGTGATTGCACTACTGCACTCCAGCCTGGGTGACAGTGTTGCTGGATTTATAAGGAATCAGAGAGATCTATGGGGTTCAGGAGGATATTTGTTAATTATTTAGGTGCACCGGCCCAGTCAGATTAACATGCAAAGGACTGAGCCTTGAACAAAGAGTTAAGTTACCTTTTAAGCATTTCGTGGGGCGGGGGGAGAACTGTGCAGGCGGAAGCATACTACAGAAGCGAGAAACAAAGGCAGTTATTTAATCAATTGAGACACGTATTACATCATTTCTTATTTTTCAAGGAAAAACACGTTTTGTGACTTGAGTTTATCTGCCTAGTGACCTTGCAGCTGCACATCTAGAGAAACAGGGTTGTCACAATGTCTGGGAAAGGGACAGATAAGACTCACTAGCCACAGAAACACAGGCAGTTAATTTTTAAAGGACTCCAGCTCTTTCTCTTCCTCGGGGGAACTGGGTTTTCTTACATACAACTGAGTTTCTGCTTACACACTCCTTAATTTCTTTTAATTAAGGGTTTTGCGCTGGTGTGGTGGCTCATGCCTGTAATCCAAGCACTTTGGGAGGCCGAGGCGGGTGGATCACCTGAGGTTGGAAGTTCAAGACCAGCCTGACCAACACAGAGAAACCCCATCTCTACTAAAAATACAGAATTAGCCAGGCATGGTGGCTCATGCCTGTAATCCCAGCTACTCGGGAGGCTGAGGCAGGAAAATTGCTTGAACCTGGGAGGCGGAGGTTGCAGTGAGCCAAGATCGCACCATTGCACTCCAGCCTGGGCAACAAGAGTGAAACTCCATCTCGAAAAAAAAGAAAACAAAAGAAAAAAGCCAAGAGGGGAGTCGAACTAATTTTCCACCACACAGGAGCATGAGCCAGCCCTCTGAGGCTTTACAAGCAGACACGCCTGCCTCCTTAAAGATATGCTGAGCATTGGCCGGGTGCAGTGGCTTACGCCTGTAATCCCAGCATTTTGGGAGGCCGAGGCAGGTGGATCACCTGAGGTCAGGAGTTCGAGACCAGCCTTCCCAACATGGCGAAACCCTGTCTCTAGTAAAAATACAAAAAAATTAGCTGGGCGTGGTGGGCACGTCTGTAATCCCAGCTACTCGAGAGGCTGAGGCAGAAGAATCACTTGAACCCAGGAGGCGGAGGTTGCAGTGAGCCAAGATCACACCAGTGCACTCCAGCCTGGGTGACAAGAGCGAGACTCCATCTCAAAAAAAAAAAAAAAAAGATATGCTGAGCATCTTTTCCCGAAAGTGACCTATTTTACTCCTGTGAAAACCTGCACTGGGGGGAGAACCCCTCCCCCATGATCTCCACAGTTGTCTCAGAGGGGCCATGCAGGGTCTGTTCATGTTGTTTTTGTTAATATGAAAGTAATTCAAGGGCAGAGGGGGCAAAATAGCCAGACCCTGTCTCTAAAAAACATTTAAAAATTAAAAATAAGACAAGGCTCCAGACTGGAAGAAAAAAATTTCTTTTAAGTACTCAAACTGTGTTCTGGAAAATCCAGAAAACAGTTACAAGACAAGACATGCCCTTTTGCCACCGTCGCGCCTGGGAACTGTGAGCATTTCTGCAGGAGACCTGTGGGCTGCTGTGGTGCCGTCTTTGTATTGTGGTCATTGCGGAAGGGCGCCATGAAGCCATTGGGCCAGCTGGTGGATCTTGCTCTCCCAGTGAGGGAGCAACTCGAGGACAACTTCGGGACCCACAGGCCAGGCGTGTATCTGCTCTGGTGGGCAGCCTGGGTGCCTGGAGTATCACTGAGTGGCAAACTGCTTGGCAGCATCACACGGTAGGGACACTGGTAACTTCCAGCCAGCATGCGGAGGGCTTCCAGCCCTTCTGCAGGCTCAGGGATGTGCTGGGCCTCCATCCCTCGCCCTCAGAGCACAGGCATTCTCCCTGTCCCTGCCACACTGCCCTTGACCCTGCTGGCTGCTGGGATGTTTCCCACCGCTTTGGGTGAGTGGGCCACGCCGGTGGGTGTTGAAGTGGATGGCAGGACACCTTAACAACCGCTGCCCAGTGCTGTGTCAGTGTTAGGCCCTTACCTTCCTCTACAGTGGGAGGAAACACGGGAGGAGAGGGAGGACCCCACATCCTGCCTGGCAAGTTGCTGAAAAACACCAAGTCACGTGACACATCATATACCGGAGTGTGTGGTGCCACACAGCAGGCACGGGTCTGACCCCATCCTGTCACCCTGCCGCTGTGGCCAGCTGCCTCCTGCACTGTCCAAAGGAGGTCCTGAGCCATCCACCTTCAGAGTCCAAAAGCTGACAGAGATGGGTTGATGAAATGAGGAACTTCTGTTCCCGGTGGCTGGAGGCATCCTCCTCACAGCTGGTGGGGGCGGGGGGACTTCCTTTCTGCCCCTGTCCTACTGTGGGAATCTGAGCTTCTTTCTCTGCCCCATTCAGCTCTTGAGGAGCCAAGGACAGATCCCCAGGCTGGTGCTCCCAACCTGGGGAAGTGAAAAGGGCTTGGGCCGTGACCACCTGCAGGTTCGGTTCAGATTTTAGTTCCTCCATTACACGGGCAACCGCAAGGAAGTCAGGTTCCCATTGAGTGTCTTATTTCCTCAAATAGAATGCAGAGTGTTGGGAGAAATAAAGAAGATGAGAACTCTTGTCAGAGGCACAGGAGGTCTTGGGAAAGAACAATATCATGTAATGATTGTAGATATGGGGTACTGGGCATGTCCCCATGTGCCTGGGTTACACTAACATTTTTACCAACACCTGTCTCCTGCCAGCCTTGGTTGTAAAGAGGGAGAGGAGACTGAGACTCAGAGAGGGTATGGGACTTGCCCAAGGTCACACAGCTAAGAAGTAGTGGAGCCAGGGTTTGAGCCCAGCTCTGTCTATCTCCAAAGCCCATCCTCTACTGAAATTCTAGACATAACTGGGCTGAGCAGAAATCCAGCAAACTTCCACAATCTGCTTAAGCACCTGGGAAAGAAGTGAAGAACGGTCATTTTCTCTGGCCTGCAGGAGGAGCCTAGCAGAGCCGGGTTAAAATCCCAGTGTCTCCACTTGGCATAACCTTAGGCAAGACCCTTCACTTTTGTGAAGCCTGACCCAGGAGGTTGGGGGCTACAGTGAGCTGTGTGTGCAGCACTGCACTCCAGCCTGGGTGACAGAATGAGACCGCCCACCCCTCTCAAAAAAAAAAAAAAAAAAAAAAAAACTAGAAAGAAACACAACAAAATATTAGTAGTTAGTGTAAGTATTTTGGGTGGTGGGTAAAGAATGCCTGCTTTTTATTAATCAAATGTTCTTTAGTTAGAATTTATTCATTGTATTTTAAACTTCTGTTATTATCTTTGATTAAAAGTCTTTTGTTACTTTTATAGTGACAAAAAAACTAAATATGGCATTTTGCACAATACCTATATCATCTTATTCAATCCTCACAATCTGCTGAGATATAATTCTTTCTCCTATTTTATTATTTTTTTATTTTTTTAGAGACAGGTTCTCACTCTGTTGCCTAGGCTGGGGCTGGAGTGCAGTGGCATGATCATAGCTCACTGCAGTCTCGACCTCCCAGGCTCAAGCCACCCTCCTGCCTCAGTCTCCTGAGTAGCTGAGAGTGCAGGTGCATGCCACCATGCCTGGATATTTTATTTATTTACTTATTTATTTATTTATTTTTGAGATGGAGTCTTGCTCTGTTACCCAGGCTGGAGTAAAGTGGCGTGATCTCGGCTCACTGCAACCTCTGCCCCCCCGGGTTCAAGCGATTCTCCTGCCTCAGCCTCCCGAGTAGCTGGGATTACAGGCACGCACCACCACACCCAGCTAATTTTTTTTTTTTTTTGAGACAGAGTTTTGCTCTTGTTACCCAAGCTGGAGTGTAATGATGCAATTTCGGCTCACTGCAAACTCCACATCCCGGGTTCAAGCGATTCTCCTGCCTCAGCCTCCTGAGTAGATAGGATTACAGGCACGTGCCACCACGCCCAGCTACTTTTGTATTTTTAGTAGAGCCGGGGTTTCTCCCTGTTGGTCAGGCTGGTCTCGAACTCCTGACCTCAGGTGATCTGTCCAACTTGGCCTCCCAAAGTACTGGGATTACAGGCGTGAGTCATTGTGCCCAGTAATTTTTTTGTATTTTTAGTAGAGACAGGGTTTTGCCATATTGGCCAGGCTGGTCTTGAACTCCTGACTTCAGGAGATCTGCCCGCCTCACCCTCCCAAAGTGCTAGGATTATAGGCGTGAGCCACCGCGCCTGGCCTTATTTTATTTTATTCTTTTTTTTAAGAGACAGGGTCTTGCTAGTTTGCCCAGGGTGGTCTAGGACTCCTGGTCTCAAGTGATCCTCCTGCCTCAGTCTCCCAAAGTGCTGGGATTACAGGCCACACCCAGCCTCTTCTCCCTGTTTTTTTGTTTTTGTTTTTGTTTTTTGAGACGGAGTTTTGCTCTTGTTGCCCAAGCTGGAGTGCAATGGTACAATCTCGGCTCACTGCAACCTCTGCCTCCCAGGTTCAAGCGATTCTCCTGCCTCAGCCTCCCGAGTAGCTGGGATTAGAGGTGTGTGCCACCACGTCTGGCTAGGTTTTTTTGTATTTTTAGTAGAAACGGGTTTTCACCATGTTAGTCTGGTCTCAAACTCCTGACCTCAGGTGATCCACCCGCCTCGGCCTCCCAAAGTGCTGGGATTATAGGCGTGAGCCATTGCGCCCGGCCCTCTTCTCCCTGTTTTAGAGAGTAAGAAACTGAGGTTCACACAATCAAAGTGATTTGCCTAACGTCATACAACGAGCAAGAGGAGACCTGGGATTTGAACCTATGTTGGTCTGACTCCTGAGGGACAGGGAAATGGAAAAGGCTTATCCCGAGCCTGTGGGGTCAGGATAAGTGGTTGGTCCGGCTTCTAAGCAGATTTCTCTTTAGCCTTAGGAAGAATTTTTAACTAGAATTGGTGAGGCCCGGCGTGGTGGCTCACAGGTGGATCACACCTGTGATCCCAGCACTTTGGGAGGCCGAGGTGGGAGGATCACTTGAGTCCAGGAGTTCGAGGCCAACGTAGACAATAATTATCGAAAGAGTATGGGAGTTCTGGAGAGGTAATGAGATCCCCTTCACCAGGAGGTTTCCGATAGAGGACCATGGAGTGTCCTGGAGGGACATTCGGGAGCCCTGACACTACATCTCCCTCCTCAAACCCAAAGGGCAGAGGCATGTCCCTCCTATGAGACGCAGAACAAGTCGGGCCGCGTCCCCTTTTTCTAACTGGGAGCACTGCTGAGGGGGCGTCTGGGACTTCTTCATCTTCATCATCGCCCCTTCCCCATAGGGTACTGCAGGGGGCGGGGGGCGGGGCTTCGGCGGGGCGGGGCTGCAGGGCTCCCGCGGGCTGGCGGGGCGGCTTCGGCGTGCGGGGCGGGGCATCGGCGGGGCGGGGCTGCAGGGCTCCCGGGGACCGCCCGCCCGCCCCTCAGTCTGAGCCCAGAGAGCCGCGGGGACCATGGAGCCGGTGCCGCTGCAGGACTTCGTGCGCGCCTTGGACCCCGCCTCCCTCCCGCGCGTGCTGCGGGTCTGCTCGGGGGTCTACTTCGAGGGTGAGCGGGGGCTGGAACCCCTCCGAGCACTCCCTTGGTGTGGGGCGGGGGCAGAGACCCGGAGAAGACGTTAGCAATCCGGGGAAACTGCCCCTGGGTTCAAATCCCGACACTGCCACTGGCCAAGCTGTGTGATTTGGGGCCGCACTCAACCTCTTTGGACCTCGGCTTTTGCTTTCGTGGAACGGGGACCGCTGACCTGCCCCGCAGGGTAGTGATGAAAAGTCAGTGGGTTGAGGCGCGGGAGGTGGATGCAGCCGGGCCACTCCTAGGTGGCCCCGCGGTGCGCATGGGACAGAGCTCCGACCGCGCCGGGACGCAGCATTAGGCCGCTGGTGGTCGTGGCTGCGTCTTGATTCTGAAGTGCAGGGTCAGTCTTCCCGTCTGTGTCCTCCCACTCCTCCCCCGGCCCTCCTCTACACTGCCTTCCTTCAGTCCCTGCGTCCACCTTGGCCTTCTGTTTGACCATGGGCAGTACTTGATTTGATCAGCTCTTCAGTTCTCAGCTTAAATGGCGCTTCCTCCCGGAAGCCTTCCTGGCTCTCTGCTCCTTGCACGCCCCCGTACATCTGCCGTCTGCCCGCAGCGGCCTGGTTCACAGGGATGGGCACACAGCAGGCGCACAGTCACTAGTCATTGCCTGAAGGAGCAAGCGGTGAGGGAATAACAGACAGTGGAGGGCAGGGTAAGACAGCACAGTGGATGGGTGGCCAGTGCTGCTCTGTGGGCAGGGAGGACCCGTGGGCCACCGAGTAGGGGAGATGGAGGTGGAGGAGAGAGATGCTGTGTGGGGGTGCGGGTTCCTTCCTTAGAGAGCGAACTGAGGCTTGAAGGCCCTGCCCCATCCTGTTCCCTGGCTGCAGAAAAACGCTCTGTCGCAGCAGCTTCCAGCAGAGTGTTTGAGGTCCCAAGTGGGGTCCTAGACCAAGGAGGTCCCTCATGAAGGGTCCCGCAGGGGGCCACCACCTCGCAGTGGGTCTCTCCAGGTCTGCTTGGGAATCTGGCAGATCTGGGTTCAAATTCTGACTCTACCTCCAGGGGCTTTCTGCAGGAAGGCGCCTGGGATCTGTTTGCTCTTCCCCCAGCCCAGGACCAAGCGTCTTCGTCCTCCCAGCACCCTTTGCCTGCTGGTGTTACAACACCTGTTTCCTCATCCTGCCTGACGCGGGATGGTGGAAATGGTGGAAGTCAGAGTGATGGTGACTAGAGAAGGCCCTGACAGGGTGTGGGTGTGCGGATGGGGTGAGTGCGGAGGACAGATGGCCATGCCAATAGGGGCAGGCGTCTACAGGGCACTCAGAAGGGGCTGGCTGCGTGGTTGGTTAGGAGCACTGGCTCTGGAGGCAAACACCCTGGGTTCAACCTAGGTTTTTTTTTTTTTTTTTGAGACAGAGTCTGGCTCTGTTGCCCAGGCTGGAGTGCAGTGGCACGATACAGCTCACTGCGGCCTCGACCTCCTGGGCTCAAGTGATCCTCCCACCTCAGCTTCCTGAGAGGCTGGGACCACAGGCACGCACCAGGACAACGTCCAGCTAATTTTTGTATTTTTTGTAAAGATGGGGTTTTGTCATTTTGCCCAGGCCGGTCTCAAACCCCTGGACTCAAGTGATCTGCCTGCCTCGGCCTCCCAAAGTGTTAGGATTACAGGCATGAGCCACCACACCAGGCCCTGTTTTTTGTTTAATAGAACATAGGTTGTGTGTGATAGCTCATGCTTATAATCTCAACACTTTGGGAGGCTGAGGTGGGAAGATTGCTTGAGCCTAGGAGTTCGAGATCAGCCCTGGCAACATGGTGAGACATCATGTCTACAAAAAATTTTAAAATAAAAAATTGCAGGGTGTGGTGGCTCATGCTTGTAATCCCAGCACTTTGGGAGGCTGAGGCAGGAGGATCACTTGAACTCAGGGGTTCAAGACCAACCTGGGTAACATACTGAGACCGTGTCTCTACACAAAATAAAAAAATTAGTCAGGTGTGATGGTGCATGCCTGTAGTCTCAGCAACTCAGGAGGCTGAGGTGGGAGGATTGCTTGAGCCTGGGAGGTTGAGGTTGCAGTGAGCTATGATTGCACCACTGCACTCCAGTCTGGGCGACAGTGAGACTCTGTCTCGAAAAAAAGGACGAGGTCTGTGTTGCCCAGGCTGGTCTTGAATTCCTGTCCTCAAGCAGTCCTCCCACTTTAGCCTCCCAAAGTGTTGGGATTACAAGCGTGAGCCACCGCACCCAGCCATAACTTCCAGTTCTGCCTCCTATTACCTGATCATCATGTACAACCTACTCAGCCCCTGAGAGGCTGTTTCTTTTTCTTCTTCTTCTTTTTTTTTTTTGAGATGGAGTCTCCCTCTGTCACCCAGGCTGGAGTGCAGTAGCCTGATTTCAGCTCACTGCAACCTCCACCTCCTGGGTTCAAGCAATTCTCCTGCCTCAGCCTCCTGAGTAGCTGGGATTACAGGTGCCAACCTCCACACTGGGCTAATTTTTGTATTTTTAGTAGAGACGGGGTTTCACCATGTTGGCCAGGCTGATCTCGAACTCCTGATCTCAGGTGATCCCCCTGTCTTGGCCTCCCAAAGTGCTGGGATTACAGGCATGAGCCACCATTCCTGGCCAGCTGTTTCATTATTTAGGAAATTGAAACTGCCTGTCTCCGCAAGAGCAGTCATGGGTCTTAAACACAATGACGCATCAGTAGCCCTTGGCACAGTGCCGGGTATCTGTAGTACCACAGCTGCTGTTCTCACCAGTCTGGAAGGCCCATGCTCTGACATTGTAAACAGACTGTGGTTTATGACTGGTGGGCATTTTCCTGGCAGTACGTGGGGAGGTTTTCATCAGTTTCTCAGGGCTGATGTTGGAGCTGCCCTGTGGGTGGGGCTGGGTTCAGGTGGCCTCAAGGTCCTGCCACGTAGTCTGTTGTCCTCCATTAGCTGGATGGAGAGACTGTGCACTCGTGTGTGCGTGAGAGATCTTTATTGAGCAACTTCTGTGTTCTCGACACCACTTACACACTTTAATTAATTAATTTATTTTTATTTATTATTTTTTTTTTGAGACGGAGTCTCACTCTGTCACCCAGGCTGGAGTGAAGTGGCGTGATCTCGGCTCACTGCAAGCTCCGCCTCCCGGGTTCACGCCATTCTCCTGCCTCAGCCTCCCGAGTAGCTGGAACTACAGGTGCCCGCCACCATGCCTGGCTAATTTTTTTTGTATTTTTAGTAGAGTCGGGGTTTCCCTGTGTTAGCCAGGATGGTCTCGATCTCCTGATCTCGTGATCCACCCACCTTGGCCCCCCAAAGTGCTGGGATTACAGGCGTGAGCCACCGCGCCCAACCCTCACTTACACACTTTAAACCAGGAAAGCAGAACTTTGCCCATTGGGCCTCACTCTGTCAGTGCCCCTCTATTTTCCAGGGTGCTAGGAGGGCTGGGTACCGGCCCTGGCTCCGGGTGATCTCCAGGGAGCCACTGACCCCTCTCTGAGCCTGATTTTGTAGCTGTACACTAAGGGAATCCCAACTCCCTTAGTGTACAGCTACAAAATCAGGCTCAGAGAGGGGGATTCACTGGGTTATTTACTGATTTGTGGACTTACCACATACTCAGAGGCCAAGCCCTGTGCTGGCTGCAGTGATGTTGAGATGGATCAGCCCTGCCTGTGAACTCAGTGGAGGAGGCACGGGGATGTGAAAAAGGCCAGAGAAGTGTGCCACAGCGGGGTGCACCGATGCCAGGAGGGGCAAGGACAGCTGAGGACGACTGAACCTGTGGGCATGAGGCAGGAACGACAGAGCAGGGCATGCCAGGCAGCAGGCACCATGTGCAAAGGCATGGCAGAGCAGAGCTTGTTGGGCACCAGGGCACAGGCTGCCCAGCACTTGGCCCTTGTCCAATGGGGAAATGGAGTCCTTGTCTCCGCAGGCTCCATCTATGAGATCTCTGGGAATGAGTGCTGCCTCTCCACGGGGGACCTGATCAAGGTCACCCAGGTCCGCCTCCAGAAGGTGGTCTGTGAGAACCCGAAGACCAGCCAGACCATGGAGCTCGCCCCCAACTTCCAGGGTAAGGTGGGCACCTCTGCCTCCCCATGTGCCCTGGCACTCTCCTGGCACACCCGCAGGCTGCTCGTGGGCTTGCCACGTCCAGCAGTCACTCCCTCCCCTCGGGGTTTGCTCCCGAGGCCCTCACATTCACCACAACCCAGCCTCAAGGGTGGGGATGTCCTCAGAGGGTCGGCAATGCCCTGGACTCAGAGAGGTTGCACCCTCTCCCTCTCAGTCTCTGGTCACACCTGCCTCTGTTCCAAGCCCTGTCCAGGTGCCTGTCTCTGAGTTCACTCACACATTCACTCCCCAAACATCTGCAGACACCCATGTGTGCCAGGCTCCGTGTGGCGGGCTGTGGGTATGGGGGTCAGGATGAATCAGGTGCCACCCTCTCCAGTGGGGAGCTTCTGGGATGACAGTGAGAGGAGGCCAACAGTAAAAGGAGTCATAAGCTTTAGAGAGGGGTCTGAGCAACAGTAACCTGCCTCAGGATCTGTGAGGGCTTCTTGGAGGAGGTGGCATCTGAACCAGAAGAAAGATCCCAGCCACAGGGAGTAGCATGTGCACATTTGGTGCTCAGGAAACCCCAAGGAGCTCAATTCTTATTATTTTTTTTTATTTTTACTTTTTGGAGATGGAGTCTCGCTCTGTCACCCAAGCTGGAGTGCAGTGGCGTGATCTGGACTCACTGCAAGCTCTGCCTCC
This sequence comes from Homo sapiens, assembly GCF_000001405.40. Classification (NCBI taxonomy): domain Eukaryota; kingdom Metazoa; phylum Chordata; class Mammalia; order Primates; family Hominidae; genus Homo; species Homo sapiens. The sequence continues at coordinate 27,877,418 of NC_000001.11, forward strand.
CGGGTTCCCACCATTCTACTGCCTCAGCCTCCCGAGTAGCTGGGACTACAGGCGCCCGCCACCACACCCAGCTAATTTTTTTTGTATTTTTAGTAGAGACAAAGTTTCACCGTGTTAACCAGGATGATCTCGATCTCCTGACCTCGTGATCTGCCCGCCTTGGCCTCCCAAAGTGCTGGGATTACAGGCATGAGCCACCATGCCCGGCCAGAGCTCAATTATTTTAAGAGGCATGTAGTGTGGTGGGCCATGGCCTGGACCCTGAAGCCAGTGGCCTGGAATTGAATCCCAGTGGCCTTGGGCAAGCTAGGCAGGTTCCTCTCTGGGCCTCTCTGGGACCTCCCTGGGCCTCAGTTTCCTCTTCTGTAATGAGGGCGATTAGGCTTGATATGAGGATGAAATGAGCTGATATGTATACAGCACTTAGAAGGGGGCCTGGGACAGGCTGGGTGCAGTGGCTGGTGGCTCATGCCTGTGATCCCAGCTCTTTGGGAGGCTGAGGCGGGTGGATCACCTGAGGTCAGGAGTTCAAGACCAGCCCGGCCAACATGGTGAAACCCCATCTCTGCTAAAAATACAAAAATTAGCTAGGGGTGGTGGGGGGCACCTGTAATCCCAGCTATTCAGGAGGCTGAGGCATGAGAATCACTTGAACCTGGGAGGTGGAGGTTGCAGCCTGTGCAATAGAGAGAGACTCTGTCTCTCAAAAAAAAAAAAAAAAAAAGTGGGGAGGGGGCACCTGGTACAAAGCAGGCACACTCTGAGGACTGGCTGTTATGTGACTGCCTGCCAGATGCGGGAAAGTGTGGCTTCCAGGTTAGGGGCAAGTTGTGTGGGGAGCCGCAGGAGCCACACCACCTGGGGGCTATGTGGTGTGCTGACACTGTTTGTTCTTTATTTCGAAGGCAATGAGGAGCCAGTGAGGGTTTTTTGTTTCATTTTTAGTAGAGACAGGGTCTTGCTATGTTCTCCAGCCTGGTCTCACTCAAACTCTTGGGTTCATGTGATCCTCCTGCCTCGGCCTCCCAAAGTGTTGGCATTACAGGCGTGAGCCAGTGTGCCCAGCCAAAAACGGCCTCAGGTTTCCTTTTTTCTTTCCCCCGTCAAGTGTTAAACATTTGTTACATGTGTTTCTCTCCCTCTCCATACATACACACACACGAATGTATTACTATATGTGTATATATGGATGTGTTTTTTCTGAACCATTTGAGAGTAAATTGCAGACATGTTCCCTTTTACATCTATATATTACCCCTAAATATTATAGTATCTCCCCAAAACAAGGACATTCATTCACATGGTTCAATGATCAAATTCAGGAAACTTAATTTTGGTACAGTACTACTGCCTAATCCATGGGCTGTATTTGAATTCCAGCAACTATCCTCATAATATGCTTTATAGCAGTTTTTCCCCTCAATCCAGAGTCCAGTCCTAGATCACACATCATATTCAGTTGTCCTGTTTCTTCATTCTCCTTCAGACTGGAACAGTTCCTCTGCCTTTGTCTTGACATTGACATTTTGAAGCATCTGGACCAGTACTTATGTAGAATATCCCTCAGTCCCAGCTTGTGCAGTGTTTCCTCGATTAGCTTCAGGTTGTGGGTTTGGGGCAGGAAAAGCTTGCTTCCCAAAAGCGGTATCATGTCTGGAAGCGAGGTATTTAGGCCAGCTGCTGGCGGAATGGGTGGGGGCTGGAGGGAGGGGGTGCAGGGACAGTCGGGCAGTCACTATTGGCAGCCAGGATGCAGGGGTAAAGTGGGTGGTCTGAGGTGGCTCTGGCCAGCAGCTCCTGGGATGTTCGTTTGGGAGAGAGGGACGGCAGGTTTTGGATGAGTGGGATCGGACCTGTGGAGAGGCATCTGGAGGAAAGGCTAAGATGGCAGTTAGAGGCAGGTAGGGTCAGGAGCTTGGAGAGTGTGGAAGTCTAGTGTGTCTGTCAGGGAATGTGTCCCTCTTCCATTCTCTGTGTCTCTGGTGACAAGTCTCTCTCGGTTCCTACTTCCTGTCTCTCCCTGTCCCTTCATGCACTGCCACTTTCTGCCCTGTGTCCCTCAGCCCTGCAGCCCAGATGTCCAGATGCAAATCTGTCATTGACACCTGTCCCTGGGGGATTCTGGCTGGGTCATCTGCAGGGCCAGACTGGGGTCTGGACCTGACAAAGGCCTGCCCCACCCTGACACCCCACAGTGACCTGCCTGCTCTCTGCTGTCCCCCACAGGCTACTTCACCCCCCTCAACACCCCACAGAGCTATGAAACCCTGGAGGAGCTGGTCTCTGCCACAACTCAGAGCTCCAAGCAGCTGCCCACTTGCTTCATGTCGACCCACAGGATTGTCACAGAGGGCAGGGTGGTGACTGAGGACCAGCTCCTCATGCTTGAGGCTGTGGTGATGCACCTCGGGATCCGCTCTGCCCGCTGTGTCCTGGGCATGGAGGGTCAGCAGGTCATCCTGCACCTGCCCCTATCCCAGAAGGGGCCCTTCTGGACATGGGAGCCTAGTGCCCCTCGAACTCTGCTCCAGGTCCTACAGGATCCAGCCCTGAAAGACCTCGTCCTCACCTGCCCCACCCTGCCCTGGCATTCCCTGATCCTGCGGCCCCAGTATGAGATCCAAGCCATCATGCACAGTGAGTTGCCTGGGCAGATGGATGCGCGCTGCTGGGGGAGAGAAAGAGGGTTGCCCCTGGGAGCTGCTCTGATGGAAGACACCCCCACCCCATCCCTGAGGATCAGCTGGAACTTCAGGTTGCTCCCTCTGTATTACACTGAAGTTATTCTTTTTTTTTGAGATGGAGTTTCGCTCTTGTTGCCCAAGCTGGAGTGCAATGGTGTGATCTTGGCTCACCCTCCAGAGTCAAGCGATTCTCCTGCCTCAGCCTCCCGAGTAGCTGGGATTACAGGCGTGCACCACCATGCCCGGCTAATTTTTTGTATTTTTAGTAGAAACGGAGTGTCACCATGTTAGCGAGGCAGGTCTTGAACTCCTGACCTCAGGTGGTCCACCCGCCTTGGCCTCCCAAAGTGCTGGGATTACAGGCGTGAGCCACCGTTCCTGGCCAGTTATTCTTATTGATGCTCAAATTATCTCGGCTACGCCAGGTGCAGTGGCTCACGCATGTAATACCAGCACTTTGGAGGATCGCTTGATCTCAGGTGTTCCAGACCAGACTAGGCAACATAGCAAGACCCCCATCTCTACAAAAATTTTTTTAAAAAATTAGCTAGGCTTAGTGCTTGTAGTAGCAGCTACTCTGGAGGCTGAGGCAGGAGGATCACTTGAGCCCAGGAGTTCAAGGTTGTAGTGAGCTATGATCACACCCTTGCACTCCAGCCTGGGCAACAGGGCGAGACCTCATCTCTCTCTTTTTTGAAGCAGAGTCTTGCTCTGTCACCCAGGCTGGAGTACAATGGTTGATCTCAGCTCACTGCAACCTCCATCTCCCAGGTTCAAGCGATTCTCTTGCCTCAGCCTCCCTAGTAGTTGGGATTATAGGCGCCCGCCACCATGCCCAGATAATTTTTTTGTATATTTAGTAGAGACAGGGTTTCGCCATATCGGCCAGGCTGGTCTGGAACTCCTGACCTCAGGTGATCTGCCCACCTCGGCCTCCCAGAGTGCTGGGATTACAGGCGTGAGCCACCGAGCACAGCCTAAAAATAATAATTTTAAAATTTATTTTTCTTTTTTCTTAATACTTGGAGGAAAAAAAATAAAAATAGTAATTTTTTTAAGAAGGTTGGGGCCAAGCACAGTGGCTCACGCCTGTAATCCTAGAACTTTGGGAGGCCGAGGCAGGTGGATCACGAGGTCAGGAGATCAAGACCATCCTGGCTAACATGGTGAAACCCCGTCTCTACTAAAAATACAAAAAAATTAGCCGGGTGTGGTGGCGGGCACCTGTAGTCCCAGCTACTTGGGAGGCTGAGGCAGGAGAATGGCGTGAACCCAGGGGCTAGAGCTTGCAGTGAGCCAAGATCGCACCACTGCACTCCAGCCTGAGCGACAAGAGCGAGACTCCATCTCAAAAAAAAAAAGAAGGTTGAAGGGAAAGCATGTGTGGGAATGTGGCGTAGTGTAAATTGGAAGATTCTGATTGGAAAGAAAAGATGGCAGCGGGGGCCGGGCGTGGTGGCTCATGCCTGTAATCCCAGCACTTTGGGAGGCCAAGGTGGGAGGATCACCTGAGGACAGGAGTTCGAGACCAGCCTGGCCAACATGGTGAAACCCCATCTCTACTAAAACTACAAAAATTAGCTGGGCATGGTGGCGGGCGCCTGTAATCCCAGCTACTCGGGAGGCTGAGGTGGAAGAACTGCTTGAATCTGGGAGGTGGAGGTTGCAGTGAGCCGAGACTGTGCCATTGCATTCCAGCCTGTGCGACAAGGGCACTCCATCTCGAGTGAAACTCCATCTCAAAAAAAAAAAAAGAAAGAAAAGACAGCAGCGGGAGGGAGGCCAGCCGGCCCAGCCAATGCTCTATGCCTGGGGTGGGGGCCACTCCTGGGGTGGCATGCAGTGCCACTGAGCTGCCCCTCTCCACAGTGCGCAGGACCATTGTCAAGATCCCTTCTACCCTGGAGGTCGACGTGGAGGACGTCACCGCCTCCTCCCGGCACGTCCACTTTATCAAACCGCTGCTGCTGAGCGAGGTCCTGGCCTGGGAAGGCCCTTTCCCCCTGTCCATGGAGATCCTGGAGGTTCCTGAGGGCCGCCCCATCTTCCTCAGCCCGTGGGTGGGCTCCTTGCAAAAAGGCCAGAGGCTTTGCGTCTATGGCCTAGCCTCACCACCCTGGCGGGTCCTGGCCTCAAGCAAGGGCCGCAAGGTGCCCAGGCACTTCCTGGTGTCAGGGGGCTACCAAGGCAAGCTGCGGCGGCGGCCAAGGGAGTTCCCCACGGCCTATGACCTCCTAGGTGCTTTCCAGCCAGGCCGGCCACTCCGGGTGGTGGCCACAAAGGACTGTGAGGGCGAGAGGGAGGAGAATCCCGAGTTCACGTCCCTGGCTGTGGGTGACCGGCTGGAGGTGCTGGGGCCTGGCCAGGCCCATGGGGCCCAGGGCAGTGACGTGGATGTCTTGGTTTGTCAGCGGCTGAGTGACCAGGCTGGGGAGGATGAGGAGGAAGAGTGCAAAGAGGAGGCAGAGAGCCCAGAGCGGGTCCTGCTGCCCTTCCACTTCCCTGGCAGTTTCGTGGAGGAGATGAGTGACAGCCGGCGCTACAGCCTGGCAGATCTGACTGCCCAGTTTTCACTGCCTTGTGAGGTCAAGGTGGTGGCCAAGGACACCAGCCACCCCACTGACCCTCTGACCTCCTTCCTGGGCCTGCGGCTGGAGGAGAAGATCACAGAGCCATTCTTGGTGGTGAGCCTAGACTCTGAGCCTGGGATGTGCTTTGAGATCCCTCCCCGGTGGCTGGACCTGACTGTTGTGAAGGCCAAGGGGCAGCCAGACTTGCCAGAGGGGTCTCTCCCCATAGCCACAGTGGAGGAGCTGACAGACACCTTCTATTATCGTCTTCGGAAGTTACCAGCCTGTGAGATCCAAGCCCCCCCACCCAGGCCCCCTAAAAATCAGGGCCTCAGCAAGCAGAGGAGACACAGCAGTGAGGGAGGCGTCAAGGTACTAGTATAATCCCAGAGGGCACGGAGGGGTCACCTATTGGGATCACTGCTTCTTTGTCATGTCTGCCTGTCATGTTTCTCTTGCAACTGTGTAAACTTGTAGTTTATAAACTTGCACACTTTGCACCCATTATTCTCATTCCACCTCACAATTAATCCTGAGGTTGGCATGATTATCAGTATCTTATGATTGAGAAAACAAGGACTTGGAGACCCTAAGACTTGCCCAGGGTCCCTGTTAATAAGTGGGAGGACTGAACTTGGCCATGGACAGTCTAACTCCAAGTTCATGGTGCTTTCCTCTCTCCACTACTGCTGCCTTCACTCCCTAGTTCGAGCCTCATCATTTTTCTCCTAAACTACTTCAGCAGGCTCTTACAAAAGCTGTCAGAAAGGCCTCCTAACTCCTTTCTTAGTCATTGATGGACCTCAGCTCCATCTTCTGGAACCTTCTGTGGCTGCCCATCATCATGGGATGATGCAAACCCCTTAACATGGCATCCAGGGTCCTTTATAAGCTGACTTGTCGCACCTCCCCGACCCATCTTCCTCCACTCACTCTGCTGTCCACGCTCCAGCGAGAGAAATGCCCGCAGCTCCCTCATGGCGCCGGGACTCCTGCTCCAGAGCCCCACACCCAGGCCTTCTGCCAGCAGTGTTCTTCCTCCTTCAGGCTCACAGGCAAGGTGGGACTCGGATTTCTCACTCAGCAGCGGTGGTCCTGCCTCCTCTTCTGTGCTCCCACTGCACGCTCTACGTAGCTCAGGACAGGTTGTTTTTAGTGAGTCCTACCTGAGTCTCTGGCTGAAAAGAGTTCTGTCGGGGCAGGGACCTTACCTGCTCCAAGGCCAGAGAGGACCTGCTAAACGGGGCCAAACAGAATCACAGATGAGCGGGAGAGAGCCAGGCATGGGGTCAGAAAGACTAAGTTTACGTTCCGGTTCACTTACTCTGCCTGTGCTGGGTACTCCTCCGAGCGTCCTTTTTCTCACCAGTAGACCTGTGATATCCTCTGCAGCTGCTTTCTGTGACCTGCTTACTCTGTGGCAGGCCCCTGATATGCTTTGTCCCAACCAATTCTCACAGTGCTTCTGAGTTACACACCGGTGTCCTGCTTCACAGTTGAGAAGGTGAGAGGCACAGAGAGGTCAAATAGTTTACCTGAGATCACACAGCCAACAAGTGGCAGGGCCAGAGCTTGCAATTGGGTCTGACCACACAGCCTGAGCTTCTAACTACCGTGGTCTGCTGAGAACGGGAGGGGATGAGACAGATCAAAAGTCCTTTACTATCCCCAGCTCTTGTTTTGGGATCTTGGGTGACTCGTATTTAATCACGTGTGGTAGGCAGCAGGTGGCAGTGGAAATTACAAGATGACTCCTGAGTGGTCTCAGCCCCAGCAGGGGCTTTTATCTGTGGCGTGAGCGTGGGAAGTCATTTTCTGACAATGGCTGGACTGAAACATCCGAAACACAGGCCTTGTGCCAGTGCTGAAAAGGGTACTTTCCAGAACCGACAGACCTTAGCCCGTGTCTTGGCTCCCAGTGGAGGGACTCTGGGCCCGGTCACTGCTGTCGCCCTGGAACCACAACTTTTCCCCTCTGTGCGTTGGAATCTTGGTGCTGATCAGGGAGCTGTGCCGCACACTCTGTAAAGCGTGGTGGGGCGCCAAGACCTCTGCCTCTACAGGTCACAGGCGTGGCTCTGGGTCCAAACCTTGGCCCTGCTGTGGATCCCCGTGTGACCTTTGACAAGGCACACTTTCTCTCCTACATAAACTGGGAATTGAAACCACTCAGAGGGTAACTTGAGGATTAAAGAGCAGACGTCATGTAGCATCTGGCACATGGGGGAACGCAATGGAAGTCCTCTTTCTTCTGGGCCACCTCAGCTCAGGCGTCGTCACAAGGCTTTGTGGCTCCTTTCTTACGGTATCCCCACTTTGCTTTTTTCCCCTTCAGCAAGAGAATTAAAGGACATTGACCAAATTCCTAAGTGGAAAATCCCAGGAACACCCTGTCTCCAACCCCCAACCCTATCCTCATTTTCTACCCTGATCCCTTTCTCCCTTGCCAGAGAATATTTCACATGCATGTAGCAAAAACACCAGGGGTCTTGAGAGGTCATAGCCTGAAAAGGAAGTAGAGAGAGAAGCAGAGGAAGTGACACTTAACGTGAATGACCGTTTTTCATGGACTCTGCTTCCCCATTTCTTGAGACCCTGATGATTTCTGCTTTTTCTCCCAAAGTCTTCTCAAGTCTTAGGATTGCAGCAACACGCTCGGCTGCCCAAACCCAAGGCGAAGACCTTGCCAGAGTTCATCAAGGATGGCTCCAGTACGTACAGCAAGATTCCTGCCCACAGGAAGGGCCACAGGCCCGCTAAGCCCCAAAGGCAGGATCTAGGTGAGTCCCTGTGGGCGCTGCTCACCCTTGTCCTTGTGTCTCCCCTCCCTACCTTGCTGCTTCCTTTGCCTCTGGTGGCCCTGTCCAGGGACAGACCCTTCTATGGTCCCAGTTTGATGGACAGGCCTCTATGGGGTGGGCTCAGGTAGAAAGGTTCCTACTGTCTTTCCCATGGGCTCTAGGGCTTTGGCAAGGAAAATGAGTTCAGTCCCCAACATACTACCCTCCCTGCAGCATACAGGAAAATGAAAGGGTTGCAAAGTGTTGAGACAGAACAAATCGTGGTTTCTAGGCTAGCAAAGACCGTAGGGCATCCAGGCCACCTCTTTCCCTGCACAGATGAGGAAACTGCCCTACAGAAGGGAAGGAACTTGCCTAACGCTAAAGATCCTCATTGACTCGGACTCTTTTGCAGATGATGATGAACATGATTATGAAGAAATACTTGAGCAATTTCAGAAAACCATCTAAGTGCTGGAGGAACCACGCTTCCTAACTGCTGCTTCTCAGGGAATCCGACACCAGCCAACCATTTTAAGCCTCTAAAAGACCTCGGGCAAGTCTCACAGAAACTGAGCTGCAGACGGGGAGTAGCTTTGTGGAAACTGATTTGATGGACACTGCACCAGCTTCCTTCAGGTTCTAGATTCTTGCTACTTAGGGCGGGCTGGTTTGGACCTAACATCTCGCACGTGACTCCCTCAGCCTCAGAGCCTTGGGATGCAGAGCAGCTGGCAGGGTTCCTCTCAATCCTGCAACCCCAGCTGTCCCACCGGTGGATGCAGAGGGGAATCCGAGGCCATCAACCTTGGTGACAGCAGCGCAGTGCCAATGCTGATCACACTGCATGGGAGATTTTGTTAACGTCTGCCACCCCCACTCTCACCCCCAAGCTCTAAGCCCCCGGGAGGCCTGGACTGTCTTCCTCATCTCTGTAGCACCAAGCCTGATAGATCTGTATATGGTAAACAGGGGTTTAACCACATGTGGTTAACATGGATTAATGTGGGAACTTGGCTTCAAGAACACAACCTTAGGACCTTGGGCCCCAAAAGCTGGTGGTGAAATGAGGAGGAGCCAATTTAAGAAGACCCTTATGGAGACCTGAGGCTGCAGAAACTGGTAGGTTTCATCAGGTGGTTAAAGTCGTCAAAGTTGTAAGTGACTAACCAAGATTATTTCATTTTAAAACCATAGAATAAAAATGACACCTGAGCTTCTCTATGAATGAGAACGGTATCATTTATTAAATTCTGACTGCGTGCCAGGCACTTACAAACCATATCCAAATCCTCAACTTTCCAGAATGCCTGATTTTAAAGATTAGGGAACAGGCTGCATGGTCAAGTACCTTAGGACGCTGACAAGTTGCAGTTAAGGGTGAGGACCTGGAAAGTATGAGACTGGGTTAGGATCCCAGCTTGCTACCTACCAGCCAGGGCTATGAGCAAGTTATTTTAACCTAAGTTTCAGTTTTTTGACATGTCAGATGAAACTATAGTTACTACCCCAGAAGACTGACTGTTTTAAGGATCAAATGAGATAATCTTTGTAAACCATTTAGTACAGTGCCTAGCACATAGTAAACATTCAACAAACATGCATCATTATTGAGCAAGATCGTGTAGCTGTTCTGTCTCCAAAGCCTATACTCTTTCCACCCCTCCACAATGTTTCCTAGTCACGGAATACATCCCAGTGTTAAAAATATACCATATCCCTAGACTGTGGAGATAGAGTATACTGACTGGTTGGTGGGCCTCCCTGTCTTTAGTGGAGATAATACAAGCCTTTGTCCGTGCAGAGACTAACCCAGTTTTCAGAGGCAGTCAAGGCCCGTTCAGTGAGACAAGACCACAGGCCACATTTCCTCTAAGTAGTGGGACTTTGGTTTATGGACTGATGCGGTCACAGACAGCAAAGGCAGGAAACAGACAAAGAGATGAACTGAGACTCCAGCTGAGATGGGAGCCTAAAGAGGGTGAGATGCCCACTTCCTGGTTTCTAGGCATCGCCCCTGGGTGTGTCCTTCCTTTGCTTAACATCTCCCTGGGCTGCCTGGACTCGCTGCACTTTTTAGCCTCCAGGCCTCCATACTCCAGCATGGAGTTCTCCAGGTGACTACTGAGTGGCTCCTACAGGCTGCTGGGCCAGTCACCAGGATCTGACATCCCATCCTCATCTGCCCACCAGCTCCCATGCCCTTCTCCAGAGAAGTCAACCTGCGCTGCAAAGGAGGACCCTGAGGAAGAGAGTACCATAGGGAGAAGCAACAGGCAAGAAAGTCAGACAGAAAGTTCCTCCTTGGCACAGAATCCGGAGGGGCTAGGGTGATGCACAAAATGCCAATAGTTTTCATTTCCACATTTGCATTTACTCTTGGCACAAAATTGAGCAAGATGAGTAACAAAGCCACAAAAGCAGGGGTAAAAGAGGGCTACCAGTTCCTATAAAATGGGCTGAGTAGGCCAGGTGCAGTGGCTCACACCTATAATCTCAGCACTTTGGGAGGCCGAGGCAGGTGGATCATGAGGTCAAGAGATCAAGATCATCCTGGCCAACATGGAGAAACACCATCTCTACTAAAAATACAAAAAAATTAGCTGGGCGTGGTGGCATGTGCCTGTACTCCCAGCTACTTAGGGGGCTGAGGCAGAAGAATCGCTTGAACCCGGGAGGTGGAAGTTGCAGTGAGCCAGGATCGCGCCACTGCACTCCAGCCTGGCGAAAGAGTGAGACTCCGTCTCAAAAAAAAAAAAAAAAAGAAAAAAAAAAAAGGGCTGAGTAGCCAAATGCTGCAGTGAGAAAAATTTCACAGCAGCGAACGCTGGGCTTGAAAGCCACACCTGTGACTGTTTTCTCTTGTTTGTTGAGATGAAGTCTCTCTCTGTGGCCCAGGCTGCAGTGCAGTGGCACCATCTCGGCTCACTGCAACCTCCGCCTCCCAGGTTCAAGTGATTCTCAGACTTCCAAGTAGCTGGGACTACAGGTGTGTACCATACCCAGTTAATTTTTGTATTTTAGTAGAGACGGGGTTTCACCATGTTGGCCAGGCTGGTTTCTTTTTTTTTTTTTTTTTTTTTTTTGAGATGGAGTTTTGAGCCCAGGCTGGAGTGCAATGGCACGATCTCGGCTCACCGCAACCTCCGCCTCCCAGGTTCAAGCGATTCTCCTGCCTCATCCTCCCGAGTAGCTGGGATTACAGGCATGAGCCACCATGCCGGGCTGATTTTGTATTTTTAGTAGACATGGGGTTTCTCTATGTTCGTCAGGCTGGTCTTGAACTCCTGACCTCAGGTGATCCTCCCACCTCAGCCTCCCAAAGTGCTGGGATTACAGGAGCCACCACGCCCGGTCAGCCAGGCTGGTTTCTAACTCCTGACATCAGGTGATCCACCCGCCTCAGCCTTCCAAAGTGCTGAGATTACAGGCGTGAGCCACTGGGTCTGGCCGTTTCGTCAGAACAATGAGGATTAGCAGGGATCCAACTAGAGGTAGATACCAGCCTCAGAGTGCATTTATTTTCTTTACCCCTGGAATAAGCCACAGGGTGGTGGGGTGTTATAATGGGACTAGGGATTCCCCCTAGGCAGTGGTCTCCAAAGTGGGGAGCACACAGCCCTAGGGAAACACAAGATGATCACTGGGAGACAGAAAGTAATTTTTAGCACATCCCTTCACATTTTTTAATTTATTTAGAGATGGCACGTCTTGTTATGTTGCCCAGGCTGGTCTCAAACTCCTGGCCTCAAGTGATCCTCCTACTTTGGCCTCTCAAAGTACTGGGATTATAGGTGTGAGCCACTGTGCCTGGCCCCATATTGATTTTTAATATTCTTTCTCATTTCTACCTTTGAATGATTATATTTAACATACCAATACAGTAGTAGACATAAATAATTGCTAAACAAATGACTATAACCTGGAGATGGATGCTCAAAAACTTATCAATGGGTTGGACTTCCCTTCCGCCAACTGCATTTTTAAAAACAAATCTATTAATCCACACCAGATACTAATTCTTAGTGGCCTTCCTCTAGTTAAACCCAATAAAGTAGTACTATTCTCCAAGGAGCCTCATTTCCCACCTGTATATGTAGGGATTCTCCTATGAGCAGGCTGGACCCATTGCTAGGCCGTGACACTGGTGGTTTCTAAGAACCTGGGTCACACGGCTATCTCAACAATGGGCCAAGAGAACACTGTACATGTGACCTATCAGGTGGACCACAAATGCCCAAGATGCAAGTTTGTCCTGCCTGAGCAGAGCAGAAGCTCTACAAAGCCTGGAGTTTCATTCTGAGAAGTGGCCTGGCTGGCTCTCCTGCCTGTGCTCATCCCACAGGTCCCAGCAGCGGTCAGAAATCACACAACCCCCATGAGACTGTGGAAATGGCAAGATGGCAGGGAATCCAGCACCACTGAGCAACTATTCTGTGCTGCTGGGAATGCTGAACCAGCCTGTCCCGTGACGCCAATCTCTTATTGTGCTTTATATTCCTAGTACCTGACCTACGGGTTGATACAGCAGGTATCCAATAAGCACTAAATTAACAAGCAGTTGTTAATTGCTAAGTCGTCATCTGATTTTTATCAAAAGAAAAAAAAACCGGTCAGGCTCACGCCTATAATCCCAGCACCTTGGGAGGCCAAGGTGGGCGGATCATGAGGTCAGGAGATCGAGACCATCCTGGCTAACACGGTGAAACCCTGTCTCTACTAAAAATACAAAAATTAGCTGGGTATGGTGGCATGCGCCTATAGTCCCAGCTACTCGGGAGACTGAGGCAGGAGAATCACTTGAACATGGGAGGCGGAGCTTGCAGTGAGCTGAGATTGCACCACTGCACTCCAGCCTGGGCAACACAGCAAGGCTCTGTCTAAAAAAAAATAAAAATAAAAATAAAGAAAAAAGAAAACCACTTCCACCTACAAGTACTGCTACCGCTTTGCCCATTTGAGGGCACCCAGCTTCATAACTAGAAAGAGAAGTTTACCAACCATAAAAGTATCCCGTCATATATTCCAAATTCAAATACACGATTTTACTTGTTTTTAGTCATTGTTCTTTGAGAAAATAACCAAGAAGGAACACACTTGCAAATGAACATGCTGGCTGAGTTTTACACATTTGCATAGTTCCGCAGATGTTAACAACTCTGCATGTATAGAAAACAACCATACATTCATCCACTGTTAGAAACCAAGTAGGTGGAGCCTTCTCTACACAGCTGCTAGATCTCATTTAGAAACAGAGTTAAAGCAGAGAATTCTTTTTTTTGAGACAGAGTCTCGCTCTGTTGCCCAGGCTGGAATGCAGTTGTGCAATCTCGGCTCACTGCAAGCTCTGCCTCCCGGGTTCACACCATTCTCCTGCCTCAGCCTCCTGAGTAGCTGGGACTACAGGCGCCCACCACCTTGCCTGGCTAATTTTTTGTATTTTTAGCAGAGATGGAGTTTCACCGAATTAGCCAGGATGATCTCGATCTCCTGACCTTGTGATCTGCCTGCCTCGGCCTCCCAAAGAGCTGGGATTACAGGCGTGAGCCACCGCGCCCGGCCAGAGAATTCTTATTGGGATGTTACGTCTCACTAACTTTATCTCAAAATTGGTTCTTTTATTCAAGATGTAGATTACTTTCAGGAGTTGTCAAAAACATCATTGAACTAGTTTCTTTTTCTGTAAGAAACAGCCAATCAAGTTGGCCAAAAAATGACCATAGGCTTTTGGAAAGTCTCATCTTGAGGCCAAATGGGTAGCTATTTGATTCAGTTACATGATCACACACTGCCAAAGAGTCAACATTAAAGTCCATTATATAATCCCTTTAAATGGCAATACTAGATTTAGACGCTTTACAGACTATGTTTTTTTCAATCTTCACAACAAACCCAGGGGAAATAACGTTTTCTTTTTGTAAATGAGGAAATGGAGGTTCTCAGAGCTGACATAGCCTGCTCAAGATTCTAACTAAAAAGTGGGAAAGCCAGAATTCAAATCCAAGTTTCACTATGTTACACTGCCTCAGATGATAAAGTGGTCATTACACTGCTCAGAAAGAAAAACGAGAATTTTTACAAGTTACTACAATAGAACTGTTTTATTAAACATATGACTGTATTTATTTTGTACAAAATGCAGTAACACTTCTTCTTTTCCTCTGCCCCTGGAGGCACTACCGCAGAACTTCATGTTCACAGAAACACACGTCATGGCAAGTGTGTCAAAAAGTCATGACAAGCAGGAAAGTGCAATTCTGAAAGTAATGCCACACAACCAAAGTGGGAAATGAAAACAGGCAGAGGCCAGCAGGTTTCTCGGCTAGGGCTCTGCCTATAACGCCCTGGTCCTGCTCATCTTTCAGCAGTAAACATTTTAAGAAGAGAAACTCCTGAGCACTATGTAAGTACTCTCCTGGTAGCATCCTTCCAATTCCATCTATCTTGATGTTGTAACAAGCTTATTTGTAACTTCCTCAAGAAATCCCACCCTGGATTGCATCCCTGTCAATTGCCCATCTCCCTCTGAGCTTCAAACAAAACAAAATAAAACAGAAGAGCAGTAAGTTTCAAAAGGAAGTCAGAGGAGACATTTGATAGATGAAACCTACTTCCTAGAAGCCCCCTGGCCAGACATATGCAGAGCTGGAGACAACAGATTGTGAAACTAGGTCCAGCTGTAAAATATCTCAGGTACCCAGTTAGATCCAGTTATTCTGCATCTGTGGATTTAAAATGGTCATCATCCACAGTAGAATAGATGTGCCCCTCATTGCTCAGAAAATCCACAGCTTGCCTAGAAAGAAAGAAGAAAAAAAAAAGGTCATTTTCAGGCCAATTCAGAAGGAAACTGCCTTTTGGATATGGCCAAATATGCAAACTTCGCTTATCTCCCAACTTTCTACCTTAGCTAAGAATTCACAAGTATTCTGCACATAGAAAGCTCTCACAGGGAGAAATGCCAGTAAAATAGCAAAACAGAGCTTATTCATGGAGACAATGGCTATTAGGGCTGTCTTGGATCCCTCTCCCAAATTGTGCAAAGGAAAGACAACAGGGCCTCACTTAAATACAGTCTAAGCAGGAAAACAAGGATCTAAAGCTGTAGTCACACTTGCACACAAAATCTCCTAGTAGAAACCACTGTCTTTAAAAGTCCCCCTTTTCCAGCCACACACTGAAACCCCGTTGGTCCCTCTCAGGGAAGTAAAGTTGTGGGAAGCAAAGGAAACACTCTGAAACCTTCAAACCCTTCAAGGTCCTCAGGGTTAGTGTCAGTAACGTATTTAATAGCCACAATCTACAGAGCACCTAAGTAACAGCAGTTCTCTACCTCATCAGCACGCAACTCTGAGATAGGAATTATTATCCTAATTTTACAGGACAGGAAATGGAATCAGCCCTGAGCATTTCTTATCTATCTAGGCCTGGCAGGTCAATTGATTTATAGTAACAAATAACTATCACAAGCACCATAAGTCAGTTTGTTTGATTGGTTTACTACACTGGAATCAGGAGGCTGCTTGTCTAAGATGGAATCAGGACAAGGGTGTTGGAAGGACTGATTGTTTAATAAGGTACAGATAGCCTAATACACTCATGTCCACAATGGGGACAGTAACAGCAACAGGACTGTACACCTGACGACCAGGAGCTAAGGACTTCCTTCCTCCAGTCTAAATCCCATAATGAAATCAGGTCAACTTTTTGCTCAGAATTATTATATATCCCTCACATATAGTGGTCCTTAGTGCTTGCTGAATGAGTGATGTGATGGGTAGCACCATTTTGGCCCATAGTCTTTTTCCTATTTTTCCATAGCTGAACGATTTCCATTCTGCCAACAGGGTTGCAGTTAAGTTTTTTTTGTGTGTGTGACAGTCTCACTCTGTCATCCAGGATGGAGTGCAGTGGCACAATGATGGCTCACTGCAGCCTTGACTTTCTGGGCTCAAGCGATCCTCCCACCTCAGCCTCCTGGGTAGCTGGGACTACAGACATGCGCCACTGTGCCCGGCTAATTTGTTTTTATTGTTTTTGTAGAGACAAGCGTTTCGCCACGTTGCCCAGGCTGGTCTTGAACTCCTGAGTTCAAGCAATCTGCCCACCTCAGCCTCCCAAAGTGCTAGGACTACAGGCATGAGCTAATGCCTGGCGAACTTTTACTTTTTTTTGAGATGGAATCTCGCTCTGTCACCCAGGCTGGAGTGCAGTGGTGTGATGGTGGCTCACTGCAACCTCCGCCTCCTGGATTCATGCGATTCTCTTGCCTTAGCCTCCGGAGTGGCCGGGATTACAGTTGCGTGCCACCATGCCCGGCTAATTTTTGTATTTTTAGTAGAAACGGGGTTTTCACCATGTTTGCCAGGCTGGTCTCGAACTCCTGACCTCAGGTGATCCACCTGCCTCGGCCTCCCAAAGTGCTGAGATTACAGGCGTGAGCCACCATGCCCGGCTGCCAAGTTTTACTTTTTAAACCCACTTCTCACTATCAGGAAACCCTTGTGAGGTGAAATAGGTACAATGCCAGAGCCTGAGCTCATGAAAATCAAATACTTACTTGATTGAGGATACAGACATGTGTTTCAGCTGGTTCTTGAGATCCTGAAAGTTCAACCCTTCAGGTCTTGGACAAGCCTTAATCAAATTCAACACCTGAAGATTCAAATCAGAAAGATTTTAGCAATTATTTTGGATCAGCCTCCCCTTTGCAAACCTGAGTCCCTTTATAGAAAAGAAATGAACCAGGTACTTAAACAGTCGTAGCTCATTAAGGAAGTAACAAAATTTAAGACTATCTGTGTTTTGTATTTCTGAAGCCACTCTGGTGGAGGTTACCTGGTTTTGGGCCACAGTGAGGCCATTTGCTGGCATGAAGCTATTCCCACCAAAGTTCCCTGCTTCACTCATTCCTGGATTGCTGATAGGTGCTCTCCCTGCTGAGGGCTGAATTAAGAAATAAGTTAGCAATATTAGAAAATCCATCAAGTTAAACAGTCTTTACTACTTAAAATAGCTCGTTAAGCAGCTTACAAAAAACAATTTATAAACAGTTTCCCAGTTTATAACACTGCTTACATTGGAGTGGACAGCTATTATCTAATGAGTATTTCACAGGAAGATAAAGTAACTCCCCGAAGCACATAAATATCAAAAAGAGAAAGATACTCTTGGCTCCTTTTGTTTGTGATGTCAGACGAACCAGAGAAGAGTAGCAGCAAGAAGAAAATTACCCAGAGTCTGCTATTTTGGTATCCATGGAGCCCAATCATTCAAGCATTCACTGAGTGTCAATAGGCATGAAGCACCACAGGCAGAGAAAAGGAGACACAGTCCCTATCGTCCTCTCTTTCTTTCTTTTTTTTTAACCACCAAATTCTTAAAATGCTCTGCAATCACTATTTTCATTTCCTTTCTCCCCAGTCACTCCTCAGCCCACCATATTTGGGTTGTCCCCCAGTACACCTCTGAAACTGTTTTCACCAAAGTCACCAAAGACTTTTCAACCAATTATCCAAAAGTCTCTTTCAGTCCTCCTAATACTTGACCTCTCGGAAGCAGACACTGCTGACCACACTCCTCTTGAAATGTATTCCTCCCTGGGCTTCTTGACACCACATTCTTCTGGTTCTCCATCTGCCTCTCAAACTGAACCTTCTCAGTATCCCTCATTAGCCTCTTCTATCTGTCTCCCAAAAAGCTGACAGTGTCCCCAGGATCTCATCCCAGACCGCCTCCTAGGCCACAAATCCTCATTGCCAGCCGGACTGCTAACCGGATGCCAACATGGTGAAACCCCGCCTGTATTAAAAATACAAAAATTAGCTGGGTATGGTGGTGCGTACCTGTAATCCCAGATACTGGCGAGGCTGAGGCAGGAGAATTGCTTGAACCCGAGAGGCGGAGGCTGCAGTGAGCCGAGATCACGCCATTGCACTCCAGCCTGAGTGACAGAGTGAGACACTGTCTCGAAAAAAAGGGCCAAGCGTGGTGGCTCATGCCTGTAATCCCAGCACTTTGAAAGGAGGCTGAGACGGGCAGATCACGAGGTCAGGAGATCGAGATCATCCTGGCTAACACGGTGAAACCCCTTCTCTACTAAAAATACAAAAAATTAGCCGGGTGTGGTGGCAGCCGGGTGTGGTGGTGGGCGCCTGTGGTCCCAGCTACTCGGGAGGCTGAGGCAGGAGAATGGCGTGAACCCGGGAGGCGGAGCTTGCAGTGAGCCGAGATCGCACCACTGCACTCCAGCCTGGGCGAAAGAGCGAGACTCTGTCTCAAAAAAAACAAAAACAAAAACAAAAAACCCAAATAAACAAAATTTTAAAAATTTGAGTAAAGGTAATCCTTACCATGGCCTCCAAAGCCCCATATAATCTGGGCCCTGCCTCCTTGCCTACAACCCTCTCCCTCTCCCCTGTCATTCACTTCACTCCAGACACTGGCCTTGCTGGTTTCAGAGATGTCATGCTTACTCCACACTCCTGGCTCTTGCACATCCTAGTCCCTCTGGTTTAGAATGTTCCTCATCTAAAATTGTACCATTCTTGTTCCCTCCATCAGCCTCTTCTCCTGTTTTATTTACTTCAGAGCACCTATATAACTACCTAAAATTATACATATATTTTTGTTTATTACTTGTTTCTCCCAAGAATGTAAGTATATAGTGTTCACTGCTATACTCGAATGCCGACTAGAATGATTGGGACTATCAAATCAAAGTAGGCGCAATAAATATTTTTCTTTTTCTTTATTTTTTTTTGAGACAAGGTTGCTCTGTTGCCCAGGCTGCAGTGAGTGGCACGATCACAGCTCAATGCAGCCTTGACCTCCTGGGCTTAAGTGATCTCCCAACCTCAGCCTTCCAAGTAGCCCATCTAATTCTTTAATTTTTTTTGTAGAGACAGGGTCTCCCTATGTTGCCCAGCGTGGTGTCTTGAACTGGGCTCAAGTGATGCCCCCACACCAGCCTCCCAAAGTGCTGAGATTTCAGGCCATGAACCACCACACCTTGCCCTGAGGGCTTTCTAATACTACAGTCAACTCTAGTTTTGCATGGTCCTAGATGGACTTGTCAAAGTGAATTCACACAATGGAAAATACTAGGGAGAAATTTCAATATGAACCAAGAAATATAATTTCAGGGAAAAAATAATAATACATAATTTTTCCTACTTAGCCAGTAAGTTGGAAGGAAGACAGCAAAATGCTGTCCTGAAGGGGACTACTCTCTGAGTATGCACTGACAATCCTGGAGCTAAGAGCTATATAAGAGCTAAGAGCCTATAATTACATGTCTACACCTGAGGGTTGTCACAGGCCTCAGCTGTCCAGGCCAGTGGAGTCAGAGGAACTCCTAATTCTGAGAGAAACATGAGTGTTTCATCTGGAATAAAATACAATGACAAAGCTAATGGAGAAAGTGTTCTGAGGACTTAGTGATGTCTTTCTCTGGCTCGGCCTTCAAAATATCAAGGAAATCAAAGCTGGAACACAAAAGTAGCCTGTGTTCTTCCAGGGAAGAGAAAAAGCTAGGAAAGCGAGACTACTCACCTGGCTGTTGGCTTTGCTTAGTACCATGTGTGCATTGATCACTTCCAGAATATGTGTGGTGAACTCATTCATATCCTCCAGGGGCATGATCTTAAAGGCTACCAGGCTCTTTTTGTTCTATTAAAATGAAGGAAAAAAATGTGAATAAAATATGAACATACATTAATTTCAGGTCAACACTGTGGCTCTTTCCTTGGTTATAATATTAATATTTCACCAATATGAGAAAAATGTTATATACTCTCAGAGGTATTCCAAATATGGTCAAACATGAGGAGAAAAAAAACTAAAACTAATAGCTAAGGGACATTAATAATTTTCCCAAGATTGCATAACCAAGCAAAATCTAGACTCCTGACTCCGAATCTAGTGTTCTCCTTTCTCCAACTAATGAACGCCACAGATAGCAATTGTAGAAGGAGATTCTGTTCTTTCTTTACCATTCTGTTAATTTCATGTTAAGGTTAAAAAAAAAAAAAAGAAAAGTTATTTCCTTTTGAAGAGAGTAAGAAATAACTTCCCATTAAACAGGGAGACTTAAGTATTTTAACTATCCAAAAGCCATGACATGAATCTAGAAACTGCTTCATGCAAAAACACTTTAACTGTTATTTTATTCTGACTTTACCTGAAAAGATCTCAGGTGGCCTGCCACTTTCACATATGTTTCTGGAGGAACCACAGTGTTTTCACTGCTGGTGTCCTAACATAAAATACAAACATGTCATTAAAGTTTTAGTGATGCTGGTAAAAGCCTCTTTAACGTTTCTATATTATGTATAGAAAGAGAAAGTTACGAAGTAGAAGAGTTAAAGGATCCTAAAATGGCATTAAGTAGTTTGCCCTGCCTTTTACAACTTATTTTGTAAAACCAGGAATTAGAATAAAAATATCTCTAAAGGTAATTATCAGTTCCAAAGTTCTGTAGCACATCATAAAAAAGCAAACAATTGTGACACTCTCGTTCAAGCTCTTAGGCACACAATTTTCTTTTTTCTTTTTTTGAGAGGGAGTCTCGCTCTGTCACCCAGGCTGGAGTGCAGTGGCACGATCTTGGCTCGCTGCAACCTCCGCCTCCCAAGGGAGGGTTTGAGTAATTCTCCTGCCTCAACTTCCCCAGTAGCTGGGATTACAGGCGCCCGCCACCACGCCCGGCAGGCACACAATTTTCTGGTGGATATACTTATTGGCAAAGCAATTCTACTTTTAGGAATTTAAGGAAGTAATTAAGAACATGCATTAAGATTTAGATTTATCATAGTATAGAATATTAAAAATTTTAAAACAACCTAAATATCCAACATAAAGTACACATTTCTATATAATAGGATACTCCACACTGTTGCAAATGATAACATAGAATTCTATTTACTGCCTGGAAAAACAAGTCATGATACATGGAAAAAAGCTGATTTCCCATTTGGGACAATACACACTAAACTGTTTATAATGGTTGACTAAGATAATTAAAAACGATTTTAATACTTATCAGTTTCCTAGAATATGCACACATTATTTATAAGAAAAATACATTAGCTGATTTTTTTTTTTTTTTTTGAGACGAAGTGTCTTGCTCTGTCACCCAGACTGGAGTGGAGCGGCATGATCTCGGCTCATTGCAACCTCTGCCTCACAAGTTTAAGTGATTCTCCTGCCTCAGCCTCCCAAATAGCTGGGACTATAGGCGCCTGCCACCACACCTGGTTAATTTTTTTGTATTTTTTTTGTATCTTTAGTAGAGACGGGGTTTCCCCATGTTGGCCAGGATGGTCTCGATCTCCTGACCTCATGATCCACCCGTCGCGGCCTCCCAAAGTGCTGGGATTACAGGCTTGAGCCATCGTGTCCGGCCCATTAGCTGATTTTTAAAGTTCTTTTCTGACTACATAAAATGTATTACTTTAAAAAAAATTGAAAATATATCGGGGTATATGGACTCACACCTGTTATCCTAGCACTTTAGGAGGACAAGGCAGGAGGATCCTTCGAGCTCAGGAGTTTGAAACCAGCCTGGGCAACATAGTGAGACCTCGTCTCTAAAAACAAACAAAAAACTAGAAAATATATGCTTAAAAATAAAAACTCTGGCCAGGTGCAGTGACTCATGCCTGTAATCCTAGCATTTTGGGAGGCCAAGGCGAGCAAGTCACTTGAGGTTAGGAGTTCGAGACCAGCCTGGCCAACGTGGTGAAACCCTGCCTCTGTTAATAATACAAAAAAAAGGGTGGGCACAGTGGCTCACGCCTGTAATCCCAGCTCTTTGGGAGGCTGAGGCGGGCGGATCACGAGGTCAGGAGTTCGAGACCAGCCTGGCTAACAGGGAAACCCTGTCTCTACTAAAAATGCAAAGATTAGCCAGGTGTGGTGGTGGGTGCCTGTAGTCCCAGCTACTCGGGAGGCTGAGGCAGGAGAATCACTTGAACCCAGGAGGCAGAGGTTGCAGTGAGAGACTGTGCCACTGCACTCCAGGCTGGGCAACAGAGCAGGACTCTATCTCAAAAAAAAAAAGAAAAAAAAAAAAAAAAAACCACACAAACAAAACAATTGTATTCCCATATACAACATTTTGAATCCACTTGAGAAAAGATCTCTACCTCAACTCCTTTTATCAAAATATATTCCATGTAGATCATAGGTTTAATTATAATAAAAGAAACCATAGAAATAATATGAACAATTTTTTTCTTTTTTTTTGAGACAGAGTCTCGCTCTGTCGCCCAGGCTGGAGTGCAGTGGTGGGATCTCAGCTCACTGCAAGCTCCGCCTTATGGGTTCACACCATTCTCCTGCCTCAGCCTCCCTAGTAGCTGGGACTACAGGCGCCCGCCACCACGCCCGGCTAATTTTTTGTATTTTTAGTAGAGACAAGGTTTCACCCTGTTAACCAGGATGGTCTCGATCTCCTGACCTCGTGATCCGCCCGCCTCGGCCTCCCAAAGTGCTGGGATTACAGGCGTGAGCCACGGTGCCCGGCTTTTGTATTTTTAATAGACAGGGTTTTGCCACATTGACCAGGCTAGTCTTGAACTCCTGACTTCAGGTGATCCACCCGCCTCCGCCTCCCAAAGTGTTGGGATTACAGGCGTCAGCCACCGAACCCAGCTGAGATTTATTTATTTGGTTTTTTGATAAGGTCTCGTTTTATCATCCAGGACGGATTACAATGGTGGGATCTCGGCTCACTGCAGCCTGTGCCTCCCGGGTTCAAGTGATTCTCCTGCCTCAGCCTCCTGAGTAGCTGGGATTACAGGCATGCACCACTGTGCCCGGCTAGTTTTTGCATTTTTAGTAGAGACGGGGTTTTACCTTATTGGCCAGGCTGGTGTCAAACTCCTGGCCTCAAGTGATCCACCTGCCTCAGTCTCCCAAAGTGCTGAGATTACACGCATGAGCCACCGCACCTGGCCAACAGCTCTTTTTTAATCTGAAGTATATATTGGGTGGCTGCTTAAGATTTTTTTTTTTTTTTTGAGATAAGGTCTCGCTCTGTCACCCAGGCTGGAGTGCAATGGCACAATCTGGGCTCACTGCTACCTCCACCTTCAGTGGGGCAAGTAACAGCAGATGTGGTGGAAATAGCAGGAGAACTGGAATTAGAAATGGAGCTTAAAGATATAACTGAATTGCTGTAACTTTATGGTAAAACTTGAGTGGATGAGGAGTTGCTTCCTTTTTTTTGAGACTGAGCCTCACTCTGTTACCCAGGCTGGAGGGCAGTGGCACAATTTTGGCTCACTGCAACCTCCATCTCTCAGGTTCAAGTGATTCTCCTGCCTCACCCTCCCGAGTAGCCAGGATTACAGGCATGTACCACCATGCCCAGCTAAATTTTTTATTTTTAGTAGAGACGAGGTTTCACCATGCTGGCCAGGGTGGTCTCAAACTCCTGACCTCAAATGATCTATCTGGCCGCCTGGGCCTCTCAAAGGAGTTGCTTCTCATGGATGAGCAAATAAACTGGTTTCTTGAGATGGAATCTCCTCCTAGTGAAGATGCTGTGAACATTGTTAAAACGACAATAAAGGATTTAGACTACTCCATAAGTTTAGTTGAGAAAGCAGTAGCAGGGTTTGAGATTGAATCCAATTTTGAAAGAAGTTATACTGTAAGTAAAATGCTATCAAACAGCATGATATAATATCGAGAAATTTTATGTGAAAAGGAGACTCAGTTACTCAGGCAAACTTTGTTGTCTTATTTCAAGAAATTGCCACAGCCAGCTCAACCTTCAGCCAACTACCACCCTCCTCAGTCAGCAGCCATCAACAGTGAGGCAAGAATGTCCACTAGCAAAAACATTATGAATTGCTGAGGGTTCGGATAACTGATTATTACAATTTGTTAGCCATAAAGTTTTTTTTTTTCTTCTTTTTTTGAGAGACAGTTTCGCTCCTGTTGCCCAGGCTGGAGTGCAATGGCGCGATCTCAGCTCACTGCAACCTCCACCTCCTGGGTTCAAGCGATTCTCCTGCCTCAGCCTCCCAAGTAGCTGGCATTACAGGTGCCCACAACCACACCTGGCTAATTTTTGTATTTTTAGTAGACAGGGCTTCACCACATTGGCCAGGCTGGTCTTGAACTCCTGACCTCAGGTGACCCTCCCGCCTCGGCCTCCCAAAGTGCTGGGATTATAGACGTGAGCCACCGCGCCCAGCCACCATAAAGTATTTTTTAACTAAAACAAACAAACAAAAAAAACAAACTTTGGGACTAGTAGAAGCTTCCGAAAGGTAAACTAGAAAAAACTGCACAATTTATTTTTCAAAATTATTTCTTTTTGAGATAGGGTCTTCCCATGCTGCCCAGGCTGGTCTTGAAATTCTGGCCTCAAGTGATCTTCCTGCCTAAGTCTCCTGAAGTGCTAAAGTTACAGGTGTGAGCCACTGTGCCTGGCCTCATTATAAGAGGTCACTATAATCATTTTCAAGTTCTTGCAAACAAAAACACTGTTAGGGGAAGGGGAATCAAAGAGAAAATTTACAAAAACCCCACAAATTGACATTAAACATAGTAAAAAAAAAAATACATATATATGGCTAAAACCAAAGAAATACACATAAAAAAATGACAAAATTTTCACTGAAAAGACTATTTTTTTCTGAGATGGAATATTGCTCTGATGCCCAGGCTAGAGGGCAGTGACGCAATCTTGACTCACTGCAACCTCCATCTCCCAGGCTCAAGCAATTCTCCTGCCTCAGCCTCCCGAATAGCTGGGACTACAGGCACGTGCTACCATGCCCTGCTAATTTTTTAATTTTTTTTATTATTTTTACGTATACTTTTTTTTTTTTTTGAGACAGTCTTGCTCTGTTGCCCAGGCTGGAGTGCACTGGTGTGAAGATCTCCGCTTACTGTAACCTCTGCCTCCTGGGTTCAAGCGAGTCTTGTGCCTCAGCCTCCCGAGTAGCTGGGACTACAGGCGTGCACCACCATGCCAGACTAATTTTTTTATTTTTAGTAGAGACTGGGTTATACCATGTTGGCCAGGCTGGTCTCAAACTCCTGACCTCAGGTGATCCACTCATCTTGGCCTCCCCAAAGTCCTGGGATTACAGGCATGAGCCACCGCACCTAGTCAAAAAGACTATTTTTTAAAACAACTATCACACTGGCAAAAATTTAAGACAAAAACCCATTGTTATAAAGGGTATGGAGGATAGGCACAGAGGCTCACACCTGTAATCCCAGCACTTTGGGAGGCTGAGGTGGGAGGATTGCTTAAACCCAGGAGTTTGAGACCAGCCTATTTCTTAAAAAAAAAAATGTTAAGGGTATGGAAACTAACTGGGCACTCTCATGCATGACTGAAGCGTAAACTGGTACCTTTAGAGAAGACAGTACAAAAATGCAAAAACTAAGATGTTAAAAAAATGTCAAATGTGTATTTCCCCCCAGAAAACCTACTTTTAGGAATACATCTTATGATTATTTTATTTTTTTGAGATGGAGTTTTGCTCTTGTTGCCCAGGCTGAATGCAATGGCACGATCTTGGCTCACTGCAGTCTCTGCCTCCCAGCTTCAACTGATTCTCCTGACTCAGCCTCCCGAGTAGCTGGTATTATAGGTGTGTGCCACCACGCCCAGCTAATTTTGTATTTTTAGTAGAGATGGGGTTTCACCATGTTGGCGGTGCCGGTCTTGAACTCCTGACATCAGGTGATCCACCTGCCTTGGCCTCCCAAAGTGCTGGAATTACAGGCGTGAGCCACGACGCCTGGCCTTACGATTATTTTATAATCATGAAGAAATGTATGCAAAGATACTCACTGGAGCATTGTATATAATAGCAAACGACTGAAAAGAAGTTAAATGTTGTTCCCTGACTGGGTCCACTGTTAAGTAAGGGATGATGTATTCTTATAATGGAATCGGTGGTCATTTAAAATGATAGATGTAAATCTTTACAGATAACATTAAAAAATCAGTTCTTGGCTGGGCCATGGTGGCTCAAGCCTGTAATCCCAGCACTTTGGGAGGCTGAGGCAGGATCACCTGAGGTCAAAAGTTCGAGACCAGCCTGGCCAACATGTTGAAACCCCGTCTCTACTAAAAATACAAAAATCAGTTGGGTGTGGTGGTGCACGCCTATAGTCCCAACTACTCGAGAGGCTGAGGCAGGAGAATCGCTTGAACCCGAGAAGCAGAGGTTGCAGCGAGCCAAGATTGCACCAATGCACTCCAGCCCGGATAACACGAGTGAAGCTCAGTCTCAAAAAAAAAAAAAAAAATCAGCTCCTCACCAGGCACGGTGGCATCAGCCTATAGTTCCAGCTACTTGGGAGGTTAAGGCCAAAGGATCACTTGAGCCCAGGTTTGAGGCCAGCCTAGGCAGCAAGCCAAGACCCTGTCTCTATTTAAAAAAAAAAAAAAAAAAAAAAAAGGCCAATGGCTCATGCCTATAATCCCAGCACTTTGGGAGGCCAAGGCAGGTGGATCACCTGAGGTTGGGAGTTCGAGACCACCCTGACCAATACAGAGAAACCCTGTCTCTAATAAAAATACAAAATTAACCAGGTGTGGTGGCACATGCCTGTAATCCCAGCTACTCTGGAGGCTGAGGCAGGAGAATTGCTTGAACCTGGGAGGCGGAGGTTGTGGTGAGCTGGAGATCGCGCCATTGCACTCCAGCCTGGGCAACAAGAGCACAGCTCCATCTCAAAAAAAAAAAAAAAAATCAGTTCCACAACATAATTTTGAGTGAAAAGAGCAAATTACTTAGCAGTTGCATAGCATATTATCCCTTCTACAGTAAAAGAGGTATGTGGACACCTGTATGTACATATATGCAGAGACAGATGTCTGAAAGGGTATTTTCCAAAATGTGTCGTAATAGTAGTTCTTTAAGAGACATGAGATGTCAGGTGATTTTTTAAATGGTTTATAAGCAAGCATAGTGCATTTTATATGAACAAGTAGTATTAGGTATCCATAGTATCTACCTCCCTGCTTGATGGCAGGGACTGTGTCTACCTCATTCTTTTTATACCTGGAACCAAGCACAGTCTAGTTCAGAATTGGTACTCCAACAATAACTGCTGAATGAATTATCCTTTATTTTTCTGAGAAGGAAAAAATTTAAAAATTACATAACTACCAAGTTATTTCTCTATAGATAACTTGTGGTTTTTGAAGGAGAACCGCATTTTTTTTTTTGAGTCAGTCTTGCTCTGTTGCCCAGAGCAACAGAGCAGTGCGCAATCTGCTGGAGTGCAGTGGCGCAATCTTGGCTCACTGCAACCTCTGTCTCCTAGGTTCAATCAATTTTTCTGTCTCAGCTTCTGGGTAGCTGGGATTACAGGCACCCAGCTCATTTTTGTATCATTAGTAGAGATGGAGTTTCATCACGTTGGCCAGGCTGGTTTCAAACTTCTGACTTCAGGTGACCCGCCAGCATTGGCCTCCCAAAGTGCTGGGATTACGGGCGTGAGTCACCATGCCCAGCCTAAAACAGTCTTTATTATCCAAATTTTCTGTAATGAATGTATTTCAAAAACAAAATACAAAACACCAAGAGGCCTTCTGCACAATTGAAAAATAAAAGGATAAAAAGTATATACTGTATTTCAGTCTATTTTATCCATGTTTATAAAGACACTTATATATATGCTGCTTTGTAAAAATTGGGTCAAATCCTGCATACCACATTGTAATATGCTTTTCTCAACAATTTATGGCAAACACTTCTTTGTGGCAATACACGCTTTTCTGTATCATTTGTAGTATGTTATAAATGTGTCATGGTTTACTTAATAATCCTTTATTGCTAGTATTTTGAGATTGCTTTATTTTTATTTATTCATTTTGAGACAGAGTCTTGCTCTGTCGCCCAGGCTGGAGTGCAGTGGCATGATCTCGGCTCACTGCAACCTCTGCCTCCCAGGTTCAAGCAATTCTCCTGCCTCAGCCTCCTGAGTAGCTGGGATTATAGGTGCGCAGAACCACGCCCGGCTAATTTTTGTATTTTTAGGAGACGGAGTTTCACCTGTTGGCCAGGCTGGATTCGAACTCCTGACCTCAGGTGATCTGCCTGCCTTGGCTTCCTAAAGTGTTGCGATTACAGGCGTGAGCCACTTCACTGGCCTAAATCTTTGTACCTGTCTTTAATTCTTTCCTTGATGTAAACTCCTAAGCTGTGGAGTTCTGCTAGGTCACCACTGTTTGTCTTTTTTTGTTTTGAGGCGCAATCTTGGCTCACTGCAAGCTCCGCCTCCCAGCTTCATGCCATTCTCCTGCCTCAGCCTCCCGAGGAGCTGGGACTACAGGCGCCTGCCACCACACCCGGCTAATGTTTTGTATTTTTAGTAGAGACAGGGTTTTACCGTGTTAGCCAGGATGGTCTTGATCTCCTGACCTCGTGATCCGCCCACCTCGGCCTCCCAAAGTGCTGGGATTACAGGCGTGAGCCACCATGCCAAGCCAAAAAGGAGCTTTATATTAATTAAAAATTTAAATGTTTGTAATATGTTGCAAATATTTTCCACATTCATTTAAACAATACTTATTCCAGGACCACTATGTGACTAGCACTGCTCTAGGTGCTAAGGCTACAGCGGTGACCAAGATAAAAATCTTTGTTCTAGGCCGGGCGTGAGGGCTCATGCCTGTAATCCAATCACTTTGAGAGGCTGAGGAGGGTGGATCACCTGAGGTCAGGAGTTTGAGACTAGCCTGGCCAACATGGCAAAACCCCATCTCTACTAAAAATACAAAAAATTAGGTGTGGTGGCGGGTGCCTGTAATCCCAGCTACTTGGGAGGCTGAGGCAGGAGAACTGCTTGAACCTGGGGCCCAGAGGCTGCAATGAGCTGAGATTGCGCCATTGCACTCCAGCCTGGGTGACAGCACAAGATTCTGTCTCAAAAAAAAAAACCAAACAAACAAACAAACAAAAAAGCAGGGGCTGGGTGTGGTGGCTCAAGCCTGTAATAATCCCAGCACTTTGGGAGGCCAAGGTAGGTGGATCACAAGGTCAGGAGTTCAAGACCAGCCTGACCAAGATGGTGAAACCCCATCTCTAGTAAAAATACAAAAATTAGCCGGGCGTGGTGGCAGGTGCCTGTAATCCCAGCTACTTGGGAGGCTGAGGCACAGGATCGCTTGAGCCCGGGATGCGGACGTTGTAGTGAGCCGAGATTCCACCACTGCACTGCCTGGGCGACAGAGTGAGACTCTGTCTCAAAAAAAACTTTGTTCTAATGGAACTTAACATTCTACTGTCTCCTGTCATTTGACTTTTAATTCTGTTTTTGGTATATTGGGAAGGTATATAGTCAAATCTACTAACCTTTTACTTTAGAGTATCTGTCTTTGATGTCTTTTTGTATTATTTTTATAAGAAAAAACTTTAAAAAGACTAAAAAAGTTCAACATCTCCACAGTTCCAAAGTAACCCCATCATGATTCAAAAACAGCCACTTACATCTGTGTCAACCCACTGGCGAACGTCCATGGGTGCAGCTGTCATGTCATCTATTTTGTAAACAATGTTGGTTGGAGCCTTCTCTGCATGTCTGATGATCCCCACAATAGTGACCTAGGTTAGAAGAAACAAAGAAAAAAAAAAAAGGTCTGGTTCCCCCTGAAACCAAGGCTACATTTTTGTATTTTTTAATGAAGTCTTATTTCATTCTTTATTATGAGTAAGTGATTCTTTCACAAATTATTTGACATACCTGTGAAATCTCAACATTCCCAATTCTGAACACTTCATCAACCAAAGTGGCAGAAAGCAGCTGAGATATAGTACAGGGCACAATGTGCTGGGCTCGGGCTCTCTGAAAAGAAAAAACATGCAAAATTCAATTAAGAAAGTAATAACTACCACTCATTCAACACCTGCCATGTGCCAAGTACTTTAAATATATTAGAACATTGAATTTCAAAACAAATCTCATTATCCTTGCTTCAGAGAGATGGAAACCAAGGTCATATAGCAAACCAATACCACACTTTTAGAATCCAAACCCAGGTTTGTCTAACTCCAGAGCTCCTGCTGAATAGATACACATGTTGCTCTGAGAATTCACCAAAATGAATAGGTCAGAGTGGGGGACAGGATAAGGAAGAATGACCTGCTGCTGCCAGAACAGACCTTCAAGAGGAAACCCCAGCTTTAGGGTGTAGACAGGCTGGTGCTGCTGTTCAGGTCACTGACAAAATGAGATGGTATTGGGAAAAGGTTTGAGAAATGACTAATGGAGACAGGACTTTGGAATTGCTTGTAGGTCTTGTGATGAACTGTAAAAGGTAGAAGAATAGCTTCTTGTAGGACAGATTTTTTGACTATCAAATGGAGCTCCTGGGGAAATGGAGTAAGAGCTTGGCCATGTTGGACATCTTTTTAAATTTTTTTTCTTTGAGACAGAGTTTCGCTCCTGTTGTCCAGGCTGGCATGCAATGGCGTGATCTCAGCTCACTGCAACCTCCGTCTCCCGGGCTCAAGCGATTCTCCTGGCTCAGCCTCCTGAGTAGCTGGGACTATATGTGCCAGCATTTTGCATTTTTAGTAGAGATGGGGTTTCACCATGTTGGCCAGGCTGGTCTGGAACTCTTGACCTCAGGTGATCTGCCCACCTCAGCCTCCCAAAGTGCTGGGATTACAGGTGTGAACCACTGCCCTCGGCCAAATTTTGTTTTGAGATGGGGTCTTGTTCTGTCACTCAGGCTGGAGTGCAGTGGCATTACAGCTCACTGCAGCCTCAAACTCATGGGCTCAAGCAATCTTCCTGCTATAGTCTCCTGAGTAGCTGGGACTACAGGCACACCACCACATCCAGTCAATTAAAAAAACATTTTTTTTTTTGTAGAGATGGGGTTTTGCTATGTTGCCCAGGCTGGTCTTAAACTCTTGGTCTCAAGTGATCCTCCGACCTTAGCCTCCCAGTGTTAGGATGACACACATAAACCACTGTGCTGGACTCATGTTGGACGTCTTAGGGGGAAGAGGCAGGATAGGGTAGGCAGAACAGTATCTAGTGAGCACACTCAAATTATATCTTTTTTTTTGAGATGGAGTCTCACTCTGTTGCCTAGGCTGGAGTGTGGTGGCGCGATCTCAGCTCACTACAACCTCAATCTCCTGGGTTCAAGCAATTCTCCTGTCTCAGCCCCCCCGAGTAGCTGGGATTATAGGTGCACGCCACCATGCCCAGCTAATTTTTCTATTTTTTTCTAGAGATGGGGTTTTGCCATGTTAGCCAGGCTGGTCTCGAACACCTGACCTCAGGCAATCTGCCCACCTCGGCCTCTCAAAGTGTTGGGATTATAGGCGTGAGCCACCGCGCCAGGCCCAAATCATATCTTAAAGCAGCCAGACAACAGTGTAAACTTATTTTTGCCTACCAGTGGCAAGAGGTAGTCTGGGTAACATGAAGATGAATATGATGGGACAGGATTTACCCTCAACATATTCCTAATCTAGGGGAGGTACAAAGGTAAACAATAAACCTGATCTTGATACACTGTAAAATGAAACATGCCATGTGGGACCTCAGAAAAGCTTACTGGCAAAAGAGGGAGGCTTTAGGCTGAACTCTGAAGCACGAGAATTTCAACAGCGAAAAAGTAGCAGGTAACAGGCTGAGGGCAAGTATGTACTCCCAGTCTCCTAGAGGGAATATGTACAAGGCACAAAAACGATGAGAGCTCTTCCTGTCAGAAGCCAAGAGGAAGTGGACCAATACCTGTACTACATGGAAGACTTAGAACACAGTAGACTCTTGGCCTTCATGGATTTAGCAGTCGCAACTCTGACCTGAACATCCACGACACTGCCAATATTTCATTTTGCTGAAGCATGATTGTGAATGGTGAGTATTGCCACAACAGGATAAAGCAAGCTCAGTCAACCGCTGGCACATATGCCACAAAAGGCAGCAGCCAAGCTTGAGGGTTAAGATTGTGGCTCTATTCTCAAGAGCAGCTGCTTGGCCAGGCGTGGTGGGTAACGCCTGTAATCCCAAGGCCGAGGCGGGCAGATCATTTGAGGTCAGGAGTTTGAGATCAAGCCTGGCCAACATGGCGAAACCCCATTTCTACTAAAAATTTAAAAAAAAAATTAGCCAGGTGTGGTGGCGCATGCCTGTAATCCCAGCTACTGGGGAGGCTGAGGCAGGAGAATCACTTGAACTCGGGAGGCGGAGGTTGCAGTGAGCCGAGATCATACCATTGCACTCCAGCCTGGGCAACAGAGACTCTCCTCAAAAAGAGAAAAAAAAAAAAGAGCGGTCGCTCTTGGTCACATGTATTAACTCATTTGTACCTCGGTTTCCTCATCTGCAAAACTAGGAATGATATTATAAAAATTACATGGTAAAGGACTCAGAATACTACCCAGCACAAAGCACTCAATAACAAATTTTAGCTATTATTATATTAGCTATTGTTCCTCATTCTTTACATTTGCAATAGCTTTTAATAACAACGTTGACAGGATCAACTTTTTCAATTTTACTTTATGGTATTTTATAGGTAAAGTTACATGCTATGTTAATATTTATAGTCTTAAAATTTGCAGGGGTCCCAGGATTTACCTCTCACAAACTACTATATTTCTGTTTTTACCTATCACAGCTGAGATTTTCATTGTATCTTCAGCATAAGAAAACTTAAGAACCAGTAAGGTAAAGTGGCAAGAACATGAGGTTTGGAGCCAGAGAGTCCTGTAGACCCATGCTCAAATCCCAGCTCCAAAGTCCTGGACACATGACCACCTTTTCTGAAAACTGGGGATATACACCTCTTAAGTTGTAAATGAGACACATAACATATATGAAGTGCTAATACCAATCTCTACATGTAGTAGATGTTTGACAAATATTATTACCTCTCAGGTAAAAATGTTACATATAGGTAACAGTTGAGATGTTAACAATGCCTTCAAATTCATCTCAAATCAAGTATTTATTTTTTATTGAGCATATATTTTATGTAGGAATTGATCACAAGGAATTCCTAGTCTGCTCCAAAGAGGTTCACAAAGTGTCAATAAAAATATGCTTAATTTTGGAAAAACAAAAACAAAAACACTTTCAAACTAAAAAAATTTTCATAGCTGACTATGAACCACAGACTACTCTGACAGTACTTCAGGAAAGTACCATTATTACAGATTAAAATTGGGTCGCTATTTGAAACTTCACATGGTTCAATCATATTGAACAAATACATAATCAACAGGAAACATTTTGGATAGAGTTCTTTATCACCCAGGGATGGTGCTGCACACCTGTAATCCTAGCTACTTGGGAGGCTGAGATGGGAGGATCCCTTGACCCCTGGAGTTAAGAGTCTGTGGTAAGCTATGACTGCACCACTGCACTCCAGCGGGGGTGAAAGTGAGACGGTCTCAATTTTAAAAGAAAAAAAGAATAGGGCGTTTACCTAACTTTTAACTGTGGAAAATACTAGATTTAAAAACAAAACAAGGCCAGGCGCAGTGGCTCATACCTGTAATCCCAACACTTTGGGAGGCCAAGAAGAGCAGATCGCCTGACGTCAGGAGTTTGAGACCAGCCTGACCAACGTGGCAAAACCCCGTCTCCACTGAAAATACAAAAATTGGCCAGGAATGGTGGCATGCGCCTGTAGTCACAGCTACTCGGGAGGCTGAGGCAGGAGAATCGCTTGAACCCAGGAGGTGGAGGTTGCAGTGAGCTGAGATTGTTCCACTGCACTCTGGCCTGGGCAACAGAGAGACTGTCTCAAAAAAAAAATAAAAATAAAAACAAAAAGACTGTCCGGGTGTGGTGGCTCATGCCTGTAATACCAGCACCACGGGAGGCAAGGGTGGGAGGACTGCTTTAGCCCAAGAGTTTGAGACCAGCCTGGGCAACATAGTGACACCCTGTCTCCACAAAAAGAAAAAAAAATTCAGAGACTGGGATTGAGTCTCCAACTTACAAGCATTATTCTCTGAAAAGCTATCTTAATACCCAGCTTTTAGGAATTCTGAGATAAAAATTATAATAACCAGAATGGAGAAAAATAGTTAAGCTTGGGAAGAAAAGATGAGAACCAATCATCTACCTTGTTTTCTCCTTCACAACCTCAAGAAAATCAGAATAGAGAATTAAAGTCCCTTGAGATCTTCTAGGAAAGAGAAAACTACAACAGGGAGAAGTTGCTGCTCATCAGATGTTGGATTTGTTCAGCATCATGTGCGTACTGTCTGATTCTAGTTCCTTACTAGCTATGTAAGCTTAGGCAGTCCCTTAATATACCTGAGTCTCTGTTAGTATGCTGGAATAAACAATAAATTCCTTACAGAATTACATAAAATAATTTATATGAAAGTTATAAAGCGGCCGGGCACGGTGGCTCACACCTGTAATCCCAGCACTTTGGGAGGCCGAGGCGGGCAGATCACGAGGTCAGGAGATCAAGACCATCTTGGCCAACATGGTACAACCCTGTCTCTACTAAAAAAATACAAAAAACTAGCCGGGTGTGGTGGCGGGCGCCTGTAGTCCCAGTTACTCGGGAGGCTGAGGCAGGAGAATGGCGTGAAGCCGGGAGGCAGAGGTTGCAGTGAGCCCAGATTGTGTCACTACACTCCAGCCTGGGCGACAGAGTGAGACTCTGTCTCAAAAAAAAAAAGAAAGAAAGTTATAAAGCAATGTCCAAATATACCAGAATATCATTGAGTTTTTTAACTTGCTTACACTGAATCTTAACATATCTGAGTGATTCCTAAAGAGAAGTCAAATTAACCTCACATTTATAAAATGAAATTGCAGTTGTTAAATGCAAACTCAGCTGGGAATGGTGGCTCACACCTGTAATCTCAGCACTTTGGGAGGCTGAGGTGGGTGGATTGCTTGAGGCTAGGAGCCTGAGACCAGCCTAGCCAACATGGCCAAATGCCACCTCTAAAAAAAAAAAAAAACACAAAAATTAGCCTGACACCGCAGTGAACATAGGTAGTACCAGCTGCTAGAGAGGCTGAGGTGGGAATGATCACTTGAGGCATGGAGGTCCAAGCTGCAGTGAGCTGTGATCACACACCACTGCTCTCCAGCCTGGCAGAGACCCTGTCTCAAAAAAAAAGGCAAACTCATTTCAGAGTGACTAAACATTTAGACAGCTTTCTATAGATTGTTTTCCTACACATTGCCTTACTCATCAATTCTCAGAACCACCCCGTGACATGAGTACTACCAGTATCATCAGATGAGAAAAACCAAGGGCCACAGCCTTCAAGATGCTTTCCTGAAGTCACAATGCCAGTTAAAAGGCAAGATGGATTCTGGAGCCCCCATGTTCTGGCTCCATAGCCTGTATTCTTTGTATATAATATTAAGTCTCACAATGACATTTTAAGGTATGTTAGCCCCTCTTCACAGGGGCAAAACTGACTCCCAAGCCAGTTAAGAAATGTGTCCAGTGACACCCTATAAGTAAAGCAGCACGGCAACGGCAGAACACACGTCTATGACTTCAAAGACCACATTTCTTTTTTTGAGACAGTCTGCTCTTGCTCTATCACCCAGGCTGGAGTGCAGTGGCATCATCTTGGCTCACTGCAATCTCTGTCTCCAGAGTTCAAGCGATTCCCCTGCTTCAGCCTCCCTAGTAGCTGGGATTACAGGTGCCTGCCACCACGCCTGGCTAATTTTTGTATTTTTAGTAGAGACGAGGTTTCACCATGTTGGCCAGGCTGGTCAGGAACTCCTGATCTCAGGTGATCCACCCGCCTCAGCCTCCCAAAGTGCTGGGATTACGGGCGTGAGCCACCGCGGCTGGCCCAAAAACCACACTCCTGATGTCGCCTCATCCCATTTAATTTAAAAGCGACTTTGGGCCGGGCTCCGTGGCTCACGCCTGTAATCCCAACACTTTGGGAGGCTGAGGCGGGTGGATTACCTGAGTTCGGGAGTTGGAGACCAGCCTGACCAACATGGAGAAACCCTGTCTCTACTAAAAACACAAAATTAGCCGGGCGTGGTGGCACATGCCTGTAATCCCAGCTACTCGGGACGCTGAAGCAGGAGAATCGCTTGAACCTGGGAGGCGGAGGTTGCGGGGAGCCGAGATCGCGCCATTGCACTCCAGCCTGGGCAACAGAGTGAGGTTCCATCTCAAAAAAAAAAAAAAAAGAATGTAAAAGAGACTATTAATATAAGTTCAGGCCAGGAGCAGTGGCTCACACCTGTTACCCCAGCACTTTGAGAGGCCGAGGTGGGAGGATCGCTTGAGCTCAGGAGTCGGAGACCAGCCTGGGCAACATAGTGAGACCCCATCTCTATTTTAAAAAATAAAAATAAATTTAAAAACCAAGTTGAGGGCGTTCACACAAGACTGATTCATTAGCTACACTGATCAATTTCAAAATAAGGCCAACGACGGGAAAAGCCAGGGAAACAGGAGGTGGAAAATTTGGCAAGATTTCATTTCTGAAACTTACAGCACTTAATTATAAGAGATGCAGATAATAATAGATCATTATCGCATCAGTTCACGTTGAAATCTTCCTTCAAAGCATAAAGTTTCTGTCATAGATGACTCAGGGACTTCAGGACAGGATAAAACAAAACTAAATACTCCTTTCAACCTACTGATTTCTTTTCGGCTTGAGAAGGTGCGGGCGATCCAAAGCCCCCCGGGGACTGCGTGTAGCCGCCGGCTCCCCCGTATGAGGAGCTGCCATAGCTTTCGAATCCACCTGTTTTGAACAACAGGATTAGTGCCTGTGCCACGTCCCACGCCTCCGAGAAACCCGCAGGCTCCCGGAGGCTTCGCCCCTTCAAACACTGCCCGAGTCTCCCTAACCTTCCTCGCCGCCTTCCTGCGGGTGACCCCCAAACGCCCCAGCTCCGCTCCCGCCCTTCCTCTCCCGCTACCACACGCCTCTCGGACCCTAGGCTCGCCCTCTTGCTAAAACCTCCTGCGATTCTCTTCCTCCTCCACCCCGCACCCCCATCATTACTGTTCCACATCTTGGTCACGATTCTCCGCAAAGAGGCCGAGAAGGTGCGGGTCTGGGGGAATAGCGGAAAACCACAGAACGCGGCCGCCACTGCGCCGCTCTGGCTACTTTTCTCTGGCACCACAAACGCCTTCCCGCGAATGGCGGAGCCAGTCAGCTCCCGGGGTGCTCGCTTCAGCCAATCGGTGCTCACGGATGCTACGCTTGTTCCTGTCTCCTCTGCCCATGCTCCAGAAAACGCGTACTGCGCTCCCAGTTGGCTCCAAAAGCCTCCGCGGCCATCTTTACGAAGGGCAAAACCCTCCGCACTAGCGGAAGCAAGGGGCTGGCAGAGCGGTATCGCAAGAAATCAACCAATCAGAACAATACTACCGCGACGCAGCGCCGTGTGATCCCACCCTCGTCAAGTGCGCGACTTCTGCCGTCACTTCCTTTGTTCGGCGTGCTCAGGTTCGCGCCAAACTATCACCAATCAGACGACGCCTTCATCTAAAGGGCTGTAGCGGAGTTTTGGCTTCGGTGTTTCCCACCCACGGTCGTGCGGGAATTGCGCACCTCAGGGACTCGCAGCACTAGCCTCACAGCACCGCGTGGAGTTGCTTGTTCTTTTACATAGGAGGTCACATTCTCTTCGTGTAATGCCACCAATGGTGCCGATTCTCCCCAGTGGGGCTGTGAGAAACCTACGCCCTCTTGCCTATGACAGACTTGTGAAAGATGTGAGGGTGGTGCCCCTCGTCCCGCACCTGTCCCCATCCCAGTCTCATCCAGGCTTGGCCTCTCCAGTCATTTCGACCATTTTTCATAATTCTTCATATAACGTGCCTCCCATAGGGAGTGGAACATTTTGTCAGTTCCTTCCTCAAAATACTCATGCATTGTTAGAATTTTATGTTCATTTATGTATTTAAGAAAAATTAGCAGGTGCTGTGGCTCATGCCTGTAAACCCAGCAAATGGGGTCTGAGGCAGGAGGACCGCTTGAGGCTGGAAGTTTGAGACCAGCCTGGACAACATAGTGAGACCCTCTCTCAAAAAATATTTTTAAAAATTAGTCTGGTGTGGTGGCAAGTGCCTGGGGTCCCAGCTACTGGGGTGGCTAAGGTGGGAGGATCACCTGGCCCTGGGGTGTCCAGGCTGCAGTGAGCTGTGATGCTGCCACTGCACTCCAGCCTAGGTGGCAGAGAGAGACTGCGACTCAAAAAAAAAAAAAAAAAAATAGAATTGTTTATGCCTTCTTTGTTCCTGGCCCTGTGCTGGCCACTGGGATTCAATGGTTAAGTAAGATAGACATGGCCTTTGGGCTCCAGGACTGTGTGTTTTTTTCTTCTCTTCTTTTTCCTTTTTTTTTTTTTTTCGGAAACTGAGTTTTGCTCTTGTTGCCCAGGCTGGAGTGCAATGGTGCGATCTCACCTCACTGCAACCTCCGCCTCCCGGGTTCAAGCGATTTTCCTGCCTCAGCCTCCGGAGTAGCTGGGATTACAGGTACGTGCAACCACGCCCGGCTAATTTTTGTATTTTTAGTAGAGACGGGGGTTTCGCCATGCTGGTCAGGCTGGTCTCGAACTCCTGACCTCAAGTGATCCACCCACCTTGGCCTCCCAAAGTGTTGGGATTACAGGCGTCAGCCACTGCACCCTGCTTTCTTCTTTCTTCTTCCTCCTACTCTTCACTTTGACATTCAGAGCACTGGGCAGAAATCGCATCGCGTGTTTTAATTAAACAGATTTCCCTGGTTGCCTCCTCTCCACCTCCCTCCTGCCCCCTCCCCTTTCCTCCCACCCATCCCCCTTCCTCCCCCAACTCCTTCCCCCTTCCTTTTTTTTCTTTTTCTCTTCTTTTCTTTTTCTTTCTTTCTTTTTTTTTTTTTTTTTTTTGAGACAGAGTTTCGCTCTTGTTGCCCAGGCTGGAGTGCAATTGCCCGATCTCGGCTCACTGCAACCTCCGCCTCCCGGGTTCAAGCGATTCTCCTGCCTCAGCCTCCCAAGTAGCTGGGATTACAGGGATACGCCACCATGCCCGGCTAATTTCTTTTTTGTATTTTTAGTAGAGACGGGGTTTCTCCATGTTGGTCAGGCTGGTCTTGAACTCCCGACCTTAGGTGATCTGCCATCTCGGCCTCCCAAAGTGCTGGGATTACAGGCGTGAGCCACAGGCCTGGCTTTGTGTGTGTGTGTGTGTGTGTGTGTGTGTGTGTGTGTGTAAAACAGGGTTTCACTCTGTCGCCCAGGCTGGAGTGCAATGGCGCGATCTCTGGGATTACAGGCCCAGCTCCCTCCCCCTTCCTTCTTTTTTTCTCCACCTCTCTCCTCCTCCTCCTCTCTCCCCCTTCCTCCTCCTCTTTCCTCCTCCACCCTCCTCCTCCTCTCTCCTCCTCCTCCTCTTTCCTCCTCCACCCTCCTCCTCCTCTCTCCTCCTCCTCCTTTCTCCTGCCTCAGCCTCGTTCGTAATCCTTCTGGGATTACAAACCCAACTCCCTCCCTCCCTCCCTCCCTCCCTCCC
The DNA here is from genome assembly GCF_000001405.40 of Homo sapiens. NCBI lineage: Eukaryota > Metazoa > Chordata > Mammalia > Primates > Hominidae > Homo > Homo sapiens. The sequence continues at coordinate 27,916,935 of NC_000001.11, forward strand.
TTCCTTCCTTCCTCCTTCCTCCTTCCTTCCTCCCTCCCTCCCTCCCTTCCTTCCTTCCTTCCTTCCTCCTTCCTTCCTCCCTCCCTCCCTCCTTCCTTCCTCCTTCCCTCCCTCCTTCCTTCCTTCTCCCCCCCTCCCCTTCCTTCCTCCTTCCTCCCTCCTCCTCCTCCTGCTTCTTCTCCTCCTTGTCCTCCTTCTCCTTCCTCCTTCCCCTTCCTCCTTCCTCTTTAAAAATAAATCAGATGGTGGCGGGTGCCTGTAGTCCCAGCTACTCGGGAGGCTGAGGCAGGAGAATGGCGTAAACCCGGGAGATGGAGCTTGCAGTGAGCCGAGATTGCGCCACTGCACTCCAGCCTGGGCGACAGAGCAAGACTCCGTCTCAAAAAATAAATAAATAAACCAGAAACAGCCAAGTGCAGTGGCACACCATACAGTCCCAACTACTTGGGAGGCTGAGGCTGGAGGATTGCTTGAGCCCAGGAGTCCGAGGCTACAGTGTGTGATGATCTTGCCTGTGAATGGCCAGTACACTCCAGCCTGGACAAGGGAGCAGGAGCCTATCTCTTAACAAAATAGAAAACAGAAAGAAATTAAAATGTCTTAAAATATAACACAATGCCAAATATCGAAATCAGACTTTCACCCAGGATTTCAAGACCAGGGTGATCTGATAAGTCAAATAGAGGAGTCAGTTCTCAATCAGTGCTAAAGTAATTGGTATGTACTCTGTGTGTGGATGTGGTAGTAAACTCATCTCTTAATTTAGTTTTGTCAAGTTGAAGTCTTCCTGTCACATAAAAGTAATTTCTGGGAGGTCTTCCACTTCCCTCTCCAGGCAGGTTGTACACTTTATTCCCAGACTGGGGGCTGTCAGGGAAATCTAAAGTAAGACTGAGAAGAAGAGAAATCGTCGTCTTTTTTTTTTTTTTTTTTTGAGTCAGGGTCTTGCTGTATTGTCCAGGCTAGAGTGTAGTGGCATGATCACAGCTCACCACAGCCTTGACTCAACCTCCCTGGTCTCAGGTGAACCTCCCGCCTCAGCCTCTTACATAGCTGGGACTACAGGTGTGCACCACCACACTTGACTAATTTTTGTATTTTTTGTAGAAACGGGGTTTTGCCATGTTGCCCAGGCTGATCTCGACCCCCTGGGCTCAAGTGATCCGCCCAGCTCAGCCTCCCAAACTGCTAGGATTACAGGTGTGGTCCAGCTGAGATCATCCTTTAAGACCAATCTGGTGACACACCCATTAGGATTGCCACTATTAAACAAAATAGAAAACAACAAATGTTGGTGAGGATGTGGAAAATCGAAACTTTTGTGCACTGTTACTGGGAATGTAAAATGGCACAGCAACTATGGAAAACAGTATGGTGGTTCCTCAAAAAATTACAAATAGAATTACCATATGACCCGGCAATTCGACTTCTGTGTCTATACCCAAAAGAATTGAATGGGAGAACTTGGAAATATTTGAACACCTGCGTGCATAGCTGCATTATTCATGATATCCAAAGGTGGAAGCAGACACATAAAAGGATAAACAAAACAAAATGTGGTATAGATATACAGTGGATTAATATTCAGCCTTAAAAAGGAAGGAAATTCTGAGACATGTTACAATGTGGAGAACCTCAAAAACTGCAAAGTTAAATAAGCCAGTCACAAAAGGACAAATATTATCTGATTCCACTTATATGTGGTACCTTGAGTAGTCTAATTCATATGCACAGAAAGTCAAAGGGATACAAAATTAACCAGGCATGGTGGTGCCCACTTGTAATCTCAGCTACTTGGGAGACCTGAGGTGGGAAGATGGCTTGAGCCCGGGAGGTGGAGAGATCGCGCCACTGCACTCCATCCTGGGTGACAGAGCCAGACCCTGTCTCAAAACAACAACAACAACAACAACAACAACAACAACAACAGCAACAAAAGAGTCAAATAGTGGTTGTAGAGGGCAATAGATAATTAGTATTTAATGAGTAAAGAATTTCAGTTTGGGAAGATGGAAAAGTCCCAGAGGTGGATAGTGGTGATGGTTGTACAGCAACGTGAATATATTTATTGCCACTGAACTGTACGCTTGAAATGGTTAAAGTCCTAAGTATTAGGTTATATATATTTTACCACAATTAAAAACTTTATTGTTTTAAAGAGAGAGGAAAAATTAACCCAATCTGCTCTTTGTTGAGTACGTACCACCTGCCAGGTACATGCGTTATTTGCTCTGCTAAGTGTTTAATATATGTCTCAATGTTTTAGACCTGCCATTTTAACCTCCAATGTCATTTTGCCTCCATTTCATAAATATACATATTTTAATCAGATCTGACCCAATATTGGTGAATTTCCATTTATACTTAATTCTCTGTTCAATATTCTGTACACTGTAAGTTACCCATTTCCAATTTTTGCCATTTTAATTCTGCAGAAATCATTTTTGTGGAGTATTTCCTGGGCAGAGTTTACAATGAAAATTTATTTCATCAATAAAAATTAGATCCCGATCAAATTTTACAGATTTTTTACATCTGCCACTGTCATTTTATGGGTGCTCCTTATTTGTATGAAGTATAATTTGATTTGGAGTGATTTTTTCTTTTTTTTGAGACAGGGTCTCACTCTGTCACCCGGACTGGAGTGCAGTGGCACAATCTTAGCTCACTGCAACCTCTGCCTCTCATGCTCAAGTGATTCTCCTGCCTCAGCCTCCTGAGTAGCTGGGAGTACAGGCATGTGCCATCACGCCCAGCTAAGTTTTTTTTTTGGTATTTTTAGTAGAGATGGGATTTCACCATGTTGGCCAGGCTGGTCTCAAACTCCTGACTTCAAATGATCTACCCATCTCGGCCTCCCAGAGTGCTGGGATTACAGGCGTGAGCCACCATGCTCGCCCAACTTTTTTTTTTTTTTTTTTTTTTGAGAGGGAGTCTCCTTCTGTCGAGCCCAGGCTGGAGTGCAGTGGCATAATCTCAGCTCACTGCAACCTCTCTCTCCTGGATGCAAGCAATTATCCTGGCCCAGTCTCCCAAGTAGTTGGGATTACAGGTGGCTGCCACCACGCCCGGCTAATTTTTTGTATTTTTAGTAGACACGGGGTTCCACCACATTGGCTGGTCTCACACCCCCAGCCTCAGGCAATCCACCCGCTTTGGCCTCCCAAAGTGCTGGGATTACAGGTGTGACCCACCACACCTGGCCTGGGGTGATTTTTTAAAATAGTTTTCAATGTTAAACACATGTGATTTTCCAAAAATTTTTTTGGTCTAAGGTAATTTTACTAGATGGAGTTTTAGCTGTTTTCAGTTTTAAATTACACTGATTATTTCTACCAGTAATACTCATTATGAATGGATAATACTGATAGAATTACTTTCAATATCAGAGAGTGGAGCAGAACATTTCATTCACAACTACATTTGTTCCTCAGTATACAGAAGGGATCAGTTCCAGGACCCCCAGTATACCAAAATCTGCCCATACTCAAGTCCCATAGTTGGCCCTGTGGAACCTGCTAATATGCAAAGTCAGCCCTCCTATACTAGGTTTCGTGTTCTGAAAATACTATATTTTCAATCTGCAATTGGTTGAAAAAAATCCGTAAAAGTGGGCTGGGGCTGGGAATGGTGGCTCATGCCTATAATCCCAGCACTTTGGGAGGCTGAGATAGGTGCATCATGAGGTCAGAAGTTCAAGACCAGCCTGGCCAACATGGTGAAACCTCGTCTCTACTAAAAATACAAAAAATTAGCCAGACGTGGTGGTGGACACCTGTAATCCCAGCTACTCCGGAGGCTGAGGCAGGAGAATTGCTTGAACCCAGGAGGCAGAGGTTGCAGTGAGCAGAGATCCTGTCATTACACTCCAGCCTGGGCAACAGAGCAAGACTCTGTCTCAAAAAAAAAAAAAAAAGATAATAATAATAATAATAAGTGGGCCAGGCGCGATGGCTCGTGCCTGTAATCCCAGCATTTTGGGAAGCTGAGGCTGGCGGATCACTTGGGGTCAGGGGCTTGAAACCAGCCTGGCCAACATGGTGAAACCCTGTCTCTACTAAAAATACAAAAAGATTAGCCGGGCGTGGTGGTGGGCGCCTGTAATCCCAGCTACTTTGGAGGCTGAGGCAGGAGAATTGCTTGAACCCAGGAGGCAGAGGTTGCAGTGAGCTGAGATTTCGCCACCGTACTCCAGCCTGGGTGACAGAGAGAGACTCCATCTCAAAAACACAAACAAACAAACAAACAAACAAAACCCATATAAGTGGACCTGTGCAGTTCAAACCTGTGTTGTTCAAGGGTCAACTTATTGTTCAATGCTAAATTTATTAAACTCTAATAGCTAATAAAACTTGAAATCAAGGCCGGGCGCGGTGGCTCACGCCTGTAATCCCAGCACTTTGGGAGGCCGAGGCGGGTGGATCATGAGGTCAGGAGATCGAGACCATCCTGGCTAACAAGGTGAAACCCCGTCTCTACTAAAAATACAAAAAATTAGCCGGGCGCGGTGGCGGGCGCCTGTAGTCCCAGCTACTCGGGAGGCTGAGGCAGGAGAATGGCGTGAACCCGGGAAGCGGAGCTTGCAGTGAGCCGAGATTGCGCCACTGCAGTCCGCAGTCCGGCCTGGGCGACAGAGCGAGACTCCGTCTCAAAAAAAAAAAAAGAAATCAAACCTTTGGGTATTTAAACATTGTTTACACATTTAATTAAATATGCTTAAAATTTTAAAGTGCAATTAAAGTTTTAGGATGGCTGATTCTTATAAATACTTCAGATATCTTAAAGAGCAGACAAAACATACAGAAACAATGGTTTACTGGGAAGCTGGTGAGGTTTAAGCTTCAGGGCCCCTCACTTGCACAGCCTCTTCCAAGGGTCTACATTCATACTTACTTTTGTATCTTACTTTGCATTCTTTTTCTTAAAGAAAGCCACCCAAATTATGTAAGCTTCTGGCCACACAAAATCTAGATCCTCATGTCCCATACTTCTTTGGATCCTTGCTTTATTTATTTTGTTATCCTCCTAAGGCTTCTGTACCATTATTTATTTATTTATTTTGAGACAGAATATCACTCAGTTACCCAGGCTGGAGGTGCAGTGGCAGAATCTCAGCTCACTGCAGCCTCAGCTTCGCAGTCTCAAGCCATCCTCCCACCTCAACCTCCCAAGTAGTTAGGACAACAGGTGTGCACCACCATGCCCAGCTAATTTTTATAACTTTTTTGTAGAGATGGGATTTCACCATGTTGCCCAGGGTGGTCTGGGACTTCTGGGCTCAAGCAATCCGCCCACCTTGGCCTCCCAAAGGGCTGGAATTACAGGCGTGAGCCACCACGCCTGTCTGAAAATACTTATTTTTTAAGGTTAGACGTTTACATTTCTTTTTCCAGTTCAACATAGCATGTTGCTATACTTTATATTTGTCACAATGACAGATGAATTGTGGGTGTTTTCTAAGATCTTGGAGTAAAGATCATTACACTGGAAAAGGCATGGGATCTGGGTGTGCCTCTGGCAAAAAGGGTAGGGTCAAAGGTCCTGCTTTATTTACTTAATCTTCATGATCACCAAATGAGGGAAGCAGTATGTCATCCGCATTTTACAGGTAAGGAAACTGCCCCCCAACCTCTTCCACATACAGCCACAAGTAGAAAATAATGTTTGCATGGTACATTGGATTAAACACAAGACACTGGCTGGGGCCAAAGGTACAAGGTGACCATTAGTCCTGGTTTGCCCAGGACTTCCCCAGTTTTGTTTTGTTTTTTTTTTTGAGACAGAGTCTTGCTCTGTTGCCCAGGCTGGAGTGCAGTGGCGCCATCTTGGCTCAGTGTAAGCACCGCCTCCCAGGTTCACACCATCCTCCTTCCTCAGCCTCCTGAGTAGCTGGGACTATAGGTGCCCGCCACCACGCCCGGCTAATTTTTTGTATTTTTAGTAGAGACAGGGTTTCACCGTGTTAGCCAGGATGGTCTCGATCTCCTGACCTTGTGATCCGCCCACCTCAGCCTCCCAAAGTGCTGGGATTACAGGCGTGAGCCACAGTGCCCAGCCAACTTTCCCAGTTTTTAAGTGAAAGTCCCAAGTCCCATATTCCAGAAGCCTCCTCACCACCCAGTCCCAGTTGAACTAAGACGGTTAGTTACCCTGGTCGGGGGTTTCTGGCTGACCTATGGATGAATGTCTTACTGTTCCTGTAACCTTTGGGTGCTGTAATGGTGTGCCTGACCACTCTGGTGAGACTGTCATCAGCCTAAGGTCACAGAGCTAGTAGAGGGAGGAGCTGGAGTTGAACCCAGTTCTGTGTGACTCCTGAGCCCAACTCTTTTTAGAGACGAGGTTTTGCTGTGTTGCCTAGGCTGGTCTTGACACCTGGCCTCAAGTGATCTGCCAGCCTTGGCCTCCCAGAGTGCTAGGATTACAGGTGTGAGCCACTGTGCCCAGCCACTATGTATAATTTTAAAGAGTACTCTAGGAAGAGGTGTACCCAGGAGGACAGATGGTAAGAGAGACACCTACAAAGAAGTGACAGTGCCCAATCTAAATGTCATGCTAAGAACTTAGGATTTTTTTTACCATTTGACCCAGCCATCCCATTACTGGGTATATACCCAAAGGATTATAAATCATACTGCTATAAAGACACATGCACACGTATGTTTATTGCGGCACTATTCACAGTAGCAAAGACTTGGAACCAACCCAGATGTCCAACAATGATAGACTGGATTAAGAAAATGTGGCATATATACACCATGGAATACTGTGCAGCCATAAAAAATGATGAGTTCATGTCCTTTGTAGGGACATGGATGAAGCTGGAAACCATCATTCTCAGCAAACTTGCAAGGACAAAAAAACCAAACACTGCATGTTCTCACTCATAGGTGGGACTTGAACAATGAGAACACATGGACACAGGAAGGGGTACATCACACACCGGGGACTGTTGTGGGGTGAGGGGAGGTGGGAGGGATAGTATTAGGAGATATACCTAATGCTAAATGATGAGTTAATGGGTGCAGCACACCAACATGGCACATGTATACATATGTAACAAACCTGCACGTTGTGCACATGTACCCTAAAACTTAAAGTATAAAAAAAAAAACTATATGGTCTTAGAGAGTCAAGTTAAATAAATTTGAAAAAACTGCATTATTAAAGATTCACTATTCATTTTTGCATAAGAGCTATAAGATGTTTATGCAAAATATAGCAATAATTTGTTTAATGCATAATATCTTTGTTCATAATAAACTTTTATTATATAGGCCTAAAAAGTTTATTGTTTCCTAGAAGACTATATTAAGATGTTTCTGCAACAAAGGTCTGTAACAGATTAGTCTTTCTGACTTTTCTTCTACCATAATGTACATTAATTTAATTTTCATGATCCTTAGAAAAATCTATTTTATGCAACTGTTATTTTAAATTATGTGTGGGATATATTTAATAAATGATAAGATTGTGTTCATTTAAAAATTTATACAAAAACAGGTTTTGGAAAATTACCAGTCAAAAATCAATATAGGCAAATGGCACCAGGCAAGAAAGGCAACACATATTTCTTTAGTCATAGGTTTTCCAAATGAAGTTGCTTAACAGAAGAATCTGTGCAGCTCTCCGGTTGTTAGAATGATAAAATCAAAACTATTTGTCAGAGAAATCCCTGAAAGATCTAATTTTTGAAAATGTTAGAAGAGAAAAAGAATCAAGTTTGTAGCATGATAAAAAAAATTAGCTTAGAACACACAAAATTCACATTCTTAATAGTGAGTTTATAAAATACAAATATATATGTATATAGATGATCTATATTACATCCTTTTTTAAAAGGTATGAGAGATTATTCAGAAATAAACACTTCTAAAGGGTAAAATTTATTTGAAGAAACTATGTAACCTACAACCATATATATCTGTATATATAAAATATAGTTATGCACATTTTATATATATAAATATGTGTGCGTATATATGTAAAGTGAGTGCGTAATGTGAATTAACTAATGTCATAAACAAACTAAAATAAGAAAAAAAAAACAAAAAACTTAGGATTTTTTTTCCCACAGCCATGAGGAGCCACAGGTTTTTGGAGCAAGAGAATTACAAGATCACTTCCAGATTGAGTGAGGCAGAGTGAAGGAGTGTGGAGAGGCCGGGAACTGCCTGAGACTAGAGGTAGGGAGATCTGTTAGGAAGCTGGATTAACAGACCCAGGTAGCAATGACGCGGACCTGCACCACGGCCGAGGGAGTGGGAAAGAAAGGGGCAGAGCAAGCAGAAGGCATAGGAAGGGGCAAAGCTTTGGGTGTCTTCAAGTCATTAATTTTTTTATTCATCCAGACTTACTCATTCCACCATACATTTATTTGATGAATATATATTCAGTGCCAGGAGCTGTGCTAACCCTCAAGTGACTCTAGTTTTGAATCTGGGTGAAATTCTGAAATGGATGAGGAGAAATAGAGTGGAACAGAAGCAGGTTTCTTCAATTAATGTTTGGCCAGGCCAAGTTTGTCAATTGTGGACAACTTAAGAATTTCTGAGATTTTTAAGGACCAGCCATCACAAAAAGCCGAGATAAGAGAAGACACTAATAGATGGTATAATTTGAGGCCTCCCAGGTTTCATCACTACTTATTTTTTATTTTTATTTTTTTTTTTGAGACAGAGTTTCACTCTTGTTGCCCTGGCTGGAATGCAATGGCACGATCTCGGCTCACTGCAACCTCCGCCTCCTGGGTTCAAGCGATTCTCCTGCCTCAGCCCCCCGAGTAGCTGGGATTACAGGCATGCGCCACCATGGCCGGCTACTTTTGTATTTTTAATAGAGACGGAGTTTCTCCATGTTGGTCAGGCTGGTCTCAAACTCCCGACCTCAGGTGATCCACCTGCCTCGGCCTCCCAAAGTGCTGGGATTATAGGCGTGAGTCACTGCGCCTAGCTCACTACTTATTCTTTTGAGCAGTCACTGCTGCTGCAAAGGGGAAAATTTGAGTAATTATTCAGTGATCTTTTCACTTTCTTTTATTTTTTATTTTTTATTTTTTTCGAGGTGGAGTCTCACTCTGTCACCCAGGCTGGAGTGCAGTGGCACAGTCTCGGCTCACTGCAACCTCTGTCTCCCAGGTTCAAGCAATTCTCCTGCCTCAGCCTCCCCAGACCTAGGATTACAGGCGCCTGCCACCACGCCCAGCTCATTTTTTTGTATTTTTAGTATAGACGGGGTTTTGCCATGTTGGCCAGGCTGATCTCAAACTCCTTGACCTCAGGTGATCCACCTGCCTTGGCCTCCCAAAGTGCTGGGATTACAGGCATGAGCTATGGCACCCAGCCTGATCTTTTCACTTTCCTCCTCCAAAACCTTCAGTGGCTCCCCATGAACTGTATGAAAAAGTTCAAGGTTCTTAGAATGGCACGCAAACTGAGCACCATCACAGTTATAATTTTAATTTGTCTGCATGACTCTGTCAAAGCCTGTTTCTCTCACTAATCTATAATCGAGTTTTGTTCACCATTGTATCACCAGCACTTGTCACAGTTCTTGGCACATAGAGGCTGCTTAATAAATGGATGTTGAACAAATGTTAAATGCATGAGTGAATGAATGCAAAAGAGCAAAGTGCCTTTGCCTGGGCTACAGGTCAGCAGTCAGAGATTCTGTCCTGGTCTTCTGTGGACTTGAACCCCAAGTCAACCACAGTTGCAGCCTGGCTTCCCAGAGGCTCTGAGGCCAGGAATGGGCAAAGGTGATCAGCACCTGAGGGCTTTCCCTTCCTTCAAAGGCTTTGCCACCAGGGTGTTTGTTTTATATGATGCAAACTAGAAATAAAATCCTAAGTCCCACCCCGATCGAACGGACCCCTCTTGGCCACGGGGACTCCACAAAAACCTTAAAAACTGAATTCCTGGCCATGATGACACACTTCATTATACCCGCTCCCTTTTGGAGTCAGGCACAACAACTGACCAGCATAAATGTTAAAATAGAGATGGTAAGACTGATGAAACAGACTCTTTGTGGCAATAAGATACCAAATTATAAACAAGATCTAGGGCCATGCCAGTCAAGGGTTAAGTCATGCCAGCATGCCATCAACCTGCTACATAGCATCTTATCATCATTTAAAACATTCCTTTCTGGTGGGGCGCCGGGGCTCACGCCTGTAATCCCAGCACTTTGAGAGGCTGAGGTGGGCAAATCACCTGAGGTCAAGAGTTCAGGACCAGTCTGGCCAATGTAGTGAAACCCTATTTCTACTAAAAATACAAAAATTAGCCAGGCTTGGTGGCAGTTGCCTGTAATCCCAGCTACTCGGGAGGCTGAGACTGGAGAATTGCTTGAACCCAGGAGGGGGAGGTTGCAGTGAGCCAAGATCACACCACGGCTCTTCAGCCTGGGTGACACAGTGAGACTCCGTCTCAAAAAAAAAAAAAAGTAAAACGTTCCTTTTTGCTGACTTCAGGTTTTAGACAGAACCTTACTCCTTTAACCAAGTGCAAATTAAAGAATCTCTGGGCCGGGTGTTGTGGCTCACGCCTGTAATCCCAGCACTTTGGGAGGCCGAGGTGGGTGGATCACCTGAGGTCTGGAGTTCAAGACCAGCTTGGCTAACATGGTGAAACCTTGTCTCTACTAAAAATACAAAATTAGCCAGGCATGGCGGCACATGCCTGTAATCCCAGCTACTTGGGAGGCTGAGGCAGGAGAATCACTTGAATCCGGGAGGTGGAGGTTGCAGTGAGCCGAGATCATGCCACTGCACTCCAGCCTGGGCAATAAGAGCGAAACTCTGTCTCAAAAAAAAGAATCTCTGGGTGGGTTGTGGTGGCTTATGCCTGTAATCCCAGCACTTTGGGAGGCCAAGGTGGGCAGATCACTTGAGCCCAGGAGTTTGAGACCAGTCTGAACAACATTAGTTGAGTGTGGTGGTTTGCACCTGTAGTCCCAGCTACTTGAGAGGTTGAGGTGGGAGGATTGCTAGAGCCTAGGAGGTAGAGGTTGCAGGAGGCAGAGGTTGCAGTAGGGCCACTGCACTCCAGCCTGGGCGGCAGAGTGAGACCCTGTCTACAAATAAATAAATAAATAAAACTATAAGCCCCTGTTTTAAGATATCCTGCCTTTTCAGACCAAATCTATGTATACCTTCCGTGTATTGACTTATGTCTTTGCCTGTAACTCCTGCCTCCCTAATGTGTATAAAACCAAACTGTAATTCGACCTCCTGGGACCACGTACTCAAGGATTCTTGGGTTTGTGTTTCCACTGGGTGTGGTCACTCATATTAACTCAGAAAAAACCTCTTTAAAATACTTTACAGAGTTTGGTTTTTCTACTAACGTGCACTACTGAAGTTATAGGACAAAAAGGGATACAACAAAAACATGAAGAGCCCTTGCTTCTTGTCAGCTTCACACAACATGTCTTTTTTTTGAGACAGGATCTCACTCTGTTGCCCAGCCTGGAGTGCAGTGGTGATCTTGGCTCATTGCAGCCTCAGCCTCCTGGGCTGAATCTATCCTCCCATCTCAGCCTCCCAAATAGCCGGAACTACAGGTGCGTGCCCACAACTGGCTAATTTTTAATTTTATTTATTTATATATTTATTTGTAGAAATGGAGCCTCTCATGTTGTTTAGGCTGGTTTTGAATTCCTGGGCTCAGGCTATCCTCCCTCCTTTGCCTCACAAAGGGCTGGGATTACAGGTGTGAGCCACTGTGCCTGGCCAACATGCTTTTCTCTTAAGAGTGGTGGGGATTTCCTGGAAATTACAGTTGCCAAGAGTCAAACAAGTGGTTTGGGCAATTTGAAGAAGAGGGGCTGTTTTGTAGCTAAGAAGGCAAAGTCCAGACCCCTCGGATTTCCCTCTTCAGTTACCTCTTTCAGCAAACCCAGCACAGGCGCCTCCAGCTGGTCAGGCCCAGGAAGAAGCACTGCCATTGAGTCAAAGGCTCCTGACAGAGCACTGAGTGGGGGCTTAGCTCCCCACCCCCACCCCTGCTTCCACTCTGAGCCCTGGCTGTGTCTGTCTGGGATGGGGGCATCTTTCCTTTTTTATTTTTTTTTTTTAATATATATATATATATTTTGCCCGGGTGCGGTGGCTCATGCCTGTAATCCCAGCACTTTGGGAGGCTGAGGCGGGTGGATCACAAGGTCAGGAAATCGAGACCATCCTGGCTAACACAGTGAAACCCTGTCTCTACTAAAAATACAAAAAATTAGCCCGGCGTGTCGCGGGTGCCTGTAGTCCCAGTTATTCGGGAGGCTGAGGCAGGAGAATGGTGTGAACCCGGGAGGTGGAGCTTGCAGTGAGCAGAGATCGCACCACTGCACTCCAGCCTGGGCCACAGAGCAAGACTCCATCTCAAAAAAAAAAATTAAAATTAAAAAAAATAAATTTTTTAATTAATTAATTTTTTTTTTCGGAGTCTCATTCTGTTGCCAGGCTGAAGTGCAGTGACACGATCTCAGCTCACTGCAACCTCCAACTTCTTGGTTCAAGCGATTCTCCTGACTCAGTCTCCAGAGTAGCTCGGATTACAGCCACCCGCCACCATGCCCAGCTAATTTTTGTAATTTTAGTAGAGATGGGGTTTCACCATGTTGGTCAGAATGGTCTCGATCTCCTGACCTCATGATCCGCCTGCCTCGGCCTCCCAAAGCGCTAGGATTACAGGTGTGAGGTCACCATGCCCAGCCTATTTATTTATTTATTTATTTAATGAGATGGGCTCTTGTTGTGTTGCCTAGGCTGGTCTTGAACTCCTGGGTTCAAGCAATCCTCCCATCTTGGCCTCCCAAAGTGCTGTGATTATAGGTGTGAACCACTGTGCTCGGCTGGAGGCATCTTTTTCTAATTCACACAAAGGCCTAGAGGAGTCCCCTTTTCTACATTCACAAAGATATCTTATTGGTTACTGGTGGTGGTGATGATGGCGTCTTCAGGGGACACTGACCAAAAAGCTGAGGTATTTAAAAGAAGCCCTTGCAGGCCTGGTGTGGTGACTGATGCCTGTAATGCCAGCACTTTGGGAGGGTGAGGTGGGCGGATCCCTTGAGCCCAAAAGTTTGAGACCCACCTGGGTAACCCAGCCAAACCCCCTTTTTGCTAAATATACAAAAATTAGCCAGGCGTGGTGGTGTGCGCTTGTAGTCCCAGATACCTGAGAGGCTGAGGTGAGAGGATTGCTTAAGCCTGGGAGTTCAGGGCTGCAATGAGCCATGATAGTGCCACTGCACTCCAGCCTGGGTGACAGAGCAAGACCCTGTCTCAGAAAAAAAAAAAAAGAAAAGAAGCCCTGCATGCAGTCAAAAGCTGAGTAAGACTCCAGCACCCCTCAGATGGGCTTATGAGGAGCTCCTGTGCCCTCCCAGAACTCTCTCCCTTGTTCCAATTTCAGGTGTAACCATTGCCAACTGCCTGCTCAGCCCTGGGAGCACTGGCTGCCCTAGACTCCTTGCCTGCCCTCCTTCCCCACCAGTCCCATAGGTTACCTTCCACGCATACCTCGACATGCCCTAGATTATAAATCAGGCCACAGGCTCAGGGGCAAGAAAAGTCACACGGCTTTATTTTCATTAAATCAATAGCAGTGGGTCTCTGAGCTTTCTTCCCTCGGGACTGGCAGAAGATTCAGTCTCAGTGATTATTTTGATGCCCCTCATTTCCTTGGGGTGACCTAGGCCCTAAACAGAAATGGGGCTTTAGTCTGTAGTTGTTTGTGGACATAATATACTCATCGGCTAAGGCTACACAGTTCCTAGGGGCTGGAAATTCTGCTGCACCTCTGACCCCAGGGACTTAGCTAGGCCAGGAGCCTTGTGGTTGATTCATTTGTGCAATGCCCATGTTTTCAGCTGAATGTAAGCCCTGTGAAGGCAGAGGCTTTGCATTGTTGCATTGTTCACCACTGTCTTTTTTTTCTTTTCTTTTTCAGACGGAGTTTGCTCTTGTTGCCCAGGCTGGAGTGCAATAGCGTGGTCTCAGCTAACTGCAACCTCCACCTCCCGGGCTCAAGCAAGTCTCCTGCCTCAGCCTCCCGAGTAGCTGGGATTACAGGCATCTGCCACCACATCCAGATAATTTTTGTAATTTTAGTAGAGATGGGGTTTCACCATGTTGGCCAGGCTGGTCTTGAACTCCTGACCTCAGGTGATCTGCCTGCCTCGGCCTCCCAAAGTGCTGGGATTACAGGTGTGAGCCACCGCGCCCAGCCTGTTCACCACTTTCTAGACATCCAATATTTATTGAACCCAAGTAAATGTCCAAGGACTTCCTGTCTGAGAATCTGCTACCTTCCAGGGGCAACCTGAACTCTTAAGATCCAGCAACGTCTGTTTGCTGCCCTGGCTATGCCAGTCTCCCCTCTCTTATGACTGTTCCCTCCCTCCTTTCACTACCCCCTCTAGGAGGTCAGAGGACACACCCTGGAGGTAGCTGTCTCCAAGAAGCTGTGGCTTTCTACTCTGCCACATCCTCCTCCAAGGGAAGGGATCTTTGCTACCTACTTAGAATGGGGTTTAAAAATACAGTTAGAGGCCAGGCGTGGTGGCTCAAGCCTGTAATCCTAGTACTTTGGGAGGCCGAGGCGGGCGGATCATGGGGTCAGGAGTTCGAGACCATCCTGGCCAACATGGTGAAACCCTGTCTCTACTAAAAATACAAAAAAATTAGCCGGGCTTGGTGGCGGGCACCTGTAGTCCCAGCTACTCGGGAGGCTGAGGCAGGAGAATGGCGTGAACCCGGGAGGCGGAGCTTGCAGTGAGCCGAGATGGCACCACTGCACTCCAGCCTGGGGGACAGAGCCAGACTCCGTCTCAAAAAAAAAAAAAAAAAAAATACAGTTAGAACAGGAACTACTCAACCAATTACCCAGCCACAGCCTCTTCAGTTCCTCCCTACTACTAGTTACCAGTTCCTAAGCGTAGCCCCTTACAGCTTTTCACCAAGACTTCTGCTATGGTTTAAATGCTTGTTCGCTCTAAAGCTGGTGTTATAATTGGTTACCATTATGGAGGTATTGGGAGGTTGGACCTTTAGAAGGTGATTGGGCCATCAGGGCTCCACTCTCATGAGTGGGAGTAATGCTGTTACAAAAGGGCAAGTTTGGTCTTCTTTTGTCTTGGCCCTTTGCCAAGACATGCCATGTGAGGACTCAGCCTTTCTCCTCTCCAGAGGATGCAGCATGCAAGGCATCATCTTGGAAGAAGCGAATGGCCTTACCAGACACCCAGCCTGCTGGTGCCTTGATCTTACACTTTCCAGCCTGCAGAACTGTGAGCCAATACACTTCTGCTCTTTATTAAATACTCAGTCTCAGGTATTCTGTTATAACAGCACAGAAAGGACTATGACAACTTCCCTGCCTTAGCCTCCTTGCTTGCTGGTTTCCCCAAAAATCCATCTTCCACAGAGCCAGTGCATCTTTCTAAAATGCAAATTAGGTTGTGTCTCTGCCATAGCTCCCCACAGCTCTCAGCTCAAACAGCTGAGCACAACCTGGCTCCTGCCTGCTTCCCCAGGCTTAGCACCCCAAGCCCAATATCACCCAACTCAGCTCTCTGGGATGATTCAGCTCCTTCTGCCTGGGATACCCTCCTCCCCAGCTTTCTCCTTTTCCTGCTAACTCCTACTTGTAAATTAAGGTTAAGCTGGTGGGACAACCATATCTTACGTGCTTTGCCATGCAAAACAACAGGAAAGACCCAAGACCACCTGAGAAGTCTTCTTCCCCAAAAGTCAAACCTGAATGTCATCAAACCCTTGGCTGTAACTATCAGTTTACAGGAAATATGGGGGACAGAGGAATATGTTAAATGACACCACCAGAAAGGAATCAGCCAAATCCTCCAGAATGTGGGAAATTCACAGGACAAAGAACAAGGAAAAAATGGGGAGAGGGCAGGAGAGCTACAAATTAAGGGAGACTTAAGAGACACATCTACCAAATGCAATGTGTGGACCTTGTTTGGACCCTGATTTGAAAGAACCCGCTGTAAAAAAAAAAAAAAAAAAAAAGAGACATCAGGGAAATTTGGTGACATCAGGGAAACTGACCACATATCTGCCTGGTGGAAGTAAGGAATTACTGTTTTTCTTTTTCTTTCTTTTTTTTTTTGAGGTGGAGTCTCGCTCTGTCGCCCAGGCTAGAGTGCAGTGGCACTATCTCGGCTCACTGCAAGCTCCGCCTCCCGGGTTCAAGTGATTCTCCTGCCTCAGCCTCCCAAGTAGCTGGGATTACAGGTGTGAGCCACCACGCCTGGTGGAATTACTATTTTTTTTTTTAGATCTGATAATGTGTTAGAAAAAGAGAGTCCTAGCCGGGTGCAGTGGCTCACGCCTGTAATCCCAGCACTTTGGGAGGCCAAGTTGGGCAGATCACCTGAGGTTGGGAGTTTGAGACCAGCCTGACCAATATGGAGAAACCCCATCTCTACTAAAAATACAAAATTAGCCAGGTGTGGTGGCGCATGCCTGTAATACCAGCTACTCGGGAGGCAGAGACAGGATAATCACTTGAACCCGGGAGGCCGATTTTGCGGTGAGCCGAGATCCTGCCATTGCACTCCAGCCTGGGCAACAAGAGTGAAACTCCATCTCAAAAAAAAAAAAAAAAAGAAAGAAAGAAAAAGAGAATCCTTACCTTTTAGAGATAAATACTGTTTACGTTCAAGATGATATGATCACTGGAATTTAACATCATACAGTGAGGGCCAGGTATGATAGCTCACACCTGTCAGCCCAGTGCTTTGGGAGGCTGAGGTGGGAGGATCACTTGAAGCCAGGAGTTTGGGACCAGCCTGAGTAATGTAGTGAGATGCTGTTTCTAAAAAAAAAAAAAAAAAAAGCCAGGTGAGGTAGCGAGTGCCTATAGTTCCAGCTATTCCAGAGGTTGAAGCAGGAAGATAGGAAGATAGCTTGAGTCCAGGAGCTCGAGGCTGCAGTGAGCTATTATTATCTTGCCACTGCACTCTAGCCTGGGTGGCAGAGTGAGACAACCCCCTTCTTTTTTTTTTTTTTTTTTTTTTTTGAGACAGAGTCTTGCTCTATCACCCAGGCTGGAATGCAATGATGCAATCTTGGCTTACTGCAACTTCTACCTCCCAGGCTCAAGGGATCCTCCTGCCTCAGCCTCCCAAGTAGCTGGACTATAGACATGTATTACCATGCCCAGCTAATTTTTTTATTTTTTGTAGAGATGGTGTTTCACTATGTTGCTCAGGATGGCCTCAAACTCCTGGGCTCAAGCGATCCTCCTGCCTTAGCCTACCAAAGTGCTGGGATTACAGACATGAGCCACTGCACCCAGCCTGAGACACTTCTCTAAAAAAATACATAAATAAATAAAAGTTAAAATAATAAAAAATTTTAAAAGTTGTTTAAATAGGGCCGGGCGCGGTGGCTCATGCCTGTAATCCCAGCACTTTGGGAGGCCGAGACGGGTGGATCACAAGGTCAGGAGATCGAGACCATCCTGGCTAACACAGTGAAACCCCGTCTCTACTAAAAATACAAAAAAATAGCCGGGCGTGGTGGCGGGCGCCTGTAGTCCCAGCTACTCGGGAGGCTGAGGCAGGAGAATGGTGTGAATCCGGGAGGCAGAGCTTGCAGTGAGCTGAGATGGTGCCACTGCACTACAGCCTGGGTGACAGAATGAGACTCCGTCTCAAAAAAAAAAAAAAGTTGTTTAAATACATAAAATAATCAAAAGTGAGTATAGATGAAATAAGAGTGGCCATAAGTTCATAATTACTGAAGCTGGAGGAAGGTACTTGGGGGTTCATTACACCATTCTCTCTCCTGTTTCTGTTTGACTGTTTCCATAATACAATGTTAAGAAAGGATTAAACGTGTCACCCCCTCCTAGAAGCCCTCTCACATTCCTCAGTCTGAATTAGATCCCCCTTTCCGGGGCTTGCCAATACACCTGATGTGCTGACCGGCAATTCTGTTGTTTGCCCCTCCCTCTTGGGGGCAGGGGCTGCACTGGCAGGAGAGGTGTGGCTTCCACTTAAGGGTCCGGTATGCCTGCCTCCTCGGGCCAGCCCAGATCATACCCTGCTGGGCAAAGGAGGAAGAGCCAGAGGATCCAGACGCCTTGGAGGACTTGGAACACCTGTAACAGGACAAGGAGTTCTGCTCAGGCACGTGGCCACAGAAAACTACTTAGGAAGCCTGTGGTGAGAACAACAACAGTGCCTGAGAATCCCACGGCTCTGGGGAAGTGAGCCCCGAGGATGAGGCTGCTCGCCTGGCTGATTTTCCTGGCTAACTGGGGAGGTGCCAGGGCTGAACCAGGTACAGCACTGGGAATGTCTGCTATGCCTTTGTTTTGTACTGTGAACTCTGGGGCTGCGGGAAGCTGCTCGCAGCCAGCTTGAAGGTGCTTCTAAAGATAGCAAGGCAGGAGCTAGGCAGGGAGGCAGGTGGGGAGAGCTAGTGGGCCTTAGCAAGTGCTGTTTGAGGCTGAAGATTTTAAGTGGAGGCGCCAGCTGGCCAGGGAGGGACACCGACATTGCGAAGAGGTCTGGGTACGTGAGAGCTAGCTAATTAGTAGAGGTAGGAGGTGGCAGGAAAGATTCGTGGACTCATTCAACAAATGAGGTCCTTTCCTGTACCATACGTTATTCTAGGAGCCAGGGATATATCAGAGAAGAAAAGAAAGTCCCCGTCTCAATGAAGAATTCCTTCATCTGGGGAGAAAAAAACAAACCACACGAACAAGTAAAGTACGCAGCATTGGAGGAGATGATAAGTGTTATGGGGAAAATAAAGTAGAACAGGGAAGGCGGGTTGTGGGGAGGGGGTACTTACAAGACGTCCAGAGAAGAGCTGTCAAATCAGGTGACACTCAAGTGGAGCCTTGAGGCAGTGAGTGGGGGAGCCACATGGGTGTCCAGAACATTACAGGAAGAGAGGACAGTGCACGGGGTCTGAGGTGGACACACAGGAGATGTGCATGAGGAACAGCAAGGAAGCCCGCGTGGCTGAAGCAGGGTGGGCAGGACAAGTGGGGGTGAGGTTGGCAGATGGTGGGGTGGGGCAGGTGCCAAATCATGGATAGCCTCGAAGACTCTCTTGAGGACTCAGACATTTTTCTTTCCACGTGCCTGTAGATAGGAAGGACGCAGGCTTTTGCTCAGGGTGAAATGGGATGTCATTGGAGGGTTCTAGGCACAGGTGTAATCTATTCTGACTTCTGTATGTTTAAAAGGACCCTTGAGGCCAGACGCAGTGGCTAACATCTGTAATCCCAGCACTTTGGGAGGCTGAGGAGGGTGGATTGCTTGAGTCCAGGAGTTTGAGACCAGCCTGGGCAACATAGCAAAACCCTGACTCTACTAAAAATACCAAAAATTAGCTGGGTGTGGTAGTGGGTGCCTGTAGTGCCAGCTACTTGGGAGACTCAGCTGGGAGAATTACCTGAGCCTGGGAGGTTGAGGCTGCAGTGAGCTGTGATTGTGCCACTGCACCCCAGCCTGGGTGACGGGAATGAGACCATCTCAAAAAAAAAAAAGAAAATGAAAGAAAAAAATTCTCTTTATAGCCCCTCTGAAGTAGGTGCTAATATCATTATACCCATTTTGCAGATGAGGCAAATGAGTCTCAGAGGGGACATTGCACTTGCTGAAGATCTCCCAGCTGGGAAATGGCAGGACAAAGCCTGTGCCTGGCTGTACTATGCTTCATGTCCTCTTGGGATGGTGGGGTTTAGAGGTACTATTTTTTTCTCTTTTCTCCAAACTTGCTGGAATGTATTCCTTTTAAAGTAAATTTAAAAGGAATTCCGGGCCGGATGCGGTGGCTCACGCCTGTAATCCCAGCACTTTGGGAGGCCGAGGCGGGCGGATCACGAGGTCAGGAGATTGAGACAATCCTGGCTAATACGGTGAAACTAAAAATACTCTACTAAAAGTACAAAAAATTAGCCAGGCGTGGTGATGAGCACCTGTCGTCCCAGCTACTTGGGAGGCTGAAGCAGGAGAATGGGGTAAACCCGGGAGGTGGAGCTTGCAGTGAGCCGAGATTGCACCACTGCACTCCAGCCTGGGCGACAGAGTGAGGCTCCGTCTCAAAAAACAAACAAACAAACAAACAACAACAAAAAAAGGAATTCCGCAGCACCTGTAAGGTTTTTCCAACTCCAGGTGTCTTCCTGAAGCACAGGTGGATTCTGAGACAGGGGATCAGACAGCATCATCCCTGCTTTGCATTAAACTGTGGGATTTCTGCCTCCACTTTCCTTAGCCAGGAGCTTGGGTGGATGCCAACTTGCTGGCTCCTTCTCCTCCTACACATGTCCTGTGTAACATTTCGCTCCTTCCTCAGCTTCTAACTGCAGAGAAGCAGACAGGTTCTTCCCCTGTGGGTTAGCTTGGTAGGAAAACACTCCCTGGAAGGCCAGCCCAGGGCTGAGGGAGCAGGACCAGGGCAGGAATGGTAACACCTACCTCTGGAGCTATTGTGAACAGAGGGTATTCACTGTAGGTGGTCCGTAAATGTAGGTTTTAACAAATGAACTCCATGGGTTTTGGAGGGCCTCCATTTACAAAGGATGAATTACAATTGTGTTTTGGGGCTAATGCTAGCCTTAATAGCAAAGGACTGAAATAGAGACTGAGACCATTGTGTGGTGTGGGTTATAGGCAATAACAGACAAAAGCCACTGAATCACAGGAGTCAGACTAGGAGGGCCTTCAGGGAACCTCTGTTCAGTACTTTCATCTTATACTTGAGGAAACGGAGGCTGAGGGGCAGTGTGGCCCAGGGAATGAGTCCTAAGGCTGCCTTGCTCACCCCACAGCCAGGTGCTCTGTATAAGAGAACTCTTTTACCTGCACAACTGAGGCAGGAGGTGGGACTGGACTCCAGAGGCAGGGCTTTGACACCAGACCAGATTGAGGACTAGCTAAAATACGGCCTGGGCAAAAGCAGTTTTCAAACACACCCAGCAGTGTGGCATGTCAATTTACCTTTGCAATGGCAACACCCAGGAGTTACTGCCCCTTCTATGGCAGTAACCCAATGATTTAAAAGTTACTACCCCTTCCCTAGAAATTTCTGCATAAATGCCCCTTAATCTCCAGGCAATTAAAAGTGGGTATAAATGTGACTGCAAAACTGCCCTGAGCTGCTACTCTCTGCCTCTGGGGTAGCCCTGCTCTGCAGGAGCAGTCATGGAGCTGTACATCACCTGTTCACCAAAGCTGTTTGCTTCAACCTCAAGCTTGCCCTTGAATTTTTTCCTGGGCAAAGCCAAGAACCCTCATGGGCTAAGCTCCACTTTGGGGCTCACCTGCTCTGCATCACAAGCATCCCTCTGCTGGGTGCATTCTAATCCTCATTTTATAGATGAGGAAACTAAGGCTCAGCTCTGAAAATCCCTTGCTTAAGTTGCCACTGCCTGTATGGAAGAGCCAGGATTCAAAATAAGATGTCCCTGATTGCAGGTTTCATGCATGTCCTTGCAGAAATAACTTACTGCCTGAAGCCAGAAAACTTAGGTCCTACCTGTGGTCCTGCCTTTGAATACCTGTGTGACCTGCAACCTTTATTTTACTGTTTATAAAATAGGGATGTTAGCAGAGGAGAGATTAAATGTGATGGCCTTAAGTGAGATCATGCCAGGTACATTGTAAAATGTTGTAAAAGTTTAAGGAGGCATACACACAGATGGTCCCTGACTTACGAAGATTCCACTAAGCTGTATGATGGGGCGAAAGCCTTAGGCATTCATTAGAAACCACACTTCGAGAAGCCATACAACCACTCTGTGTTTCACTTTCAATTCAGTATTTAATACATTGCAAGAGACATTCAACACTTAATTATAAAATAGGTCTGCATCAGATGATTTTGCCCAACTGTAGGCTAATGTAAGTGTTCTGAGCTCCTTTAAGGTAGACTGGGCTAAGCTACGATGCCCTTTGGTAGGTTGGGTGTGTTGAATGCATTTTTGACTTATGATATTTTCAATTTTGGGGGACGTAGCCCCATTGTAAGTCAAGGAAAACCTGTATATATCTCCAAGGCCATGCTGGTAGGTGGTGGCAGAATATAGTGCACTGTGATCATTTCCATTCTGACGTGCTCGGCATCCCCGGTCTGCCGCTCACTCGCTCAGTTTCCTCATCTGTAAAATGAGTACATCTTAGGATGCATTTCATAATGTTGTCATGAGGCTGCATGGATAGAGTGTGTGGCACAGTGTCTGGCATTCAGTAGGTGCTAAATGAATGGCAGATGCCTTCCTGCCCCCCTGTCTCCAACCATAAGGGAACTCACCTTCTAGCCATTTTAAGAACTTAGGTTTTATAAATGACTATGACTATGGGAGTTCTCCCCACCCCTATCACAAATCATACTAAAAAGATCCCATATCATGTATGATTTTAATTTTTTTATCTTATTTTTCTTTTTTGGAGACAGGGTCTCTATCTGTTGCTCAGGCTGGAGTGCGGTGCTGCAATCATAGCTCAAGGTAACCTCAAACTCCTGGACTTTAGGGATCCTCCTGCCTCAGCCTCCCAAGTACGGAGAAATTAAATTTCTTTTTAAAAAGTAGCTGAGTGTGGTGGCATATACCTGCATTCCTAGTGTGGTGGCTCATACCTGTAATCCTAGCACTTTGGGAGGCCGAGGCAGGCAGATCACTTGAGCTCAGGAATTTGAGACCAGACTGGGCAACATGGCAAACCCCACCTCTACAAAAAAGTACAAGAAAATTTGCCAGGCCTGGTGGCACGTGCCTGTAGTCCCAGCTACTTGGGGGACTAAGGTGGGAGAATCAGTTGAGCCCAGGAGGTTGAGGCTGCAGTGACCCAGGATCACACTGCTGCACTCCAGCCTGGGTTTTTGTTTGTTTGTTTTTGTTTGTTTGTTTGTTTGTTTGTTTTTGTAGAGGCACGGTTTTGAACTCCTGGCCTCAAGTGATCCTCCCACTTTGGCCTCCCAAAGCACTGGGATTACCGGTGTGAGCCAATGCATGTGGCCCATGAGATTTTTAATATTGCTTTTGAAATGAATTGTTGATTTTGATGACTTACTTGATATTTGTAATTTTTGTCTTTCCTGCACTTTTAGAGTCAATGCATTTTTTTCCAAGTCTCAGATATTTCTGTGGGCCTTGCAGAGCTATGAGGCCTTGGGCCCTATGTCTGTTGTCCCTAGTGAGCATAAAGGCCTGGTGATCCCCTTTGGTGAAGGAGGAGGCGGGCCAGGACACTTTTTGCCTGCCCAGGGACGCGCTGTGCCCACCAGTCCTCCTCTTAGAGATGGTCATCTGGGGCAGACAGGCTCTATCTTCATCTTGTTTCCCTTCAGATGTCCTGCCTGCCCTGCCCCTGCACTTTACCTGTGGACAGTAGCCAAGGACACGCTGGGGCTGGCTGGGTAGAACGTGGCCACTCCCCACCTTGTCCTGTCTCTCATGGTGAGAGGGGGCCTTGTAGAACCCCCCAGGAACCAAATGTGGAGTAACCACTGCTTCCCATTTATGAAATCATCTCACATTTCTCATTTTAATTCTCACGAGGGCCCCAAGGGGTAGGGGGCGCTGTTATCTTGATTTTACAGAGGAGGAAACGGGCCCAGGGGAAGGTTCCGCTGTTCACACAGCTATGGGGTGGTGCAGTAGGACTCCCTCCCAGGTCTGTGGCCTCAGCTACTCACTGTACTCAATACCAAATTTATTTATCTTCTCAGTAATAAATGAATAATAATGATAGCTGAGATTGGTGTACCTTTCTATAAAACTCAAGTTATAGATGAATACTGTCTTACTGTAAAAGGTCCAAGCAGTGCGAATGTAGAAAGCCTCTTAACTTTAACAAGATCCCCAGTGAAGCATCTGAACAGTAACATTTGAGAAGTTCTGGTCTAAAGGGTAAAGCATTAAAGTACCCAGGCGCCCACACCTCCCCAGTCTCACTCCTGGCCCAAGGGGTAATTGCAGGTAACGGTATGGTGCGTTGGGATTGTCCTCTATGAGCCCTTTCTCCTTCACTATCTTATTTGATGCTCACTGAGAGGCAGGCCAGATGTCAACATCCTCTAGCTCAGTGAGGCCTGGTGGCTTGCCCAAAGCCCCTAGGCAAACACATGGAAGAGGCTGGATTAGAAACCAGATCTCCCACCTCCCCATCCATGGTCCTGACATGCTAATTAGAGCTTAATTATTTTGATGTAGGGCCTGGAAGCTGATGGATCCCATATTCTTATGGAAAGCATGTATTTATTATTACAGCCACCTTCTGGGCGGCGGGGGGTTCCAAGTCAACAGGCATGACGACATTGTGTCTCAGCTTTGGGGTCAGAGAGGTCTGGGTTTGAGCCTTAGTTTGCTTATCTATGCAGTGGGCATAAGAATCCCTATCTCACAGACTGGCTGCCAGGATGAAATAAGACCAGTGTATGAAAGTCTGGGCACCTATCCAACACTGTCTGAGTGCCTACAATTCTAACTGGCCTCCCCACAGCCTTGTTCATTCATCGAATGTGCATTTGCACGTCTTCCACGTCCCAGGCACCCTTCTAGGCACTGAGGACATAGAGGTAAACAAGACGGGCTTGGTGCTCTCATGGAACTGACATTGTAAACAGGGAAGATGGACAATAAGCAAGCCAACAAGGTAAGTTCACATGTGATAGTGCTCTGAGAAAAAGGAAGCTGGGGAAGAAATAGCGACCAGACAGGCAGGAGAGGTGGCACTTGAGATGAGGTGGTCAGGGGAGTCTTCTGAGGAGGTGACCTTGGGGCAGAGGCCTGAATGAGGAGGAGGCAGCCGCATGATGATGTGGGAAGATTGGGCGAGGCCATGGCGTAGTCAGGGAAGAGGCCCTGTGAGGAGAAGCAGCTTGGCTGAGGGTGGTGGGTTGGGCTGAGCTGACAAGGTCGCTGGGATCTGCACTCCCACAATGAGGAGGCTGGACCCCAAGGAGTTGGAGCTGCCCACCTGGACCCCAAGGAGGTGGAGCTGCCCGCCTGGACCTCTGGCTCTCTCCACCATTCTGTCCACTAGCCTGGCCTCTCCTGGAGTCAGCACACACACATGCACACACACAGACACACACGCACACACACATAAACACACATGCATGTACACACACCCTTCAGCAGTATGTGCCAGAGAGGCTGGAAAGTAGTTTCAGTTCTACACACTGGCTGGAAAACGACAACTGACAGGTGAGATGAGGAGTTTCTGGAGTGGAGAAATGTTCCTGAATACTTTGAGGGCTGACGTCAAAGGGGCCAAACTGCTCAGTGTTTGTAGTTAACTGAGAAAGAGCCAGCTTGAGGCAGGGGAATAGCCTCTTTCTCTGTCTGCAGAGGAAGCGCAAGGACCATGTGCCCAAGAGAAAGGCAAAGGGCCTCCCCCAACATCCATCCTGGCCAGCCTGGCTCCGGGCTTGGAAGCAGGTGAGAGCCACTCACGGTCTCAGCTCAGGGACTTGGGATGCCCAGCAACTCTGCCCACCAACTAACTGGTATGAGGCAGTTCATTCCTTTACTCTGGCTTGGGGTTTTGTCACTGTATTCTTTTTAATTTTTTTGAGACAGTCTTGCTGTGTCGCACAGGCAGGAGTGCAGTGGTGCAATCTCGGCTCACTGCAACCTCCGCCTCCTGGGTTCAAGCGATTCTCCTGCCTCAGCTTCCCAAGTAGCTGTAGCTGGGATTAAAAGAGTGTACCACCATGCCTGGCTATTTTTTTGTTTTTTGTTGTTGTGTTTTTTTTTGAGATGGAGTCTCGCTCTGTCGCCAGGCTGGAGTGCAGTGGCACAATCTCGGCTCACTGCAACCTCCGCCTCCTGGGTTCAAGCAATTCTCCTGCCTCAGCCTCCTGAGTAGCTGGGATTACAGGCGTGAGCCACTGTGCCTGGCTGAATTTTATTTTCTGTAGAGACGAAGTCTTGCTTTGTTGCCCCTGCTAGTCTTGAACTCCTGGCCTCAAGCAATCTTCCTGCCTTAACCTCCCAAAGTGCTGAGATTACAGGTGTGAGCCACTGTGCCACCATGCCTGGCAGGAATATATTAGTGATCACAATATGTGTGGAAAGGTTAAATTTTCCCCATTATAAACAAAGGCTCAGTTTGGATAAAAAATAAAAATGTGGGAATATGCTGTCAACAAAAAGACCCATCTAAAATAGAAAGGCACTGGTTTTTAACCCCTTTCACAATCACATCTTCCTGGGAGGGATTGGAGCCCAGAGATCCCCATCATTTACCATGTGATCTTAGGCATGTTGACCTCCAGACCTTAGTTTCCTTATCTGTAAAGTGGGATAATGTTCCCAGGGCTCTGCGGAGAACACTGTAACAATGCATGTGGGAGGGATAATGATTTGCTTAATCAGCCATTTACACTTTAGTATGAATGTGTTTCACATCCTTTCCTGAGACTGTTTAGATCAGGAGAGGTGGGGAAAAGCTCAAGAGCATCTGGGAGGGAAAGTCAAGGAGTGAGGGTCAGGGGCCAGCCTTTATCTGCAGGCTGTCCACTGAATGTCCTGTGGCCTGGGTGGGGCCCTGGCTATCCAACCCTGAGATCAAAAGAAGTCCAGTCTCCCAGGCCCAGACACAGCTTCTTGGGGCCAGTGATGTTGACTTGTGGCTCTAGGTGACACAAGAAATGGGGGAGGAAGTGATTGCAATAGCAGAGGGTGAGGAAATCCTGGGCGTCATTCTTGTTTTATCGAGAAACAGGATGAACAGAGGCCAGATCTGCTCAACCCTCCTTCAGTAAGCAGTCATTGAAACAACTTGTGCTGGCCAGGTGCGGTGGCTCACGCCTGTAATGCCAGCACTTTGGGAAGCTGAGGCGGGCGGATCACCTGAGGTCAAGGAGTTTGAGACCAGCCTGGCTAACATGGCGAAACCCCATTTCTACTAAAAATACAAATACAAAAAAAAAAAAATTAGCTGGGCGTGGTGGCGCATGACTGTAATCCCAGCTGCTTGGGAGGCTGAGGCCAGAGAATCACTTGAACCCAGGAGGCAGAGGTTGCAGTGAGCCGAGATTGCACCATTGCACTCCAGCTTGGGCACAGAGCGAAACTCTGTCTCAAAAAAAAAAAAAAAAAAAAGAAACTACTGTGCCAGGCCGTGTTGGGTTCGCATGAGAAGTCTACTCCATCTCACCTGTTTCTTTGGATTCCTTTCTCTTTATTACACTGTGAAGTTTTTTGCCACTTCAGCCTCCTTTGGTCGGAAACTGAGTCTAGGTTTCGGTCAATCACCTCAGCAAGCAGGACCACTCCCAGCTGCTTGAGCCACACCTTGGATCCAGAATCACCAGCAAATATACCTACCAGAGGAGGTCAGCCCGATCTGAAGTGGCGTTCCTTTTTCCCTGGTCTAGTACTCTTATACTCACTTCCACATGTAGTCCCCAGGTTTTTGCTGTTTTTGTTTTGTTTTGTTTTGGAGACAGAGTCTTGCTCTGTCACCCAGGCTGCAGTGCAGTGGCATGATCATGGCTCACTGCAGCCTCCACCTCCTGGGCTCAGGCGATCCTCTCACCTTAGCCTCCTGAGTAGCTGGGACCACAGGTACATGACCCCACACCCGACGAATTTTCTAAATTTTGTGTAGAGATGAGGTCCGCCTATGTAGCCCAGGCTGGTCTTGAACTCCTGGCCTCAAAGAATCATCTTACCTTGGCCTCCCAAAGTACTGGGATTACAGGCATGAACCACTGCACCCGGGCTTTGCTGGTATTGCTTAGCAAGGTTTTCCAGCTCATTTGGTGTGTAAGCCTTTTCCATCCAGGTCAGACTTTTTTCTTTTTTTTTTTTTTTAATTTTCCAAGAAATTCCAGGACAGGTCAGATTTTCATATGTAGTTATATTTCCCTGCAGCATGAGAGGATATGGCTCTAGTTAATGGGCTTAGAAAAGTGACATAGCCCAGGTCACACAGCTCCTAAGTGGCTCAGAGCCTGAGCACTTAACCCATACCCTCTCCCGCCTTTGCTTTAAAACAAGCCCCCTCATTAGAATGCCTGAGCTCTAATGTTGTGGCTGCCCATCCAATGTGGGGAGGAGGACGGGGCCTTGCCAAAGGTCAGCGCTCAGGGATGGAGCTGAGCCTGTTCTGTGCTCTGCTCAATGTGTCCCTGGGCAGAGCCAGGCCTGTGGGCCTTTTCTCTGAACCCGGGGTGCTCAGAGAAGACTTCCATTTGCCTGTGTAACGCCCCTGCCCCAGCCCAGGGCTCCCCTGGACTTCCTTGCTTCCAGGCTGAGAGAGAGACCAGCTTTGAAGGAGGATGTTTTTTCCCCTGCAGGGAAGTTCTGGCACATCGCTGACCTGCACCTTGACCCTGACTACAAGGTATCCAAAGACCCCTTCCAGGTGTGCCCATCAGCTGGATCCCAGCCAGTGCCCGACGCAGGCCCCTGGGGTGACTACCTCTGTGATTCTCCCTGGGCCCTCATCAACTCCTCCATCTATGCCATGAAGGAGATTGAGCCAGAGCCAGACTTCATTCTCTGGACTGGGTGAGTACAGTTGAGGTGGCAGCTACCCTTTGCCAGGCATCTGCTATGTGCTACATACCAGTCTGGCCCTTTGCCCACATTATCTCCCTTAATCCTCACATCAGTCTCACGTGAGGCTGAGGAACCTAAAGCTCAAAGGAATTTTGTAACTTGCCCGGGGATTCCTGAGTCCAACTGATTCCACAGTCTGTGTCCTCGACCTCCATGTCTCCTGGCTGTGGCAGAACGCAGCTCTCAATCAGGCTTTTGGACGTGGTCCTGGCATGCCTGGGCACCCGGAGAGTGTCCAGGTTTTAAGCTATGGGTGGACACTGGAGCCATTTCCCCTGGGGCTTAGGGACTCTAAGTCTGAGAGGTCCAAGTGCAGGGAGGGAAGAAGTTATGAGGGCTGAAGGTGGCCCAGCCTGGGGTCCTAGTGTCCTGGCCAGCTGCTGGCCACCCCTGGGCTGCCCAGTGGTCCTGGATTTTCTCACCAGTCAGAGCTCTGCTCTACAGAGTGACAGCTTGAGGGCCGATCCCACTCAGCCGCAGAGACCCAGTTTCTGCTTCCTGTCCAAGGTTGCTGCTCTAATTCCTTCAACTTTCCTGGGAACTTGCCTCCTTATCATTCAAGATTCCCCCATTCCGGCTGGGTATAGTGGCTCATGCTTGTAATTCCAGCACTTTGGGAGGCCGAGGCAGTGGATCACCTGAGGTCAGGAGTTTGAGACCATCCTGGCCAACATGGTGAAACCCCGTCTCTACTAAAAATACAAAAATTAGCCTGGCGTGGTAGTGCACGCCTGTGGTTCCAGCTACTCGGGAGGCTGAGGCAGGAGAATCGCTTGCATTTGGGAGGTAGAGGTTGCAGTGAGCCAAGATCACACCACTACACTCCCAGCCTGAGTGACACAGCAAGACTCTGTCTCAAAAAAAAAAAAGAAAGAAAAAGAAAAAAAGATACCCCCATCTCCTCGCTTGCTCCCTCACTTGGCAGGGCAACAAGTCGTGCTCAGTTGTGGGGTAGATGCTAGGGATCTGAGATGATGGACACCCACACTTGGCTCCAAGGAGCTCACGTTCTTGTGGGCAATGCAGACAAACCCATTGACCCTACCCTTACATCCAAGCAAGGAGAGAGAGTCACCTGGGGGGATGTGGGAACTTCACAGGGCACATGATCCCATCTGGCAGGATTAGGGGAAGGACATCCTGCAGGAGGTGGTGGAGCAGGGGAGCTCTCGAGGAAGGCTGGAAGGAATTCTGACTTTGCGCTCCCTCTACCAGCCTCAGTGGACACTTCTATAAGGCAGGGTGAAACCCATGATGCCCCTAGCTGTGATGTGGTTTGTGGGTGTGACCAGGAAGGACCCTCAGATGAACCTGCCAGGCTGGACACATAAGAAGACATGTGACATTGTCTCAGGAGGGGCCTGGACAGCTCTGGCTTCCTTGGGCTCAGGAATCAATCTAAGAAGAGAGTGAGATTTGGTCCATGACCTTGGGCCTGCTCCCTTGAGGGGAGCTTCTGATTTCTCCGAGAAGGGAGAGCATGTGTAGCATTCAGACAGATGGGATCCCTCAGGAAATTCATGATCCTTTAACAGATGCACATTTTTTTTTTTTTTTGAGATGGAGTTTCGCTCTTTTTGCCCAGGCTGGAGTGCAATGGCGTGATCTTGGCTCACCACAATCTCCGCCTCCTGGGTTCAAGCGATTCTCCTGCCTCAGCCTCCCGAGTAGCTGGGATTACAGGCATGCGCCACCACGCCCGGCTAATTTTGTATTTTTATTAGAGACAAGGTTTCTCCATGTTGGTGAGAGTGGTCTCAAACTCCCGACCTCAGGTGATCTGCCCGCCTCAGCCTCCCAAAGTGCTGGGATTGCAGGCGTGAGCCACTGCACCCGGCCACAGTTGCACCTTTTTTTCCTGGGAAATCTCTGAGACCTTGAAGAGGTACACAGCATCAGATGAGAAGATCTCTAGGACCCTTTACAATTCTTCAATTATAATAAAATTTGACTTCTAAGAGAGCTGCAGTCCCTTTGAGGATGGCCATTAGAAATTAGGTATGTTTTACTACTCAGGAGGCTGAGGCAGGAGAATCGCTTGAACCTGGGAGACGGAGGTTGCAGTGAGCCGAAATTGCGCCACTGCACTCCAGCCTGGGTGACAGAGCGAGACTCCATCTCAAAAAAAAAAAAAAAAAGAAATTAGGTGTTTTTTTGTTTTTTTTTTTTAAGATGGAGTCTCGCTCTGTCGCCCAGGCTGGAGTGCAGTGGTGCGATCTCGGCTCACTGGTGCCCCCTACCACGCCTGGCTAATTTTTGTATTTTTAGTAGAGACAGGGTTTCACCATATTGGCCTGGCTGGTCTCGAACTCCTGACCTTATGATCCGCCTGCCTCGGCCTCCCCAAGTGCTGGGATTACAGGCGTGAGTCACCGCCCCCGGCCTAGGTGTGTTTTTTATCAGACAGAATTAGATTCTCTAACCTAGAAATTAAAAATATGAAATTTTGTCCCTGTGTCTTTGGGTTTCCGGCCTGTCCCCAGGGAGTTTTCAGGGCAAAACAGCCCCTCTTGCTGCCCTAATGTGGGTATCAGAGACACTATAGGATGCAGTGGCTGTGAGCATAGACTCTGGGGCCAGGCTGACTGGGCTCAAATCTTGGCCCCACCACTTTCTAGTGGTGTACACTTAGGTACAATTTTTCCCCCGTGTCTCTGGTGCTTGATTTAGGATAGGCAAAATTCTTAACTTTTCTGTGTCTTGGTTTCTTTATCTGTCAAACGGGCCTAAACTAATAATAGAATTTACATTGCAGTGTTATAATGGGGAAAAAATTAGTGGCTGTGGCAACAACACACAGAAAGTGCCTGGCAGAAAGTCAGCCGGTGTGAGCTTCTAGCAGCAGTATTAATACTATTATGCTAATTAGTTTCCCTGGGGGAATACCTGGGCAGCAGAGGCCCCAGGATTTTGACTGTCCGGACGTCTCCCCATCCCTACACTCCACCTGCCACCATTCTCCTCCCCTTGCCAAGCATTTCTAAGGTGGACCCAAGAATTTTGATTCATGGCATGAAGGGCACAGTGGTCCCAGGGCAGAATCAGTATCTGCCCTGGAAAAGATCTGAACCCTACACTTGAAGCCAGCTTCAAACTCCTTTGAACTCTTCTGGAAAGGAACAGAATTCAGAGATGGCTTCTCAACCCTGAGCTCCCTCGGGGTTTGCAGATGGGACTGGAACTCCAGAGCTTTCCTCTCTAAATAATAATATTCATTACAACCTAGCAGCTACTCTTACTGTACTATATTATGTATATAATTTTCCTCCTTGATGGATACCTAACAAACACTCTGTGAGTAAGAACTGTATTATCCCAACATTACAGATGAGTTAATAGAGGCTCAGAGAGGTTAAACAGCCAATCAAGGGACCCACAGCAGGAAAATGGCAAAGCCTAGTTCTCAGCTCTGTCCCATCTGACTCCACTCTAGCCTGGCCATTCCCCCTCAAGGGGACATCTGAGGCCCAGGTCCATAGGTTTTCCTCTCACTGCAGAGCTGTCCCTTCCTTTTCTTCTGCTGCTTCCTGAGTTGCCTGCCCCAAATTGGCTTGGTGGTGTTTTGTAGTGATGACACGCCTCATGTGCCCGATGAGAAACTGGGAGAGGCAGCTGTACTGGAAATTGTGGAACGCCTGACCAAGCTCATCAGAGAGGTCTTTCCAGGTAAGACTGTGCCATCAGTCCCTCCACAGTGTTCTCGGAACTCTAGGCACTGCCTGGCACAGTGGGACAACAGCAGCAGCGAGTGTCCTGGCTGACCTTCATCCATGGACAGCGATGGCTGTTGGCCAGGTCTTCATGGTGACCATTTCTCACCTTCCTAACAAGCCCGAAGGCAACATGCAAGCCCATGGGCCGGTGGATACACACAGAATCCTATCAAAGGAAATGCCCAGCCTTTCACTGACTTCTGCTCCTGCCTATCTCCAGACTCATGAGCCCTTCTCCAGGTGTCTAGAGTTGCACACAGGTGTCGTCCCTGGGTGAGTCTCACACACAGCCCTTGTGTCCTGCTCTGGAGTTGGCATCCATCACCCTCAAACTGTCCTGGCTGCCAGGGCCTCTGGGAAATGCTAATTTCCAGCCAAGGTGCTGTTTCTTGTTGCTTCCAAGGACTTCAGAGTCTGGCAGAGCAGGCAGGGACTGGGGGTGAGTGAGGCAGCAGCCCTACGGGACACTATAGGGTGAATAGGGTCTGCGTGCCCCATCTGATGGCCCTTGCAAATGTTTTAAAGCAGTCTGCACCGAAAACAACATCCTGGAGGCTAAATCTGGCTGCCAGGCTGCCAACTGGGCGCCTGAGAAAGCAGCCCATAGCCCCCACCCCCACCTTTTTTGGGTTCCAGTACCTCTGCCCCCTCTAAAGATCTTCATCATGGGTCCCAGGACACAGATATGGAGTAATAATAAAAATAAATAATGGCACTAGCAGCAGTTACTCTAGATCAAGTGTAAAGGGTCAGGCTGGCTCTAAGAATATTCAAGCCTTAGCTCCTTCACTGTCACCATAAGCCTTGGGGGAGGTGCTGTGACCTCAATTTTACTGATGAGGGAGGTGAGCCTTAGGGTTAAATAAACTAGTGAAGGTCACATTTACTTAAGAGGCCCAAATCCTGGTGTGAGCACTGCCCTTACTGTCTGTTCCCGCTGCTTCCTTTCCTCAACAAAGTCAATCTAGGCAAAGAGATGCCTGGATGCTTCCAGGTTATCTAACCCAGCCAACCCAAGTCAGGCTGCTTGGTTTCCTTTGTCTTCCAGCAGGGGTCAAACCAGGACATTCCCCTGACCCCAACAGCAGGCACCATTATTCCCAATGTATAGAAAAGGAACCTGTGGCTCCGAGCTAGTCGGTTCCGAGGGAGGGACTCAAACTCAGATCCAACTGGGAGTACCTCTCCTTTGCTTCACATGGGGCTTCTGGAACACAAGTCAAATAATGAGTAAGAAAATGCTTCACTGACTGTTTTGTTTTTTGAGAGAAGGTCTTGCTGTCACCCAGGCTGGAGTACAGTGGCACAATCAAGGGTCACTGCTGCCTTCATCTCCCAGGCTCAAGCAATCCTTCCATCTCACTCTCCTAAGTAGTTGGGATTACAGGCACACGCCACCACGCCCTACTAATTATTTTTATTATTTTTTTATTTTTTTAAGGCTGAGTCTTGCTCCGTCGCCCAAGCTAAAGTGCAGTGGTGCGATCTTGGCTCACTGCAACCTCCACCCCCATGGGTTCAAGTGATTCTCTTGCCTCAGCCTCCTGAGTAGCTGGACTCTAGGCATCCACCACCATAGCCAGCTAATTTTAGTATTTTTGGTAGAGATGGCATTTCACTATGTTGGCCAGGCTGGTCTCAAAGTCCTGACCTCAAGTGATCCGCACGCCTTGGCCTCCCAAAGTGCTGGGATTACAGGCGTGAGCCACTGCGCCTGGCCTGTTTTCAATTTTTGTAGAGATGGGGTTCTTGCTGTGTTGCCTAGGCTGGTCTTGAACTCCTGGGCTCAAGTAATTCTCTCTCTTAGCCTCCCAAAGTGTAGGGATTACAGGCATGAGCCACCATGCCTGGCCTATTGACTATGATTTAACACAAATGTAAATTATAAGATTTTGTAGTTTCTACTACACTTGCATGTTTATTGAATTTCCTAATATCCAAGATGCCATTGACTGAAAGATGCATCATTATGTATAACTAAGAAAAAACAGCTACCAATTATAATCTGACACAGCGCTTTCTCATGGCCACACCTCACTTTTAGAGATGGTACTATGAGAACAAATTGGAAGAGATGAAATGAAGGTATTATCTAGCTGAGAATTCTAAAAACACAAGTCAAGCAGAACACTCCCATCTTATAGATAACTAAACTGAAGTACAGAGAGGTCGAGTAAGTGGCCTAAGAAGAGGAAGGGACTGAAACTCGAGATTCAGGGTTCCACATCATGTGTTCTTCCTGCTGTGTTCAACTTTACCCACCAGAGTCAGCTGTGAACACTGGTCCTCACCTCATCAGCACAGCCAAGTGGTTGACAACACAGGCACGCAAGGCAAACAAATCCAGGGCCCTGGGCCAGGTGCAGTGATCATATGCCTGTAAACCCAGCACTTTGAGAAGCTAAGGCTGGAGGATCGCTTGAGGTCAGGAGTTTGAGACTGGCCTGGGCAACATAGCAAGACCCTGCTTCTACAAAAAATAAAAAAAAATTAGCTGTGTGTGGTGCTGTGTATCTATACTCTTAGCTACTTGGGAGGCTGAGACAGGAGGATCACTTGACCCCAGGAATTTGAGGTTACAATGAGCTATGATCGTGCCACTGCACTGCAGCCTGGGAGGCAAAGGAAGACCCTGTCATGCAGGGCCCAATTCTAGCTCTGGTATGGTTTAGCTGGGTAATCTCATAAAGACTCAGTCTGCTCCCTGTGAAAAAGGAAAATAATGGTACCTGTCCACAGGGTTGTTATGAGGATTAAATAAGGTAATTCATTCACTCATTTAGTCAATCAACAAATAGTTATTGAGCATCCACTATGGGTGAGACACCATTCCAGGAGTAGAAGACATGGCAATGAACAAGACACCAGGTCGCACCCTCATGGAGCTTATGTTTGCAAGGAGCTGGGCACACAGAAGCAGTGAAAACACAGGAGTGAGTCCCTCCCTTCTCATAGGGATTTTTTTTTTTTCTTAAATGGATTCTTAATGGCTGCTGGCATTTACTTTAGAGAGGTGAGGTTTTTCTAGGCAGTTACAGTGATGCGTTTTGACAACCTCCTACTTTGGCAGAGTTCTCAGCATTTCCAGGTCTTGTCGGCTGTACAGGGCAAAGGGTGTGTTAGAGATATTTCCCAACTGGAATGGGAGGCTCCAGCCTCCCTCATTTGTTCCAGGTCACTCCCTGTGATAGACTAAGCTCATATAAGGGCCCAGCCCTGTTCTGAGTCCAAGAGTTATTTTTGTTGATTGTCAAATATTTATTGAGCACCGATTAGGTGCCAGACACTGAGCATAAAATAAAAACAGAAATGAGGCTGTTCATGTGGAGGAAATGAGTCTAATGGGTTCCCCTACACCTCCAGGCCTCATTCACAGGCCCCTTCCTCAGGGAGGCCTCCCCAAACCCACTCCTACCCTCTGTTATTACTCCCATAGCAAGTGGCCATTCCCTTTCTGTGACATCCCTTACACCTCTACTCAATACCTGTCAACCCTATTGAACTGCAGGACCTCTGGGGCTGGAAGCCTGGTTTCCAGTTCTATGCATTGGCTCATAGTTGGTGCTCAATAAGATACTTGCTGACTGCATGGATGAGTGAAACTCCTAAGGCCTCCCAGAGTGACGCAGACCCTTTCCCTAACAGTAAGATGATCTGGAATCAACAGGAATTGGGAACACTAAATTACCAAGTGGCTGATGACGATCGGACTCATTTAGACCTAGTTTTCCCCTTCTCATCATCTGCTGCTTTCCTTCTAACTAGGAAACTTTCTGCTGGGAATGGGTTTAGGGACTGTGATGAAAGAACCCACTGCTCTTCCCTCCAAAGTCTAAGCAAAGTTCAGTCAGATTCTATCAAATGTGGGTTTCCTATCTGTGTCTTTTCCTCATCTGTGCTATCGCTCTTCCCCTTGAGCTCTGATGGCCAGTGGCCAACAGAAAATGATTAACTCCCCCGAGTGCTTTTGCATATATATTTTGATATTTCACCCTTTCTTCCTAGATACTAAAGTCTATGCTGCTTTGGGAAATCATGATTTTCACCCCAAAAACCAGTTCCCAGCTGGAAGTAACAACATCTACAATCAGATAGCAGAACTATGGAAACCCTGGCTTAGTAATGAGTCCATCGCTCTCTTCAAAAAAGGTACCAACACCACCTGCTCCTATCAAGAGCACTTACTGTATGCCAGGGTCTGATCTTCGTCTTCACAACAACCTCTTAGAATAAGTACTGATTTTATCCCCAATTTACAGATAAGGAAGCCAGGGTCATACAGCTTAGAAAAGGCAGTCTTGGGAGCAGACTCCAGAATTAACTCCAAAGCCCTTCCTCTAAACCCCACGACACTGATGATGCTCCTAAGTTCATATTTATTGAGCCTTTACTGTGTGCGAGGCACTGCCCTCTCAGCCTGGTCCTAGACACTTCACAACAACCCTTGGAAGGAGTGGTTTCATTTCCAGCAGGTTTGAACCTTGCCACCACTGACACCATGGGCTGGATAACTCTGTCGCAGACAACTGCCACGTGTGTTGCAGAATGTTGCAAACACTCACTAGAGTGATACCCTCAGGAACACCCCCAGCTGTGACAACCAAAAATGTCTCAGACATTGCCCAGTGTTCTCTTGGGCCAGAAGCACCTGGTTGAGAATGACTGGTTCAGAAACACAGCCAGCCCAAGGTGACTTTGACCCTACTCTTCCCTTTCCTCGGTCTCCTGCTGTTGGGACTCCCCAGTGGTTAAAGCCGACCAGAAGCCTGTGCCACAGAAGCCTGTTGATTTAGTCCACATAGATCAGCTCTTGGAAAAGACAGCTGAGCAGTGAAGGGTCGACAGTGGATCTGGATGGGCAAACACACATCACTGTTAGTCTCACTATGCAGATAAGGAAACCGAAGTATAGAGAGGTGAAGTTACTTTCCCAAGTTGCACAGCGAATGAGTTCCAGAGCCAGGAATTGAATCCAGGCCGCCTGGCTCCAGAGCCTCTGATCTTCCAGATTGATGTCCCACCCATGGGAAAGATGGGAGGGGAAGATGCAACGGAAAAAGAAAGTGGGACATTGAGGTGGAAGGGGCGGAAGCCTGTCTGGCCAGAGGTGGGGGCCTCCTTCATATTGTCCCTGGCTGTGACAGGTGCCTTCTACTGTGAGAAGCTGCCGGGTCCCAGCGGGGCTGGGCGAATTGTGGTCCTCAACACCAATCTGTACTATACCAGCAATGCGCTGACAGCAGACATGGCGGACCCTGGCCAGCAGTTCCAGTGGCTGGAAGATGTGCTGACCGATGCATCCAAAGCTGGGGACATGGTAAGAGGCCCTGCTTCTTTCTTTTCTCATCTGGGGTTATTTCCTGCACAAGTCTCCCGCTTGGCACAAACTCACCCACCCACCCAAAGATGCCCATATCCCAGAGGGTCCTTTATCAGCCCGGCACCAGCAGAGGGCTTCCTCCATCCTCACCACAGCCCTGTGTGCTGGGATCTGGAGCCCACTGCAGATGAGGACCCTGAGGCTCATAAAGAGTGGTGACGGTCCCAAGTCACATAATAAGTGACGAAGCCCAGACTAGAAGACCAGACTCCAAGTCCAGTGCTCTTTCCACTCCCACCACATGCACAGCTGCAGCCAGTACTGTGTGCCAGATCTCCAGGGGATGCCCTGCCCTTGAGTGTGTCCAGCTAGCCTGCTGGCCTGACAGCTCCTCAAGGACTGGCTCAGTGTCTCATTTGCCCAAGTCCTTGCACTGACCAGCCCATCCCAAGAGGATCTCACAGCTGGTGCCCATGAGCATGCACTATGCCAACATTGGGCACGTTGTTTAGGACATTATGCGGATGATCTCAGGTAGCAGAACTATGGAAACCCCGGCTCAGTAGCGAGTCCATCATTCTCAAAACCCCACCAGCTATGTGCTATTCCAGATGAGAAAACAGCAGCTCAGAGAGGTGATACACAGCTGGTGTCTAAGCTGCAGTCTGACTCCAAAACTCATACATTTAACTCTGTCCCCTGTTCTAACTCCTGCCATGGTGGCCAAGTGCCCAGGTGTTGTCAGATGAGTGACTCAAGGAATGTAAGAAACGAATGCACATTACCGTGTAGCATATCACACAACCACGCAAGAATGGTTTCGTTGCAGTGTTCAAGCTCTCCAAGAGAAGAGTAGTCTTTGAAGGATTAGGAAAGCTTCATGGGGGAGGTGCTCTTTGAAGTGTGGGGAGGATTTACAGAAGTGAAAAGGAGAAGGGTACTCCAGGTGGCAGGCACAGAGGTGGGAAGGTATGTGGTGCATTCATTGCAGGGCACAGGGAGAAAGTGGGACATGGAATCCGGGAGGCCTTCAGGGAGGAGATACATTTGGGCCTGTCTACCTGCCTTTGGGGCAATTTGCAGGTTTTGAGAAGTAGAAATGAGGGTCTGGAGAGGGCATCTGTGAGCCTCTTCTGGGAACCCCTCCCTTGTAGGTGTACATTGTCGGCCACGTGCCCCCGGGGTTCTTTGAGAAGACGCAAAACAAGGCATGGTTCCGGGAGGGCTTCAATGAAAAATACCTGAAGGTGGTCCGGAAGCATCATCGCGTCATAGCAGGGCAGTTCTTCGGGCACCACCACACCGACAGCTTTCGGATGCTCTATGATGATGCAGGTATTCAACCTGGAGGGCAACTGCCAGCTCCCTCCCTCCTTCTCTCCCCAGACCCGCTCAGTCCTGCTGTCTCTCTCCTGACAGGTGTCCCCATAAGCGCCATGTTCATCACACCTGGAGTCACCCCATGGAAAACCACATTACCTGGAGTGGTCAATGGGGCCAACAATCCAGCCATCCGGGTGTTCGAATATGACCGAGCCACACTGAGCCTGAAGGTCAGGAGTCCTGCGGAGGCCAGAGGAGGAGGGTGGGAGGGGCTTAAATGCATCACCACCTTCCCTCACTCTCAGCTTATCCACCTTCCCCTGACCACTGAGCCTCAGGAAGGTTGAGCTCCTTCCACCCTTCTCCAGCTCAGGATCAGAACCCTGGAGGCACCTGCCACCGAGTCAGGGCAGTGCCTCACCAAGTCACCTTTTCCCCTGGATGACTGTCACAGCTTCATACCTGGTCTCCCTGCCTCTGGCCCTGCCCTGCTATGGCCCATCCGCTACACAAGAGAGAAGAAACTAATCTCCTATAGCACCACTTTCATCTTGTCTCCGTCCTGCTCAAAAACCTTCAGTGGCTCCCCAGTGCCTTCAAGATAAAGTTGTGTCTCCTTGACCTAGTACTCAAGGCTTCCCACAGTCTGACTTCAAGCCCATTGTCCACATTTTCCGTACACAGACGAGGCTCCAGCCCCTAATTCTTTGGGCAGTCCCTCACCTCGTAGGATGAGCTTGTGGTTGTTGAGATGAAAAATATTATTCCTTTATTTATCCAACAAAATGCATTAAGTGTGTGCCATTGGCCAGGCCCTGTTCTAATCTCAGAAGATATGTAAATTTAAAAACAAAGTCACCCCTCTCCTGGACCTGACATCTTACAGGAGAGGGACAATAAATATGTAGAATTAATTATAGTACTGAGAGAAGGGCTAAGGAGAAAATCAAAACAGTGAGGCGACAGGGTGACAGCTATGGGAGGTGTGTACTGTGTTAGATAGGTGGGAAGGGGAAGTGTCCACATAAGGTGCCATTTGAGTTCTGAGTGTATTGAGGGAGGGAGCCCAGTGGGTATCTTGGGGAGGTGGAGGGAACAGCAAGTCAAAGGCCCCGGGGTGGGAATGTGCGTGGTAGGTTAGGGGAAGAGCACGGAGGCCATGTGGCCACAGTAAGAGGCACAAGGGGAGAGTGGGAGGGGAGGTCCGATCTTGCAGGCCTCCATGAGGACTCTGGATTTGGAGGGTTTTGCGCAGAAGAATGAAATCCTGTGACTTATAATTTTATGGAATCATCATGTCTGCTGTGCAGGGAACAGGCTGTAGGGGCAGGTGGGGGAGCAGTGAGGCCGTTTGGAGGGAAGGACAAATCCCAGATGACAGGATAGTAGCTTGCCCAGGGTGGAGGCAGTGAGATGGTGAAAAGTGCCAGGTCCCAGATGAATTCTGGATGCAGGATTTGCTAGAGTGGATATGAGCTGTGAGAAAAAGGGACGAATCCAGGAGGCTTCCAAGGCTCTTGGCCTGTGCAACGGTAGGCTGTGGCTGCCGATTACTGAGATAAGTGGCAGGGTGATCAGGCTTCGGAGGGTCAGTCAGAGGTCTTGTTTTGGACCTGTTACCTTTGGGAGGGCTAAATGGCATCAAGTGAAAGTGGACAGGGAAGGGGCAAGTTGGAGCTTGAAGAGGTGAGGATAGAGATGTGATCTGGGAGTGGAGAGAGGACATTTAAAGCCAACGACTGCATGAGCTAACCCAGGTCCTTGATTCTAGTAAAGGTAGATTAAGAAGAGGTCTGAGGGGTTTAAAGAGTGGCCTGTTGTCCACATGGGCACTCCAAGGGTCTGAGCAAGGGGAATGGCAGGCTGCACCATCACCCCCTAACAGGCCCTCCATTCTCCTCAGGGAGGGAGTCAGCCCTGAGCTTGAATCCTGGCTCCACCACTCATAAGCTTTTTGATCTTTTGACCTCTGTGCCTCACTTGCTTCATCTGTAAAATGGGAGTAACAGAACCTCGCAGGGTTTGAGGAGGACTACATGAAATAATGGAATGTTCCTGGCACAGAGTGGCCATGCATACGGGCAGCTCCTCTTACCCCGTCTGCAGTGGCCTGAAGCAGGTTCATAAATGTACCTGGAACCCGCTGGACTGATGAACCCTGCAGAGTCTAGCCGTGAACATGCACCTGGGTCCTAGGAGTCTACAGTTCATAATCTCTCTCATGCTTAGTGTTGCTCTTTTTATGTTGCTTTTATCTATTCATTATGTAAATATTTACTGAGCGTCTTCTATGTGTACCCTAGCATGGTGGGACCTGGGGTAAACCTGGGGTCCAATCCTGCTACCACTGAATACCTGTATGAATACCTGTATGACCCTGGCCAAGTGAATTAACCTCTTTAGGCCTCAGTTTCCTCATTTGTGAAACCTAGGTAATAAGCGCAGTTACCTCATTCGATTCAGAGGATGTCTGCCAAGCACAATGGGTGCACAGCTAAGTGC
Source organism: Homo sapiens (assembly GCF_000001405.40). NCBI lineage: Eukaryota > Metazoa > Chordata > Mammalia > Primates > Hominidae > Homo > Homo sapiens. The sequence goes on from NC_000001.11 coordinate 27,958,355, forward strand.
TCAATAACTACTAGTGGTCATGGTCACTGCTCTAAAGAACTTGGGGGCAAATGCAAGGTGCAGGATGGGGATGGAAGCAGACAACTGCTCACAGCCGGTCTACCCCAAACCCTTTTTCCAGGACATGGTGACCTACTTCATGAACCTGAGCCAGGCGAATGCTCAGGGGACGCCGCGCTGGGAGCTCGAGTACCAGCTGACCGAGGCCTATGGGGTGCCGGACGCCAGCGCCCACTCCATGCACACAGTGCTGGACCGCATCGCTGGCGACCAGAGCACACTGCAGCGCTACTACGTCTATAACTCAGTCAGCTACTCTGCTGGGGTCTGCGACGAGGCCTGCAGCATGCAGCACGTGTGTGCCATGCGCCAGGTGGACATTGACGCTTACACCACCTGTCTGTATGCCTCTGGCACCACGCCCGTGCCCCAGCTCCCGCTGCTGCTGATGGCCCTGCTGGGCCTGTGCACGCTCGTGCTGTGACCTGCCAGGCTCACCTTCTTCCTGGTAACGGGTAACGGGGGCAGCGCCCAGGATCACCCAGAGCTGGGCCTTCCACCATTTCCTCCGCGCCTGAGGAGTGAACTGAAATAGGACAACCGAATCAGGAAGCGAAGCCCCAGGAGCTGCAGCCATCCGTGATCGCGCCACTGCACTCCAGCCTGGGTGACAAAGCCAGACTCTCTCCAAAAACAAACCAGAAACAGAAAAGAAATGACGACCCAAGACCCCCCTACAAGCATACTTCTTTTGCGTATTATGTTTAACTCACAAAACAAAGCTCATCATGCGTTTGATTCTGTGTTGTGTTCCTTTTCTTTTCTTTTGAGACGGAGTCTCGCTCTGTCGCCCAGGCCGGAGTGCAGTGGCGCTATCTCGGCTCTCTGCAACCTCTGCCTCCCGGGTTCAAGCGATTCTCCTGCCTCAGCCTCCTAGCTGGGACTACAGGCGCGCGCCAACACGCCCGACTAATTTGTATTTTTAGTAGAGACGGGGTTTCGCCATGTTTGCCAGGCTGGTCTCGAACTCCTGACCTCAGGTGATCCGCCCGCCTGGGCCTCCCAAAGTGTTGGGATTACAGGCGTGAGTCACCGCGCCCGGCCTCTATTCCCTTCCGTATGGAAATGAGGTTAACTCATTTGCAGGAACCTAACGCCCGCCCTCCCCCGACTCGGATCGCTGGCGTGAACCCAGCGGCCCCGTGCTCTCCGGGTATCCCTGGATCGAGGCGCACGCGTTGTTGCAAAGTCTCGCACTTAGGGATTAGAATGTGCCTTTGCGTTTCGTTTTGTTTTGCAACAATACAGGTGTGAGGGATCGCAGCCCTGGTCCAGGCTCTAGTCTCCCCGCCCTCTCGCTTTCTTGGGCCTCCGGGCGCCTCAAAGGTAAAACTAGGCCATTTGAAGCCTGCGAAGCGAAGGGCAGTCGGTCTTCAGGCCTAGCGGGCTTGGCTGGGCTGGGTCGGTGGACCCCTGGGCTGGCGGCGGGAGCAGAGCATCGAGCGGCTTTTAGCTGGGGTTCGGGCGGAGGACCTGGGACAACCGCGGGCCTCGCTCCTCCCCGGACGGGGCGGGACGGGGAAGTCCCGCCCACCAGGCCCAGGCCCCGGGCCGCCCCGAGGGCTGCGCCCACCTCCTTCCTGCCTCGGCAACCCCGGGCCCTGAGGGCAGGCCCCAACCGCGGAGGAGCAGGAGAGGGCGGAGGCCGGCGGGCCATGCCCTGGTCGTCCCGCGGCGCCCTCCTTCGGGACCTGGTCCTGGGCGTGCTGGGCACCGCCGCCTTCCTGCTCGACCTGGGCACCGACCTGTGGGCCGCCGTCCAGTATGCGCTCGGCGGCCGCTACCTGTGGGCGGCGCTGGTGCTGGCGCTGCTGGGCCTGGCCTCCGTGGCGCTGCAGCTCTTCAGCTGGCTCTGGCTGCGCGCTGACCCTGCCGGCCTGCACGGGTCGCAGCCCCCGCGCCGCTGCCTGGCGCTGCTGCATCTCCTGCAGCTGGGTTACCTGTACAGGTGAGTGCTTCGCCCCGGGAGGGGAGGAGTGTCGGAGCCCAGCACCTCCGTCAGCTGGGTCACCTGTACAGGTGACACGCCATATGCCGGGAAGGGGACTGGGAGAGGGAACCAAGTCCTGTGGGCGCCTGGCCTACAGGTGAGCGTGCAGCCCTTTACGGAAAGGGAATCCCGGTAGACTGCCTTCATTCTAGCCCTAGCTTTCCTGGCACAGGCGAAGAAACTGAGGCCCAGGGAAGAAAGGGAGGCGCATGGGCTTTGAAGTCGGACCTCTCAGGGATCCACTTCTGGCTTTGCCCCCTCTCGCCTCACTTCTGCATTTCTCTGAGCCTCAGTTTCCTCCTGCGTAGAAAGGAGGTAGTCACCCTGAGACAGGTGTGACGGGCAGGCCTGTTGTGAAGAGTGAGCGAAAGAATGAGAAAGTGCCTCGCACAGTGCCTGGCCTGTAATGGCAGGGGCTGCGGACTCAGTTCAGCATCCCATGTTTCAGCATGGGCAGGGCCTTGGGAAGTCACTGACCTCTCAGTGGGGCTGTTTGGTTGCTGTTCCCATTGGGATGGGGATAGCGCCTGCCCGTTTGGTGAAGATGCAGTGAAATGACATCTGTCCACTGCCCTGGCTCAGAGTGAGCACTCAGCAACCTCAGCTGGCTTCTTGACCTGGGCCTCCCTGGGAGTTTCAGCAGCCCTGACCCCACCACAGCGCTTGCCCCTCACAAAGGCCGCCTCTCACCCTGTCTGCCTGGTTGTATTCTTCCCCCTGAAACTTGGCTTCCCACCCCAGACCCAGCAAGAGGGCAGAGATGGCCTCTGACTCATCCATGCCCATGGAGCCAGCCAGGGCTGGGCATAGGCTGGGTCCTGGAAAATGTGTGTGGATTCTGCTCCTTTTTGGACCTGGTGGAGCCTCGTAGAGATGGGAAAACAAACCCAAGGCTCAGAGGCATGCGACAAAGTCAGGGCAGAGGGTGGTGTGGGTTGGGATGGGGTGGCCAGGGCCAGGATCTGCTCTTGAATCCGTTTTTACAAACTCTTGAGATCTGGCCTTGACAAAGCCACACGGAGTCTCCAGGAGTGGAAGAGAGGAGCTTTGAATGTGGCAGTTTTGCCTGAGGGATTATAGAGACATCAGAAAACCCCGGGTGGGCATGAAGGGGTGCAGTTGTTAAGTCCTGGGCAGGCCTCCATGAGCCGTGAATCTGTAACTACCTTATGCATCTTTGTGGCCAATATTTCTGCTGAGCTTGAGTCAGACAGACTGTACTAGCTTTGGCTTTGGAAATGGGTCTCTGTTCCTGCCTGTGAATTGGCCGAGGCAGGGGTCCCTGCTAGGTCACTGGGGACCATAGGCAAAGGCTCCTGCTGAGGGAGAACCCCAGCCTGTCCTGCCTGCCTGCTCCTCAGTGTGTTCTTGTGTCCTTCCAGGGGAAGTGACAGTACATGTCTGGTGAATGAGCTTGTGATGAGTGAACGGGGTTCTCTCCCAATAGGCAACTGAGAGCAAAGTTCTGGGTGGAGGGTCCTTGGTGCATCCTCCACTTACTCTTCATGCCAGTGGGTACCCCAGACCTGTCTGTCCAAACTCTGGACTCTCTTAACTCCGCCCCAATCTCCATCCTTAACCACTCAGGGCCAGCCTCTTAAATGGGATCCCTCCTTCCAATCTAACCCTCCTCCAGCCCCTCCCCTGTGTGGCCGGGGCAAGGCAGAGTCTGATTCCATCTGGCCTGTGCCCAGAAGTGCCCAAGAGGCAAATGTCCTCTTGCCCACAGGACCCCAGGAGATCTTGGGCACACTAAAGTTTGAGAACTACTGCCTCAGGCAACTTTATAGCATGCCTTTCCAATTCAGGTTTGGATCCAAATCCTCATTCCAGTACTTATTAGCTGCTTATAATTTTTTGTTTGTTTTTTAAAAAGAGGTAGGGTCTGGTCAGGCTTGGTGGCTCATGCCTGTAATCCTAGCAGTCTGGGAGGCTGACGTGGGTGGATCACTTGAGGTCAGGAGTTTGAGACCAGCCTGCTGAACATGGCAAAAGCTCATCTCTACAAAAATTAGCCAGGTGTGGTGGCGCATGCCTGTAATCCCAGCATCCCAGCTACTCTGGAGGCCGAGGCAGGAGAATCGCTTGAACCTGGGAGGTGGAGGTTGCAGTGAGCCGAGTTTGTGCCACTGCACTCTAGCCTGGGCGACAAGCGACAGATGTAGACTCTGTCTCCAAAAAAAAAGAAAAAAAAAAAGAGAGAGAGAGGCAGGGTCTCTGTTGCCTGGGCTGGAGTGCAGTGGCACAATCAATCATGGCTCACAGTGGCCTTGAACTCCTGGGCTCAAGCTGTCCTCCTGCGTCAGCCTCCTGAGTAGCTTGGACTACAGGCTTGTACCACCACGTCCAACTAATTAAAAAAAATTCTTTGTAGAGATGGGGCTTGCTGTGTTGCCCAGGGTGGTCTCAAACTCCTGGCCTCCAGTGATCCTCTTGCCTTGGCCTGTCAAAATGTTGGGATTACAGGCGCGAGCCACTGCACCCAGACCTTATTAGCTTCTTGATCCTGTTTCCCCATCTGTAAAATGGGCTTTTGTGAGAAGTAAACAGGACAAGGTTTGTGATGAGCTTGGGACAGTGCTTAGCCAGCGGGAGTAGAAGGTGTATTGATCCCCATTTTTGCTTTTTTGTTTTTTTTGAGACGGAGTCTTGTTCTGTCGCCAGGCTGGAGTGCAGTGGCACGATCTCGGCTCACTGTAACCTCCGCCTTGCAGATTCAAGAGATTCTCCTGCCTCAGCCTCCTGAGTAGCTGGGACTACAGGCGCGCACCACCACACCCAGCTAATTTTTTGTATTAGTAGAGACGAGGCTTCACCATGTTAGCCAGGATGGTCTCAATCTCCTGAACTCGTGATCAGCCCGCCTCAGACTCCCAAAGTGCTGGGATTACAGGCATGAGCCACCACACCCGGCCTCGATCCTCATTTTACAGATGAAACAAGTTCAGTGAGGTTAGGACATTGCCGAAGGCCCCATAGCATGGATGTGAGGAGACAGGTTGGAGCCTGTGTCCACTCATTAGATGGGTGGGAGGCTGAGGAATTCACAGGACACTAACCTGGCCCTCTGGGCATTTGTGTGTGGTGCCTAGGTGCGTGCAGGAGCTGCGGCAGGGGCTGCTGGTGTGGCAGCAGGAGGAGCCCTCTGAGTTTGACTTGGCCTACGCCGACTTCCTCGCCCTGGACATCAGCATGCTGCGGCTCTTCGAGACCTTCTTGGAGACGGCACCACAGCTCACGCTGGTGCTGGCCATCATGCTGCAGAGTGGCCGGGCTGAGTACTACCAGTGTGAGTGAAGGCCTGTGGCTGGCCCCCCTGTCGTGGCTTGGTGGGGGGTCTCTCAAATGTTGGAACTGTTTTTAGTCTTTTATAAAGGCTGCTTAGAAAACAGGAGAACAGGCTTTAGTCAGGCAGATCTGGCTTGAAACCTAAAGTCACTCTACAGCTGTTTGAGTTTGGACAAATGCCTTGACCTCTCTGAGTATGTTTGTTCTCATCTGAAATATGGGCTTAAATCCTCCTGCCTCATAAGGTTGATGAAAGGATTAAATGAGGTGATGCAAAGAAAGCCCATTTCCTGGTACATAAGTTCCTGGTACAGAGTCTCACTCTGTCATCGCCCGTAGTGGAGTACAGCAGCCTGATCATGGCTCACTGTAGCCTCCACCTCCCAGGCTCAAGTGATCCTCCTGTCTCAGCCTCCTGAGTAGCTGGGACTACAAGTGTGTATCACCATGCTGGCTAATTTTTCTTTCTTTTTTTTTTTTTTTTTTTTGTAGAGACGAGGTCCCACTTTGTTACCCAGGCTGGTCTTGAACTCCTGAGCTCAAGTAACCTCCTACCTCAGCCTCCTAAGGTGCTGGGATTACAGGTGTCGCCCACTGTGCCTGGCCCACAAGTCTTAATTGTAATTTTTATAATTTTGAAGATAATGAAGTGTGTAAGGTGCCTGATACAGCATAGGTAACTTTTTAGTTAAGAAACAATTTCATACGTTGGGAGGCCAAGGTGCACAGGTCGCTTGAGGCCAGAGTTGGAGACCATCCTGGGTAACATAGTGAGACCTCATCTCTTCAAAATTTTAAAAGAGAAACAAGAAACAATATATTGAATGCCTTCATCCAGTCAGGTTTTCATTGTGCATCTCTTCTGTGCCTGTTACTGTGCTGGGGACACAGCAGTGAACAAGATGAACCCAGCCCCTGCCCTGCCAGGATGATAGACTAAAACAAGTAGCTACGGTTGAGTGACTGGAAAAGGGAGAGGCAGGGAGCAGAGGATCACAGGGCCCCCTAAGCATGGGTGAAGTTTACAGTGAGGAGCTTTGGGAGGGTTTTTGCATGAAAGGAAAGTGACTTGCCCATTTCCACAGACCTGGACAGTGGCCAAGCTAAAGAGGGCCCCCACTCACATCCGACTCAGGGTCCAAGCCTTCCCCTTTGCCTTCCTCCACCGCTGCCATAAATGCCACAGCCTCTCAAGAAACCAGTCCTCACTCTACCGTCACTCGCTGTGTGACCTGGAGAGCCTTCCTGTGGAAGATGGAGGTTGGACTCGATCTCCAAGGGCCCTTTCGTCTTGCTAGTCTGAGTCTATATATTGATTGAAAAAACAATAATAGCGGCTGTCACAATCGAGTGCCAGCTATTAGCCAGGCCCTGTGGGAAGCACTTACAGTCATCATTGCTCATGTTCACAGCAGCCCTGTAGGTTTGTGCTATATTGATCTTCATTTTTAAAGAGGTGCAGAAAGGTGAGTGACTTGCCCTGGGTTACTGGGCACTCACTGGGCACACGTCTTTGTCTGTTGAGGGTTGGGGGTGTCTAGAACCAGGGCCAAGTGCAGACAGTCTGCACTGTGAGTGTGGCAGGGGGTAAGGGGGCGAGACAGATTTTCCCTACTTTTTATTTAGCAAACATCTCTTTCGCTGCTGTTATGTGCCAGGTACTGGGCTGCTGGGGGATCCCAAGTGAGCAGAGTCTGTTTTCTACCCTCGAGGAGCCCAGAGATAAGGAAATAGATAATTACTGTGTGATGAGACTCCAGACAGAGGTGGGTGGCATGTTACAGGGATACCTGACACAGCTGAGTGGGTGGCATGGGGTCAGGGTGGGTGACTCCCGGGGCTCTTCAAGCTGGGGCCTGCGGGGTAATGGAGGAGTAGGCCGGGGAAGTGGGGCCTGTGCTTCTGGCGACCTAACATCCTGGGCAGAGCTTGTCAAGGTCACGGAAGGTGGCATGCTGGGCAAACTGGAAGAACATCAGCCCTGCTGAGACCTGGGCAAGGCTAATGAGCACAGATCTGTTTCCAGGCTAGGAGTGGGTTCTGGGCGCCTAATAGGTTCCCAGTAAACATCTGTCGAATGACTGCGGTGGACGGGGACAGGGGAGGAAGCAGTCGGGAGACGTGCCGGTGCCACTTCCATCCCTCCCTGGAGGCCCTTGTGCTTCTGCTCCAGGATTGGCAACCAGGAGGTGGGATAGGACCCCTGTTGTAAACTTCTGGATCTTGGAAAATCAAGGTTAGGGGTCAGTCCGATGGCCTCTGGTCTTGGAGGGGAGGGGAGGGGAGTGGGGAGACCTTCTGTCCACACAGCAGGGACATCTCTCCTGGCCCTGAGGGCAGCTTTAGCCAGAGCCTGTTGCCACCCCATGGGATTTTCTACTCCCTTTTTGAGACTAAGAAAGACGGAACTGAGACTGTTGATTTTTAGACACAAGGAAGGCTTGTGTTCTTCCCAGAAAGAAAGGGTTATGGGGCCCTGGAAGATGCCCAGGATGCAGCCAAGGCCCAGGGGTGCTGAGTGCTGGGTGGGCCACAGGTCACATCCTCTCATCTTTGACAAATACCACCCGGATAGCACCTACGCAGCAAAGCGCTGTGGTGAGGGGCAGGCTCTATATTAGGAGTCATAGCTTTGTTTTTGGTTGTGGGAACTCACTGGGTCTTCTCTAGCTGCAGATTTGCCTTCAACAAACGAGGGATTCTAATACCTACCCCAGGGTTGCTGGGAGGGCCCCCACGGTACCTGTGACCGCTGGGGAGTGCCAAGCAGGCTGGCCCCAGGACTCACTGTTCCCTCCTACTCTTTGCAGGGGTTGGCATCTGCACATCCTTCCTGGGCATCTCGTGGGCACTGCTCGACTACCACCGGGCCTTGCGCACCTGCCTCCCCTCCAAGCCGCTCCTGGGCCTGGGCTCCTCCGTGATCTACTTCCTGTGGAACCTGCTGCTGCTGTGGCCCCGAGTCCTGGCTGTGGCCCTGTTCTCAGCCCTCTTCCCCAGCTATGTGGCCCTGCACTTCCTGGGCCTGTGGCTGGTACTGCTGCTCTGGGTCTGGCTTCAGGGCACAGACTTCATGCCGGACCCCAGCTCCGAGTGGCTGTACCGGGTGACGGTGGCCACCATCCTCTATTTCTCCTGGTTCAACGTGGCTGAGGGCCGCACCCGAGGCCGGGCCATCATCCACTTCGCCTTCCTCCTGAGTGACAGCATTCTCCTGGTGGCCACCTGGGTGACTCATAGCTCCTGGCTGCCCAGCGGGATTCCACTGCAGCTGTGGCTGCCTGTGGGATGCGGCTGCTTCTTTCTGGGCCTGGCTCTGCGGCTTGTGTACTACCACTGGCTGCACCCTAGCTGCTGCTGGAAGCCCGACCCTGACCAGGTAGACGGGGCCCGGAGTCTGCTTTCTCCAGAGGGGTATCAGCTGCCTCAGAACAGGCGCATGACCCATTTAGCACAGAAGTTTTTCCCCAAGGCTAAGGATGAGGCTGCTTCGCCAGTGAAGGGATAGGTGAACGGCGTCCTTTGAAGCAGGATCAGACCCAGCCAGCAGAGATGGAGAGTGACTCTGTTGGCAGAAGGCAGGCGAGGATAAGCTAACGATGCTGCTGTGGCCTCTATGCACTCAGCAAGAGCGGGACGCCTGTGCTGGGCCGGGCACCAGGGATGGTGCTGAGTCGGGCAGAGGCCTCCTTTCAAGGAGTTCACAGTGAACAAGATGAGAAGGGCTGGGCCCTGGAGGGTCAAGAGCCCCAATTATGTACAAGACACTTTGGGAGGAAAGAAGACTACCTTTTCCCCCTGCCATTGGTATAGCTGGTGCCCCAAAACTTCCACCTCCCTCCCTGGCTACCTCTAAAATGACTGGTATAGGTGCTGCCCCACCCCTTAGCTCCCCTATCCTGGGCTAGGAGGCCACAGGGGCTGTCCTCTAGAATTCTTCCTTCCCTCCCCCACACCATTCATTCAATTCATGAAACAAATCTTTGCCAAGAGCAGTTTATGTGCCAGGAACATCATTCTGTCCTTGCAACCTGGAACAAGACCAGCTACCAGCCTAGCTTCATCCGCTACTTGCACCAACCAGTCCCGGGTTAGATCCCAAATGCTAGAAGCCAGGGATGCCCAACTCTGGGTGGCCCCAGTCAGAACCTCTGGGATCTCAGTGAAGCTGGCCTGGCCTCTGCTCCTGCTCTCAAGGGGCTGCTTTTCAACCAAGAGCCTTGTGAGCCTGGTCTGAGCCTTGCACAGCCACTGAGTATTTTTTTTGCCTTAGCCAGTGTACCTCCTACCTCAGTCTATGTGAGAGGAAGAGAATGTGTGTGCCTGTGGGTCTCTACAAGTGACAGATGTGTTGTTTTCAACAGTATTATTAGGTTATGAATAAAGCCTCATGAAATCCTCCAACCTAGTCTGTGTCATCAAACGAAATCCCCTATGGAGTTCAGAGCCTGAACTGGAAGAGATCAGGGACATAAAATCTACCTCTCAAAATCAGTCAAGGTCCACGAACAGAGAGAGGGCTGGCTTAGGTGGGGTTTCTCAACCTCGTGTTTGAAGTTTCAGGAGCTGGTGAGCCAGCGTGGGGTAGACAGCTCAGCTGGAGATCAGAATCCAGATCTGGGCTGACTTAGTGCATCCTCTTCAACACCAGCTCTGCTGCTGGGCCCAGCAGGAGTGGCCACAGACACATTTAGGGCCAAGAAGTGAATATAGTTGCCTGGTGAAGAAAGGTCTTTTTGCTGGGAGCTCTGAGAGGTTAAGTGATGAGGTGCCTCAGGGGATGTGGATGTGGTGGGTGATGGTGCTGGGGAAGTGGAACCTTTTGCTGTTCTAGGAGGTCCATGGTTTGGAGAAACGGGACAGAAAAGTCAATTGAGATAGAGAAGAAAATGTTCTAGTCACTGCTGTGATGGGATCCAGGATAGTCTCAGCTCTGTTACTATTCTGGTGGAGACACAAAAACCAGGATAAGTAAAACATTTAGTATATCAGATAGTGTTAAGAAGTGCTAAAAGAAAAAGGGAAAGGGATAGGGAGAGAGAGTAAGTATTTGTGTGTTGGGGGTGGGAATTACAACTTTGTATAGAATGGCTGGGGAAGGCCTTCCTGCAAAACCGGTAAGCTGGTTAGCAGTGACTTGGGTGTGGCCTATAAATGTCACGAGAAGGAGCAGAACCTGGAGTCACTGGTAGCTTGAACCACTGTGGTGGAAGGAATGATGCAAACAGAATTCCACCGGATGAATAAGCACTTGTAACCACTCTGTTGGCCTGGAACTAAAGATGACCCAGAGATGAAGGGTGGGGGCAGGGAGAGGATCTGAGATGATGCTGGTGACTTTTACATACAAGCAATGGTTAGAGGCAGAAAGGATCCTGCAGATCATCCTGTCTAGTGATTTTCAGGCTTTTGAATATCATGTACCTATAAAATGGCCAACATGGTTGCAACTTAATTTTAACAAAAAAGGGCATTAAAAACTACCACCATTTGGCTGGGCATGGTGGCCCACGCCTGTAATCCCAGTACTTTGGGAGGCCAAGGCGGGTGGATCACCTGAGGTCGGGAGATCGCGACCAGCCTGACCAACATGGAGAAACCCCATCTCTACTAAAAATACAAAATTAGCCAGGCGTGGTGGCGCATGCCTGTAATCCCAGCTACTTGGGCGGCTGAGGCAGGAGAATTGCTTGAACCCGGGAGGCGGAGGTTGCGGTGAGCCAAGATCGTGCCATTGCACTCCAGCCTGGGCAACAAAAGCAAAACCCCGCCTCAAACAAAACAAAACAAAACAAAACAAAAAACTACCACCATTTATTTTCATCATCTCATAAAAGGATGTACCAATCTTAGAACAAAGACCATTCTTCTAATTGAATACATGTAAACATACACACACACCTGAAATTGCAGGAAGAGATGGAGATGTTTATCTACTCTGTGCTTGAAATCAATGCCTCTAATATTTGTATTTATAACTGAGTAGGGATATAGCAGCTAACGCGTTTGCTTCAACTAATGTGCACCTAATGAGGAAAACATTTAATAACTAGAATAGGCAACTTCCTCTTTTCTGGGGAATTTTTGGAAAAATACATCTTATAGTCTGACATGTATGGTACTTGGAAGCTAGAACCCAATTCTGATTTCCTTCATTGGACTAAAAGGCAGAAAGGCTTTGTGACTGTTTTCCAGACCAGAGGGATACAGCCAGACCCAAATCAGAGAAATGAAATGAGAAAAAGTAGTTGATGTGACAGGAAATCAGGGCAAATCAAATGAGGTTTGGTATCAGTTTGTCAGTTTTATCGCTTTTGTGGTTTAAGTGCAGTGCAGCAAGGTACTGATTTCTCTCCTTAATAAATTTCAGCATATTTGGAAGTGAATGAAATCTTTTCTCACTCCAGTTCTAAACTTTAAAAGCAATATATTTTAGAAACAATACATTCTCCCATACAAATTATTTTAAAATATTTTCCCATGTATATTTATACCAAATGGTTTGTTCTTACTTTTTTGGTGAAATGACCCAGTTACTGAAAGGGTGACATCTTTCTAATGAACTCTTAGAATTTTTATGAAGCCATAATTAGGACCCCACACAGCTGGGCAACTGTGCTGATCCTATTCAGAAAAGACACAGGAGCAAACTATAGAAAATAAAAACTTTATTTTTTTCAAGTTTATAAGATAGTTCCCATTACATATAACATTACGGTCACGGATTCTACAGCCACAAATGCCCGCAGTCACATAAATATATCCAATCCAATCAATGCCTTTTCCTGCTAACAGAGGCATCTGAAGTTCAGAGGGAGAGTCGCATTTTGAGTAGAAGTCGTCCTTAATGGGAGGGCTCCTGTCAGTGCATTAGGAACTAGCCAAGGAGCCTTGCTTGCCAGAGCTGTCTGACTCAGAGGAGAGGAAGGGACAGATGGCCTGCTGACTGGGGCTGAGGCAGAACTAGATTTTCTCTCTTGTGGTTTAAGATATTTTAGAATCTCGGAATTCAGATCCTATAGTGTGAATATCTGGGGAGTTCTAACTTCTGGATGAAAAAGGAAACCAATTTAGTGGTAAGAAATAGAAGCCTGCTTAAGAGGGACCCTAACTGCCTCCTTGAGGAGTAAGGAGTCAGAGGAAGACCCTAAGCTCACCATTCCTTGGCCCAGACCATTGCTCTACCCCATACTCCTCTCCCCTGTGGTTCAGTGACACTGACAACCATTCAAGGTAGTAAACATCTAGAAGCTCCACATGCTGCAGCTAGAGTTTGCAAGTCAGATTCTATTTGGAATTTTAAAGCTGAGTTTGTGTAAACTGCGAACAAGCTGTGGCATCAGTCTCTTGGGACAACTCACTAGCTTTACAGAAGACAGGAACGCCGCAAATCAAACAAAAGCCCAGATGGGCATCTAAATCTGGAGCAGGTGTCCATTCTTCTGGACACTACCAGCTGCCCCAGGGGCACTGGACAGGGTGATGCTAAGGCACAGTCAGTTTTACATTCGAAAGTCAAGCCACCTCCTCAACCCAAGACACACCTCACTCCAGATCTACTACTAGAGAGAGCCCTCACCGTGACATTACAGACCCATCCTGTAGAACCCACAGTGCCTGGCCAGGCATGGTGGCTCATGCCTGTAATCCCAGCACTTTGGGAGGCCAAGGTGAGCAGATCACCTGAGGTCAGGAGTTTGAGAACAGCCTGGTCAACATGGTGAAACCCCATCTCTACTAAAAATACAAAAATTAGCCAGGCGTGGTGGTGGGCGCCTGTAATCTCAGCTAATCAGGAGGCTGAGGTAGGAGAATCGCTTGAACCTGGGAGGCGGAGGTTGCAGTGAGCCGAGATCATGCCACTGTACTCCAGCCTGGGTGACAGAGCGAGACTCCATCTCAACAACAACAACAAAAAAAAAAAAAAAAAAAAAAAGAGAACCCACCATGCCCAGCTAGGGAAGGACTCATCATTTGGCTAATTTCATGAGGACTCTAATGAAGAGGGTCTCCCCCTTGATGAATGGACCCACAGTGTCCTTTGGTCCTCAGCTTCTAACAGCTCTTAATCCTACCCACTTATTTTCCTTTCCAGATTTTTGTGTTGGGGTGGAGAAAAAGGCAGGGTAATTACAGAGAGCACTGTGTTCCCTGGACAATTCATTTTGGCAAACAGCCAAGAAGCTCCTGTTTTCTCTCTTCCATTTAAATGAGGGTGGCAACAACCAGGAATGAGCAAAGACTGCTCTGCTCAGCCTCCTTACCTCTCTTGGCCAAGTTCAAGTTCCTTTTGGAAAGAGCTAAGCTAGGAAGTCAGAGTAAGAGGAAAAAGGCCAATGATAAAAGTGAGTTCAAGTTACATTCTAAAATAAAGAGCTCCCAAAAGGGTGGAGAGGGAAGTATCTGTGTGTGTGTGCTTGCGTGCATGGTGGGGGTACCACTCCGCAGCCTCACAAACCTGAAGCGCAGCACAACAGCCGTGGCCTTTGTCCAGGACAAAAACCCAACAGCTATACTGCATAGGGGGAGGGTTTGAGGCCTCAGAGTAAAACCTAGAGCTTCCTAAGATCAACCATCAAACAAGGCAGAGCAGCATCTAGGCAACTATGCTGAATACAGACCAAGGGAAGGCCTACCTCACACTACATCTCCCTCCTCCCAACCCCACAGGAAACAAGGCCAAAGAGGCAGCTAAGTAAAGGAGCACTGACTTCAGCTACTCAGCAAAAACTTACTCCTTAAAATCACGAGTTATGAGCGCTTTTCAATGAGTTCTGAAGGAATGTGTATACCAGCCTCTCTCTCTTGCTATCTGGGTGGCCTGGCATTGGAAGGAGTCTTGCCTCTTTGTGCTGCAACATCTCTGGAAATGGGTATGCAGAATCTCTGGTGACAAGCAATTATAGCTGGGGTTGGTCAACAATGCCTCCTTCTGCGGACCAATCCTGCATCTCAATCTGAGGTGCTTGTATCATCTCTCTCTGTGTAGCCTGGGAGAGGCTGAACTTCCTCAGCTCTAGGGAATTTTATCCTGCCTGAGTAGATGCCCAAATTGCTCTTGGAGGGATGGGGCATCCAACAATCATGGCTGGGCTGGAAGGCTGTGACTAGTGCCTGGGCACCCACCAATCTGCCCAGAGGTCGAGAGATGCTCCTGCATTTGGCCCAGGATTAAGTTTTGGGCCATGAAGTAGGGAATGATGCAGTACTCTCATTTAAATCAGGAAAGTCTGGCTGGGTGCAGTGGCTCATGCCTACAATCCCAACACTTTGAGAGGCCGAGGTGGGAGGATCGCTTGAGGCCAGGTGTTCAAGACCAGCCTTGGCAACAATGTGAAAACCTGTCTGTTTCTCCCTTCCCCCCACAATCAGCAAAGTCTTTCTGGTTTCCTACTTTAGAATGGGATTTGAGAAGCAGGGTTTTCCATGGGAAAATTTAAATACAGCAATCTGCTCTTCAGTTTCAGGCAGAGATCTGGGTAAATACATACCTGGGACATCCTTCATATGGCTTAGGGCTTCCACAAAGGAAGTCAAATACATTGGCAGTTTTGGCCAAAATGTAGTTATAAGCATGTTTTTAGATTTGATTTGAATTCTTGGGTCTAATACCCGGGGACTGGCCAGAGCTGCCTGGAGGTGGACATGAGGTGCAGAGGGCAGGAAAGGGGTAAGAACCTAGCATTATGATGACCAAGAAGGAAGAAGCTGCAGGGACGAGCATCTGATGGGAAATGGGTGCTTCTCTGCAGGGGGAATAGGTAGAACCTTTCGGTCTCAAGAGCCAAGAAGCTGAAATTCATAAGACACTTTAGTTCCTTCTCTCCAGTTTGGAAGCTAAGCCTCCTGTGATACAGTCTGAATGACAGTCAAGCTGAAGGAGTTTTTAGGGTTGTGCCATTTGACTAAAGGGAAAAGGGACTGGAAAGAAGACTAAGGCTTCTAGATGGGAAATGCCAAAGTTTAAGTTACTCAGTGTCCAGTGCCCCACAGTTCACCAGCTAGGAGATAGAAGAACAGGAAAGGTATCATCCTAGAGAGCAGACCACTGGAGCAGCTATAGAGGTGCTACTGCCACAGGGAGGTATTTTAGATATTTCAATTACTATTTTCAAGACTTTAAACACCCCTTCTTGCTAGAAAAAGAAAGTGGGGGAAACCTGCGTCAAAGATCAGACCCTTACCTATAAAAATAACATACACATTCGCTGGAAATAAGTGAGATTCTAAGCTAAGGAGACTCTAAGACTGCAAGAGATGTTATCATAAAAGTCTGCTGCATTTATCTGATCACCACAAGTTATCAGTAATTCTCAATCTGGTCATGGACTAAGAGTGCAACTCTGCCCCAGGAATTTCCTTTTCTTTTTCATTTTTTGAAAACAAAAAAACAAAAACAAAACACAGAAAAATTAAAAGCACTGTAGCTGCAGTGAGTCCATTGTTCTCTCTATCCAACTGTCCCTGCTTCTGTATGGAGATGAACACGGGGCTGCAGCTCACTCTTAGCAAAAATTGCAGCTGTTGGTTCTGATTGTGTTCTCGCCAGCATTCCATGGATAAAGACAGAGAGAGAGAGAGAGAGAGAGGCAGAGAGGGAGGGAGAGAGGAAGGGAGGGAGGGAGAGAGGGAGAGAGAGAAAGAGAGAAAGAGAGAGAGATAGAGACAGAGACACAGAGAGAGACAGACAGAGAAAGTTCTCAGTTGGTTCCAGTCTCCAGCTCCCTTCAGGAGTGAAAAGGAGCTCAAGGGGAAGGCTCCTCATTCCAGTTCTTAGAGAAAATCAAGCTCTAAAGCCTGGTGAAGGGATACTAGGTCTCCATGGTTTGTGATCCTCCAGAAAGGCATGTTGTGCTGGAAGAGAGTGGGAATAGCTGGTTAATCCAACTTCTTCTGAGAGCTTATATAAATATTTGCCCATACTCTTTCCTCAACACACCTCTCCCCAAGGTACATGGTAACCCTATCTATCCCTGCCTCATAGGGCTGTTATAATGATCAAATAATCATATGCATAAGGACCTTGTACATTGCACACTTTAGAAATGTGAGAAATTTTAAATAGGTTTCAGTGGTACTTTGTGCTTTTGAGAGATTACCTGTTCTAGCTATTATTTTGAAGACAGGGTCTTGCTGTGTCACCCAGGCTGGAGTGCAGTGGTGTGATTATAGCTTACTGTGGCCTTGAACCCCTGGTCTCAGGTAATCCTCTTACTCCAGCATCCTGAGTAGCTGGAACTACAGGCATTCCAGTTATCATACAGGGTCTTAAGGATCAAATAAAATGGCCCAGGTGAAAAATTAGTATTTGATATAAGATTATACTGTCTCATGGATGGTCAATTTCTTGTAAGTTTCAGAACTGCAACACCTAAATCTTATCTATGTCCAAGATGGAGAATGTACAGATCTGGGAAATAATAATCCCATTATATTATGTAGTCAAAATCATGTCCAGAAAACTGTGTGCTGTTCTGGAGGCCATATTTTACTTTTTATTTTATTTTGAGACAGGCTCTCATTCTGTCACCCAGGCTGGAGTGTAGTGGTATGAACATGGCTCACTGCAGCCTTGACCTCCTGAGCTCAAGTGATCCTCCCACCTCAGCCTCCCAAGTAGCTGGGACTAAAGGCATGTGACACTATGCCTGGCTAATTCTTTATTTTTTGTAGAGATGAAGCCTCACTATATTGTCCAGGTTGGTCTTGAACTCCTGGGCTCAAGCAATCCTCCCACCTTGGCCTCCCAAAGTGCTAGGGATTACAGGCATGAGCCACTGTGCCTGGAGGCCATATTTTTTTTTTTTTTTTGAGACAGAGTCTCACTCTGTCGCCCAGGCTGGAGTGCAGTGGCACGATCTCAGCTCACTGCAAGCTCCGCCTCCCGGGTTCACGCCATTCTCCTGCCTCAGCCTCCCGAGTAGCTGGGACTACAGGTGCCTGCCATCACACCCGGCTAATTTTTTACATTTTTAGTAGAGATGGGGTTTCACCGTGTTAGCCAGGATGGTCTTGATCTCCTGACCTCATGATCGCCCGTCTTGGCCTCCCAAAGTGTTGGGATTACAGGCGTGAGCCACCGTGCCCGGCCGATATTTTTAAATTAAATTAAATTAATTTTTTATATTTTTTGAGACAGAGTCTCACTCTTTTGCCCAGGCTGGGGTGCAGTGGTGCTATCTCAGCTCACTGCAACCTCCACTCCCAGGTTTAGGTGATTCTCATGTGGAGGCCATATTTTAAAGGAGGGCTTTGATAAATCCAAGTATTGGAAACCATGTTCTATGAAGCTGAGGAGATTAACTTTCCTATCATCTAGTTGAAACTGGTTCCAAGTTACTCAGAATATTGAGGTCCTAGAACACAGTTATTTTGGCATATACCCTAGTTGTTTTTCAAGACAGCTGCTCACACATAATATTTAAAAGGCTATTAACATACAGAAGAGGAAACCGACTTGTTATGTTCAAGAATGCCAGACTAGAGGCCAGGTGCAGTGGCTCATGCCTGCAATCCCAGCACTTTGGGAGTCTGAGGTGGGTGGATCACCTGAAGTCAGGAGTTTGAGACCAGCCTGGCCAAAATGGCAAAACCCTGTCTCTACTAAAAGTACAAAAATTAGCTGGGAGTGGTGGTGTGCACCTGTAGTCCCAGCTACTTGGGAGGCTGAGGTACGAGAATCGCTTGAACCCAGGAGGCGGAGGCTGCAGTGAGCCAAGATCATGCCACTGCACTCCAGCCTGGGCGATGGAGTGAGACTCCATCTCAAAAACAAAACAAAACAAAAAAAAGAATGCCAGACTAGTATGTGAAGGTAGAGAAATTTTTGCTCAGTGGAAGGGGGAACACCCTAACAGCTTGGTTGATCCCACGGTGGAATAGGCTACTGGGAACCAGTGTCCTCATCCTTGGGCATATTCAAGCAAGGACTAGAGAGACTTCTGTCAGAAAGGCTGCAGAAAATATCCTTCACAGAGTATAGGTTGAACTGGATAAAGTGCTAAGGCATTTTCCAATTGGTATATACTTTGTTTGTTTTTTTTGAGACAGGGTCTTGTTCTGTTGCCCAGGCTGGAGTGCAGTGGCACGATCTCGGCTCACTGCAACCTCCGCCTTCAGGGTTCAAGCAATTCTTGTGCCTCAGCCTCCCGAGTAGCTGGGATTACAGGAGTGCACCACCATGCCCGGCTAATTTTTATATTTTTAGTAGAGACGGGATTTCACCATGTTGGCCAGGCTAGTCTCGAACTCCTGACCTCAGGTGATTTGCCTGCCTCAGCCTCCCCAAGTGCTAGGATTATAGGCATGAGCCACCGTGCCCAGCCTCAATGGATGTATTCTGTTGTAGATGATTAAAGACATTAGCTCAGAGTTACCAACTCTGCTGATGAGTTGTTCTCTCCCCCATACCCTTCTTCAGACCAGGAAACATTGATGCCTACACCCACTAGTGTCTTTCCCAAAGAGGGCAACAAGAAGCACTTTAGAATCAAAGCTTCATAACATATGTGAAAAAATAAGGATCCCTGAATTGCTACATAAAGTGACAAATGAAAACATGAGATAATAATGCCAACTGATTACCAATCTCATAGTTTATTATAGTTGCTAAGGTTTCCACTTAACTGGATGAAGAGTATCAGGGCAGTTGGTTCTAGCTGGCAACCCAATGCCTCCATGTCTAAGAAATAGAGTTGCTGGAAGAAAATAAATTGGGATAGGGAGGGAAAGAACTTCTACAGATCCATTTAGCAGATGAGGATACTCAAAGAGGATAATTGTTCAAATTCACATAGCTGAGACACAGATGGGATTTTAAGTTCTATAGCCAAGACTCTTTCATCTATTGTTTCCTATATTAAGAAGGGGTGACCTGGGCCAGGCGTGGTGGCTCAAACCTGTAATCCCAGCACTTTGGGAGGCCGAGGCAGGCGGATCACAAGGTCAGGAGTTCGAGACCAGCCTGGCCAATACGGGAAACCCCGTCTCTACTAAAAATACAAAAATTAGTTGGGCATGGTGGCGGGTGCCTGTAGTCCCAGCCACTTGGGAGGCTGAGGAAGGAAAATTGCTTGAACCCAGGAGGCGGAGGTTGCAGTGAGCCAAGACTGTGCCACTGCATTCCAGCCTGGGAGATAGAGTGAGACTCTATCTCAAAAACAGAAAAAAAAAGAAAAAAGAAAAAAAGAAGGGGTGACCTGAAGTTGGGACCTGTATAGTGGTGGGGTTAACATCAGAACAATCTTTCCAGGGCTCAAAGGCAGGAAAGACTTTCTCTACAGAAACAGCTATTGGTTGTACTGTCTGAGAACTTGAAGCATGGAAAAGAAAGAATGATTAGCCTTTTTGCAGTCAAGTCTGATGCTTGAGAAGGCACTGTCTTTGAAGATGGAAGATGGGGCACATCTCAGGTTTAATGATGGGATCCCTGTAGAAGGGCTTAAAGATTTTAAGATTCTTGAGTGACAGGGAGGAAGAGGAAGGGATGGATCTAAAAACTTAAGAGGAAAAACTCCATCTGGAGAAAAAAAAGACCCTCTTTTTCTTTAAAGAAAAATGGGAGAGGAAGAAAGAGAAAATATTATAAATGCATAATAGATTGCTAAGATTTTGTAGTTTTTCCCATTTTTCTCATTACTCGATGTACAACCACATAGACTATTTTTCTTTACCATGGTTACCTGTTTGGCTGCAATTTCTTCATCTCGTCCATCTCCAATCACTACATATGTGACTTTCTTTCCAAACCTTGACACAATTCTCTCAAAGCAGCTCTCCTTACCTGATGAGAAAAAGAAATTTCCTGTTAGAATACTCTTCTCTTCTTTTCAAAACCAAAGAAGAGGGCTGCTGCTAGGTTCACCTGCCTGTGCTTAGGTGGACTAAGTGACAGCCCATGTAGTTTGCTTGCTGGGGAGTAGGGATGGGAGCTAGAGATCCAGTAGACCCTCTGCCCAAAGAATGTGAAGTTGTGCCATTAAAATAACTTGGCCGGGCATGGTGGCTCAAGCCTGTAATCCCAGCACTTTGGGAGACCGAGGCGGGCGAATCACCTGAGGTCGGGAATTTGAGACCAGCCTGACCAACATGGAGAAACCCCGTCTCTACTAAAAAACAAAATTAGCTGGGCATGGCGGCGCGTGCCTGTAATCCCAGCTACTGGGGAGGCTGAGGCAGGAGAATCGCTTGAACCCGGGAGGCGGAGGTTGCAGTGAGCCGAGATCATGCCATCGCACTCCAGCCTGGGCAACAAGAGCGAACTCTGTCTCAAAACAAACAAACAAACAACCCAAAAACTTATTTTAACCTTCACGTTGAGGGTGAAGTCCCTAAGATCTTAGTGTGAGGGAATTTCTATAAATGGGAAAGATTAATAGGTTTAGTGACTTGCCCCTAGATCACAAACAAGCAAGTAGCTAGAACTTGGGGCCCCTGACTCCAAATCTAGGCTCTGGTCATTGTGTCATAATGAATGAATGATTTTTGGGGTGAAATGTTTTAGGGTAGAAAAGAGAAGTGAAAACACAAGGCCCTGATTTCTTGTTAGAAACAATAACAAACAAAAAGCCATTTCCCTCCAATTCTTCATTTCCCAGAAACAGTCCTGGGTATAGGCCTTACGTCTTTCAGTGAGAGAACAGCCCCAGAATAGAACTGAGAACAGTGACCAATAAATATGGCATCAACATTTGTCATATCTGGAACCTCCTTACTTACTATACCTTGTAGTTGTAACCAAGATACTGCATCACTGAAATTGACCTTGGGAAATGGGTGATTTAAATCCATTTCTCAGAACTGCAGACAGTTTTGAGAAACATGGCAGTGTATCAAAACTCAAATCCCATCTGCAACCAACACCTAAAACATACACAGATCATACTGCTGTGGGAAAGATACTTTATTTGTATAAATAAAAAGAAGTTATATCCCTTGCTCTTTTTATCTCCCTGCTTCTGCCACCTTCTTCAGTTAAACAAGGTCCTAACTTTGGCTTTCTTCTTCATCCTGCTCTATTAACCTTCTTGTTCTTTCCCCTTGCCCAACAGAGTGACTTAGCACCAGGGTTCCTGTGTAAATAAGATAAAGCTGCCTCTTCCTCAAGACATTTGACTGCCATCTGCTGGAAAATCACTGTAATATATAAATATACAAATCTAAGATAACTGTAACATAATTGGCCAGAACTTATACTTCCATACGCAGAAGTCCTACTTGGCACAGAAGTTGTGCAGATATGTAACTGCAAATCTTTGACATCCTTAACCCAGTGGCACTTCAAAACAGACGGACTAGTCAACTGGACCAGACACTAGATCACTCTGGGCTCAGCTGGCCACTTACAATACAAGGCTTGGCTTAGGTGCACTTGGGTCTCTTTTAGTGCTAATATTTTACAATAGAATTGTCATGCCTTACATTCATATGAGGGATTCAATCAATGTTTGCTGAGTAAATTCATATTAATCTCACAAATGATTCAGTGGAGGACTGTAGTCCAGGTCTTATGCCTCAATTCAGTTCAAACATTAAACCATTCAACTAATAATAAATTCTTATTATGTTCATGGTGTTGAAGAGTTCTTTAATTCCATTTCACCCATTACAGCTTTACAAACTAAGCCAACCTCCACCAGATGCACAGTCTACTATGATCTGTCTGTAGCAAAAAACTTTTTTAAGTGAGTCAGTTTGACTTTCTTGTAAGACTCAACAAAGGCAGTAACTCATATTTTGAGGATAAGAACACAGACATTTTCACTGTCCTGGCATGCAATGATCAAGGATGAAATATACTCTGTAATGTCTCCTTTAAAAGGATTAAGAGGCCAAGAGAGTTATTAACAGCTCAAAGTAAAGAAGCAGCTCCATGAAAACAGGACTCACTCCAATACAGTTGGTAAAATACTTCCATTTCTGGATATGAGCTTTCCTGTTCAGGAGGATGAGGCCAATGATTAATCAGTTTACCATATGTCAAGCAATTGAAGCTGGTGAACTGTAAGATCAGCCAAATCTTTGGAGAATATTAGTCCCTGGGTTTTCTCTATTAAAATATTTCTAGCCAGGAGCGGTGGCTCAAGTCTGCAATCCCAGCACTTTGGGAGGCCTAAGGCAGGAGGATTACTTGAGCACAAGAGTTTGAGATTAGCTTGGGCAACACAGTGGGACCTTTTCCCTACAAAAAATTAAAAAATTAGCTGGGTATGGTGGTGGAACACGCCTGAAGTCCTGGCTACTCAGGAGGCTGATGTGGGTGGATCGCTTGAGCGTGGGAAGGTTAAGGTTGCAATGGGCTATAATCGTGCCACTGCACTCCAGCCTAGGTACCAGAGTGAGACCCTGTCTCAAGAAAACCCCCCAAAACAAAAAAAACTTCTGACATTTTCAGAAATTATTTTGAGAATTCTCTTTAATGTCCCCAAATCACAGAATGGCCATTAAGAGAACCATATTTTGCTATCATTTCAGAGGAAGTGAAAAAGTATTTCTTCTCCTTGCTCCCATTTCACAGTTCTGTGAAGAAAAGCCTCAAGCCTCCTACTGTGGTTACCATAGCACCAGATCCCACTGCAGCTTTGCAAATTAGCTCTGGATGAACTGAGACTGAGGAAAAATACCAAATAAGCACACTTACTGACAGAGGGAATGAGATCATTTCCATTAGCCTGATGAGCCTGCGGGTGCCAGGTCTCAGTATAATAAGCACTACAGAAAATCTGTCTTTCAGATGTGGGAGGCTCAGTGAGTGCTCTGGGTTCCTATGATATACATAAAGCAACCGGCAGCAGGAACAATATCTGAAGGGAGCGCTTTCATATATGTTCCCTTCCACCCAATCCCTTGTAAATGAAATAATTCAACCATACAAAAAAGCATGGAGAATTACCAGCCTTGACAACAAAGTGAGACCCCATTTCTACAAAAAATAGGAAAAGTTAGGCATGGCGGTGTGCATCTATAATCCCAAGCTACTCGAAAAGCTGAGGTGGGAGGGTTGCTTGAGCCAGGGAGGTCGAGGCTGTAGTGAGTCGTGATCACTGAACTCTAGCCTGGTGAGACCCTGTCTCAAAAAAAAAAAAAAAAGAAAAAAATGCCTACCACCAACGAAGCTTTGTAAAATCTTAACACTTCACAGTTGCTGTATTTATTTACTTATTTATGAGACAAAGTCTTGCTATGCCATCCAGGCTGAAGTACAGTGGCACAATCATAGCTCACTGCAGCCTCAAACTTGTGGGCTGAAGTGCTCCTCCCACCTTAGCCTCCAGAGTACCTAGGATTGTAGGTACAAGCCATCACACCTGGCTAATTTTTTTTTTTTTTTTTTTGAGACAGAGTCTTTCTCTGTTGCCCAGACTGGAGTGCAGTGGCGTGATCTTGGCTCACTGCAACCTCCGCCTCCCAGGCGCAAGCAATTCTCGTGCCTCAGCCTCCTAAGTAGCCAGGACTACAGGTGCCCGCCACCATGCCCAGCTAATTTTAGTAGAGACTGGGTTTCACCGTGATGCCCAGGGTGGTCTTGAACTCCTGAGCTCAGGCAATCCACCTGCCTCGGCCTCCCAAAGTGCTAGGATTACAGGCATGAGCCACGGCTCCTGGCCACACCTGGCTAATTAAAAAAATTTTTTTTGTAGAGATGGGGTCTGACTATGTTGTCCAGGCTGATCTCAAACTCCTGGTCTCAAGTGATTCTCCCACCTCAGCCACCCAAAGCCCTGGGATGACAGGCGTGAGCCACTCCACCTGACCCTTATAGTTGCTCTAGATTAAAAAAAAAAAAAAATCAAGACATTACAGAACAAAACTTTTCAAGTACTCCTAAAATGTAAATATTTTAAATCTTTATATAGATATTACATACTGTACATTTATCTGTCTGCAATGTTTTTTGTTCATCAGTTTTTCTTTTTTTTTGAGACAGAGTCTTGCTCTGTTGTCCAGGCTGGAGTGCAGTGGTGCAATCTTGGCTCACTATAATCTCCGCCTCCTGGGTTCAAGCTATTCTCAGGCCCCCGAGGAGCTGGGATTACAGGCGCACACCACCATGCCCAGCTAATTTTTGTATTTTTTGCAGAGATGGGGTTTCACCATGTTGGCCAGGCAGGTGATCCACCCACCCTGGCCTCCCAAAGTGCTGGGATTACAGGCGTGAGCCACCGCGCTTGGCCTATTGTTTTTAATATTAATCCTTATGAGTATA
Organism: Homo sapiens; assembly: GCF_000001405.40. Taxonomy (NCBI): domain Eukaryota; kingdom Metazoa; phylum Chordata; class Mammalia; order Primates; family Hominidae; genus Homo; species Homo sapiens. Next base: position 27,982,897 of record NC_000001.11, read on the forward strand.
TGTAATTTTACTTAATCCACTTTTAACTGCAATATAGCATTCTGTTGTTTGAATATATCTATCAATTTTCTGTTCATGGACAGGTTTACAGACCAATTATTTTCTATGATAAGCAAGTGTGCATCAAAAAAATCCTTGTACATGTCTCCTTGTACATGTAAGAATTACTCAAAGGTAGAGGTTAGCAAACTTTTTCTGTAAAGAGTCAGAGAGTATATAGTATATATTTTAGGCTTTGCAGGCCCTATGGTCCCTGTTGCAACTATTCAGCTCTGCTACTGTAGTGTGAAAGCAGCTATATAAATAAGTGGGCACGGTTTCAATAAAAACTTACACAAACAGCCAGAGGGTAGGATTTAGCCCATGGACTGTAATTTGCAGACCCCTGCTCTAAAGTATATATATATCTTAAAAGTGGAATTGCATGATCATAGGGTTATGTACACCTCAAACTTCATTAGACATTAACGTTCTCCAAAGCAGGTTATATCCATTTTCAATCCCACTTGCAGAGGCAGAGTTCCCATTACATTGTTAGATTTAAGTTTTTGTCTATCTGATGGTTGGAGAATGTACCACATTTAAATTTGCATTTTCTTGATTTGCAGTTCCTTAATTTGTGAGGTTAAGGACTTATTCATATATTTACTGACAGTTTTGTTTTCCTCTTCGGCAAACTGGTTGTTTCAAGGTTTTTGCCTATTTTTCTATATTCAAAATTGTCTCTTGCTTACTGATTTGCAGGAATTCTTTATAGATTCTGCATTCTTTTTCTTTTGAGATGGAGTTTCGCTCGTTGCCCAGGCTGGAGTGCAATGGCGCAATCTTGGCTTACTGCAACCTCTGCCTCCCCCACTCAAGCGATTCTCCTGCCTCAGTCTCCCCAGTAGCTAGGATTACAGGCGTGTGCCACCACGCCCAGCTAATTTTGTATTTTTAGTAGAGACAGGGTTTCACCATGTTGGTCAGGCTGCTCTCAAACTCCTGACCTCAGGTGATCCACCCACCTCGGCCTCCCAAAGTGCTGGGATTACAGGCATGAGCCATTAAGCCTGGCAGTTCTTCATAGATTCTGTATTCTAACTGCCAATTAAATGTGTTGTAAATACCTTATCCCAAAATGTGGGCTTGTCTTGTTACCTTTTTTCAAGAGACAAGGTCTCCTTCTGTTGCCCAGGCTAAAGTGCAGTGCAGTGGCACAGTCACAGCTCACTGCAGCCTCCTTGAACTCTTGGGCTCAAGTGATCCTCCCGCCTTAGCCTCTTGAGTAGCTGGGATTACAGGCACTCACCACCACACCCGGCTAATTTTTATTTTTATTTTTGTAGAGATGGGGCCTCACTATGTTACCCACGATGGTCCTGAACTCCTGGCCTCAAGTGATGCCTTGGCCTCCCAAAGTGCTGGAATTAAAGGCATGTGCCCAGCTTGTCACTTTGTTATATTTAACTGTATGTAAAATTAAAAGTTCCATGCAATCAATGATTTTTTTTTTTTGCTTTTTATACTATCTTTTGATTCTTAAAAGAGGCCCATCCTCACCTTAAGATCACACAGATACTCTTCTATATTTTCTCCTAAAAATTAAAAAACTTACCTTTTGCGGTAAGTTTTTAATCTACCTGTAATTTATTTTTGCATATAACATAAAGAAGGAAAACAATTCTGCCTTTTTTCCTATATGGATAATCCAGTTATCTTAGCACCACTGATCGAAGGTAAGTTCCATGAGGACAGAGGACTTTTGTCACTGCTGTATTCCTAGTGCCTTGGCGTTGCCTAGCACACAATAAGCACCGTTATTATTTTTCCTCATCTAGTGGATCGTTTCCATCTGCATATAAAATAGATATAATTTCTCTTATGAATCTTATAAATCCTCTGAAGTCCATATAACTCTAGAGCCACTACTTCATTTTTCTGTTCCTCTCCAAACAAACCTCCTCTAAAGAGTTGTATAGTTCCCTTCTCCAACTCTCCTTCCATTCTCTCTCATTTACTAATAAGTTAGTAAAAATATTAGAACAGGCCTAATAAAAATATTGTTAGACCAGTTCTATAAAATTTCAATTCTCTCTTAAACTACTTCCAATTAGGGTTTAATCCCGATCACTCCCCTATTCAAACTGCATGTCAAAGCTATTAATGATCTTCATGTATCTAAAAACAATCTTCAATTCAATTCTCAAGTCTTTTTTTGAGACAGGGTCTCACTGTGTTGCCCAGACTGGAGTACAGTGGCATAATCACGGCTCACTGCAGTTTTGACCACCTGGGCTCAAGCGATTGTCCCACCTCAGCCTCCCAAGTAGCCGGGACTACAGACATGCACCACCACTCCCAGCTAATTAAAAAACAAAAAAAACAAAAACAAAAACAACTATGTAGCCCAGGCTGGTCTTGAACCCCCGGGCTCAAGCAATCCTTCTGCCTCAGCCTCTCAAAGTGCTGGGATTACAGGTGTGAACCACTGTACCTGGCCCTTGGGTCTCATTTGACCCATCAACAACATTAGAAGGAGTTGATCACTCTTCCTTCATTCTTTCAAGACACCATTCTTCTCATTCTCCTCCTGCCTCACAGGTCAATCTTCCTGACACATTTTGCTGGTTCTTCCTCATGATCCAAACATTAGAGGACCCCAGGGCGTAGTTCTTAGACCTCTATTCTTCTCTATCTCTACTCACTTCTTTTTTTGTTGTTGAGGTGGAGTCTCGCTCTGTCACCCAGGCTGGAGTGCAGTGGCGCCATCTCGGCTTACCGCAACCTCCACCTCCCAGGTTCAAGCGATGCTCCTGCCTCAGCCTCCCGAGTAACTGTGATTACAGGCGCCTGCCACCAAGCCCAGCTAGTTTTTGTATTTTTAGTAGAGAGGGGGTTTCATCATGTTGACTAGGCTGGTCTTGAACTCCTGGCCACAAGTAATCAGCCCGTCTTGGCCTCCCAAAGTGCTGAGATTACAGGTGTGAGCCACTACACTTGGCCTGTACTCACTTCTAAGATCTCATTTTACTTGAGAAAACTGAGGCTCAGGAAAGAAGATAATCTGCCTAAGGTGAGAGCTAGTAGTAGGGAGGCCAGGACTTAAATCCTTGTCCTTGATGTTTATTTTCTTTTTCCTTTAAAAAAAAAAGCTGGTAAAATATGCATAACATGAAATTCACTAATCTTTAAAACAAAAAATTTTGGCGAGGTGCGGTGGCTCATGCCTGTAATCCCAGCACTTTGGGAAGCTGAGGCAGATGGATCACCTGAGGTCAGGAGTTCAAGACCAACCTGACCAACATAGTGAAACCCCGTCTCTACTAAAAATATAAAATTAGCTGGGCATGGTGGTGCATGCCTGTAATCTCAGCTACTTGGGACGCTGAGGCAAGAGAATCGCTTGAACCTGGGAGGCAGAAGTTGCGGTAAGCCAAGATCGCACCATTGCACTCCAGCCTGAGCAACAAGAGCGAAACTCCAACTCAAAAAAAAGTAGCATAAAATTTACTCTCTTAACATTTTTTTTTTTTTTTTTGAGGCAGAGTCTCACTCTGTTGCCCAGGCTGGAGTGCAGTAGCGCGATCTCGGCTCACTGCAACTCCACCTCCCAGGCTCAAGCAATTCTCCTGCCTCAGCCTCCCAAGTAGGTGGGATTACAGGCTCACGCCACCATGCCCGACTAATTTTGTATTTTTAGTAGAGACAGAGTTTCACCATTGTGGCCAGGCTGGTCTTGAACTCCTGACCTCAAGTGATCCACCTGCCTTGGCCTCCCAAAGTGCTGGGATTACAGGCGTGAGCCACTGTGCCTGGCTTCTCTTAACAATTATTATTATTTCGAGATGGAGTCTCACTCTGTCACCCAGGCTGGAGTGCAGTGGTGCAATCTCGGCTCACTGCAACCTCCGCCTCTCAGGTTCAAGGGATTCTCCTGCCTCAGCCTCCTGAGTAGCTAGGACTGCAGGCGAGTGCCACCACGCCCAGCTAATTTTTTGTATTTTTAGTAGAGATGGGGTTTCACCGTGTGAGCCAGGATAGTCTCGATCTCCTGACCTTGTGATCCACCCACCTGAGCCTCCCAAAGTGCTGGGATTACAGGTGTGAGCCACTGTACCCGGCCTCTTAACAATTTTTAAGTGTAAAGTTCTGTCATGTTAACTATTATTTAACAGATGTCTGGAACCTTTTCATTTTGCATGACCGCAACTCTATACCCGTTGAACAATTCCCATTTCCCTTCCCCTCCAGCCTCTGGCAATTATCATTCTACTTTCAGTTCTATGCATGTGATTACTTTAGAAGCCTCATATAAATGGAATCATAAAGTATTTGTCTTTTTGTGATTGTCTTATTTTCACTTTCATTTAGCATGTCTTCAAGGTTCAGCCATGATGTAGCCTGTGACAGAATTTCCTTCCTTTTTAAGGCCAAATAATATTTCACTGTACGTGTATACCACATTTTGTTTATCCATTCATCCACATTTGACATTTGAGCTGCTTCTAAGCTCTGAACTATTGTCAATAATGCTGCTATAAACATGAGTGTGCAGGTATCTCTTTGAGACCCTGCTTTTGGATATTTGGATATATTTCAAGAACCTGAGACCCAATTCTCTCAGATATTTACGCAGAAGATTACCCAGGCTGAACTCAAACTCCTGGGCTCAAGTGATCCTCCTGACTCAGCCTCCCAAATACCTGGGACTACAGGTATGCACCACCGTGTCTATCAACAGTTGCATCATTTTATAATCTTACCAACAGTGCACAAAGGTTCCAATTTCTCCACATCCTTGTCAATACCTTTTATTTATTTATTTAGAGACGGAGTCTCGCTCTGTCACCCAGGCTGGAGTGCAGTGGCGCGATCTCAGCTTACTGCAAGCTCCGCCTCCCAGGTTCATGCCATTCTCCTGCCTCAGCCTCCCAAGTAGCTGGGACTACAGGCGCCTGCCATCATACCCAGCTAATTTTTTGGTCAATACCTGTTATTTTATTTAAGACATAGGGTCTCATTCTGTCACCTAGATTATAGCACAGTGGCAAGATCACATAGCTCACTGCAGCATTGAACTTCTGGCTCAAGTGACCCTCCCACCTTAACCTTCCAAGTAGTTAGGACTACAGCTGCGTGCCACCACACCCAGCTAATTAAAAAAACTTTTTTGTAGAGACGGAGGTCTGCCATGTGGCTCAGGCTGGTGTTGAACTCCTGGCCTCAAGTGATCCTCCCGTCTCAGCCTCCCAAAGTGGTGGTAATACAGGTATGATTCATCTTGTCTGGCCACCATTTTTAGGTATATAGTTTAGAAGCTTGATTTTTAACCTAGTGCTTTTTCTATTATACTACATACTCTCTGTGAAAAAGAGAAACTTGAAATGAGGCAAAACTAGATTTCTAAGCTAGATATTATGTTCTTTCAAATATTATCAAAGAGCATGCTTATGTAACTTACTAGCTGTGAGAACCTGAGCAAGCTATATAACTACTAAGCCTCAATTGCATTACTGAAAATATTAGAAGACTGTTGTGAGGACTGTAGGTATTACAAATAAAGTGTCTAACAAGAGGGGCTAGAAAATAATAGGTGCATCATGAGTAGAAAGTTTTATTGCAAGGCCAGTGACAAGAAACAGCATAGAAACCATACCAATTTTGGTAGCACTATAGATGTTCTCAATAGGAAATATTTCTCCTAGTCCATATAGGAGAACCTTGGCCAGGGCTGGAACCAGCTGGGTGGTAGTGATCAGAACATTCACACAATTCTTTCTATAAGGGAGTAAAAGGGAAAAGAAAAGGTGAAACTAAACCAACCTGGGAGCAAGAATTCGTATGTGCCAACTCTTTAGAATTTAATTATTAAAAATTAACTTTAAAGGACCTGGTATTATACTGTTCAGAGCCAATGTTCAGCTACTACTCATTATTTCATGTTCATTTACTTTCTATATTAAAGGGCAGAGATTCTACTCATTTTTGTTATCTTAGTGGACACACAGCAACAACTTAGTTCTTGCCTTCTTTCCCCTCTGACCATTCTAGTCACAAGTACTTGATAAATACCACCAACCCATGTCACTGATAGCATATTTTAGAAAACAAACAACAAAAAGCTCTGAGCTGTACTCTTTCATCTGAATGCAAGTCAGTCCATAAATGAGATATGATTTGTGTTCGCTTTGCTCTTCACACAATAGCAACATAGATTCTAGAATACACATTAATTTTATATGTCCTTTACCTTCACCAGATATCCACTCCTTGGTGTCAGCTTTACTGTTTACTACGTTGTGGATCTGGAATTACTGCTTTGCGGGAGGGAGTAATAGGGTATTGGTGCAGACACAGACTGGTGCATTTATTTCCCAGTCTAAGCTTCACGTTGAAATCTCCTTAATCTGCTTAATGTACCCTTTTTCTTTTGAATCTTGCCTTCTTTAGTGGGTTTGGATACATTTCTTGGAGCTTCCTGTACCTAGGACATTGTAATAACATCTCCTCCATGTATTCTTTGACGTCACCAGGTCCAACTTATGGACAAGAGATTATGGGTTACTGAGTTTTAATTTCGTGAGCAAAAAGTAAGGAGAAAGAAAAAGGATTTCATATATAAATATTCTCTTAAAACTAGAAGTTGTGCTGTTAACATAAAATGACCTTGCTTCTCACCTAACACAAATACTTCCCTACATCATTTAAACTCCTCTCTACCCCTATCCCAAACCCTATTTTAGAGAATGGCTTATCCTGAACTGGAGTAGAAGAATATGTCGCTGAGAGGATGAGACCTAAAAGAACCATTTCCATACCTGGACTGGATGAGAAGTAAGGACTTTAATGCAGTTCCTAACCAGGAATCTGTTAAAACTTCAATTTCTGCTCTTAATCTCTGCAGTGCTTCCTTCCTCTGGGGACTGAGGAGACCTTTAGGAATAAAAGCAGACACATTTATCATTTGACAACATATATTTGCTGACAGTGAGAAAGCAACTTCTAAATTCAATTTAAAAAGTGTGAGTCACTGAAATATTCTACTGAGTATGTTTATATATATATATATACATATACGTATTTTTTTCCCATGAACACATGTGCTTTATTGAATTCCATTGTAGACAGGTGAATATAAACTGCTGTATATAGGGGTGGGGTCAAAAGGGCAGGACCAACAGCCCCAGGGTGCAGGGTCAGCAGTGGAGTACATGGGCTCTACTACTGGCCTTGGAGATCCTTTATCTTCTGAGAAATTGCTTGGAAGATTATCACTGAGCTAGTGGTGAAAAGCATGATGAGTGCAATGACCACAGGGATGTCGAGGAACAGGGTACAGATGTTCAAGCACTTGGTGGTGGAGGCACAGGCCTGCGCCCCGGTCACATCACCCACCATCTTCCTGTCCCTAGACTTCATGCAGTACACTAATGCTATGAAGCCCAGGAAGCACTAGTTTATGAAGAGCATTTTGAACAGGGTTTGGGCATGGAGGTCTCACTGCAGATGTGGATCACAGAGGACATCAAGGGAGCAGAGCTATGGGGTGCCCCTAGCATGGCAACCTCGTGTTTCTCCTTGAACATCTCCTAATTTGTCGGGAGGCCAGTGTTGGCGTGAGTGAACAAGGATTTGGAAGTGTGGTTCTTGGTGTCAAGATAAGACCAGTTGTCCTTTTTTTTTTTTTTTTTCTGAGATGGAGTCTTGCTCTGTCGCCCAGGCTGTAGTGTAGTGGTGCAATCTCAGCTTACTGCAACCTCCGCCTCCCAGGTTCAAGCAATTCTCTGCTTCAGCCTCCTGAGTAGCTGGGATTATAGGCAGCTGCCACCACACCCAGCTAATTTTTGTATTTTTAGTAGAGATGGGGTTTCATCATATTGGCCAGGCTGGTCTTGAACTCCTGATCTCATGATCCACCCACCTTGGCCTCCCAAACTGCTGGGATTACAGGTGTGAGCCACCGTGCCTGGCATTTTTTTTTTTTTTAATTTCTCTTCTTGGAGAAACCTTAGAGTAGTGCTACCCAGAATGCCATTTTTACTTTCTTTATCACAGTGTTTTGGGGATGTTCAGGCAAAGATAAATTTTTAGAAAAATCTTGTTACGGGGACACAATAACAACAATAAAATCAGCTGACAGAAATAATTTAGATTCTGGTGCAAGCTCCTTCTTTCATCACCAACCAATAGCATATCTTTTGCAGACTGGTTGACCACACTTTGAATTGCACTGCTTAGAACATGACATCAAGAACCAAAGTGCGAAAAATTAGTGTTACAGCTAGAAGAGTCCTTAGCATTTCTAATCTCTCTGTAAAGAAACGAAACCCAATGAAAAAAAGGGCCCTAAGATTACACAGTAAGTTTGCAGCTTTTGGTCTTAAGAAGTCTTTCCACTACTCCACAGAACTTCCATGGTGACTACTTGTCCACTTGCTTCAGAACATGTTGACATGAAATTCCAGGTTGAATGACTAATTCTCCATACTGTACTTCTGAAACAACTCCAACTGATAAGACACTAAAACACTACCCAAGACTAGATATCTAAGCACAAAAGAGAGCTCATATGATGGGAGCCTGCTCTCAGACACTTCAGTTAAAATATTCAAGCAGTAAATCTGGATCTGAATTTTCTACAGTGAAGGTTAAAAAAAAATCCTGTATTCTATTAGTAATACTCCATAAAAGCAGATGGCATTTTTGTGAGGAGGAGAACTGGAGTATAATTTGTTTTCAGATTGATGGTTCCACAATGTAAGCCTAGAATTAGATGACTCTTAACATTTTGGATAAAACAAAACGACAACAAAACCAGTACCTATATATGATATACTCAACTAATACATGATGTGGCGCTTTCATCAATTCATATTGTACAAAACATACAGCTGGCCATTAATTTTAATCTATTCTCCAAAGTAGGCTCAGAGGATTCTCACACAGGGTTACATCGCTTTGTTCAGGAAACCAGGTCCAGGCATTGGGCAGGGAAAAGATAAAGAGACTCAGGCTGTATATGAAAACTAACAAAAGAAAGGCTAATGTTTGTGAGAAAGAAAATGCAAAAAGATGTGGAGTTACCAAAATAAAAAATACTGGCTTTGAATCATGAGAAGAAATAAGCAACAAAAAGGGGAATCTGAAAAAAGTAAATTAGATTCCTGAAGTCTGGAAGCCCATGATTTTTATCTGGTATTAGAGAGCTGTAACTGAAATGAACCAAATTGATCTGTAAAGTCTTGTTCCTACTTTCTGCGCCATATTGTAAGGCAGCATAGTATAGTACAAGGGCTCTTGACCTTGAGTAAAATACCTCTAGGCCAGCAGTCCTCAACCTTTTCAGCACCAGGGACCAGTTTCGTAGAGGACAATTTTTCCATGGACCTGGGTGGGGGGCGAGAGGTTTCGAGATGAAATTGTTCCACCTCAGATCATCAGGCATTAGTTAGATTTTCATAAGGAACATGCAACTAGATCCCTTGCATGTGCAGTTCACAATAGGGTTTGTACTCCTATGAGAATCTAATGCCGCCACTGATCTGACAGGAAGTGGAGCTCAGGCAGTAATACTCACTTGCCGGCCTGCTCACTTCCTGCTATGTGGCTGTGCTGCCTGGTTGCTAACAGGCCGCTGACTGGTATCAGTCTGAGGCCCGGGAATTGGGGACCCCTGCTCTAGGCAGGCTATGTAATCCCTGAATCTTTGAGCAACATTTTGTATGTATTTGTATCTTTGATGGTGATGGTTTACAGTTTTAAATATTTTCTCAAAAGAGTACCTCACTATAAAAGGAGCTGCATGAAAGTGCACTGGACCAAAAAGTTAGGGAATGTGAATTTCAAACATGGTATGGTTACAAATTTGCAATGTGACCATGAATAAGCTGCCCCCACTACCCCTATGATGGACATCACTTTTCTCAACTGTAAAATGAGGAATTCAGATTAGACTTCTGTCTCTTTTAATTCAAACAATCTATGATTAATTAATTCTAAATAATAGAATTTTAGGCTTAGTGGCATCTGGCATTTGAAATATTTCTGGTCAGAAAGAATTTCCAAGATTCTTTAAATCACAACACATTGATACTACCAACCTACAATCCTGGACCTAGATTTCTGTCCACGAAAAGTTACTAGCTAGTTCTACTTAACTTGTCCTGATAGTTATATAAACCAGCCAAAAAAAAAAATGTGGCACCCTATTAACTAGCGTTGACAGCAGTTGTGATACATGTCATCAAACATAATCTACAGAACATGTTTCCTTTAAAAAGGCATTTGTCCAAAGACAACAAGAGAACTTTCCAAAATTATGCTTAGAGAAGCCCGTTAGAAATATAGAGCTTCCTCCCAAAAGGTTTCAACCAAACCTCTATTTTTTTAAATACAGAGTTTAACATATAACTGTGGCATAATTTATAAGCAGTTGTCATGGGGAATCTAAGGAATCCCTGGAAAGAAAAGGAGGAAACCAGGAAGAAACAGAGAATCAGACTGGTTATATGCCACACTTACCACCCACGTTGCTTTTATGCTTATCATAGATTTCTCTCACTTTCCGGTAGCGGAAAGCTAGTTTCCTCATCCAGTCCACACCTCCCTGAACACCCACAGATGAACCATGGCTGCCACTACCTCCTGAGCCACTGAAACCATCTGTTGAGAAACTGTAGTTGCTGCAAGGAGAGAAGATAATAAAAATTAAAATTTATACAGCATAAAGTTTTTGTTTGAGTGCTATTTGGTTGGGTTCTTGGTATCTGATAAATAAGGCCAATGGCTTTAAGGATCTTCTTCCTTAATCTCTGTATGTCAGAGTCTATCTTTCATTAGTTCTCTATCTCACACTTATTACTTCTATCAAAGAAAGGACTGAAATGAGAGAGGGAATGAAAGGTAGAAACAATTCAAGCACCAGCATTCCTTAGAGGTTGACTTGGGATAAGGCATCTTTTTCACTAATGACAGAAAATAACCACACAGTGAAAAAAGCAGAATATAAAATTTTGTGAGTACACTTACACACACAGTGATTGCAACTATGTAAAAAGGAGAAACATGAAAAAATAATGAAAGGAAATAGGCTAAAATGCTAACAATGGTAAGATAATGGCAGATATTTCCTTAAGTGATCTGCTGGCTGGTTTATGTTCATAGGTCACTGTGGTAGCTTCAAAATATATCTACAAATTCTTTGATATTCCTCTCTTCTAATTCTGCTCCCCTTGGGTATGGACTATACTTAAAATATAAATAGAAAGTGATAAAACTGATAGTGTTAGGCTTCAGAGACTAGGCTTCTTCTGCTCTCTCTTGGAGCACTTGCTCTGGAAGAAGCCAGCTGTCACGTGAGAACATTCAAGCAGCCCCATGGAGAGGTATGTGTAATGAGGAACTAAAGCCTTCTGTCATCAGCCACATGTCAGAGATTGGAAGCACATTCTCCAGCTCCAGTTAAGCTTTCAGATGATTAGAGCTCTAGCCAACATCTTGATTTCAACCCCAGAAACTCTAATTGAGAACTACCTCTGGGGCTGAATGCAGTGGCTCATGCCTATAATCCCAGCACTTTGGGAGGCCGAGGCGGGTGGATCTCCTGAGGTCCCGCCTCGGCCAACATGGTGAAACCCTGTCTTTACAAAAAATACAAAAATTAGCTGGGTGTGGTGGCGCATGCCTGTAGTCCCAGCTACTCGGGAGACTGAGGAAGGAGAATCGCTTGAGATTGGAAGGCAGAGGTTGCAATGAGCCAAGATCACGCCACTGCACTTCAGCTTGCGGGGGGAAAAGAACTACCCCTGGCCAGGTGCAGTGGCTGGTGCCTGTAATTCCAACTATTTGGGAGGCTGAAATGGGAGGATTGCTTGAGGCCAGGAGTTTGAGACCAGCCTGGGCAACATAGCAAGATCCCATCTCTAAGAAAAAAATTTTTTAATTAGTCAGGTATGGTGGTGTGTACCTGTTATCCTAGCTACTTACGAGGCTGAAGTGAGAGGACCACTTGAGCCCAGGAGGCTATTGGGAACTATGATTGCACCATTGCACCTTAGCCTGGGCAACAGAGCAGGCCCCGTCTCTTTGGAAAAAAAAAAAAAAGGAACCACTTCTGTACACTTAAAAAATGATAAAGATGGTAAATTCTATATGTATATGTATATTTTACCTTGACAAAATAAAATTTGTAACAGTGAAAAAATAAATTAACAATAGATTTTCTAGATTTAAAATCCTTTAAGTAGGCTGGGTGTGGTGGCTCATGTCTATAATCCCAGCACTTTGGGAGGCCAATGAGGGGGGATCACTTGGGTCCAGGAGTTCGAGACCAGCCTGGGCAACACAGGGAGACCCCCATCTCTAAAAAAAAAAAAAATGGAAATATTAGCTGGGTATGGTGGCATGCGCCTGTGGGCCCAGCTACTCAGAAGGCTGGGGTGGGAGGATCATTTAAGCCTGGGAGGGTGAAGCTACAGCAAGCCATATATGATCACAACACTGCACTCCAGCCTGGGTGCCAGAGCGAGACCCTATCTTAAAAGGAAAAAAAAAAAAAAAAAAAAGACAATGAGTACAAGCTGGGTGTAGTTGCTCACACCTGTAATCCCAGCACTTTGAGGGGCTGAGGTGGGTAGATTGCTTAAGCTCAGGAGTTCGAGACAAGTGTGGGCAACATGGCACTCTTGCCTCTACTAAAAATACAAAAAATTAGCCAGGAGTGGTGGCATGCGCCTATGGTCCTAGCTATTTTGGGGGCTGGGGTGGGAGGATTGCTTGAGGGAGGCCAGGGACAGGGGTTACAATGAGCCGAGATGGTGCCATTGCACTCCAGCCAAAAATAAAAAATAAAAATGAACAAAGAAATTGAGTAAATATTAATAAAATGAATAAATTAAAATAAAATAAAAAATATTAAGTATTTCTTAAAAAGAAAAACTAGCTAGGTCACTTTTAAGTTCCTCACCTACAGAAGCTGTGAGAGGATAAATGTTTCATTATTTGTTTGTTTTTTAAGACGGAGTCTCACTCTGTCACCCAGGTTGGAGTGCAGGGGCGTGATCTCGGCTCACTACAACTTCTGCCTCCCGGTTTCAAGCAATTCTCCTGCCTCAGCCTCCCAAGTAGCTGGGACTACAGGCGCATGCCACCACGCCTGGCTAATTTTTGTATTTTTAGTAGAGACGGGGTTTCGCCATGTTAGCCAGGCTAGTCTCGAACTCCTGACCTCAAGTGATTGGCCCGCACTGGCCTCCTGAAGTGCTGGGATTACAGGCGTAAGCCACTGCATCTGGCCATTTAACTGTTTTAAGGTACTAAACTCTGGAGTAATTTGTTGCATAGCAACAGATAATACAATTATACAAACTAGGAAGGATTAATATTTCATAAGTAAAGATCTAAAAATGACTGAACAACTTGGTTCAATCAAAAGTTAAAATAGATCCCAATATGCTAAGAGTGAGATTCTGTGCTTAAGAAAATATAGCTGCTAAGACATGATAAGTAATTACTGGTTAGCCACACGTATAAGAGGAAAAAAAACAACTGGGGTTCAGAGCAGAATATAAACTCTTCAGACCAGACTTTTCCCTGAAAAGAACAGTAAAGTGTCATAAGAATTGTGCCCTCCATGACCATGTGACACCACAACATGTACAACTGGATGCTGTACCTGAAAGTGAAACCTTCCAATATTCTCAGCTCTACCTGACTAGGTCCTTATTAAGGTGGTATGTCCAGTTCTACTCCGTATTTGAGAACTGGTGGATAGAACACTGAATTTTGGGGTAGTTACTGGGAAGAACATTTTACTTATAAAAAGGGATAAACATTCAAACAAACTAATATGAAAAGATGTGACAGGTTTTTTTCTTATAAGTCTTTAAGCTAGATAAATTTTTGGATCTTTCTTAGCTAAGGCTAGTGGGCCAGAACAAAGAGGAATGAGGAGCCTGAGCAAGCATTTTGCCACTGAGATCTCCTTGGTTTAACTTTCACTATAATAAAATGTGGAAGACTACCTTACAGAGATGGGATCTCCCTGTGTTGTCCAGGCTGGTCTTGAACTCCAAGACTCAAGTGATCCTCCTGCCTCGCGCTTCTAAGATGCTGCAATTACAGGTGTGAGCCACTGTGCCTGGCTTGCTACCCATTCTTTAATGTTCTGCTTTAATGCTACTCCACTGAGAAACCTCTCCAGTGTTGGCACTACCCACTCCCTATCCCAACAGAATTCTTTCTTCTCGTGCTCCACGGCATTTTCTATTGTCACCTTCTCACACTATACATCACGGTTAACTATGTTTGTTTCTATGTCCTCTAACAGGTTGTGAGCTCTTTCAGAGATATATTCTATTTATCTTTGTTTTCCTCCAAACCTAGACAGACAGATCTTGCACATAACAGGTGTACTGGTGTTCAAGAATCATTATGTTTATCACCTCAAGTCTTGGCCATTGTCATCAGAAGCCACATCTTCCACATGTACCTGGTCACACTCCTGTTAAAAGACAAAACATATTACTTCAGTCCAGGGAGTAGAAGTGATATTACCATCATGACATACTATAAAAAGACCATATACAGTGGCAGGATAATGAAATGCCTTATGGAATCTCTTATGTGTGGGTGATCACTCTCACACCCCTTGCTGTCCAATTCCTCTTAAGACCTGATTCACATCCCAGTCTTCATGAGTTCTGTAACTATCCCATCCCTTGTTTCTACTCCTATCTCAATATTTCATTTCTCCAACAGCTCATGGGAATAAGCACAAGCTCCCTTACACTTCAAATGTTCTTATGTCCTACACCAGACTGTAAGTCCTATTACAATGCAGGTCTCTTGGGGCAGGAGCCACATCTCACATCTCCTTTGCATCTCTCTGATCTAGTCCAGTATCCTTACGTAGGTTGTGCCCAATAAATTTTTATAGACAAAACAGACGCTGGTAGTGTGGTATCAAAACCGAGAATGACTGAAATTTCTAACTTCAAAGTCAGGAGTTAGAAGAGGTCATCTAAATCAATCTCCTCATGTTTTAAAAGTGAGGTGAAATGATTTTCTCAAAGTCATACAATTAGTGAGTGGCAGAAAGAGACTAGAAATAACCCAGGTTTTCTGCTTCTTTTTTTCCCCCGCTTCTAATCCAAGGTTCTTTCCACCAAGCCCATGCTACTACTGACATAAAATGCCGCCCACTACCTAACTGATGGATGTACTCCTCTGATACCACTTAGGGTACCTGCATCAGAATCCTCTGGGGAAGTTTTTTAAAAATGCATATTCTTGGGTCCATCCCAGACCTACTTGAATCAGAATTTCTGAGAGTGAAGTCCTAGAATCTCCACTTTTAAGAAGCTCCCCAGGTGATTCTTATGCCCCCTAAAGTTGAGAAGCACTGACCTGGGGGGCAGGAACACATTCAGGTCAAATTCTTCACAGAACTTTCAGTTCCTGAGTGAGGACTATGTCTAGAAAATCATTACAAATACAATTGGCAATAATTATTGGCATGTAGTAGGTTTTCAATAAATGTTTGCTGAATAAAAACTATGATGTCCTAATTTATCAACATATGAAGTTGAGGGAAGATTAAAGCATTATGGAGTTTAGACAAAAGTACTGGAGCTCGGGGCACTATTAATTTATTGAAGAATTGTCTGTTGAGTAGAACAGACGTTTATTTTAAAAGAGATGGGATTACTTTGTGTTGGCTGGGTGCAGTGCTCACGCCGGTAATCCCAGTACTTTGGGAGGCCAAGGTGGGAGGATCACTTGAGCTCAGGAGTTTGAGACCAGCCTGGGCAATACAGTGAAACCCCATCTCTATTACTAAAAAAAAAAAAAAGATTAAAAAAATGATTACTTTGTGTTTATAAAATACTATCTTTTTATTTTTTATTTTAAAGACAGAGTCTCTCTCTGCTGCCCAGGCTGGAGTGCAGTAGTGCAATCTTTGCTCACTGCAACCTTCCCCTTCTGGGTTCAAGCAATTCTCCTGCCTCAGCCTCCTGAGTAGCTGGGATTACAGGTGTGCGCCACCATGCCCGGCTAATTTTTGTATTTTTGGTAGAGACGGGGTTTCACCATGGTGCTCAGGCTGGTCTCGAACTCCTGACCTCAAGTGATCTGCCCGCCTCGGCCTCCCAAAGTTTTGGGATTACAGGCATGAGCCACCACGCCCAGCCTATAAAATCCTATATTACTTTACTTTAAAATTTTCACTATTTTTAAAACTAGGTAAAACATGTACTACACAGCTCAAAATTCAAAGGACATGAAGTGAAAAGTGTGCTCCCTCCCACCTTTGTGTCCTGGCAACTCATCCCTCTCCATAGATGGTAATCAGTGTTGGTAGTTTCCTGTGTAGGATGACTGCATAACTGAGGCCCAGAATGGGAACATAACTTTCCCTATGTGAGATTCACATTCTGGTCTTCTGACTCCCTGTCCTGTGCTCCTTCTGCTACACCATGTTCACCTTAAAGGTGAACTCAAATGTCAAAGCCAAAAAATTTCACCATGAAGCTCTTAGTGTTTCCTGGTTTTTCTGGCACCTAACTATAAAATTATTCTGAATATCAAGGTTAACCTACATATGAACAACAAATATGTATAAAATATGATGGGTTAGAGTAACCATTTATAGATTCGACAAATCAGGAGACTATCCTTTAAGAATGTAAAATGGAAGAAAAGTCAAAACATAATTGAGAGTACAAATAATCAAACTCACTTTATATATATTATTTAATATAGATTATTAAGTTAGAATATTGGTTTATATGTCAGTGTTTTGCCTGATGGGTTGGCCTTTCCCCTAGTGCTAGATCACCTCCAAATAAACTAACAAAAATCAAATTTTTGAGCCAATAAAATTGAATGTCAGAACCAAAACTGTGGTGACCCAACCACAAGTACTATTTCTCTAAGACTATGTATGTATGCCTTAGTGGCCAGCTGGCCTCTCCATATCCACCCTATCTAAACACATATCTTCTAATATAATAAGCAAAAGCTCTAAATAGTTATTGAATGAAGTGTCTCAGTGAAGCACAGAAACAATTTAAAATGCTTACCTCTAAGTCATTGAAAAATAGATGAGTATCAGCCACTTCAAAAATCATTTCTTCCATTGTTAAACCTGAGCCAATCACTACTGTTGGGTCCTAGAAGACAATAAGAAAAAATCAGCTTGACTTGGTAGTCACAGTCCTGGTTCTAATCTTCAAATTTCAAAATTATTTTAGGTCAAGGCCAAAACACACGAGCTCCCAACTGTGCTTCAAACTATCATTGATGCAATTTCATTCACAGTTATGAGAATCCAGGATTGTAAAATAGAGAAGATATGGACAGTTAAAAATTTCAGGACTTTAGTTTCTAGAAATTAGTAGTTTCATAAAGATAAATGAGGACAGAAAATATGATTTTTTTTTTCTTTTTTTTTGAGACGGAGTCTCACTCTGTCGCCCAGGCTGGAGTGCAGTGGTGCAATCTTGGCTCACTGCAAGTTCTGCCTCCCAGGTTCATGCCATTCTCCTGCCTCAGCCTCCCGAGTAGCTGGGACTACAGGCATCCGCCACCACGCCTGGCTAATTTTTTGTATTTTTAGTAGAGACAGGGTTTCACTATGTTAGCCAGGATGGTCTTGATCTCCTAACCTTGTGATCCACCCCCGTCGGCCTCCCAAAGTGCTGGGATTACAGGTGTGAGCCACCGCACCTGGCCAGAAAATATGTTTTTAAAAAGATACAATGCTGACCAGGCAAGGTAGCTAGCTCACACCTGTCATCTCAGCACTTTGGGAGGCTGAGGCGGGAAGATTGCTTAAGGCTAGGAATTCTAGACTAGCTGGGGCAACAAAGCAAGACCCCCGTCTCCACAAAAAATAAAATTTGGCCGGGTACAGTGGCTCACGCCTGTAATCCTAGCACTTTGGGAGTCCAAGGCAGGTGGACTGCTCGAGCCCAGGAGTTTGAGACTAGCCTGGGCAACATGGTGAAACCATGTCTCTACAAAAGTAAACACAGAAATAGCTGGGCATGGTGGTGCACACCTGCAGTCCCAGGTACTTGGAAGGCTGAGGTGGGAGAATCACTTGAACCCAGGAAACAGAGGTTGCAGTAAGCTGAGACTGCACCACTGCACTCCAGCCTGCGTGACAGAGTGAGACTCTGTCTCAAAGTGTGTACGTGTGTTTGTGTATTTATACACATATCTATATCACTGTATATATTTATATAAGATATATACATTATATATACACAGTAATATATAATTTATATAAACTATATCACTATGTAAATATATTCACATATTATATGAATATACTTATTACATTATTTTAATATATATTTTATATAATAATATATATGATACAAGATATATACATTGTATTTTCACGTTCAGGTCTTCTGACTCCCAGTCCTGTGCTCTTCCCATTATATCTTCTTCAGCTCAAAGGTGAACTTAAATGTCAAAGCCAAAAATTTCACCATGAAGCTTAGTGTTTGTTTATAATGTAAAAAACTGTTTTTCATGAAATAATATTATGTGTATATGTAAATATATAAAATTTTTTTTTGCCAGGCGCAGTGGCTCACGCCTGTAATCGCAGCACTTTGGGAGGCCAAGGCAGGTGGATCATGAGGTCAGGGGATCAAGACCATCCTGGCTAACGTGGTGAATCCCCATCTCTACTAAAAATTAGCTGGGCATGGTGACGGGCACCTGTAGTCCCAGCCACTCAGGGGACTGAGGCAGGAGAATAGCGTGAACCTGGGAGGTGGAGCTTGCAGTGAGCAGAGATCGCACCATGGCACCCCAGCCTGGGTGACAGAGCGAGACTCTGTCTCAAAAAAAAAAAAAAAAAAGTCTCGCTCTGTCACCCAGGCTGGAGTGCTGCGGCGCGATCTCGGCTCACTGCAACCTCCACCTCCCAGGTTCAAGTGATCCTCCTGCCTCAGCCTCCCTAGTAGCTGGGATTACAGGCATGTGCCACCATGCCCGGCTAATTTTTGAATTTTTATTTTATTTTATTTATTTTTTTGAGACGGAATTTCGCTCTTGTTGCCCAGGCTGGAGTGCAATGGTGCGATCTCAGCTCACCGCAACCTCCGCCTCCCAGGTTCAAGCGATTCTCCTGCCTCATCCTCTCTAGTAGCTGGAATTATAGGCATGTGCCACCACGCCCAGCTAATTTTGTATTTTTAGTAGAGACGGGGTTTCTCCATGTTGGTCAGGCTGGTCTCGAACTCCTGACCTCAGCTGATCTGCCCTCCTCGGCCTCCCAAAGTGCTGGGATTACAGGTGTGAGCCACCGCACCCGGCAATTTTTGTATTTTTAGTAGAGATGGGGTTTCACCCTGTTGGCCAGGCTGGTCTCGAATTCCTGGCCTCAGGTGATCCACCCGCCTTGGCCTCCCAAAGTGCTGGGATTACAGGCGTGAGCCACCATGCCTGGCCAATATATAAAATTTTTATACACATTTTGGGATTACAGATGAGAGCCACCACGCCTGGTCTTATTTTATAAATATATATATAATTTTTTTAATTTTATATATTTTTATAATCAGTTTAGTTATATAGCTTATGTCAGCATGCCAGACTAGACACTAAAAGCCTGTAGAAAATACTAACAGAGGCTGGGTATAGAAGCTCATGCCTATAATCACAGCACTTTGGGAGACTGAGGCAGGAGAATCACTTGAGCCTCAGATTTCAAGATGAGACTGGGCAACATGGCGAGATCCCATCTCTACAAAAATAAAACAAAATTAGCCGGGTATGGTGGCATGTGCCTGTAGTCCCAGATACCTGGAGGACTGAGGCAGGAGGATTGCTTTAGCTCAAGAGATCGAAGCTGCAGTGAGCTGTGTTTGCGCCACTGTACTCCAGCCTGCATGACAGAGCGAGATATTATCTCAGGAGAAAAAAAAAACACAAACCTCCTGGCCAAGCACAGTGGCTCACACCTGTAATCCCAGCACTTTGGAAGACCGAGGCAGGCGGATCACTTGAGGCTGGAGTTCGAGTCCAGCCTTGCCAACATGGTAAAACCCTGTCTCTACTAAAAGTACAAAAATTAGGGCTGGGCGCAGTGGCTCACGCTTGTAATCCCAGCATTTTGGGAGGCCGAGGTGGGCGGATCACGAGGTCAGGAGATCAAGACCATCCTGGCTAACACGGTGAAACCCTGTCTCTACTAAAAATACAAAAAAAAAAAAAAAAAAAATTAGCTGGGCGTGGTGGCAGGCGCCTGTAGTCCTAGCTACTGGGGAGGCTGAGGCAGGAGAATGGCGTGGACCCAGGAGGCACAGCTTGCAGTGAGCTGAGATCACGCCATTGCACTCCAGCCCAGGTGACACAGCGAGACTCCGTCTCAAACAACAACAACAACAACAACAACAACAACAACAACAACAACAACAAAATTAGCCAGGCATGGTAACGGGCACCTGTAATCCTAGCTACTTGGGATGCTGAGGGAGGAGAATCATTTGAACCCGAGAGGCAGAGGTTGCAGTGAGCAGAGATCATGCTACTGTACTCCAGCCTGGGTGACAAGAGCAAGACTCTCTCTCAAAAAACAAACAAACAAACAAACAAACAAAAAAACCCACACCTACTAACAAAAACATTAGTAACCATATGAAATAACTGGAAGTAACAGGACAGGTAAAGGAGGCAAATATTTTTATTTTTAGAGATGGGGTCTCGCTAAGTTGCCCAAGCTGGATTCGAACTCCTAGGCTCAAGCAATCTTCCCACCTCAGCTTCCTGAGTAGTTGAGACTACAGGTGCATGCCACTGCACCTGGCTGGGGTGCAGATATTTGTATAAAATTTATTCATATAAACTGAAAAACATGAGCTTGGAGGTAATTTAGAATAGAAATACACAGCCTAATAGTCTCAAAACAGCCCATCCTTCTGTTAAAACTGATATGTACACTGAAGATATAACAAGTTTTGCTTGGTGTATTTAGTTTAAAAAGGGATTAATCTATTTTAGAAAGATATTTTATCTATATATTTTACTTATATATATCTGGCATATATTTGGCTAAATAAAATGCTCAATTTGGGCTGTTAAAAGTGTGTTAAGGAATAAGACATCAGCCTCTGGAATTTATTAATATAATCTTGAGACTCTGCTCTATTTTGAGCCTCATTTCTATACTTTAATCTTCACAAAATGCCATTCTCCTACAACTTCAGCTTTCAGCATTGGTTCTAGTAGTTTCTAACTTTACCACTTTACCATCAATTCTGCCTGACCATGTAGCCTGCCTAATACAAGCCATTTGCAAGCCATTTGTTGAAGTTTTACATGGAAAGTGAAAAGCCAGCCAACAGGGGTAGCAGAGAAATAATTTGTTATGTGTCAGAAGAGGGACTGACTATATAGTCAGAAGAGGGACAGTTACAACAAAGAAGACTCAAATTACCTTTCCATATTTCTGGGCATAGGATCCAGTAAGAAGTGAGTGGAAGATGATGATGGTTTCATCCAAGTCCCACAGAAATACCCGCTGAGGAAAGAAAATATAAAAAATGAGTATATTTTCCAATTACAATGGAATGAAACCAGAAATCAATAACAGAAAGAGAACTGGGAAATTCATAAATATGTAGGAATTAAACAATACAATCCTAAACAACCAATGCGTCAAAGAAGAAATCATAAGTGAAATCAGAATATACCTTGAGTTGAATGAAAACAGAAATAAAACATTAAATTTGTGGAATACAGTGAAAGCAGTGCTAAGAGGAAAAATTATAGCTTATTTTATATATATGTATTACATTTTACATATATATATGTATTTTATACATACATTAAAAAAGACAAATGATCCCAAATCTATGACCTAATTGCATATCTTAAGAAACTAGAAAAACAGCAAAATAAACATAAAGCTAGCAGTAGGAAGGAAATAACAATGGCTAGAGCAGAGATAAATAGAAGAGAGACTACAAAAACAACAGAGAAAAATCAATGAAACAAAAAGTTGGTTCTTTGAAAATATCTATAAAATTCACAACCTTTGGCTAAATTGACTAAGGGAAAAAAAAGAAGATTCAAATGACTAAAATCAGAAATGAAAGTGGGGACATCACTACCAGTTTTATAGAAATAAGGATTACAAGAGAATACTATGCACAGTTGTATACCAAGAGATTGGATAACCCAGGTGAAATGGTCAAATTCCTAGAAATACATAGCATAAAGTACCAAAACTGTCTCAAGAAGGAATACAAAATCCGGTAAGAGCTATAACTAGAGTAAGGAGATTGAATGCATAATTAAAAACATCCCAACAAAGAAAAGCCCAAGACAAGATGGTTTTAATGGTGAGTTCTTCCAAACATTTACAGAATTAACACGAATCCTCCTTAAACTCTTACAAAAAAAGGAAGAGGAGGGAATACTTCCTGACTAATGCAATGAGGCATTATCCTGATACCAAAGTCAGACTAAGGCACTGTAAGAAAACTACAGACCAACATCTCTTGTGAAAATCAATATAAAAATACTCAACAGGCCAGGCACAGTGGCTCACACCTGTAAACCTAGCACTGTGAGAGCCTGAAGCAGGCAGATCGCTTGAGCCCAGGAGTTTGAGACCAGCCTGGACAACATGGCAAAACACCGTCTCTACAAAAAAACACAAAAATTACCCAGTTCCGGTGGTGCATGCCGGTAGTCCCAGCTACTTGGGAGGCTGAGGCGGGAGGATCACTTGGGCGTGGGAAGTCAAGGATGCAGTGTGCAGGGACCACACCACTGCACTCCAGTCTGGGCAACGAAGTGAGAACCTGTCTCAAAAAAAACCCAAAAAACAAAAAACCCCCAAAAAACCACACATCTATAAAACTAAACAAAATAGAGGTAAACCAAATTCAGCAGCATATTAAAAGAATTAAACATCATGGCCGGGCATGGTGGCTCATGCCTATAATTCCAGCACTTTGTGAGGCCAAGGCAGGAGGATCACCTGAGGTCAGGAGTTCGAGACCAGCCTGGCCAACCTGGTGAAACCTCGTCTCTACTAAAAATACAAAAATTAGCTGGGTGTGGTGGTGCACACTTGTAGTCCCAGCTACTTGGGAGGCTGAGGCAGGAGAATCACTTGAACCCAGGAGGCAGAGGTTGCAGTGAGCTGAGATTGTGCCACTGCACTCCAGTGTGGGCAACAGAGAGAGGTTCTGTCTCAAAAAAAAAAAAAGAATTAAACATCATAACCAAGTGAGATTAGTTCTCAGAACATAAGGATGTAAGGATGGTTCATTCAACATTAAAAAATTAATTAGGAGTGCAAAAGGCTTATTGGAAAAAAAAATTATGCAAAGTAATGCATCACATTAATAGAACAGAGGGGGAAAAAGCTACATGATAATCTCAACTGATGCAGAAAATGCATTTGACAACATTCAACACCCTTTCTATTCCTAGTTTATTATTTTTTCAATAAATGAGGGATAGAAGGGAATGTTATCAATATGATAAAGGCCATATATAAAAAATCCATAACTAGCCGGGCGCGGTGGCTCACGCCTGCAATCCCAGCACTTTGAGAGACTGAAGCAGGTGGATCACAAGGTCAGGAGATAGAGACCATCCTCGCTAACATGGTGAAACCCCATCTCTACTAAAAACACAAAAAATTAACCGGGTGTGGTGGCACGCGCCTGTAATCCCAGCTACTCAGGAGTCCGAGGCAGGAGAATCGCTTGAACCTGGGAAGCGGAGGTTGCAGTGAGCTGAGATCATGCCACTGCACTCCAGACTGGGTGACAGAGCATGACTCCATCTCCAAAAAATAAATAAAAAATAAATAAAAATAAAAATAAATCCATAACTAGTACCACACCTAGTGGTGAAAGACTGAAAGTTTTACTCCTGAGACAAGGATGTCTGTTTTTGCCACTTCTATTCAACATAGTACTGGAAGTTCTAGCCAGAGAGATTTGGCAAGAAAGGGGAAAAAGACATCCAATTTGGAAAGGAAGAAGCAAAATTATCTGTTTGCAGATGACATAATCTTTTTTTTTTTTTTTTTTTTTTTTGAGAAAGAGTGTCGCTCTGTCACCCAGGCTGAAGTGTAGTGGTGCAATCTGGGCTCACTGCAACCTCCACCTCCTAGGTTCAAGCGATTCTCCTGCCTCAGCCTCCCAAGTAGCTGGGATTACAGGTGTGCACCACCAGGTCCGGCTAATTTTTTTTTATTTTTGTACTTTCAGTAGAGACAGGGTTTTGCCACGTTGACCAGGCTGGTCTCAAATTCCTGACCTCAGGTGATCTGCCCACAAAGTGCTGGGATTAGAGGCGTGAGCCACTGTCCCTGGCCGATGTGATCTTATATGTAGAAAACCTTAAATAACCCAGAGAAAATTGTTAAAGCTAATAAATAAATTCAGATATCAGCTGTATTTCTTTCTTTCTTTCTTTTTTTTTTTTTTTCCGAGACAGTCTTGCTCTGTCACCCAGGCTGGAGTGCAGTGGTACGATCTCGGCTCACTGCAACCTCCGCCTCCCAGGTTGAAGCAGTTCTCTTGCCTTAGCCTCCCGAGTAGCTGGGGTTACAGGCGCCTGCCACCATGCCCGTCTAATTTTTGTATTTTTAGTAGAGACGGGGTTTCACCATGTTGGTCAGGCCGGTCTTGAACTCCTGACCTTGTGATCTGCCCACCTCAGCCTCCCAAAGTGCTGGGATTACAGACTGAGCCACTGCGCCCGGCCAATCAGCTGTATTTCTATATACTTGCAATGAATAATTTGAAAAGGAAATTTAAAAACCTTTTGTGATAGCATCAAAAAGAAAATACTTAGGAATAAATTTAACCAAGTAGGCATAGCTAAATAAACGGAAAGACATCCATGTTCATGGATTAGAAGACTTAATATTGTAAAGAAGACAATACTACCCAAACCAACCTACAAATTCAACGCAATCCCTATCAAAATCCAATAGTAGTTTTTTAAAAAAATAGAAAATTGCATTCTAAAATTCTTATGAATCTCAAGGAACCCCAAATAGCCAAAACTGTCTTGAAATAGAACAAAGTTGAAGGATTCACACTTCCTGATTTCAAAACTTACAGTAACCAAAACAGTGTGGTACTAGCATAAGGATAGACATAGAGACGAATGAAATAAACCGAGAGTCTAAAAATAAAGCCTTACAAATATGATCAATTTTTCTTTTTCTTTTTTTAGTTTAGTTTTTTACCTTCTTTTAGTATTTAACCTACAGCCAACATCATAAGTTAATTTTTAATAGGATGCCAAAACCATTCAATAAGGAACGTCTTTTCAACAAATAGTGCTGGGAAAACTGGATATCCATATGCAAAATAATAAAGTTAGACCATTATCTTACACCATATACAAAACTAACTCAAAATGGAGAACAGCCTAAATTTAAGAGCTAAACGATGAAAATCTCAGAAAAAATACATAAAAATCTTCATAACCGTGTATTAAGTATTACACCAAGAAAACAAAACAAAACAAAAAGAAACAACAAGTATTAGACCAAAAGCACAGCAATAATAGAAATCAGACTTCCTAAACATTAAAAATTTTTGTGCTTCAAAGCACAAAAATTGAGAGAGTGAAAAGACGACCTACAGAATGGGAGAAAATATTTGAAGATTATATATCTGATTAATATAAGGGATTAATAATCTAGAATATTCTAGAATATTAATATAGAATATACAAAGAACTCCTACAACTCAACAATGAAAAACCAAACAACCCAGTTTAAAAGTGGGCAAAGGTTCTCATGCTTGTAATCCCAGCACTTTGGGAGGCTGAGGTGGGTGGATCACCTGAGGTCAGCAGTTCAAGACCAGCCTGGCCAACATGGTGAAACCCCGTCTCTACTAAAAATACAAAAATTAACCAGGCGTGGTGGCATGTGCCTGTAATCCCAGCTACTCAGGAGGCTGAGGCACAAGAATTGCTTGAACCTGGGAGGCAGAGGTTGCAATGAGCCGAGATTGTGCCACTGCACTAGGGAAATGCAAATCAAAGCCACAATAAGATACCACTTCACATCCATTAGAATAGCTATTATCAAAAAAATGGGAAATAACAAGTGTTGGCGAGGATGTGAACAAACTGGAACCTTTATGTATCGCTGGTAAGAGTATAAAACCGTGCAGCCACAATGAAAAATAGTTTGGTGGTTTCTCAAAAAGTGGAGCACAGAATTACAATAGCATCCAGCAATTCCACTCCTACATATATACCAAAAAGAATTGATAAGATGAACTCAGATAGATAATTGTACACCAATGGTCAAAGCAGCATTACTCACAATAGCACAAAGGTGACAAACCCCAAGTGTCCATCAACAGATGAATGGATAAACAAAATGTGGTATATACATATAATAAAATATTCAGACATAAAAAGGAATGAAATTCTGGTATGTGCTACAACATGGATGAACCTTAAAAACATTATGGTAGGCAGGGCATGGTGGCTCACGTCTGTAATCCCAGCACTATGGGAGGCCGAGGCAGGCGGATCACGAGGTCAGGAGTTTAAGAACAGACTGACCAACATGTTGAAACCCTGTCTCTACTAAAAATACAAAAATTAGCCAGGCATGGTGGTGTGCACCTATAATCCCAGCTACTCTGGAGGCTGAGGCAGGAGAATCACTTGAACCCGGGAGGCAGAGGTCACGGTAAGCCGAGATCGTGCCACTGCACTCCAGCCTGAGACTCCATCTCAAAACAACAACAACAACAACAACAACAACAAAAAACCATTATGGTAAATGAAATAAGTCTGGCACAAAAGGATACATTTTCTGTGATTCCACTTATATGAGATATCTAGAATAAGAAGTCAAAGACAGAAAGTAGAATAGAGGTTACCAGAGGTTAGAAGAAGGGGAGAATGGGGAGTTACTGCTTAATGGGTACAGAGTTTTCATTTGGAATCATGAAAAAGTTCTAGAAATATACAGTGGTGATGGTTAGACAATATTGAGAATGTATAATGACACTAAATTGTACACTTAAAAATGGCTAAAATGGTAAATTTTATGTATATTTTAGACAATTAAAAAATGAGTTATCAGTTTTTCCTAAGAAATATATCAGAAATTTACTTTTTCTTTCTTTCTTCTTCACTCCAAACCTCTGAAAAAAGAGAAAAGGCTTCAAATACAGGCTCAGTTCACCTATGTCTTAAGAGCACTTATCAATGGATTCATAGTTAAATATGTATTTTCCCCTCAGTACATAATAGCACTATAGAAAAACGGAAAACAGAAAACAAAAAGATAATACAAAAACTCCACTAATTTTAGCACTCTGCATGACCTTTATGTCTTTAATGATGAAGTCAAATGTATGTCCATAATAAACTCATATAGTACTTACACTACAGAATAAATCAGCACCAGTCTCATTAATAAGTTACCAGATCTGTTTGCGCCTTACAGAAACTTGGCTAAAAGCACTCTAGTCCTTTCCTTTTAAATTTCTTTTCTTTTTGAGACAGAGTCTCACTCTGTTGCCCTGGCTGGAGTGCAGTGGCCCGATCATAGCTCACTGCAGCCTCAACCTGCCAGGCTCAAGTGATCCTCCCATCTCAGCCTCCCAAGTAGGTGGGACTACAGGTGTGCAGCTAATTCTTGTATATATATATTTTTAGAGATGGGGGTCTCACTATGTTGCCTAGGCTGGTCTCAAGCGATCCTCCCGCTTCAGCCTCCCAAAGTGCTGGGATTACAGATGTAAGCCACCGCACCTGACCCTTTTAAAATTTTAAATAGAGAACAGTATGACTTTACTTGTAACTCCCTCTGCTTTCTGAATATGATGAATTGTTTCTGTTCTCTTCTGGAATATACAGAATAATTTGTTCTTTTTACATTTTTCTTTTAACGTGGCCAATTTAGTTTATTTTGCTCAGGAATTAAAGGGCACATAACATAGTGCACATTATCTCTGTGAGCTTCAAAAACATGTTTGATAAACTTAAGAAGTGAGAAAGAACAAAGTAGGTAACTAAATCAGTTTCTTCTCATACTTCTAATTCACTGTCTTGGGAAGAAGTGGCATCAGCTTTCCTCTTGCCCCGGTTCTTGCTAGTCATGTTTTTCCTGGACTGATCATCAGTATCTTTACTTGGTGTAGTCTGGGACAAAGATGGACTTGTAGAAGGGTCTCCTGGAAAGAAAAAGTGAAACATATGTTGTCAGGAGTCACAGGCTATAAGAATCAGGGCAGGAAGAGGGTTAGTGGACTCTCTGCCCTTGTGAGTCATAATGCAGGGATAAAGGTTGGAAAGCTAAACCTTATGTAAGCAATTATGAAGTGTACATCTAGGCATTGAGCATCAGCACTGGCTAACATCAGAAAAGTTATAACCAGACTTTATATGCTTACCCCATGATAGAAGAAAATATCAATGAAGTTGTTTTGCCAAGAAAAAGCTGAACCTGAATCTTCATGGTCAAACTTGTAGATTAGAGTTTCTCAACCTGGCACAACTGACATTTTGGATCAGATAATTATTTGTTGTGGGGGGATGTCTTGTGCATTATAGGATGTTTGGTTAAGCAGTATCCTTAGCATCTACCCACTAGATGCCAGAAGCACCGCCCCACCTAGTGTAACAACCAAAAATGTTTCCATACATTGCCAACAGTTGAAAACAACTGTTCATTCACCAATTTACTATAAAATACAGAAGGCAGCAGGACATGTTAAACCACCTTATGAGGATATAACTGTCAAAATTCAGACTGGGAAACAGTATGGGATCAACACTCCAGTTTCTTCAACAAACAAACTACAAGGGGGAGAAAAAGAGACGGGAGGATTTATAGGTTAAAATAGAGATGAAACACAAAATACCCATAATTACCAATCACAATTTATGGACCTTATATTTGGATCCTAATTTTCCCTCCTCAAATTTTCTATTTATTTATTATTTCTATTTACTAATGCGATAAAAACTGTATATGCTTTATGTTGTTTTGAAATATGTATACACTGTGGAATGGGTTGGATCCTACTTTAAACAAAAGGGAAACAAAACTCATAACATTTATGAGAAAGCTGGAAATACAAATACATTTTGGTACTTGATAATACAAAATTAAGACATTATTAATATTGAACTTTTAAAGATGGGATAATGCCATTGTGGTTATGTTAATAAGTACCATACTTATCTTTTAGAGAACAATGCCTGGAATCTGGGGAGGGAGCTAGATGATGTATAGCTGAAACAAAATTGTCTATAAGTTGATAACTGTTGAAGATGAATGATGGATATGTAAGTGTTCATCACACTAGCCTTGCAACTTTTCTCTATGTTTGAAATTCTCCAATATTCAAAAGTTAAAATTGTTATAACAAAGATATTTAGAAAAATGACTTTAAAACCTTAGTTTTTAATCAACACTTGTAATTATTTCAAATTTATGTAAGTTTGAAGTGGCGACCATTTGTATGTCCACTTATTAGACTGGTAGGGTGACCGCACAGAAAACTGTTCACTTGTTATATAGTACTGTTTCTAAACATGCATCAGTGCCAATGATAAACAGTGCTTTCCTCGAACCACATGATGTGAAAGCCAACTACCAAATTTTCATTAAATATAAATAAAAAGTGTGTGTATATATATGTTTATTAAATGTGTGTCTAATCTTTTATGTCAAAGGTTTTTAAGTTGGACACTGTAATTCATTGATACACTTCAGAGCTGTGAGCATACTGAAATTGTAGGTTAAATTGTATATATTTCTCTGAGGGAAAAGGACCATGCTTTCCTCAGAATCTTAAAGGGATCCTGGACATAGAAAGAACTATGGCTCTGAGGCCTTAGCAGCAGTTCAAAACCTGCGCAAGACTAAAACTGGAGTCCTCCAACTTTTACAAAATATTATAACATGCTGAAGCTCCCTGTGGCAAGTGGGTTAAAGCTACAGGGAGGGTAGAGTACGAGTCAGAAAGAGTCTTTTAGTTCTTGATACTTTTCTGTTCCGTTCTCAGCATCAGGTATACATTCAGCCTACCAATGACTCACAGCCTGCTTCCAATACTCCTCACCTCAGAGGGAAAGCCAAAAGCATGGTAACAATGACTTAAGACAGAACAAAATCATCCTTACCATTGCCTAAAAACAACTGTTGGATGAAGTGACCTTAAGCCAAAGTTTTCAGAGCTGCGGTGCTTACCAGAGGAAAGTCTCTGTGCTGCAGGTGCAGGCGCCATGACACTAGGCTTCTCCGACTGGTATGTGGTTGCTGCTAATGTGGTGCTCTCTGCATCACTGTTAGTCTGACCTGTGACTCCAAAGCTGGAGCTGGGGTAGCAGGCCTGGTACTGATTCTGACCAAGAATAGTATAGGTGGGATAATCCTGCAGGCCAAAGGAAATAAGAAAACAAGACTCTTATAGCATACATTAATCTCAACACAAGAGGCTTTCTTCTCCCTCTTTCTTATTCATAATTATTTTTCTAAAACATTAATTTGACTTCTCATTTACCTACCTAAAAGTCTCCAATCTAAATCAATGATTTTCAAAATGCATTCTGTGGAAACCTAAGTCAAGAGATGTCCCAGGAGCAGTCTTGGAATGAGGAAATGCTGAGAGGGAAGGGTCTTCTGTACTCTCATAAACATACACATGGTGTCCCTTTTTGTACTCTAACAGCCTCTTCCCCCAGTTTTATGTACCGAATTTCTGCACAGAATTTGAGGGAAAGATTCTACTCTAAGAGGTTTACAAACTGTTGCACTAGATAATAGCACTTCTAAGGACAACAAAACAAAACTTAAACTTAAGCAAACAAAAAAAGCACATATCCTACATTAAAATGTCTTAATTTAAAAACTGATTATCAGCTGGGTGCAGTGGCTCATGCCTGTAATCTCAGCACTTTGGAAGGCCAAGATGGGTGGATCACTTGAGGTCAGGAGTTCAAGACCAGCCTGACCAACATGGTGAAACCCTGTTTCTACTAAAAATACAAAAATTAGCCTGGCGTGGTGGCACATGCCTGAAATCCCAGCTACTTGGGAGGCTAAGGCACAAGAATCGCTTGAACCTGGAAAGCGGAGGTTGCAGTGAGCCGAGATTGCATCACTGCACTCCAGCCTGGGTGACAAAGCGAGACCCTGTCTCAAAACAAAACAAACAAAAAACAACCTGATTATCTACCTAAAACAATCAAGTTTTCTTTAAAAATAGTTTCCTGGCCGGGAACAGTGGCTTACGCCTGTAATCCCAGCACTTTGGGAGGACGAGGTGGGAGGATCGCATGAGCTCAGGAGTTTGAGACCAGCCTAGCCAAAATAGTGAGACCTTCTCTCTACTAAAAATACAAACAAACAAACAAAAATCCAGGCATGGTGATGCACGCCTGTGGTCTCAGCTATTCGGGAAGCTGAGATGGGAGGATAACTTGAGCCCAGGGGGCAAAGGTTGCAATGAACCAAGACTGCACCACTGCACTCTAGCCTAGGTGACACACTGTCTCAAAAAAAAAAAAAAAAAAAAAAAAAAAAGGCCAGGCACGGGAGCTCACGCCTATAATTCCAGCACTTTGGGAGGCTGAGGCAGGCAGATCACATGAGGTCAGGAGTTTGAGACCAGCCTGACCAACATGGCGAAACCCAGCCCCTACTAAAAATACAAAAATTAGCCAGGTATGGTGGCATGCACCTGTAGTCCCAGCTACTAGGGAAGATGAGGCAGGAGAATCGCTTGAATCTGGGAGACAGAGGTTGCAGTGAGCTGAGATCATACCACTGCATTCCAGACTGGGCAACAGAGCAAGACTCTGTCTCAAAAAAAAAAAAAGGTTTCTTAAAATATTGGGATAAAACTTTTGGTTTCATAGGCACATATATGGCAAAACTTACTAAACTGTACAATTTAAATCTGTGTAGTTTACTGTATGTCAATTACTCCCTAATAAAGCTGTAAAAAAACTAGGTATGACAGTTCAAATACGCAGCTAAAAAAATTCCATTGACACTGATAATGATGGCAAGTAGGAAAAAGCTAACTGATCAGATACATTATTTCTAATTAGTCATTGGGTATCTCTACCATAAACCAAATATAATTATATGTATGTGTGTATTTGTGCATGGGCAGAAGAAGGAAATATTAAAGAAAAGAATAAGTCACACTAGCAGAACTCAAGGGAGTTAAAAATCTAGCAGGAGAGAAGACAGACAACAAAATGGCAATAAAATATATGTCAAATGACTGAAATACAGAACAGACAACTATCATTGTAAAGTATGATGGTGAAGAAGCTTTCTGAGATTAATAGGCAGAGAAAGTAAGAACATGAATAGGCTCTGAGGAGATTTTATTCAGGGACCACAGATGCTGAGTCTGGTTGAAACAAAGGACCTCTGTAGGCCTGAATGATTGGTAAAGCAATAAGACTTGGATTCTTTAGGCAATAGTATATAGCCTGTGGGCTAGGGAATAGGGAATGGGGACTCTCAAATTCAAACCAACGAATAAAAACATGAAAAGAAGGAGAATGGCGTGAACCCGGGAGGCGGAGCTTGCAGTGAGCAGAGATTGCGCCACTGCACTCTGGCCTGGGTGACAGAGCGAGACTCTGTCTCAAAAAACAAACAAACAAACAAAAAACATGAAAATATTCTGAGCAGGTCAGTAACATGACAAAAAGTGGGATTTAGAAAAAATTAATGAGATAGTATTTTAGAGAATGAACAGGCACAAGGGGGAAAAAACTGGAAATAAAATGAGCAATTAACTATGGTAATTCAGGATTAAAAGGGAAAATACCAAAACATTGGAGACGATAGCAAAAAGCAAAAGAAATTCTTCTCAAAGATTTTGAGAAATGACCAGATTGGGTAAGGTTGTGAGAAAAATAATGGAAGATATCTGGTCTGGTTTTAGGCCTAGGTTTATTAAGAAAAATGTAGTATCACTAATAAGAATTAAGAAGTCAGGGAAAAGTGGTTTTACTTCTGGAAGACAAAGAGACATAAAAAGGGCTGGAATAAAAGTCTGATTTTACATATGTTGAACTTAGGGAAACAGCAAGACATTAAAGAAAAAAATGTCAATCAGTTGGAAGCTGTAATTATCATGAGGGAGGATTAGAATCTTTGGTGACAGTAAATGGACATTATGTGGTTAAACATCCCTGTGGATGAAGTAATTAACATGTGGAAAAACCAAATAGAGACTGTCCACGTTCAAAGACAGGGTCAAAAAGAAGAGCTATGAGAGAGAAAGAGACAGTCCTTAGAAAAATACCAGGTACACAGGTGGGAACTCAATAAATATTTGTGGACTAAAAGAATAAACAAGGCTGGGCGCGGTGGCTCACACCTGTAATCCCAGCACTTTGGGAGGCCAAGGCGGGTGCGGTTCACTCTAAGTCAGGAGTTTGAGACCAGCCTGGCCAACATGTGAAACCTCATCTCTACTAAAAACACAAAAATTAGCTGGGCATGGTGGCACATGACTATAGTTCCAGCTACTCAGGAGGCTGAGGCAGGATAATCACTTGAACCTGAGAGGCAGAGGTTGCAGTGAGCCAAGATCGCACCACTGTACTCCAGCCTGGGCGACAGAGTGAGTGAGACTCCATCTTAAAAAAAAAAAAAAAAAAAGCAAAACCAGTATAATAACCAGAATAGTAATGTTAACTGTAGCCAGGAAAAGATCCAAGGAGACAGTGGTGATGATAATTGCTGTAGAGAAAACAAATCAAAACAAAAATAAAAAACTCTAGAACACTGAAGGTGTTACCAGTGATCTCCTAAGCATAGTTAACATAACAGTGATCAAGAATAGACCACAAAAAATTCATAAAGAATGAGTTGTTCATTCCATAAATATTTATCAAGTGCCTTTGATGTAAGTGGCAGGCATTTTTCTATACTCTGGGAATATGTAAATGAACAAAACAGAAAAATAAATCCCTACCTTCATGCAGCTTACATTCTAGTAGGGGCAGAGTAGGAAGTGAAGACAAATACAGTAAAGAAACAGACATAACCATATTCTAGAGAGACCCAGCAGAGGAACAACAAAAACTAGACAGTAACCTAAGATGCCATCCAGGGTCCGAGTTCTGAAGGTATCCAGAAAAAAGTCTCCACAGCCCATACTATTCCTGGTTGTTTCTTAGATAGGCAAATTGACCATGGAAAGAAGAAAGAGCAAGCTGGATGAACTCTATCAAACAGGATGAACAAAGGTAGCATCATACCTGGTTTGAGATGCTGGCTACTGCTGCTGCTGGAATATTGGCAATTGTAGAAGAAGTAGATATCAGGCTGGCATTTGTGCTTGAAGCTAGAGGATTGATGGGGTTAAAAGATATTAAAGATATTATGTAAAAGGTTAGAAGAAACTGAAAATAGATGTGTTTTAAGTGAACAGATTTATAAGGAGATAAACAACATTGGCAAAGGAAACAAACACTCGTTTTGCTTTTTTGTGTGGGATAGCTACATTTACACTTGGTTAAAAACAAAACATTTGAAACATCTTTCTGTTTCAACTTGAGTCTTCAATTCTTCTTATTAAAGGCCTAAAAGGATATATATTCAATTCACAGCTCATACTAATAATATCAATGAAATCACAGCTAAATCCAATTCCTCCAGCCCATCTTCTCCAGAGGCTGAAAAATGACTCACCTGCAATGTGACCTACTGTAAAGCAGTAGAACTCTGGTAAATCTTACACTGTGATATTGTTTGCTGTCACTTGCCCCAAGTTACGCCTTTCCTAATACAACATAATTACATGAGAAATAGAGCTGGTCCTCCAAATTCCAAAGCATTTAGAATTGCTTCTTGAGTTCTACTCAAATAATAGATTACTAATGTGGATCAATAAACACAATGACATAGCATTTAGAGACTTTAACAATGAGCCTGGAAAAACTCAGAAAATATTAAATATTACTCTGGTCAGATAAAAATGTACCTTATATGATACTTGGGCTGTCTTAAGTAATTTGAGGCCAGGTGTGGTGGCTCATGCCTGTATCCCAGCACTTTCGGAGGCCGAGGCAGGCAGATCATTTGAGGCCAGGAGTTTGAGACCAGCCTTGCCAACGTGGTGAAACCCCATCTCTACTAAAAATATAAAAATGAACTGGGTATGGTGGGCACGGGCCTGTAATCCCAGTTACTCAGGAGGCTGAGACATGAGAATCGCTTGAACTCAGGAAGTGGAGGTTGCAATGAGCCAAAATCGCATGACTGCACTACAGCCTGGGTGACAGAGCAAGACTCTGTCTCAAAAAAAAAGAAAAGAAAAAAGAAAAAAAAGAAAGAAAATGCTGATTTCCATTCACATAAAACAATAAAAATAAAGACAAGTAATTTGGGTTAAGTTTTATACTTCTTCTGTCATAGGTTCATTCTACTAGGGTTTTAATCAAAATCTCAATGACTAGCACTAACCAGTGACTTTTCTCAGGTGAACAATGTAACTGATATTATCAGTACTGTTCTCAAACTCCTTGTCCTCATTTATCATAAACACACTTAGACATGGTTCCTACTGCAGGTACACACACCATATGGGTTCACCATCAGGTAGACCTGACTAACTGACTACCTGCCCCATTAACAAAGTCCCCCAGAGAGAAAATTAGTAAGAAAACTTCCATTGAGAACAGGGCAGGAGAACAAATGCAATAGAAACTTAAGTGCTCTGGTCAAAATTAGATAATTTTCATCCCTTTCCCTAAGGGTACTCGGCTTAGAAGACAATCCAGAAGACAGTAAGTTCAGTTACAGCTATTGCTGCAACCCCAGCTTTAAGATGAAGAACCTAGGACAAAGAAGAATTAAAGTAACTTGTCCACAGCAGCAAAAATAATGGAAGATAACCAAAATGACAACTTGGATCTCCCAATTCTTCATCCAGTGCTTCTTCCTCAGGGTCAGCAGCTAAGCTAGGGTTCAAATTCCCTAACTATGGCCAGGTGCGTGGTGGCTCACGCCTGTAACCCCAGCACTTTGGGAGCCTGAAGTGGGTGGATCACCTGAGGTCAAGAGTTTGAGACCAGCCTAGCCAACATGATGAAACCCCATCTCCACTAAAAATACAAAAATTAACCAGGTGTGATGGTGTGCACCTGTAATCCCAGCTATGCAGGAGGCTGAGGCAGGAGAATCACTTAAACTCGGGAGGCAGAGGTTGCAGTGAGCTGAGATCGCGCCACTGCACTCCAGCCTGGGCGACAGAGTGACTCAGTCTCAAAAAATAAATTAAAAAAAATTAAAACAACAAAAACAAAAACAAATTTCCTAACTATCCAGAGTAACTTTATTTTCTATAGCACGTTTTGCTTCAGGGGAACTAAAGGACTCTTAAGGGCTTACTTTCCTAAACATAACAACTAAATGAAATAGGTTTTATAGCTTTACAGAAGGTATTTTCTTTCAACCAATATTCACCTTCTTTCCTACTGTGGCTTAAGCCATCCTTTTTCCTAAGAGGAAGCATCAAAACATGACAATATACAGGGTAACTGACTCTGTAAATGGTTTTAACCATTCTTGTAGGAAAAGAATTTTGAATGGTTTCCAGATTTTGTTATCAGTACATTATCCTAGGCAGGCCTGCAATAAAACTGAACACAGGTGATTTAAGGTGGGAAATAAAATAAAGAATTGATTTAATCATTTATCTTCCCCAGCAAGTCCATTTTTAGTTCAGTTTTCTTCTGGCCCTGGTCCTGGCATACAATCCTCTTTTTCACCTATTGATCTTTAATTCTGTCCTACCTTCTCCATATCCTTTTTTTCTTTTTTTTGAGATGAGTATCACTCTTGTTGCCCAGGCTAGAGTGCAATGGTAGTCTCGGCTCACTGCAACCTCCGCCTCCCGGGTTCAAGAATCCTCCTGCCTCAGTTTCCCAGGTAGCTGAGATTACAGACATGCACCACCAAGCCCGGCTAATGCTGCATTTTTTTTAGTAGAGATGGGTTTCACCATGTTGGTCAGGGTGGTCTTGAACACCTGACCTCAGGTGATCCACCCACCTCAGCCTCCCAAAGTGCTGGGATTACAGGCATGAGCCACCACGCCCGGCTACTTCTCCATAACTTAATAATGGTGGGAGGTACAACTCAGTCATATCTGATCTCTATGGGGGAAAATGTACTCTGATTGACAAGGTGGTTTTACAAATCTAACAATTTTCAAACCACTTAATGAATTGTACTGGAGGTAAAATGGTAGACCTTAAAAACAACTAGCCATAAACTCTTATTATATCCCGGCTAGAAAGTTTAATGGCTTGATTAGCTAGTTGATAACTCTGAGTTTTTAACAAGTACTGTATTAAAATCACAAATTTCTCTGAGCAATAGTTGGCTTTTATTATAGGGGAACTTGGTCTGCTGACCCAGAAAGTTCATAGGGCTTAATAACACTTTTTTCTCCAACTAAGCCAAATTATTTCTAACATGTGCCACTCATTCATTCAGCAAACCCATTAAGTATATCAGGGTCAACTATGTGCCTAGAAACCATTTCAGCCACTGAAGGATAAAATAGTAAGACAAAGTCCTGGCCCTCAAGGAGTTTAAATTCTAGTGAGGGAAGTTAGTCAATAATTAAGTAATTTTTTTAGGCTCTTATAACCACCATAGAACCCAAGGCAAACTCGCCTAAAAATGTATACAACCACTGCCTGCCCTACCCCACATACAGCTATGACTAAAAAGCCAGGCACTTTTAAAAAAATACAGATCATCGTGTGTGTGTGTGTGTGTGTGTGTGTGTGTGTGTGTGTGTGTGTGTGTGAATAAAAATAATATTCAATTGCAGGTTTAAAAACAAAAGCAGCAACAATGAACTATGCAACAAAAACTACAAATTTAGAGAATCAAATAAAACTCAAGTGCTGGCTCCTATTATTATGTATCTAAAGGCTGCTAGCTCTCCAAATGCTAATGGCATGGTCAACTGTTTTTGGACAGCCTTCACTCCTGTTTTGACAATGGAGCTGCAAAAACTTGAAAGACACCACTTTTGAGAACCAGGCCCCACTAGATGTCCGCTTAAAACAGACAATATACAGATAAAGCTTTGAACAGAAGACCACGGTTACAGAATGGTAAGTGGCACAGCTGCACCAAGTGATAGTGCT
Source organism: Homo sapiens (assembly GCF_000001405.40). Classification (NCBI taxonomy): domain Eukaryota; kingdom Metazoa; phylum Chordata; class Mammalia; order Primates; family Hominidae; genus Homo; species Homo sapiens. Next base: position 28,021,063 of record NC_000001.11, read on the forward strand.
ACAAAGTTAAAAGTTTAATTCAAGCATTAATGGCACATAAAAGTTTGTGCAAGATTTAGTTTTTACCCACCTCTCTAATTTTAGATCATGTCACTTCACCTCCTTTGCTCACACTGTCTTTCTTTAAGTTACTCAAAACCGGACAAGCTCTTTATCATTTGAGGACTTTTGCAATATTGTTCTCTCTGCCTAGACTGTTCTCTCCAACCCCCTTGCCTTCCCAGCATGATGGCTCCTCAGCATGACTCACTTCCTCAAAGAGGGTCTTTTTGACCTATTAAAACCAAGACCTTTTCTGTTTTCTTAATCACAGTGATCAATTTTTTTTTCAGAGCACTGTTCAAAATCTGTTATGTATTTACTCACTTGTTTTCTCCCCCGCACCCCACTAGTCTGTAAGCTCCAAAAAGGCAGAATCCTGCTGTCTTATAATCTCCAGCATCTAGCAAAGCACCTGACATACAGCAGGTGATGGTCAATAAATATTTGTGGGATTCATATACATCTATCTTGTGTGCACTAAGTGTGAAGGGCAAAATCATTCTTCTTTTTTTTTTTTTAGATGCACTCTCACTCTGTCACCCCGGCTGGAGTGCAGTGGTATGATCTTGGCTCACTGCAACCTCTGCCTCCCTGGTTCAGGCGATTCTCGTGCCTCAGCCTCCCCGAGTAGCTGGGATTACAGGTGCCTGACACTACTCCCAACTAATTTTTGTATTTTTAGTAGAAACGGGGTTTCACCATGTTGGTCAGGCTGGTCTCAAACTCCTGACCTCAAGTGATCTGCCCACCTCAGCCTCTCAAAGTGCTGGGATTACAGGCATGAGCCACCGCGCCCAGCCTAAAATCATTATTTTCTGCTAAAGGCTGACAGGTGGGTTCCTAAAACTTACTCTCATTATGTGACTAATATAACTGACAATTCCTGATCCAGTAGAAGCTGTACATATTTTGGTTAAAACTGATTGCCTAAGTGGGTCATTCGTTCACTTAATCCTTTATCAAATATTTATTGAGTGCCTACTATGTGCAAGCACTGCTCCACACAAGGAGCTTAGTAAATCAAAATAATAAAAATCTCCTAATAAAAGATTATTATTTTTTGAGACAGAGTCTCGCTCTGTCGCCCAGGCTGGAGTGCAGTGGCGCGATCTCGACTCACTGCAAGCTCCGCCTCCTGGGTTCACACCATTCTCCTGCCTCAGCCTCCCAAGTAGCTGGGACTACAAGCACCCACCACCACACCCAGATAATTTTTTGTATTTTTAGTAGAGACAGGATTTCACCATGTTAGCCAGGATGGTCTCGATCTCCTGACCTCGTGATCTGCCTGCATCCACCTCCCAAAGTGCTGGGATTACAGGTATGAGCCACCGCGCCCGGCCTAAAAGATTCTCATTGCTGGAGTGGAGATTTTCAGATCAATAAGGGACAGGGTTTAGAATGATCTATGTAATAATGGATCAGAGCTCAAGAAATCAGTAAGAATTCATGTTTAACTCAACACAGATACAGATTACGACATACAGAAATATTTATAGATATGTGTATTTACATAGGTTAGTATACCTACATATATTTGTTTGCTCTGTCAGCTGAGAAAGCCTAAAATAAATGTCACCTGACACCTCAGTAGCAATTAGCACCCCTCAAGCTCAGATCTTTTTTTTGAGACAGGGTCTCACTCTGTTACCCAGGCTGGAGTTCAGTGGTGCGATCACAGCTCACTGAGGCCTCGACCTCCTAAGGCTCAGGCGATCCTCCCACCTCAGCCTCCCCAAGTAGCTGGGACTACAGGCACGCACCACTGCACTTGGCTAATTTTTATATTTTTTGTAGAGATGGGGTTTTGCCTTGTTGCCCAGGCTGGAAGCCCAAATCTTGGTTTTGAATACCATTTTTTCCAATAAAAGGAACCAGGATTCCTTAAAAAAAATGGTTGATAATAGGACTTGAATAAGTAATATACAAGATGAGCCTGGAGCATCTTGTAGTGCCAGGAAGTAAGAAAGTGCTGGGTGGGGGGGGGGGGGAAAACCAAAAACTAAAAAAATGGGAGTATGTCAAAAGGCATAGGAGCCAACTGAAAGAGCTCCCAGTGGCCAAACTGGAACAAAATAAATAAAGTAGTATTGGATTATAACCCAAAGTATAAATTAAATATCTAGGAGTCCACAAAAAAATGACTGAATAAATCAACAAACTGGGGAGAAGAGACAAATCTGGGCAGAAGAATTCCAAATACATTATGTAGATATTCTACCCTAAAGAAGGGGCAGCATGATTCCTTAACTGTGGGCTGTACATAGTGAATTCTATCTAAAGAATACAGTACAGAAAGGGAGGAAAGAGTAACTTTATGGAGAAAACTGACAAACACTACTTCAATTAGGTAATCAAGGTCAACATCAACAGTCATAAATAATGATGATAGTATGGCACCTTGCCTTTGTGACCTTCCTCCTTAAAATCCATAACCCCAGCGTAATAATGAGAAAAACATCAGATAAATTCTCTAAGAGTGGGGCATCTTAAAATATACCTGGACCAGTACTCCTCAAAACTGTCAAGGTCATTAAAAGCAAGGAAAAGCCTGAGAAACTACAAAGTCTAGAAGAGCCTAAGGAGACATAACTAAATGTAATTTGGTATCCTGGATGGAATCCCGGAACAGAACAAGGACATCATATAAAAACACAGGAAATCTGAATAAACAACGGACTTAGTTAATAATAACATACTAATACTGGTTCACTAATTGTAACAAGTGTAATATACTAACGTAAGATGTTAATAATGGGAAACTGTGCAGGAGGAGGGATATATGGGAACTCTCTGTACTGTCTGCTCAACTTTTCTGTAAATCTAAAATTATTAATAAAAAATAAAGTCTAGGCCAGGCGCGGTGGCTCACACCTGTCATCTCAACAGTTTGGGAAGCCGAGGCAGGCGGATCACTTGAGGTGAGGAGTTTGAGACCAGCCTGGCCAACATGGTGAAACCCCATCTCTACTAAACATACAAAAATTAGTCAGGCATGGTGGCATGTGCCTGTAATCCCAGCTACTCAGGAGGCTGAGGCAGAAGATGCGCTTAAACTCGGGAGGTGGAGGTTGTATTAAGCTGAGATCACGCCACTGCACTCCAGCCTGGGTGACAGAGCAAGACTCCGTCTCAAAAAACAACAAACAAGCAAACAAACAAAAACATCTATTAATAAAAATTTTTTTAAAAATCTCCTGGTCAGAGATAGATTATTGTGTGTTACCAATGATACTAGAGTACAAAGACACTCATTAAAAGATTGAATTAGGCTGGGCGCAGTGGCTCATGCCTGTAATCCCAGCACTTTGGGAGGCCGAAGCAGGTGGATCACTTGAGGTCAGGAATTCGAGACCAGACTGGCCAACATGATGAAACCCTGTCTCTACTAAAAATACAAAAATTAGCTGGGCGTGGTGGTGGGTGCCTCTAATCCCAGCTACACGGGAGGCTGAGGCACAAGAATCCCTTGAACCCAGGAGGCAAAGGTTGTAGTGAGCCGAGAGCATGCCACTGCACTCCAGCCTGGGCGACAGAGCAAGACTCAGTCTCAAAATATATATATAATTAAAATTAATTTTGAAATTTCTGAAATTAATTTTGCCACTTGAATATTATTTAACCAATTAAAACATCTCAGCTGAAGAAAATGACCAAAGATAGGGCCACATAGTCACAAGATACTCTAGGAAAAGGATGATACTACAGAAGTCAGATCTACTCATTCAAAACATTTTTATGAGCAAACAAAGGCAGTCTCTTCTCATTATGGTACCACTGAAGTACAAACTAAAGAAAAGGTTCTGCTTAGAGTTAATCAAGCCAGAAGCAGATTAGGTTTTTGAGATAATTTCCCTAACTCCCCCAGGGAGGATGGGCTGCTGTCAACTGCAGAATGCTTGGGGTGTTTTGAACACTTAAAAAAATTGGGTAGTTATGCAGGGGGAAAGAAACAGCCCTGGATAGCTAACATTCACTATCCATGCTAAAAGGAAAGGGAAAAGTAGGAGCGAGGAGAGTAATATTGATAGTGGTGAACTTAAGTAATTTAATACCAATAATACCCACGTTTCATTTTAGCCCATTGTTTTCCTAACAATTTTTTCATCAGAATAAATGGCAAAAATTGATAACTTAATGGTTAACTTCTGCCTTAATTTCTACCCTGTGCTAATGAACAATAAAATGGGCCAATAGATTAACCACAAAAAGGGAGGAGAAGTGAATTTAGATATTTGTTAGCAAAGGTTCTCAATTATGGGAGAGTTGATATTGATACTATGACCTCAATACTGAAAAGCATAAATATTGTACTCATGCTCTGGAGTCAGAATGCCCAGCTAATGTCCTGCCTTAATTATTTGCTAATACTGTGACTATGGATAAGCTACTTAGCTTTTCTGTGCCTCAGGCTCTCCCTCTCTAAAATGAGGTTTGGGTTGTTGTGAGGATTACGTGTGCAACATCTATCCACTGCTTAGAAAAATGTCAAGAGCACAGTAAGCACTTCATAAATACCTGCAATTGTCATTAATAGCAAAATGAAGGAAACCGGGTTAGCCAATCCAAAGGAAAAAATGTTCTAACAGATAACAAATAAGAATGGTGGTTAGTGAAGTTTAAGGGATATTTTCATGACTCTTCCATTTTTTTAAATTTCTATTTATTTTTTTGAGACAGAGTCTCACTCTTGTTGCTCAGGCTGGAGTACAATGGCACAGTCTCGGCTCACTGCAACCTCCGCCTCACAGGTTCAAGCGATTCTCATACCTCGGCCTCCCGAGTAGCTGGGATACAGGCATGCGCCACCACACCCGGCTACTTTTGTATTTTTAGTAGAGACGGGGTTTCTCCATGTTGGTCAGGCTGGTCTCCAACTCCCAACCTCAGGTGATCCGCCTGCCTCGGCCTCCCAAAGTGCTAGGATTACAGGCGTGAGCCACCACGCCCAGCCTCATGACTCTTAAAGCAATGGGTCCTAACAGACCCCAAAGAGGTGATTCCTCTTGTTTTACAAGGGAGAAATAAGCACAGCTATCACATTCCTCAAATTCTAGACATAACTACAGAGGAATGGTGGTTTTACATTTTGGTAGAGCATTAAGAGAACCCTTGGTCTTCTTTCACAACCTAGGTGTAAGTTATCAGATATACCTGTTTAGAAGAGACTTGGCAACTAGACTTACCTGTGGTTGAACCCAAAAGGCCTATCAACATAGAGAAATACTAGGCCAGGTGTGGTGGCTCACATCTATAATTTCAACACTTTGGGAAGCTGGGGTGGGAGGATTGCTGGAGCCCAGGAGTTCAAGACCAGCCTGGGCAATATAGTGAGATCCCACCTCTAAAAAAATATAGAATACATTAGCTGGGTGTGGTGGTGTGCACCTGCAGTCCCAGCTACTGGAGAGGCTGAGGTGAGAGGATCACTTTAGCCCGGAAGGTGAAGGCTGCAGTGAGCCATGATCGCGCCACTGCATTCCAGCTGGGCAACAGAGTGAGACTCTGTCACAAAACAAAACAAAAAACCATAGAGAAATACTCTATAAAAATGAAAGGGAGTGGTGGAGAAGACAGGCAAAGCCATTCTTTCAAGTTTCTCCCTCCTGGTTTGTTCCCATCTTAGAAAGAAAGAAGGGGGAGAGGACAAGGGGAGAAAAAAAAAAAAGAAGAGGAAACAAGTGAAGAAAAGAGGAGACTTGGTAAACAACAGGAGGTAAAGGTAGCTCAGAGTAAGGTCTCAGAACATAGAGACCAGTTCTGTTTCCACTAGACCAAGGAGAAGTAGTTTTCAAACATTTCTGAAAACAGTTAAAACTGAAAATCAAAATCTAATTAACCTATATTAAAACTTTTTTTCATCACCAAAGTTTATACATTAAGAGTACTTCAGATAGGTTTTTGAGGTCCCATACTAATCCCTCTACTATCTATTTTATAAGAAATAAAATTTAAAAGCTGGGAAATATCAGGAGAAAAGAGGCAGATGAGAAGCCAGGTACAAGGATACTAGTCCCAGTCTGAAGCAATGACAAATTGCCTGCCCTGGATTTGGAAGAATAGGCAATTAACTCCATAGTGCCTTTTGAGTTTTTTGTTTTCTTTCCTAATAGTCCTGTCATAATTCTAACTCTGTTAGAGGAAGAACTTGGAAGGTAAAGATGTTTAGAGCTTAAGCTTTAATACTATGCTTTTTATCCTGAAAGAGAAATAAGAATGAACTTCTTGAGCAAGAGAAATGCTCTCATCAAGTAGTAAATGGGGTATAAGTGTGACAAAAGACACAGCAGAAAAGCAGCACACACCTCACATACTGCTATGACAATTCATACAGGTCAGCAAAATTCCAACCCATGGAGTCTTCTGCTCATTTATAGGACAAAATGCCACTGAAAATAGACTAGAACAAAATCAAGGCGTTTTCTGGACACCAACATGCAAAAGGGAAGGCTTCAATTCTATTAAGCAGCTCACATTCAAAGGCTAAACTACTTATAAACCACACTCCTAAGCTGTGGTTTGCCTAACACAAAAAGCATGCACAAATCCAAGTATCACCCCCTTTCTACTTTAGAAGACAGAGCTCCTGTATTATCCAATTTGTTTGTTTGGAGATACAGGTAGATTAAAAACAAGAAACAATAATAATAATTTTAAAACACACACACAACCATGCCTATTTACCTTGAATGGGATAAGAATAATGTGCTGGGCTTGGCTGGCTTGTGGTTAACCCTGTAGTGCAGGTAAGAACACTGTGTTGACTTGGAGATGGAGTCTGAATTAAACCACTTTCAGGTTTCATACCTGGCCACAATGCACCTGAATCAGATAAATTGGACCAATTACAAACAATACACTGGGACTGAGGAGCATGGTTATGCTTTCAAATATCAGCCAGTAGGTTTAAAATCTAAATCTTAAAACAAAAATAAATTTGCTTGTAAGAGAAAATTATTGAATCTCCCACTTGTAATATATCACAAGCAAATAACACTTTCAAAGAATTAGGGGATGAGGCTAAAGAAACAAAAAGCTTGCCACAAATCCCAATATGTATATAAATTCATTTCAATGACTGGGGGAAATTGACCAGGATTCAGAAAAAAAGAGTTATTGACACCCAACTGGAGTATCTGTTATAAAGAGTGCCTGATGTTCATGTACAGTGATAAATAATTTATCCAAACTGTCAAGGTAGGAGACATTCCATATAAGTTTAAAATTCACTTACCCATTAAACAAGGACCAAATTTTTCTAAAATATATTAAATACTTCTCTGCCTTCTTAAGCTGGTTATTTTGTTACTTTTGTTTCTTCCGATTAGGAAAGACATACCTGCTTATTTTTATAAATTAAAAACATTACAGAAATACATAATTTAGAAAAAAAATACAGTCATATATAATCCCATCATCCAGACTTAACCACTATTAACAGTTTGCAGAAGAGTCACCCAGATGATTTCTTCTTCTTCTTTTTTTTTTTTTTAAATAAGATAGGGTTTTGCTTTGTTGCCCAGGCTGGTCTTGAACTCCAGGCCTCAAGCGATACTTTTGCCCCAGCCTCCTTTAGTGCTGGGATTATAGGCATGAGCCACTACACTCAGTCCAGATTTCTTCTATGTATTCACTAATCTTCTTTTTAACAAAAATGGGATTGTGATTTTTTGTTGTTGTTGTTGTTGTTAAGAGACAGGGTCTTCCTCTGTCACCTAGGCTCAAATAATCCTCATGCCTCAGCTACAGGAGTAGCTGAGACTATGGGTGTGTGCCACCATACTTGACTAATTTTTTGTAGAGGTGGGGTCTTGCTATGTCGCCCAGGCCAGTCTTGAACTCCTGGCCTCAAGCAATCCTCCACCTTGGCTTTTTAAAGTGTTGGGATTACAGGCATGAGCCACTGCCAGCCAAGGACTGTGTTATACATAGTGTACATAATTTGCTTTTCCACATAATACCTCTAAGATTCATCTTTCCAAGTCAGAACATATAAATCTATCTCATACTGACAAACATCATAGCTGTTCATTTTTATTTTCTTTTTATCATAATGCTCCTGAGTAACAATCTTTCTAAAATATATTTATATCCCTTCCTGCCTTCTGAGCAAGGAGGAAATAGCACACATACCTTTAGATTTTCTCAGTTACTGTTTCAAAAATAAAAACTGTGCTGTGCTACATATATTACAGAGATACCGCAGAGGCTACTGTGATGTGTAAAGACAATTGTTTAGTACTAAATATAACTTAATTATAGTTCTGATTTTTAGGTTCTAATTTCACTGTTTTTCCTCTGTGGTCTGTCACTTCTTGACTTCCTTAGCAGTATCTGCCTTTTAATTTGCAATAAACTAGGCAACCATAAACAAAGCTTTGCATCTGCATGAGAGTCCAAGGATATTCTTTATGAGTGAAACACTCTTAAGTGCATGGTTTTGGTGATAATTTTGGCTACACAAAAGCCTACTTTTAAAAAGAAAATCCTTTTTTTTTTTTTTTTGAGATGGAGTTTCGCTCTTGTTGCCCAGGCTAGAGTGCAGTGGCACGATGATCTCAGCTCATTGCAATCTCCTCCTCCCGGGTTCAAGCGACTCTCCTGCCTCAGCCTCCCTAGTAGCTGGGATTACAGGTATGTACCACCATGCCTGGCTAATTTTGTATTTTTAGTAAAGATGGGGTTTCACTATGTTGGTCAGGCTGGTCTCGAACTCCTGACCTCAGGAGTTCCACCCACCTCAGCCTCCCAAAGTGTTGGGATTACAGGCACAAGCCACCATGCCAGGCCCCAAAAATCTTAATGCCTGGTTGTTCACTGTGTTCTGAATAGCTATGGTTACTGGGTTAGTGTAGTTGAAGCTGATAATTAGGTCTAAGAAGGTTCATCAACCAAACACATTCCATGTATGATATCAATACTAAGGTTAGCCATGACTTCAAACTCAACATTAACTCATCTCATTTATTTGCTCCTACTCTGATAAACTAGGAGTGATTGAATTTATAGCCAATGAACACATATATGCAATTAAAAATACAATACTTTGAGAATGAGAACCTCTGCTTCACCAGGGCACTGAGATACTTCAGTGCAACTCAGATTTGTCCAATTTGTTGATAAGTACATTTAGGAATAGTAAAGAGAAATATGAAAGTCTTAAAAAGACCAACAGTGGGATATGATAATCACTTCTTAATTTTTTTGAGACAAGGTCTTGCTCTGTTGCCCAGGCTGGAGGGCAGTGGTGCAATCATAGCTCACTGCAGCCTCAACCTCCTGGGATCAAGGGATCCTCCTGCCTCAAACCCCCGAATAGCTGGGACCACAGGCACACTACGCCTGGCTACTTTTTGTATTTTTGCAGAGACAAGGTTTTGTCATATTGCCTAGGCTGGTTTCAAACTCCTAGCCTTAAATGATCCTCCTGCCTTGACCTCCCAAAGTGCTGGGATTATAGGTATGGGTCACCGTGCCTGGCTTTGCCCCAAACTCTTAATGCATAAAAAGAAAATGTAATATTCTTTTCTCATCTATTAATCACATGAAATAACTTATTTTAAGAGACTGAGGAATACTGACATCGCTAGCATGAATTAGAAGCGTTTGCCCCATCATAATTCATGATCATTTAAATGTCTTGTCCAGATTAGCCATAATTAAGATTCTTGCCATGTCTGATTTTCAACAATAAAAATATTTGAGAATGTCATTTTTAAAACATTTATGATGTAAAATGTGAGTATCAGTGCTATGATTCCTGCTGATTGTATATCACACTTTTTGGTAAACAAATTGCTATTTCAATGTCACAATAACTTTCAGATTTATTGTCATCACTGTGATTTCTTTTTCCAAATAGGTTTTGACCCTAAGGTGGTAGATTTATAAACATGTTTATTTTTACACTATATGAAAATAATACCTTATTAATAACAATAGTATCAACTGAGAATGTTTTGATAGTCTCCCTCTTATAAGATCAAAAATTAGAACACAAATGTCCAAAATAAGTAGGAGATAGCTAGCTAGTTTTGAATATCTTTGGCCAGAAACATAAAGTAGATGTCTAATATATAATTATTTTATGAGGAATAAAAAACAATACAGACAGTACCTCCAGCATCACTGTAGACCTGGCTCTTCAGACATGCAAATCATCTTCCTCTAAAAGCAACCCTCCCAGAATTCCAGATAATAGGCAGCATGATCCAATGGTTTGACTCCACAGCACTATTGCTCATAGTAAACAAGGAAACCAAACCCTAATTACAGGACTCCCAGTCCACTGCTCTATGCCAACAACTACCAAGTTTCTCAAGTACTTTTAAGCATCAAGAGCCTGCTGCAGAGAAACTGTCAAGCTAACAATGGGTAAGTAAGTCTGTCTCTGAGTGCCTTCCTGATGCCCCCAGAATGGGGTCTTATCACAAACTCTACCCAAGTTTCTCAGCACAAGTACTTCACTATTGATTAGTCACTATCCAAACTAATCTCATCAGTTCAATTTATAGTAACTCGTATAGTGCTCTTTAGAGATTAGTCTGGTGAGGAACTGAAGTACACACCAATGCTAGAAAAAGCACATGAAAGGATATTTTGGCTTGTTGATTCAGCAGCTCATTTGGATAGGCTATTATAAATAGTAAGTAATTTAATGTAAGTACTTTTCCTGATTATAAACAAAGTATATGTATATATTTTTTAAAACGTCTGTAGGAAAAACAGCCACTTTTTTTGCTTCCAATTATTCTTTACGCACATTTTTTTTTTCTTTTTAGAGGCAAGGTCTCACTACATTGTCCACGCCGGAGTGCAGTGGCTATTCACAGGCATGATCCCACTACTGATCAGCAATGGGGTTTTAACCTGCTGTTTCTAACCTGGGCCAGTTCACCCTTCCTTAGGCAACCTGGCGGTCCCCCACCCCCAGGAGGTCACCACATTGATGCTGAACTTAGTGAAGATACCCAATCAGCATAGCGCACTACAGCCCAGGACTCCTGGGCTCAAGCGATCCTCCTACCTCAGTCTCCCAAGTAGCTGGAACTACAGGCATGCACTACCGCACCTGGCTATACACATATTTTTAAAAATACTAAATTGGTATTACAACATTGTGTTTTTGCTATTACATATTGCTTTTTTCAATTAATAATACACTGTTTTCTCAAGACCCTAAATATTTTTTAAGAAGATGATTTATAATGGCTATGCAGCAGCCATATACAATTTAACACATACCTTAATATTCAAGTTTTAGGTTTTCAGTTTTTTCATATTATAAATAATGCTTCAATGAGTATGTTGGTCAGCACATTTTTGTGGGTATCTCTAATTAGTTCCATAGGATACATTCCCAGAAGTGAAATTACTGAGGGAAATGAAATGAACATCCTTAAGGCTCTTAATGCATATCACCCACTCCTCCAACTCACATTAAAGTTCTTTTAAAAGAAATCAGAACAGTGGCACCTAAAGGCATATTTTATAACTCCCACTAACATTAAACAAGTACCCTTTTCCTTACACATACTCCTTCAGATTCCTAGAAGTTAAACTTCTAATCCCCTTTCTGCCATCCCACCCCATTTGTATACAGCTCTGGGAAGAATATGATCAGTATTTCTTTACTTTAAAAGATTACTCATCATATAGCCTTCTTAGATTTCTTCTAGTCTTTTCTCCTTTCTTCAAGAGGAGGAAGCTTTTTAATTTCAAACTCAACTCTGAGACCATCTTTTTGATATAGACCTAAAGTTATGAGCACTTCTAGAATGAAACAATCCTGGGTTCAATTATAATCCCAGGCTTTTACTAATTGTATGAACTTTGGGCACATGATTTAACTCTGCTTCTCCCCTATAAAAAGGGATAAAGCTAGCTTACCTCTTAGGGCTGTTCTGAGGATTACATGAGACAATACTATACAGCGTGAAATACTTATTCTTAGTATACAGCTTATTATAGTAAATAATAGAGACAAGGTAATATTATTATAATGAATTTTTCTGAAGCCCTATTTGCATCTGAAATAAAACGAATTAGCTAATCTGAAAACAGGCAGCACTAAGATGACACAATGTATCAAAATCTTGATTTCGAAAGAAAGAAATCAAGTGTTTTCTCCTACTTAATTTAACACATTACCAAAAAAAGCCACATGATAAAACACAAGAAAACATCTTTTCAAAATACAGTCACTTTTAAAAGTTTTACAAACCTCTCTTATAATTTCTCTGGTAAATTCTGAGAATATGCCATCTCTATCATTCACATTACCCCAACCAAAATCTCTCTCCAGTAAGTCTCATACATTACTTAAAGTCAAATTTAAGCTAATGATTATCTCTTTCTGAATTACTGATAGAAGAAATTGGGAAACACAAGTCTTCCTTGCCCTCAAATATTAAACAAAACCAGATTATTAAAGGAGCCTATTATTAACAATATTACCAGCATACAATATAAACATGTATCCTTCAAGGTTTTAATAGAGATCTATTTACTTTACAGAATTTTTTTCTTTTTTAATGTATTATTATTATTATTATTATTATTATTATTTTTGAGACAGTCTTGCTCTGTCGCCCAGGCTGGAGTGCAGTGGCACCATCTCGGCTCACTGCAACTTCTGTCTCCCAGGTTCGAGTGATTCTCATGCCTCAGCCTCCTGAGTAGCTGGGATTACAGGTGCCCACCACCATGCCCGGCTAATTTTTTTTTTGTATTTTTAATAGAAACAGGGTTTCACCATGTTGGCTAGGCTGGTCTCGAACTCCCGGCCTCAAGAGATCTGCCCAAACGGGGCCGGGCGTGGTGGCTCATGCCTGTAATCCCAGCATTTTGGCAGGCCAAGCTGGGCAGATCACTTGAGGCCAGGAGTTTGAGACCAGCTGGCCAAAATGGTGAAACCCTGTCTCTACTAAAATACAAAAATTAGGCAGGCTTGGTGGTGCACACAGCGAGACTCTGTCTCAAAATAATAATAATAATAGTTTAAGGGAAATATAGTGATCATTTAAAAAATTAATTATATCTAGGATCCATATGCACACAGAATTATCTGAGGTATTCCATAAATCATGCTCAGAGATGTAATAGGAGTTGTATTTAATATTGAACAGCAGGAATGATCAACTGTTGTAAAGGGCTAATAATAATAATTCAAATCAAAACAGAAGATTTAAAAAACTGTAATTTAAAAATTATAATTGCTAGCCTATTATTAGTCAACTGTTGAAAAATCAGCTTTAAATAACCAAAAAGAAATAAACACAAACATATTCACAGAGGGGTCTTTCAAAAGGTCCATTCAGTGTTGGCTGGTTAATCATATCATAAATATAAGATCTGAGTACCCTGGCTGGTACTAACAGGCATGGAAACATGGATATACAAATGGGGAAACAAGAAAATTTGTTTCCCATTTCATATGAAGTTATCAACCCCACTATTATTAAACATAATTCCCAATTCTTATTTCTAGCAGTTACCAGGAGCCAAAGAATTCTAACAAGCCTAAAAGTAAGAAAGCTGCCAATATCATAAAAGAGTAGCCAAACAGGTCAGGAGAAACAGGAATGCAGAAACTAGATGCAGGTACATTAATACATCCAGAATCTGTGTGGTCATCTGTCTGGAAAATTTTTCTAATTCGTAGCTTGATTAAATAAAGCCTATAGAAATATAATTTTGTTACATATTACATATTTTTAAATAATATAGTATTCTTTTAATTTTCTGGCACCCATTTCAGGAAAGCAGGGAAGGAGCAATGAAGCACACTGCATTTACACACATAGAAAAATAAGCACAGATATTAAGTGCCCAAAGAACCTTAAAGTGACTTCTGATAAATCATTTTAATTTATAGTTCATGTCCAAGACACCTAAAACCAATGAAAATAACTCCCTAGGCACATAAGGTTATAAGAAAATTGGGGATTTCCGGTATTCTAAAATGACTTTTTGGTTCAGCAGAACAATATCTGATCAGTTTTGGGTGGGGTTAGGGGAGAAAGGAGAGGGAGAAGTTGGCAAAAAAAACCCCACAGAGCAAACTATGATACATATTCAGACTACCTGGTGTTAGCAAGAAATTGGCCACCTCGAAATATATTTATTATGCTTTCCTAATGATAGTACCATACTACATTGTATATAAAGTAAGTCAAATCAATAGCAAATCCTCAAAGAATTTACCAAACACTTAAAGATTCCAAGCTTCAGGGTCAAGACTTAGTACATACAAAATAGCTAAATGAGTACTGAAAAACTATGATTTTTTTATTACATGCATCAAACATACTGTTGCAAAGTTGCATACCCAACCACATATGTAACTAAGTGCTTTGTAAAGAATGATGCATGGCTGATCAAAGTTTCTGCGGAATAAAATCAACATTCTTAGAAATTGTTTACAATACAGTGCCTTACCAAAAGGAGGTAGTCCATACGTTTGGGTTGCCTGAGGGTAGACAGCATAGGGTTGAGTCTGCTGTAGTGTCTGGTATTGAGTCTGTCCAGGGTAAGCAGTTTCCGAAACAGGAACTGAGAGAATATGTGCATAAGGTCTGGAAAATTTCATGAAAACAAAAACTTTTGTGTGATTTACTTTAGTAACGAAAAATAGGTAAAATAGCTACCACCACTAACAGCAAAGAATCTGCAACAAGGAGACTAATCTTCCACATAAAATGGCTCTTTTCAAAAATTTTTTATTTTTGAGACAGAGTCTTGCTCTGTCGCCCAGGCTGGAGTGCAGTGGCATGATCTCAACTCATTGCAGCCTCTGCCTCCCCGGTTCAAGCAATTCTTCTGCCTCAGCCTCCCAAATACCTGGGATTACAGGCACCCACCACCATGCCTGGCTAATTTTTGTATTTTTAGTAGAGACGGTGTTTCACCATGTTGGCCAGGCTGGCCTCGAACTCCCGACCTCAAGTGATCCACCCACCTTGGCCTCCCAAACTGCTGGGATTACAGGCGTGAGCCACTGCGCCCGGCCTAAAATGGCTCTTATGATCAGAAAGTAGAAGTCTTTCCTCCTTTCTACGTTCTCCTATCATCAACCCAAGGAACAATTTTATGAAAAATTTAATAGTTCCAAACATCCCTCCAAGTTCCAATTATCCTACAAACATTTCTAGTGTGCTACATGCATGGCCCTATGTGAGACACAAGGATGGATTAAACTTATTCATGCTCTTATGCCTACATCTAGAATAAAATCCTAATATAATAGAAAACTAAGAGAACAAGATTGGCAATTGGCTCTCATTCTCCACCCTGCCCCTTGAACCAAACTAAAGTTCTGAGAGGGAAAGTGAGACTGGAAAAGCGGGTGAGGCTGGTGGAGAAAAGGCAAGCAAACACATCAAAAAACGGAAGTAGAGATGGGTTCCAATATCCTCAAATCAAGTCTACAAAACAGAACCCAGGTAAGTAACAAAATCTGGGAAGTTCCAGACAGGACTCAATCTCCTCAATGATATTTAAGTCAGGGCATACTGCCACTAGTTGGTGCCACCATATCAGGGATAGCTAGAGATTTCAGCAGTGAAACTCCTGGGACTTTACACTAGCTAGCAGATATAATTGTTTCATCCATGATATTGCACTGAATTTTTAGATACCAATTATCTCATTTGGTGAGTTACACTGTATATATAAGTAAAAAAGAAAATGCTATTTGTACCATGTAAGCATAATAAAATATAGCAGGGGGTGTTTTAAAGGGGAAATTTTTTTTTTCACCTTTGGGGGAAGAGGAAAATGAAGAAAGGCCATAAAGAAGTGATATACTAGCTGAGCAGATAAGAGGCACAGAACTGGGAGAGAAAGGGTGTTCTAGGACAAGAAAAAAGTCCTGGAGGGTATAGAGTAAGGAAAGCAAGGGCTTCGGCCTGCAAAGAGCACAGATAACTGAGGGAAGTATATTAAGAGAAGTAGCGAGAGAAAGGAAGCAAAGACCTTGAATGCCAGGCTAAAAGGCAAATCTGAAACTGAGAGCCACTGAAATTATTGAGCAAAGAGTGACAAGATCAGAGCTGTTCTTTAATAAAGATTATTTTGACACTGCTTTGTAAAATGGTTTAGAAAGGGAGGAGAAACTGGAAATGGAGATCCAGTTAAAAAACAGTTCAGATAAGTAATAAAGAGGTCTGAATTAAGATAGAATAATTAAGATAGCTAATAAGGAATTCTGAATGTAGCAGGTATGCAAATACTTTCTGAATGAATAAATGAATTTGGAATCTGCAACATATTAACATCTCAGTACATTCTAAAAAACTGAATTTAAAAATAACTATTCTTCTTAGCCAGATCTGAGTCCAGGAAATAGCTCAGGTTAGAGTTGTTACTCAAGTCACATGGGAATGATTTAAATCTTAGTGACCTTAAATGGATTAATCTCCAGATATGGTAAAGACCATAATGTCCTTTTTCATGCAGAGTCTTTGTAGCCCAAAGCTCAAATGTGTTTTCACATTTAGTATCTAATTTCTTCATAATAATCTCAGAGAATAGGTTCAGTTATTTCACAGAAGAAAGTCACATGAAAATGATTAGCCCAAGGACACCATTAGTGTTAATACCAGATTAAAAATTAGAAGAACTCATTGGGTTGACTTTTTAATTAGTTTATTTTTTAATTAATGAAAATTCAAAAGGTAAAAACAGATATAACCAGGGAAAAGAAAGACAGTTTCCTTTTTATAACAGCCCCATAAAGTATCTCTTGCTTTTGTTACCAATTTCTTTATGTATCCAGCAGCTGTAAGCACATAAGCACATATCCTGGCTTAATAAATGCACTTGTATGTGTCTTTGTATGCATAGGTCCACTCTTTATTACGCACAATAGGTAGCTTGGTATACACACTGTTCTGCACCTACCCACTTTGGAGATGAAAAACCTGGCTGATATTAATGCTGATCTTACCCCATGAAGGCCCAAAACATAACCTCTTAGTGACTAACCCACCAAACCTGTCTAACTTCAAGCCCGGTTCTACTCTGAGGACATTCCTCAATCAAGAAACTGAACACAGGCTGGGCGTGATGGCTCACGACTGTAATCCCAGCACTTTGCGAGGTAGGCAGATCACCTGAGGTCAGCCGTTTGAAAACAGCCTGGTCAACATGGTGAAATCCCATCTCTACTAAAAAATACAAAAATTAGCTGGGCGTGGTGGCATGCCTGTAGTCCCAGCTATCCGGGAGGCTGAGGCAGGAGAATCACTTGAACCCGGGAGGTGGAGGTTGCAGTGAGCCAAGATCGTGCCACTGCACTCCAGCCTGGGCAACAAACAGAGTGAGATTCTATCTTAAAAAAAAAAAAAAAAAAAAAAAAACCGAACACAGATTGGACTGAGAAATTCAGTCTTGTTTTTATTAATCTGTATGCTATATGTCAAGGTACAGGACAGAGAAAATGATCAGAGGTCAATCAATGATATGGTTGATCACTAACACTATTTTGCATGTTCAGTGCCTACTCATTTTAGAGTAAGCTTTTGTGTAAAATGATCCATTGCAGACACCATCTACTTTTTAAAAGGATACTACATAGACTATATTTAGAGGGAATTAAAAATTGGAATGACGATAGAATAAGAGAGGTAAAAATAATTTAAATATCTATTATTTTAGAGGAAAAATAATATTAAATTTTGCAATGAATCTACAGAAAAAGCATATGCATTTTGGAAATAATTATTCAACTTACTTTGCAGAATACATTTGTGAGGTATAATCATTGGATGAGCGAGGGATGTAATCGGTGCATGTCATAACTGAAAGAAAGATAATATCACCAGGTTAAAAAGTTAGAACATTTCGAAAATGGAATGGGAAAACTGCACATCTCACTGTATAGTCTTTCAAACTAATTAACAGAATACAGCTTGGACACCAGATAGAAAGACTATGTGGTAGAAAATATCTCACTTTTTTGTTTATACATGTGTTTATAGACTTCCAGAGGCAGTTAAAAAAAGAAGGGTGGGGTATGGAAAAGAGCTGAAGGTTGGTAAGGATCTCTACCTTTACCCATTACTGATCTAAAATAATAGATGAAGCAACCTTCTAAGCTTTCGGCTATGCTGATAGGCAAACTTAAAAAGCAAGCTTTATGTCTGGAAAACCACATTATTCTACTTCAGCTTATTTGTTCTTTGAGTGCTTACTATATTGAGTAAAAGCCTTAAGAATGACTTGCAGGAAAACAGATTTGGGGGAGGCACCCAATCTTATTTTAAAACCACTGCTACTGCTATGCATAATCAACAGCAGAATAGATGCAAGTATGCTTCTATACTATTATTTTTTCTGTTTTGTAGTGAAGGCTTTAAGTTTGGCAAATCACAGACAGACGTGAGGAACTGATGTGATACTCTGATGAACTCTCAAAGACTTTTCCAGCTATTGTCCTCTTGACCCCCATGACTTCATCTGGAATAGCTGCTATGAAGGCTTGACTCTCATGATTACTACTTCTGGTATGAACGCTGTAAATATCTGATTAAAAGTGAACCAATTAACTTTATGTCTAATTAGGTTCCCTGGAAGAGTACCTGACCCAAAAAGAGAACCTTGATCAAAAGTAGATGAGGGGCCAACTCAAATGCTCAAGAGTAAGACAAATCAACACCTGTGAGTTTATTACAGAAGAGCTTGTCCAATGCTATTGTTTGAGGTATTTAAAAATAATTATTGGAGATCACATTCACCTCTAATCATTTTGACAAAAATGAAGATGTCAATTAGATCTAAAGTTTTGACAATCCATTGCAAAGAATGTAAGGTAAGTTTATTTGAATTCTACATAATGGTTCTCAGTTGACACATATATTAAAAAACCCAAACCCTTATCTTCCTCCAATTTAATTTAATTCTGGAAGGAATCAACAACATCCTAGGAGACTGAGGCCAATTTTCACTTCTCTAGAGAATGAATGAGACTTGATCTTCACAGTACTTGGGAACCACAAAATGATTATAAAGAGTCAAGATATAATATCCATTATACTATAGAAGAATCAAGTAAGTAATATGCTGGCTTGGACTAGAATAGCAACAGTGGGGATGAGGCAAAGACTTTGAAATATATTCTGAAGGTAAAACTAACAGGACATTCTGATGGATTTGATGTAGAGAATGAGGAAAACAACTAGACGGAGAGTGATACCACTTCCTAAGATGGGCAAGTTTGGGAGAAGAGTGTATGTCACGGGGGCTAAAGGAATCGAAAGTTCTTTTTTGAAGATCTTAGGTATGATTTTCCTTCCAGTAAAGATGTCAAACAGGCAGTCTGATACACAAATGAAATCAGGGGAGAAGTCAGACTGGAAATATCAATATGGAATTCATTAACCATGTACAAGATATTTAAAGTAATGTAATGGATCGGAGAATCCCAAAAGAGGAAACATGGTAGCCTAGAATTAAGCCCTGAGGCCCACCAAAGAAGGGCCATCAAAGGAGAAAGGTGGGAGGAAAAGTACTGAGAGGGAGAATGTGAGGAGAAACGTATTCTAGAATTTGCAACATGAAAATAACTAATGGCCTTGACGACAGCAGTTTCACTGGAAGAGTGAGGATAGAAGCTAAATTTGAGAGGCTGGAAAAGTGAATGGGAGGTGAAAAAGCAAGTGAGGGCAACTCTTGCAGAAGTTCTGATATGTCACAGAACAAAGAGAAGGTCCATAACTAGTAAGAGATGTGGAGCCAAGGGCGGAGGGGCAGGGGGGGGTCGGGGGAGCAGTGTTTATGTTTTAAAATGGTAAGATGTTTCTTTACTGACAGGAAGGATAAAAAGGGAAGACCGTGATGACACACAAGTGGTGGCAAGAAAACTATAGTACCAAAGTCCTTGGGGAAGGTAAAAACAGATAGCATATGAAACACAAATAATAGCCTCTATATCTGACAAGAGCAAGTATGCTGCTTACATCCTGACAAGAAGGAAATGGCTGGGTGTGGTGGCTCATGCCTGTAATCCCAGCACTTTGGGAGGCTGAGGCCGGCAGATCACTTGAGGTCAAGAGTTCGAGACCAGCCTGGCCAACATGGTGAAACCCCATCTCTACTAAAAATACAAAAATTAGCCAGGCGTGATGGTGCGTGCCTGTAATTCCAGCTATTCGGAAGGCTGAGTCAGGAAAATGGCTTGAACCTGGGAGGCAGAGGTTGCAGTGAGCGGAGATCTTGCCATTGCATTCCAGCCTGGGTGACAAGAGCGAAACTCCACCTCTAAAAAATACAAACAAACAACAACAAAAAAATACAAAAAATAGCTGGGCATGGTGGCATGCGCCTGTAATCCCAGCTACTCGGGAGGCTGAGGCAGGAGAATCACTTGAACCCGGGAGGCGGAGGTTGTAGTGAGTCGAGATTGTGCCACTGCACTCCAACCTGGGCAACAAAGCAAGACTCCATCTCAAAAAACATAAAAAAAAAAATAAAGAACAGAATGAATAGGATGACAGTCTAAAGTAAAAATAGAAAGGTAGGGGAAGGTATAGATGTAGACTTCAAATGAACCAAAGTTTTTATTTATTTTATTTTATTTTATTTTTTGTAGCGAGGAGGTCTCACTTTGTTGCCCAGGCTGATCTCAAACTCCTGGCCTCAGGTGATCCTCCTGCCTCAGACTCCCAAAGTGTTGGGATTACAGACAAGATCCACCATGCCCAGTTGAACCAAAGTATTTGAAGGAAAAAAGGAAATTATTTGGAAGGAGCAAGAATACTCAACTTACTTCCTGACCCTGAAGTATGTAAAGTATAAGATTTTAGGGAACAGGTCTTTTTCTTGGGGATGAGTGGGAAATTCAAGAAATTAGAGGAGACACTTTACAAATTAGAGTGGTTTTCCACAAAATGGACAGTTTCCCAATGGACCAGAATCACCTGGCTAACTTGTCAAAAATGCAGATTCCCTATCCACATCAGATCTACTGAATGATAATCTTTGGAGGTGAAACTAGAATTCTACATTACAAACAAGTATTCTAGATGATTCTTATGTAGGCTAAAGGTCTGAGAACCACCAGAATAGAATCACCTTTGAGGAAACACTATATAGAACTCAAGACACACCTTTTAAAAAAAAGTTACACCTTTTTAAAAAATATACATGGGAAGTATATATGGTTAAGTATAGTTGTCTCTGATTTTCTGTAAGACACTATTACCTTTAAAACATCCAATCTCAAAACAAAAATAAAATCACGGCGTGTGACTCCTTGGGTGAGTGGACTCCATGTGATCTTTTCTCAGCTGGTCTGTCAATAAAGCTTACAGGAGGGCTCAAGGATAAACACACACAAAAACAAGGATGGGAGAGCCTTCAGGATATTTTGGGACAAACAAGGCAATTACGAAAAACCAACTCTATAAGAAAAGCATTACTAGTTATAGGAATATCTGTTCAATCATGCACAGAATATGGTACTTACTTTCCTCTGACATGGGAAGGTTTGAAGCAAGGCTTGATGTTTCAGGCTTCTGATCACTGACATCTGGATTGCTTACTTGACTGGGAGAACCAAAATGAATACATTAGCCCCTGATTGATTTGCTGCATTGCTAAAAAGTGATGAGTTCAAACCCATTTCCTCCTAGGCTATATAAGTAAGAGGCAAAGTAAATCTTCGTGATATCCTTATTGTTGATTTTTAACAACTACTTGAAGAGAGCTCGGGCCAGGGCTAGTACCCTCAGCATTCTACCGCTCTTTCTTTTTTTTTTGAGATGGAGTCTCACTCTGTCACCCAGGCTCGAGTGCAGTGGCACGATCTCGGCTCACTGCAACCTCCGCCTCCTGGGTTCAAGCAATTCTCCTGCCTCAGCCTCCTGAGTAGCTGGGATTACAGGTGCATGCCACCATGCCCAGCTAATTTTTGTATTTTTAGTAGAGACGGGGTTTCACCATGTTGGTCAGGCTGGTCTTGAACTCCTGACCTTGTGATCCACCCACCTCAGCCTCCCAAAGTGCTGGGATTACAGGTGTGAGCCACCACGCCCAGTCTACTGTTCTTTCTTATATCTCTAGATCCCTTTAGTTTTTATATAATTCAGAAATTCCAGCTAAGTCACTGGCAAGTCAGATTTTTCTTTAACACCATATGGTAAAACATTGCTCTGCCACTTTTTATTATATGTTTATGGGGTACAATGTGATGTTTTGATATATAAAACACCTTTTGCTTTTTTGTGAAAAAAAAAAAAAAAACGTGAAAACACTTAAGTTCTATGCTTTTAGCAATTCTGAAATATACAATGCTATATTATTTATTACAGTCACCATTCTGTGCAACAGTGCTCTGTTACCTTGCTCCCAAAGTACCACAGGAAGGTAGGGAGACGTTTGATTTCAGACAGTGGTTCTTGATCAGCTACAAACCATAATCATATGAGAAGTGTTTTCAAATTACACGTTTGGGCCAGGTGCGGTGGCTTACACCTGTAATCCCAGCACTTTGGGAAGCTGAGGCGGGCGGATCACTTGAGATCAGGAGTTTGAGACCAGCCTGACCAACATGGTAAAACCCCGTCTCTACTAAAAATACAAAAATTAGCCAGGCGTTGTGGTGCACGCCTGTAGTCCCAGCTACTCAGGAGGCTGAGGCCTGAGAATTACCTGAACTCAGGAGGCAGAAGTTGCAGTGATTGGAGATGGCACTACTGCACTCCTGCCTAGGCGACACAGTGAGACTCTGTCTCAAAAACAAAACAAACAAACAAACAAACAAACAAAAATTATACGTTTGTTTCCAAGCGGGGGTTCTAAACCCTTAAGATTCATTCTACTATATTTCTCTTATCTCCCAGTTAAATAAAACACAAACACCTCATTTTCTATTTGTTATATAGCCAGGACTAAGCAACATCATTTTTTTTAACTTATAAGGAAAATTAAGAGAAATTGAGAATGATAAGTCACATAAACTGGGAGGACAAGTCATTATGTTAGATAGTTTAATGCTGGGGAGATTCCACAGAAATTCTGGAATGAAGATTGTTCTAACTTTCATTCTTCAAAATGTTCTCTCTTTTCCATCTCCTCTACTTTTCATTCTTCAGTTATTATGTCCCATTATAGCACAGTGGTTAGGAGTGTTGATTCTAGAGTCAGAGGCTGCTCAAGTTCATATTCTATTCTGCCAATAACTAGCCCTATGACCTTGGACAAGTCACTGAACTTATCTGTTCCCCGCTTTCTACATCCGTCAACGAGAATAAAAATGAAACCTACCTCATAGGGCTGTCAGGAGGACTAATAAGTTTACATTTAGAGCAAAGCTAGAACACAGTAAGCACACTTTAACTGTAACTGTTATTATATTACAACTTCTTCAAAGCCCAGGCATCATTCCTACATTCATGCACCCTAGAAAGAAGCTTGCTTTGTTCTTCTACTCTCTAGGGAGAGGTGGAAGACACTGTACCAGAGGTTCTATATATCTGGAAAGATAATGCTGACTAATCAAAGGTAAGAGTAGTTTCTACACAGCAAAATTGTAAAAAGAAATGTTGCTTATATAAAAAATATATAGCACAAAATTTATAAAGTTCTCGTATCATTTCTGAAACTGACTTCTAATATTCAAGTATAATAAGGGTTTTTTTTAAATGGTATATATTTTTTGTTTGGTTGGTTTTTGTTTTGTTTTTTTGAGTCAGGGTCTCACTCGGTCACCCAGGCTGGAGTGCAGTGGCTCGATCATGGCTCCTGCAGCTTTGACCTCCCGGGCTCAAGTGATCTTCCTACCTCATCCTCCGAAGTAGCTGGGACTACAGGCATGTGCCACAACACCCAGCTAATTTTTGTAATTTTTGTAGAGATAGGGTTTCATCATGTTGCCCAAGCTGGTCTCAAACTCCTGGTCTCAAGCAATCCGTCCACCTCAGCATCCAAAGTGCTGGAATTACAGGTGTGAGCCACAGTGTCCAGCTTTAATGGTATATTTTGAATGTTCAAATAATTTTTCCTCATTTGTAATTAATTTTAAAGCTAAATCCCCAAGTAAGGTTCATTTTTATCTTGTTACTCAAATGTTTATATTTTTGTAATAGAACTTAATGTACTAAGATGTGATTATGGAAATTGAAGGGTAAGGGCAAGAAATTATATGGAATAGTTGTGTCAGTTTCCCAAACTGGGTGATTTATTATAATTACCTGAATAGTTAATAAAAATAGACTTCTGGACCCCATCTCACACCTACTTACATAGAATTACCAGGGGAAGGGCATAAAACTGAACCAGAATTTTCCTGACATCAATAACTAGTTTGACTTCTACATGTACCTGGTTAAGTATGAGGTTCACTGTTATACCCACTGTTGAAGACTATTTGTAGATCTTATATTTTAGAAGTTGGTGATATTGCTATGATCCAGTATCCACTGGACCAGTTCCTAAAACCCAATGGTCCTAGAATATTATGTTATAGCAACATCCCCTACATACTCAACTGAGCATCTAGAGAATAAATAGAAACAACAGCACCAAGACAGTGAGTTAACTCTAGCACTTGTTAAATATTTAAATTATTATCCTTAGAGAAATGACATACTGCCTCAAAATATAATTATTTTCAAAGTTATATAAACATAAATTTTGCTTAAC
This sequence comes from Homo sapiens, assembly GCF_000001405.40. Classification (NCBI taxonomy): domain Eukaryota; kingdom Metazoa; phylum Chordata; class Mammalia; order Primates; family Hominidae; genus Homo; species Homo sapiens. Next base: position 28,045,747 of record NC_000001.11, read on the forward strand.
AATGAATACACCATGAAAAAACAACTGCTCTAAAATAAAATGACCAAAAAAACCCAACAACATCCAAGTCCATAAAGTGGCACAACAAATACCTCCTTCTCATTCAACAGAACTATTAACAACACAAACAACAGATGAATGGATAAAGAAAATGCGGAACAGACATACAATGGAGTATTATTGAGCCTTAAAAAGAGGAAATTCTGACACATGCTACAAATGGATAGACCTTAAAGACATCATGATGAATCACAAAAGGACAAATACTGTATGACTCCATTTCTGTGAGGTACTTAGAGCAGTCACAATCATGCAGACAGAAAGTAGAATGGTGGTTGCCAGGAGCTGGAGATGGGGGAGTGGAGAATATTGTTTAGTGAACATGGAATTTCAGTTTGGAAAGATGAATAAAGTTCTAGAGATGAATGGTAGTGATGGTTGCAAGACAAAGTGATTGTACTTAGTGCCACTAAACTGTACACTTAAAATGGTAAATTGTATATTGTGTGTATTTTATCATAGTAAAAAAATTGCTGAAGGTAAAAGAAGAGATAATTGCAGGAAAAGATGAAGGTGATGGGTTCTTTCAAACAACTGGAGAGGTTAGCCTTCGATAAGAGCAAGGGAATTTCAGAGGAAAGATAAACAATATCCAAGAGAAGCAGATTAAGTAGGTTGATTTGGTGAGAGAAGGGAGATGTTCCTAATCTCTCTTTGAACTAGGGAGCAAGATCCACAGCTGAGTGAATGGAAATAGCAGGAAAGGGAGGGAAAAGGGAGAAGGTAGGGGGCAAGGAGGGAGGGAATAAAGGAATTAAGATGATTTTAGAGGCTGGGAAATCAGACATACCAGGAAGGGGGACTAAGTGCCTGTTTTAGATCTTATCATGAATAGAAACTAGGAACAGTTAGCACAATTTTGTGTTTTTCTCTCACGATGTACAAGTGATTGGGAATAAGTACAGAATAGGTGGATAGTTGGGTTTAATCAGGGTTGTGGTTTTGCTAGGCAAGTATGACAGAAAAAAGTGAGGAAGTTAAGAATGTTTGTAAGGGACTAATTACAGTAGATCTTATAGTTAAGTTTATTTTTCTTTCTTTTTTTTTTTTTAAATGAGACAGCATCTTGCTCTGCCACCAACCCAGGATGGAGTTCAGTGGCGCAATCTTGGCTCACCACAACTTCTGGCCCCTGGGCTCAAGCAATCCTCCTGCCTCAGCCCCGAGTAGCTGGGACTAAAGGTGTGCACCACCATTCCTGGATAATTGTTTTTGTGTTTTTTATAGAGACAGCATCTTGCTATGTCGCCCAGGCTGGTCTCAAACTACTGAACTCAAGCGATCTGCCCACCTGGACCTCCAAAAGTGGAGCCACCACACCTGGCCAGTTAAGTTCCTTTTTTTTTTTGAGACAGAGTCTTTGTCGCCCAGGCTGGAGTGCAGTGGCGCATTCTTGGCTCACTGTAACCTCCGCCTCGTGGGTTCAAGCCATTCTCCTGCCTCAGTCTCCCAAGTAGCTGGGATTATAGGCTCAAGTCACCACGCCGAGCTAATTTTTGTGTTTTTAGTAGAAACAAGGTTCCGCCATGTTGGTCTCTTATAAGGAAGAAACTAAAGTTCTTTTTAAGGGGTGATGGTGAAAAGATGACAGATGATTTAATTGATAGTTTAAGACATCATATGGCTAGCATGGCAGTTCTAGAATAAATGAGCCGGGATGATAGTGTGTGGAGGTAAAAGTGTAGGATTCTTGAAATTAATGTGGTAGAGGTGATGCAGTTACTGGCTCATATGGTTGGTGCACAAACGACAGAAGGTAAGAACTGTGGAAAACTGAAAACCATGGTATGAAGAAGCCAAACTGTGAGGTGCAAACAAGCTGCCTCTTTTCTCTTTTTTTTTTTTTTTTTGAGACAGAGTCTCGCTCTGTCGCCCAGGCTGGAGTGCAGTGGCGCGATCTCAGCTCACCGCAAGCTCCACCTCCCAGGTTCACACCATTCTCCTGCCTCAGCCTCCTGAGTAGCTGGGACCACAGGCGCCCGCCAACACGCCCGGTTAATAATTTTGTATTTTTAGTAGAGACGGGGTTTCACCGTGTTAGCCAGGATGGTCTCGATCTCCTGACCTCGTGATCTGCCCGCCTCAGCCTCCCAAAGTGCTGGGATTACAGGCGTGAGCGACCGTGCCAGGCGCAAGCTTCCTCTTTTCTATAAGAGGAGTGGGGTTAATGACTAAGTCATTTCATAACCATTTGGTAATTAATACCAAATCTCTTGGATTTTATTTATTTCGCTTATGCTTCCTATTCTGTATATTGTACGTCTGACTGAAGAATATGGTGCTTTTCATCTTTACCATTAAGTCTCCTCTATGTAGCACAGTGCCTGATATACAACATGAGTTTGGTACATATTGTTGAATAAATAATGAATGCATAAGAACAAATCAGTGCACAAGTTTCAGGAAAAAACTATTTGGAAAGGAAATTTTAATCTTAAACCAAATAATTTCAAAATGTAACAGCTGATGGTAAGAACCAAAAAGAGGGCAAAGCATGCCCATACGCTAATCAGCATGTGAAAAAAAAAAACAAAACTTATGAGTAGTTCATTAAAAAGAAAGCAAACTTTACATACCTTATAGTTTGCTCTCCTGATTCCTGCATCTTGGCTTTTTTCACCTGCAAAAATAAATATACAAAGGTATCAATGTACTTGATCTGTTTTTTAAATCATTTAGCTACTCAAACAACAGGCTATTAACTATTACAGGATAACTGTTTAATTTTGTTTAGTCTAGATTTAATTAACCCTTGTTATATTTTAGAGCTAGAAATGAAGTTTGTTTTTTAAATGGAGCTCTTCTTTTTAATGAAAAAAGTGTTCTTCTGATTAAAAAAAAACTGTTTACCAGAATTTTTACTCAAGGTAGACAGAATGTTTACTAGGATAAAGTATCCAAGCTTTGATACAAACTAGTTGGTTTTATACTGTAACAGGCAAATTATATTTAAACAAACAGTAAAGATGGGAATCTAAGTATCATCTACTCATTTATTTAACAAAAATGGCTTTATACTTAAGTTAGTTTAGTGTCAAAAATTAATATGAATTCTTATCAGGTTACCAGTAATTTAGAAAATATTGTTAACCCTGTATTTTTTCTTTTCATATTTCACATTTTCTATTTCCTTCTGGGGAGAAGGCACTTCCATTGAAACAGTGTAAGAATCCACAAATGAAAGATAATGGTTAATACTAATGGATTTTTCTGTTTTCATATTACAGAGAATCTGATTTTAGAACTCTCTGGTTAGAACTGGTTGTAGTAGAAACATGTCTAATATGCTTAGCCATTCAAATTATGAATATTTAAAAGTATTTCAAGCTAATAGAAGAAGGCAGAAACTCTCCTAGATAATTTGAAGCAAGCGTATCAGGTGGAATCATAGATATTTAATATTACATTGACTATTTCAGACAAGGTAAATAATACAGGCAAGCCCCATAAAATTTGTCGTGGCCATATACTCCTCATGAGAATACACAACCATGACCAGACATTCTTGGTTCCTTGCTTATGGCATGTCAAAATGTGTTCCATTCAATGTTCTCTTAATTTTCATAGTTACCAAAAAGGAGAAAATAAAGAAACAAAGGCAATTTAAAAAAACATTTCTAAATTTGAAACAAAAATTACATTAAAGCATTTGAAGCAAAAACAAAAAACGAAACCTTGAGGTGGGCAAATCCTGATTAAGCATGACATTAAATCCAAAAGCCATAAAGGAGAAAATAGATATGATTACACAAAAATTTTAAACTTCTATATGATAAAAGACACCATAAAACAACCAGGAGGTTGAGGGATTCCAGGATAGTATGCAGACTGTGACAAAAAAATCTAACTGTATTACCAATGTATACGACTATCTCACTGAAAGAGGTGAGGGAAATATGATCTGACCTAGATAATATAGGAAAACAGTGTTTTGCCTGGAAACTATAAGGCTAAAGACAAGAAAAATTCAACTATCTAGTTTATCTGCCTGCCATAATTTCACAAATGACAAAATATAGCCTTTTTTTATAAAATGTTCTGCCCTTCCTACCTAAAGATGATAGTAGTTACATATGGTCAGATAATAATATATTCTTCCAATAGTGGAGATGAATTTATGCTTAGCTCATCCAAAGACTCTTTGCTATCAAAGAAATGTAATTACGAGCTGGTTGGCTGAGTAACCAAAACAGTCTATACTCTTCAAACAGTAATTTAAACAAAGAAAATTAGAGCACTGAGGAGTCTAACTTATCATAGTCTTCATTTTATTAGAGGTATAGAGCAACAAATTTAGTTAATCAACTCCAAAAGAAAAAAGGATTTAAAAAAAAGGTCCTGGAGCAACATTTTTAAATTTACTTTTTATTTATTATTATTATTATTATTATTATTATTTTTTTTGAGACAGGGTCTTGTTCTGTCACCCAGGCTGGAGTGCCATGGCGTAATCTCGGCTCACTGAAACCTCTGTCTCCCGGGTTCAAGCAGTTCTTGTGCCTCAGCCTCTCGAGTAGCAGGGACCACAGGTGCACACCACCATGCCCAGCTAATTTTGCTATTTTTTCTATTTTTAGGAGAGACCGGGTTTCACCACATTGGCCAGGATGGTTTCGAACTCCTGGCCTCAAGTGATCCGTCCACCTTGGTCTCCCAAAGTGCTGGGATTACAGGCGTGAGCCACTGCGCCTGGCCAAAAATTTATTTACTTTCAAGGAAGAATTATGCTTCTTTACGCTCCTTCATTTTTAATTTATTACCGTGCCAACCCAGTGCAGAGTATATATTCATAAATAGAAAGGGAGAAAATGTATCTAAAGTCATATCTACCAAGCAGAAAAGTCTGGGGAAGGAAAGGGTGTTACAATGTTTTTTTTGTTTTGTTTTGTTTTTAACCTCATATGGCCCATTGTTTGTCTTGATTTGAGCAATTATGCCCCCCTCTAAGGCAGGGATAGGAAGCATGTACTAACTAGGCAGTAGAGGCAGGTAAATTAACTAAAGAAGACAGACAGATTTTACTCAATTATAGAAGTATCAGTTCAAACAATACAAGCTAGAAACTGACAGAAAATGATTCCTGGTTGTTAAGAGAAATAGCAAAGATTGAGCAACAATTTTCTGGAGAGTTTACAGAGTAACATAGTACTTGCAATAATGAATACTGAAAACTACACAGCAAAGTGAGCAAAGATTCAAGTAGCAACCAGTCCTACAGAGAACAATTTTCATTAACAAAACCAGTATAGATTATACAAGCAGCTGGTATCCAAGGAATTGGGGCCATACCAGGACAGTAGTAGGACAGTAATACAAGCTGCCAGGAAGTAAGAAAGCAATAAAGCTGAAAAAGCTCCGTTAGGGTTAAAAGTGAAAAAATCAGAATCTCTTTTTGCATGACATAATTTTGTATACAGAAATCCTAACGAATCCATTAAGAAACCACTAGAACTGATAAACAAGTTCAGCAAGGCAGCAAAATACAAGACAAACATACAAAAATCAATTATATTTCTATATACTTGCAGTGAACAATTCAAAAATGAAAAAAAAAATCCATTCACAATAGCATCAAAAGGAATAAAATACTTAGGAATATGGCCGGGTCCAGTGGCTCACGCTTCTAATCCCAGCACTTTGGGAGGCCAAGGCAGGTGGATCACCTGAGGTCAGGAGTCCGAGACCAGGCTGGCCAACATGGTGAAACCCCATCTCTACTAAAATACAAAAATTAGCTGTGTGTGGTGGTGCACGCCTATAATCTCAGCTACTCAGGAGGCTGAGGCAGGAGAATCGTCTGAACCTGGGAGGTGGAGGTCGCAGTAAGCTGAGATTGCACCACTGCACTCCAGCCTGGGTGACAAGGCAAGACTCTGTCTAAAACAAACAAACAAACAAAAAAACTTAGGAATAAACCTAACAGAAGAAGAAGTACAATACACGTTAAAAGAAATTTAAGAAGAGCTAAATAAATGCAAAGACACCCCATATCCAGGGAAAGAAGAATTCATCTTGTAAAGATGGTAATACTCCCCAAATTGGTCTACAGTCAATCCAATCAAAATCCCAGCTGGCTGCATTAAAGAAATTCACAAATTGATCTTAAATTTCATATGGAAATGAAAGTGACCCAGAATAGCTAAAACAATCTTGAAAAAAAAAAAAAAGAACAAAGTTAGAGGACTCACATTTTTCCATTTCTTTTTTATTTTTATTTTTTAAGACAGAGGCTCACTCTGTCACCCTGGCTGGAGTGCAGTGGTGCGATCTCGGCTCACTGCAACCTCCACCTCCTGGGTTCAAGCATTTCTCACGCCTTGGCCTCCCGAGTAGCTGGGACTACAGGTGCGTGCCACCATGCCTGGCTAATTTTTTTGTATGTTTAACGGAGATGGGGTTTCACCATGTTGGCCAGGCTGGTCTCAGATCTCAGGTGATCTGCCCACCTCGGCCTCCCAAATTGCTGGGATTACAGGCATGAGCCACTGCGCCCAGCCCCATTTTTCAATTTCAAAACTTACTATAAAGCTAGAGTAATCAAGACCGTGTGGTACTGGCATAAGGATGGATATATGGATCACTGGAACAGAATTGAGAGTCCTGAAATAGACCTCTACATTTGTTGGGTCAACTGATTTTCAAGAAGGGTACCACATTTACAGTCAAATTATTTTCAGCAAAAGTGCCACGATGATTCAACGAAGGAAGAATAGTCTTTTCAACAAATAAAGCTGAACTCGTACCTCAAGCCATATGCAAAAATTAACTGAAAATGGATCAAAGCACTAAATGTAAAAGCTAAAGCTATAAAACTCTTAGGAGAATATGTATGCTCTCATCACTTGTAAAAATATAGGCCGGAGGCAGTGGCTCACACCTGTAATCCCAACACTTTGGGAGGCTGAGGCAGGTGGATCACGAGGTCAGGAGTTCAAGACCAGCCTGGCCAAGATGGTGAAACCCCATCTCTACTAAAAATACAAAAATTAGCCAGGTGTGGTGGCAGGCGCCTGTAATCCCAGCTACTTGGGAGGCTGAGGCAGGGAACTACCTGAACCCGGGAGGTGGAGGTTGCAGTGAGCCGAGATAGTGACACTGCACTCCAGCCTGGGCAACAGAGTGAGGATTGCTTAAGGTCAGGAGTCTGAGACCAGCTGGGCAACAGAGTAAGACCCCATCTCGACAAAAAATTTAAAAAACAATTGGGTGTGGTGGCTCACACCTGTAATCCTAGGTACTCAGGAGGGTGAGATGGGAGGATTGTTTGAGCCCAGGAGTTCAAGGATGCAGTGAGCCACGATTGTGCCACTGTACTCCAGTCTGGGTGACAAAATGAGACCCCGTCTCAAAAAAAAAAAAAAAAAAAAAAAAACAGAAAAAGAAAAAAGGAAGATGCCTTAAAATTTATTCTGGTAATGGTTACAAAACCATTTTAGAATAGACTAAAAACTACTGCACTGTATACGCTAAAAGGGTGAATTGTAGGATATGTAAATTACATGTCAATAAAGCTGGTATCTTAAAAAATGACATAATCCTATGGGCATATAATGGCTAATGATAACACAAAAAGAAAGAAGCACTGACAAATTCATAAATCAGCATTCTATTTTTGCTTCTGCTACAATGTATAATCACACTTTAAATATAACACAGCAAGGAAACAAAAAACCCAGTATACAAATTCAGAATATCCAGGCTCAAGGCTAAGTTCTGAGAGTTAATTCACTGCGTGTCTTTTCTGTATCTGTTTCTTCACCTGTAAAAAAGAAGATACAACTACCTACTTCATAGGGCTCATGTTTCAACAGCAGGAAACAGCAGCATTAACAGTACAAGGATGCTGGCTGAATAAACTTAAGGATGTGCACTGTTAACATAATATGTAAAGATGAAATTTAAACAGGAAAAGAGTGAACTGCTTATGAAAAACAAAGCGCTATGTAATTGTTAAATTTTAGTGTTATTACCATAGACAGCAAGAACAAAGTTGAATCCCAGAAATTTCAAGACAGGCTTAAGAAACAGGACTCTCTAGTTAAGAAAATTGTATTAAGCATCTCAAATGTCATTCTGAAATTACTCTGTGATGACTTACAAGTAATGGCTATGAAGGTTTAAACAAGAGGCAAAAGCATGCTAGTGCTAGGTAAATTGTAATCTTGGCAATAATAAATATAATGGTAGGGTAAAAGTCGTCATGGAGACTATAAAAAGGATGTTTATGTCAAGATTTATCCAACACTGTCCAACAAACAGAAGGACACTGTTCTGTTTACTAAAAAGTCATATTCCATATGCTAGAGGGGTAAAGGGTTTGATCATAACCTAGATGAAATTTCACACAAAAAACAATTTAATGCCATTTTCATTGACTGTGCTTACTAATAGCTATCTAATTATTAATTTGACTTCAAGAACTTAACATAAGGAAAGCAGGACCTAGAGAGGGAGGTAAGCATTCCAAATTATTAGAGAGGTAAATATTTATGGCAGAGACAACTTCCTGTTCTACCACTGCATGTTAGGTGTGACTTCTGATGGAGGCAAAAAAATCTTTTTGTCTTCTCTATCAAGAAGAGTAATCTACAAAATGTAAACAATAGCATACCTAAATTTTTCAAAAAGAGTTTATTCCCATATTTATAAGCAAGCACCTCAATTATTTTAAATAAGTTCTAACCCTCCAGATTCACAGAAGCTTTATCCCATAGACCTGTAACTTAACAAACATGATTGCTAAACCAGTGTTTATCATCTCTGAAAAATCACAGAGAATAAGAGAGGTGCTTGAAACAGAATATAAAGAAATGAGGACAAGGTGGGGGACCTGCTTGAGCCCAGGAGTTCGAGACCAGCCTGGGTAACAGGGCAAAACCCCGTGTCTACTGAAAATACAAAAAAATTAGTTGGGTGTGCTGGTAGTCTCAGCTACTTGGGAGGCTGAGGTGGGAGCATTGCTTCAGCCTGGGAGGCGGAGGCTGCAGTAAGCCAAGATGGCACCACTGCACTACAGCCTGGGCGACAGGGTGAAACCCTGTCTCAAACAAAACAAAAAGAAATGTTTCACTACTTGGTTTGTTTGTTTGTTTTAATTTAAAGGTGATGGTAGAGAGGAATTAGATGCTGGAAACTATAAACTAGTGCTAACTTAATGCTGATTGATGACAGTGTTCTAAAACAGATTACTGAACAGACCTTTGTAGACACCTAGAAAGGATATGACAATCACCTGGAGCTATTATATATTTTCTCTAAGAACACTCAACATCTTTATTGATAGCTTAAAAGATTTAGGCTATAAATAGGTAAAGTATATGACGGAAAGCTGGAAAGACTAAGATTTTTAATTAAGGTATCAAAGGGTGATGATGTTACTTCTTCAGGGACTCTCAGTGTGTAAACTGTAGTGTGAGGTATTTCTTATTCTCAATCCACTGCTGTTCTTTATACTCTATTCTCCAAGTAGAGGCTGTACAATAATCAGTCAAAAGGATCCCCTCATCTGTGGATAAGATTCTTGCATTTTTAGAAGGTGATTTATAGTAATATAACAAAGTTATTTACAACTCAGTTGAAGATTGATAAGCAATAAAGGGAAAGTGAAAGAATCTGAAGTTAAAATTTATTGCATTGTGAGTTATCTAAAGAAAATCTTTTTTTTTTTTTTTTTTTTTTGAGACAGAGTCTCACCCACTCTGTTGTCCAGGCTGGAGTGCACTGGCACAATCTCGGCTCACTGCAACCTCCACCTCCTGGGTTCAAGCGATTCTCCTGCCTCAGCTTCCCAAGTAGCTGGGATTACAGGCAAGTGCCACCACACCTGGCTAATTTTTGTATTTTTAGTAGAGATGGGGTCTCCCCATGTTGGCCAGGCTGGTCTCAAACTCCTGGCCTCAAGTGATCCACCCACCTCCACCACCCAAAGTGCTGGGATTACAGGCATGAGCCACTACGTCCAGCCGATCTGAACAAAATCTTGAGGTAGAGCTAGCAATTAGTGGAGAAATAAGAGAAGGGATAATTCAATAAGGAAGAGTCAAGAAGAGACAATGGGATTAAAATAACTTCAATAATAACGACCATCAGTAACATCTCTAGGATTAAAAATATTGGCTTTATCATCAACTTGGGATGGGACCATTCTTTCCACTCATATTTTAGATCTCCACTACAGCCTGTGAAAAGCTTTTTTTTTTTACCTCAAAATGTGTCATTACTCTTCCTGTTCTATTTTAAACATTAATAAGTATTGTGTTTTCATAGATTCTGTATTTGTCTGTTTGACATCCATTAATTACAGAGCCAAACTCAAGGCCAAACTTGTTTTTTATCTCCCCTGAGATCCAGTGCCCATACTCTGAACCACCTCCTTTATCTAACTCTCACACACTAAGCCCCTATTTCTCCTGCCCTAAATCATAAATCAACCCAGGACAAAGTACCACCAGAAAACCAGGGATAGTCCACAGGCCACAAAGCCTGAAGAATTATTCAAACTAGTCAACGCTAAGCTGTTTACCCTGCCTACCTTGCTTTTCCTGTGGAAACCTCATTAAGTCTGTGGCCCGTGCCTTCCTCCCACTCTTTTTTGCCTCCTGACCAACAGTGGTACTTCCCCCGTGTGGCATGCTATGCCTCTTGTTTCAAGGGGAACTATGAGTAAACACTCAACTTTTCTTTCAGTGGCACTGATCTCTCCATGTCGTCATTCAATCACCTTTTTATATTAAGATCTGGGCATAAATCAATAAGGAAATAATGCCCTGTGACAACCATTTATAGTCAGCAGAAATTTTGGTTTTAAAGTGCTTCAATTTCTTACCTTTCTCTGAAGTAATAATCAGGTTTTGCACATCATGTTACAGAAGTTCAAGAGAATGACAAGGAAATGAAGCAGGGCAGAAGAGATAGATGACTTGTTAGCAGGTCAGCCTCACAATTCTCATTACCTTAAATAGGTAAGGAGTAACTAACAATACCCATATTTCAACAGTATGTCAACACTTACATAAGTCTTTTAAAAATATGACTAGACCTTTGTCTTACCACATTAAAAACTCAATGGCATAATTTTTCCTGGTACATATAGTATCTATAATTCAGCTATTTGTTCCAGTAGTGTAAATCCTAAACACACTGCTCAAGATAATTTTTAACCCTACCATTTCCCTGATAATTAAAGTCCCACCAGGGATAGGGATCACACTTCAAATGTTTCAAAAGGTCTTTTTACCAGTTGCTAATGTCTTCCTAGTTTTATACTTACCTCAACTGAGAGGGCTAGAAGAATAATGACAAAGTAATCATCAATATGCATTTCTCAATATAAAGAAAAATATTTAAAATATATTAAAGGACTTTATCATTTAAATGGGAGCTAGTATACCTAAAGAATACAACTAGAACACGAAAAACATATCCTATTATTTGCTTTCAAAATTCAAATTTTTATAGGTTAGATTTTCATAAAGTAAACATGTACCATGCTGTATCCTCTCTTAATATGAAATGTAAGAGGCCCACTCAGGATAGCAAATTGAATCGGTATTTACCAAACTTCAGAGAAAGAAACTGAAGACAAAAGGAAAAGACCCTCTAGCATAAAAGTTATCTTAAAAGAATGACACTATTGCTTTTGTTTTTTAAATATTAAGGGCCAAAAACCAAAAAGAAGATAAACCCATATCACCTGGGGACATTTAAAATTATTTTATTATGTTCAATATTTAAAAGAAATTAAGAATTCAATATAGTCTCTAGGGTTTTATCTGTTTTTAAGAATTAGCTAGTGGTCAAATTATAACTTCCTCACTACTACTACTTTTTAAAAAATTAACTCTCAAGGAAATTTAGGTAAAAACAAAACTAAATTTTCTGGTAGAAATGGTGATATACTGTCAGATCAGTAAAGAGACGTCCTCTTTTATTTTCTAAAAACTGTAACACTAGCCACTTATTTTTTTAAATGACATTTCTAAATGCAATATTCATTTCGTAATGCTAAATTTTCCTTAGACTCCTTAGAATTAAGTTAGAAAAATATAACATTGTTTTCTTGAAAGGAAACAAGGAATCTTTTCCTTATTTTTATTTCTAATTTGGAATCTATAACTGAATAATAATTAAAATCTCTTAAGATTAGCTCTTCTACAATCAACTTTAAACTGTTAAAGGAAATACTTACTGGTTGCTCTGGTAAATCTTGCTCTTCTTCCATGAGGACCAATATTTCTTTATTATACTTATGTGACTGGATTGCAAGTCTCTCTCAGCAGTTTTCACAATCTGTTTTTAAAAAGGAGGATTCAAAGCTTTATACACTCTTAAAGTATTATCATTGAGGCCATCAGAGAATGATTTTTTAGTATCTTGCTACCCCAAGCTTTCTACGTGAGTTCCAATCACAAAATCTCAAACCTGCACGTGGCTTTTCAAAAATGACATGCTACACCAAATCAAGAGAGGTGTACACAATGACTTTTATAATACCTTGCAAAAGCCAACATGTGGAACCACTTCTGCTGGTTACTATGGTGCCTAATGCATTGAACATTTTACAATGACAGCCACGTGCAGATAATAAAATATTTTTTTAAGGATTAGAGTTACACTAAAAATGATAGGGACTGGCCTAGCAAGTCAGCAAGTTATGATAACATCTAACCTGCTTTAATGTGGAACATTTACATAACTGTTAACACAGACACACAGAATCACTTTAAATAGGACAAACCGGAATATCAACTAAATGCATTCACAACCAACTATCTGTCTATATGTCATCAATTTCAAGGAAAACTCAATTCTTCTGCATCTCAATAATAAAAATAAATAAGTAGAGTGAAACCTTGACTTTTAGAACTAAAGAAAATAATCATCCAAAGATAGGACCTAATTTAATTCTGAAATAATGAACTTCTACTAACTGTACTGCCCAATTATTTAAGCAAAATCTTTACGTTCTCAGACCCTGCTCTTTCTGTCCTGATTTTCAAACAAAAAAGGAAAAATGGGATTCTAAGTCCACCTTACCATGTCCTACTGACAGGAGACAAAGAGACAAAAATTAGAAAGCTGCATACATTATAAAAATGAAATACTCCATTTCTATCTAACAAAAGTGAAACCAGCACTTCTCCCAAAAGATGTGATTGCTTGTATATTTAATTAAAGTCACAGCTGTTTTTAGCTTTTCTACCAACCACTGTACCTAACTCACATACAAAGCTAAAGTAAGTATATAATCTTATCACACAAGTACTGAAAATAGACAAATAACAAGAAAACCAAAAACTTGTTATGCCAGTATACCACCACTCTACTTCTATTACTCTGTCGTGTTGCAATACAACACAACTTTATTTTAGAGCCACACTCCAGAATGTGAAAAGGAGAGAAAACACACATAAGGTTACAATTAGATGCAAAGTTGTCCAACTCTAACACAGCTTTATTCCCTACCCCAATTTAGAATATCAAAAGAAAAAAGAAGTTTAAAGGTCAGAAGCACTTGATGCTCAATGCTCTCACTGTAGCTCATACACAGAGCCTCAAAAGCTAAGTTCTCCTACTACATGACACAGGTAACTAGTGATACAGAATTACAGAGTGCAATAAGTAAAGCTCATAGGAGCTATCTTCCCTGCACTTGTTTTGCTCAGCTTAGAACAACACAGTCAATGTGACCTAAAACTGATTCACAGCTATGAAAGATCAAACATTTTTGGTTTTACTAGTTTATGTCTTAGTTTCAAATTGAAGTATCTTTTCTTTAAGGGACAATCCTTTTCATTTTATACTGTCTAAATGTACATTATGTACATATATTATTTCATCCCATTAGAAACAACAAAATAGGACCACATCATTAGAGAAATGGAATACCTTCAATACCTCATTTGTTGGATTTTTTTTTTTTTTTTTTTTTTTGAGATAGGGTTTCGCTGTGTCACCCAGGCTGGAGTGCAGTGGCGCAATCTCGGCTAACTGCAACCTCCGTCTCCCGGGTTCAAGCAATTTTTCTGCCTCAGGCTCCCAAGTAGCTGGGACTACAGGCGCGCCACCATGCCTGGCTAATTTTTGTATTTTTAGTAGAGATGGGTTTTTGCCATGTTGGCCAGCCTGGTCTTGAACTCCTGACGTCAGGTGATCTGCCTGCCTCAGCCTCCCAAAGTGCTGGGATTACAGGCATACACCTGGCCAAGTTGTTGATTTTTTGTGTGACCAGTTCTCATCCATAGAAAACTTACAACATTACATGTTTTCCCTAATTGAAGGCCATGACTATAAAACTACAATCTCTAGTATATTTTCAGCAAGGGAGATAAAAGGGATATCCACTCCACCATGGGGGAAGAGTTATAAATTTCATCTCTGATAGGAGGAAGGTAAGAATAATTGTTAAAAAATATTTATGTGTATACACACTCAATAATGTGGTTTAATTTTGTTTTTAAACACAAAAACTAATTCGTTTTAAAAATCTGAATTACATTAAAGGAGAACATAATACTACTTACAGGTCAAAAGGGGTCATGGGTTTTAAAAAGTAAGAAAACGCTCTATCAAGTTGAATAATGAAGAATCATTTTAAAAGAAAAAACATAGAAACATTAGTATAAATGGTGGGGATATAAATTATCAATAAATGTTAAAATATTGAATTTTGCTTTTTAGAAATATGGTAATATTAAATTGATTTTATAATAGAAAAAGAAGAATCTACTATTTCTTGACATAAATTCTGTAAGCTGCAAGAAAACCTTCTTTAAGGGAAACATTTAAAGACATTCCTTTCTACATCTATTCTGTGAAAATAAGCACCCTTTGTTGTTTCCATCTTTAAAATTCTCTGTCTTCTTGGCTTTTCAATCTAGGAGAATAAAAAGTACACAAATAATTTCTACATTTAGAAGAAAAGAACTGGCCAGGCATGGTGGCTCATGCCTGTAATCCCAGCACTTTGGGACGCCGAGGCAGGCGGATCACAAGGTCAGGAGATCAAGACCATCTTGGCCAAGATGGTGAAACCCTGTCTCTACTAAAAATACAAAAATTAGCTGGGCGTGGTGGCGCAAGCCTGTAGTCCCAGCTCCTTGGGAGGCTGAGGCAAGAGAATCGCGTGAACCTGGGAGGCGGAGGTTTCAGTGAGCTGAGATCGCACCACTGCACTCCAGCTTGGTGACAGAGTGAGACTCTGTCTCAAAAAAGAAAAGAAAAGAAAAGTTTAAAAACCAGGCTTGCTATCTCAAAATAACTGGTCAATGACCACGAATAATTTTGATCATTTTAAAACAAAAAGCTGCCTACAAGGAAAGAATAGATTACAAAATCCCCCGGGATTCTACTGGCAACATACAATGTGTGGGAAGTTTGCAAACATACATTCTGGTACATTCTGTATAAAATGCACTAATGACCACAAATTATGTAATTCTACCAAAACATTCATCTAAATACTAGTTTCCATCAATACAGTATTCTCCTGCCTTCCAATAATTTGTACCCTGAAAGACCTGAAATATCAGAACATACTAAATATAAGAATGCAAGTATTCATCACAGTCCCAGCATTTATCAATGTTTAAAACTTTTATTAAGACTTCATACCATTTTCCACAAGTGGTGCATGCTATACAATCAAAAGTCATACTTACTAGCAAGAGATGAAAATACAGTATAACTAAGACACAATATTGCAAAACTTGGTAATAAAAGAAGTACAGAATTACTGTAAAAATCTTAGTATTAGTTTCCTTGTATTAGTTCTAGAATTTAACGTGTTTTTTTTTTTTGTCTTTTGTTTTTTGAGATGGAGTCTCGCTCTGTCGCCCAGGCTGGAGTGCAGTGGCGCGATCTCAGCTCACTGCAAGCTCCGCCTCCCAGGTTCACGCCATTCTCCTGCCTCAGCCTCCTGAATAGTTGGGACTACAGGCGCCCGCCACCACGCCCGGCTAATTTTTTGTATTTTTAGTAGAGACGCGGTTTCACCGTGTTAGCCAGGATGATCTCGATCTCCTGACCTCGTGATCCGCCCACCTCAGCCTCCCAAAGTGCTGGCATTACAGGTGTGAGCCACCGCGCCCGGTCAACGGTTTTTTTTTGTTTGTTTGTTTGTTTTTACCATTAATGTAACCTGACATTATTTTACATTCAGTGAGATTCATCTTTTAAAATATCAAGTAATACAACAGTTGTAACACAGAAGTGAAAAGTGGATTTTTAATGTAATTAAAATAAATTAAAACTTAGTCAAACAGCTGATGAAATTACAAGACATGCCCCGAGTTAATCTTTTAAGTACCTTTAGAACATTTGGAAAGTAATGTCTTTTCACAATTTTCTAATTTCAATTCTTACTACTGGTTTCTAAATACACTTGTTTTATCACCTTTTTTGGAAATAGAGCTTGTCAGTATTCATTTGCCTTCATGGACAGAATTCTGAGAAAATTTTAAATTGAGAATAGAAATAGTATTTCCTAAGACTTTACACTTCTCTACCTGTGAATGCTGACAGTGAAAAAATAGAAACTTTGGTTTGATTCAAGAGCCACACAATTTTGAATACTATTGAGATTTTGCATGCTTAAAAATAAAAGCAGGATCTTTCTGTAATATGGCAGCCATAAATTTTATTTTTACTCTTTAGAAGTTAGAAGGGAAATAATTAGTAACAAATATTTTATTTCAAAATTCAAATTAGATTCCTACCTCATAGTTTCTGTTTTGTCCCAAGTTCAACATACTATGTACCCTGTAAATGTAAATGGCCATAAGCAAGAAATTAGGTTGCTTCAATGTGTTATTAAAGCTCTTAGGCTTAGGAAGAGAAATTAAATATATGTAGGTGTGTGTGTGTGTGTGTGTGTGTGTGTGTGTGTGTTCTGTTTGTTTAAAAGCACAGAATAGGCTGGGTGCAGTGGCTCACACCTGTAATCCCAGCACTTTAGAAGGCCAAAGCAGGCGGATCACTTGAGGTCAGGAGTTTCAAACTAGCCTGGCCAACATGGTCAAACTCTGTCTCTCTTAAAAATACAAAAAATTAATCTGGCGTGGTGGCACGCGCCTGTAATTCCTGCTACTCAGGAGGCTGAGGGAGGAAAACTGCTTAAACTCAGAAGGCGGAGGTTGCAGTGAGCCGAGATTGCACCACTGCACTCCAGGCTGGGCGACAGGAAACTGACTAACGCTCCATCTCAAAAAAAAAAAAAAAAAGCACAGAATAAAGGTCAAATTGTTTTCCATGAAAACAAGGCATATATCACTCTTAATTACAACTTCAAAAGAAGTGTCTAAGTAAGGCAAAGTCTGATTTATAGGTCCTAGAAAGAGAATTTGCATGCAGCTAAGTATGTACAGAGATATTCAGGAGTTAACTGGATATCTATGACACAGTCCCACATAGAAAAAAGGTAGTCCATAGATTTGCTCACTGACTACATTGTATTTTAAGTTTATTTACTACACTTTCCAAAGTGCCTTATATATATATATATTTTTTTTTATTTTTAATTTTTTTTGGGGGGGGAAATAACTAAAACCTTTTTTTTTTTTTTTTTTTTTGGAGACAGCATCTTGCTCTGTCACCCAGGCTGGAGCACAGCGGCGTAATCTCGGCTCACCGCAACTTCCACCTCCCCAGTTTAAGCAATTCTCATGCCTCAGCCTCCCAGGTAGCTGGGATTACAGGTGTGCGCCACCACACCTGGTTAATTTTTGTAGCGATGGGGTTTTGCCATGTTGGCCAGGATGGTCCCAGACTCCTGGCCTCAAGTGATCCACCAGCCTCGGCCTCTCAAAGTGCTGGGATTACAGGTGTGAGCCACCACATCCGGCCTAAAACCTTTATTAGATATGATTTTCCAATAATAATAATGTGCAAATTTGAATTATGAATTCAAAGAGCAGTGAAGTCTGAAATTTTAAAAGGTAGAATAGGTATTAGGGAACAAAAGGTAAAGGAAGATGAGAACGTTTAATACTATTCATTATCTCCTCTGTACACAATGTTGCATATACACAACTATTTCATTTTTATCTTATTGATTTAACAATAGTGAAATCACCTTAAGCAACCTACGGTATATAGTTGGTGTCCAACTTTGGGGGGGAAGGTAGAAACATACATGATTAACATTTTTCACCCACACATTTTAGACAATTTTTTTTTTTTGGCCAAGATTTTAGCAGCAAATTCATAAATATAAGAAGTACTTTCACTCATTCAATGTTAAAACAGAAAGCCAAATAGTGTCAACAGTAGTGGCTTAATTATTGGTATACAAGAAAAACAAAACACCAATAGGTTTTCTTAATTATGCACTTTAAATATTAATATGTGCATTTATTTTTAGTTATACATTTTTCACGTTTTAGACAATAGCCTTTAATAGTTTCAAATCCATTGAGACGTTGCTTTCAATTTCAAATAATGTGTGCATACACGTATATAAAAAACAACCCAGTGTATGACTCATGTGACAGATGTTTAAGATTAACAAATGCTTATTTTTCAACATGCAGTTAGGTAGAGAGGGAAGCAAGCCATCCTCTCTCTCTCTCTCTCTCTATATATATATATATAAATATATAGAGCCTGCGAGACAGCGAGACTCTGCCTCAAAAAAAAAAAAAGAAGTGAACAAAGGTTTACTCCAATACCTACAAATTTCTTAATGAAAATTAGACAAAATTAATAATGAATATTTTGGGAGAAAGGAGAACAACAGAGGCCATTTAAGGAAAACCTGTCTACACCATTCTTTAAAACCAATAATAGTGGGAAAGATAAGAGAACTATCATTTACTGAGCATATATAATACACAAAGTTTTTAGTTTTTATTTTTTTTATTTTTTTAAGACATGAGGGTCTTATTATGTTGCCCAAGCTGGTCTCAAACTCCTGGGCTCAAGCAATCCTCCCACCTCAGCCTCCCAAGCAGCTGGGACTACAGGCATGTGCCACTGCATCCAGCTCCAAGTAATTTTTATATTCACTATCTCATCAAATTTTGTCTCCACAACTAAGACGCAGGTGGTATTATCATCCTCATGCTACAAACAAGGAAACTGGGATTCAGAGATTTAAACAATTTGTCCAAGAGTAACAGCAATAATGTTGCAGGTTGAAGTGAAAATACCTTAAATAAAGAGACTAGATAATAGTGATGATGACTGCAGATCATTGTAAATGTACTTAATTCCACTGAATTGTATACAGTAGTCTCCCCTTCCAAGGGGGGGATACACTGCAAGACCCCCAGTTGACCCCTGAACCCACAGATGGTACCCATATAGACTGTCTTTTTTCCTATACATATATACCTATGATAAATTTTAACTCAGCAGTTTTCACACACTGTGTGGCCAAAACCTGGAGTTTGAGGTGTGACAGAAAAACTAGCATGAATTTCTTTTCCTTCTTCAAAAGTTCATGGACAGAAGATTAGTTCTTACCATAGATTTTTTTTCTTTCTTTTTGAGATGGAGTCTCTCCCTGTCACCAGGCTGGAGTGCAGTGGTGAGATCTCAGCTCACTGCAACCTCCGCCTCCTGGGTTCAAGCGATTCCCCTGCCTCAGCCTCCTGAGTAGCTGGGACTACAGATGCGTGCCACCACGCCCAGCTAATTTTTGTATTTTTAGTAGAGACGGGGTTTCAGCATGTTGACCAGGATAGTCTGGATCATGATCCGCCCGCCTCGGCCTCCCAAAGTGCTGGGATTACAGGTGTGAGCCACAACACCCAGCCCTACCGTAGATCTTAACAATCTCAGCATATGATTTTTTTTCTTTCCTTATTTAGTGGAGAACTTTTACCTTTTCACTTAATGCACTTCTCTTTGGTGTATCTGTATTGCCAGCAACACTACTCTTGCTCTTCAGGGCCATTAAGTAAAATAAGAGTTACTCAGGCTGGGTGCAGTGGCTCATGCCTGTAATCCCAGCACTCTGGGAGGCCGAGGCGGGCGGATCATGAGGTCAGGAGTTCAAGGCCAGCCTGGCGAACATGGTGAAACCCCATCTCTACTAAAAATACAAAAATTAGCTGGGCATGGTGGCGCATGCCTGTAATCCCAGATACTCAAGAGGCTGAGGCAGGAGAACTGCTTGAACCAGGACCCGGGAGGCGGAGGTTGCAGTGAGCTGAGATCACGCCATTGCACTCCAGCCTGGGCAAGAGTGAAACTCTGTCTCAAAAAAAAAAAACAAAAAAGAGTTACTCGAACACACAAGTACTGCAGATACCTCAACAAATGATCTGATAACCAAGACGGCTCCTAAGTGAGTAACAGGCGGGAAGTGTCTACAACATGAATATGTTGGATAAAGGGATGATTCATGACCCAGGCAGGAAAGAGCAAAATGGAGAGAGACTTCATCACACTACTCAGATCAGTGCACAATTTTAAACTGATGAATTATTTGCCTGTGAAATTTTCCATTTAATATTTTCAGACCAAGGTTGATAGAAGGTAACTAAAACCGCCAAAAGCAAAACTACAGATGGTGGGGGTACTACCTTACTTAAAAATGGTTAAAACAGTTAATTTTATCTTACGTATATTTTACAATAAAAAATACAAAAAAAACCCTAAGAGATTAGAAATGCCAAAAAAAGATCAAATCTATAAAGTATTTAAAATATGAAATAAATGGAGAAAAAATCAGTATTTAGAAAACATTGTCAGAAAAACTGAATACCAACATGCAAAAAATATCCACATCAACATATGCTGTAAGTAATTATAAATATATTAAAAAACTAAACATTCAAAAAACTTTGGAGAAAACAGAACAGTAAGCTTATCTCACTATGGAAAAGAGATGAATTTATGGTCAATTCAAAGAAAGCATAAACAAGAATTTGACAAATCCAATTATGTAAAATAAACTTTCATGCAATGAAAAAAACAAATCTAAGATTAAAATATTATAAATTCAGGCAATATCTGCAAGAATTATGATAAATAAAACAATGTTTATAATATAAACCAAACCAATTCAACATTTCCCGATCATCTATTATTAGGGAGCAAACAATGACTAACTCATAAACCTGTCAAAGGATAAAAACAGGCAGTTTAAACCACAGAGATTCAATCGGCACTTGAGAAAAAAGACTGTCTCACTACTAATTGGAGAAATATAAATTGCAATATTCTTAAGATACGACTTCATACATATTAAGCTACCAAAAAAAATCTAAACAATAAAACCAAGTGTTATCTGGGTTATGAGAAGATAAAGACATATTCAGTCAGGCACAGCTGTAAAATCATATGTGTCTTCAGACTGTTCCTGGATAAAGTATAAAAGAGGTCATAAGATTGGCCACAGCCTAATCTGAATAATTTTTCTTAGGTGCTCACCCAAGAATTACATACAGGGGGGAAAGAAGCAAACTCTACTTTTAAAAATAGTATAAGTTTGTTGTCTACAGAAACGAAAAATGAGAAACAAACAACATGTGAACAATAAGTTTAACTACACTGTAACTGTAAACTATTTCAATACAAGCTTATTTAAAAGGTGAATACATGTTTTTATGTTAGTTTAATAATAGCTTACATATAATTTGATAAGAATCAAAAGCAGATACAAAGCTTACATTTAAAAGTATAGTAAAATGTTTAAATACATATTTTTAAATGCTTATATAAAAAATGTTCAAGACATTAAGCTAAAATTAGACACAAATTCTTCATTCTTGCCCCCAACTTTTTCCATTAGAAAAAAAATTTCAGTTTTGAGGGAAAAGCATTTCAAATCACAGTGATCTTGCCTTACCTAAAAAATCTTACCCTGTTTGTGACAACAGTATAGGCAGAAAGATTCATTTGATTTTCTGGCTGTGTCATCTCTTTCCTAAGAAGTTATTTAGACACTGTACACAAACTCAGGGTTGGTTCATTTTACAGCTCTAAGCAAAAGCAACGAACTTCCAATAGTTAAAGAATTTGCTATTGGAAGAGACTTCACATTTGGTTTCACTCTATTGGACAGACACGATTCTCTCTTGGAAATGCAAGAAAATATATAACAAAAGATGCTACAAAGGATAGAGTATCACAGATCATTAAATGTAATCCTTATTTTAAAGTTGAGGAAATTAAACAAAAGAGAAGGCACTGCCTCATGAACCTGTAAGCAGCAGAAACAGTGGTGGAATCCAAAACTCTGAACTCCCTTGTCTGAAGTTTTTTGTCCTCTTTATGTGGAATTGAGCATAAAACCCTCCCTTTTAAAATTACATTCCTTTATGCCTGTAATCCCAGCACTTTGGGAGGCTGAGGCAGGTGGATCACCTGAGGTCAGGAGTTCGAGACCAGCCTGGCCTACATGGTGAAACTCCGTCTCTACTAAAAATAAAAAAAATTAGCGTGGTGGTAGGCACCTGTAATCCCAGCTACTTGGGAGGCTGAGGCAGGAGAATCGCTTGAACCCGGGAGGTGGAGATTGCAGTGAGCCAAGATCGCACCACCGCACTCCAGCCTGGGCAACAAGAGTTAAGACTCCCATCTCAAAAAAAAAAAAAAAATTACATTCCTAATATTATTACCTTAGGCTACTTATTCCTTTTCTTTCATTACATCTCTATCCTATGTTACATTACTTTGATCTTATGATATAACATCATGTTCTTAACGTTTTTAAATATTTTAAATTTAAACTCAAAATTTCTTTTTCAATGTATGGATTGGCACTTTAAGGACCTCCTAAAAATCCAAAAATAACATTCCTTTTTTTTTTTTCTTTAGAGGAATAAAGAGCTTAGTTGAACAAAGAGCTACTTCTGAATCTGGCAGCCCTCAGAATCAGAAAAGATTCAGACTCAGAGAGCTCCCTGACATTCTTTTTATGCTACGTATTAACTCCCTGTACAGGCTAGCAAAAAAACCCACAAAAACAAATTGATTTCTCTTTATAACCGTAAGTCCTTAATTTAAAATGTACAGACTTTGATTTACTGGGTTTTTTTGTTTGTTTGTTTTTTGATTTTTTGAGACAGGGTGGAGTACAGTGTCACAATCTCACCTAGCCTGGAGTACAGTGGCACAATCCTGGGTCACTGCAACCTCCGCCTCCTGGGTTCAAGCGATTCTCATGCCTCAGCCTCTGAAGTAGCTGGGACTACAGGTGTCCACCACCATGCCTGGCTAATTTTTGTATTTTTAGTAGAAACAGGGTTTCACCATGTTGGCCAGGCTGGTCTCGAACTCCTGGTCTCAAGTGATCCGCCCGCCTTGGCCTCCCAAAGTGGGATTACAGGCTTAAGCCACAGTGCCCAGCCTGACTTACTGTTAATTAAACAGGTAATTTTATTTATTTATTTATTTATTTTTGAAACAGAGCAGTGACACAATCTCAGCTCACTGCAACCTCCACCTCCTGGGTTCAAGCAATTCTCCTGCCTCAGCCTCCCAAGTAGCTGGGACTACAGGCACATGCCACCACACTCGGCTAATTTTTCGTATTTTAGTAGAGACAGTCTCACCATGTTGCCCAGGCTGGCCTCAAACTCCTGAGCTCAAGTGATCTACCCACCTCGGCCTCCCAAACTGCTGGGATTACAGTCATGAGCCACCATGGCCGGCCAAAACAAGTAATTTTAACTGGGGCTGGGGTCAAAGTGGGAAGGGGCGGCTGAGGTAGGAGGATCCCTTGAGCCCAGGAGTAATCTGGTAATCTGGTATGTTGACCAGCCTGGACAACACAGCAAGAGACCCAATCTATTTAAAAAAAAAAAAAAAAGAGAGAGAAGAAGAAGAAAAAAAAAGAGGGTGGGAGGGAAAGGAGAAAGGGAGGGAAGAGGAGAAGGAAGGAAGGGAAAGAGGGGGTAGAAGAGGAAGAGAGGAGGGGGGAAATCCCCTTTCCCAAACACATATACACACAGTTATCATGAAATAGATTTCTAGCCAAAGATGGGTCCATAGCCTAATACCCAGATCCTGTGAATGTTCACTTATTTGGAAAAACAGTCTTTGCATATGTTATTAAGGATTTTGAGATGAGATTATACATAGGCCCTAAACGCCATCACAAATATCCTTATAAGAGAAAAGCAGACATTTAACACACATACAGAGAAGACGGCAATGTGAAAATGGAAGAAGAGACTGGAGGGTTACGGTCAAGGAATGTCAGCAGCCACCAGAAGCTGGGAGAGGCAAGGGATGATTGCCCCTAAAGCCTCTGGAGCAAGTTCAGTCCTGCCAACACCCTGATTTCAGACTTCTGGCCTCCAGAAGTGAAAGAATAAATTTCTGTTGTTTTAAGCCTCAAAGTCTGTTTGGGGTAATTTGTTATGGCAGCCACAAGAAACTAATACAAATAGCAAAGTTTATGTTTTTTGTTTGCTTGGTTTTGCTATTACCTCTCTGTTTGGGCTTGTTGACCATCTCCTGACCACTGAATGAAACAGACAAACTGAAAACGAAAGTGGGAAATGAAGAAATCTAAGTAAGGGGCCGGGTGCGGTGGCTCACACCTGTAATCCCAGCACTTCGGGAGGCCAAAGCAGGTGATCACCTGAGGTCAGGAAATCGAGACCAGCCTGGCCAACATGGTGAAACCCCCCGTCTCTACTAAAAATACAAAAATTAGCCAGGCGTGGTGGTGGGCACCTGTAATTCCAGCTACTCCGGAGGCTGAGGCAGAAGAATCACTTGAACCCAGGAGGCAGAGGTTGCAGCAAGCCGAGATCATGCCACTGCACTCTAGCCTGGGCTACAGAGTGAGACTCCGTCTCAAAAAAAAGAGAAAGAAATGTAAATAAGATAAGAGAACACAACTGTACATACAGCTGAAAAAAAAATGCTTCCAGACATTAAAAATAATAAACATAAAACACTTAAAAACTTTCCAAATAATTGTCAAGTTTGCCTCTCTAATGAAAGTGTTACATAATTCCAAAGTTAGCATTCTCCTGCTGTCACTCTGGGATAAACTTTAAATTTATATAGTGGAAGAAATACCCAGGTAACAATAACACTGACAGTCCCAGGTACTTCATGGATCTTGAGAAATCTTACAAGATCTTTCCAACGCCTTAACAAACTCAACACTAGTATTTGCAAGACAGCACTTAAAGTCTGCATACATTCACTATACTGTTTTTTGTTTGTTTTGAGATGGAGTCTCCCTCTATCACCCAGGCTGGAGTGCAATGGCGCACTCTTAGCTCACTGCAACCTCAGCCTCCCAGGTTCAAGCAATTCTCCTACTTCAGCCTCAGGAGTAGCCGGGATTACAGGCGCCTACCACCACGCCCAGATAATTTTTGTATTTTTTAGTAGAGATGGGGTTTCACCATGTTGGCCAGGCTGGTCTCGAATTCCTGACCTCAAGTGATCTGCTTGCCTCAGCCTCCCAAAGTGTTGGGATTACAGGCGTGAGCCACTACGCCTAGCCTCACCATACTGTTTGATGTGTTCTGCTTAGGGAAAAAAATTACTGCTAGAGTTAAACCTGAAATATATAAAAGTCCTCCTTTCCAATTTATCTTAAATAACAATCTTACGTAAACTATGCCTCAAGACTGAGCTCATATTTTTCTGTTTTGATTGAAGTTCCTATTTTGCATTTCTCTCATGTAATAGTTATACAGTAATATGCTCCTCCATAAATCATTTACTAAATATTTAATTTTTAACTTTGTAACACTGTGCTTAGCACTATATCAAGAACGTTGATAAACACATCATAATATGGTACTAAATGATCAGAAATTTTTTTCATTGGAAAAACGTGACTTTTCTAACTCAACAATTACTTTTTTGCATGTATTTTTCTTTGGGATTTCTTTTTTGTTTGTCTTGAATAGAGCCCTGAAATTCTTTCTAAACATATTCATAGAATATTTCAAGCTGGAAGAAAAACACTGAAATAGAATCCAGGATAAAATATGCCAGGTATTAAAGACATATTCTGAAAGAAATCATAATTACTTTTGGCTGCTGCATCAAAAGTTCATGTCAGTGTTGAATATGCCATTTAACTACCCTTTACAAAAATGTACAGATCAAACAGAATGAAACTATAAAAGCTCAGCTAATTTAACCAAGTAAAGTTGTTAATTCCAACTTCAAGCAACAAAGTAAATAAGGGTAAAATTTAGGAACTTAATCATTTCTTGATAAAGACTCTTAATTGAAACAATTTTCCCAGGGGCCCTCTGTACTAGTCTCTGCTTAGCCTAAATGAAAGGATCTAATCTACAGAGACCAATAGTCCCAAACTTTAAGAATCTCCTCTGAATGCAACTCAAAATGATGACACACAAATTGAATTCATTCCCCCCAAAAAAATTATGTGACATATAAAGCATTTTGGGACAGATAGGAACTGAAAAAATAGTCTTGCAAAAAACAGAACCAAAACTAGTAGCAGTATCTTATAAACCAATAACATGTTAGTTACAGCCAGAAATAAAAATTAAACTATATAAATGCAAAGTGGTATCCTGAATTGGATCCTTGAGTAGAAAAAAGATATTAGTAGAAAAAGTAGTAAAATCTGAATGAAGTCTGGAATCTAGTAAACAGTAATGAGCTGCATTCAGAGGAGATTCCAAAAGTTTGGGACTGTTGGCCTCTGTAGATTTAGATCCTTTCGTTTAGGCTAAGCAGAGACTAGTACAGAGAGCCCTGGGGGAAGGGTGGGAATATATATGTATATATGATACCAGCACACACTTACTAGAATGTCTAAAATAAAAATAAAAAAACTGGCCAAATGCTGGCAAGGATGTGGAACAACAAGAACTCTACAACTAGAACAATGTACAATTAGAAATTGCACACTGCTGGTGGGAATGCAAAATGGTACAGTTCAGCCAGTCATGGAAAACAGTTTGGCAGTTCCTTATAAAGGTAAACATACACTTACTATACAATCCTTCAATCCCATTCCGAGGTATCTACCTAAGTGAAAAGAATACTTATGTTCACATAAAAACCTGTATATAAATGTGTACAGTAGCTTGTTCATATATATGCCAAAGACTGGAAACAACTCAAATGCCCTTCAAACTGGCACATGAATAAACAAACTGCAGTATACCCATACAATGGAATACTGTACAGTAAATCACAGAACAATCTGGATGAAACTCAAATGCATTATGCTAAGTGGACAAAGCCAGACTCAAAAGCCTACATATTGTATAATTCCATTTATATCACATAACTACAAGGACAGAAAACAGATTAGTGGTTGCCAGTGTTGGGGATGGGAAAAAAGGTTGACTATAAAGAGGCACAAGGGATCCTTTTTGGGATTGATGAAACTATTATATATATATATATATATATATATTTTTTTTTTTTTTTTTTTTTTTTAGATAGAGTTTCACTCTGTTGCCCAGGCTGGAGTGCAGTGGCGTGATCTTGGCTCACTGCAAGCTCCACCTCCCAGGTTCATGCAATTCTCCTGCCTCAGCCTCCCAAGTAGCTGGGACTACAGGCACGCACTACCACACCCAGCTAATTTTTTTTTTTTTTTTGAGATGATGTCTTCCTCTGTCACCCAGGCAGGAGTGCAGTGGCGCGATCTTGGCTCACTGCAACCACCACCTCCTGGATTCAAGCAATCTTCCCACCTCAGCCTCCCGAGCAGCTGGGATTACAGGCATGTGCCACCATGCCTGGCTAATTTTTTTGTATTTTTAGTAGAGACAGCATTTCACCGTGTTGCCCAGGCTGGTCCTGAACTCCTGACCTCAAGTAATCCAACTGTCTCACCCCCACAAAGTGCTGGGATTACAGGTGTGAGCCATTGCACCCAGCCTAATTTTTGTATTTTTAGTAGAAATGGGGTTTTACCATGTTGACCAGGCTGGGCTTGAACTCCTGACCTCAGGTGATCCACCCGCCTTGGCCTCCCAGAGTGCTAGGATTACAGATGTGAGCCACCGCACCTGGCCCTCTGTATCTCGATGTGGTTTTACAAAATTGTATGCATCTGTAAAACTTACAGAACTGTATGTTTAAAAGAATTAAATGTATGTAAATTATACCTCAAAAGTTATAATAGGATCTACTTAGATTTTTAGACAAAATCACATATGAAACTGCATAAAATTCTATGACTGTAATACAAACAAATGAAATTATAAACACAGACCACAGTTTTTTTATGAGTACAGAGATCTGAAATGTTGGCTAACAAAATTATAAACATAGTTGGAACAATAAATAGTTTATTTATTAGTAACGAGATCTGAAACACTGGCAGATAAAACTATAAAAACAGTTGGATCAACAGTTTATTTATGAGTACAGAGATTGAAATGTAGGCTCTATTACCTGTTACCATCATAACAGAAGAATTTTTCCATTACATAGATAACTTAAGGTCAAATTGTATAAATTCTTATTTTTATTCTAAATGTGACTACCTTCAGATACCCTTTCCTTATTTAAATTGAAATGGTGGAAGAATTCTACCCTATCTTAAACACTAGAGGTAGAACTATACAACATACAATTATTCAGAAGCAATTATACCTAAAATAGAAGTTAGTACTCATTTAAAAGAGATCTTAGACTTTCAATTTCCATAACTGTGAGAAAATACATGTTATTTTAGCCACCCAATCTATAGTATTCTGTTAGGGCAAACCAAGTGGACTAATATAATATAGTTCACAAAACCTTACTTTAGTTATTTAGACATGGTTTTCTTTAGTTCTTTGAACTTTCTTTTTTTTTTTTTTTTAAAGAAATGAGGTCTTGCTCTGTCACCCAGGCTGGAGTGCAGTGGCAATTGTCCCTCCTCAGTAAGTGCAAGCCACCATACCAGGCCCTTTGAACATATTTTAAATGGCTGATTTAAAGTCTTTGCCTAATACTAAAGTCTAACATTTGGGCTTCCTCAGGGAACATTTTCTAATTTACTGCTTTCTCTCCTATGTGTGGACCATACTTAAGTGGTTTTTTGCATGCTTTGTAATAACAGTCTCTTGAAAACTAAACATTTTAAATAAGGTAATGTGACAACTCGAAAAATCAGATTCTTCCCCTACCAGGTATTTGTTGTTATTACTGTTTACTGTTGTTACTGTTTATTGTTGTTTCTTTTAGTGACTTTCCTGAACTAATTATCTAAAATATTAATTTTCTATCATATGTGGTCACTAAAGTCTCTGCTGTTCATTTGTGATCAGCTAATGACTGGGCAGAGACTTCCTTAAATGCTTAAAACCAGTATAAGACTCAGTGTGTATTGACAGCCTAACTACATGTGTTAGGGCATACCTTTCACATTCAGCCAAGCAGTTTACAACCCTTCCTTAGCCTTTACTTCTTGCTTGCACAAAGTCTAGAGATTAATCAGAACTGACAGCTTAGGACCTTCTTAGTTCTTTCCTAAGCATGCAGCACACAACCCTACACATGCACATAGCCTTCTAGATTCCCAGAAATATACCAGAGCTTCTTAAATTTCCTTATGAACATCTCATTTCCCAGCTTTTCCTTTTAAGCTTCTTGGTTAGCCTATTATTCGATCTAACTATTCACTGTCACTCAAGATGGTGAGCACTCAAGTTGTTCAACAACTGCCTTTAACTGTTTTCAATAAACACTGCAAGGGGAAAGGTTGTTTGTACTAAGTGAGCTTCAAGTCAGGTCAAATACAGATGGTCTTGTGAATGAGGTTTTTCAAGGAACTACTAGCTAGGTAAAATAATGACAACTCTGGGAATGGAGTTTTGAAGAACTCTAAACTCGATCTATCCCTTCCAGTGGCTGGTTTTCACCATGATTGGAGGCTGTTGGTTTTCAAGGCTACTGAGGAGCTAGAGGGAAAAGCACAAATTAAAATGCCACAAAGTTTGCTGTTTTTGCCAAGATTCAGCCATTTCTCTTGAATAAATGCTCACAGATTGCTGCCATTGATAAATATTCCAGGTACCCTTCAGTTCTTCATATTTGTTTACCTGGAGTCTGCTACATTTCTGAAACTTCTACATATACTTTTCGCTGTGATTTCTTCTCCTATTTTTTCCAACAATTTGGTCTCACTGTTTCCTATCTTTCAGAAATCCATTAAAGTCTCATCAGCTGAAAGCCACCTTTCTTGATTTAATACCTTTAAAAAAATATCTAACATACTTACTAACATATCCACTCAGAATCCTTTGTATTCAGAGCCCTGCTAAAGCAGACACAAATATCCAGCAGACCTACACTCAGCTAACCTCTCTTAAGGCTCCCTTTAGTGTGATCCTAAGAGAGTCTTTCAGCTCTCATAACTTAGGCAACAGCACAAATCACATTTCTGTAACCAGAAAAACTGCAACCACCTACACCTCCCTGATGGGACTTTCTGTAGACAGATAAAAACCATCACCATACTGGTCAATACCTTCCATAAATAAATAGTGCAGCCAACTGACTGCAGT
This sequence comes from Homo sapiens, assembly GCF_000001405.40. NCBI lineage: Eukaryota > Metazoa > Chordata > Mammalia > Primates > Hominidae > Homo > Homo sapiens. The sequence goes on from NC_000001.11 coordinate 28,076,217, forward strand.
AAATTTGGTGAATTCTTCTGGCTACTTTGTTCTGGAGGCATGACTAACATATCATAGTATTATCAGCTGTAGGACTATTTATAGTAACTTTACACTTAACAAAACACTGTCAGAACTTACTGAGAAAGTTGCTTTTTAAAATATATACATATATTTAGGCTCTAACAAATTCTTAATAGAAAAAAATACTAGTTTACCAGAAATAGAATCTCGGCCAGGCGTGGTGGCTCACACCTGTAATCCCAGCACTTTGGTAGGCCGAGGTGGGTGGATTACTTGAGGTCAGGAGTTCAAGACCAGCCTGGCCCACATGGTAAAACTCTGTCTCTACTAAAAATACAAAAATTAGCTGTGTGTGGTGGCACATGCCTGTAGTCCCAGGTGGAGGTTGCAGTGAGCTGAGATCGCACCACTGCACTCCAGCCTGGGTGACACAACAAGACTCTGCCTAAAAAAAAAAAAAAAAGAAAGAAAGAAAAGAAAAAAAATGTCTCTCTAAGAATAATTGCTTTTATAATTTCTTTTTTTTTTTTTTTTTTTTGAGACAGAGTTTCGCTCTCATTGCCCAGGCTGGAGTGCGATGGCGTGATCTCGGCTCACCTCAACCTCCGCCTCCAGGGTTTAAGTGATTATCCTGCCTCAGCCTCCTGAGTAGCTGGGATTACAGGCATGCGCCACCACGCCTGGCTAATTTTGTATATTTTTAATAGAGACGGGGTTCTCCATGTTGGTCAGGCTGGTCTCGAACTTCTGACCTCAGGTGATCCACCCGCCTCAGCCTCCCAAAGTGCTGGGATTACAGGTGCAAGCCACCACGCCCGGTCTGTTTTTATAATTTCTAATATTACTTAACAAAAATCATCCTTTGAAATTGTTTACAAAACAATCTTTTTTTTTTTTTTTTTTTGAGACAGTCTTATTCTGTCACCCAGGCTGGAGTACAGTGGCGCAATCTCGGCTCACTGCAACCTCCGCCTCCTGGATTCAAGCGATTCTCCTGCCTCAGCCTCCTGAGTAGCTGGGATTACAGGTGTGCATGACCATACCCAGCTAAGTTTTTTGTATTTTCAGTAGAGACGGGGTTTCACCAGGTTGGCCAGGCTGGCCTCGAACTCCTGACCTCAGGTGATCCGCCTGCCTCAGCTTCCCAAAGTGCTGGGATTATAGGCATGAGCCACCGTGCTTCCCCAACAAGTTCCTAATGAAACAGGAAGATGTGTTCCAAAGGAAAAATTTCAAAACCATAGTAAAAAGTATTAAGAAGGAGGAGGTTAACCTGAATTAGCTATGTCAAAGTGAGCTTAATAACAGTACAATGGTTCTTCTATATTTCTTCCAACACTCCTTGGATCTCTCTCCAATTTTAGTAACTTGTCAGCATAAGAATTTCTCTGTTTGTAGTGGGTGTTAACAAGTGACATGAAAAAAAAACAAGAAATCAAAAAGAATAAGAATATGATAAAAGAAATTTTTTAAAAAATCTGTTTGAAGATCCAGACTCAAAGACTCTAAAACTTTATCTTCATCCTTCTTTAATCTGTGCAGTTAAAATTTCTGAGAATCACAACATGAATATTCTATAAATGTGCTGCTTCCAGTTATACAAAGTTGTACCCTATGTCATCAATTCTCTAACATTCTACATACCTATATATCTCATCTATACATCAGTCCTATATATCAGCTTATCAGTGTTTGGATAACACTGACTATACACTATACTAACAGAACTAAGTCTTTTGAAATCTATGTCTTTAGCTGTTAGAAGAACTGTAAAATCTAGGTTCAGTTTTTTTATTAATGTTTTATTTCTCCAAATTTATTTACCCCTTCAAAACTCCATCAGACAGGATAATATAAGTGTTTGTTAAAGAAAAATAAAATAAATAAATATCTTACACCAAAGATAAAAAGGAAAGAAATCTGGTCTTGAATGAAAGTCAATTCACTAACTAGCTCCACTTAAGTTTTCCCAAATAGCAAACCATTAAAACTATTAAGATTACGGCCCAAATAACAAGTGGTTCCTAAGAGAGATTTTAAAAGTTGGGCCTGTAGCCTTGATAACCTTTAGCTTTAAATCCAACACGCTACACAAGAACTTTCCCTACAGGTCCTCAAGACAAGATATTTTCAAGCTCCTGAGCAATATAACATTAAATGTCAATCATGCCCTGTTACTCAGCAAATATACAGAACTCATCATAGTCACAAACACTCTCAGGAGCTCCAACTGTGAGTTGATACTATTAATAGCAAACATTTATGGAATGCTTCTTATGGGTCAGGTACCGTTCTAAGTACTTTTAATATATTAACTATTTCTTTTTCTTCTTCTTTTCTTTAATTGAGACAGTCTCGCTCTGTTACCCAGGCTGAAGCGCAGTGGCATGATCTCAGCTCACTGCAACCTCCACCTCCCAGGTTTAGCAATTTTTATGCCTCAGCCTCCTGAGTAGCTGGGATTATAGGCATGCACCACCATGCCCAGGTAATACATTAATTATTTTAATCTTTCAATAAGTCTATAAAATAGAAGCTATTTGTTATTATCACCATTTTACAGATGAGAAAACTAAGGCACAGAGAGTAACTTCCCCAATGCTATACACATAGTAAGTCACCAACCTGGTATTCGAGCCCAGGCAGGCTAGCTTCAAAGCCTGAGTTCTCAAACCACAGCTATGTGTCTCATAATGGAACAATGCAGACAGGACTGGTGATATTTAAAAGCTGACTGAGCTTAAAATGTATGATATGCCATACTATAGTCATCAACAGCCAGAATTCTTAAGCCAAGTAATGAGAACATACGAGAAGATGGCAAGTCTTCTTCTTTATCCTTTACCATTCTCATTTTTTTTCCCCAGGCCTCCCAAGTATGAGTATGAGTTAACACAAGTGAAGTGCTTTAAATAGTGCCTGGCACATAGTAAGTGCTCACTAAGTGTTAAGAGCAGGTAGTGGTATAAAAATAGTAGAGTATGTCTGCTGACCCTGTTTCACTCTACCAGCTAGGATAGGCAAGGAACTGTTGATATTTCTACGCCCTTTCCCCCTTTGTGATTACAGGAAACGAATTGGGACAATACATAAATGTAATCCACTGTCGCAAACCCTAATTACTCTTCAGTCATGTTATTTCACCTGACCATATACACATGAGCAAACTGCTTCATTCCTCAGTCCTCTTTTTTTGGTTTACAAAGACTGGACTTGGGCCAGAAGAGAGCAGAATAAAGCAGCTTTGTAACCTTTTGACTAGTTGCCAAGAACAGAAGCAAGGTTTGTGAAAACCAACTGAAAGGACCTAAACTTTGGACTGTTAGATGGAAACTAGCAAAGGATTCTAACGATAGAAGCTCAGCATACAACCGAGCATTTTCAACCTCACGATTCCAAAATAAGTTTTTAAAATAATGTGCCTAGAAATGGTAAAGAACAGGGATGACAGTAATGGTAATCAGGGCAACAGGACCTCCCTCTCTCAATGATTGTTCTGCAGCTATTTAGGTTAAGTTTTACAGAATCCATCCACGTACATTGCAGAGAAAAAAACTAGCAAACCTAAACATTTTCTTTTTTTTTTTTTTGGTAGAGACAGGGTCTCGCTATGTTGCCCAGGCTAGTCTTGAACTCCTGGGCTTAAGTGATCCTCCTACTTCAGCCTCCCAAAGTGCTGGGATTACAGGCATGAGCCACCACACCTGGCCCCAAACCTAAACATTTTCCATTACAAAAAGACAATATTAGGGGAAAGATCTAGCAGTCACTAAAATTTTGCAAACTGCAGGTACATTGCATTAACTACGGAAACTAAAGAAAAAATTCAATTTCACCTAAAAGCTAATCATTCTAATGTATTCCCGTAGTAACGGCACTGATATCAACTTAGTGAATGGAAACCAGCAGTTTGTTTTAAATTAAAAACAATAAAACAAATAGAGGCCAGGCACAGTGGCTCACACCTATAATTCCAGCACTTTGGGAGGCTGAGGCAGGAGGATCACTTGAGCCCAGGAGTTCAAGACCAGCCTGGGCAATACAGTGAAACCGCATCTATAAAACACAAAACAAACAAACAAAAAAAATTAGTGAGGCATGGTGGCACACACCTGTAGTCTCAGCTGCTTGGGAGGCTGAGGCAGGAGGATCACCTGAGCCCAGGAGGTCGAGGCTGCAGTGAGCCGTGATAGCGTCACTACGCTTCAGCCCAGGTGATACAGGGTGAGATCCTGTCTCAAAAAACAAACAAACAAACAAAATAGAATAGAAAATATTAATATTACAATGCATCACCAGTAGTAAAGATACTGTTTCAAGAAACTTCTGTTTCGATTTCAAATATTAATATGTACATATATGTGTCTGAGTACTGGATAGCAATGTAAAATGTATTTTATAGTGGGTCATGATCAGAAAAGTTTAAAAGCCACTTTATCAGAAAAAAAAAAAAAATGGCCAGTCAAAAAGGGAAGAAAATAACCACTTCATACTACAGAGGAAACAACATTCAGAGTTTGATGGTTCTCTTTTTTGTTTGTTTGTTTTGAGACGGAGTTTCGCTCTTGTTGCCCAGGCTGGAGTGCAATAGCGTGGTCTCGGCTCACTGCAACCTCCGCCTCCTGGGTTTAAGCGATTCTCCTGCCTCAGCCTCCCAAGTAGCTGGGATTATAGGCGCCTGCCACCATGCCTGGCTAATTTTGTATTTTTTTTTTTGGTAGAGACGGGGTTTCACCATGTTGGCTAGGCTGGTCTTGAACTCCTGCCTCTCAGGTGATCCTCCCGCCTCGGCCTCCCAAAGTGCTGGGATTACAGGCATGAGCCACTGCGCCCGGCCGATGGTTCTCTAAATTGTAGTTTTATATAAGCAAGCCTCTGAAAGAGAACAAAAAAGATAAAGGAAACCACTGAGTTACTTCCAAAAATTTTTTTTTGCACAGAATGTGAGGTACCTACAGTAAATAAATACATACTAACAAAAAATACATAGAAATGAAAGCAAAAATTTTCAGTTTATCTACCTATTAAATGCCCCACTAAATATGAGAGATGGCCTATTCTCTTTGTGAAGCTCTAGTTCTCACTCTCAAGAATATTATTCATTAGTGTTGCCTAACTACTGCTTCCTAACCTATAGCAGAAGAACACCTGGTGAAAAGCAAAAGCAGATTTCAAAAATTATTCTTTAAATTATCACAGATGTTTCCTAAATTTGACATTTTTAAATTTAAAAGAGAAAAATTCAGTGATGTAATAAAACACTGATTTTTATAAGATATTTAGGTACTATTTTTTATCCTATAATGTTCTCTAAAGTCTGAAATATTCCCCCAAAATTCATACATGTATATATTGGATTATTCTTTTGGTAAAGAGAGTGAGATTATCACATTCATTTCATCAATCTACTAGGAAAAAATTAACATCATTGTGCTAAATTAAATGTTCCTCTTATTTTGAAAAGGGGGAGGGGCACAACAGGTGAAGCTGACCTAAATCGTTTTCAGTCACTATGGAAACTAAAGAAAAAATTCAATTTCACCTAAAAGCTAATCATTCTAATGTATTCCCGTAGTAACGGTGCTGATAGCAACTACCTACCAATTTTCCTAAATTCAGTAATTGCTACAATATTAAATTTCAGGTGAAAGAAAACTATTGAAATGTTTAAATACACTGATTATCAGACCCACATTGCTTTGAATGTGGAAGCCATTAAATTAAATTAAATTGCAGAAGCAATTTAAAAGGGAATTGCTTTGAATCAAAAATTAAATGTTTAACTAAAAGTAAAGAACATTCTAAATATCAACAAGTATTATCATCATAGCAAAGCTTACTCTGTTCAGCTCCATAACAATACTTTCCCACCAAGTGGAAAAAGGACAAAAGCTACTATAAAAAAACAGTATACTTAATGTCTCAATTAATAAGAGTTAACATGAGAATTAAAATTAGTATTCCTAATCAAATGTCACTTCTTACCAGAAATATTTATACTTTTTCTGTAAACCAGATTCTACGATTCTCGACTGTTTTCAAAATATTCAGAAAAATAATATCATTATCTGAGTACAAGACTCCTGCATTAAGGTGCACCTCAACTTATATAAAATAATCTCCTTCCCCCAGATATTTGATTAAATTTTTTTATTTGGGCTTAATAAAGGAACAAAAGAATCATCTTAATATGATCAATAATATTCTAAATGACTATTATTTGCATCTTCTCATTTAGAAAGTAATTTGTTTGTGAAAGTTCCCCTCATCTTTTCTAAAGTAAAAATAAAATCACTAATTTAAATATACTACTCTAAACATGATAGCCCTAAAGAGATGAATGTACTCTAAACATGATAGTCCTGAAGAGATGAATGTCCTTAATTTCACATAAATTTCCAAATTTGGAAATGAGACCAGTGGCAAATCAGATGTTTCAGTTTTAGTCTTCTGTTTTATATTTCAAAGTTGTTAAATTCATATGGGAATGGTAAGATTTAAGTATTTTAAGACTATTACATAAATTTGTTTAATACTCTGAAGGTAAAAGAAAAAAATTAACTTCGAGGGGCCATTTTATAAAAAATAGTGACTTATCTCCAAGTAACTCCAAAGTAATTAACTTCCATAAGATAATTTTTCTAACGGGGGAGGAATTTGATCCCTTATTGCTTTCTTAATATATGGTTTTGCCATCTGAGAAACATCGGTAGTAAAAGGTTTGCAATTTGCCTTAAGCCAGCATTAGTAAAAAGGCCAAGTAAAACCCTCCTTAAGGTTCCTAACCAAAAGCAGTATTCTTTTGTGTTTCAGACAAACTAGATTTTTAACCTCAACCTATAAAGAAAGAAATCACTAAAGTAGCAGACCCTTGTACAAATAAGATTAACTCAGGAGCCAAAAAGACTAAGTTCAAATCCAGCTCTTTGATAACTAGTTGTGTTACTTTGGGCAAGTTACATAACTTCTGTACCTCAGTTTCCTTATATGTAAAATGGAGATAGTAAGAAGAGTACCCTTGGCTGGGCACGGTGGCTCACGCCTGTAATCTCAGCACTTTGGGAGGCTGAGGCAGGCAGATCACGAGGTCAGGAGTTCAAGACCAGCCTGACCAACATGGTGAAACCCCATCTCTACTAAAAATACAAAAATTAGCCGGGCTTGGTGGCACACGCCTGTAATCCCAGCTACTCAGGAGGCTGAGGCAGGAGAATCACTTGAGCCCAGGAGGCAGAGGTTGCAGTGACCAGAGATTGTGCCACTGCACTCTAGCCTGGGCGACAGGGCAAGACTCCGTCTCAAAAAAAAAAAAGAATAGTACCCTTATTTCATAGGGTTGTAAAGATTAAAGAGTTAATACATGTAAACTACTTAAAATAGTTCCTGGTACATAGTAAGTGCTGTATAAAGTTCACTTTTATTTTTACTGTTTTACCACTACAGAGTTTCATGGTTCAGTTGTGAAAGTTTCCCAAGTGAAAATTATTTGATTGTATCTATAACGAAAGAACATGATTTTATGTTAATTAAGTTTATTTAATTCTAATTATGTTGTCTTACGTTTAATTCAGAAATGTACAAATAAGATCAAATTCAGAATTTAAGTGTACATATCAGCCTGGTACAATATTACCTAGCCACATAAATAGCCTAAATATGTATTACTGTAACTGTACACAGTAGGTGCCTAAACAATATTTGCTGAAATAAATGTATTACAAAGAGTATTGCTAATTATTTTCTAGGGAAGAAAATGAAAACCATCTAACTGCTACAAACATTAACCACAGCTAATAAGTTAAAGTGCATCCAAAACAATCTGTAGTAAGATCTTCACGATATTAAGCACTGACTGCCTTGGGCTGATCTGTTAACTTATTTACAGTAAGTTGGCACTATTTAAACTACACATTCCTTTTCTGATTCAAAATACTATTGCATACTTAAATGGGAAAACAGCAAAGACAAATTTTAGGAAGCCCATATTTTAAATGGCTGTTTTTAAATATACTACTATAAAGAACAGAGAAAATGCCTAAATTACTTCTACATTTAATAATTAGCTACCCTGGAACTTAGGTTGATGGAACTAAATAAAAATATCAAGGATGATATGTTCCATTATTTGCTATGTTATCTGACAGTAAAAGATACCAGTATCAACAGGGTAGTTTAGAGCTTAAGCCATACACTTTGTAAAAGAATATGCACTTGTATTTTTAAGTTAATTAGAAAACAGAAAGTCCACCTATTTTCCACCTTACTATCAATATAACAATTCAACCTTTTGGTATAAACCAATTAGATGAACATCTGGGAAGCATTGACTATTCCAAAATATATATATATATATATATATATATATATATATATATATTTTTTTTTTTTTTTTTTTTTTTTTTTTTTTTGAGATGAGTCTCGCTCTGTCGCCTAGGGTGGAGTGCAGTAGCACGATCTCAGCTCACTGCAACCTCCGCCTCCCTGGTTCAAGCAATTCTCCTGCCTCAGTCTCCCGAGTAGCTGGGACTACAGGCATACGCCGCCACGCCCAGCTAATTTTTTGTATTTTAGTAGAGATGGGGTTTCACCGTGTTGCCCAGGCTGTTCTCCAACTCCTGAACTCAGGCAATCTGCCTGCCTTGGCCTCCCAAAGTGCTGACTATTCCTAATATTTTAAAATACACATTTCTATTTTGAACTATTCTTCCTCCATTTAAATCATACATGAGCTAAAGTATCCTGTTGTTACATGCAGAACAGAAATATCTTTTGGACAAACCGCTACCTAAAAAGAAGTTCCATGAGGCTTTTATTTATAATCAAAACAAAATAAATGAAGTCATGAAACAGCTTAGGCACAGCACAGAAACCATAATGCTACAAGGTACAAGTGACAAGGACTTGTTGGAGGTATACTTTGTTTCTTAAATTTTCAAAACTACATCAGCCGCCTGTGGGTGGTGGCTCACACCTTTAATCTCAGCACTTTGAGAGCCCGAGGCAGGCAGATTGCTTGAGTCCAGGAGTTTGAGATCAGCCTGGGCAACATGGTGAAACTCTGCCTCTCCAAAAAAATTTCAAAATTAGCCAGGTATGGTGGCATGAACCTGTAGTCCCAGCTATTCTGGAGGCTGTGGGAGGATGACTTCAGCCCAGGAGGTCAGGGCTGCAGTGAGCCGAGATCGTGCCACTGCACTACAGCCTGGCCAACAGAGCAAGGTTTTGTTTTGTTTTTTGTCTCAAAAAAACAAACAAACAAACAAAAAACTACATCTCCGTAAACACAGGATTCAAGGACCAAAAAACAAACAAACAAAACAAGTAAGACAAAGTACATTAGCAAATAAAATGACAAAAAAGAACCAAAAATAATCAAACCAAACCAAAATAAGAAAACTTGGTAAGCCTAAAACTAATATGCAGAAACATATTTTAAATTGAGCCCTTAGGGCTACCAACTAAAGTAGAAATTTTTGTAGAAAATCAACGGTAATTTTTTTTCCTGAGCTTTAAAAACAAACACACATTAAGCTGTCTCTGGGTTTGTTTGTTTGTTTGTTTGTTTGTTTTGGTTTGGCAGCTAGGTGGAGGGTCAGGCTTGAAGATCAGCAGCATGGAACACAACTGCTCCAATGACTACACAGGATGCTCATTTCATTTAATGGCTTCAATGCAGAATATACAGGCCAAAGTCATTTTAGAAGAACAAAAGACTCCTAAAACTTTTCAACTTCTACTTCTGCACAAAACAGTTTCTTTCTCTAGTCACTCTTTGAAGGCAAAATGACTTCGGCTTTGGATTTTAAAATCCATGTCACAGATTTCTTATCCTAATAGTCTCATTCATATATGACATATACTGAAATGACCCACTAAATACTATATTGTGCTTTCCAGCCTACAGCTTTAATGGAATTAACACTCGCTACTCTTGAGAGCATGTATAGGACTTCTTGACTTAAAAAAAAATGACCTTGGAAATTAACTGTTTAAGTTGTAATTTCTTTTTTTTTTTTAAGAGAGTCTCACTCTGTTGCCTTGTGGAGCGCAGTGATGTGATCACAGCTCACTGTAACCTCAAAATCTTGGGCTCAAGCAATCCTCCAACCTCAACCTCCTGAGTAGTTGGGACTACAGGCGCACACCACTACACCAAGCTAATTTTGTCTATGTTGCCCAGGTTGGTCTCGAACTCCTGGCCAATCCTCTGGCCTTGGCCTTCCAAAGTGCTGGGGATTATAGGTGTGAACCACCATGCCAGACCTAAACCCTAATTTCTTTATGTTTTGTAAATAAGAGTGCCACTTCTTACTAGTGACAATGGTATATAATCTTTATAACTAGATTTTATTATTTTCTATTGTTTTGAAGACAGAGTGATTTCCCATCATTTTTGGGGTTTAATGTTCTTATCTTAATCTGCATTAATTAAGCTGGCATTCCCATGGCTTAAATGAAGCCCACAAACCTGAAGGTAAGGAAGCAGCTGGAGTAAGCCATACACATTGGGGTTTGTTTTGAAGGATGGAAAATAGGCCAGGTTGGACAGAAGCTAGAGCTAGGTAGTGGGGAGGAGGTACACATAAGAAACTTTCAAAGAGGCTTCACTTAGCAGTTAGATAAGTCCTGAAAGCCAATCAGAAGGGTCCTTCTCCGTGGCTTCTAGGACTAACATGGCCAAGCTCCAAAGTCCTTTGCTAAAAACAGCTGAAGAGAGCCCAATTTTGGAATAAGCCAAGGACTATACACTCTTATATGTATATGTATCATATAATGAAGATTTTTCTATAGCTAATTAGCCAAAAGATAAGCAGGTGCTCAAAGCTGTATTTAAGTTCATACTGAAGTACTACATTTTAAAGCACAATTTATAGATTACAGAAACTGATGACACAAAAACCGCTGCAATCAAGTGCTAGATATACACTATAAACATCGGGAAAAAATAAAGATTACCCAAGCCTATACTCTAGATCACAAAATTTGGGAAAGGGAGCACTAACCATTATTAAATGCAATTCCTTCATGTTATAAATGACTTTAAACCTCTAGGGAAATTTAAGAAAGGTGCCCTAAATCTCAAAATGAGAAAATGATAGTTTTACTACAAAGGTGGAAATGGTAAGGAAAAAAAAATACAAAAGTTAGAAGAATATTCTAAGTAATGTACTTCTAAGTAATGTAATTCTAAGTAAAGTCTGGCTAATGAAGGAAGAGGAAGACAAATAGAAAACTTAATACAGTAAAAATGAAAAAATGCATATGTGCATACTAAGTTTAAAGATTACTTTGAAATTACTATAGTGAACTCTTCAGCAGACCACTTTTCGGAAACAACACAATAAATTCATAAATCTGGGGCTAATGATCTCTCCACAAATTCTGTCCTCTATCATCACAAGTGTCCTGTAAGAAGCGTCCATGCCGAAAACAGAGCTGAACGTCCCAAAATATTGGCGTTTTTGCCTCAGCTGTGCACATCCATTCTCATGGGAACACAAAACTGACAGAACTTCTTCATGACTTGTCAATTAACAAGATCGCGCCAGCCCAACTGCTAGCAGTACCGTGTGCCTGCCACCTGTTAGCTGCTCTTGAGAGAGCCCCAAAACTGAGGTAAAGCGAAGAACTAGGAACGCCTTTGTTGTACCCTAACTATGGAAGCTACCAGAGTTCAGTCTAACCCGGCGCCTTAAGGCAAAACTTCCCCCAGGCTGGGGAAGTCTTCCCATTTCGGGGCTTTGGCAAAGCTCTCCTCTAGCTAAGGACAGGCAGAAGAACCCCAGGAGAAGCACTGTCACCTACTGGTCCCAGGAGGAAGGATCAAAGCTGAAGAAAGTTGGGGGACAAGGAACTAGGACCCTAGGGAGAGGCTCAGTTTCTCGTGGTGAAGAGTGAGCACAATGAGAAGCTGGGCCGTCTCGCTAGGTGAAAGAACGCTGAGATCCCAGATCAGGGGTAGGGGAAAAGAGGTTCTAAAAGAAGGGAGGAGGAGAAAAAAGGAGAGGCAGTGGCTGAGAGAAGCGCTGAGGCGTAAGGCAAGAAACCGAGGTTGGAAAAGGACTGATGAGGCTGAGGAAAAACAGCGAGGCGACAGAGGCACGGAAGCGCGAGAAGGCTAAGCTGAGGTGAATAAGGCGAGGCCAGCGTGAAGGAAAGGGCTGAGGTGAGTGAAGCACTGCAGTGACAAGGGACAGGCGAAGAGACTCCCACCCACAAGGACCGAGGCAGAACTCTAGACCCATCCCCCTTCACGCTGTGCTCGCCCGGCTGCGCTCAGACCCTGTTGGCAGCTGAGACTCACCCAAAGGCTGTAAAAGCCCCACAACAGGACATGGAGATCAGTCCAGACCCACAGTAGAACCAATCGAGCGGAGGAAACCGCGGCGTTAGCGTGACCCGGATGCGCATCGCTAGGAACCGGAAGTAAGCGGCCAGAGTCACCTCACAATCCACACCTCGTTCCACTAGAAACCTCTGGGCGCATGTGTTGAGTCTGACCGGGCGGGGAAGCTTTTAGGCTCCGCCCACTCCGCCGGCCCGGCGAGCCACGCCCATGGCCACGCCCCTCTTAGTGCCTCGGAGACAAGCAGCTTCTGGGTGAGCGCTAGGCAGTCCTGACGGTACTACAGCCTTCACTTTTAAGGAGGTCTTTAAAAATGCGCGTAATCCCTACCTGGCTAAAAGGAACGTAAGAAGTGTTGGGTGCATTTGGTAGATTTAGAAAAACTGGGAAGGAGAATGAGTGGGAAGTTTTGGAAGACATTTGGGAGGCTAGCCCAAGGTGATCTTTTTTTTTTTTTTTTTTTGAGACGGAGTTTCGCTCTTGTTGCCCAGGCTGGAGTGCAATGGCGCGATCTCGGCTCACTGCAACCTCCGCCTCCCGGGTTCAAGCGATCCTCCTGCCTCAGCCTTTCGAGTAGCTGGGATTACAGGCATGTGCCACCACGCCCGGCTAATTTTGTAGTTTTAGTAGAGACGGGGTTTCTCCATGTTGGTCAGGCTGGTCTTGAACTCCCGACCTCAGGTGATCCGCCCGCCTGGGCCTCCCAAAGTGCTGAGATTACAGGCGTGAGCCACCGCGCCCATCCCTTTTTTTTTTTCTTTTTTTGAGACAGAGTCTTGCTCTGTCGCCCAGGCTGGAGTGCAGTGGCGCGATCTCGGCTCACTGCAACCCCCGCCTCCTGGGTTCAAGTGATCCTCCCACCTCAGCCTCCCGAGTAGCTAAGACTACCGGCGCGCACCACCACGCCCGGCTAATTTTTGTATTTTTCGGTAGAGACGGGGTTTCGCCATGTTGCCCAGGCTGGTCTCCAACTCTGGAGCTCGGTTGATCCCTTGGCCTCCCAAAGTGCTGGGATTACAGGCGTGAGCCCCAAGGTGATCTTTTTATCCCCAAATTTAGTTTATTCTTAATATTATATTAGGCTTACAATTCACTTCGTGCACACTGTTTTCGGAAGCAAAATTCTTAAATGTTTCGTTAATTTTAAATTACAACCCAAGTATGGGCTAGAAGCAAGGTTGAATTCAGGCTTTGTGGAGACTTGACGTTTATTCAATTTGGGGGCCCTCTTTAAAATAATCAAGGCCAGGCACAGTGGCTCATGCCTGAAATCCTAGCACTTTGGGACGCCGAGGTCGACCGGTTGCTTGAGCCCCGGAGTTGGAGATCACCTGGGCAACAAAATTAGACCCTGTCTCTACAAAACAAACAAAGCAAAACAACAACAAAAAAAACCCAGAAAAATTAGCCAGGTGTGGTGGCACGCACCTAACTGAGCCCAGGAGGTAGAGGCTGCGGTGAGTTATGATTATGCCACTGCACTCCAGCCTGGGCAACAGAGCGAGACTGTCTAAAAAAAAAAAAAATCCAAAATTACAAATACAATATTAGATATAAAAGTGAACCTTTTATAATGAGAAAAATTACAAACATTTTTATTAGCTCACAAATACCACGAATAACAAAATCCAGAAAAAAAACTATTTTTTCTACATTTTTTGACTGTATATTTGATCACCTCTTCCGATGACAACAATGTACTAAGCAACATCATTTACTAAGATCCTTAACTCCTCTCTCATATCCCACATGTACTCCATCAGCAAGTTCTGCAAGATTTGCCTTCAAAATCTGTCCAGAACCTGACCATTTACTGCCTCCGTTGGTATAAACCAGTCAGTCAGTGACTGTGAGTGCCCTATTTATACTCTTGCCTTCCCACAATCTTTTTTTTTTTTTTTTTTTCAGACAGAGCCTCCCTCTGTCACCCAGGCTGGAGTGTACTGGCCTGATCTTGGCTCAGTGCAACCTCTGCCTCCTGGGTTCTCCTGCCTCAGCCTCCTGAATAGCTGGGATTACAGGGGCCCGCCAGCACGCGCGGCTAATTGTTATATTTTTAGTAGAGACGGGGTTTTGCCATGTTGGCCAGACTGGTCTTGAACTCCTGGCCTCAAGTGATCCACCCGCCTCAGCCTCCCAAAGTGCTGGGATTACAGGTGTGAGCCTCCACGCCCGGCCCCCACAATCTATTAATATAGTAGCAATGGGCTCCTGTTAAAACCCTAATTAGATCATATCCTTCCTCCAATGCATTCCTATTTCAGAGTAAAAACCAAAATCCTTACATTGGTCTACAGGACCCTCAAGATTTGACACCTCCAGTACAGCTCTGCTCTAACCTCAACTCCTACTCCTTCTGTCATCCTTCCCCTTAAAGCACATTGGCCTCTGCCATTCCTCAAAACTACAGGTAGGCCCAGGGCCTTTGTGCTTTTTAATCCATCTGCCTGGAGTGCTCTTCCCCCAGATACCTGCATCATTCATCCGCTCACCTCATTTACATCTTTATTCACATGTCACTTTCTCAATGAGATCTTCCCTGACACTACATTAAAAATTGGAACACTACCATCCTCTTTGTACTTTCCCATCCAACAAGTTGCTTGTAAATTTGGCTTAGTGTCTCTCTCCCCCTGCCAGAATGTAAGTTCCATGAGTCCATGGATGTTTGTCCGATTTGTTCACGGATGTTTTTTCAGCACCAGAATGGAGCCTGGCACACTGTAGGCACTCAGTAAATGTTTGTTGAATGAAGGGCTAAATTGCTCATTTACTTTGGTTTTCCTGATCTGAAACCCTGCAAACTGAGCCACCACCTCCACCAGAGGGAGCCCATGAGTAATCAATGCAATAGCTCCAGAAAAGTTATGCCTAAAGCATTTACATACATATACACTCTGTTTAAGGACAGGAATATGTTCTGAGAAATCCCTCGTTAGGTAGTTTCATCATTGTGCGAACATCGTAAAATGGACTTATACACACCTAAGCTATATGGTATAACCTATTGCTCCTAGGCTATAAATCTGTATAGCATATGACTGTACTGAATACTGTAGGCAATTGTAACACAATGGCAAGTATTTGTGTATTTAAACATATAAAAACATAGAAAAGGTACAGTAAAAATATTAAATAATCTTATGGGACCACCATCATATATGCATTCTATCATTTACCAAAATATCATTATGTGACAGCTATGATTCTAAAACAGAGCTACAAGAAAGCATGCAAATTCCTCCCCAGAGCAGAAGCTGTACCTTGCTGGTGCTCTAGTGTCTTTACAGTCATTTAAGAATAAAATCCAGGCTGGGCGTGGTGGCTCACGCCTATAATCCCAGCACTTTGGGAGGCCGAGGCAGGTGGATCATGATGTCAAGAGATCGAGACCATCCTGGCCAACATGGTGAAACCCCGTCTCTACTAAAAATACAAAAATTAGCTGGGCATGGTGGCATGTGCCTGTAATCCCAGCTTCTCGAGAGGCTGAGGCAAGAGAATTGCTTGAACCAGGACCTGGGAGACGGAGGTTGCAGTGAGCTGAGATCGTGCCACTGCACTCCAGCCTGAGCTACAGAGTGAGACTCTGTCTCAAAAATAATAATAATAATAATAATAATAATAATAATAAAATCCAAAGGCCGGGCACGGTGGCTCCCATCTGTAATCCTAGCACTTTGGGAGGCCGAGGCAGGCAGATCACCTGAGGTCAGGAGTTCAAGATCAGCCTGGCCAATATGGTGAAACCTCATCTCTACAAAACATACAAAAATTAGCCAGGTGTGGTGGCAGGCACCTGTAGTCCCAGCTACTTAGCAGGCTGAGGCATGAGAATCACAGGAGGCAGAGCGTGCAGTAAGCCGAGATGGCACCACTGCACTCCAGCCTGGGTGACAGAGTGAGAGACTCCATCTCGAAAAATAAACAAATATATAAAATAAAATAAAATAATAAAAATAAGACCTCTAATTTATATATTTCCATTTTGAAAAGACATGATGAATGTATGATCAGTGTTTTATAATAGCTATTAATTTAAACCCTCCTGATTGACATATATGAAGTACAATGGTCTGGATTTTATTTCTGTTGATGTTCTATATTGTACTTGAGGCAATTTCTTATGATATACATGATCGTTGACCTTCTAAAAGCAATCAGTAGTTGGTAGGATTGTAAAATGGTGCAACCTTATGGAAAGCCATATGGTGGTTCCTGAAAAAAATTGAAAATAGAACTAACGTATGATCCAGGAATCCCCTTCTGGGTATATATCCCTAAGAATTGAAAGCAGGATCTCCAAGAGATATTTGCACACCCATGTTCATGACAGCACTATTCACAATAGCTAAGAGATGGAAGCAACCCAAATGTTCATTGATGGATGAATGTATAAACAAATTTGGTATACATACAATGGAATACTATGCAACCTTAAAAAGGCAGGAAATTCTGTCTGGGTGCAGTGGCTCATGCCTGTAATCCCAGCACTTTGGGATGCTGAGGCGGGTGGATCACGAGGTCAAGAGATCGAGACCATCCTGGCCAACATGGTGAAACCTTGTTTCTATTAAAAATACAAAAATTAGCTGGGCATGGTGGTGTGCGCCTGTAGTCCCAGCTACTCAGGAGGCTGAGGTAGGAGAATCGATTGAACCCAGGAGGCGGAGGTTGCAGTGAGCTGGGATCACACCATTGCACTCCAGCCTGGTGACAGAGCAAGACTCCACCAAAAAAAAAAAGAGCATGTACACATGCTACAACATGAATAAATCTTGAGGACATTATGCTAAATGAAATAAGCCACTCACAAAAGGACAAATACCATATGATTCCACTGATATGAGTTATATAAATTAGTCAAATTCATAGATATGGAAAGTAGAATGGTGGATATAAAGGGTTGGGGAGAAAGGACAAAAGGGAGTTTCTTTAATGAGTATAGAGTTTCAGTTCTCCAAGATGAAAAGGTTGAGATCTGTTTCATAGAAAGCAAATATACTTAACACTACTAAACTGTATAATTAAAAATGGTTAAGTTGGTAAATTTTATGATATGTGTTTTTACCACAAATAAATAGATTAATAATGTTTAAAATCTGTAGGAATCTAGTCATCACTGTAAAAAAGACATGGGTCACTTTTGCCTACTTGACCCTGCATGGAGATTACTAAAGTCTTTTTCACAGTTTTGTTCAAACTTTCACCAGCAAAACGCCTTTGGAATAGAATAAATTCAAATTTGTAAGATATTTAGTAACCATTGCTACCTTCAGAGCAAAGCATTTCCAGTTTCCTGAGTATAGTATCTTTACCTACAGGCATCTTTTCCATATCATCATTACTACTGTTCATATTTTTCCAGCAAATCAATATCATTTAGCAACATCCAAGATCTCTTGCTTGCTTTATAGAGAATGTGTCTTGAACAAAACTTGAGTGTTTTAGGAACACCTTACGGAATGCATGCTATAAAACCGTAACCATGTGCCAGGTGCAGTGGCTCACGCCTATAATCCCAACACTTTGGGAGGCCAAAGCGGGTGGATCACTGGAGACTGGGAGTTTGAGACCAGCCTGGGCAACATAGTGAGACCCCCTGTCTCTACTAAAAATACAAAAATTAGCTGGGCATGGTGGCATGCGCCTGTAATCCCAGCTACTCAGGAGGCTGAAACACAAGAATCGCTTGAACCCAGGAGGCGGAGGTTGCAGTGAGCCGAGAATGCACCACTGCACTCCAGCCTGGGTGATGGAGCCAGACTGTCCAAACAAACAAACAAAAAACCTGTAACCATGGAGTAAAACTATAACTGTGGAAATCGACATGAGACGTAAATAGGACATTTTCTCCATCCTTACCACAGTCAGCTTTGTATTCACCAAGACCACACTAAGCATGCACTCTGGTGATCTGTAAATACATAACGAACTATCCCAAAACTCAGTGGCTTAAAACAACAACCACTATATTATATCTCACACTTTTTGAGTCAGGAATTTGGGCAGGGCTCAGCTGGGTGATTTCTCTGTTCCATACTGTATCAACCAGTCAGTTGATGGCATTCTAGCTTGCAGCCAGGTTAGTCTGGAGGGTCCAACACATATGCCTGACACTGAAAGGCTGGGTTCAGCTCGCCCCAATGCATGTAGTCTCAGAGCCTTTCCACGTGGTCTATTAGGGTAGCTGAACTTTTCACATGGCAGCTCACGGATCCATAAAGACAGGTTGTGGAAGCTGCCATTCTTTTAAGTCCAGCCTGGAAAGAGGCACAGCATCACTTCCATTTTAGTCTATTGGTCAAAGCAGTCATAGAAATCTCCTAGATTCAAGGGAGGCAACATAGACTCCACTTTGTAATATGAAGAATGTCAAATAATTTGCAGCCAAGTTTAATTCACTACAGTGTAGTAATTTGCAGCCAAGTTTAATTCACTACAGTGTAGTTTATTTACACTCTGTATCTGACTTTTTTTTTTTCACATCTTCCTTCCTTTTATTGAAAAAAATTTTAGAAAATGGCAGTTAATAAAAGGCACAAACAAATCAACAGGGATATACTAGTGGGAAACACAATATAAAACTAAAATGCCATTGGCTTCTTTAATTGGTTAAAAGCACAAAATGTAACAGGCAGAAAGTCTGTTTCAAACAAATTAAAAAGCTATGTGTTTTTTAAATTCTTCCCAAATCAGATATATACACACCCACAAAAATAGTGTGTGAAGGAAAGCTGTCATACACAAGAAGTTGTATCCTGAATTCTTCAAGGAAACACATATTGAAATAGGAATTAAGAGTCAGCAACAGATTAATAATTTTTTAAAATTGAGTCTTAAAATGCTACATGGCCCAAAGCTATACTATATAAAGTACTGCTAGGTACAAAAGAAAAAGTCTGTACAGCTTTTAGCAAAACTGCTTTCCCAGAAAAGCAAATTAAAATAATGCAATCAGCAGATCAAGGAGACTACAGCTAGACATCAGAGCTACAACTTCTCATATCTGTGTCAGAAAATCCTATTTATCCAGAATAGACTAAAATTTCAGGACAAAACAGGGACTTTTTAACATTTCTTACTTTACCCATTTTAAGTTCTTTTTATCTCCCCCACCCCCCAAGCCACTAATTCAGCAAGATCCAGGAGAAAGAGGGCTACTTTTAGAATTGGCTACTTTATTTTTCTTTCTATGGCAAGACTGTCATGGAGCCTGGATATTTCAGGCTCATATGCATCCATGACCAGTGTCCCACTGTGGTCAAAAAACTTAGCAATGGACTTTGTGAACTCGGCTTCCCGCTGCTGCTTTGTTCTCCCACTGATGAAGGTCAGCTTCAAGGTGTATTTGTCATCAAACCCTTTAAGACTGGAGGACAGCTGCCAAATATCATCAGGATCCATTCCTGTAGGATCTTTCCTGTGGGCCACGAGAAAGATGCTCTTCTCCTTATATGAGGTATAAATGGTCAGAATCCCCATCATCACAAAATAGGATATGACACACAAAGCCAAAACGGGTTTGGACTCTGGAAAGGGGTGCATATAATCCCAAATCAAAGCCACTATGGCAAAGAAACAGGAGATTGTACAGATGGTGAGGCGACCATCAATTAGACCAAAATTCTCCACATATTTGTATTTTTCCAGAAGTACCTTTTTGGCAGAATCATCCAAAGAGTTTTTCACAGCTGATCCATCCCACTTGTCAATTTTTACAGGCTTATCATCTATCTTCCACTTATCCAACAAGCCGCTACGGCCACTCCCTGTCCCGCAGTTGGAAGCACCACCAGCCCCACTACAGCCTCCGCTACCACCGCTTCTCTCGCCCTGTACAGCTGCCGCCGCCATCTTGTCCGCCTCTGCGTCTCCCTCCGTATCTGACTTTTTTTTTTTACCTCCCCAAAACTATTGTTCGAGTAACTGTTATCTGTCTGATGTTCATGATAAGAGCTCCTGCGGAAAAGTTCATCTTGATTTGTATCTACCTGTTTACTCAGCAACTACTTTGTAAAATTCCAGACTCTGAGGACATGGTAAAAAAACAAATCAGCTGCGTGTAGTGGCTCACACCTGTACACAACACTTTGGGAGGCTGAGGCAGAGGGATTGCTTGAGGCCAGGAATTCATGATCAGCCTGATCAACATACTGACACAAAAAAGAAGAAAAAAAAAAAAAGCAACTCCACAAAAAAGAAGAAGAAAAAAAAAAAGCCAGGCATGGTGGCACATGCCTGTAGTCTCAGCTACTCAGGAAGCTGAGGTGGAAGAATTGCTTGACCCCAGGAGTTCAAGTCTGCAGTGACCTATGATTGCGTCACTACAGTCCAGCCTGGGTGACAGAGTGAGACCGTGTCTCAAAAATGAAACAAAACAAAAACACCATAAATCAGGCTAAACTCCCTGCCCTCATGGAGCTCACATTCTAATCAACCCGTAGACAGAAATGTGTGTTGAATGTGTTCAACTGGGACTTAACACTCTTTCCTACTTCATTCTAGTGAACCTTCCCATACTGCAGAGGTGGAAGTTTATAAATGGCATTTCACAGGCTTCCATCCACGTAGGATTCTGGGTGAGAACTAGATATGGTCCATTAGATATACTTAGGTAAGATTTGTAAGGTAGAAATGAGGAAGAAGCCATTTTCCTGCAGTTGGCTGTTTCTGTTGGCCAATATGATCATTGCCGGAGACATGGGGTTTTTCTGAGGCAGAATATCAGTTTGTTTTGTTTTGTTTTGTTTTGTTTTGAGAAGGAGTTTCACTCTTGTGTCCCAGGCTGGAGTGTAATGACACGATCTCAGCTCACTGCAACCTCCACCTCCCAGGTTTAAGTGATTCTCCTGCCTCAGCCTCTCAAGTAACTGGGATTACAGGCACCTGCCACCACACCCGGCTAATTTTTATATTTTTAGTAGAGATGGGGTTTCACCATGTTGGCCAGGCTGGTCTCAAACTCCTGACCTCAAGTGATCCACCCACCTCAGCCTCCCAAAGTGCTGGGATTCCAGGTGTGAGCCACCAAACCCAGCCCAGAATTTCAGTTTCTAGTCTCTCTGAGTCTTGAAAGGTAGTAGCAGCAATAGGCCGGGTGCAGTGTCTCACAACTGGAATCCGAGCACTTTGGGTGGATCTCTTGAGGCCAGGAGTTCAACACCAGCCTGGGCAACATGGCAAAACCCTGTATCTGCTAAAAATACAAAAATTAGCCAGGCGTGGTGGCAAGCGCCTGTAATCCTAATTACCCGGATGGCTGAGGCACAAGAATCACTTGAACCTGGGAGGTGGAGGTTGCAGTGAGCCAAGATAGCGCCACGGCACTCCGGCCTGGATAACAGAGTGAGACTCTGTCTTCAAAAAAAAAAAAAAAGAAAAAAATGAATGAATGAAAGTTACTAGCAGCAATGATGGCTTGCAAAAACAGTACTTACCCAGTCTTCTTCTTCTTCTCCTTCTCCTTCTCCTTCTTCTTCTTCTTTCTTTTTTTTTTTTTTGACAGTCCCACTCTGTTTCCCAGGCTAGAGTGCAGTGGTGCAATCTCGGTTCACTGCAACCTCCACCTCCCAGGTTCAAGCGATTCTCCTGCCTCAGCCTCCTGAGTACCTGGGACTACAGGCATGCACCACCATGCCCTGCTAATTTTTGTATTTTTAGTAGAGATGGGGTTTCACCATCTTGGCCAGGCTGGTCTTGAACTCCTGACCTCATGTGATCCGCCCGCCTCGGCCTCCCAAAGTGCTAGGTGGCGCCCAGCCTACTATATATTATTTAGACCAGTAGTTCTCAAAGTATGGTCTGGGGACCTCCTGGAGACCTCCAAGACAGTAACAGGGAGTAAGTGAAATCAAAACTACTTTAAAAATGACACTAACTCATTATTTGCCTTTTTCACTCTCATTCTTTCAAAAGTGTGGTGGAATTTTCCAGGGGCTATGTGCTAATTCATTGCTAATGGCTAATGGAATGTGTGCTGGTATATTCTTGCATTTTCAAAATTCCTCAATTTTAATCTCTAAAGGAGAAAATATAAATAGCTGTAATCATATAAACAAAAGCTCTTTGGGGTCACCAGTAATTTTTTTTTTTTTTTTTTTTTTTGAGACGGAGTCTCCTTCTGTTGCCCAGGCTGGAGTGCAATGGTGCGATCTCAGCTCACTGCAACCTCTGCCTCCTGGGTTCAAGCAATTCTCATGCCTCAGCCTCCTGAGTAGCTGGGATTACAGGCACATGCCACCGCATCCAGCTAATTTTTTGTTTATTGTTTTTTGGTTTTTTTTAGTAGAGATGGGGTTTCACCGTATTGGCCAGGCTGGTCTCAAACTCATGACCTCAGGTGATCCACCCACCTCGGCCTCCCAAAGTGCTGGGATTACAGGCGTGAGCCACCACATCCAGCCATCAGGGTCACAAGTAATTTTTAACAGCATTAAGGGATCCTGATATCAAAACATTTGAGAACTGCTGACCTAAGTCATTGTGTATATTCATTCTTGTACTATTTGCAGTGGCTCCACTTTGGCCATTTCTGGATGCCTGATTCCCACACACGGCTATACCCATGCCATGTTCAACACCCTCCTACCAGGATGCCTTTCTATTTTGATTAAAACACTTGAGACAGTATCTTCTTGCACATGACCAGTAACAGCTGTTTTGGCACAGCCTTGGGACTCCACATAACTGTGAATTGTCCTCATGGCCAACACAAGACCCACAGACCAGCCCTTTGCCCTGCTGGTGCTGGATTATCTTTTCTGGCTGACTCATCTGGGATACCTGGTTTCTGCCCCTGCCTTTGCCCTGTTGAGCACTAGACTGACCCACTCTTGCCTCCCGTTCCTACTCTTGGTTCCCCTCCTGTTCAGGTGGCCGCTGCTGTGCGGAGCAGTTGTCAGCTGCCCATAACTAAGCTGAGTTAGTTGGGTTAGCAGGGGCCTGTATCCCTGTCCAATTCCAGAGTGAGCTGTGTCAAACTTAGGTTGCCTGGAAGTTTCCTGCCAACCAGATGATGGATTCATATTTGCTTTTAATCATGGCTATACTGGCCGGGTGCCATGGCTAATGCCTGTAATCCCAGCACTTTGGGAGGCCAAGGTGGGTGGATCACTTGAGGTCAGGAGTTTGAGACCAGCCTGGCCAACATGGTGAAACCCTGTCTCTACTAAAATTACAAAACCTAGCCAGGCATTGTGGCACACGCCTGTAGTCCCAGCTACTCTACTTGGGAGGCTGAGGCAAAAGAATCACTTGAACCCAGGAGGCGGAGGTTGCAGTGAGCAGGATCGTGCCACTGCACTCCAGCCTGGGCAACAGAGCGAGACTCCATCTCAAAAAAAAAAAATTATGGTTATACCTTCCCCCAAGAATGCCATTATCTGTGTATTTGTACTCTATAATTAGATTTAAAGTTAAAACATAAACTGTTGGCCAGGCATGGTGGTTCACACCTGTTATCCCAGCACTTTGGGAGGCTGAGGTGGGTGAATCACCTGAGGTCAGGAGTTCAAGACCCACCTGGCCAACATGGTGAAACCCAATCTCTACTAAAAATACAAAAACCAACCAGCCATGGTGGCGCATGCCTGTAATCTCAGCTACTCAGGAGGCTGAGGCAGGTGAATTGCTTGAACCCAGGAAGCAGAGGTTGCAGTGAGCCAAGATCACACCATTGCACTCCAACCTGGGCAACACAGCAAGGCTCTGTCTCAAAAAAACAAAAAACAAGAACAACAACAACCAAAAAAAAACTGTTAATAATAGATGTTTCTTGTGGATAGAAGGGACCATGTCATATATTCTGTCAACTTCACTTTTTTTTTTCTTTCTTTCTTTTTCTTCCCCCATAGTAAGAATGTATAGACTTTCAAGGGCTCTGGAAACAGATTGTGTTTGAATCCTGACTCTCCCACTTACAGTTGTGCGCACTTGGACAGGTCAAGTATTGCTCAGTGCCTCAGTTTTCAGTATTTCTTTCTTTTTTTTTTTTTTTTTTTGAGACTGAGTTTCACTCTTGTTGCCCAGGCTGGAGTGCAATGGCATGATCTTGGCTCACCGCTCACCGCAACCTCCGCCTCCCGGGTTCAAGCAATTCTCCTGTCTCAGCCTCCCGAGTAGCTGGGATTACAGGCATGTGGCACCACACCCAGCTAATTTTGTATTTTTAGAAGGGACGGGGTTTCCCATGTTGGTCAGGCTGGTCTCGGACTCCCAACCTCAGGTGATCTGCCCGCCTCGGCCTCCCAAAGTGCTGGGATTATAGGCATGAGCCACAGTGCCCGGCCAGTGCCTCAGTTTTCATACATGTAAAATGGAGATTTAAAACAGCACTGGCTGTGTGCAGTGGCTCACGCCTGTAATCCCAACACTTTGGGAGGCCAAGGCAAGTGGATTACATAAGGTGTGTTGGCTAGACCAGCCTGGCCAACACAGTGAAACCCCGTCTCTACTAAAAATACAAAAATTAGCTGGGTGTGGTGGTACATGCCTGTAATCCCACCTACTCGGGAGGCTGAGGCAGAAGAATCTCTTGAACCCAGGAGGCAGAGGTTGCAGTGAACTGAGATCGCTCCACTGCACTCCAGCCTAGGCGACAGAGCAAAACTCTGCTCAAAAATAAATGAATAAAAATAAAATTTCAAATAAAATTTAAATGCACCAAAAAAAGAAAAGCCTTTATCTCATAGAGTTAAATAACAAATACATGTAAAGTGTTTAGAATTATGACAGATACATACATATGTAAGTGATTAAAAATCAGAAAACAATGGACTTATAAAAGCTGCTATGGGCCGGACATGGTGGCTCATGTCTGTAATCCAACTCTTTGGGAGGCCAAGATGGGTGGATTTCTTGAGGCCAGGAGTTCAAGACCAGCCTGGCCAACATGGTGAAATCCTGTCTCTACTAAAAATACAAAAATTAGCTGGGCTTGGTGACAGGTGCCTGTAATCCTAGACTGAGGCAGGAGAATCGCTTGAACCTAGAAGGCAGAGGTTGCAGTGAGCCGAGATCGTTCCATTGCCCTCCAGCCTGGGCGACAAGAGCGAAACTCCGTCTCAACAATAACTACAACAAAAAATCTATACTATGAAGCTTTCATGAGTATAGAGATGTAGAAAAAAATTATAATAAACCTCAAAGTCCTGATCTTTATCAAGAAACTTGAGATGCTATTCACCTAAGTGCTTTAGAGAATGCCAAGCACTAAATTATCCAGCCTGCTTTGTTTAGAAAGACAAGGCTGAGGGTAAGGCCGGGCACGGTGGCTCATGCCTGTAATCCCAGCACTTTGGGAGGCCGAGGCGGGCAGATCACGAGGTCAGGAGATCGAGACCATCCTGGCTAACACGGTGAAACCCCGTCTCTACTAAAAATACAAAAAATTAGCCGGGCGTGGTGGCAGGCGCCTGTAGTCCCAGCTACTCGGGAGGCCGAGGCAGGAGAATGGTGTGAACCCGGGAGGTGGAGCTTGCAGTAAGCCGAGATCGCGCCACTGGACTCCAGTCTGGGCAACAGAGCAAGACTCCTTCTCAAAAAAAAAATAAAAAGACAAGGCCGAGGGTTAGTGAATTTCTACATAAGAGTTACCATAAAATTTAAGATACATCTAAAAGAATTCTGAACTATGTCATCATAAAAATAGACTAAGTCTTTTAATTAAAAAGACAAAGAGCTTTTCTATACTATTGAAATGCTTGTTTTAATAATCCCAGGGAGTATTTACTTGTAATCCTGAGGCTATTAATTTTTATTACAGCAAACTACATTTTTAAAAGAATGTTTAGTATAGGAAATGGTGGTTATTCATTCAAAGCTATAAACTATGTTTGTTTTGGAAGGTTAATTTTACTGCAACCTGGTGATAAATTAACCCACTCACTATGAGCTCACTAATCTAAATCTAATTAGCTTGGCCAGCGTAAAAGTCTAGACAGATTTTCTTAAATTTGGGAATACATCTAAATGCATTCCTTCATGTTAAAAAAAAAGTTTAAAAAGTTATAAGAAAATAAATATAAGACTCAAATAAATTAACTTTAAAGAGCAATGCAGGCCGGGTGCAGTGGCTCACACCTGTAATCCCAGCACTTTGGGAGGCCAAGGCAGGTGGATCACTTGAGGTCAGGCATTCAAGACTAGCCTGGCCAACACGGTGAAACCCCATCTCTATTAAAATACAAAAATTAGCTGGGCGTGGTGGCGCATGCCTGTAGTCCCAGCTACTTGGGAGGCTGAGGCAGGAGAATGGCTTGAACCTGGGAGGTGGAGGTTGCAGTGAGCCAAGATCACACCATTGCGCTCCAGCCTGGGCAGCAGATGGAGACTCTGTCTCAAAAAAAAAAAAAAAAAAGCAATGCAGAGAATGAAAGTCTGATACATGCTACAACACGGCTGAAACTTGAAAACATTCATTATGCTAAATGAAATAAGCCAAATACAAAGGGACATATATTACATGATTCCACTTACACGAGGTACCTAAAATAGGCAAATTCATAGATACAGACGGTACAATAAAGGTTCCCAGAAGCTAGAGGTAGGGAGTAATGGAGGGTTATTGTTTAGTGGTACAGAGTTTTAGTTCGTGATGATAAAAAAAAGTTCCAGAAATTGGCCGGGCGTGGTGGCTCACATCTGTAATCCCAACATTTTGGGAGGCCGAGGCAGACAGATCACGAAGTCAAGAGACTGAGACCATCCTAGCCAATATGATGAAACCCTGTCTCTACTAAAAATACAAAAATTAGCTGTGTGGTGGCGCGTGCCTGTAGTCCCAGCTACTCAGGAGGCTGAGGCAGGAGAATCGCTTGAACCCGGGAGGTGGAGGTTGCAGTGAGCCGAGATCACACCACTGCACTCCAGCCTGGCGACAGAGCAAGACTCCATCTCAAAAAAAAAAAAAAAAAGTTCCAGAAATTGATAGTGGTGATGGTTGTACAACATTGTAAATGTACTTAATGCCATTGATTTGTACACTTTAAAATAGTTAAAACTGTAATCTTATGCATATTTTACCACAATAAAAAATACTATACCAAAAAAATGTAAAAATTTTTTACATGACAGCTAGCCTAAACTCTTCAAAATGTCAATATCATGAAAAATCCACAAATGGAGGGGATTTAGACTAAAAGAGAGTAAAGAGACCCAATAACAAATTGCAATGAGTGAACTTTGATACAATCTTGATTTGGGAAAAAGTCTACAAAATACATTCTTAGGCCGGGTATGATGGTTCACGCCTGTAATCCCAGCACTTTGGGATGCTGAGGCGGGTGGATAACGAGGTCAGGAGTTCGAGACCAGCCTGACCAACATGGTGAAACCCTATCTCTACTAAAAATACAAAAATTAGCCAGGCGTGGTGGCGCATGCCTGTAATCCCAGCTACTCAGGCAGCTGAGGCAGGAGAATCGCTTAAACCCAGGAGGCAGAGGTTGCAGTGAGCCAAGATTGCGCCACTGCACTCTAGCCTGGGCGACAGAGCGAGACTCTGTCTCAAAAAAAAAAAATTCTTTTATCAATTGAGGAAATTTGAAAATGAACTAGCAATTAGAAGATATTATGAGGCAGGGTATGGTGGCTCACCCCTCTAATCCCAGTATTTTTGGAGGCCAAGGCTGGAGGATTGCTTGAGCCTAGGAGTTCGAGACCAGCCTGGGCAACATAGCGAAACCCTGTCTCTACAAATAATACAAAAGAAAAAAATTAGCTAGACATGGTGGCACCTGTGGTCCCAGCTACTCAGGAGGCTGAGGCAGGAGGACCACCTGAACCTAGGAGGTTGAGGCTGCAGTGAGTCGTGATTGCACCACTGCACTTCCAGCCTGGGCGACAGAGTGAGACCCTGTTTCAAAACAAAACAAACAAACAAACAAAACTTCCTGCTACCTAGATCCCTGGAGCTACCCTGTATGCTTTTTCTGAGGCTTGACGTTCAGCTTTCCTTCGGTAAGCTATCCCATATCTTTCCAATAAAATATTTTTGTTGTTGTTGTTATTAAGACCAGAATTGGTCACTGATGTTTTCAATCAATGAACCATGGCTGATCCAATGTCTTATCTATAAAAGACATAGAAAATCGGCATAGTGAAAATTCCTAGCATAAAAAAACTATTGCTTTTATGTAACAGTTTAATATTCTCCAGGCAAGAGGCAAATTACAACTTTGTGAAATGGGCTGTGAGCTACAAAACTAATAAAAATCATTCAGAGGTGAAAAGAATGAAAGGTGAGAGAGGCATTACATGTACTCTGCCTCTGGAATACAATTCCACTTCCCTACCAAAGAAGGCAATGGGAGGAGAAGGAAGCGGAAAGTAGAAAAAGCTTCTCCGGCTCCCCTGAATAGGAATCTGGCAATAATCTGGCTGCTATTTACTAGCATGCAGCATCCGAGGCACTGTGTTAGTCCTTCATATGCAGCGCCTCACTGACTTCTCCCAAGGGCACAATTATTATCTATCATTTGGCTATATATATTCTGATTCTCTCCACTTTACAGAAAACTGGGGCTCAAGGTTGTTAAATCATTAAGTCGAAGTCCCAGAGGTGGGAAGGGCGGGATCCAAACACAAGTGTGTGACTCCAGCGCTGGGGTAGGAGCACCTTGAAGGTGAAGGAGCCCAGCGAGCTGCAGCTTCCTAGTCCAGCCTCACGTCATCATCCCTGAGACCTAAGCTCCTCCCACTCAGATTCCTGAGCCAATCCGGAGAGAGGCCAATGGATATTGATAGACTCTGCATCTCTCCACCCTCTCTGAACCCAAGAGCTTTGTTTGCAAACTTGGTACAAAGCACTCAACTGCTAGCTTCCGAGGTTCCCATGAGTCACCTCTGCTGCCTGCAAGATCTGGGTCTGGATGAGCCCTAGCCACCCCTATACCCCACCCTCCCAAGTTATGGCACTTTGTAAGCCCTGCTTCTCTCTGTTTGTGTCATTTACCAGGGCTAGATTTCTCCCACTCCCATTCTCCGAGACTTAGTAAAGCCTAGTGGTTACATTTAGTAGGGTTACACAACAACCCTACTAAAAAGGCATGGTTATCATTTGTATTTTTAGGTTGAGGAGCCTGAAGATGAAGACTCTTACACACAGAAGCACAGACTTTGGTCTGCTTCACCACTGCTTCTGTGTATAAGATTTAGTTGGGGTTGCTGTGAGGATAAAATGCACTAACCTATATAACGTGTGTGTGTGTGTGTGTGTGTGTGTGTGTGTGTGTGTGTGTATTACAGTGCCTGGCACCTCGTAAGCACTCAGTAAACAATAGTTGCTATTCTCATTACTTTCATTGTTCATTGTTATCCCCATCCTATAGTCTGTCCAGCCTAACTTTCATCCCCATCTTCTGGTTTGGGGCCTAGATCTCCTGCCTCTTCTTGTCAATACATATTTTTTTTCTCTCTAGAAGTGAATCCCAACTCTGGGAGGACTCCCAGGTCACTGATGAGTCTTCTTCTGTTATACAGATCTCCCAGAATCAGGAGTTTGGCCTGCCTGACTTTTTCATTTATTAAACTTATTTCCAAGTGGATTTTTGTTGTGATGCTCACCAATTTTCATTTAGGACTTGAATGTAGGTAGTAGCCCCTGGGAGAATCAATAAAGGATGGGGGTACATGGGCTGGGGTTAGAGGCTGGACTCTTAAGTTAGCTGGGCCTGACCTGGCCCTTGCTGGCTGTGCTTCAGTTTCCTCAGCTACAAAATGGGGAGTTTTGGTCAGGTGCGGTGGCTCACGCCTGTAATCCCAACACTTTGGGAGGCCAAGGCAGGCACATCACTTGAGGTCAGGAGTTCGAGACCAGCCTGACCAACATGGTGAAGCCTTCCATCTCTACAAAAAATAATAAAAAAAAAATTAGCCAGGCATGGTGGCTCATGCCTGTAATCCCAGCTATTCGGGAGGCTGAGGCAAGAGAATCAATTGAACCCGGGAGGCAGAGATTGCAGTGAGCCGAGATCATGCCAGTGCACTCCAGCCTGGGCAACAGACCGAGACTCTGTCTCAAAAATAAATAAATAAAATAAAATAAAATGAGGAGTCTCTCTCTTTCAGGGATGTAGCAAGGATTCCATGATATAGTGTCTGGAAAGCCCATGTGCCTGGCACAGTGTAGGTATGAATGATGTCAGTTTCCTTCCCTCTTGGGCCCATCAGCAGCTTGAAATACTGCCAAAAGCATCTTAAAAGAGAGGTCCCATCTCTAAGGAAGTGGAAGGGTACCCTCTCTCCTGTTGCCCCCTCTCCTGTTGCCCCTTCTACTTTCTCCCCAGCCACTCCCTCCTTTCATCAGATGAAACTTTGTCATTCTGAAGTTGGGGGTGGGAGGTAGGGAAACAATGGGCAGAGAGGCTGTTCTGAGGGCCCCACGTGGCCCTCCCTGCTCGAATGCCATTTGGTCAGGAACCAGGCTTGCCATTTACAAAAACACATCCGTTCTGGAAACTACCACTTAAGGAAAAACTTTTTTGAGTCTTCAAAAACAGCAGTAAAAGGCAGGGCATGGTGGCTCACGCCTGTAATCCTAGCACTTTGGGAGGCCAAGGTGGGCGGATCACCTGAGGTCAGAAGTTAGAGACCATCCTGACCAACATGGAGAAACCCTATCTCTACTAAAACTACAAAATTAGCCTGGCGTGGTGGTGCATGCCTGTAATCCCACCTATTCGGGAAGACTGAAGCAGGAGAATTGCTTGAACCTGGGAGGCGGATGTTGCAGTGAGCTGAGATTGCGCCATTGCACTCCAGCCTGGGCAACAAGAGCAAAACTCCATCTCAATAAAATAAATAAATAAAATAAAACAAAAACAGCAGTAAAGATGATTAAAGAGGTAGAGAACAGGGCCTGTAGGGAAAACTCCAGAACCTGGATTGTTTAGGTTAAGGAAGTAAAGGCTGAAGGGCTAGGATGAGCTGCTGAGAAACAGTATTTGAGGAGGCAGAGCCAAATAGGACTGGTAAGTATATGCTATAGATTGAAAGGGGCGAGAGGAAGGGCGTTAAAAGGGTCTTGGCAAGTCCATTGATGCAGGGGCCTAAATTAGGTGGCTCTCCTTAAGAAAAAGAATGCAGAATTATAAATACAACATTACTAGGACCCTTCTTGGGCTTTAAAAGGAGTTTGTGCAGGTGAGGGGCCCTGGGGCTTAAACTCTGCTAACTTCACAGTGAATTTACCTCTAGCCAAGGGTGCAACAAGTGATCTGGTAACACAGGTTAGGGAAATGGTCTCAGAGCTTGATTGTTCTGGAAACTTCTTCTCTTCCCCTAATTCCTTCTTAGCTTGCAAAATGCAATGCAAGCCTGCCCTCCACTCAGAACTCCTATCAGACGTGGCCCTTCCCCACCATGGCGGTTTCATGCTTCTCCTTCATGCCTGCACCTATCACACACTCATTTGTACCACTCTGCTTGTGTATTAGTCATCTACTGCCATGTAACAAATTCTCCAAAATGTAGGGGCTTAAGACTATATCAATTCATTCTCTCAGTTTTAATGGATCAGGCATCCAGGCATGGCTTGGCTAAGTCCTTGGTCAGCGAAGGCTCAATGGAAAAGATCTGCTTCCTAGCTCACATGATTGTTGGCAGAATTCAGTTCCTCACAGGCTGTTGGACTGAGGCCTCAGTTCCTCAAGAGCTGCTAGCGGGAGGCCTCCCTGGGTTCCCTGCTACATAGGCCTCTCCATCAAGTAAGTGTGGCAGCTGGCTTCATCAGACCAAGCAAATGAGAGGGCAAGGAAAAGAGAGAGAGAGCTACCAAGATGGAAGTCACAGTTCTTTGTAACCTAATCACAGAAGTGACATCCTATCACTTTTGTCATATTCCATTCATCAGAAGCAATTCACTAGGTCCAGCCCATATTCATGGGTAGGGAATTACACAAGGGCATGAATATCAGGAAGCAGGGATCACTGGAAACCTTGTCGAAAGCCGCCACCACAACTGTCACTCCTTCTCATTAACTGTTGCCCTGCCTGCCTCTGCCATTCCATTATGAGCTCCTTGAAGACGAGGACCACATTTTACTCTGTGCTTCTTGTGCTTGTTAAGTGAATGGATGATGAATAAATGAGTGATTACTTACTCAAAGTAGCAGAAACAGAACCAAAAGCAAGTGCATCATTTTACTTAAAAGAGATTGCTATTTATTGTCTTCTGACCCAGCCATTTCACTTCTGGAAAGTTAAGAAAATAATCAAGAATGTAATTATAAGAGTATATTAAGAAACTTAGTTAAGGCTGGGAGCGGTGGCTCACTGTAATCCCAGCACTTTGGGAGGCCGAAACAGGTGGATCACTTGAGGTCAGGAGTTCGAGACCAGCCTGGTCAACATGGCAAAACCCCATCTCTACTAAAAATGCAAAAAAAATTAGATGGGCATGATGGCACATCCCTATAATCCCAGCTACATGGGAGGCTGAGGCACGAGAATAGCTTGAACCCAGGAGAAGGAGGTTGCAGTGAGCCGAGCCTGCACTCCAGCTTGGGCAAGAGTGAGACTGTGTCTCAAAAAAAAAAAAAGAAGAGGCTTAGTTAAAAGGTAGTCCGTTACAGCATTGTTTACAATAGCAAACTGCCCTCTCAAAAACAAAAATAAAAACAGCTAAACTGTAAACTAACTGAATGTCCAATGATAAAGGATTGATTAGCTGCTAAGCTATACACATACAGTGGATATTCTGCAGTCATCAAAATGAAAAATGCCTTGTCTTGCTCTGTCGCCCAGGCTGGAGTGCAATGGTGTGATCTCAGCTCACTGCAATCTCCGCCTCCCAGGTTAAAGCAATTCTCCTGCCTCAGCCTCCCGAGTAGCTGGAATTATAGGTGCACACCACCACGCCCGGCTAATTTTTATATTTTTAGTAGAGATGGGGTTTCACCATATTGGCCAGGCTGGTCTCTTGGCCAGGCTAGTCTTGAACTCCTGACATTGTGATCTGCCTGCCTCGGCCTCCCAAGCTGCTGGGATTACAGGCGTGAGCCACCACACCTGGCCAGTACTTCTTTTTTAAGTTACAAAGCAGCGTATGCATTTCATCTTTATACAAAGTGAATATACATGTTAAAATATCTGGGGCAGATACTACTTAGTCCAGGGCCTGATAGCTAGGCTGGTTCTCTCCTTTCGAATGGGAGACCTCTGCTGCAGACAAGCTCCAGCAGATCCTCAGTCAGGCCAAGAAGCATCTGAGCTTGATCCCTTCTTTGTATTTATTGGATTTAGAGGTATTAGAAAAGCATTGTATGTCTTAAGTCTGGCATTGTTCAATCCGGATGTTAGGACAGAAAGAATTACCCAGAGGCCTGGTGTGGTGGCTCATGTCTATAATCCCAGCTTTTTGAGAGGCCAAGGTGAGCAGATCACTTGAGGCCAGGAGTTCAAGACCAGCCTGGCCAACATGGTGAAACGCTGTCTCTACTAAAAATACAACAAATTAGCTGGATGTGGTGGCATGTGCCTGTAATCCCAGCTACTCGGGAGGCTGAGGCAAGAGAACTGATTGAACTTTGGAGGCAGAGGTTGCAGTGAGCTTAGATCGTGACACTGTGCTCCCGCCTGGGCGACGAAGCGAGACTCAGTCTCAAAAAAAAAAATAAATAAAAAGGAAAGAAAGAATAACCCAGAGCCCTGTAACAAACTGGGTCCCAACAATCCATCCAAGTTTTACTCAGTGAATGTGGATTATAGCAAACTGAAGAAAGAAGGTCCAGATTTGTAAATGAAGTGTTTCACTATTAAAGCTGCTTTCGAATGAAGGTCTTTCTGAAGCCATCCGCACAATTTTCCATTTAATCAGGAAATATTTGTCCTCTAAATACATGAAATCATGTTGATGTAATGTGTTGGAGATTACCCTGATTAATAAATAATTGAAACTTGAAAAATAAATCTGGAAGGATTAGATCAGTTTTGAACGGCCATGAAGTTCAGATAAGCCAATTTTAAGTTTCATTAAACAAATAGGTGTTTTGGTTTTTTGTGTTATTCACATGACAAGATGTCTGGAGTCAGGCAGGTTCTGGCCCTAGTTCTTTCTAGCTCAGTATCACCACAGTTCTTTTGGTTTTCCCCTCTTGCTTGCCACCCCAGGTCATATGATGGCTGCCCCAGCTCCAGGCATCTCACCCACATTCAAATCAGGAAGAACTGGTATGGGAAAGCTCCAGTCATGGCTGACTCTTTACTAGGAAAACAAAAGCTTTCCTAGAAGTCCCCCGCCAGACTTCCTTAACTCTCCCATTGGCTGAGTCATATGGAGATTCCCAGACACAGGGGAGGCTGAAGACACTAGAAACAGAATTTCATGATTGATAATAGAAAATTATGATTTGTGCTCCAAGGCTGGGCACTCAAACAAGCTTGGAATTCTGTTAATGAAGAAGGGGAAGGGATCAAGTAACTGTTACCCCCTTTAGACAGGACACAGTGCATCCTACTTTGTCACAGTCACCTCACTCCTTTTAGATTGCTTTACTCAGTTAATCACCTGCCTAGCCCCTGTGAAGGCATTTGAACTTTCAACACTTGGATACAAGGCTCAGAGTTAGAAAGTGTGAAAAGATTGCTAACTGTCTCCATTATCCATTACTTCCCCCTTTCTTCTAGTAATAAAATAATTTTCACCCCAAGATATAGCAGGGTATATGGCTGCCCAGATCCAGATCATAGTTCATGGTCACCGCTGCCATGGTAGCTAGCTGGGTGTGACCATGTAACTAAGTACTCACCACTGGAAAATGTATAGATTCATGTGATCATCACTTCTACATCATTTCCTAAAGTGAAATTGTTAGCCATTTACTTCCTCTTTCCCCCACTTACCACAGGCTTGTATATAGATGCTTCAATGATGTCCTTGGAGACGGCAGAGCAACAAGATAGAGGGAACCTGTATCCCCAAATGACTACCTGAAGCAGAGCCCCTTACTCACCTCTGGACTCATCCTGAATCACCCATATGCTTAAAGGGATAAAACAACAACAAAAGACAAAATAAGAACAACAAACAAAACCTGTAAAACAAGAGATTCAAAATAAATTTGCTCTAGCTGGGGCATGGTGGCTCATGCCTGTAATCCCAATACTTTGGGAAGTGGAGGCAGGAGGATCACATGAGCCCAAATGTTCAAGACCAGCCTGGGCAAGATAATGAGACCCTAAAGTAACTGGGCATGGTGGCCCATGCCAATAATCCCAGCTACTCGGGAGGCTGAGGTGGGAGAATCACTTGAGCCCAGGAGGTTGAGGCTGCTCTGAGACATGATCCAGGCATGGTGGTGAGCACCTGTAATCCTAGCTACTCAGGAGGCTGAGGCAGGAGGATTCCTTACACCCAGGAGTTTGAGGTTACAGTGAGCTATGATCATACCATGGTACTCCAGCATGGAAGACAGAATGAGATCCTGTCTCAGTAATAAATAAGTAAATAAATAAATTTATTCTGTATTTTTGAGCCTCTTTACTAAAGCAGCTTATTCTGTTCCTTAACTCATATAGGAAAGAAAAAAACAAACTTCATTATGCCATTGGTGTGTTGTTAATAGTTAAAAAAAAAAAAGAAGAAGAAGAAGATTGGGAGCTAAGACGAAAAAAACAGAGATGTCAACTAAATGGAGGAATAAGAGATGTTCTTATAAAGACTTGCATTACTGGGGAGGCAACTGAATAAACAGGCAGGACAGTGAAAGAGCCTAATCAGATGCCCACTGAGCTCTGCTTTGGAGTTAATATGGTTTGGCGTTGAAGCAAAATACAAAGACCAGGGTGAAGTCAAACCATTGCAGTCTACATACGGCAGGAAGGCCCATGGTTCAAGAAGGGTCTGTGTAGATATGAATTAGATGGGAGGACCATTAGTCAGGGTCCTTAGGTTGCAAGCAACAGAAAGCAACTCTGAGTTGCTCAAACAAAACAAAGAATTTACTAGAAAGACATTGGGAAGACCAAAGAATCTAAGGAAGATCTCAACAGCCAAGGCCAAGAAAAGGATAAGGTGCAGGTAAGCTCTGGGAATCCCACTTACAGAAACTTGTGGTTTCCCTAGTATGCAGCAGAATCACCTGGAGGGGTTTTTAAAACACAGATTGCTGGGGCCTACCCCTAGAGTTTCTAATCCAGTAGGTGTGGGTTGGGGCCCGGGAATCTGTATTTCTAACAGGTTCCCAGATGCTGTTGCTGCAGGTCAAGGGACCCCCTTATGAGAAGCACTGCTTTAGGGGAAACACATCAAATGACTCAGCTCCCACTTCCTTCCATCCCTGAGTGTCTCCACAGTTCCAAAGTCCTGAGAAAGTCCAGTTGACCCAGGATTGAGTCACTCTTGTGGTCAGAGAGGTGGCGTTCTGTGATTGGCAGCCATGTGAGTATCACTTGGTGTGGGGATGGGGGAAGTTCCTCCAAGGAAGGAACACTGGACACAAAACTAGACGATGTCCTCAAAATGGTAGTTGGGCAAGCTAAATGCACAACTCTCTCCATCTGGAGCAAGATCTTCAGCAGCAGCTTCTCCTCTCAGGGCAGAAGTTCCAGAATAGAGAACTGGAGGCGGGTGGGGTGGTAGGGAGAGGGAGAAGGTGGACTTCTACAGACCATTATCTCTATTCTAACCTCATTTCGTTTCCTGTCAAGAGAAGACACTCCTGCCCCCTAGAGACCAGTGATCAATTCCACAGCAGCTTTGGTGGCTATGAAAGCCCTGAGGAGTCAGTAGACCTTGCGCTGAGACCCATTTTGACCAGTTAGGCCACAGCTCAAGACAACATTTTACCGTGCATGTTGTAGCTTTTTTCAGCTGCAGAGAAATCAACAGAGATAGTTCCTGAAAAGCCTAAGCATCTCATTTTTGCATCATACTGTATATGCTCCTACAGGGGAGAAGAAACTTCCATCTACCCTCTTAGGTTCTATGGCTGGCCTAAGTTTTTTTTTTTTTTCTTTCTTTTTTTTGAGACACAGTCTCACTCTGTCGCCCAGGCTGGAGTGCAAAGGCACGATCTCGGCTCACCACAACCTCCGCCTCCCGGGTTCAAGTGATTCTCCTGCCTCAGCCTGCCGAGTAGCTGGAATTACAGGTGCGCACCACCATGCCTGGCTAATTTTTGTATTTTTAGTAGAGACGGGATTTCACCATGTTGGCCAGGCTGTTCTCAAACTCCTAACCCCAAGTGATCCACCTGCCTTGGCCTCCCAAAGTGCTGGGATTACAGGTGTGAGCCACCACGCCCAGCCTGGCCTAAGTATTAATATTAAACAGACATAAGACAGAATAACATGAGAAAAGCATACAAAGTTTTTAAATATTTTATCTATACACAGGAGTCGTCAGAAGGAAAGTGAAAACCCAAAGAATTAATTAAGCCCAAATGCTTATATACCTTTTTACATAAAGAATAATAAATCGGTGGGTGATGTGAACTGGAGTCTGAGCCGGCTATAAAGAGAACAACAACAACAAAAGAATGACAGGCCAGGCTTGGTGGCTCACACCTGTAATCCCAGCACTTTGGGAGGCCAAAGCTGGTGGATCACCTGAGGTCAAGAGTTCAAGACCAGCCTGGCCAACATGAGGAAATCCCGTCTCTACTAAAAATACAAAAATTAGCTGGGCTTGGTGGCGGGTGCCTGTAGTCTCAGCTCCTCGGGAGGCTGAGGCAGGAAAATTGCTTGAACCTGGGAGGCAGAGGTTGCAGTGAGCCAAGACTGTGCCACTGCACTCCAGCCTGGGCAACAGAGACTCTGTCTAAAAAAAAAAAAAAAGAATGACAAATTGTGGGGATGTGACAAGACAAAGAGGCTTGAGCTAAAGGCAGTTAGTTGTGGGACAATGACTAGGAAATACATGGGGTTATTTTAGTAGGTTCATTTGTACAGGCCCACTGCGCCATCAACCCTCAGTCTCCGGTGATGGGAATGTGCTTCTCTTCCTGGTACAGAGAGGGCATCTTTCTCATGGGAAATTTTATGAACTGTATTTAGGTAAAAAGATGGAATTCAGAGGGTTCTTCCTGCACCGGCTGTTTCTCAAGTGGCTTCAGCTCAAAATAATATGCCAGAGTGGCATATTTTGGGGTGGCATGTCCTGAACCCCTTCACTAACAATGAATTTTCTTCTTCAGAAAAACTTGGTAGTGGTCAGGCACAATGGCTCACGGTTGTAATCCCGGCACTTTGGTAGGCCGAGGCAGGCGGATCACCTGAGGTCAGGTGTTCAAGACCAGCCTGGCCAGCATGGTGAAACCCCATCTCTACTAAATAAAAATACAAAAATTAGCTGGGTGTGGTGGCACATGCCTGTTATCCCAGCTAGTTAGGAGGCCAAAGCAGGAGAATTGCTTGAACCTGGGAGGCAGACGTTGCAGTGAGTCAAGATGGTGCCACTGCACTCTAGCCTGGGCGACAGAGCAAGACTTTGTCTCAGAAAAAAAAAAAAAGAGAAAAGAAAAACTTGGTAGAGAAAAAAAAAATCTGTTAACCTAATTAAACAAGCCTACAGTTGTGTAAGCTGGATTGTCAGCTATCAGATGCTCTTATAATGTGGCTCACCTGAGCTTACAAATGAATATCATTATTTCAAGGAGTGTGTTGAACCATTATGTTAATATTTACACAGCAATTAATGTAATACACCATATTAATTGAATAAAGAACAAAACCCACCCCTCCAATAGATGCCTAAAAACATTCGACAAAATCTAACAGTTTAAAAGCATTCAACAAACTAGGGAGAGAAGGGGACTTTCTCAACCAGATAAAGGATATCTACAAAAACCCCCAGCTAACATCATACTTCCTTGTGAAAGACTGGACGCTTTCCCCGAAGATCCCTTGTTAAGATTAATGGTTGCATGCGGTGGTGGGGGGGAACAGGAAGTGACTGCTAGTGGGTATGGGGTTTCTTTTTGAGGTGGTGAAATTAGTGGTGATTGTTGCACAACTTTGTCAATGAATACACTAAAAATCAGTAAGGGTATGGTGGCTCACACCTGTAATCCTAGCACTTTGGTAGGCTGAGGCAGGAGGCTCACTGGAGCCCAGGAGTTCAAGACAAGCCTGGGCAACATAATGAGACTTCATCTCTACTGAAAAAAAAAAAAGAAAAATTAACTGGGCATAGTGGTGCACATCTGTAGTCCTGGCTACTCAGGAGGCTGAAGCGGGAGAATCTCTGGAGCCCAGGAGGTCGAGGCTTCAGTGAGCCATGATTGCACCACTGCACTCCAGCCTGGTCAACAGAGTGAGACCCTGTCTCAAAAAAACAAAACAACAACAACAAAAAAAGCCACTGAAGTGTACACTTTAAAAGATACCTGAATTAAATCTCAAAACTGCTTTTTTTTTTAGTAGGGGACAGGGTCTCACTCTGTTGCTCATACTGGAGTGCAGTGGCTCGATCTTGGCTCACTGCAACCTCCACCTGCGCAAGGATGACACAAACATTCATAAAGCATTCCATATTTAATTTTTAAAAAAAAATCAAAATTACTTAGTAAGGAAATATTCACTTAAGAAGTCCTAAATTAGATGGGATCCAGAGTTAATTAATTCAGCAGCTGGCTGGTGTCATCAAGGACCCAAGTTCTTTTTTTTTTGAGACAGACTCTCGCTCTGTCACCCAGGATGGAGTGCAGTGGCTTGATCTCGTCTCACTGCAACCTCCATCTCCCAGGTTCAAGTGATTCTCCTGCCTCAGCCTCCCGAGTAGCTGAGATTACAGGTCCACACCACCATGGCCAGCTAATTTTTGTATTTTTAGTAGAGATGGGGTTTCACCATGTTGGCCAGGCTGGTTTTGAGCTCCTGATCTCAGGTGATCTGCCTGCCTCAGCCTCCTAAACTGCTGGGATTACAGATGTGAGCCACTGTGCCCGGCCCAAGGGCCCAAGTTCTGTGCTCTTGCCACTCTGCTATCCTCAACTTGCTGGCTCATCTTCAGGCTGCCTTAGATCTAGCCACCCTGTCTGCTTTTTTTTAAGAGATATGGGTCTCGCTATGTTGCCCAAGCTGGTCTCAAACTCCTGGCCTTAAGTGATCCTCCCATGTTGGCCCTTTGAGTAGCTAGGATTACAGGCGGGAGCCACTATGCTAGGCCTGTTTACATATTAAAGTGAACCCATGTATTGGTCAGGATTCTTTTGGTTGCAAATGTCAGAAATCTAACCCAGACTAGCTGAAAAAAAGTAGTTCAAAGGGACTTCAGACATGTCTGGATCAAGGAGAGCATCAGAACTCTCTTTCCATCTTTCGGGGTTTATTTGATTTTGTTTGGCTTCATTCTCAAACAGGTAGCAAGATGGCTGCTGGTAGTGCCAAGCCATCACTGCTGTGTATCTTTTTTTTTTTTTTTTTTTTTTTGAGACGGAGTCTTGCTCTTTTGCCCAGGCTGGAGTGCACTGGCATGATCTCGGCTCACTGCAACGTCCGCCTCCTGGGTTCAAGCAATTCTTGTGCCTCAGCCTCATGAGTAGCTGGGATTACAGGTGCCCGCCACCATGCTCGGCTAGTTTTTGTGTTTTTAGTAGAGACAGGGTTTCACCATGTTGCCCAGGCTGGTCTCGAACTCCAGGGCTCAAGCGATCCACCCACTTCGGCTTTCCAAAGTGCTGGGATTACAGGCGTGAGCCACCGCACCCGGCCCACTGCTGCGCATCTTATAATGAGACAGAAAGAAAAAAAGATGGTGAGCGGGAAGGAAAAGAGAGAGAGACCGTCTTTCCTCTAATGTCCATATAATAAATATGAAGGATCTTATTAACTCACAGGCCTATCCCTGGACCAATCACCGGGGCCAAAAGAATACAGACTTTGGATTGGCCAGTCCTGGGTCTTCTGCCAAGACCCAAACCACAGGGACTGAGCTGGACTGGGGAGAGGAGGAACAATTTCCCATAGGAAGACAGGTCAAGCAATGAAAATGTGCCTGCCACACCCTAGAAGGCTGTAGAACATGAGGACATGAGCCATGTAGGACGTGAGGATGATGCCAGGGTTCCAGTGCAAGCTGAGACTTAAGGGTACCTTCCAAGAAACCAGGAGGAAAGAGCGCAAGGAACTGGAGTTTTTGGAGGGCTTAGTATGTGTGGACCCAAGAGCCCAGAGCTACTTGGAAGTGGCAGAAGCTGGGCTTAAACAATGTGTTTTTTAATTCCAAAGTCCATGCTGTTAGCACTGGAAGGACTAATCAAAGACAGTGGGGCTGAGACAGAGAGCAGCTTTATTCTTGTAATAGTGAGAGATGTCCGGGAGGCACTGTGGAGGGGGCACTTATCCCAGCCTGGGAACAGAAATCAGAGAAGACTTTCTGATCCCACTACTGGGTATCTACCCAGAGGAAAGAAAGTCATTATATGAAAAAGATACTTGCACACGCATGTTTATAGCAGCACAATTTGCAATTGCGAAAATATGGAACTAGCCTAAATGCCCATCAATCGATGAGTAGATAAAGAAAATGTGGTATATAGGCCGGGCGCAATGGCTCACGCCTGTAATCCCATCACTTTGGGAGGCTGAGGCGGGTGGATCACCTGAGGTCGGGGGTTCGAGACCAGCCTGACCAACATGGAGAAACCCTGTCTGTACTAAAAATACAAAATTAGCCAGGCGTGATGGTGCATGCCTGTAATCCCAGCTACTCGGAAGGCTGAGGCAGGAGAATTGCTTGAACCTGGGAGGCAGAGGTTGCGGTGAGCCAAGATTGCGCCATTGCACTCCAGCCTGGGCAACAAGAGGGAAACTCTGTCTCAAAAAAAAAAAAAAAGAAAAGAAAAAGAAAAAAGAAAGAAAAGAAAAAAAATGTGGTATATATATAATCCTAGCACTTTGGGAGGTTGAGGCAGGAGGATCACTCGAGCCCAGGAGCTGAAGACCAGCATAGGAAACGTGGTGAGACCCTGTCTCTACAAAAAAAAATTTTTTTACATTAGCTGTGTGTAGTGGCTTGTGCCTGGTGGTTGCAGCTATGGGGGAGGCTGGGGCAGGAGGATCACTTGAGCCTGGGAGGTCAAGGCTGCAGTGAGCCGTGTTCATGCCATTGCACTCCAGTCAGGGTGACAGAGTGAGATTCTGTCTCAAAAAAAAAAAAAAAAAAAATTGGAGTCAATCTTCTCGAACCTTGTTGGTGATTTATCAACTAAGTGTATGTAATATTTTAAATTCTTCATTGTCATTTCAACAGTGTTCACAGTATCTTCACCAGGAGTAGATTCTATCTTAAGAAACCACTTTCTGGCCAGGTGTTGTGACTCATGCCTGTAATCTTAGCATTTGGGGAGGCTGAGGGGGGCAGATCACTTGAGGTCAGGAGTTCAAGACCAGCCTGGCTAACATGGTGAAATCCCATCTGTACTGAAAATACAAAGAAATTAGCTTGGTGTGGCGGTGCACATCTGTAGTCCCAGCTCCTCAGGACGCTGTGGTGGCAGAATCTTGAACGTGGGAGGCAGAGGAAGAAACCACTTTCTTTGCTCATCCATAAGAAACAATTCCTCAACTGTTCAAGTTTTACCATGGATTTCAGCAATTCAGTTGCATCTCAGGCTCTACTTCTAGTTCTAGTTCTCTTGCTATTTGTACCACATCTGCAGTTACTTCCTCCATTGAAGTCTTGAATCCCTCAAAATTATCCATCAATTGACACATAAAATTAACAACAAAAATCATCCATGAGGGTTGAATTCAACTTCTTCCAAAACCACTGTTTACGTTGATATTTTGACCTCCTCCCATGAATGACAAATGTTCTTAATGGCATCTAGAATGGTGAATCCTTTCCAGAAGTTTTCAAATTTCCTTTTTTCCCAGATCAGGCCAGGTGCGGTGGCTCATGCCTGTAATCCCAGCACTGTGGGAGGCTGAGACCGGCAGATCACCTGAGGTCAGGAGTTCAAGACCAGCCTGGCCAATACAGGGAACCCCCATCTCTACTAAAAATACAAAAATTAGCCAGGCATGGTGCCACACGCCTGTAATCCCAGCTACTTCTGAGGCTGAGGCAAGAGAATTGCTTGAACCCAGGAGGTGGAGGTTGCAGTGAGCTGAGATTGTAACACTGCATTCCAGCCTGGGCAACAGAGCAAGACTCTGACTCAAAACAAAACAAAAACCCCAAAAAACAAATCCATCAGAGGAATCAGTATCTATGGCAGCTATAGCCTTATGAAATGTATTTCTTAGGTAATAAGACTTGAAAGTCAAGGCTGGGTGCGGTGGCTCATGCCTGTAATTCCAGCATCCCAGCACTCCGGGAGGCCAAGGTGGGTGGATGGCTTAAGCTCAGGAGTTCAAGACCAGCCTGGACAACAAAGTGAAACACACCGCTCCCCGCCGACCCCCCACGCCACCGCCGTCTCTACAAAAAAAAAAAAAATTAGCCGCTAATTTTTTTATTAGCAGGCTTAAAGGTTTTCTAAATACTGTGTGTGGCACTAGAAACTTCATGCTGTATCAAGTCAGTGTCAGTATTAAGCTACTGGACTCTATAATGAAATATTATAGATAGATATTTACTGAAAACCAATATAAAAATCTGGCCCAGAAAGACCAGAACAGAAATATGCAATTTTCTTGATTTAAGATGGTCAAAAGTGTGTGGGTTTTTTGTTTTTTTTTAAAGCTCTACACATGGCTTAAGACAGGTATGTGTAAGAAGCCTTTTTGTGTGTGCTGACTTTATCATGACAACTCTAGCTGATTCTTTATGAAGGATTACGGATACTCATCTTCAGCAGTGCACATGAGAAATAAACTCTGAAAAAGGCAATTTCTTAGGTTTAGGCAGGACCGTATTCTGGGAATTACTTCAGAGGAACGGACAGTAATTCTAGGATTATAGTCAAGAAGGACTTGAAGACTTCAGGAGATGCTTCAGCTTCTTCCAGATTTTGAATGCTGAATAAGCCACTGAAGTGTGATATCTATATTATCCTTTTCTTTGCAAGAAATTGAGGCTGGGCGCAGTGGCTCACACCTGTAATCCCAGCAGTTTGGGAGGCCGAGGCGGGTGGATCACGAGGTCAAGAGATCAAGACCATCCTGGCCAACATGGTGAAACCCCGTCTCTACTAAAAATACAAAAATTAGCTGGGCGTGGTGGCGGGTGCCCCTAGTCCCAACTACTCGGGAGGCTGAGGCAAGACAATCGCTTGAACCCGGGAAGCGGAGGTTGCAGTGAGCAGAGATCGTGCCGTTGCACTCCAGCTTGGTGACAGAGCGAGACTCCGTCTCAAAACAAACAAACAACAACAACAACAA
Organism: Homo sapiens; assembly: GCF_000001405.40. Taxonomy (NCBI): domain Eukaryota; kingdom Metazoa; phylum Chordata; class Mammalia; order Primates; family Hominidae; genus Homo; species Homo sapiens. The sequence goes on from NC_000001.11 coordinate 28,120,834, forward strand.
AAGAAATTGAATAGCGGCAAACTTCTCTATCCTCAATAGCACACAGGCTCATTTTTTCAATTAGCTGTTTCTCATCCAAGGCATTAGGAAGATCTCCCTTGTTTCCAAGCACTTAGCCCTGGAATTCCTCGCAACTGTGGTTTCTTAGAAGATTATGTAGCTCATTTCGGGAAGCTTCTATCTTTTCACGATCTGCAGCATCTGTCATGTAAACAATAGCATTGACTTCTCTGCAATACCGCTCCCACATGCTTCGAAATCGGGCTTGTCCTCCTATGTCCTAGATCTTTATTGTGACGTTACCTTGTTACTTCCCTCATGTTGAAGCCCACTGTGGGTATCATATCTTCACTGAATTGACCTGACGCGATGACATTGACAAAGGTGGTCTTGCCCGAGTACTGCAGCCCCACGAGCATCAGCTCCATCTCCTCCTTCCAGAAGAGCGAACGGAACCAGTCCAGCAGGCGGGAGATGAGTGCCAGCATGATGGCGGCCGGCAGCGAGGACGGACGGGAGGACGGAGAGTGGAGGCGACCACGACTTCCACACGAGCAGGCCTCCGCCCAGACCCCCCAACGGCTCCTTCGGGTCCCAGAGCAACACGGGCGGACCCCAGGGGGCGGCAGCTGCCTAGGGTTTTTTTTGGTTTTTTTGAGACGGAGTCGCGCTCAGTCGCCCAGGCTGGAGTGCAGTGGCGCAATCTCGGCTCACTGCCAGCTCCGCCTCCCGGGTTCCCGCCATTCTCCTGCCTCAGCCTCCCAAGTAACTGGGACTACAGGCGCCCGCCACCACGCCCGGCTAATTTTTTGTAGTTTTAGTAGAGACGGGGTTTCACCGTGTTAGCCAGGATGGTTTCAATCTCCTGACCTCGTGCTCCACCCGTCTCGGCCTCCCAAAGTGCTGGGATTACAGGCGTGAGCCACCGATCCCGGCCTCGATTTGTTAAAAAAAAAAAAAATCTACAGGCTGAGCACGATGGCTCATGCCTGTAATCCCAGCACTTTGGGAGGCTGAGGCAGGAGGATTGCTTCAGGCCAGGAGTTCAAGAAAAGTCTAGGCAACAAAGCGAGACTCTTGTCTCTACAAAAAATAAAAAAAATTAGCCAGGCGTAGTGGCATGCGCCTGTAGTCCCACCTAATGGGGAGGCTGAGCTGGGAGAATCACTTGAGCCCAGGAGGTGAAGGCTGCAGTGAGCTGTGTTTGCACCACTGCACTCCTGCCTGGGTGACAGAGGGAGACCCTATGTTAAACAAACAAACTCTACAAAGCGCAATAAAGTAAAACACAATAAAACAAAGTATGCCTGTATACAGAAGGATGTGTGTCGGTTATATGCAAATATTGCACTATTTTACATAAGATATTTCAGCATCCACATATTTTGGAATCATGGAGGCGCTAGAATCAATCCCTGGTGGATATCGAGGGATGACTGTGTATTCATTCAAGCAACAAAAAGAAAGCCTCATGGCTGGAGTAAGAGTCAGGGACAGTAGTGATTGGGCAAGAGCCAAATAACCATGGGGCTTGGTAAGGAATTTGGATGTTATTTTAGGCATAATAGGAAACTGGAAACTACTGAAAGGTTTTTTTGTTTTGTTTCATTTTGTTTTGAGACAAGGTCTCACTCTGTCACCCAGGCTGGAATGCAGTAGCACAATCACAGCTCACTGCAGTCTTCACATCTTGGGCTCAAGTGATCCTCCCATCTCAGCCTCCCGAATAGCTGGGATTACAAGCATGTACCATCACACCTGGCTAATTTTTGCATTTTTAGTAGAGATGGGGTTTCTCCATGTTGGTCAGGCTGGTCTCGAACTCCTGGCCTCAAGTGACCTGCCCGCCTCGGCCTCCCAAAGTGCTGAGATTACAGGCGTGATCCACCACGCCCCACCATGGAAACTACCAAAAGGCTTTGTACAGAGAAACAACACGATATTTTTTATTTATTTATTTTTATTTTTTGGAGACAGGTTCTGGCTCTTCCACCCAAGCTAGAGTGCTGTGGTGTGATCAAGGCTCACTGCAACCTCATTCTCCTGGGCTCAAGTGATCCTTCCACCTCAGCCTCCCAAGTAGCTGGGACCAGAGGCATGTGCCACTGTGGCCCACCAATTTTTTCTTTTTTATGGAGATGGGGTCTCACTGTGTTGCCCAGGCTTACAATCTATGATTTTTTCAAGACAGGGTCTCACTCTGGGCTGGAGTGTAGTCCCATGATCAAAGCTCACTGCAGCCAGGTGCGGTGGCTCACGCCTCTAATCCCAGCACTTTGGGAGGCTGAGGCGGGCAGATCATAAGGTCAGGAGATCCAGACCATCCTGGCTAACACGGTGAAACCCTGTCTCTACTAAAAATACAAAAAATTAGCCGGGCATGGTGGCAGGCACCTGTAGTCCCAGCTACTCAAGAGGCTGAGGCAGGAGACTGGCGTGAATCCGGGAGGCAGAGCTTGCAGTAAGCCGAGATCACACCACTGCACTCCAGCCTGGGCGACAGAGTGAGACTCTGTCTCAAAAAAACAAAAACAAAAACAAAAACAACTCACTGCAACCTGGAACTCCTTGGCGCAAGCAATCCTCTCGCCTCAGCCTCTGGAGCAGCTGGGGTAACAGGCACAAGTCACTGTGCCTGGCTCAACAACACAATCTTATTACATTATTAAAAGATCACTCTAGCCGCTGTGCTAAGAATGGATTGTGTAGGAGGTAAGGGGAGAAGTGGAGAGAATGTTGCAATAGTCCAGGCGAGAGAGAATGATGGCTACAACAGGAGCAGCAGTGGAGGGGGTGGTGAGGAGGAGCAGGAGTCTGGATTTATTTGGAAGGTTCCATTTCCTGGTTTTAGTTCCTCATCAGACCTGTCTACTTCCTGCCCCCGTGTTCATCCAAATTTCCCCCTTTTTCCTCCCTCTAAATGTCCATTCTGCTTAGGCTAGCGTATGGGAAGGATTCTGCTATTTGCAACCAAACCATCCTGACTAGGCACCTTGGCTCTCCAGACTGATCTAATTCACCACTCCCCATGACATGACCTGGTTTCATGCTCCCTGTGTTAAGCAAAGTGTTTTCTGTTGTGAGTAATACACACAGGAATTAACAAACCTCCTGTGGGTAACATTTCTTCAGGAGAATTTTCAAAGGAAGCAGTCCAAGATTTTGTTTGTTTTTTTTTTTTTGAGATGGAGTCTCGCTCTGTCCCCCACGCTGGAGTGCAGTGGCGTGATCTCGGCTCCCTGCAACCTCCGCCTCCCGGGTTCAAGCGGTTCTTCTGCCTCAGCCTCCCGAGTAGCTGGGACTACAGGCGCCCGCCACCATGCCTGGCTAATTTTTTGTATTTTTAGTAGAGACGGGGTTTCACCATGTTAGCCAGGATGGTCTCGATCTCCTGACCTCGTGATCCGCCCGTCTCGGCCTCCCAAAGTGCTGGGATTACAGGCGTGAGCCACCGCGCCCGGCCAGCAGTCCAAGATTTATTTTATGATGTGGGAAAAATGCTTAAATCATATGTCACCTCCAGTTGTACCTACAACATTAGATAAGAGGTAGAGATCATAGTAAGAGGTGCCAGCTGGGCACGGTGGCTCATGCCTGTAATCCCAGTGCTTTGGGGGGCTGAGGTGGGTGGATCACCTGAGGTCAGGAGTTCGAGACCAGCATGGCCAACATGGCAAAACCTCGTCTCTTCTAAAAATACAAAAATTAGCCAGGTGTGGTGGTGCACGCCTGTAATCCCAGCTACTCAGGAGGCTGAAGCAGGAGAATCTCTTGAACCCAGTGAGCCAAGATCCTGCCATTGCACTCCAGCCTGGGCTATAAGAAGAAAACTCCATCACAAAAAAAAAAAAAAAAAAAAAAAAAAGAGGTGCTAAAATATATAGCCAATACTCGGCGGGTGTGGTGGCTCAGGCCTATAATCCTGACCTCAAGGGATCCACCCACCTCGGCCTCCCAAAGCACTGGGATTACAGCAAAGTGCTGGGATTACAGCAAAGTGCTGGGATTACAGGCATGAGTCACTACACCTGGCCTCCATTAATATGTATGTATGTATGTATGTATTTTTTTTTTTTTTTTTTGAGACGGAGTTTCGCTCTTGTCGCCTAGGCTGGAGTGCAATGGCACGATCTCGGCTCACTGCAACCTCTGCCTCCCAGGTTCAAGTGATTCTCCTGCCTCAGCCTCCCGAGTAGCTGGGATTACAAGTGCCCGCCACCACGCCCAGCTAATTTTTGTATTTTTAGTAGAGACAGGGTTTCACCATGTTGGCCAGGCTGGTCTCAAATTCCTGACTTCAGGTGATCCATCCACCTCGGCCTCCCAAAGTGCTGGAATTACAGGCATGAACCACTGCTCCCGGCCTAATATTTCTTAAACACCTAGCATCTGTCAGAAGCTAGGGATACAACAATGACAGAGACAGATATGTTCCCCGCCTCCATGGAGTTTATATTTTAGTAAGAAAGACAGACAGTAACAAGTAAAAATGCCAAAGAAGAAAAACGCGAAGCAATGCAAGTGATAATCTAATGAAGGAAAAAAGCAAGGAGTTGCTAAGATGGAAAAAAAGACTAATTCTTGTGAAGTTAAATACAATTAGCTTGAACTCACAGCCCTTGGAGAGTGAGAAACAAGAGTCCCTCTAGTATTTCAGCATGTAGTTGAGGATGGAGGGCAATGAATCTCTGGCTTCTGGTCTACTCTGGCTCCAGTTCCCGTCTCTTGGATTCTTAACTCCCTGCCATCAACCAGATTCCTGGGATGAACAAGCAAGACATTGAGAATCGTATAGTACCACCTGGTTCTGTACTCGAGCCCATTATCAGCATTTTTTTTTCCTGGCAGATCATTTTCCACCATTCCTTTCCATCAGTGGGCTTCCTAGGGTTGATGGCATACTGAATCCTCCCTAAGCCAGCCACACCCTCTTGTCTAGAACTGTCCTCAGAGTATGGGCAGAATAGTATAGGGGTTCAGAATCCCCACCCTGCCACTTACTAACTATGTAACCAGAAGCAAGCGACTTAAGTCTCTCTATGCCCCAGTTTTCTAGTCTTTTTTTTTTTTTTTTTTTTGGAGACGGAGTCTTGCTCTGTCACCCAGGCTGGAGTGCAATCGTGTGATCTCGGCTCACTGCAACCTCCGCCTCCCAGGTTCAAGCAATTCTCTGCCTCAGCCTCCCAAGTAGCTGGGATTACAGGCGCCCGCTACCACACCTGGCTAATTTTTTGTATTTTTAGTAGAGACGGGTTTTCACCATCTTGGCCAGGCTGGTCTTGAACTCCTGACCTCATGATCCACCCTCCTCAGCCTCCCAAAGTGCCAGGATTACAGGTGTGAGCCACTGCACCTGGCCTTTCTGGTTTTAAAATGGGATTATTAATATTCCTAACCTCATAGAGTTAATAGATGTAAAGCATTTAGAGTCGTGTCTGGCTTATTAATAAATGTTAGCAATCATTCTTATTTAGCACTTTTCCATGGAAGGCACTGCAATAGCTACCTTATGTACTATAGCTCATTGAATCTTCTCAAGGTCATGCAAGGCAAGTGGTATTACCCCATTTGCAGATTGGAACACTGAGGCTCAGAGTGGTCAAGGCATTGTTTTGCTCAAGTTTCCACAACCAAGAAGTAGCTGACCTGGGATTTAAACCTGGGAAGGTGACATTGAATATTTCCCCCTCCTTCCTCCACATTATTCTGCCTACCCCGGAGACGAGTTTCACACCTCCTTTCCTCAGCCTCTCTTGGTCTTGGGTGAATTCATCCTCTTTCCAAGACATGTTTTGCCAGTCAAGCCCTTGAAGGTCCTTTCAGGTCCATGAAGCTGATTGCTTTTAAATGTAGGTCCCTTAGGAGATGACTTCATCTCAATCTTCCAATCCTCTCATTTTATATATAGAGAGAAACTTAGTCTCACCATCTTTTATAATTTTCTACAGAAATTAAAGTTTCTCTTCTGAATTATAAAGTCATGATAAAACGTATCTTCCAAAGGACGTAGGAATTGATCTGAAATTTCATCAAAAGTTTATCTCAAACGTTAAATCATGATCATTCTGGGGCACTTCCACATTCCAGATCTACAAGTGTCAAAGCTAAGGGAACTGAACAAAATATATAGAACTGTATATCTCAGAAAAGAGAAGTAGCAGCAGTTGACAGGAAGAGCAACATCCTCAATTTTCAAGATATTTACAAAGTTTGTGTGTGTTTTTCTCTTCCTAAGTTCCCTCTTCAAAGAAAATTATTCCTCCCCAGTTCCAATAAACTTTTGCTGACCAGCACAACCTGTCCACCTTTGCTATTAAAGGGACAAAAAGTAAGTCAGCTATGAGGCACCTTATATATTAGTAAAAACTAAAAATAATTATAACAGTCAGTGCTGGCAAGGATATGACAAAACTAGTATTTACATAATTTGCTGGTGGTGGTGTAACTGTCACAACCCTTCAAAAAGAACTTTGGCAATATATTTCACCGGGTGGTAATTCCTTTCCCAGAACTTTATTATAACTAAATTATAATAAAGGGGAAACAAAGTAGCAAAAACCTGGAAATGACTTGCATGTCACGTGTTTTGAGCACTTACTTTGTAGCAGGTTCTATGTTATACACTCAACACAAATAATCTCATTTAATCCTCAAAACAATTCTAGGAGGGATATGCTATTTTACTCCTTGTATTCTGAATGGGGAAACTGGGACTACAAGGAATAAAGTAATTTTCCCATGGCTCAACAGCTGTAGGGCAAGGGAGGGTTTAAATCATTGAGGAACAATGAAGATACAGAATTCTTCTTCCTTCTACAGTAGTGTATGGAGAAGGGGCATGGATGGCCACTTCTCAAGCCTCTACAATGTGCTAGTTACTGTAGATTGGTTGTCTCATTAAAGCCTCTCATCTTCAAGATAGGAGATCAATAGACTCTTTGACAAGTGTGGAAACTGATACTAAGAAAGGGGAAGTGGTCAACTCAGTCAGACAACAAGTGATCACTGTCCCAGAATTCTAGCCCAGCATGTCTGATTCTAGAGTCCATGCTCCTTCCTCAGGCTGTCTCTTTAAGAAAGACTCAAAATATAGTAACTGAAGTCAATTCAGGCATGGGGAATGTTGGGCTGGTGGAGATGGGGAGGATGTTTGACCGCTGAGCCTAGAGGACACTGACCTATCTCCAGAGGCACTTTCTGGGAAATCAGACAGCCCTAGGTTTGGGATCCAAGGAGGAGTGGGAACATGGTATAGCCTTAGCAGGTCTTTAACCGAGGCAGCTAAGAGGCAGGTAATATGCAAAGTCTGAGGCTATGTTCAGTCACAACTGGAGAACTAAATAGAAAAATTGAGGCAGAATCTCAGTCAAGGACCATAGCAGCATGGGAGAAGAAGAAGACGGCAGCATTGTGATTTGTGGGTTTCCAGAAGTACCCTCCAATACTCCATGGCCTTTTCCTTTTTTTTTTTTTTTTTTTGTAATTCAACTTTAAGTTCTGGGGTACATGTGCAGGATGTGCAGGTTTGTTACACAGGTAAACATGTGCCATGGTGGTTTGCTGCATAGATCAAGCCATCACCTAGGTATGAAGCCCCCCCTCCATTAGCTATTCTTCCTGATGCTCTCCCTCCCCACTCCATGGCCTTTTCTGTGTCCACAACGGCTTTCCCCACAGGAGAAAAGGGGCAAGATCACAGACCATGACAATATCTTGCCCCTTTCTAGGGATCACCCTCCTGTCCACCAGACCAGAAGCAAATGGATACAGGAGGCAAAACTGGTCCTGGGGCCGGGCGCGGTGGCCCACATCTGTAATCCCAGCACTTTGGGAGGCCAAGGCAGGCAGATCACGAGGTCAGGAGTTCAAGACCAGCCTGACCAACATGGTGAAACCCCGTCTCTACTAAAAATACAAAAAAAATTAGCTGGGTGTGGTGGTGTGTGCCTGTAATCCCAGCTACTCAGGAGGCTGACTCAGGAGGCTGAGGCAGAAGAATCACTTGAACCCGGGAGGCGGAGGTTGCAGTGAGCTGAGATCGCGCCACTGCACTCCAGCCTGGGCGACAGAGTGAGACTCCATCTCAAAAAAACAAAAAATAAAAATGGTCCTGGAATCTCCCACCCCACCTAACCACACCCACGCCCTTGCTGGGCTTGGTCCAGGATGTAAACTGGGTGGGCTGACAGGAGAGACCTCGAAGGAAGGGGCTGGGAAGGCTGAGGAAGCAGACTCAGGGGAAGAAAACTCCTCATCACGGACTTGTTCTCTGCCCTGGGATGTTAGCACATGAAACAAGAGGCTCCATTCACATCTCCAAGACTCTTGCCCTCTGTTCCCTTAAGCCCATAGCACACCTTTCCTTCCTTCCTGTGTAGATCACAAGGGGACCAGGGAAGGGATTGCACAGCAGGATACAAATGAGGAAAACTGGGCTCAAGCTTCTGTTCCACCCACAAGGGCCACTGTGCCCTGAGTCATGTTCCCAGCAACGAGAAAACCTAGAGTGCATCCAGGGGTGAAATCTTCCTGGGGAAAGGCACTCAAGATGGATGATTCACTCTCCTGAGTGCAGAATGAGGTGTCAAGGTGTGTGGTTCTAAGAACCTTGTCAAACAGATCAGACTCACCTTGGAAAGACAGTGCCTCCACCCCAGAGGCACCATCTCCCATAGTCAGCCCCAGCCCAGCCAAGGTGGATGAAGATGACCAGATTCTGGGGAACAGAGGGCAAGAAGAATGGGAAGTATGAAAATACCCAGTACTGGCTGGCCGCGTTGGCTCACACCTGTAATCCCAGAACTTTGGGAGGCCAAGGCGGGCAGATCACCTGAGGTCAGGAGCTCAAGACCAGCCTGGCCAACATGGCAAAACCCTGTCTCTACTAAAAATGCAAAAATTAGCCAGGCGTGGTAGCACATGCCTGTAATCCCAGCTACTCGGGAGGCTGAGGCAGGAGAATCGCTTGAACCCGAGAGGCAGAGGTTGCAGTGAGCCAAGATTGTGCCACTGCACTCCAGCCTAGGTGACAGAGCCAGACTCCATCTCACACACACACACACACACACACACACACACACACAAAAGATAATGTTTACTTAGTACTCACTGTGTGTCAGGTATTATTCTATGCCTTTTACTTAATCCTTAGGGCAACCCCATGCAGTAGATGATAATGTCACTCCCATTTTACAGATGAGAACCAGGTCACAGAGAAGTTCAATGACTCACCCAGGGTCACACAGCTACTAAGTGGCAAGGCCAGAATCTGAACCAAGGTAGTCTGGCGCCAGAGACTGTGCCCATAACCATTTCACCAGTGATTACCTAGCTATGCCTAGCTGGTCATCTAGTGATTACCTAGTTATGCCTAAGGAATAACCTGGAATGGGGGTTTTATCCTTCTCTCTTGCTGCATATCAGCACTCTGTGGCAGAAAATGGTCATAGGCAGCTCCTGAGTTCCTATCTCCCCTATTTAAGACTGAACCTGGAATTCCAGATTCCCAGGAAAGGGACTCTGATGGGCCAGTGCGAGTCAGATCCATCCATACCCCTAATCCAATCAGTCGGGCAGGGTTGAGGGACACAGATTCACATAGTTATAGAAGCCCCATCGTATCAATCATGTGACAACGGCAGGGACGATTACCAGAAAGATGGGGAGGATGCACTGAAAAGTCACCGCAAAAGGTTTCCACTGTAGGAAACTGAGGCTCAGGGAGTTGAACAATTTGCTCAAGATCACCCAGAGTTAATGAAGCCCAGATTCTAACTCATTTTGTTTTTTTCCTCCAAATCTAGGTCCTTTTCTCCATACCACCCAGCCTCCCCACAAAAAGGGAGATACCTTGGTTAGATGCCTAAGGTAAGTTCACAAGTTAATTTTCATTTAACCAGTGTTCTTTAAGCACCTGTTATGTATCAGGCACTGTTCTAGGCACTGAGGTTACATAAACAGATAAAATCTTGTCTGAAATAAAGGCAAGGTAAAAAACAAAAAACGACAACAGAGAATGAAGGCGCCAGCTCTCGTGGAGCTGACATTCTACTGAATCCCTTGAGTGAGGACAGAGGCCTCTCCTCAAGAACTGCTCCTTCAGCTGGGTCCCAGGTGGTGTGAAACATGGAGAGAACTTGGGTTTTGATGTCTGTTGTAGACATTGGCTCCTTTTATTGGCATGAACTATTCCCTTGTAGATTGCACAAGTGGCACCGATTCTTCACCTTTCTCTGTATCCACACCCTTTGTCACAAAACTTCGCGGTGCTCTGATTCTGGGCTTAGTCATGTGACTTGCAGTGGCTCGTGCCTGTAATCCCAACACTTTAGAAGGCTGAGGTGGGAGAATCATTTCAGCGCAGGAGTTCAAGATCAACCTGAGAAACAAAATGAGACCCAGTCTCTACATATAATAAAGTTTAAAAAAAAATTAGCTGAGCCCTGCGTGGTGGCTCATGCCTGTAATCCCAGCACTTCGGGAGGCCGAGGCAGGCGGATCATGAAGTCAGATCGAGACCATCCTGGCTAACACGGTGAAACCCTGACTCTACTAAAAATACCAAAAATTAGCCGGGCGTGGTGGTGGGCGCCTGTAGTCCTAGCTACTCGGGAGGCTGAGGCAGGAGAATGGCGTGAACCCGGGAGGCAGAGGTTGCAGTGAGCCGAAATCACGCCACTGCACTCCAGCCTGGGTGACAGAGCGAGACTCCGTCTCAAAAAAAAAAAAAAAAAAAAAAAAAATTGGCTGAGCATGGTGGTGCATACCTGTAATCCTAGATACTTGGGAGGCTTAGCCAGGGGTGATACCCGTGGGCTAAGGGAGGTCCCCAAATGTCAGTGGGACCTCAACCCCGGCCAGTGTCCAGGTTCTTGACCCCATCACAAGAAGGAATTAAAGGATGAATCAAAAAACAGTGAAAGTAGGCTGGACGTGGTGGCTCATGCCTGTAATCCCAGCACTTTGGGAGGCTGAGGCAGGCGGATCACTCGAGGCCAGGAGTTCAAGACCAGCCTGGGCCAGATGGTGAAACCCTGTCTCTACTAAAAATACAAAAATTAGTTGGGTGTGGTAGTGCACACCTATGGTCCCAGCTACTCAGGAGGCTGAGGTGGGAGAATTGCTTGAACACAGAAGGTGGAAATTGCAGTGAGCCAAGATAACCCCACTGCCCTCCAGCCTGGGCAACAGAGGGAGACCCTATCTTAAAAAAACAGTGAAAGTAGGGCGATTTATTGTAAAGTGAAAAGTACACACCCAGGAGAGGGGAGTAAGGGTGGACTCAAGAGAAAGTGCCACACAGTAGAGTTTGAGGTTTCTACCTTTATGGGTTTCTTTAACCAAGAGGTTGAATATTCATTAAGATTCCTGGAAAAAGGTGAAGATTTCTTGGAACTGTGGTGCCACTCATTTTTACACCTAATATGGGTGTTCTCAGAACTGTCACAGCGCTGGTGGGTGTGTAATTTGTATGTTAATAAGCATATAATGAGGTCCTGGGAGAAACCTAGGTCAAATCCAGTTTCACGTTGGGTCCAGTTGGTCTCAGCCAGCTTGGCCCACACCCTGGTTTTTCAGGGTCTTATCCCCTAGCTTCTGCAGCTATTTCAACGGTTTCATTTTGCTAGTCATGTGAAACTGCTGCCTGGAGTTTTCTATTCTCCTGTGACCACCGTGTATTATTCTTGTCTCAGGAGGATTGTTTGAGCCTGGGAGGTCAAGACTGCAGTGAGCTGCCATCGCACCACTGCACTCCAGTCTGGGCGATAGAGCAAGCAAGACCCTGTTTCAAAAAAAAAAAAAAAAGGCATGCAGTTCATATAGCGTTTTTACTTAGCAGCCTCCACCTAGTGAAACCGTCTTTGCAAAAATTATAACAGTGAAAGCGATCTGATCTAACCAACCTCCCTATCTTGCCTTTAACCTCCAATCTGCCCTTGGTCATTCCTGGACTTGGGCCAAGCTAACTTTGGGAGAAATTTAGTTTATAGCTTAAATGATAATAGCCCTTCTCCCAAACGAAATCACCTTGGTAAAACTAATGAAAGACCACCAGGTTAGGAGGATAAGAGAAGCCTGAATTCGGCTAAGATGTAGGCATAAATGATTACCAGCCATTACTCCAGAGGTCACAAGATTTGCAACTTCCTCAATTACTCCTGCAGATAACATCATTATTGTAGAACCTAAGATTGGCTTTGAGTTGTCTTTTCAGGCCTTTGCATTTCTTTTCTCTCTCTCTCTCTCTCTTTTTTTTTTTTTTTTTTTGTTGTTGTTGTTGAAACAGGGTCTTGCTCTGTTATCCAGGCTGGAGTGCAGTGGCATGATCATAGTTCACAATAGCCTCAACCTCCTGGGCTCAAAGGATCCTTCTGCCTTAGCCTCCCCAGCTGGGACTATAGGCATGCACCACCACACTCCGCTAATTTTTTTTTATTTTTAGTAAAGATAGGGTCTCACTATGTTGCCCAGGTATGTCTTGAACTTCTGAACCCAAGCTATCCTCCCACCTTGACCTCCCAAAGTGCTGGGATTACAGGCATGAGCCACTGCACCCAGCCGGCTTTTGCATTCCTGATGACCCGATGGCCCCACTGGACCCACCGACTGGATTTTGGCCCCCACCCATAAGCAGACTCAGCATGCTAGGACCATTTTCCACACCTCTATAATTGCATCCCAGCCAATCAGCAGCACCCATTCCCTAGCCACCCACCTCCCTGCCAAAGGTTATCTTTGAAAAACCTTAGCCTCCAATTTTTCAAGGATACTGCTTTGAGTAATGATAAAACGCTGGTGTCCTGTTTAGCCAGTTCTACATGTGTGAGACTCTTCCTCTATTGCAATTCCCCTATCTCGATAAATCAGCTCTATCTGGGCAGTGGGCAAGAAGAAACCACTGGGCAGTTAAACTAGCAACCTCCATTTAACCCAAAACAAAGGGCCTCCATCCCCCGCACAGTCTGTGTTCCAAGGGATGGGCCAGGGGTTTCAATGTCCTTCATAGATAAGGAGTGAATCTCTGGCTTGGCCACTCCCAGATCCCTCTTGGATCATAGGGTAATTCATAGGGTATGCTTATATTATGACTGTCAGGTGTGTCTGCCATACAACCCTTCTCACACCCCTGCCATCACCCATGAGAACATGCCAGACTTTCCTACTGAAGGAACAGACCCAGATGCCCTAGTCTTCCCAGCCAAGGTCAGACTAAATCAATCAACAGCCAGCCAACCTCCAGATGTGTAGCATGTCCAAAGCAGAACAGCAGAGCTGTCTAGCTGATCACCAGATGTATGAGTGATCTGTGATGAACGATGAATGTTTAAATGCTTCCGAAGCATGTGATTATTTGCTATTTATCACTGTTGTGGAAATAGATAACTGAAATAACCTCCTCTATCCCAATAATGTGTTAATTTCCTTTGTAGCCTTGATTGAAAAGTAACTCCAGATGACCCATTTCATTAAATAATCCATGGAGGACAGGGCCAGAGTTGATTCCATCAGACACCCTCTCCTGAGAATCTGAATTTTGAAACAGTGCGGGCAGGATAGGAGATCTTGTTGGAAATCATTCATCATGGTGGTAGTGGCAGCACTCAGGTGAAAATGTGCCTGCAACCTGATCCTAGGCCTTCCAACTCTCCTTTGGTTCCTGTGTATCCCCAAGCTTGCTTCTCCAGCTACCTACAACTTATTTGAGCCCCACCCACATCCTTCCAATAAATTCTATTTTGCTAAAAATAGGCAGAGGCGATGTCTGTTGCTTGCAACCAAGTATCCTAACTGCTACTCCACCATGTAGACCCTAATTCAAGTCCCAGGCCTGCTATTATACTTAGCAGCTGATCCTTGTCCAGGAATTGTACCCCGCCATTATCATGGGCCCAGGTTCCTTCTATCACTGTTCTACTATTGTGGCCCATAGCTTTCACCTTCAAAGTCACTTCAAGGCATAAGATGGCTGCAGGAGCACCAAATTCCAGGCAAGGAAAAAAAAAGGAGGGAAGAGCAGAAGGGGATTATAGCTGAGTAAGCTTCTTTGAAGCACTATTTCCAGATGACCTATCAACTCTTTCACTTTTAGGAGACCAGAATATTCTACCTCCCCACCTCCAAATATGCCTCTTTTGCATAAGGACTATTCTGAGCTGAAGGCAATTGAGAAGAAGCAGATACAACAAAAGGTCTCTACCCTCCCCCATTAGCCTAAAAGCAAGACATAAGTTTACAAAGGCAAAGGTGTCCTTCCTCCCCTCCCAACCACGAGAAACAGAGGTTGATCTCTGAAGACAACTTTAGACCCTCATTTGCTGGAAGAAGACACCAAAGGAATCTATGTGACAAACTTTACTAACTAGCCTTTACCTACTATTTATTTGCCTTCCCCAAATTTGCTTCCCCAGGGGACTCAAAAGTCCTTTTCTGGCCAGGCACGGTGGCTCACACCTGTAATCCCAGCACTTTGGGAGGCCGAGGTAGGTGGATCACCTGAGGTCAGGAGTTCGAGAGCAGCCTGGCCAACATGGTGAAACCTCGTCTCTACTAGAAATACAAAAAATTAGCCAGGCGTGGTTGTGGGTGCCTGTAATCCCAGCTACTCGGGAAGCTGAGGCAGGAGAATCACTTGAACTCGGGAGGCGTAGGTTGCAGTGAACCAGGATTGCGCCACTGCACTCCAGCCTGGTCAACAAGAGCGAAACTCCGTCTCAAAAAAAAAAAGTCCTTTTCCTTTGCCTTGTCACTTTTCCAAAACTTTACTGTTCTTTGTTGAAAATTCTCCATAAGCCTGAATTCAAAGCCACCTCTTTGCGACTTACTCAACCCCTGGGTAGCTCTCTTGTGAACATGAGGTATGCATGTTAATAGACTTCTGTTTATTTTTCTCGTCTTCTGTTACCAGGTTGTGTCCTAGTTAAGAACTATGAAGGGTAAAAGAGGAAGTTCTTTTTCCTCCCCTACAACTTACAGCTCATTGACCATAACTTAGTCACAGGGCTACACCTAGCTATAAGGAATGTAATCTTTCGGCTAGGTGCATTGCCAGCACCTAGATTAAAAACAGGGTTCTTCTACTTAGGAACAGGGAGACAATAGATATTAGGCAACACGCCTTCTTGCTGCAGCTAATTGCTCATGTTCAACAGTATGTATAATAATTCTTAACAGATTATAAAATGATTTCCTCTCCATTACCTTCCCAAGTTGGGCGGTGGTTTGTGCCTGTAAATCTCAGCTACCCAGGAGGCTGAGGCAGGAGGATCATTTGAGGCCAGGAGTTTGAGTCTATTACCTCCCCAGAGCCTCCTAACATATTCGTGCAGTAGTTGCCATTATCTTCATTTTTACAACTGGGGAAACTGAGGTTCAGAGATAGACAATCAGTTACCTAAGGCCAAACAACTAGTGACGTCAGAACTAGGAGACAAATCCAGCTCTAACTCCAAGGTCCATGGTCTTCCCCATTGCCCCTCTTGCCCTCCTGAGCTTCTTTTGGCTGCTGCTGTAGTTAAAGGTCATTTATTGTGAAACATCCCTAATGTTAGGAGCCATTAACAGGCCACACATAAGATCAAGTGTAAGCAAATTGACTATGGAGAGCTGTCGTCTTCTCTTTCCTTTCTAGTGCTCCTCTCTCTCTCCCCAGTGCCCACAGAATACATGAATGTATGTGAAGTTACTTCTGGAATGCTGCCCTCTCCGGCCAACCTGTAGCCTGGGGCAACATTTGTGCCCACTGGGCTGATAAGGGAGGGACATCAGCAGTTACCTAAGGAGAGACAAGCTCTCTGTAATTCAAGAACAATCAATGACCCATCCCAAGTGTTAAATTATCCACATCTTAGAAGAGTGAAGAGAAGGGAATTGACATTATACCCATTTTACATATAAGGAAACTGAGGCAAATGCCCAGGATCACATAGCCAGCAAGTGTCAGGCCTGAGATTCAGGATGATCTCGATCTCCTGACCTCGTGATCCTCCTGCCTTGGCCTCCCAAAGTGCTGGGATTATAGGCGTGAGCCACCGCACCTGGCCCAGAGTTTTATTATTACTCAAATCAGTCTCCCCGAGCATGTGGGGATCAGAGATTTTAAGGATAATTTGGTGAGCTGGGGAAGGCCAGTGAGATGAGAGTGCTGATTGGTCAGGTCAGTGATGAAATCATGGGAAGGTGAAGCTGTCCTCTTGGGCTGAGTCAGTTCCTGGCGGGGGGGCCACAGATCAGATGAGCCAGTTTATAGATCTGGATGGTGCCAGCTGATCCATAAAGTGCAGGGTCTGCAAAATATCTTAAGCACTGATCTTAGGAACAGTTTAGGGGAGGTCAAAATCTTGTAGCCTCCAGCTGCATGACTCGTAAACCATAATTTCTAATCTTGTGGCTAATTTGTTAGTCCTACAAAGGCAGTCTAGTCTTCAGGCAAGAAGGAGGTTTGTTTTGGGAAAGGGCTGTTATTGTCTTTGTTTTAAACTATAAACTAAGTTCCTCCCAAAGTTAGTTCAGCCTGTGCCCAGGAAGGAACAAGGACAGCTTAAAGATTAGAAGCAAGATGGAGTCGGTGAGGTTAGATCTCTCACTGTCTCAGTCATAATTTTGCACAGGCAGTTTCAATCCCCTCTTCCCTTTGTGTAAGTTTTTTTTTAATTGTGGTAACATATAATGTACCATTTTAACCATTAAGTATACAGCTCAGCACATTAAGAATATTCGTATTGCTGTGCAACCATCACCACCATGCATTTCCAGAACTTTGACCTTTCCAAATTGAAACTTTGTACCCATTAAACACTAACTCTCCATTTCCCGTTCTCTCCATGGCAATCATTGTTCTACTTTCTGTCTCTACAAATTTGACTACTCTGGGTACTGTATATAAGTGGAATCATACAATATTTGTCCTTTGTATCTGGCTTATATTATTTAACATAATGTCTTCAAGGTCCTTCCATCTTTGTAGCAAATGTCAGAATTTCTTTCCTTTTTAAAACGGATTAATTTTTTGTTGTTGTTGTCAGAGTGGTGCTCTGTCACCCAGGCTGAAATGCAGTGGCGTGATCTTGGCTCATTGCAACCTCTGCCTCCTGGATTCAAGCAATTGTCCTGCCTCAGCCTCCTGAGTAGCTGGGATTACAGTTACACATCAACATGCCCAGCTAATTTTTTTTTTTGTATTTTTAGTAGAGATGGGGTATCTCCATGCTGGCCAGGCTGGTCTCAAACTCCTGGCCTCAAGTGATCCACCTACCTTGGCCTTCCAAGATGGTGGGATTACAGGCGTGAGGCACAGCTCCCACCAATTTTTTTTTTTTTTTTTTGAGACAGGGTCTTGCTCTGTCACCCAGGCTGGAGTGCAGTGGCACAACCACAGCTCACTGCAGCCTTGATCTCCTGAGCTCAAGTGATCCTCCTGCCTCAGCCTCCTTGAGTAACTGGGACTACAGGTGCATGCCACTTTACCCAGCTAATTTTTTTTTTTTAAGTAGAGATGAGGTCTTTCTATTTTGCCCAGGCTGATCTCAGACTCCTAGTCTCAAACGATCCTCCTGCCTTGGCCTCCCAAAGTGCTGGGATTGAGTCATGAGCCACCACTCATGGCCTGAATAATGTTTAATTGCGTGTCTATACCATATTTTGTTCATTCATTCCTCAGTGGACATTTGCGTCACTCCCACCTTTTGGGTATTGTGAATAATGTTACTACGAATATCTGCTTGAGTCCCTGTTTTCAATACTTTGGGGTTTGTACTCAGAAGTGAATCACTAGATCAAATTAACTGGGTGTGGCGGCACACACCTGTAGTCCCAGCTACTGGGGAGGCTGAGGTGGGAGGATCCCTTGAGCCCAGAACTTTGAGGCTGCAGTGAACCGTGATGGTGCCTCTGTACTCCAGCTTGGGTGACAGAGTGAGACTCTCGTCAAAAAAAAAAAAAAAAGAAGAAGAAGAAGGAATTACTAGATTAAACGGTGATTCTTTCTTTTTTTTTTTTTGAGATCGGGTCTCGCTCTGTTGCCCAGGCTGGAGTGCAGTGGTGCAA
This sequence comes from Homo sapiens, assembly GCF_000001405.40. Taxonomy (NCBI): domain Eukaryota; kingdom Metazoa; phylum Chordata; class Mammalia; order Primates; family Hominidae; genus Homo; species Homo sapiens. Next base: position 28,138,876 of record NC_000001.11, read on the forward strand.
TCTTGGCTCACGGCAACCTCCACCTCCCGGATTCAAGCAATTCCCCTGCCTCAGCCTCCTGAGTAGCTGGGACTGACTACAGGCACCTGCCACCACACCCAGCTAATTTTTTTGCATTTTTAGTAGAGATGGGGTTTCACCATGTTAGCCAGGATGGTCTCGATCTCCTGACCTCGTAATCTGCCCGCCTCAGCCTCGCAAAGTGCTGGGCTTACAGGCGTGAGCCACTGTGCCTTGCCCACAGTTTCCAATTTTTAAACATCCTTGCCAACACTTGTTTTCTGTTTTTATCTCATAGTGATTTTGATTTGCTTTTCTCTACAGATTAGTCATATTGAGCATCTTTTCAAGTGCTCACTGGTCATTTGTAGGTCTTCTCTGGAGAAATGTACATTCAAGTACTTGGCCCATTTTTAAATCAAGTTGTTTGGTTTTCATTGTGGAGTTATATATTCTAGGTATCAATCTTGTATTAGATATATGACTTGCAAACATTTTCTTTCATTCTGTGGGTTGCATTTTCACTCTGTTGATGGTGTCCTTTGATGCCTCATCCTCCTTTTTGAGGAACTAACTCATCCTTTTTGTTCCAAAGGCCAAAATTCCCTGACTCATGCATGTGGCAATTCTGGCTTCTTAAGAAACACTCAGCGTGTTTTAGAATGGTCTGGGAAGTCAAATACAAGGGGAAAGCCTGACTAGTCCCACTGTGTTCCTCTCTGCTATGGTTTCAGGTTTCTAAAGAAAATGCAGGGTTACAGAACATGAACTTGGTGAAAAGGGGCAGGGGAATGGGATTATGGGCTGGAGTGAAAAGAGAGGTTATGGGCCAGGCGCGATGGCTCACACCTGTAATCTCAGCACTTTGGGAGGCCGAGGCGGGCAGATCATGAGGTCAAGAGATTGAGACCATCCTGGTCAACATGGTGAAGCTCCGTCTCTACTAAAAATACAAAAATTAGCTGTGCGTGGTGGCGTGTGCCTGTAGTCCCAGCTACTCGGGAGGCTGAAGCAGGAGAATCGCTTGAACCCGGGAGGCAGAAGTTGCAGTGAGCTGAGACCACGCCACTATTCTCCAGCCTGGCGACAGAGCAAGACTCCGTCAAAAAAAAAAAAAAAAGAAAGAGGAAGGAAGGAAGGAAGGAGGAAATGGGAGGTTATGTGTGGAGAAAGACACACTCCATCAGGTCAGGACATAACACTTTTTTTTTGAGACAGAGTCTCACTCTGTTGCCCAGGCTGGTCTCAAACTCCTGGGGTTAAGCAATCCTCCCGCCTTGGCTTCCCAATGTGCTGGGATTACAGGCATGAGCCACCGTGCCCAGCCAGGACATAATATTTACTAAGTTCATTTCATGGGAAGCACTGTTCTAACCAATTCTAAATCCTCAAAACCATCCTATTATATCGTCAGTATAATTATTCCCATTTTACAGATGAGGAAAATGGCACAGAGAGGTTAAGTCTACCTAAAAATCACAGACTAGGAAGTGGCAGAGACAGAAATTGAACCCTGGCAATGTGGCCCCAGAGACCACTTTATTGATCATTCTGTGACACCGTATGGACTTTGGAGTCAGAATTGTCTGAATTTAAACTCAGATGTCTAATGAGTACATGATTACAAACCATTAATAATGTGAGATTGCTGGGCTCAGTGGCTCACCCCTGTAATGCCACCAACTTGGAAGGCCATGGAGGGAGGATTGCTTGAGCTCAGGAGTTCGAAGTCAGCCTGGCAAACAAAGAAAAAATTGGCCAGGCGCGGTGGCTCACATCTATAATCCCAGCACTTTGGGAGGCTGAGGCAGGCAGATCACTTGAGGTCAGGAGTTCGAGACCAGCCTGGACAACATGGTGAAACCCCTGTCTCTACTAAAAATACAAAAATTAACTGGGTATGATGTCACGCGCCTGTAATCCCAGCTACTGGGGAGGCTGAGGCAGAAGAATTCCTTGAATCCGGAGACAGAGGTCGTGGTGAACCAAGATTGCACCACTGCACTCCAGCCTGGGCAACAGAGTGAAACTCCTTCTAAATAAATAAATAAATAAATAAATAATTTAAAGTGAGCCAGTTATGGTGGTGTGCCTGCAGTCCCAGCTACTGGGGTAGCTGGGGCAGGAGGATCACTTGAGCCCCGGAATTCAAGGCTGCAGTAAGCCATGTTCATGCCACTGCACTTCAGCCTGGGTGACAGAGTAAGAACCTGCCTCAAAAAAAAAAAAAAAAAAAGTAATGCTAGAGAAATCCAAACTAAAAACAAGATTTTTATTTTACACCTACCTGCAATTTTAAAGTTGGACAGTGCCAAGTGTTGGTAGGAATGCACAGAAATAAACACATTTGTGTAACTAGGGGTGGGAATGTAGACTGGTGCAGCCATTCCAGAAGCAATTTGACAATTCTTTACCAAATTAAATAAGTGTAGCCTACGACCTGGGAATGTCACTCCCAGGTCTACATTCTAGAAAAATTCTTATATTTGTCCATAGGGAACACCTGGAAGAATCTCACAGCATTGGTTATAGAAAAGGGAACGGGGCTTGGTGCAGTGGCTCACACCTGTAATCCCAGCACTTTGGGAGGCCGAGGCGGGCAGATCTCTTGAGGTCAGGAGTTCAAGACCAGCCTGGCCAACGTGATGAAACCCTGTCTCTTCTAAACATCCAAAAATTAGCCCAGTACAGTGGCGGGCACCTGTAATCCCAGCTACTCGGGAGCCTGAGACAGGAGAATAGCTTGAATCTGGGAGGCAGAGGTTGCAGTGAGCCAAGATCACATCACTGCACTCCAGGCTAGGGGCCAGAGAGAGACTCTATCCCCCACCATCCCCCACCCAAAAAAAGAAAGAAAAGTAAAGGGAACAGAAGGCAACCTGAGTGTCCATCACCAAGGGAATGGGTAGAATGTAGTGGATGTACACAGTGGAGGACCCAGCAGACACTGACATTGTTGAACTAGATGTACACACTCCAACATGATTCCATTGCAAAAATAATGCTGAGGCAGGGGAAATGAGACACAGAATAAGGTCAAATTATGTGAACTATAACTTTTATGTAAATTTAAAATGGATACACACACAGAATAACACTATACGTTTTACAAGCATACCTACATCAAGGATATATATCGCCTGCACTAGAACTGCTGTGGAGGATGAGAATGGAAAATGATGATAAAAGAAAATGACATGTTAGCCAGGCACAGTGGCTCACGCCTGTAATCCCAGCATTTTGGGAGGCCGAGGCGGGCGGATCACCTCAGGTCGGGGGTTTGAGACCAGCCTGACCAACATGGAGAAACCCCATCTCTAATAAAAATACAAAATTAGCTGGGCGTGGTGGTGCATGCCTGTAATCCCAGTTACTCGGGAGTCTGAGGCAGGAGAATTGCTTGAACCCGGGTGGTGGAGGTTGCAGTGAGCCAAGTTTGCTCCATTGTACTCCAGCCTGGGCAATAAGAGCAAAAATCCGTCTCAAAAAAAAAGAAAAAGATAAAGAAAAAAAAGAAGGAAAATGACATGCATTCAGACAAAAATGTATGAGAAGCATCTTGCACAGTAGAGGTAAAATAAGGATCTCTGCATCCTGATTATTGCTGCGTGACCTTGGATGTAAGTCATTTCACCTGCTTGATGCTCGTCTTTCTTGTCTGGAAGATGGAAGATAGGGACCTTCACATTCTGTATCATGAAAGATGTCCACAGGGGAAGGGAGTGTGGCAGAATGAGCTTTGGAGCTGGACATACCCAGCTAGGCCAGCCATTCGCTGTGTGACCTTGGGAATCACTTTACTCTCTAAGCATCTGTATTTTGGGGGTGGGGATTTGGTTTTCATTTTTTTTAATTTATTTTAATTATATGGAATGCTTCATGAATTTGTGTGTCATCCTTGTTCAGGGGCCATATCTGTATCTCTATATTGTTCCAGTTTTAGTTATGTGCTGACGAAGCAAGCACCGCTGTTATATTTTTAATTTTTTTTTTCAGGAGGGTACTGAGTCTAATGAGGCTGCAGGGCCATGAAACCCTGCACGCTTCCTACCCATGCCTCCATTTTTTTTTTTTTTTTTTTTTTTGAGACAGAGTCTTGCTCTGTTGCCCAAGCTGGAGTGCAGTGGCATGATCTCAACTCACCACAATCTCTGCACCTCCCAGGTTCAAGTGATTCTCCTGCCTCAGCTTCTCGAGTAGATGGGATTACAGGTGCCTGACACCATGCCCGGCTAATTTTTGTATTTTTAGTAAAGACAGGGTTTTGTCATGTTGGCCAGGCCGGCCTCGACTCCCAACTTCAGGTGATCCACCCACCTCGGCCTCCCAAAGTGCTAGGATTAAAGGTGTGAGCCACTGCGCCAGGCCCCAAGCCTACATTTTTAAGTGAGGTAGTCAAGCAGGCCTCACCGAGAAGGGGCCATTTAAGCAAAGCCTTGAAGGAAGCAAGGGAGTGAGCCATGTTGCTATCCAGGAAGAAAGTAACTCAGGCAGAGGGAAGAGGCAGTTCTACCCATAGGTGTTTGGGAGGAGTAAATGACGTGAAGTTCCCCTTGCAGTAAGTGGTCAGCAAATATTGAGTGGCCACCTCTGTCCCTCCCCTTACAGAGCTGTCAGGATCCAGGTGACATCTAAGAGCACCTTCTAGCTCCAGTGACAATGACCACTCTGGCTTCTGAGGGTCTCTGGAACACTGTGTTCATGGACGCCATCCACCCTCAGGAGTACCCTCCCTAGCTGAGCACAGCCTGAGCCCAGGGAACAGTCATTGCTGCTGGGGCTTCAACATGCATAGGGAGCACAGAGGCCTCAAAGAGGAAGCCAGAAACAGCAAGGCGGAGGCCCTCACCTTCCACTGGAGGCCTCTTGGGTCATTCCCCCAAGACAGCCCTGTCCCAGCGCTTAGGAGGCTGTGCCTGGAGGGGCTTGGGCAAGGGTACAGCCACATGGTGGAGTGGGAGGAGAGAAGGAAAGGGACCCATGCTTACTAAGGCAGATCTGGCTTTGAATATTATTATGCCACTTAGTAGCTCTTTTACCTTTATAAATCTCTGAACCCTTCTGAGACTCGATTTCCCTATCTGTAAAATGGGCATGAAATGTTCTATTCTGTGGGGTGGTTGTGAGGACTCAATGACATAAGATAGGTGAAAGTGGCAAGCAAATAGCTGGGTCCCCCTTCCTTCTGTACCAGGTACCTGAGAGGCAGCCACTATGTCTTATTCAGTCAGCTTGGGTCCTTATTTATTTTATTCATTTCTTTTTTTCCCTTCTTTTTTAAGGGGCTTTCTGGCAAAAACTGAAAAGCCTGCTAGACAAATTCTAAAAGAGCTGTAACATTTGTTTTATTCATTTCTGTCGGGATAAAACCACCCATGTTTCAGGGAGTATGAGGTTTCAGTGAGATAACAGATCAAAATTGTGCTTAGCATAGTTACTGGACCAAAATAGGCACTCCATAGGTGTTTGTTGGGTACCTAAAGGGATGGAGGGATGGATGGATGGATGGATGGATGGATGGTTAGAGGGATAGATAGATGGATAGAGGGATGGTGGGATGGAGGGATGGATAGGTGGATAGACAGATGGGTATGTGGGAGGATGGCTTGCTGGTAGGATATCAAAGGGAATAGGACTTTTTATACAGAAATACCAAGTCTGCACAAAAACCAGGTGCTTTACAAGAAGGTCTTATATCTCTTTGTGGCCTTAGGTCTTGAGCACATATATAACACAGATGAGTAAAAACAGGCATAAATGTATCCAGGTCTAGTCAACTGTGACCTCCACTTACCACTCTTGGGTCTATGACTCATCTCAACGAGGCCAGATCTTACATAAGCAAGCATTCTCCAACTGAGATCACTGGTGGTTCCCTGAGGCAAAAGCTGAGATCAGGGGCAAATGCAAGGTGAGGCTTTCCTGATACACAGGATGCCTTGGAAATTCTAATCAGTGATGTTTCATCAAAAGAATTACAACTCAGCTTTTCCCATAATTCCTGTCACCGTTGCAAGAATGGAGAGATGCAGGTGAACAGCCAGCCCTGCATCCGCTGCAGCTCCACACTGTGTAACTTCTGCAATCACTTAGTCTCTCTGAGCCCCACGATCTCCTTAGTAAGATGAAGGGGTTGAACCCTCCCAGCTCCAAGATGTTCTGATTCTCTGAAAACTCCCTACATCTTCCTTTAAAATATGGACCTAGAACTTTGGAAGAACATGTATTACATTTCTTTTCCATCTATCTCTATAGAGTCTTCTCAAAACCTTTTAAAATATTTGCATGTATCTGTCAACATGTCTGTTTATGCTAAACCCTGGGGAAGCTGTACACTTTGGAGACAGACAGATCTCAATTCCAGGCTATATGTGAGAAACTGGAGACAGATTATTTAGATCCGGTTCCTGCCCCCCAGGATAGGAAAGACAGGCATTGAAAGGAATTAATTTCAATGGTCACAGTAATTAAGGTATACAAATGTTGGACCCTCCCAGTCCCAAAATGCTGCCTGGAGGAATTCAGAAGGCTACCTATTGGAGTATTCTGGGATATGTCAAAAAGAAGAGGGGAGCTGCGGCAGCTCAGGCCGGTCGTCCTGGCCCTCGGGGAGGCGAGGCTACACGTTTGAGGCCAAGCCTGGTCAACACTGACAAAAAAAAAAAAAATTGGCCAGGCGGTGAAACCCCGTCTCTACTAAAAATACAAAAAAATTAGCCAGGCATGGTGATGGGCCTGTAATCTCAGCTACTCGGGAGGCTGAGGCAGGAGAATGGCATGAACCCAGGAGGTGGAGCTTGCAGTGAGCCAGGCTGGCGTCACTGCACTCCAGCCTGGGTGACAGATCGAGACTCCATCTCAAAACATAATAATAATAAAACAAAATAAAATAAAAAAGAAGAGAAGGGCTGGGTACAGTGACCCATTCCCGTAGTCCCTGCTACTGGGGAGGCTGAGGTAGGAGGATCACTTGAAGCCAGAAGTTCGATCCTGTAGTGTGCAATAGGCATGCCGGTAAACAGCCATTGCGTGCCAGCCTGGGCAATATAGCAAGACCCCACCTCCAGGAAAAAAAGTTTAGAAAAAAACAGAAAAGACAGAGGATACAGGAGGAGTAAAGGTGGCTGTACTGGGGTGGTGAGGAGATCAACAAGGCTGGAGCATGGGCTACAACCTAATATACTCCTCCCATCCCCCTGATCCCCATGAGCGCATGGTCTATGTGTTGGGGCAACATCCTGGGAGAAGCAAGGAGGTAATCACAAGTCACTGTCTCAGAACTGTCAGTTACTCTTGTTTTTTTTCCAATTAGAGACAGGGTCTCGCTATGTTGCCCAGGCTGGTCTCAAACTCCTGAGCTCAAGCAATCCTCCTGCCTTGGCCTCTCAAAGTGCTGGGATTGCAGGCATGGGCCCAGAGTTATTCTTTATTGAGACCCTGTGCACTTTATACCCATCAAAGTAGAGTTTCCTAAAGTGTGTACACAAGTCACTGAGACATGTCAAGTGACTTTAGACACAACACAGAAAAACTATTTTTTTTTTTTGAGACAGGGTCTTGTTCTATCACCGAGGTCAGAATGCAGTGTGGCATGATGATCACAACTCACTGCAACCTCAGCCTCCTGGCTCAAGCAATCCTCCCACTTCAGCCTCCCACAAGTAGCTGGAACTACAGACACACACCACCACGCCTGGCTAATTTTTTTAATTTTTTAATTTTTTTATTATTATTATTTTTTAGACAGAGTCTCACTTTGTCACCCAGGCTGGAGTGCAGTGGCGCGATCTCGGCTCACTGCCATCTCCAACTCCCGGGTTCAAGTGATTGTGATTCTCCTGCCTCAGCTTCCCAAGTAGCTGGGAAGCTGGGATTATAGGCACCCACCATCATGACCGGCTAATTTTGTATTTTTAGTAGAGACGGGGTTTCGCCATGTTGACCAGACTGGTCTTGAACGTCTGACCTCAGGTAATCTGCCCTCCTTGGCCTCCCAAAGTGCTGGGATTACAGGCGTGAGCCACCACACCCACAAATTTTTTGTAGAGGCAGCATTTTGCCATGTTTCTCAGGCTGGTCTCGAACTCCTGGGCTCAAGCAATCCACCCTCCTCAGCCTCCCAAAATGTTGGGATTACAGGTGTGAGCCACCGCACCCAGGCGAGAAACATTTTTATAGTTACGGTTTTATGTTTATGTCTACCTTCTATTTGTGGCAGGTAGTATTAGTTTTCATTTACAATTATGTTATAATGTTTTCTTTCAAATAAATGTAAGTTTTTAAAAGTGACTTAATTTAAAGAAAACTTCTTTATTAAGTAAATGGACAGTTGGTACACAGATATTGCAAAAATTTCGAGGCGGGTACATGAATGACTGAAATTCAGGAGACGCGGGGAGTTAGCACAGAAGCACTTTCCTCATTCAGAGCTCTTTTGGCTGCGAGAAACAGACACCCAATCAAATCAGCTTCAGCAAAATGAGAGAATGTATCCTGACAAGGGACGCTCACAGGGCCTAAAGGAAGAGTGCTGGGCCCCTGGAGGACTGAGGGAAGCCGGCAGGTCCCTGGAGGCGGTGCCCGGCTGCTCTCCAGGCGCCTGTGATTCCTCTGGTCCCTGCCTTGCTATGCGTATCTTCCCTCTGAGCAGAGCCATTTTCTCTACCACATTCATGCAGGTGCCCATCCCCCGCAACACACACAGACAAACACACACACATGGACACAGTCACAGCTCCAGGGTTTCTATGTGTTCAGGTAAGGGACCTGCAAAGCCTGAACAGCCTCCCTAAATCTAGATGCCCACCTCTCATCCTTTCAGCTCCCATCAGAGGATCAAGGGGCCCAAATTCGCAGAAAAGGGGAGGGTCTAAGATGAGCAGTCACCCTGCCAAGAGGTGTCTGCCTCAACATTAGTGGCGTATAACAATCCCATGAGGTAGCTTTAACCTCATAGGTAATGACCCTAAGAGGTAGGAAATTCAGTGCCTGGTCCCTCAGCAGGAAATGACACAGCCAAGACTTGAACCAGGCTTGTGTGATGCTGCACTAGCCACCGGGTCATCCCATCAGCCAAGTCCAGCCCACAGCTACCATCCCAGACTCCAGCAGGTTACAGGTCCATCGAGAGGCATTTCTCAAAATCAGCAATCCGGTGTTTGCCCGGTACACAGGAAATGAGTATCCCAGCTTCACAGGGACACTGACTGGAAGGAAGGAAGACTTCTCTGAAGGAGCACAGAGCTCTAGAAACCAGAGAAGTTTCCTCTGAGCCCCTTGGGTCTGAGGCTGCCAGGTTCACACTGCAGATACTTGTCTCAGGGCAGGAGAGGAGGCTCATTTGCATATACTTGCCAAAAATCACAAGCAGACATCTAGAGATCCCCAGGAGAAGCTGACACCTGGCTGACACCTGCTGACAGTAACTGCTCCTCCCACCTCCTGGAAGCTATGTTAGGAGGACCCTCCCAGAGGGCAAGGGAGGAGAGAACTGACAGACCCTTCTACCCAGGGGCCTCATGTACTTCCCAGCCCATGTGCCTGTTCGTATGGAAGCCCCTGGACATCGGGGTGTCCTGGCCTGGACAGCTCCAATTTTGCCTTTTTTGTTTGTTTGTTTGTTTTTGACACAGAGTCTCACTCTGTCGCCCAGGCTGGAGAGCAGTGGCGTGATCTCGGCTCACTGCAAGCTCCGCCTCCTCCCAGTAGCTACAGCCTATGGGACTACAGGCATGCGCCACCACGCCAGGCTAATTTTTTTGTATTTTTAGTAGAGACGGGGTTTTACCATATTGGTCAGGCTGGTCTCAAACTCCTAACTTCAAATGATCGGCCCACCTCAGCCTCCCAAAGTACTGGGATTACAGGCATGAGCCATATTTTTGTATTCTTAGTGGAGATGGCGTTTCACCACGTTGGCCAGGCTGGTCTCGAACTCCGGACCTCAGGTGATCTGCCTGCCTTGGCCTCCCAAAGTGCTGGGATTATAGGCATGAGCCACTGAGCCCAGCCCCAATTTTGCTTTCAAGGGGCCTTTGCCCACCCTCAGTGGGTGGCTGCCCCACAGAAGGTACTTAATTAGGGACTATTGTTGAGACAGAAAGAGGAGGTGGGCATCTCCTTCCCACTCCCCCAGAGCTGACTGGACTAGAGGCAAGGCCTTTGCAGACAGACACGTCTGTCTTGGGAAGCAAGCTCTTGTCCTAGCTTTTGGTCTGTTCATGTTTTATCTTCTTTGGTCACCATTAGGGACAGGTTGCCAGATGAGTCAGAGAAGGTTCCATCAAGCCCCTTCCCCTGAGAAAGGTCACAAAGACCTTGTGCCGGAGGGTGGAGAGAGGATGGCAACATCTTAGCTCAAAAGTCTGCCCCAAGGTAGTGCCATACAGTGAGGGCAGTGTCCTTTCCTAACCCAGTCTACCTCTATCACTTGAGAGTAGTTGCCCAAAGCTTTTTTTTTTTTTTTTTTTTTTTTTTTGAGATGGAATCTCGCTCTGTTGCCAGGCTAGAGTGCAATGGTGCAATCTAGGTTCACTGCAACCTCTGCCTCCCAGGTTCAAGCGATTCTCCTGCCTCAGCCTCCTGAGTAGCTGGGACTACAGGCGTGTGCCACCATGCCCGGCTAATTTTTGTATGTTTTAGTAGAGATGGGGTTTTACAATGTTGGCCAGGATGGTCTCGATCTCTTGACCCATGATCTGCCCACCTCGGCCTCCCAAAGTGCTGGGATTACAGGTGTGAGCCACTGCGCCCACTCCCCCAAAGCTTTAGACCGATGCCCCATCGGGGAGAACTAGGTGGTTTAAAGTCTTCCCCCAAGGTCTGCACCTGGCCCTGACATTCCTTCCGGCCCCATAAGATTAAGGGACTCAGGATAAAGTCATCAGTCACAGTTACTGTAGTATGCGCCCACAGGCGGATGAAGGGGCTCATTTGAGTTCTGGATTTTCCAACAGCCTGGCTCTGCCATCATCCCTGCCCAGGTGAGGTAGCCTCCAAATCTAATGGCCCACCAGTGCCCACAGAGGTGGTGCCCAGACCACAGTAGATATCCCTTCTTCCCCCAGCTCAGTCCATGATGTTCATGGAGGAGAAGACTTCAGGCCTGGAAGCAGGGACTAATTTTTGAGGGAATTGCCAGGGATCTGGTTGAATGGCACAACCACTTCAGTGACCGTATCCGTGGTGGCCCGGGAGCATTTCCGGCTACTGCGCATGCTGTAGAACTTTTCGGTGAGGTGCTTGCGGAACTTCTTGGTGAGGAAACAGTAGATAACAGGGTCTAAGACACAGTTGGTGCTAAGGAGGCAGAGGGTGACCTGATGTGCATCATTAATGGCCTGGTGGAATTTGCTGTCCTGGAAGCCCAGCTCAGCAAGGGTCCAGGGCAGCTGCACCACGTGGTGGGGCACGAAGCAGATGATGAACACCGCCAAGACCGTGCACACCATCCACAGCGCCCGGCGCTTGACTTCAGCGTTGCGCTGCTGCTGCACCGGCTGCATGAGCAAGGTACGGATGATGACCAGGTTGCAGAAGAGGATGATGAGGAAGACCAGGAAGAAGCTGAACACGATGAAGATGTGGATGATGAGGACTGGCACGCTGCCCTTCTCGTAATGCTCAAAGCAGCGAGTGACGTTGCCTGAGCCAGCACTGTCGGGCACTGTGTTGGTGGAGTCCAGGATGAGGAAGTAGGATGCAGCTCCCACAATGGCCACCCAGATGACCAAGGACAAAGAGATGCCACGCTTGCGGGTGTTGGCCTGAGCAGTCTTGATGGGCCGAGTTACTGCCTGGAAGCGGTTATAAGTGATGACGCCCAGGAAGGCCACAGAGCAGTAGGTGTTGATGAAGAAAAGGCAGCCAGCCACGTTGCACAGGAATTTGGGGAGTATCCAGTTGCCCTGGTTTTGGTAGTAGACAATCCAAAGTGGCAGGGTGATCAAGAAGAGCATGTCCGCCATGGTGAGGTTCACCATGAAGATCTTTATCTCATTGAATTTCTTGCAAGGGTACAGGCGGGCAAAGACCCACAGCACGTAGCCATTAGCAATGACCCCGAGCACAAAGATGATGCTGTAAACAATCGGGAAGAGAGTGTATCGGAACTCAGAGTCCATGTGGGAGGAGTCATGTGGCTCCATTGCTGTGGGCTGGAATGATCAGCTGGTCCTGGTGGTGCCTGGAAGACCACACAAAAATTCTGGTTAATAAAGGGACAAGAAGGGACTGTTCCATTTCATCAGTTCCAAGACTCCTTGCCATGGTTAGAATGATGATGTCCCCTCAGAAGTTCATGTTGAATCTTTTTTTTTTTTTCAGATGGAGTTTCACTCTTGCTGCCCAGGCTGGAGTGCAGTGGCGTGATCTCAGCTCACCGCAACCTCCGCCTCCCGGGTTCAAGCGATTCTCCTGCCTCAGCCTCCCAAGTAGCTGGGATTACAGGCATGCACCACCATGCCTGGCTAGTTTGTATTTTTAGTGGAGATGGGGTTTCTCCATGTTGTTCAGGCTGGTCTCAAACTCCCAACCTCAGGTGATCTGCCCACCTCGGCCTCCCAAAGTGCTGGGATTACAGGCATGAGTCACTGTGCCCGGCCTCATGTTGAATCTTAATCCCCAGTGCAGAGGTGTGGCCTGTGGAAGGTGATTAAGTCAGAGGGTGGAATGGGATTAGCACACTTAGAAAAGGGCTCCGGGTTGCCCAGGGAGGTCAAGGCTGAAGTGAGCTGTGATTGTGCCACTGCACTCCTGCCTGGGTGACAAAGTGAGACTCTGTCTCACACAAAAAAAAAAAATAATAATTCTTTAAAAAGGGGCTCAAGGTTGAAGAAAGCACTTAATATTGCCCTTTTTGTCTTTCCATCCCTTTTGCCATGTGAGGTCACAGCTTTCAAGGTGCCATCTTGGAAGCAGATAACCAGGCATCAGACACTAAACCTGCTGGTGCCTTGATCATGAACATCCTCCAGAACTATGAGAAATACATTTCTCTTCCTTTTTTCTCTTCTTTTCTTTGTTTTTTGCTTTTTATAGACAAGGTCTTGCTCTGTCACCCAGGCTAGAGTGCAGTGGTGCGATCACAGCTCACTGCAACCTCAACCTCTTGGGCTCAAGCAATCTTCCCACCTCAGCCTCCTGAGTAGCTGGGACTACAGGTATGCGTGTGACACCACACCTAGCTAATTTTTGTATTTTTTGTAGGGAAGGGGTTTTGCTATGTTGCCCATGCTGTTCTCGAACTCCTGAGCTCAAGGAATCTGCCAGCCTTGGCCTCCCAAAGTGCTGGGATTACAGGCGAGAGCCACCACCCCTGACCATGCAGTGTTTTTTCCTACATAAAATAATGGTGTGTTTTTACAATAAATAGCACCTGATAGTCAATACAATCAATGGCAGTTCTGTTTCTCTTCTTTTATTCCATTTTAAAATATAACTGTCTGCCCAGGCATGATGGCTTACGCCTGTAATCCCAGCACTTTGGGAGGCCAAGGTGGGCGGATCGCCTGAGGTCAGGAGTTCAAGACCAGCCTGGCCAACATGGTGCAACCCCTGTCTGTACAAAAACACAAAAAATCAGCTGGGTGTGGTGTTGTATGCCTGTAGTCCCAGCTACTCAGGAGGCTGGGCTGAGGTGGGTGGATCTCCTGATGTCAGGAGTTCGAGACCAGCCTGGCCAACATTATGAAACCCTGTCTCTACTAAAAATACAAAAATTAGCTGGGCGTGGTGGCAGGCGCCTGTAATCCCAGCTACTTGGGAGGCTGAGGCAGGAGAATCACTTGAACCCGGGAGGTGGAGGTTGCAGTGAGCTGAGATCAAGCCACTGCACCCCAGTCTGGGCAGGAAGAGCAAGACTCTGTCTCGAAAAAATAAATAAGTAATAAATAATAATAAAAACAAAACAAAACAAAAAAAGTTGCAGAAAATGTTTGTTATGACCCCACTATATATGCGTGTTTGAATAGAAGATCTAGAAGGATACACCTCAAATAGTTGACAGTGGTAAGTAGCCTCTGGGAAGGTGAGGTAGCTTAGTGGGAAGTTTATTTACTTTATACTTTTATGTGTTTGTTTGAATCTTTAAAGGGCATTTATTATCTTAATAATTTAAAATTTTGAAAATACAATGTAAGGACATGCACAGTGGCTCATGCCTGTAATCCCAGCATTTGGGAGGCCAAGGTGGGAGGACCGAGTGAGCCCAGGAGTTCAAGACCAGTCTGGGCAACACAGTGAGACTCCCGTCTCTAGTAAAATAAAAAATGAAACAATTAGCCAGGCATAGTGGTGCACGCCTGTAGTCTCAGCTACTCAGGGTACTGAGGCAGAAGGATCGCTTGACCAGCCTAGACAACATAGTGAGACACCATTTCGAACAAAACAAAACAGTTGCTCCCTTCCCTCTTGTTCCTCCCACTATTGCTGTCATTGCAAGCTCCTAGGAGCTGCCCTGTTATTTACATTGCAGTGGGCATGACTCAGGGAAGCAGCAGGCAGGGAGGAGGATGGGAAGCAAGAACCCAGCTGGGGCTAAGCAAGGTCCAGCTCATAATATCTAATAGTGTAGTAAAAAGAGCGCAGTAGGCCAGGCGTGGTGGCTCACGCCTGTAATCCCAACACTTTGGGAGGCCAAGGCAGACAGATCCTTGAGTCCAGGAGTTTGAGACCAGGCTGGGCAACATGGTGAAACCCTGTCTCTACAAAAAAAAAAAAAAAAAAAAAATACAGGCTAGGCGCGGTGGCTCACACCTGTAATCCCAGCACTTTGGGAGGCCGAAGCAGGCACATCACAAGGTCAGGAGTTCGAGACCCACCTGGCCAATATGGTGAAACTGTGTCTCTACTAAAAATACAAAAATTAGCTGGGCGTGGTGGTGGGTGCCTGTAGTCCCAGCCACTCTGGAGGCCGAGGCAGGAGAATCGCTTAAACCCGGGAGGCGGAGATTGCAGTAAGCCGAGATTGTGCCACCGCACTCCAGACTGGGAGACAGATTGAGACTCTATCTCAAAAAAAAGAAAAAAAATTAGCAAGGCGTGGTGGTGCTTGCCTGTAGTCCTAGCTACTTGGGAGGCTGAAGTGGGAGGATCGCTGGAGCCCGGGAGGCAGAGGTTGCAGTGAGCGGAGATTGTGCCACTGACATTCCAGCCTAGATGATGGGGTGAGACCTTGTCTCAGAAAATGGGATGAGACCTTGTCTCAGAAAAAAAAAAAAAAAAAAAAAAAAAGGGAGTGAGACACAAGGAAGACAACACTTGGAGCACCTTCTTTGGAGCCAGGTACCCTGCTAGGTGCTTCCACGTGTACTACCTCATTTGAGTCTCACACAAACACTTTGCCATAGGAAGTAAGATCCCATGCTACAGAATAGGAAGCTGACTACGGGGTGGTTATATGACTTGTGCAAGGTCACACGGCTATTAAGGAATGGTGCCAGGATCTCAGATCCAGCTCTGTTCTTTCACACATCCATCCAACAAATATTTCTGAGCACCAACTGCAGGTAAGGCACACAGCTAAGCACAGGAGCTATAGGGCGAACACCCAGCAAGGGGGCCCTGACCTCAGAGAACTTACATCTCTCGGGGTAGACAGACAAAAGCAATTTAAACAAACACCGTTGTTATACAAACAAACAGGAGTGCTGATTGGGCCGGCCGTGGTGGCTCACGCCTGTAATCCTAGCACTTTGGGATGCCAAGGTGGGTGGATTGCCTGAGCTTAGGAGTTCGAGACCAGCCTGGGCAACACGGTGAAACCCCATCTCTACTAAAATACAAAAAATTAGCCAGGCATGGTGGTGGGCACTTGTAATCCCAGCTACTTGGGAGGCTGAGACAGGAGAATCGCTTGAACTTGGGAGGCAGAGGTTGCAGTGAGCCCAGATCATGCCTTTGCGCTCCAGCCTGGGTGACAGAGCAAGACTCTGTCTCAAAAAAAAAAAAAAAAAAAAGTGGGGGGGGAGGGAGGGCAGCACGGATATTGAGAACAAAAAGAGATCTACTTAGAAAGGAGGTGACATTTCAGTTGAGGCCTGAAGGAGGAACAAGAGCAGAACATTCCAGGCAGAGAACTCTGCATGGGTCCAAAAGTGCGGCAAGAGCTTGGTGGTTTCCAGGAACGGAAATAAGCTTATCAGATGGCCCTTGCCCTGACCTCCAGCTGCCACTCCACCCTCACCTCGTGCCACCTTAGCATCAGGCTCTAGCCAGAACGGACTTCCCAGGCGGACCTTCAAACCTGTCCAGACATTTCCTGCCTAGAAGCCTCCACAATACCCATCTTGCTGTTTTGAATGCTCTTCCCTACCCACTCCTCACTCTCCGCTTTCCTTTTTTGTTGTTGTTGTTGAGATGGGGTCTCGCTCTGTCACCCAGGCTGGAGCGCAGTGGTGCAATCTCGGCTCACTGCAACCTCCGCCTCCCAGGTTCAAGCGATTCTCCTGCCTCAGCCTCCTGAGTAGCTGGGATTACAGGTGTGTGCCATCACACCCGGCTAATTTTTGTATTTTTAGTAGAGACGGCGTTTCACCATGTTGGTCAGGCTGATCTCGAACTCCTGACCTCATGATCCGCCACCTCGGCCTCCCAAAGTGCTGGGATTACAGGCGTGAGCCATCTCGCCTGGCTCCACTCCCCACTTTCACCTGGCCAAGTGCAACTCATGCTTCAGACCTCAGCTGAATTTCACTGCTTTAGGGAGGTCTTCAATGGACTTGGCTCACGGCTGTAATCTCAACACTCTGGGAGGCCAAGGCAGGCAGATTGCTGGAGCCCAGGGGTTTGAGACCAGCCTGGTCAACATGGCAAAATCCCCTCTCTACAAAAGAAAAAATTTAAATTAGCAAGGCATGGTGGTGCACTCCTGTAGTCCCAGCTACTCAGGAGGCCAAGGTGGAAGGATCAATTGAGCCTGGAAGGTCAAGGCTGCAGAGAGCTGTGACTTCACTACTGCACTCCAGCCTGGGCAACACAGCAAGACCCTGTCTCAAAAAGTAAAACAACGAAAAAGTCCATTGATATGATGTAGGTTCTACATCACAACGAACCTTTAAGAAACTACTATATGCGGGGCTTTGATATCATATCAAAGAATAGTATCTGCCAGGCGTGGTGGCTCATGCCTGTAATACCAGCACTTTGGGAGGCCGAGACGGGTGGATCACCTGAGGTCAGGAGTTCGAGACCAGCCTGGCCAACATGGTAAAACCCCACCACTACTAAAAATACAAAAAATCAGCCGGGTGTGGTGGCAGGCACCTATAATCCCAGCTACTCGGGAGGTTAAGGCAGGAGAATCGCTTGAACCCAGTAGGCGGAGGTTGCAGTCAGCCGAGATCATGCCATTGCATTCCAGCAGCCTGGGCAACAAGAACAAAACTCCAAAAAAAAAAAAAGAAAATATCACCAATTATCTGAAAAAGCCATTAAAAGATCCCTCCCTTTATAAGTATGTATCTGTGTGAAGGCAGATTTTCTTCAACCAAAACAACATATCACAGCAGCCTAAGTGCAAAAGCAGATATGAGAATCCAACTGTCTTCTATTTAGCCCAACATTAAAGAGATGTGTAAAAAATGTAAATCAATCCACTTCTCTCCCTAAATTGTTTATGTTTTAGAAAATCTAGCTATTTTTACAAAAATGTGTTATTTATGTTAACATGGAAAGAGTTTATTATTGGGTGTTTTTGTTTAAAAATGAAAATTTTTAGAATGTCTAAGTTTTCATTTTTAATACAATATTGCTGGAGATAACTTATGTAAACAAAAGCTCTTTGGCACCCTCAATAATCTTTAAGGATATAAAAGGACCCTGAGACCAGAAGACTTGAATACTGCTGCTCCACAATCTCAGCACCCCTGCCCTTCCTTGGATCCCAAGATGCCCAGTTCATCCAGGACCGGCCTTGTTTCTCTCTCAGGCTATACTGGTTATACCTTCTTGCCTTGGGGGTCCTGTTTCCAGGGCATGGAGGCATATTTGGCCTGTGTGGTGGCTGGGGGCAGCTCACAGCTGGGCAGGGCATGGTGCTCATTCTGGGTCTTGGGGGCAGTCAGGTCCGCACCTCCCTGCTACCCCCGCCCCCTTGCCCATCACAAAATGCCTTCCTCTTCCTGGGTTCCTGCACCCTGCCTGCCCACGCCTATTGAGAAAGCCTTTCCGCCAGGGCCAGGACTAGAGTGAAACATGTGAGGCATTCACTGGTTGCAAAATTTAAGAAGACACTAAACCTCAGCAATCAAGATAAATAATATTTTATTTTGTTTATTTATTTTTGAGACAGGGCTTGGCTCTGTCACCCAGACTGGAGTGCAGTGGCACAATCTTGGCTTACTGCAACCTCCACCTCCTGGGCTCAAGCCAACCTCCTACCTCAGCCTCCCAAGTAGCTGGGATTACAGGCACACGCTACCACACCAGCTAATTTTTGTATTTTTTGGTAGAGATGAGGCATGCCCACCATGGCCAGCTAATTTTTATAATTTTAGTTAGCTAGGCTGGTCTCGAACTCCTGACCTCAAGTGATCCGCCCGCCTCGGCCTCCTAAAGTGCTGGGATTACGGGTGTGAGCCACTGTGCCTGGCCAATAAATAATATTTTAATGCAATATTTTTTTAAATCAAAAGGAGTATTACTGATTCTTCCTCTTGCCTCAATCTCTAATATAACTGCCTGGCACTATTATGATACTGTCTTCATCTAACATTTTGGTACTTTGTTTATCATAATTTTTTTTGCATTAATTTTGATTTTTTTTTTTTTTTTGAGGTGGAGTCTCCCTCTGTCACCCAGGCTGGAGTGCAGTGGCGCGATCTCAGCTCACTGCAAGCTCCGCCTCCTGGGTTCACGCCATTCTCCTGCCTCAGCCTCCCGAGTGGCTGGGACTACAGGCGCCTGCCACGACGCCCGGCTAATTTTTTTTGTATTTTTGGTAGAGATGGGGTTTCACCATGTTAGCCAGGATGGTCTTGATCTCCTGACCTTGTGATCTGCCCGCCTCGGCCTCCCAAAGTGCTGGGATTACAGGCATTAGCCACCACGCCTGGCAATTTTGAGTTTTTAAAAAAACCTTCTCACCATGTGAACAGAACACACACACAGACTAGCCCAATTCACTCATTCAGTTGCTCATTCATGCATTCGTTGGACAAGCACTCACAGCTCCCGGAGCTGAGCAGTGCCCTGAGGCCTCAGAGAACAGACCCAGCCCTTGAGCAGCTCACAGGCCATTTTGCAAGAGAGAGATTCAGAAATAGATAAGCGGGCGGTGCTATGATGATGGATGTATCAGGTGTAACGCGGTTTCAGAGAAGCTGCCCCTACCCAGACTTGAGGGTGAGGAGAGACCTCCTGCCTATGCTGAAGGAGTTAATTTGATAGTGCGAGGAGAGAGGAATAACAGGCACAGGGGACTGCGGGACAGAGGCCTGGAAGAATAGGCAAAGGCGTACTTCATTCTAAAGGAACGTGAGACATTTGGTTTGGCCAAAACTTTAAGGAGTTGAGAAGAGACAGGGCTTTAAAAATAAGCAACAGGGCCAGGCGCGGTGGCTCACGCCTGTAATCCCAGCACTTCGGGAGGCCGAAGCGGGTGGATCATCAGGTCAGGAGTTTGAGACCAGCCTGACCAACATGGTGAAACCCTGTCTCTACTAAAAATACAAAAATTAGCCGGGTGTGGTGGCACGCATCTGTAATTCCAGCTACTTGGGAGGCTGAGGCAGGAGAATCGCTTGAACCCAGTAGGTGGAGGTTGCAGTGAGCTAAGATCATGCCACTGCACTCCAGCCTGGGCAACAGAGCCAGACTCCATCTTAAAAAAAAAAAATCATCAGTCAACTCAAGATGGGTCCTAGAGGTTAGTCTAAGGAGTCTGGACTTTATTCTGCAGACAATGGGAGTTATTGAAGGATCTTGAGCTTGGAAGGGACAAGACTGGGTCTGGATTTGGGGAAGATGGCTTTGACCACTGTGCACAGAATGAACTGGAGGTGATCAGACCAGAGTCAGGGAGACAGCAAAGAGACACGTGCAGTCGTCTGGAGGGCCTCAAGAGGACTGCACCAGGGCAGAGCCGATGGAGGGAAATGGATGGTTGTGAGAGTTATTTGGGAAATCAGATGGACAGAATTTGGTAACGGATGGGATATTGGTTGAGAGAAAAGGAGGAAACAAAGAGAACTGCCAGGTGTCTGGGCCAGATGATTGAGGACATGGTGGTGTCTGTCTTCATGGAGAAGACACTGAGGAGGAACAGCATGAGGGCAGGGAGGATGAATTCATATGAGGACATATCCCATCTGGGATGCCTGTGAAACACCCAAAAGGACCAGGGTTAAACCCTGAAGAGCCCAACATCAAGGAAGAAGTCAGAGGAGGACAGACCTATGGAGGCAGAGACAGGACAGTCAGAGACAAGGAGGGTTCCATGCTTGAGGCCTAAGGGAAGAAAGTTTCAAGAGCTTGGGAAGACATGGGCAACAGTGTGAAAAGCCACAGGGAGATGAATGACAATGCAGACAGAAAAGCAAACACTGGATGTGGAAACATGGAAATCAATCTCATGTGATCAGATCATGTGATCACAGGGAGAGCAGTTGCCCAGGCATGGGTTGAGGGGTGAGTGATAGGAGAGAAAGGGGAATGTCAAATCCTCACTCAAGAAGTTCGATTGAGCCAGGCACAGTGGCTCACTCCTGTAATCCCAGCACTTTGGGAGGCCGAGGCAGGACGATCACTCGAGGTCAGGAGTTCCAGACCAGCCTGGCCAATATGGTGAAATCCCATCTCTAATAAAAATACAAAAATTAGCCAGACGCCTATAATCTCAACTACTGGGGAGGCTGAGGCAGGAGAATCGCTTGAACCCAGGAGGTAGAGGTTGCAGTGAGCCGAGATAGCACCACTGCACTCCAGCCTGAGCAACGAGAACGAAACTCCGTCTCAAAAAAAAAAAAAGAAGTTTGATTGAGCAACAAAATGCTGTGTGTGGACCTTGTTTGGATCCTGATTCAAATAAACCAACTGTAAAAAATATTTTCCAGACAATTGGGCTGGCTGTGGTGCTCATGCCTGGTCTCAGCACTTTGGGGAGGCCAAGGCGGAACAATTGCTTGAGCTCAGGAGTTTGAGATCAGCCTGGGCAATATAGCAAGACCTCATCACTCCTAAAAATTTTTAAAAGTTAGCTGGGTGTGGTGGTGCACACCTCTAGTCCCAGTTACTCAGGAAGCTGAGGCAGGAGGATTGCTTGAGCCCAGGAGTTCAAGGCTGCAGTGAGCTGTGATTATGCCACTGCACTCCAGCCTGGGCAACAGAGCCTCAAGACCCTGTCACACACACACAAAAAAGAATTAAAAAAAAAAAAAAGACATTTGGGAAAACTCAAACACAGATGGTATTAAAAAAATGTTTATTTATTTAGGTAGGATAATGATATGGTGGTTGTATTGTTAAATTCCTTAGCTATTAGATGTGCACTCCAACCTGGGCAACACAGCAAGGCTTCATCTCAAAAAAAAAAAAAAAATTCCAGGAAGACCAGGTGTGGTGGCTCATGCCTGTAATACCAGCACTTTGGGGAAACTGAGGAAGGAGGATGGGTCAGGAATTCAAGACCAGCCTGGGCAACATAGCAAGACCTCATCTCTACACCCATCCCCACCTTGCCTCCCCCCGCCACCCCCCACACACACACGAGAATAAAATATTCCAGGAAAATTGTGCCTGCATGCTAATCTCTATTTCAAAGTTGGCTTCCCAGGAACCCAACCTAGGAGATTGTATACTTGGGTCTATCTGACTTCAGAGCCTCCCCAGTCCACACAGGCCCCACAGGAGCCCCAGCAAGAGTAGGCCTCCTCCTTCCAGATACAGGACCAGAATCAGTAAGGGGAGTGCTGGTGGAGTCCCTGCTTGACTCAAACCCGTTGGTGCCACCAGTACCCGTCATCCTGGCTCTTCCTACTTCTGCTGCCTTCTGTTCAATCCCAGGCTCCTGGCCCCCATGTGACTCCCACTCCCTTGGCCCCAACCCAAACTTGGTGCCTATCACTGTATCTTTGCATGAGTAGAACCCTTGAAATCACCCAAAATGTAACCAGCTGATTCTCCTCTGGGCCTGAGAGCTTGCACTTTCATTACTTTATTCATGCTGTTTCCTCTGCCAAGAAATCCTCCCTTCCTTGTCATTGTCTGGATGTTTACTAGAACATTCTTTAAGATTGCTCAGACCTCATTTCCTCCAAGTAGCTCTTTCTAAGACTCCTGGCCTCCTGCACACCCAGCTCCACCCGCGGTCTGGTTAAGTGCCCATTCTTTGGACTTCCGTAGCTCATAGCTCTTTATCCCACTGAAATTGCCTCTATGTGACCTCTCTGCCAACCAGAGGCAGAGACAATGTCCATGCATTCACCTCACAGTTATTGACATCCTTCTGGGTGTTGGGCACTATGTTGGGGAGACTGCAGAAACAAAACAAAGTTCCTGCTCTCGAGGAGCTTACATTCTAGTTGGGGGAAACAGTCAAAAATAAGTGGAGCAACAAATAAGATAATTTCAAATTGTGATGAATTTAATGAAGGAAATAAAAATAGTAACATGAAGATAGGGTAGATGGCTTTTTTTTTATTTTTATTTTTTAATAAATAGAGACAAGGTCTCACTATGTTGCCCAGGTTGGTCTTGAACTCCTGAGCTCAAGTGATCTGCCTGATTTAGTCTCCCAAAGTGCTAGGATTACAGGCATGAGCCACTGCACCCAGCTGGTGGCTGTTTTAAGTAGAATGACCAGGAAAGGCTTCTTGGAGGAGGTGACATACAAACAAAACCACAGACAGCTTTACCATGAAGTCAATGAAGCTTAAGCTTTAAGGCCCTCTCCTAGGCCCTGTATCTAATTGTATATTTGTAATTTGGTATCTTCAAAGGGGGGCCCTTCAAATTGTATAAGCTTTAGTAACCTATAAAATCTGTGTCTACCCCTGGCTGAACTCTAAAAAAGAAAAAAGGAACAAGTAAGAGGACGATCTGGATTATTCCAGCCAGAGAGTATCATGTGCAAAGGGCCTGTAATGGGAATAATTTCATCATGTTCTGAAGTAGGAACAAGAAACTGAAAGGTTGGTGTGGCCCTAGGGGAGTGAGAAATGGGAAGAGTGGGATGTGATCAGAGGACACCTGGCTGCAGATCACTCCTGAGCCATGGTAAGGAGTTGGGATTTTATTCTGTGAGCCTCGGAGAGCTGCTTCAGTGTCGCTAAGCAGGCAAGTAACATGATCGGACTCGCTCTAGCTGTCAGGTAGAGAATAGATGGTAGGGAGCAAGCGTGGAAACAGCAAGAGCATTTTGGAGGTCAGAGATGGTGGTGGCATGGACCAGAAAGTGGCATTTTCAATTCCTCTCCCCGTCCCCTGTACTCAGGGAGCTTGGCTGGGGCAAAAGTTTGGTAAACATTTGTCAGGTGAACAAACACCCAGCAACCGACAGGATTGCCTACTCCCCAGACAGAGCAGCTGCCACACAAGGCAGAGTGAGCCCTCTACAAACTCAGGACTCAAACTGTGGTCCTTGGACGAGCAGCATTGGCACCACCTGCAAGCTTGTTAGAAATGCAGAATCTTGGGTCCCACCCCAGATCTCCTGTATCAGAATCTGTATGTTGGCCGGGCATGGTGGCTCACGCCTGTCATCCCAGCAGTTTGGGAGGCTGAGGCAGGTGGATCACTTGAGGTCAGGAGTTCGAGACCAGCCTGACCAACATAATGAAACCCCCTCTCTAATAAAACTACAAAAATTAGCCAGGCATGGTGGTGGGTGCCTGTAATCCCAGCTACTCTGGAGGCTGAGGCAGGAGAATAATTGCTTGAACCCAGGAGACAGAGGTTGCAGTGAGCCAAGATCACACCACTGCACTCCAGCCTGGGCGACAGAGCGAGACTTTGTCTCCAAAAAAAAAAAAAAAAAAAAAAAGACTCCATATGTTAATAAGATTCCCAGGCGATTCGTGCACGCACCGAAATCTGAGACATGTTGTACCCCAACAACTGCCAGCCACACACTTGCCTGGGCTAACATCTTCCGTGGCTCCCCTGGCCCAGGATCAAGTCTAAGCTCCTTTCCCATCTTATTTTCCACCATTCCCCGCTACTCATTTTCTACTCTTGCTGCACTGAATTTCTCGCTGCTTCCCTAAAAACTCCATTTTTCCTCAAATCTCTTTGCCTTTCCAGCAGCCTGCTTTTGCCTATTGCTTTACCTAGAAAAATCTTACTCATCTTAAGACCTAATCTGAAAAAGCACTTCCTCTGGGATGCCTTCCCTGATCGCCACAGGCAAAATGAGTTGCCTTCTTCTCTGGGTCCCTATGCACTGGGCGCATTCCTCAGTCTAGCACCTGATACAGTATGTTTTAAGTATTAATTTCTGTGGCTGTTTCCTTGTCAGACTGGGCACTTCCTGAGGGCAGGGACTAGATCTTTTTCATCTCTTCAATCCCAGTGTCGGGCACCGAGGAATGAATGGATGAGTGGCCATGCCCTGATGATGGCTCCGAAATCCCCGGCACAAAGGAAGTGTGCACAGTCTCCCCAGGGGAGCTGTACTGGGGTGGAGTGGGTTAGGGAGAACAAGGTCTCTGGAGTCAGAAAGGTCTACAGGTTCATACCTGGCTTACCATTTACTTGCTGTATGACCTGGGGCAAGTGACCTCGCCTCTCTAACCTTCAATGTCTTCATTTGCAAAATCTTACAATCCTAACAATGGTTTCAAAGATAAGTATGCAAAGTGGCTGGAACAGGACCTGAGCCACAAATGACCAAGCCTCCCTCTCCCCACTGGCCCAGCTGCTTGGAGCCAGGGGAGGGGACTGTGGGCCAACATTGACCTAGGGGCTTTGACCTACACACTGGCTTTCCTGCCAGCTCCAGATAGAGCCTCCAGCTAATGGCAACAAAGCTTTCAACAGCTCAGGAAGAGGATGAACATTTGGAAAGAAAAGAAGAGGCTCAGACCACTCAGTTTAACACATGGGCACAGTTCCCTGATGGATCGAGGCTGGGCAGCTGGCCCAGGCACAGCCTTCAGCTGGGGGTGGGGTAGAGAGGCCATAAATATTCATGAGACAGAAGAATTCTGCTGTCTGGATCTGGTACCCTTTTCCCTGTGCAGCATTCGGCCCTCATCCCTGCTGGAAACATTCCCAGTCCCTAGGGAACCTGGAGAAGGGGTTCTCATCCATAGCTGGACAGCCAGAGAGGAGGGACCATCGGGAGATGGACAGAAGGAGGTATGTGCTGGTTGATTTCCCAGGCCAGATTGTGGGTTGGGAAGTTGGGTTCACCAGTCCTGCTAGCTCTTAACATTTGTGGGGCCAGTTGAGGTCAAAAGTACAAAATTCTAAATATTTATAAGCTATAAATAAGATACATCCAAGTTCATCCACAGCTCCTGCACCAGCAGTTCCTTGCAGCCCCGCAGGCCTGAGGGTGCATTCACCAACAGGGCAAGGACTAGAAGTGGTGAAGGCGGGGGAACACCACATTCCAAGTGGGCACACTCTCTTGGATCCAAGTACTCCTTGCTCTGTGGGGATCATGAGGCTGGAGCCCCCCTAATTTCAAGACACTGGGCACCATTTACTGGTATACAGTACATCTTGCCTATGATCATATTTCCTCCTCAGATCATCTTCGTGAGGCTGGTTTTACAAGATACCTAATTTTCTAGGGGTAAAAAGTGAGACTAGAGAAGAAAATAGATTTGTCCATAGTCACACAGCGGGGAAGTGGCAGACTTGGGATTTTGAACTCCAAGGTTCATTCTGACTCTCCTAGAACAAGCTGTGTCCCCTGCTAGAAGCAAACTGCTCCTTGGCCAGCTTGTCCACTCACAGACCTGTCTTACAGCCTGAGAATGGGAGCTCCAGATGCTGTGAGGCCCCAGGAAGAGATGCCTTTGACCTGGGGCCCTGCTTTTACCTTTGTTCCTCAAAGCTGGGAAGGGAATGCGACAAAGGGATGGCATGACCTGCTCTGTATCCATCTGACTCCCGCCTGGTAGGGCGAGAGCTGGGTCAGATCCTGGTTCAACCACTAAGCTCATCCTGTGATTCTGAGTCTCTGTTTCCTCATTTGTAAATGAAGATTTTTATATGGACTAAGAGAAAAGGATATTAAGAAAACAATCTTATTTACAACAGTATTCAAAAAAAATAACATACTTAGAAATAAACTTAACCAGCCAGGCACGATGGCTCATGCCTATAATAATCCCAGCACTCCGGGAGGCTGAGGCAGGCAGATCACTTGAGTTCAGGAGTTTGAGACCAGCCTGGCTAACATGGTGAAACCCCATCTCTACTAAAAATACAAAAATTAGCTGGGCGTGGTGGCGCATGCCTGTAGTCCCAGCTACTCAGGAGGCTGAGCCAGGAGAATCACTTGAACCGGGAGGCGGAGGCTGCAGTGAGCCAAGATCATGCCACTGCACTCCAGCCTGGGCGACAGAGCAAGACTCTGTCTCAAAAAAAAAAAAAAAAAAAAAAGGAAAAAAAAAAAAGAAACAAACTTAACCAAGGAGGCAAAAGACTTGTACATTGAAAACTACAAAACATTGCTGAAGGTCAGGCGCGGTGCCTCACGCCTGTAATCCCAGCACTTTGAGAGGCCGAGACAGGCGGATCACGAGGTCAGGAGATCGAGACCATCCTGGCTAACACAGTGAAACCCCGTCTCTACTAAAAATACAAAAAATTAGCCAGGCGTGGTGGCAGGCGCCTGTAGTCCCAGCTACTCGGGAGGCTGAGGCAGGAGAATGGCATGAACCCAGGAGGCGGAGCTTACAGTGAGCCGAGATCGTGCCACTGCACTCCAGCCTGGGTGACAGAGCGAGACTCTGTCTAGGAAAAAAAAAAATTGCTGAAAGAAATTGAAGATGACACAAATAAATGGAAAGACATCCCAAGTTCATGGATTGGAAGACTTAATATTATTAAAATGTCCATACCACCCAAAGTGATCTACAGGTTCAATGCCATTCTACCAAAATCCCAGTGTAATTTTTACAGAAATTTTTTAAAAATTGTAAAATTCATATGAAACCTCAAAGGACAACAAATAGTCAAAACAATCTTGAGAAAGAAGAACAAAACTGAAAGACAACTCCTGATTTCAAAACATATTACAAAGCTACAATAATCAAAATGGTTTGGACTGGCATAAAGACAGACACATAGATCAATGGGACAGAATAGAGAGACCCAAAATAAACCCTCACATACATAGTCAAATAATCTTTGACAAGAGGACCATGATTACACAATGGGGAAAGAATAGTCCCTTCAACGAAAAGTGCTGGGAAAGATGGATATCCACATGCAGAAGAATGAAGATGGGCTCTTATCTTACACCATATATTATACAAAAATTAACTTAAAATGGATTAAAGACCTAAACATAAGACCTGAAACTATAAAACTCCTCAAAGAAAACATAGGATAAAAGCTTCTTGGCGGGGTGTGGTGGTTCACGCCTGTAATCCCAGCACTTTGTGGGGCTAAGGTGGGCAGATCACCTGAGGTCAGGAGTTGAAGACCAGCCTGGCCAACATGGTGAAATCCCGTCTCTACAAAAATACAAAAAGTAGCCAGGCATGATGGCGGGTGCCTGTAATCCCAGCTACTCGGGAGGCTGAGGCACGAGAATCACTTGGACCAGGGAGGCGGAGGTTGCAGTGAGCCAAGATCGTGCCATTGCACTCCAGCCTGGGAAACAGAGCAAGACTCCATCTCAAAAAAAAAAAAAGCTTCACAACAGGCCAGATACAGTGGCTCATGCCTGTAATCCCAGAACTTTGAGAGGCCTAGGTAGGAGGATTGCTTGAAGCCAGGAGTTTGGGATCAGCCTGGGCAACGTAGCAAGATCTTGTTTCTACACAAAATTTAAAAAATTAGCTGAGCACGATGGCATGCACCTGTAGTCTCAGCTATTCAGAGGCTGAGACAGGAGGATACCTTGAGCCCAGGAGCTCAAGGCTGAAGTGAGCTATGATCATGCCACTGTACTCCAGCCTAGGCAACAGAGGGAGACTCTGTCTCTAAACAACAAAAAAATTAATTAATTAGTTATTTACATTAAAAACAATAAAAAGCCTCATGACATTGGAATGGGTCATAATTTCCTGGATATGACACCAAAAGCACAGGCAACGAAAGCACAAATAAACTATTTTTTGGCAAACTTTAAATAATCTCCATGAAGCAAAGGAAAACAATCAGCAGAGTGGAAAGGCAACCTGTGGATGGGAGAAAAGGCAACCTTTCGGATGGAACCAGATATCAGATAAGGGGTTAATATGCAGAACTCCTACAACTCAGTAACAACAATAACAAAAAATTCAATTTAAAAAATGGGCAAAGAACCTGAATAGACATTTCTCCAAAGACGATATACCAATGACCATAAACATGTGAAAAGATGGCTCAATATCACTGATCATCAGAGAAATGCAAATTGAAACCATAATGCAATATCACCTCAAACCCACTGGAATGGCCACTATCAGTAAAACAGAAATGTGTCAGCAAGGATGTGAGAAATTGGAACTTTCGCATAGTGTTCGTGGGATTCCAAAACGGTGCAGCCACTATGGAAAAGAGTATAGAAGCTCCTCAAAAAACTAAAATTAGAATGATTATATGACCCAACAGTTCCGCTCTGGGTATACTATATATTCAAAAGAACTGAAAACGGGATTTTTTTTTTTTTTTTTTTTTTTTTTTTTTGAGATGGAGCCTTACTCTGTCGCCCAGGCTGGAGTGCAGTGGCACGATCTTGGTTCACTGCAACCTCCGCCTCCCGCGTTCAAGCGGTTCTCAGCCTCCCTAGTAGCTGGGACTACAGGCACCCGCCACCTCGCCCGGCTAATTTTTGTACGTTTAGTAGAGACGAGGTTTCGCCATGTTGGCCAAGCTGGTCTCTAACGCCTGACCTCAAGTGATCCGCCCACCTTGGCCTCTCAAAGTGCTGGGATTACAGGGATGAACCACCACGCCCAACTGAAAACCAGATCTTTTTTTTTTTTTTTTTTTTTTTTTTGAGATGGAGTCTCGCTCTGTAGCGCAGGCTGGAGTGCAGTGGCGCAATCTCGGCTCGCTGCAAGCTCCGCCTCCCGGGTTCACGCCATTCTCCCGCCTCAGTCTCCCGAGTAGCTGGGACTACAGGTGCCCGCCACCACACCCGGCTAATTTTTTTTTTTTTTTTTTTGTATTTTTAGTAGAGAAGGGGTTTCACCGTGTTAGCCAGGATGGTCTCAATCTGCTGACCTCGTGATCCGCCCTCCTCGGCCACCCAAAGTGCTGGGATTACAGGCGTGAGCCACCGCGCCCGGCAGAAAACAGGATCTTGAAAAGACATTTGCACATTCATATTCATAGCAACATTATTCACAATCATCAAGCGTGGAAACACCTAACATGTCCATGGACAGATGAATGGATAAGCAAAATGTGGTATATACATACAATGGAATATTACTCAGCCTTACAAAGGAAGAAAATTCTGACACATGTTACAACATGGATGAATCTTGAAGACATTTCTGCTAAGTGAAATAAGCCAGCTCACAGGAAGACAAATACTATATGATTCCACTTATTATATGAGACATTTAAAGTAATCAAACGCATAGAACCAAAAGTAGAACGGTGGTTGCCAGGGGCTGGGAGGAGGGGAAAATAGAGAGATGTTCAACAGATGTAGAGTTTCAGTCATGCAAGATGAAAACATTCTTTTTTGTTTGTTTGTTTGAAATGAAGTCTCACTCTGTCACCCAGGCTGGAGTGCTGTGGCATGATATTGGTTCACCACAACCTCCGCCTCCTGGGTTCAAGCGATTCTCCTGCCTCAGCCTCCCGAGTAGCTGGGATTACAGGCATGCACCACCACACCCAGCTAATTTTGTATTTTTGGTAGAGACGGGGTTTCAACATGTTGACCAGGATAGTCTCGAACTCCTGACCTCAAGCGATCCACCCTCATTGACCTCCCAAAGTGCTGGGATTACCAGCATGAGCCACTGCGCCCAGCCAAGTTGAAAACATTCTATTGGCACTCGCAGGATTTAAAAAAAGAAAAGAAAAGAAAAGAAAACATTCTAGAGATCTATTATACAACAATGTGAATATAGGTAGCATGACTGAACTATACACTTTAAAAATGTTAACAGGGACCAGGCACATGGCTGGAATTACGTGGCCTGTAATTCCAGCACTTTGGGAGGCCAAAATGAGTGGATCACTTGAGCCCAGGAGTTTGAGACCAGTCTGGACAACATAGCAACACCCCAGTCTCTATAAAATAAATTTTTCAAAATGCATGCTAAGAGAGTAAATTTATGTTACGGTTTTCACCACAGTAAAAAAAAAAAAAAAATCAATGGGCCTAAGAGACGACAAATTTGAAAGTACATTGTGTATTTTTAAGTTAGAGTCATATGACTCAGTTTATGACTTAAAAGCTATGCAACCTTTGGTAAAACTGCTTGCCGCCTTCGGGCCTCATTTGTAAACCACATCTCTTTCATCAAGCGAAATAAAGGATGTACAGTATTTAGAGAACAGTGGTTAAGAGCACAGACTCTGGAGTCAGACTCTGTAGTCAGACAAACCTGGGTTCAGATCTTACCTCTCTCACTTCCTACCACAGAACCACAGCCAAGCATGTCCTCCCTCTGATTCTCAGGTCCCTCACTGAAAATGGAGCTGATAATACCCAGGCACATACCTCTCCAGAGTGGTGTGAAGAGTCAATGAAATAATGTGTATAAAGTCCTTATCAGGGCTGGGCGCAGTGGCTCATACCTGTAATCCCAGCACTTTGGGAGGCCAAGGCGGGCAGATCACTTGAGGTAAGGAGTTCGAGACCAGCCTAGCCAACATGGTGAAACCCTATCTCTACTAAAAATACAAAAATTAACCAGGCATGGTGGTGCATGCCTGTAATCCCAGCTACTCGGGAGGCCGAGGCAGGGGAATCACTTGAACCCAGGAGGCAGAGATTGCAGTGAGCCAAGATGACGCCATTGCACTGGAGTCTGGGCGACAGAGCGAGACTCCATCTCAAAAAAAAAAAAAAAAGAAGATGCCTGGTCTGGTCTACAGTGAGAGCTCATTGAATGTTGGCTATTGTTACTCTTACTTCCCTACCCCAGACAGAGTTGGAAATTCCACCTCAAGTTCCCATAACAATCTATCACATTGCATTATCATAGCTGTTGATTTCTCTCTCCTTTTGGACTGGGAATTCCCAAGGGCCAAGGCTTCTGGCATATCACCAATACCCATCACAGGGCCTCCTACATAGCAAACACATGAGAAATACTGACTAAATAGACAGGTGAGCCTCTGTACACACACAGTCACAGTGTCCCTCACTCTTCGCTTCCAAACTCTCACACCCCAGCTCTAGCCACTCCCAGCTCTTAGATTCGCTGGGGCCAGTCCCACTTTCCTCATCTATAAAATGGGAATAGCATCAACATTGAGGCTGGAAAGGTGGCCCACATCTATAATGCCAGCACTTTGAGAGGCTGAGGTAAGAGAATTGCTTGAGGTCAGGAGTTTAAGACCAGCCTGAGCAACATAACCAAATTTTGTCTCTACAAAATTAAAAATTAAAAAAAAAATTAGCCAGGCATGGTGGCACATGCCTGCAGTCCTAGCTACTATGGAGGCTGAGGCTGCAGGATCACTTGGGTCCATTACAGTAAGCTATGATCATACCACTGCACTCCAGCCTGGGCAACAGAGCAAGACCCTATCTCTTAAAAATAAAAATAAGGGCCCGGCGCGGTGGCTCACGCCTGTAATCCCAGCACTTTGGGAGGCCAAGGCGGGCGGATCACAAGATCAGGAGATCGAGACCATCCTGGCTAACACGGTAAAACCCTGTCTCTACTAAAAATACAAAAAATTAGCTGGGCAAGGTGGTGGGCGCCTGTAGTCCCAGCTATTCGGGAGGCTGAGGCAGGAGAATGGCGTGAACCCGGGGTGCAGAGTCTGCAGTGAGCCAAGATTGTGCCACTGCACTCCAGCCTGGGCAACAGCGAGACTCCATCTCAAAAAATAAATAAAAATAATAAATAAATAATTAATACAAATTAGGCTGGGTGGGGTGGCTCACACCTGTAATCCCAGCACTCTGGGAGGCCGAGGCAGGCAGATCACCTGAGGTCAGGAGTTCAAGACTGGCCTGGCCAACATGACGAAACCCCATATCTACTAAAAATACAAAAATTAGCTGGGTGTGGTGGCGCACATCTGTAATCCCAGCTACATGGGAGGCTGAGGCAGAAGAACCACTTGAACCCGGGAGGGGGAAGTTTCAGTGAACTGAGATTGTGCCACTGCACTCCAGCCTGGGTGACAGACCGAGACTCCATCTCAAAAAAAAAAAAAAACTTGACCTCACAGGATAGCCCTGATGTTGAAGACAGACAACCTCTACAGTGCTAGGCATATAGAAGGTACTCAATACATGAGTTACTTCCTGTTCTGACATGCCCTGTTGCTTGATATTTGTGCCCTGACCTGGCCGTGCCGACCACACCCTCTAATGTTACCTCTCACAGAGTGGTTTCAATACCATTTCTCCAAGATGCAGAAGGATTTGAGCGACGAATTAAGGGAGGAGAAATCCTGACCTCTGGGGAATTCTGTGCCAGGCTCCCTACAATTCCCAGCGCAAGGGACCATGCACATTTATTGGCTGATGAATGAAGCACCATGTCTGGGAGAGGTTACGGACAGGGTCTAGGGCACGAGGGATGAGGATGATCTGGGTACCAGTCAGAGTTACCCAGTGTTCCTTCTCATTGGGGACCTCATCCTGGCCCCAGATATGTATATTACATTGAGGAGACTCAGCCTCTGCTCAGTTGGCCTAGGAAACCCCAAGTCTGGCCTGGGTCTCTCCTCCTGGCTCCCAGATACCCAGGTGGTATCTGTTTGTGAGTTACCCTATCCAATTTTGCTTCCAGGACAGGGCCAGGAAGAGGGAGGGAGGAACCATCTCCTCTGGGCTGCCCCAGCACTGGGCACATCATGCCTCTGTTATGCCTCTGGTTTTTGTGTGTGTGTTGCGGGGGTGGGGGGTTGAGACTGAATCTCAGTCTATCACCTAGGCTGGAGTGCAATGATGCAATCTCAGCTTACTGCAACCTCCGCCTCCCAGGTTCAAGCGATCCTCATGTGTCAGCCTTCCAAGTAGCTGGGATTACAAGCGCATGCCACCATGCCTGGCTAATTTTTATATTTTTAGTAGAGACAGGTTTTCACCATGCTGGCCAGGCTGGTCTCAAACTCCTGATCTCAGGTGATCCACCCACCTCAACATCCCAAAGTGCTGGGATTACAGGCATGAGCCACCGCACACAGCCATGCCTCTGTTATACCAGGAATCACGCTGACATCTTCCCAGCCTGGGAGTTCCTGAGTCCTGCTGGTGTCCTCGTGGCCAGTCCAGGACCCCGTCCAGGGAAAAAAGCAGGGCTGGGCACAGGCCCTGGCGTCACACAGACCTGAGTCTGCACCTGGGTCTGTTTCTTCCTTGCTGCGTGATCCTTGGCTCTCCCAGCCTCCTTTTCTTCATCTGCAAAATGATGGTAATAAAACCTTCCTCACGGGGTGGTTGTGAGAGCTGAGTGAAGCAATTTACTCAATAACTGTGAACTCCCTTCCCTGCTGTCCTCAGAAAATGTTTGTTGAATAAGTGAATAAAGAAGCAACCAAACTGGCCATGCACTAAGCCAGCTACACATTCTCTCCTAGAAGCAACCGGGGTTAGCCGGAGAGAAAGCATAGGAACCGAAACCAGGAGATGTGGGCTCTGGCCTCAGCTGTGCCACTCACCCACATATCTTGACTGAGCCTCATTCCAGCTCTGAGCCTTGGGGTTTTTATCTGCAAAATGCGGTGCCTGTGCCTCGCTTATCTCAAAGCATTGTTGTAAAAAAAAAAGGAAGTGAGATTATTGGTGGTGACAGTTTTGGGTAAACAGTAAAGCACTTGGTACATTGAAATGGACTTTATGAACTGTGAAAGGTAGTGCAGGCTGGGTGCAGTGGCTCACGCCTGTAATCCCAGCGCTTTGGGAAGCCAAGGCAGGAGATGGCTTGAGGCCAGAAGTTCAAGACCAGCCTGGGAAACATAGCAAGATCCCGTTTCCACAAAAAAAAAAAAAAAAAAAAAAAGTTTTTTAAATTAGCCAGGCATGGTGGCATGCGCCTGTAGTCCTGGCTACTTGGGTGGCTAAAGCTGGAGGATAGCTTGAGACCAGGAGTTCAAGGCTGCAGTGAGTCACGATCATGCCACTGCTCTTCAGCCTGGGTGACAGAGCAAGACTGTGTCTCTTAAAAAAAAAGGGGGGGGGGTGTGCGGGGGGTGTAGGCCAGGCATGGTGGCTCACATCTGTAATCCCAGCACTTTGGGAGGCCAAGGCAGGCGGATTGCTTGAGCACGGGAGTTCAAGACTAGCCTGGGCATCATGTCAAACCCCACCTCTACAAAAAACAAACAAACAAACAAAACAAAACAAAAACAAAAACAAAAACAAAAACACAAAAATTAATCAGGCAAGATGGTGTGCACCTACAGTATCAGCTACTCGAGAGACTGAGGTGGGAGGACTGCTTGAGCCCAGGAGATCGAGGCTGCAGTGAGGTGTGATCACGCCACTGCATTCCAGCCTGCGTGACAGAGCAAGACTCTGTCTCAAAAGAAAAAAAAAAAGAGGAGGGGGGGCGGGGTATGCACAAATTTGGTTTTGACATGCTTCTCCCATTAGCCAGCCAAGCTCAACTCCAAACCCAGGCCCTGAAGATCTCCCACCTACAGAACCAAGGGGGTGGGGAGGGGTGGCTGAGTGGTGATCCTCCCCCTGCATATTCTGTCTCTCTCTCACACACAAACACACAAACAAATACACACACAGAATCTGGCTGTGATTCCCCTCGGCCAAAGACACACAGAGGCATATCAGCCTCTCAGCTGGCTTTGCTGGCCATCTGCTCCTGGGAGGGGAGCTGTCTGGCTGGAGCAGGCCACATGCAGCCCGGATATGCTCCCGGCCCATCATTCCAGATACATGTAGACATAGCCAGAGCCAGCTCCCTGTCCACCCCACATAACCACAGACACACATGCACACACAAAGACACACCAGAGGCTTCTCCCCGCTCTCATCATGCTGTCAAGGAGCCCAAGAGGGGGTGGTCAGAGAGGGGGCTGCAGCAGGGTCCCAGCACTTGCCCTTTGGGAGCTGGCTCTGCTCCCGACCCAGACACACACCCCTAGGCCCATCAAGGGGTGCTGCCGGCTCCTGCTCCACTGTTGCCCTCTCTGAGGTCCAAGCCTCCACCCATCTAGGGGATCAGAACAGGAAAGTGGGGGATGCCACCAAGAAAGAGAATGCCATCCTCTTCAACAAGGCCTCCTTCACAGGCCTGGGGTGGGAAGTGGGGAATCTCTGCTCCCTGTAAAAGGACAATAAGATCCCAGCCTCTCCTCATACCTGCTTCCCACCACCAGTCAGAGAAAACTCAGTCCTGTAGGCACATTTTGTCACTGATAGCATAAACTGTGAATTCCTTACTCCTTCAATGACCAGATGGGGAAACTGAGGCCCGGAGATGAGAAAGGATTTTCCCAAGGTGAACACAGTGTCAGGGGCAGAGCTGGGACCAGATACTGGGCCTCTGGCTCACCGTCCGTTCCCTTCCAACTGCAAAAACCGCTTCATCATTCATCTGTCCTGTGCATATTCTAAGCATATGCTATGTTGCAAACCCTGTGCTAAGGATAAAGGATACAACAGTGAACAAAACAGTTTCCTCATCCCTAAGGCGTTTAACAGCAGGAATCCCAGAGTCAGCATTAGAGGGAATTCATCAGTCCCCTTTGCGCAGCATTTTCCAATTGACAAAGCACTTCCCCATCCCAACTCTTACTTCATCCTCCCTGCAAACTCACAGATCAGTGGTTTGTTTGTTTTGTTTTGTTTTGTTTTTTGAGACGGAGTCTCGCTCTGTTGCCCAGGCTGGAGTGCGATGGCGCCATCTCAGCTCACTGCAACCTCCGCCTCCCAGGTTCAAGCAATTCTCCTGCCTCAGCCTCCCGAGTAGCACCCGCCACCACGCCCAGCTAATTTTTGTATTTTTAGTAGAGATGGGGTTTCACCATGTTCGCCAGGATGGTCTCCATCTCTTGACCTCGTGATCTACCCGCCTCGGCCTCCTAAAGTGCTGGGATTACAGACGTGAGCCACCATGCCCGGCCCACAGAGGTCAGTATTTTAACCTGCAATCTGCAAAGGAGGAAAGTGGAACTTCCGAACAACTCAAGGCCCCGGCTTGTCAGCAGGAGCTGAGATCGAAACCCCGGATGCCCACCTGAGGCCCAGGACCCAGTCATCTAAGGGGCTGAACTCTTTCTCCGGCGGTTTGTCAGCACCTAAAGATAGTGGTGTCTCTTTTGCTTCTCTAGCACTCCCCAACACACCTCCCACCCCTACCGCCTCCCCCAACACACACACCACCCCAAACACCTGGAACACAGCTGGGTATTCAGTCAGAGCTAAAGGAGAGCAGCCAGAGGTGTGGGGAGAGAGCCTGCTGGTTCTGTCATATTTCACAAGTGAGTGAGTGCACAGCCCCATGTCTGGACCTCCTGCAAGCAGAGGACGGTGGGTGCCAGCCTGGGCCCTGTCCCCAGCACCTGGGACCTGATAGGGGCTATTGTTTGTGGGCTTGGCCCTGTGTATAAGAACCTGGTTATTTTCAGCACCCCCTTCCCCACCCCGCAAACCTAGCATTTAGTGAGTTCCTAAGTACCCCGCCCTGTACCAGATCCTTTATATGACCCGACAATTCTGTGGGGGAGATGGGATTATCATTATTTGACAATTTAGAAAACTGCACAGAGATGGAGCGTAACTTGGCCAAGACCACACAGCTAGTCAAGTAGATGTCATTTGGCTCCCTGAGATCCAAGCTGCCCCCATCACCACCATCACCACCTCCCAGTAGGGTCTCTGGGGTCAGCACTGCCACCATCACCACCATCAACACCTCCCAGTGGGATCTCTGGGGTCAGCACTGCCCCAGCCTCAGAAAAGCCAAACTTGGGTGTTGGGTTCTCCAGGAATGTTTGGACACTAGAAGTTATTTCTAAACATGAGACTCTGGGCCTGAGAAAGGTGCCAGAAAAATCCCTTAAAAACAGAAGCAGCCGAGCACAGTGACTCAAGCCTGCAATCCCAGCACTTTGGGAGGCCGAGGCAGGCTGATTGCTTGAGCCCAGGAGTTAGAGACCAGTCTGGGCAACAAGGCAAGACCTCGTCTCCACAAAAAATACAAAAATTAGCCAGGCGTGGTAGAGCATGCCTCTAGTCCCAGATACTCGGGAGGCTGAAGTGGGAGGATCACCTGAGCCTGGCAGGTCCAGGCTGCAGCGAGCCATGATCGCGCCACTGCACTTCTGCCTGGACAACAGAGTGAGAGACCCTGTCTCAAAAAAAAAAAAAAAAAAAAAGAAAAGAAAAGAAATAGAAGCACCCATCTGCTTAGGTGCAGCCTGGGGGCATGACCTTGGTTTGCCTCCTGAGGACATTTTTATATGCCTCCCCCTTGCCCAGCAGGGGCCAGGATTCCCCCTTACCTGTAGCAGGGGCAGCGGCTTCAGCTGCAGTGACCGTGTGTCTCTGTCTGGGTCCTGGCCCCAGCCTCAGCCTCTATGCTGTCTGGCAATTGCAGAAGTGAAGAAACAGAGCGTATCACTACCAAGTCACCCCTGGGAGGAAATGCTGTGGCCCTAGGGCCTCTCAAGGGGTACCACAGGAACTTCCAAGCTGGGCCGCCAGGACCTGGGCACTGCACAGAGGCTTCTCAAAGAGCGAGGGATGGGGTGGGGTGTAGACAGCGCCCGAGGCCAGGAGCTAAGGTGAGAAAGAGGAAAAGCAAGAGAGAGAAAGCAAGTGCATGTACTCAAGAGAGCGAAAAAGGGAGCATGAGAGTGAGAAAGAGGAGGGAGGAGAGATGAGGGACCAGGAAAATCAAAGGAGAAAGGGAGGAGGCAGGAGGGAGTCGGGAAAAAAAATGAGAGGGCGGAGGAATGGATGGAGGGAGCGAGGCTCAGGGAAAAAGACAGATGTAAACACCGGGAGAGATGAGAGGAACAAGGAGATTCAGGGACAAAGACAAGGTAAGATCCAAGACAAAAGACGAGATGACAAGACACAGACAGCGAGCATGTGCCTGTGCACATTTGGGTCTGTGCGTCTCTGGATGGGGGTGAGAGAGAAAATAAAAGAAGGGGAGTGGAGGAAAGAGAATGCCCGCTGGGATATAAAGTGGAGGGAGAAGAGAGGAGCTCGGAAGAGCCACTGTGGTCAGGGGCATGACAGGGCAGGGCCTCCCTGGAGACCAAGAAACATTGAGCCCAGAAACCCCATGGGAACAGATCTGTGGGGGTGGAGGTGGAAGCTCCCTGAGACCGTGTTTTGTAGAGATAGGGTCTCCCTGTTTTGCCTAGGTTGGTCTCAAACTCCTGGGCTCAAGGGATCCTTCCGCCTCAGCTTCCCAAAGTGTTGGGATTACAGGCATGAGCCACTGAGCCTGGCCCTGTGTTTGTTTTTTTGTTCATGCGGTTGATTTCTGGAGAGAACTGGCTCCATTGTCCAGTAGAATGTTCTATATTCTGGACTTGGTTGATTGCTTCCTTGTGAGGTCCTTTAATCTATTCCTCTGTCTCCTGTATTTTCTGAAAACAGGTTTGATTAGATTCAAATTTGGACATACTTTCTTCTTTTTTTTTTTCACCCAGGCTGGTGTGGGTTGGCAGCGTATGAGTTCATGGGAGCATGCAGGTGAAGAGGGGTGGACAATCGATGGTGAATGCACATGAATCTCTGAGTGTAGGTGTGAGGGTATGTGTGAAAGTGAGCTGGTGGGGGCATCCCGTGTGCATAAGTGAGAGGTGAGCCAGAGTATCTGCCTCAGTTTCCAGTCCATTTACCCACTCATTCCTTCAACCAACCAACAAGCACCATCTGAGCACCCCCAGGCACCAGGCACTGGGGTGGACCCTGTCTAAAGAAGCAAGTCCCTCAGATACATCAGCCGACCCAACAACCTCCTACACAGAGAGGGAAACTGAGGTCCCGACAGGACCAGGGTCCCACAGCAAGGCAGGTATAAGGAGAGTCGGGGGCCTGCATCAGCATCCAGTCTCAGCTCCGCTCTGGGTATCTGGGCCAGGCTCCTCCTCCTAATGTCCCTTATCAAAGCCAAAAATGGCTCTCAAAGGACAAAACACTTTTTTTATTTTTTTATTTTTTATTTTTTTTGAGACAGAGTCTCACTCTGTCTCCCAGGCTGGAGTGCAGTGATGCAATCTCAGCTCACTGCAACCTCTGCCTCCCACTTTCAAGGGATTCTCCTGCCTCAGCCTCTGGAGTAGCTGAGATTACAGGCAAGCACTGCCACGCCCGGCTAATTTTTGTCTTTTTAGTAGAGACGGGGTTTCACCATGTTAGCCAGGCTGGTTTTGAACTCCTGACCTCCAATGATCTGCCCACCTCAGCCTCCCAAAGTGCCAGGATTACAGGCATGACCCACCGCGCCTGGCCAGAACAAACCACTTTTAACATTTGCCTCAGTCATGTAGAACTAGAGCCAAGCATCTGCCCCCTCCTCCACCTCCAGCCCCCCATCACACACAGGCAGACACACTCAGACCACATAACACTTGCACACTCGCATACACTCAGCGCCTACTCTCATGCGAAGATGCCCACTCACACTGTGTTCCTCCACTCACCTGCACACTCACGCCCAGTCTCCCCTCACTCACACCTGCCAGGCTCATCTCCTTCCTCGAGTTCATGCGTCCATACTGCTCCACACTCACGCACCGCACACACTCTCCCAATCCCCATGTCCTGCCAGGGACACTGAAACAGGCTCAGGCCAAGCACTTTGGGAGACCAAGGCAGGAGGATTGCTGAGCCCAGGAGTTCGAGACCAGCCTGGGCAATATAGTGAGACCCCATCTTCATATTTAAAACAAAAAAAAAAGAAAAGAAACAGGCTCAGTTTGATCATTTCTTCTTGTCTCCCTTACAGGCTTTTTGAGCCTCGAGTGCCCTGAAATATGAGGACATGGTCTGTACATGAACTTAGCCTTCATGCAAACTGCTCACCTAAAAGGCAAGGCCTCAACTCTGCTCCCCAGCCCAGATCCTTGGTTCCAAAACAGTTTCACCTCAGCCCTCCTCCAGCCACCACCCTCCAGGAGGGACAGCAAGCCTGGGAGGGACCTCCGGGA
Organism: Homo sapiens; assembly: GCF_000001405.40. Lineage (NCBI taxonomy): Eukaryota > Metazoa > Chordata > Mammalia > Primates > Hominidae > Homo > Homo sapiens. The sequence goes on from NC_000001.11 coordinate 28,179,259, forward strand.
TCAACCAGCCTCCATTGCCCAGAGTCTCCAGGACGCCTGGCTCAAGGTCCGGAACTGTTGGCTCGGCCTGCCTTCCAGTATAGTCCCTTCCATGCGCGCATGTGGCAACTGCAGATCAGCACCTCTTTTGAGATTATCAATAAGCAGGGTAGGTAGGTAGATATTACTATCAATATTTTACAAATGAGGAAACTGAGTTCAACTCTTTCTCTCACACCCCACATCCATTCTGTTAGCAAATTATGTTGGCTCCACTTGAAAATATGTCCAGATTTGGCCGGGCACAGTGACTCACGCCTGTAATCCCAGCACTTTGGGATGCTGAGGCGGGCAGATCACTTGAGGTCAGGAATTCAAGACCAGCCTGGCCAATACGGTGAAACCCTGTCTCTACTAAAAATAATAATAATTAAAAAAAGAGCCAGGCATGGTGGCACACACCTGCTGATTACCGCTGGTAATCCCAGTGGCTTGGGAGGTTGAGGCATGAGAATTGCTTGAACCCAGGAGGCGGAGGTTGCAGTGAGCCAAGATGGTGCCACTGCACTCCAGCCTGGGTGGAAAAAAAAAAAGAAAATATGTCCAAATTTGAATCTAATCAAGCCTTTAGGTCTAACCTCAGTTTTCAGAAAATATAGGGGACAGAGGAATAAATTAAAGGACCTCATAAGGAAGCAATCAACCAATTCCAAAATATAGAACATTCTACTGGACAATGGAGCCAGTTCTCTCCAGAAATCAACCGCTTGAACACAAAAACAAACAGAGGGCCAGGCTCAGTGGCTCATGCCTGTAATCCCAACACTTTGGGAAGCTGAGGCGGAAGGATCCCCTGAGCCCAGGAGTTTGAGACCAACCTGGGCAAAACAGGGAGACCCTGTCTCTACAAAACAAAACAAAAGTTAAAAATAAAATGAAATAAAAGCACAAAAGAAACAGGGAGGAGATTGTTCCAGATTAAAAGAGATTTAAGAGGATGGACATGGTGGCTCACGCCTGTAATCCCAACTACCCGGGAGGCTGAGGCAGGAGAATTGCCTGAACCCGGGAGGCAGAGGTTGCAGTGAGCCAAGATCAAGCCACTGCTCTCCACCCTGGGCGACAGAGCAAGACTCTGTCTCAAAATATATATATATAAAAAAGAAGTTGCAGCTGAGCCTGCAACAGGCAGGGAGGGAACCAGGAAATAAATACTCAAACCTTTCTCTTCTCCCATCCTCTGACATCTTATCGGCACCGCCAGTTGGCTGACCCCAACCAGAAACAAAGGAACCATTAATGTGGTCCATACAGGGCAGCCTCCGGGGCAAGAGGTGGGTGAAGAAGGGTGGAGTGTACTCTGGGCATGCATCACCAATCCCACAGTGGGTCTGGAGGAGAAAGCAGAAGATATCCAGGACAGACATACCTGAGAAAATCACAGAAACTGGTATATGGACAGGATTTTAGATAATTCTAAGGAATTATTGATAATAGCATTAAGAGATAATGGTGTTGCAGTTATAAACAAAATGTCCATATATGTGGAATTTGCTTTAAAATATTACAGCAAAATAAGAAGAAAGGAAGGAGAGAGAAAGTAAAGAAAAAGAGAAGAAATAAAGAAGGATGGATACAGAGTATGAAGAAAAAAGAAAGGAAGAGGAATGAAGGGAGAGAGGGGAGAAATAGAAAATGTGGCAAAATATTTATTTTATTGATTGATTGATTTTTATTTATTTATTTTTTTGAGATGGAGTCTCACTCTGTCTCCCAAGTTGGAGTGCAGTGGCGCGATCTCAGTCTCACTGTGTTGTCCAGGCTGATCTCAAACCCCTGACCTGAAGCAATCCGCCCTCCTCCGCCTTCCAAAGTGCTGGGATTACAGGTGTGAGCACCACGCCCGGTCGTGTGTTATTTGAAACCACTAAGTTTGTGGTAACTTCTTATAGCAGCCACAGGAAACTACCACAAGGATTTCTTGTACTCTTCCTTCTCTTTTTGTGTATGTTTGAAAACTTTTCTATGAAGTTGTGTTTGAGCACGTACAATTCACAACACCACCTATAAAACAGTCTTGCCAAGGAAACCGAAACAGAATCAGCAAGTTTAATCACTAGTTTACTCCTGTTACAGAAGGAAACAGATCATAGGGATGCACTCAACAAACGCACATGATAAGAAACATATGGAACACACAACCTGCTTTCTTCAATAAATAAATTCTAGCCGGGCGCGGTGGCTCACGCCTGTAATCTCAGTACTTTGGGAGGCTGAGGCGGGCGGATCACCTGAGGTCAGCAGTTCAAGACCAGCCTCAACATGGAGAAACCCCGTCTCTATTAAAAATACAAAATTGCCGGGCATAGTGGTGCATGCCTGTAATCTCAGCTACTCGGGAGGCTGAGGCAGGAGAATTGCTTGAACCTGGGAGGCGGAGGTTGCGGTGAGCCGAGATTGCACCATTGCACTCCAGCCTGGGCAACAAGAGCGAAACTCCATCTCAAAAAAATAAAAATAAATAAATAAATAAATTCTAAACAAGAAAAAAAGATATAGGGAGAAACTATTGATTAAAAGATAATTAAGAGGTCAAGCATAGGAGCTCATGCCTATAATCCCAGCACCTTGAGAGGCCGAAGTGAGAGGATCACTTGACACAGGAGTTTGAGACCAGCCTGGGCAACACAGTGAGAACTCACCTCTAAATAAATTAACTACTTAAATAAAGAGAATTAAGAGACATAGCAACCAATTGCTACATGAATCTTCTCGGATCCTGATTCAAACAAAAGGGAAAAAAAAGAAAGAAATTGGGCCAGGCGCAGTGGCTCATGCCTGTAATCCCAGCACTTTGGGAGGCCGAGGTGGGTGGATCACTTGAAGTCAGGAGTTCGAGACCAGCCTGGCCAACATGGTGAAACCCCGTCTGTACTAAGAATACTAAAATTAGCTTGGCATAGTGGCACATGCCTGTAATTCCAACTACTCAGGAGGGTGAGGCAGGAGAATCGCTTGAACCTGGGAGGCAGAGATTTCAGTGAGCCAAGATTGCACCACTGCACTGCAGTCTGAGTGACAGAGTGAGACTCTGTCAAAAAAAGAAAGAGAGAGAGAGAAAAGGAAGGAAGGGAGGGAGGGAGGGAAATTGAGCATTGCCAGGCATGGTGGCTTATACCTATAATCCCAGCACTTTGGGAGGTCCAGGTGGTCCTCACTTGAGGACAGGAGTTTGAGACCAGCCTGGACAACATAGCCAGACTCCATCTTTACAAAAACTTTTTAAAATTCGCTGCAGTGAGCCATGATCATGCCACTGCACTCCAGCCTACATGGCAGAGTGAGACCCTGTCTCTTAAAAAAAAAAAAAGTGTGCTGATAATTGTTGAAGCTGGCTAAGGGTACATGAGGATCCATTATACCTTTAAATGTACTGTTGCACATGTTTTCTGTTCTTTTTGAGACGGAGTCTCACTTTTGTCACCCAGGCTGGAGCGCAACGGCACGATCTCGGCTCCCTGCAACCTCCGCCTCCCGCTTTCAAGTGAGTCTCCTGCCTCAATGTCCCAAGTAGCTGGGATTACAGGCACCTGCCACCATCCCTGGCTAATTTTTGTATTTGTAGTAGAGATGGGGTTTCACCATGTTGGCCAGGCTAGTCTCGAACTCCTGACCTCAAGTGATCCACCCACCTCAGCCTCCCAAAGTGCTGGGATTACAGGTGCGAGCCACCAGGCCCGGTGGTTTTCAATTTTTTATAATTAAGAAAGGGTTTTTTGCTGTTTGTTTTTTAAAGAAATTCAATTTTGTGTTTGTTTTTTAAAGCAATACTTGTTGAGCTTTTGAGATCAGAACAGCAGTGAAAAAGAAAACTGTCCCAATGTTATGTAGTGGATAATTGTGTCTTGGGATATAATTTTCCTGTGATAGCATCTTATTGGGATGTTAAGTGCTGTATCTCATTCAATGGAGACGGAAGTGAAAAGTATGCAGCCTAGAAAGCTCTGTTAAATGACAGAAAAGGGGCTCCAACAACAATGAAGATGCTGGCGTAAAAGATGCTTATACATTTGTTTCATGAAATTTGAGTGCAAAAAAGAAATATTTATAAAATAACGAGCTATTGCCCACAATATTTAAGTATATAAGTAATTAAAAGAATAAATTAAATATTATAAGTAAGGCTGGGCACAGTGTCTCACGCCTATAAAACCACATCTCTACAAGAAATACAGAAAAAATTAGCTGGACATGGCAGTGCATGCCTGTAGTCCTAGCTACTCAGGAAGCTAAGGTGGGAGGATCACTCGAGCCCAGCAGGTTGAGGGTGCAGTGAGCCGTGACTACACCACTGCCACTCCAGCCTGGGTAACAGAGTGATATCTTCTCTTCAAAATATGTGTGTGTGTAATAGGTAGGAATTTTACTGTATCAGTGGTTCTCAACCAGAGGCTCTTTTGCCCTCTAGTGAAACCCCGTCTCTACTAAAAATACAAAAATTAGCCGGGCGTGGTGGCACATGCCTGTTAATCCCAGCTACTCAAGAGGCAGAGGCAGAAGAATCACTTGAACCCGGGAGGCAGAGGTTGCAGTGAGCCAAGATCACCCCACTGCACTCCACTCCAGCCTGGGCAACAGAGCAAGACTCCATCTCAAAACAAAACAAAACAAAAAAAACTTTAAATGATGGATGGATAGATAGATAGATAGATGATAGATCCAAAATCTTGCCACTTCTCACCACCTCCACTGCTATAGCCCTGGTCCAAGTCCCTCCACCTCCCCGCTGGATTGCAGCCTCCTCCCTCGTCTCCCTGCTTCCATACTCACGTCCCCATTAGTCTGTTTTTTTTTTTTTTTTTTTTTTTTTTTTGAGCTGGAGTCTCATTCTGTCACCCAGGCTGGAGTGCAGTAGCGTGATCTCAGCTCACTCCAACCTCCGCCTCCCAGGTTCAAGCAATTCTCCTGCATCAGCCTCCCAAGTAGCTACAATTACAGGTGTGCACCACCACGCCCAACTGATTTTTGTATTTTTAGTAGAGACGGGTTTTCACCATGTTGGCCAGGCTGGTCTTGAACACCTGACCTCACGTGATCCGCCCACCTTGGCCTCCCAAAGTGCTGGGATTACAGGTGTGAGCCACCGTACCCGGCCTAGTCTGTTCTTAATACAGCAACGCGGTTGAACTATTAAACATCAGTCACATCACATCACTCCTCTGCTCAAAGCCCCCCAGGGCCTTCCATCTCACGTACAGGAGAAGTCAAAGTCCTTTAAAGCACCCTCAAGACCCTGTAAGACCTCACCTCATCTCCTACATCTCGCTCCCTCCACTGTAGTCGTTCTGTTCTTCCTGCCCTTCTTCAACACACTCTCACCTCACCCTTTTGTTTTTCCTTTTGTTTTTTTGTTTGTTTTTGAGACAGAGTCTCCCTCTGTTGCCCAGGCTGGAGTTCAGTAGTGCAATCTCAGCTCACTGCAACCTCCTCTTCCTGAGTTCCAGCGATTCTCCTTCCTCAGCCTCTCAAGTAGCTGGCATTACAGGCGTGCACCACCACACCTAGCTAATTTTTGTATTTTTAGTAGAGATGGGGTTTCACCATGTTGGCCAGGCTGGTCTCGAACTCATGACCTCAAGTGATCCACCTACCTCGGCCTTTCAAAGTGCCGGGATTACAGGCGTAAGCCACCATGCCCGGCCTCACCTCACCCTTTTGCACCTGTTGTTCTCTCTGCCTGGACCACCCTTCCTCAGACACTCAAAGTTAGGTCTTTCCTCAAAAGCCACTTTCTCAGTGGGGCCTTTCCTGACCACCCTAATAAGTTGCAGCCATCCCCCCACATTCCCAGGCTCTCATCCTGCTTTCCTTTTCTCCACAGCACATATCACATCTAATACAACATGTATTTTATTTATTTATTTACTTTGCTCATTATCTTCTCCCCAGCTAAACTGTAATCTCCTTGAGTTTATTGCCAAGATCTGGAACATTGCCTGGCACATTGCAGGTGCTGGATAAAGCTTATTGAATGAATGAATGACATTAGAGAGAGGAAGTGATTTATCCAAGTAACATAGCTGGTAGGTAACAGAGCTGGAATTAGGATCCAGATACACTAAACTAGGGCAGTCCTGCACAACTATTATAAAGGGGTTGTTCAGTTCTTTCTGCTCTCAAAACTTGTCCTTTGCCAAGAGTGTTGTGGACATTTCCTTGCTGTGAGTATCGCTTTTCTCATCAGCAAATGGAGGATAATGGGGGTGAAAGAATACCATAGGGAAAAGGGCATGGGTTTTAGAATCAAAGAGACTTGAGTTCAAATCTTGATGCCATCTGCTTTCTGTGTGAACTTGAAAAAGCCAAATTACCTCTTCAAGCCTGTTTTCTAATTTGCAAATGGGAATAATCATATAGGAATAATCACAACCTTATTCTGTTGTAAAGACTATCAGACCAAAGGAAAAAAAGGTTACGAAGATTGGGAAGGAAAAGCAAAACTGTCATCTTCGCAGATAGTATGACTATTTACATAGGAAAATTGCAGCAATTCCATAGAAAAATTATTAGAACCAAAACAGCACCTAAACAAGATTTCTGGATATAAAACCAACATGTAAAAAGCAATCATGCTCCTATAAACAAGCAATTAAATAGAAAATGACATTATTAAGAAGACACAACTTATAACAGCAAGAAAACTATTTTGGCTTTTTTTTTGTTTTTTCTTCTTTTGGCCAAAGATATGCAAGATCTTTGAGATGGAGTCTTATCCTGTCACCCATGCTGGAGTGCAGTGGCGCCATCTCAGCTCACTGCAACCTCCGCCTCCTGGGTTCAAGCAATTCTCCCACCCCAGCCTCCCCAGTAGCTGGGACTACAGGTGCACACCACATGCTCGGCTAATTTTTTTGTTTTGTTTTGTTTAGTAGAGACAGGGTTTCACCATGTTGGTCAGGCTGGTCTCGAACTCCTGACCTCAGGTGATCCGCCTTCCTCGGCCTCCCAAAGTGCTGGGATTACAGGCGTGAGCCACTGTGCCCGGCCCCAAAATGTGCAAGATCTTCATGAAGGAAATTACAAAAGTTATTTAAAAAAAAAACAAGAATTAAATAAATGGGTAGATGTACTATATTCATGCATGAGACTGTCAATATAATCAAAATACAAATTCTTTCCAATTTAATCTATAAATTCAGAACCAGTACAATCAAAATCCCAATAGTTTTCCCAGAAAATTTATAGGCTAATCCTAAAATTCGAAATGAAAAAGCAAAGCGCCAAGAGTAGCTGAGAAATTTTTGAAGAACAAGGGCATATATATGAACAACAAGGATACCTGAAAAGACTTTTCATATCACATGTCAAGTCTTACTTTAAAGTCACAGTATTAAGACAGAGTGGTGCTGGGCGTAGTGGCACACACCTGTAATCTCAGCATTTTTGGTAGGCTGAGGCAGGCGGGTCGCCTGAGGTCGGGAGTTCAAGATCAGCCTGGGCAACATGGTGAAAACCCATCTCTAATAAAAATACAAAAATTAACCCGGGGTGGTGGCACACGCCTGTAATCCTTGCTTCTGCAGAGGCTGAGGCAGTAGGATCGCCTGAACCCGGGAGACAGAGATTGCAGTGAGCCGAGATCGTGCCATTGCACTCCAGCCTGGGTAACAGAGGGAGACTCCATGTCAATCAATCAATCAATCAATCAAGACAGAGTGGTATTTTTTTCTTTTATACCAACGGGGGTCTCACTATGTTGCACAGGCTGGTCTTGAACTCCTGAGTTCAAGTGATCTGCCCGCCTCGGCCTCCCAAAGTTCTGGGATTACAGGCGTGAGCCACCTCGTCCAGCCCTCAAGAGTGATATTATCATAGTGATTCCAAAACCCATGCTCTTTTCCCTGTGGTATTCTTCCACCCACACTATCCTCCGTTTACTGATGAGAAAAGGGCTACTCACTGAAGTGAGGAGGAATAAACAGAGCAAAGGAACAAAACAGAGACCCCCATAAATAGAGAGCTCATCTATGGAAACTTGACACATATGACAGAGTTGCCATTACAGATCAATAAGAGTAGATATTAGCTACTAATAGCCACTAATAGTGCAAGTTATTAGCTATCCATTAAGGAAAAAAATAATAAAATTAGATCTCTCACTTCATATCCAGAATTAAATTCCAAATGGAATAACAACCCACGAAAAGCAAAATATGCAAAATTTTGGAAGAAAATAGAGTTGAATATCTTTATGATCTAGGGGTGAGAGAAAAAAAAATTTTTTTTTAAGACAGAGTCTCGCTCGTCACCCAAGCTGGAGTGAAGTGGTGCAGTCTTGGCTCACTGCAACCTCTGTCTCTGGGCTCAAGCCATCCTCCCACTTGAGCCTCCCGAGTAGCTAGGAATAGAGGCACCGTGTATTTTTTGTAAAGGTGGGGTTTCGCCATGTTGCCCAAGCTGTTCTCAAACTCCTGGCCTCAAGCGATCTGTCCACCTCAGTCTCCCAAAGAGCTGGGATTACGGGCGTGAGGCACCATGCCCAGCCAAGAAAACTTCTTAAATTAAGACATGGAAATTACACATAATAAAGAAAAGCTGGATAAATTTGACCATAGAAATGTGAAAACTGTACATTAAAAGACACTGTAAAACTGATGAAAGCCAGGTGCAGTGGCTCACACCTGTAATCCCAGCACTTTGGGAGGCTGAGGCAGGCCGATCAATTGAGCCCAGGGTTCAAAACCAGCCTGGGCAACATAGCAAGACCTCATCTCTACTGAAAATACAAAAATGGCCGGGAGCAGTGGCTCACACCTGTAACCCCAGCACTTTGGGAGGCTGAGGCAGGTGGATCAATTGAGCCCAGCAGTTCAAAACCAGCCTGGGCAACATAGCAAGACCTCATCTCTACTGAAAATACAAAAATGGCTGGGAGCAGTGGCTCACACCTGTAACCCCAGCACTTTGGGAGGATGAAGCTGGCAGATCGCTTGAACCCAGGAGTTCGAGACCAGCTTGGGCAACGTATCAAGACGCTGTCTCTACTAAAAATACAAAAACTAGCCTGGTGTGATGGTGCACGCCTGTAATCCCAGCTACTTAGGAGGCTGAGGCATGAGAATCACTTGAGCCCAAGAGGCAGAGGTTGCACTGAGCCAAGATCTTGCCACTGCACGCCAGCCTGGGTGACAGAGGGGGACTCTGTCTCAAAAAACAAACAGGCTGGGTACAGTGGCTCATGCCTGTATCCTAGCACTTTGGGAGGCCAAGGCAGGAGGATCATCTGAGGTCAGGAATTCGAGACCAGCACGGCCAACGTGGTGAAACCCCGTCTCTACTAAAAATACAAAAAATTAGCTGGGTGACAGGCCCCTATAATCCCAGCTATTCAGCAGGCTGAGGCAGGAGAATCCCTTGAATCCTAGAGGTGGAGGAACCCGGGAGATCGCACCACTGCACTCCAGCCTGGGCAACAAGAGTGAAACTCCATCTAAAAAAAAACAAAAACCAAAAACTGATGAAGAGTCACAAATCAGAAGATATTTGCAACATATATAACAAAGAATTTTCAGGCATTGCATAATATAAATTTTAGAAGTCAACAAAAGAAAAACCCAATAGAAAAATGAGTCAATAAAGGAATAGGCAATTCACAGAAGGAAAAGCCCAAATGACCGAGAAATATAAAAATATAGTCAACATTTCAGGAAATCAGGAGCCTAAGTTAAAACAATCACCACCCACCTGAATAGAAGAAATTCAAGTCTGGCAGTTCCAAGTACTGGAGAGGATACAGAGCGATGGAAACTCTCATTACCCTGCCAAAAGACAGTGCAACTGCCACTACTATTTTGGAAGTTAATTTCATAATCAATGCTTGCCAGATGTTGTGCCAATTAAAAGAAAAATAAAATAATAAAAAATAATAGTTGTACAATAAAGTTGAAAATGTGCACATTCTTCCTAGGTATTTACCAAAAATATTAAACACAGAAATAAGGAAACAGACATTTGTATGATTCTTCAGTGCGATCCTGTACATATGTTAAAATGAGAAGAGCTGCATATAATAACAAAGATAATAAACATAATGCGGCCGGGCATGGTTGCTCATGCCTGTAATCTCAGCACTTTGGGAGACGGAGGCGGGCAGATCACGAGGTCAGGAGTTCGAGACCAGCCTGTTCAATATGGTAAAACCCCATCTCTACTTTTTAATACAAAAATTAGCCGGGCATGGTGGCGCGCGCCTGTAGTCCCAGCTACTCATGAGGCTGAGGCAGGAGAATCGCTTGAACCCAGGAGGTGGAGGTTGCAGTGAGCCGAGATGGTGCCCCTGCACTCCAACCTGGGCAACAGAGTGAGATTCCGTCTTTAAATAAATAAATAAATATAAATAAACATAATGCGATACTAAAAAAGCATGTTGCAGAGGATAAATTATACTTTTTGAGACAAGCTCATGCACTCCAGGCTGGAGTGCAGTGGCATGATCTTGGCTCACTGCAACCTCCACCTCCTGGGCTCAAGGCGTCCTCCCACCTCAGCCTCCCGAGTAGCAGAGACTACAGGTGCACACCACTGTGTCCAGCTAACTTTTGTATATTTTGTAGAGACAGGGTTTCACCATGTTGGTCAGGCTGTTCTCTAAATCCTGGAATCAAGTGATCTGCCTGCCTTAGTCTCCCAAAGTGCTGGGATTACAGGCATGAGCCACCATGCCTGGCCAAATAACATTTATTTTTTTTGAGATGGAGTTTTGCTCTTGTTCGTTGCCCAGGCTGGAGTGCAGTGGTGCAATCTCGGCTCACTGCAACCTCCACCTCCCAGGTTCAAGCGATTCTCCTGCCTCGGCCTCCCAAGTAGCTAGGATTATGGTCATGTGCCACCACGCCCGGCTAATTTTGTATTTTTAGTAGAGACGGGGTTTCTCCATGTTGGTCACGCTGGTCTCAAACTCCCGACCTCAGATGATCCGCCTGCCTGGGCCTCAGAGTGCTGGGATTACAGGCGTGAGCCACCATGCCTGGCCAGATAACATTTCTTAGCACATTAACACATTATTATGCTGGAGAATGCAATACACATGCATCCACATATAAAGACAAATTCAGGATATGATTACCTCTGGGAAAGAGGGGGTGGAATGAGTGTGGGTACACAGGAGGCTTCTATTACATCTGTAATATTTAACAGTGCAGTGGATACACAACTGTTTTGTAATATTATTCTACAGATTATATTTATCTTGTATTCTATAAGATAAATACATAAGCCTGAGATTGGCAAAGAGAATCTGGAGAATGAGGAAGTGAGAAGTCCAGGAATATGCCACATCATCTATCAGGCTTGCCATTAAGTCGTAGTAGTTAAGAAGGGGTGGTATAGACAATATCAAGGATAGACAATAGTGCAAAATAACAGAATAGAGAAAGAGTCACGGGAGGAAGGGGACTGCTCTAAAACCAGAGGTCTCTGAGAGCCCAAAAGTAACTTAGGCAGCAAGTTCCCAGGGAGACTCCTGGGGATGGACAGCCCTGAATCTTCTCTTCCTCCTCACCACAACCTCAGCTTCTCTCTTGGGCTCTCTCTCCCTCTCTCTCACAGCCTTCCTCAAACTTAGGGAGTTTCAATCTCACCTCTGCCACTTCACAACGGTGTCACCTTGGACAAGTCCCTGGGCCTCCCTGAGCCTCAGAGTCTTCATCTGTGAAGCACTGCCATCCTCACAATGGGATTAGGCCGGTAAAGGACGCCTGGCCGCTATCATTCTCCTCTCTTTTCTCCTCTTCCTCTTCCTCTCCCTCACCCTTTCCCTCCCTTGCTCAGGGCTGAGTCCTGCTGGCCCTCCCTCTTCAGCTCGGGAGCAAAGCAAGACCTGCTCCGCTCCCTATCTTGTAAGAAAGGTCACCGTGGCATGCACTGTATCCTGAGAGGAAGACTCAGAGATGTGGCCAGGCCTCGCGGGGGAGGCCTGACAGGGAGAACAATCCAGACCAGGAAATTCAAAGGCAGGGAGGTCCCTAGAGGTTTAGGGCAGCAGAGGACTTAAGTTGGAAGAAGCCCTAGATGAGGCCGCTGGCTTTGCCTGGGCAGGGGAGGGCCTGGGAAAGCCCACAGAGCCTGGGCACTCTTCATAGACCTAGAAAGCTATGACATTGGTATGAAATGTAACTGTCATGAGTCTAACTCAGTGGTTAAAAGAAACGTCTCCAGCCGGGCGCAGTGGTATATGCCTGTAGTCCAAGCGTTTTGGGAGGCCAGGGTGGGTGGACCACTTGAGCTCAGGAGTTTGAGACCAGCCTGAGCAACATAGCGAAACCTCATCTCTACAAAAAGAAAAAAGAAAAGAGAGAGAGAGAGAGAGAGAGAGAGAGAGGTCTCCTAGAGTAACTCAGGCTTCCTCCAAGAGGGAGATAGGGTGGTTGGAGAACAAGGATAGGAGAGCGTCTTTTCTCTATGTACTCTTTTATATCTATTGAACTTTTAACTTGCTAATTTGTTAACTCTCTCTCTTTTTTTTTTTTAATTAAAAAAAAAAGAGGCCAGGTGTGGTAGCTCATGCCTGCTGCAATCCCAGCACTCTGAGAAGCCAAGGCGAGAGGATCGCTTGAGTTCAGGAGTTCAAAACCAGCCTAGGCAACATGATGAAACCCTGTCTCTACAAAAAAATATAAAAATTAGCTGGTCATGGTGGTGCATGCCTGTGGTCCCAGTTACTCATGAAGGGACTGAGGCGGGAGGATCGTTTGAGCCTGGGGTCTCCAGGCTGCTATGAGCTGAGATCGTGCCGCCACTGCCCTCCAACCTGGATGACAGAGTGAGATTGTGTCTCAATAAATAAATAGTAAAACATTTAAAAAAAAAAAGGTGGACTCTGGGACCAGACTCACCTAAGTTTAAATTCCATTACAGCCTCTTAGTTGTGGTACATTAGGCAAGTTTCTTAACCTCTCTGAGCCTATTTCCATAGTTGTAAAATGAAGATAATAATACCTACTTCATAAAGGTTTTACACAACTGCATAAGATAATACTTGTGGCCGGGCGCAGTGGCTTATGCCTGTAATCCCAGCACTTTGGGAGACCGAGGCGGGTGGATCACCTGAGGTCAGGAGTTCGAGACCAGCCTGACCAACATGGAGAAACCCCGTCTCTACAAAAATAGAAAATTAGCCGGGCATGATGGCACATGCCTGTAATCCCAGCTACTTGGAAGTCTGAGGCAGGAGAATCACTTGAACCTGGGAGGTGGAGGTCGCAGTGAGCCAAGATCACGCCATTGCACTCCAGCCTGGGCAATGAGAGCAAAACTCCGTCTCAAAAAAAAAAAAAAAAAAAAGATAATGTTTGTAAAAGCCTTGGTGTTTGGCTCCCAGGAGGCATGTGGTAAATGCTGGGTTTTTTTTTTGTTTGTTTGTTTGTTTTTAAGACAGAGTCTCGCTCTGTGCCCAGGCTGGAGTGCAGTGGTGGGATCTCAGCTCACCGTAACCTCCGCTTCTCGGGTTCAAGTGATTCTCCTGCCTCAACCTCCCAAGTAGCTGGGATTACAGGCACCCGCCACCATGCCGGGCTAATTTTTGTGTTTTTAGTAGAAACATGGTTTCACCATGTTGGCCGGGCTGGTCTCGAACTCCCGACCTCAGGTGATCCACCTGTGTTTTTATTATCAGTGTGCTCTAAGTCCTAGGGCCATAGGAAGCAGCACTGAGACAGCTGGGAGTGCTAGCTTCTCCTGTCATGCTCTTTAGTGCGGCTGGGACCCCCGGCTCAGCTCTGCCCTTCTTGCTCCACTGTGTGGCCTGGCTGCCAGTGCATGAGCTCGGGAGGGTAAGAAGTGGGGATGGGATTACTGACCTACTGACTGAACAGTAGGGCGGGTGCATCTAGGGGAAGGGGAGTTCTGTGATATGTACAGATGGTTGCATTGCTGTGTGTCTGTGTGTGTGTGTGTGTAGGGAAGATATTTGTGAGACCTTGCGGAGTAGGTTTGTTTGCAGTGAGTGGGTGGAGGGTCTTCCGGGTTGGGGTGTGGATCTGTCAGTGCAGTTGTGCATGTTGTGTGTCTGTAAGGATGTTTTCCCTTGGGTTAGGATCTGCATCATGTGAGGCAATATTGTCCGTTGGTGCCCGTTCGTGTATGTGTATAGGGAGGGTCATGGGTTGTATCTGTGGATGATGAGGGTCTGTTGTGTGTTGTGAAGGGATTCTGTGGGTGACGAGGATGTGTTTTGTGTGGTGTGTGAGGAATGCTGCGTCTGTTGGTGAGTGTGTGTGAATGGCCCTGAGGGGTGAGAGGATTGTGCTGTGTCTGTGGGCAACAAAGACGGGCCATGTGTCCTTGAGGGGGTGCCAACAGGAGGGAAATCAGACATCACCTAGCTCTGTGGACCCTTCCAGAATCTGAGCAGCCCTGGGGATTCTGCAGGGCAGCTAGACAAAGCGGCCGAAACTTAGCCCTTCCCTCAGGCCACCAGCCTCTTACCTGAGAAACAGCAGGGACAATGGTCCAGGCAGTGACAAAGAGGCTGAGGCAGATGGGGGTCCCCTGAGAGCATGTTTCCTGGACGGCTTCTCGGGGAGGTCCTGGATGACTTCTCGGGGAGCTCAGGAAGCAGGTAATGAGTGCACAGGAGGCAGAGGACGGGCCCAGGCACAGGTGTGTGACTCACTCTGCTCTACCCTCCAATGAGCAGCAGCAGGATGAAGGATTAGGAAAGGCCTGCCCCCGGGCTCTGCTGGGTGGGCAGGGCAGCTGAGGCCAGGAAGCCAGCTCCTGGGGCGGGGCCCCAACACCAAGGTCACCGGGAATACCCACATCCAGCCAGGCACACCAGCTCATCCCACAATACTGGGCTGGGCCCCTCTGATGCTGCGCCCCTCTGGGAGGAAGGGCTGGGCTTGGGCTGGCAGGGGAGAGAGGAACTGGGTCCTTTGACTGAGGGGGAGATGAGCCCTGACCTAGAGAAGGTTTTAGCCCTGTCCTCAGGAGCCCCCAGCCTGGGGGAGATGGGGACACAGCCCTGTCCTCAGGAGCCCCAAGCCTGGGGGAGATGGGGACACAGCCCTGTCCTCAGGAGTCCCCAGCCTGGGGGAGATGGGGACACAGCCCTGTCCTCGGGAGCCCGGGCTTCAATTCAATGGGTACAGCCCCAAATCCAGTGAGCCCCAAGTTGATGAAAAAGACCCAAAGCTGCTTTCAGAAGGCACCCTGTCTGAGGGGACACACAGCCAGTTTGCCCACAGGAGGCCAGTACAATGGGTGTGACAAAGCCCTGCCCACAGGTGCCCTCAACAGAAGGGGAGACAGACCTGCCTTCAGAAATGCCCAGCCTCTGGGAAAGAGAAGTTTCTGCCTTCTGAAGCCATATCCGGCTGAGAGGGAGACAAAGCCATCCCTGTCCCCATAGCCATCAGGCTGAGGGAGAAGACAAACCCTTGCACCTCAGAGTTCTGGCAAAAGCCTAGGACTGCACCCAGTGCTCCAGCTTTGCACGTTCTGCACTGAAAGTTACTCTATTTCTATTAATACCTCTCCCCACCGCCCCCTACCACAACCAAAATATTGGGCTTAGCAGGGAGCAGAGGTGTCAGGCCACAGAGGAAAGCAAACTGGGCCATGGCATAGGTGAACATTCTCAAATGCCAGCTCTAAGAATCTGCCAGATGAGGGCTTAACCGCCGCCTCTGGTCCTCAGCTTGAGCCCTGCAGTGAATGTTTTCTGAGCCTATTTCCTGAGTCTGTAAGAGCCACACATACTCCCTACCTCACACTTAGCATGATGACTGGCACGTACCAGGAATTCAGTAAATGAAAATCACTTTATTTACCCAAGCTCCTGTTGAGTGTCCCAGGCTTAGGGGTCAACTCCTTTCCCCACATCAGACTCAGTTGGAGAACTTGTTAAAAATAAAAGTTTAGCCGGGCGGGGTGGCTCACGCCTGTAATCCTAGCACTTTGGGAGGCTGAGGTGAGTGGATCACCCAAGGTCAGGAGTTCAAGACCAGCCTGGTCAACATGGTGAAACCCCGTCTGTACTAAAAATACAAAAATTAGCCAGGCATGGTGGTGGGCGCCTGTAATCCCAGCTACTCGGGAGGCTGAGGCAGGAGAATCGCTTGAACCCAGGAGGTCGAGGTTGCAGTGAGCTGAGATTGCACCATTGCACCCCAGCCTGGTTGACAAGAGTGAGACTCCATCTCAAAAAAATAAAAAATAAAATAAATTAATTAAATAAAGGCTTAGGCCAGGCGTAGTGGTGTATGTCTGTAATCTCATCACTGTGGGAGGCTGCCGTAGAGGATCACTTGAGACCAGGAGTTCGAGACCAGCCTGGGCAACAAATCCAGACCCCATCTCTACCAAGAAAAAAAAAATTAGCTAAGTATGGTGGTTTGCACCTGCAGTCCCAGCTATTTGGGAGACTGAGGTAGGAGGATCGTTCAAGCCCAGGAGATTGAGGCTGCAGTGAGCCATGATTGCAACTGCACTCCAGCCTGGGTGACAGAGCAAGACCCCATTTCAAAAAAAAAAAAAAAAAAAGATTCTGATATAGCAGTGCTGGTGATGGGGCCAGGAAGAGTAAAATTTTAACAAGCACCCAGGCGATTCCAAGGTAGCAGCCCATGGAGCAATACAGGCTTGGAAGGACTCCAGAGGAAGCCAAGGAGAGGAGGGTTCAATCCTTCAGAGGCTGTTTCTAGCTATGCTTGCCTATCTCCCACCAGAGGAATGGCAGCCCCACTAAGCCACAGGTATGTGGTTAGGATAATGGCATCACTGACAGAACCCTAAGCTCTACCCACCCCCCACCTCTTGGAGGACTGGCTGTCCCTGCCTGATGGCTCCATCCCTGGCTGGGTTAAGTTGGGAGCTTGTTAAAGATCCAGCTGTCTGTCTCCCCACCACACACACACATACCCCACCCTGAATCAGAATCTTCAGGGAGATCAGAAAATGTCCTTGTAGGCCAGGTGCGGTGGCTTATGCCTATAATCCTAGCACTGTAGGAGGTTGAGGTGGGAGGACTACTTGAGCTCCGGAGTTCGAGACCAGCCTGAGCAACATAGTGAGGCAGGATAGTTTGAGCCCGGGAGGTTGAGGCAGCAGTGAGCCATGATCATCGTGCCACCACACTGCAGCCTGGGCAACAAAGACCCTGTCTCAAAAAAAAAAAAAAAAAAAAAGAAATGTCTTTTTAACAAGCTTCCCAGGTGTCCTCAATCCTCAGCTCTTTCATCCCTTTATTTAAGCAGGGAACAACCAGCAGGAGTGGGGCAGAGAGGAACGGCCACTGTGCACCCCACTGTGCTGGGCACCTGGCTTCCCTGACCTCCTCAGTCCTCAGGATACCACACACAGTAGAGTCAGGATTCAAACTCCAGTCTGTCTGATGCCAAATGCAGGCATATTGTCTCCATTTGGAAGGTTTGCCTCCATTTGTTTTATAATGAACAGAATCTCACTAATTTGCAAAACAGGAATGGAGACGGTGTTTTTACCCTCATTTTACCAGAGGAGGCAGCTAAAGTCCAGAGAGGGGAAATGATTTGCCAGAGACACAATGCTAATGAGTGGTAGAGCAGAAAACTCAAGGAGGTGGGTGACTTCACGCCCTTTTGCACTCATTCCACAGGGCCCTTGTCGAGCTCCGAGCCCCCAGTTCTAATGGTGAGAAGCACTGATAACCTCCAGCAAGAGGCAGATGATCCAGATGTGCTAGGTTGAGGTTGGGGAGAGGGAGAAGGAAATCTAGAGGGGCAAATCCTGTTTCCTTGAGTTCCACCCTTACAGCAGGCCCAGACCCATCCACAACCTCCCACACATTTCTTCCTACTTCCACTGGGGCCCCAGGGAAGCGGGAGGGGCCAGAAAGTGAAGCTGGCTGTGGCTGCTCCAGGAAGCAGCTGAGAAGCCACAGCCATAGGGTTGCGGGCGTTCAGGTGACTGGAATGCCGAAGGCAACAACAGCTGATGCTTTCTTTCAGTGGTTACAATTTTTTTTTTTTTTTTTTTGAGACGGAGTCTCGCTCTGTCACCCAGGCTGGAGTGCAGTGGCACAAGATCTTGGCTCACTGCCTGCAACCTCCACCTCCGGGGTTCGTGATTCTCCTGCCTCAGCTTCCCAAGTAGCTGGGACACAGGCACGTACCACCATGCCTGCACCACCGTGCCCAGCTAATTTTTTATTTTTAGTAGAGACGGGGTTTCACTATGTTGGCCGGGGTGGTCTCAAACTCCTGACCTCTAGTGATCTGCCTGCATCGGCCTCTCAAAGTGCTCGGATTACAGGCATGAACCACCACGCCCAGCCTACACTTCATTTTAAAGGTGCAGTTCCCACTTTACATACCAGGATGCTGAGGCTCAGAGTTGATGTTACTGGCCCATATGCCGGGTTTCTACCCATACCTGGCTGGCTCCTTCCACCTCACCTCTGCCCACAAAGGTCCTCTTGCCAGCAGTTGGCTCCACAGCTGGGGAGCCTATCTGCTCCACTATTTACAGAAAACAAGAAAAGTGGCTCATCCAGCCTTTCATTTTCTTCTGGGCCCTGGCACTCCTCCAGCAAGCCTTCCCTACCCAGAGAGCTCCCCTTAACCTATTCATGGATGAAGGGGTGGGAGAGGATGGCACTGCCATAGCCACAGCCCCACCCTGGAGGCCGGTCTTGACTGTACTGCCTCAAGTCAATGCCCAGCATACACTCCTCTCCCCAGCCACGTCATCACAGAGATTGCTCCAAGCAGGGTTATGAGAATGGGCTGGGACCACTGCTGATCTTCCCAGTGGGTCTGTCACTAAAATGTGCCAGAAAGTAAGTGGGAAGACTTTGGTCCATCTAGGAAAATACGATGTCCTGACTGAAACCCAAATTCCTCAATATGCCATTACGATCTCCCTGATCTCATCTCACCTCACGTCTGTGCTCTAAGCATAACAAATGTTGTTCAGTCCCATGAATGGGCTATTCTCTTACCTTCTGGGCCTTTGCACATGCCACTCTCTCTGACTGAAACACCTTTCCCTCAAGTCCCACCCCTTCTGTGCCAGACACTGTTGTTTCTAGCAGGCATTCTTTTTTTTTTTTTTTGAGACGGAGTTTCATTGTCGCCCAGGATGGAGTGCAGTGGCGCGATCTCGGCTCACTGCAAGATCCACATCCCGAGTTCACGCCATTCTCCTGCCTCAGCCTCCCGAGTAGCTGGGACTACAGGCGCCTGCTACCACGTCCGGCTAATTTTTTGTATTTTTAGTAGAGACAGGGTGTCACCGTGTTAGCCAGGATGGCCTCGATCTCCTGACCTTGTGATCCGCCTGCCTTGACCTCCCAAAGTGCTGGGATTACAGGCGTGAGCCACCCCACCCGGCCTTTCCAGCAGGCATTCTTTCATCTTTACCAACTTAATTTTATTGGAAACAGGTGCCCAATCCCAAGGAGTAAGGCTTGGTATATTGCCTGTCTGTTCTTCGCAGCTCTCCCAGCCAAACTTACCAAGAGGGGTCCCTGTGACCCATTTTCTAACCAGTGACATCTTCTGGGAAAAATTTTGCTCCCTGGATGACTTATTTCTGTTTGGTAGTTGTTATAAGATGTGGTGCTAGAAACTTCTTGCAACTATGAGATGCCAAACCCTCCACAGAGGACGGAGAAGCATAGTAAGAGCCTGTTTCCCTGGAGGTATTACTGAATGAATGATTCCACCATGAACAATACCTGAAACCACCTGTCTCCACTTATGGAAGTAAAATATTCCTCTAATTCTTTTTGCCAGTTATTCCTTGCAGCCAAAACACTCCTAACTGATGCATCAGCCCCTGGGTTCCAGTTTTTAAAAGGGCCACTTTCTTCAGGAAACATTCCCTGGCTGCTAAAAATGAGATCAAGGGCCCCCTTCTCGGAGCAGTGGACAGTCTTCTTGCCCGTGTGCCCCAGCTGTGAGGCAGGCAACAGGGGTCCTGCAGTGTTCACCACTGTATTTCTAAACCAGCATATTTGTTCAATGAATAAACACACCTGATATGATTTGGATTTGTGTCCCCACCCAAATCTCATGCCCAATTGTAATCCCCCACGTTGGAGGAGGGACCTGGTAAGAGGTCATATGATCCATATGTTTGGATCATAGGGGCCGCCCCCTTTGCTGTTCTTGTGATAGTGAGTTCTTATCTATCACTATCCAGATAGTGAGATCTGGTTGTTTAAAAGCGTACAGCACCTCTCCCTGCGCTCTCTTCCTCCTGCTCCGGCCATGTAAGACGTGCCTCCTTCCTCTTCACCTTCTGCCACAACTGTTAAGTTTCCTGAGGCCTCCCCAGCCATGCTTCCTGTAAAGCCTGTGAAACCATGAGTCAATTAAACCTCTTTTCTTTATAAATTACCCAGTCTCAGGTAGTTCTTCATAGCAGTGTGAGAACTAACACCCATAGCTAATTGCTGGCACAGCCTCCTTGAGGGCAAAGGTAAGTTTGCAGATAGCTGAACTGAACCACCACCACTTAACCTCTAAGGAAGCGGTGTGTGCACCCACATCCTGGACTGAAATGGGGTTGCTTGGCTTTGCTTGGCTAGAAAAGATAATCACTGCCCCCCTAGTCAGGACTGCATTACCTCACGGCATGTATCACTTTTGCAGGGCAACTAAACATTTTCTCCCCCTGCCTTGGTCCAGTTTTAGCCAGAAGCACACCCACCCACCCACCCACTCATCACTGTGCTCTACTTCACATGTGGTTTGGATGTGCTCAGTGGTACTTGGAAGGACAGTAAGACACCCAAGCCTCTGTCCTCTCCCACAGAGAAATGAAAGTTGCACTTCTCATGATACTAAAAGACATGGTGCCTTTCGTAGTCATTGTGCCTGTTTACTCATCTACAAGACATTGCAAAAAGCAAAACTCTAGTTTTGAGTCACCTAGTTTCCTGTATCTTCACATTTCAAGTGTCACCTTTCCCCTTCTCACTTTGGGCCCCTCCTGAGGGCTGATTCTGTCCCTGAAAGCAAGCAGGACATTTAAGCATAGACTGTGAGCTGGACGCTTTCATATATTACTTCATTTAATCCTCAAAACAATCAGTATCTTCATTTTACACAGAAATAATAGGATATTGGCAATACCCAAGGAGCACTATGGTAGTTACCTTGTATATGCCATGGCAAATCTGCCCTAAAAGCTGCTGCAGTAATTCATATTCCCATTTCATAGATGAAGAAACTAAGGTTCAGCCAGGTCTGTCCAACCCCAAAGCATTTTGGGGTTCAGCCAAGCCAGACAAGGGACCCACAAGGGAGAGTACAAGGAAAAGTACATCAATGGCTTGGGTATAAAAATTTATTATACATAAAGAATATTACCACTAACAAATGCAGACAGGCTAGGACATGGTACTGGGTGGAGGACGGCTAGCTCTTTGGAAAGTGAAAGGTTTGGGTGGCGTGGGCCTCATGCCACACTGATTG